>NC_000010.11:76620368-77870368 GCF_000001405.40 Homo sapiens
GCATCTTTGAGCTGCAAATTTTCTGAAAGTTTATGCTCTGCTTCCCTTTTAATCATGTTTCAATTCCAAATGATATCTTTGTGATTACATAAAACTGAATGCTTTTAACAGCACCCAAATCACCCCTTGAATGCTTTGCTGCTTAGAAATTTCTTCTGCCAGATGCACTAAATCATCTCTCTCAAGTTCAAAGTTCCACAGATCTCTAGGGCAGGGGCAAAATGGCACCAGTCTCTACTAAAGCGTAGCAAGAGTCACCTTTGCTCCAGTTCCCAACAAGCTCTTCATCTCCATCTGAGAGCACATCAGCCTGGACTTTATTGTCTGTATCACTATCGGCATTTTGGTCAAAGCCATTCATCAAGTCTCTAGGAAGTTCCAAACTTGCCCACGTCTTCCTTTCTTCTGAGCCCTCCAAGTCTCTAGGAAGTTCCAAACTTTCTCACTTTTTCCTGTCTCCTGAACCCTCCAAGTCTCTAGGAAGTTCCAAACTTTCCCACATTTTCCTATCTTCTTCTGAGCCCTCCAAACTGTTCCAACCTCTGTGTGTTACTTAGTTCCAAAGTCACTTCCACATTTTCAGGTATCTTTACAGCAGCATCCCATTCCTGGTACCAATTTACTGTATTAGTCTGTCCTCATGCTGCTAATAAAGACATACCAGAGACTGTGTAATTTATAAAGGAAAGAGGCTTGATGGACTCACGGTTCCACACGTCTGGGGAGGCCTCACAATCATGGCGGAAGGCAAAGGAGAAGCAAAGGCATGTCTTATGTGGCAGCAGGCAAGATAGCTTGTGCAGGGGAATTCCCCTTTATAAAATCATCAGATCTCATGAGAATTATTCACTATCATCAGGAAAGACCCTCCCCCATGATGCAGTTATCTCGCATGGGGTTCTTCCTATGACAGGTGGGAATTGTGGGAGCTACAATTCAAGATGAGATTTAGGTGGGCACACAGCCAAACCATATCAGCAACTTCTTGCAGCTGCCTGAATCTTCCCCTTATTCATTGTGAGCCACAGTAGCTGCTTGTTCTGTGATGGACTTGGGAAATGGTGAAGCCCTTCCCTGTATCTGGTACCTAGGAGCAAGCCATCATTTCATACTTGATGAGAACATCACCTCTTCTTTTTGGCCATCAAAGAAACATACATCTTCCAACCATGGTTGTTGGTGTCTTTCACTCAATATTATTGTTCCTTTGAACAACCATGCATGTAGAGGCAAGTTAAACTGTACAGGGTCTTATTGCTATATTGAAGGTATTTCTTTACATTAAGTGCAAGGAAGTTTGTTGAATGATTTTGTCTTGAGTGACCTAGTCATATTTATGTTTTGCAGTGAGTACTGTGACTACAGTGTGACATCAGATTGTTGGAGCTTATAGGAAATGTGGGGTCTTTCAGGAAGCTCTTGCAGTAGTCCAGAAAGAGTTGGTGGTGGCTCAGACTAGGACAGAAGACAGTAAATCCTTTCCATAAAGAACCAGTTAATACATATTTTAGGATTTATCAGCAAAAATCCTACTCAACTCTGCTGTTGTAGTGTAAAAATAGCAATAGACAACATATTAATTAATGGGTATGGTTCAACAAAACTTTATTTACAAAAACAGCAAGTGTGCTGGATTTGGTCTGCAGACTGTAGTTTGCCAACCCCTGTGTTGGGATGATAGAAAGGGAGACAGAATGTTTTAAGAGATGGTTATGAAGTGAGTCAGAAGGTCTTTCTCAGGGATTGGATGTAAGGCATGAGAAAGAGAGGAGTCCATAATGACCCTAAAAGTTGGTTAACTTCCTAGGCTGTTATTAGAGGCCCGTAAAGCCTCCTTTTTGTGTGTAGTGGGCATTAGTCAATATTTTGGGTTGTTCATTACCTTAGAACACCTCTCCTAAGCTTCTAATTTTCCACCTATGAATCCACACCACCCTACAGAAGCAGCCAGACACGTGGTTTCCCAGTTTCTCTTGCAACATGATACCTGACTTAGATTCTACCAGTCAGATGCCCCCATGTGAGACTGACCCACAAGTTTGTGACACAATGTAGCAGATGTCATACAGACTCCACTCTGGCAGGTGGTATAAGAGAGGCCCCAGTACAGCAGTGACATTTCAGCTGTGGGCAATGCCCCAAGATGGAGGAGGGGAGGATGAGCTCCATGGTCATAAAGTTAGGAATCTGCAAGCTGACTCCCACCAGTCCATCTCAAGTACATTCCATGTTAATTTTTTATAGCATGCTATTGTTTTCTTTCCTGAAATTTATTGCAATTTGTAAATGCATCTTTTTATATATTCGATTACTAAATATCTCCCCCAATAAACTCTAAGGCTCATGAATATAAGGGCCATGTCAATTATAATCAGCATTTTATCCCTAGTATCCAGCAGGTTGCCTGACACACAGTGAGTGGTCAACTGATATTTATCAAATGAATGAATGGATAACTAAAAAATAAAGAATCAGTGCAAGAAAGCAGACATGGCTGACACCGATGGTTGGATTAGAGCAGGGCATCTGCTCCAGTACGGCCTGAATCAGGGAAGGAGGGACTGGGATTATGGTTGCCTAAAGACCCGGGAACTGCAGAGGAAAACACTGCACAGTGAATGGGGTACCAGAGGAGAGTGTTAGTCAAAGACACACCTGACTTGCCTACGTTTTGTGAAAGACCAGCCCTGCCTTTGACTTTGCTGACATTGAATTACACAAACCAATAGGGTTTGAAGCGGGAACTCAGGATGGAATTGTGGTTTGGAGATGTCCAACAGGGGCTGGTGCATCACCAACAAATCTCTAGGAGAGCTCAGAGCACTTGCTGTCAGAAGATGGTTTGTCTCTCAAATCATGGTGCAAATGAGTGGTAAAATTAAAATGTTAGTGAAACAACTTCCTGTAAGAGTGAGTGGTTTTGCAATCCTTAATGCTTATTCACATGGTAATACATTAAAGGTGAGATTTGTTCTCAACACTAAGACACTAGGTAACTAATCAAAACCCTAGTTCATTTCCACAAACCTATAGGCAATGTATTGGGCTGCACATTGCAGTTGATACAGGACTTTCTATTCAAATGGAACAGCTTATATAGCTCAAGACATTATGAGGTTGGAGTGTGAAAATAATGTCACAAACAGAAAAATACCATGAAAAATCGGGCAAGAGGCATTATGCCCCTATATCACATAAACTGCTGCTGCAAATTATAGCTTCCACTTCCTGCACAGGGACACATTAAAAAAAAATCATTTCCAGTGACAAATTGAACCAAGTTCATAGACAAAGAAATATAAACTCTTAGTTACTATCAGTTTGGATAAAAAGCAAGGAATGGAAGAGGAGTCTCTCAATGAGCCCACAGCTCAAGTTACTGGGGAACAATTTGGGGGATGTAACTGAGGCCCATAGATTAGAGGCAGTGTCACCAGAACAGAGCCACACACTGTGGGTTGTTCCTCCACCTGTTGGAGGATTGTGCACATATGTCTTCAGGGCAACATCTATGACCCACCATCTTGGTATCACAAGAACAGACCCCAGTAGCATAATCATATTCCTGTAAATTTACTTTTCTGTTTGCATTGACTTTCCAAGTATAGCTTTCCAATGAAAGGAAAGCTCCAGCAGGTATAGCTCCAGCAGGCCTGGGGGAAAAACAGTATTGAAGAAAAAGTGAAAATATCTCAGTGAAAACTGAAGAAATGTCATTTTAGAGTTTTGGAAGGGGATTCCAGGTAAAGCCAGGGCAAGGAGGAGCAGGCTTGGGAAGGTCAGGAATGCTTCCTGGAAAAGGATCAGTTGGAAGACTGTCCTTATCTAAAGGTCTGCACTGGGTCCTTTGGACTTTGGTGCCCCAGTAGGTCCCCTTATTCAGCCCCTGCAGCCATATCACTTCACCAGCCTTTCCTCACCTTCAAGGTAAAAAATCCCAGGTAACCTGGAATTTGTCATGCCTTAAAGAGTCTTGCAATACTAATTAGATGAAAATTCAGGGAGATGGAGACATTGGGAACCCTAGCTAAAAGCAATAGTGATGCAGGACTTGAGTGACTTGACAAGTCTGTAGGTAGGGGCCATGGTAAGTCATTTACCTTATATGCTTTTTTGGCCTACCACACAGTGTCTCGGTGCCTAGAGAATTGAGGAGCATATCATGCACTTGGTGCTCTAGCTCCAGGTCAAGAGAAGGCAACAGACTGACTCAAGAGAAAGTCCTCCACCTACATGAAGTCCTTGACTTGTTGGTTGCTTCCTCAAAGAATGTTCGCAATGACTCAGGTAGGTGTAACTTATGCAAACTCTACAGCTAATCCCCGAGAAATTTGTTTTCCTCTCAGCTACACCTCAGAGATCCTCCATATATTACTTATACAGAGGATTTCACTTCCCCTTTCCGTCCCCTTTCTTCTCCTACTCCCACTCTTAATTGGAGAGCAGAGCCTCAAAATAGACAGCACCGTCACCTCTAGCCATTGCTCTCTGTTATGGAACGAGCTCTTGACACACCCACATTTCTTATAGTAGTTCCACCTTTGAATCTAGGATCTTTGCTCTACCTACCTTTTCTGCATCCTGGGATTCTGGTATCCCTGATAATGAGTGAGTGGTTTCATGCCCCTCAGAATCTGGAAAATGACTCAACACCCCAGCTTTGGGTGTGGGAGGCAGTGGACCAGGACTGGGGATGTAGCTGAAATCCTATTATTGGTTCCACAGGCAGAAATCACCATCTCTCCATACTCTCAACATAGTCACATTGTTCGCATATTATAAAATGATAGAGTGCAACATGGTTAAATATATCACTGATTTGCCAATAATAGGTATTGGTGTATAAGTCTAACTGGCGGTACAGCCACCCGAGATATTGATTTTACTGTCTAATGGTTGAGAGAGATGTTATCTTGATTAATTAGGAGTCAAAAACAAATGCATCTTCTATTAGATCTCTTGTGGCACTCACCTGAAAAAAATTCTACATGTGTCCAGAAAATGTTGGAAACCTAAAAGGACAGAGTGAGGAGGGAGCAAACCACCTCTTCCGCCGTCTGTCCTGAGTGAAGATAATGTCTGTGAGTACCAGGCGAGCTTATCGACAGAAAAAAGGGCTCCCATATTTTTCTTCCTTTCAACTGCAGCCCTAAATTCAGAAATTAAGAGAAGAGAAAGCACCATCGAATATAGAATTTTAGCCAGATTTCAGTAAGGCAGCCTTTCTGTTCTTGTTTGGGTATAAAGAGTCACATCTCCTGACATCCCAACAACTGATATGCAATCAGGTACAGGATTTCCTCTACAAGAGGCAGTACAGAAGCATCTGGAAGATAATTTCCACAATCCCTGGGTATAGTGCTATTATTCTTAAAAATGAAAGGCATATGCATATCATCTTCATGATTGCTAAATTTGGGTCAAAGCATACTTTTACGGAAAATTCAAAGGAGTCTAGGAAAGAGAAATATTACTTGCATTCTAGAATAAAATTATTTCTTGACTTTACCATACTAACCCGCACAGCATGATAAGCTATACTATAACAAAATGCTATAATGAGAGCTGATATTCTTTTGGATTAGGGAGATAATTTCTGTAAAACAAGCTTCTTTGGGTTGTTGTTTTTCTATATATATTTTTTATGATCTAAGACTTTCTCCAGTTCTTCAGCTTGAATACTCCCTGTGTCAATGAAGCTGAAGGTGAATCTATCTGCTATTGTGGGCATCAAAAGAGGCTGAGTTGTGAGCATACCTGGAAAACATTCTGAACTACCTACACTAAAAATTAACTGCTGTGTCATTTATGAACTATCTGACATTAGGAAAACTATATGGCCTTTCTAAGCCTTAGCATTCTATTCACTGTCATTGATTTATTCGACAAATATTTATCAAAATGAGGAGAGTACAGTGATAAACAAAACGACTTGGTCCCTGTCCATGTTGGAGCTTACATTATAGTTGTGCTGTTCTAAATGGGATATTGTATGTAAAAGGGCTTTGCAATAGATGATATGTTTAGTAACTCCAAGATACCACTGATATTTTTATTGCAATTGCTAGATGATTTCTGTCTTAGGGCTATGGTAAAGCCATCATTGTAATGTTTATTCAGAAGTCTAAGCTACAGATTTGAAAGACTGTTTGCCAAGTTCACGTTTTAAAAATAGACATTTTCCCAGCTAGGAGAGAAGTTCTTACTTGCAGAGCTCAGATAAGAGGACAGTCACTTGGGTCAAGGTCACCTTGCTGAGGGCCCCAGGAGGCAGCCTTTTTCTGCAGCTTGACCGAGAATCTATATCTCTTGCCAAGAGTCAGGATGCTATTCTTTCCCTAAATGCTTTCCAATCTTCTTGCCATTTCTCAATTTCCACATTAGCCAGGTCAAATCAGACCAGATCTTGGCTTGAAGTTAATCCATCCATCCAGGTGACATATCCCCAGTTCCCATTTTGGGCCAGGCTGTGTGCCGTAAGTCAGAGGAGGCAGAGGGCTTCTCTGCCCTCCTGGGGCTCCCTGGTTTAGCTGAAAGTCCTCAGGGAAGTCCTAATTTCCTCCTGTTGTGCCAGTTGTGAGGGAGAAGCACAGAAATGAGCCCCTGGCTGCCTGGAAGGAGGTGGGGTGGGGACTTGCATAGTAATCTTCCCTCACCCACCTATTTCAGTGCTCTGCACACTTAGAGAAAAGAATGGCCTAAGAAAGCTGCCCTCAGCACCACACAATTTATAGGTAGAGAGTGGTTTAAAGCAACCAATTTTTAAAGCTTCATGTTAAATTTATGTGGGTTTTCCCAAGGAGTTTACCAGTTTACCAGTATAATATAATTAATATAATATAATATAATATAATATATATATATATATATATATATATATATATATATAGTGTGTGTGTGTGTGTGTGTGTGTGTGTGTGTGTGTGTGTGTGTGTGACATGTGCATGGTTTAGCTATTCAGTTATCCCCTTCCTCCTACTGGGGAAGGGACTTCATAAAGGGAGACTCCTTTTCTCTGACACACTGAAATGATTCACTGAAAATAAGAAGCACAAATTCCTCCTAAAAAGGCATCAGACACACTCCTGGGAGTTCTAATTGGCACCCCCAGCATTTATTCAAGTCTTCAGGACATCTTAGCCCTTTCAGTAAATGGATGGTGCCTGCAGCAAACACAGTAACCAGGGCTTTCCCGCCAATTCCTGTGGGATAGTTGTGTGTGGCCATGGTTAATGACAAGCAGCTTTTAATTCTTCTGTGTTTATTTTATTGGACATACTCAATCCTATCAACATAATTCCTCCATAGCATCACTTAGTTGAAACTGATTATTTCATGGAAGATGAAACTGAGGTCCAGAGACTGAAATAATGCCCAATATGATGAAGGAATTCAAAGGCCAATGATAGGCATTAATTCTGTGTCCATTGGAACCTCACTAGTTCTTCAAGACCCGATTCAAGCCCCTCCCTTCCAAGATACATTCTCTGAACCCTATTTTTTTCCCTTCATGGGGCTGCTCTTCCTCCTATCCTGTGCCTGGCTGGCTCCTTCCCATCATTCAGGTGTCATTCTCAATGACACTTTATCAGAGAAATTCTCTCTGATCACTCCATCTAAATTACGTCTCCCCCTAAATTTTCTCTGAGGGTACAAAAATGTTTTCTCCCATAATACTCTTTTTATTTTTTTTGCCTGTGTTTTGTTTATGTCTGACTCTCACAGTAGATTGAAAACACCCTGAAGGTAGGAACTAATGTCTACTTGATTCAACAAATTAAACCTGACACTTTGTCTGGTGCCTATTGCAGAGTGGGTGCTTCTGTTGAATGAATTAATACAAGCATCTCCCACCCATCATGTTGTTTCTCCCCATAGACCCTGAGAGTAGCACATTTTCTGCATCACATGATGCTTGGTGCATCACATATGGATTTATTGTTATATTTTAACATATTCATTTGTTACCTTTTCTGATAATAGTATTTACTAATGATTAATAGCTATATATTTGGTGTTTGCTATTTTTCAAGAACTGTGGTATCTTATACATATTAAAAGAATTTACCCTCAGAAAAACTATTTTAGAGATGAGGAAACAGATTCAGAGAGATTAAAAACATATCATGCTGAGCTTGCTAACATTTTAATGGCAGAAAAGTTGTTTTACACTTAGGGTAATCAATCGTCCCAATGTGACCAGGACTGTACTGGTGTTTACAATGAAGATCGCATCCCGTGTCCCATGAAATCCTTCCATCTTGAGAAAACTGAGATAGTTACTTATCCTAGCTATACTCCTTTGTAGAACAAGTTTCACTGTGTTATGCACTGGGGAAGAAATTTACATTTTTGGAGTATCAGCCATCTGCATGAAAATACACTTCGTTTCTCCATAACACTGTTTGGTGTTACGGAGAAAATATTAGATGGTGTCTAGGTATTTAGGATTATAAAGATAAAGCTCACATTTTACAGTTTTTCTTGTGTCGTTTTCCTTACACTAACATGAAAATCAGCTCTTGTGGGTTATGCTCATGCCCATGTCATTTTGCACACAGTGGCTGTCTCCCTCTCCCACATGCTGGGGTAGAGATTCCTGTACTGGAGTCTCTGGACAATGAGTAATCTGGAGGCACTGAATACTGCCCTAGGGTCCTGATTCAGTCAGTGTTTGATCAGAGAAGCACAACCACTAGGAGACTTTATAGACATAAAAATAAATATATACTG
This sequence comes from Homo sapiens, assembly GCF_000001405.40. Classification (NCBI taxonomy): domain Eukaryota; kingdom Metazoa; phylum Chordata; class Mammalia; order Primates; family Hominidae; genus Homo; species Homo sapiens. The sequence goes on from NC_000010.11 coordinate 76,629,102, forward strand.
GCACTGAGGCCTGAAGTCCATAGCAGACAGCAAGGCAAGAAAGATGGATCCAAAGTAGGGGAAACAAGGACAAGCCAGGATCTCCAAGGCTGGGCTGGAACTCAGGAGAGCCAGCTGCAACCCATGTTGGTTTCTCACCTCCTACAGCCTTCCAACTTTGAGGAGAAGCTAGTCCCATTTGTCCTGTTGGCTCCCGGGCCAGGCATTGGAAAAGCTGAAGCAGAAGATTCGGCAGGAGTTGGGGGAGCCCTGAGCCTGCCTGCTGTCCTGTGCCAAGAAGAAGAGCCAGAAGATAACCATAATTACCCAGAAGCTGCTTCCACTCACCTACTGAGAGTAAAGCAATTGGGCCACACCTCTATTTCTGCCTTCTAGATCTCACATAAATGTCTCTTGGGTCTTACATCAAGTTGAAAGTATTCAGAGAAGGGTATTGTGGGAAATGCAGTTCCATTTAAACTAAGTGGCTACAATGCAAATCCACCACAGTCCACCTCTTGTTTATTCAGCATCCGTAAGCATCCCTTACAATCATAAATAAAAATAGTGAAATTATGTGAAGAATTCTGATGCACTAACACTGCCCTGGTGATCTCGCAATCTCAAAGACCAAGAGCGTTCTCAAAGCAAGCTGCATCCAATAACCTCACTGATCCAAAGCCACATTTTGCCCTTGTTCTCATCACTACACTTTGCAGCTGGATGGCAGATTTCTTCTTTATTCTGTGTTTTTATAATTTTTTCTAAATCGCTTCCTACCAAATATTGTGTGGGAGGCAGGATGAGGTTACTAAATTCATGTTACAGATTTGGATTTTGAGAGTTTGTGTCTTGCCCAAAGCTCAAGTAGGGAACTTGAATTCTGGCCTCCTGACTTTTATTCCAATTGGGTAACAGGCACAAGTGAGCCTTTCTTTTCTAAGGTGCCTTTATCATTTGAAAAAAAAAGATTTTGCTGACCTACATTGGAAAACACAAAACAGTGCAAAAAGGAAAAAAGAAATCTATGGTAGAGAATAAACTAAGTGCTATTTTTAAAGGAGAGTTGTTTCCTTTTGTTATGCTTTCCATCTTTTTTTTTTTTTTTTTTTTTTTTTGAGATGGAGTCTCACTGTGTTCCCCAGGCTGGAGTGCAGTGGCGCGATCTTCGCTCACTGCAACCTCCACCTCCGGGTTCAAGTGATTTTCCTGCCTCAGCCTGCCGAGTAGCTGGGACTACAGGCGCGTGCCACCACACCCGGCTAATTTTTTGTATTTTTAGTAAAGACAGGTTTCACCGTGTTAGCCAGGATGGTCTCGATCTCCTCACCTCATGATCTGCCTGCCTCGGCCTCCCAAAGTGCTGGTATTACAGGCATGAGCCACGCGCCTGGCCACTTTTCATCATTCTTGTACACATCTGTTTATGTGCATGCCTTGTCTTCCAAACTAGCCTGCAAGCTCCTTCAACAAGAGAATCGCATCATTTCTTCTTGTGTGCCTCTTTCTAGTGTCCCACATACAGGGATGCCTGCTTTACAAAGCCATGCTTGATGGCATGTCATGCCCACAAAATGATCTACTAAAGTTTCATGCAATGAAAGCCTTAAACACAGGAATCATTCGTATACTTCAATCACCAGGGGGCTCTTGGATAAAGCTGCATGGTGGACAGAGGAGCTCCCCACTTGGCCTCCCCAAAGTGGGCCCCTGCATCGAGCATCCCCCAAACGCCCCCAAGAGCAGCAGCTGTGCAAAGCACAGAAGGCATTTCCCCAGCCTTCTTATCATCACCTGAGTCAGGTCCGTGGACAGTTAAGAAGAGCTTGGCTAATTCCATCAGCTTGGCTCTCTCTGCCCTGTTCTGACTGACAGGCCGGGCCCCTGCTCATCCCTGAAAACTAGCATCGGGGAATGACATACAGTTTGATAACATAAGATGCTTAGGTTTTTTGGCTCAAGTGAGATGTTCAGAGCTAATAGCCCTGCGAGCTGAGTTTTAGCTGTGATCTGCACCTTGAGATATCCGTTATGTCTGGATCAGGAAAAAGGGAAAAGAATGAGAGCTTATTTCTAGAAAGGTTTCCGATGAGCAGCATTTGTCATTGAAGGGGAAGATGGGTATAATTAGCTTGTCAGTCTAGTTTGGGCTGAGCAGGCTGTCTCTGCTAAGAAAGATGGACTAACTGCCAGGGCCACTGACAGGCAGTCGATAGCGCAGCAATTAATGTCATAAATAATTCCAGAACCAATTACATCAAAATGGACTCAGAGCTTTAAAAAGGTACAGAATTCTCTTATTCTTCCTGCTAACAGCAAGAAACAGCTTTCATTTTTCTCTGTAATTACTTTTCATTGTATATAGCAATACAGCTGAGCTTTTCTGTCCATATTTAAGCCTTGTCTTTCTCCAAGCCTCTTCCCCCACCACCAGCCTCCCTCCTTCACCCCACAGGATAAGGCTGTTAAAGTTGTTCTTCCCTGCCAGAGCAGTGGGGTGAATGTATAATCTTTTAACTTGGCTGTTGCAGGAGAACTCCAGCTACACCTAAATGATTAAGAGCCAAGTTTTTGAAAATGTCATGGACAATGACAGCACAGTGCCCCAAACAATGGCATTTGGAAATGAAGACATTTGTGAAATAAATGGATTTGTCTTATTATTTTAAAGGTTGCTGTGACTTTGCTTACACTGAATTTATTGATTTTTCCCCCTTCTCCTTCTCCTTCCTCTTCTTGTTCTCCTCCTCCTTCTGTACAGTTGCAGGCATAGAAGCTGGGCCAACTATTCCCTCTACACTGCAACCACAATTCAGTACTGCCCATGTGTGCTAATGGGCATTTTTTTTTTTTCCAAAGGAGGATCAGTCTCTTAAACATAGCGTTTTACTAAAAAGCTATTCTCTTCAGCTGTCTCAACTCTTCAGCTAGTTCTCTGTGCATTACAGTACATATGTAGATAACACAAAGGCTATTATACCCATAATAGCAATGACATACCAGATACCACTGGTGCTAATAGTCTCTCTCTCTTTTCTTTTCTTTTTTTTTGTTACTCTAACCCATCAGTTGCCTCTGTGGCTTGTTTAGAGAAAGGAGGGGATTGTGGGAAAGCAAATTACTGTAGTATTCATTCACAGCTTTGTTCCAGGCCTGACAAACATTTCCAACTTTTCAACCATGGTGTCATTTACTCCAGAGGGACCAGGCAAAATGGCTCATGAAGCTCCCACCGTTTCAAAACCAGAAACAGCTGCCGGTGTTGCTTGCAGTTTGCTGAGTGTGCTCTGGCTCTGAGCTGCCGCTGACGGCTCTCCCTTTAGCAGTAGGTGTCACTGCGGTGAGTGGTAATTACAGCGGAAGATTTTAGAGGACACGGGATAATTAGGCCAGCCCCGTGCAGGCATAAACACTGACATTTACCATATTAAAAACCGGAGATGTCGGCATTTTCCTCCCCCCACCCCTACCCAGACCACAACGATAGCAACCTCACCAACAAAGGCAAGTTTTCAAGAGAACAAAGGGTCTTTGCATTTGAGGGAGTTTGACTGGGCTCCTGGTGCGGTGCTATTTGTTGGTCCCATTTGGGTTCCGCTCATCACTTGGGAAAGCGTCCAGCTGAGTCTCTACGGCTTATACTCCTTCCTCTTGGATCCTGCAGAATGCCATAGCCTAGGCATGATGGCAGAGGAGGTGGTGGGGCATGATAAATTATACCATCCAGAGAGCACCTCTTCCTTTCCACTGTGGGCTGGGCACAAGGTGGCATCTCTCAATACTGCCCTCTCCTGGACCTGGGTGATGCCATGGCAGTAACAGCAGGTATATTTCCTGGTTCTCCAGCAAATGACAGTCAGGAAGTAGGAAGGTAGATGAATACAAACACTAGTCCTACAAACCCAAACTACCCCTCTAAGGGCTGAAGTTATGGCAATATCCTCTCACCCTCTGTCCGAAATAGAAATGGAACAAGTGTTTGCAGAAAGTTCAATAATGCCTAGGCTGCAGCTGCAACCTACTCCAGGGAGCCCTTCTGAAAGTTACTGGGGTGCTCAAATGCAATGCTGTAGATCCAGAAGAACCCATGTTTGAATTCCAGACGGGCCATTTTCCTATTAAGGGATGCTGGGTAACTTCGATCCTCAGTTTTCCCTTTTATAAAATGAGAAAATGAAAGTGCTTACTTCACAGAGTTGTTATGAAGATAAAATAAAAAAGCATTGAGCACACAGAAGAATTGCATAAAATGGTACAATTCTTTCCCATTGCAAAAGTTCATTTGCCCCAAGTCGGGGACTGTGTTTGAGATAGATTTTCCGCAGAGAAATAAGGCTCAAGTCTCAGATCTCTGTGCATTGGGGAAATGACAGTGATTAAGTGAGAAACCCTGGCTACTCTCTGAAGGCAAGACCTCCAGACATGTTTGTGCTAACATGGGGTGGATCCACTCTCACATTTGCTCCCTCACAGATGCTGCAGATACAGCGGAGGGCTTTCATAAGTGAAACCGCACTCTCATCTTTTGAATGGGAACTCCTCAATACAGTCTGGATTTTAAAAACATCCTCCCAAACACGAACACCTTCGTGGTCTACCCAAGCATTTGACTTCTCTGCAGGGAGGGCTCAGGGCCCCCATCCCTTGATGTGGGTTGTTTAGCTTGGGGTCATGGAGCTTCATGGTCCGGGAGAGAAAGGCAGCGTGGACCCATGGAAAGAGCTTGAAGCCTTTGATCCAGGTGGCTGTGTGGAAACTGGATGACCCTGGGAAAATTACTTCAACTCTGTGAACCTGAATTTCCTCACTTAGAAATGAGAAAAAAATAACCCACCTCCACCCACCAGTGCCAGCCCAGGTAAAGCACTTGCCCGTGAGATATGGAACCCCTTCCCCTCCCTTTGGGTATTCTCTTTCTCATCAGTAAAGGAATGAGTCTCCTCACAAGGAGTTTACGAGGCTCTGGTGTCAAGTGGTATCACTTGACACCAGGAAATAGGAAGGAACAAATAGGAAGGATCTCCTTGTTGTTATTATTCATGGTCCCCAAGGGGCTTTCTTGGTGTGGCTACTCCCAGCCTCAGGATGCTGGGCTCTGAGTTCCCTCTCCTGATGACAGCAACAATGCAGCTCAGCTAGAGAAGGGTCCAACTCTAGCAGCTGTATTTTCCAAATTAAAAATATGCACAATTTTTTTCAACTATTTCTAGCTGTGAGAGTCAGCCTAACACTGTTCTGGACACAGAAACATCAGAATTTCTGAAACATCTCAGTGACATAAAAGACTAGGACTGCATGTTTTAAACAGTAACCATCTTGGACCATGTGGCTGCACTGGAGATGTAGGTCCCCATGGCAGCCCTGAGAAGATGCTCCAACCATGATCTGTACAAGCCAAACTTTGCTTGAGGAGGAAGGGCCAAGGCAAGATTAGTGGTTAAGCAAACAGTAGGCGTGTGTGGCATAGGAACAGCCTTTAGGGCTGGGTTGGTCTCTTTGGATAGTGTCTGAGATAGTTTCCAGAGTCACTCTCCCCATCCTCATTGCTGTGCTGAGAGTTTTTTCTGCTGTTTAAGGTCTTGGGAAGCCATCCTCCTACCTCTCTTTTCCTTAGGTCTAAAGGAACTGGATTCTTGTCCACCCCTATAGGTACTATGAATTACTGGATCAGCATATAGGTTTTGGACAAACAAACTTAGATTCAAATTCTAGTTCCACTACTTACTTGCTACAACCTTAAACAAACTAATAATTCTTAGACTTAATTTTGCTTTTTGTTTATTTATTTTCTTTTCTTGATATAGTGGATATATATATCTACTTCATAAGGTTTTAGGGAGAATTATGTAGCATTCAATGAGACAGTCATCACCGTAGTAAAAGGAACAGTTGGAGGGTAGTAGCAATAATAATACTAGTAGAAGATACTGTGTTTGAAACTCTTACCAAAGTCACAACTAAAAATGATCATAGCTGGAATTCCAACTCATTTTCTGACTTTAAAGCCCATGTTGAAAATACTGTGTAAAATGCACGAAGCACCTGGCAGGCAGTCATCTGTGATTACTGGTTTCTTTATTGCTTGAGTTGGATGACAGTCCTAGGTCATCTGATTGGATTTTGGATTCATTTGAGACATCTGGAACCTCTCTTGGGAACTTCTTCCTCCTTGGGCCTTTGCAGCAGGACAGATGGGCTCTCAACACCACTGCAGATTTCAGGCTCTCTCTCACTGGAACATTAAGAAGTAGTTTTGGTTGGTGATACTGGCTGTGGAATTTCTGCATAGAGGTTGGTAGAAAACCCCAAGCAAGGGAGTCTAAGATGCTGTAGAGTATTGGACATTTAGTATTGCTAAACTGTTCGAAGTGTGTGCCTGTGTGTGTGTGTGTTTGTGTGTTTCTCCTGTGTAATTCAGGAAGTCCCCAAAGCTCACTCCTACCCCAAAACCAGCCAGAATCTCTCTCATTATCTTCACTTTCCAGGTCTGTTCCTCTGAACTCCCTTGCTAGTAGAGGTGAGCATGCCAAGGTACGTCTTGTTATGTTCCAAGGTCACTTCAGTTCACTTGATTGTAAGCTGCAAAACGGTAGAAATTTCTACCATTTTTGTTGGCCAATGTATCATATCTCCTAGAACAATGAATGGAACATGGGAAACACTCAGAAAACATTTGTTGAATAAATTAATTTTATTTAAATTGAGCTCTTTGAAATTTCAGATGCTCAAAGAGCCTCTTATCTCTGAATGAAGAAAACCAAGTTTTCCAGGACAAAGAAAAACACACACACAGAAAACCAACCTCTAAAATTTCAGGTTAAATTTAATTCTTTTAAATTGCCAAGCTCTATTCTTATCAAAAGAAATTCAAATGTTTCTACCTGTTAGGGCGCTGCAAGCTCAGACTTCGGGTGGCTAACTTAAATCTACTTTCTTGGAAGGATAGAAAGGTAGGCATATCTCATTTCCTTTTTGCTGTTTTGAAACCCCTTTCTGCTCATTGTTTGTCATCTGAATTTTGAGTGTTGAGGATTAAAGGAAAGAATGTAGATCCTTCATCAAAGCTTTGTGTCATCCATCAATTTGATAAGTATGCCTTCATGCTTTCGATGTCATCATTCAAGTCTTTGTACAAAAGATAAATAATATCAATACAAACATTTTGAAAAGTTATCTTTTTCTATCTTCTAACATATAATACTTACACATATACTTACATTAAATAAAAATATTGTTTACTACTTACACGTAGTTTCTGTGCTTCTTGACTAGCCAAAAATCCAGTTCTGTGGAGTTATTAATTTTTTTAAGCTGGTACCCTTCTCACCATAACCTTCCACAAATAATTTCATGATGGTCAACAGAAATACATTTCTTTCTCCCCAGGTAGAGTCAGCTCTCTGAATGGAAACCCTAGAGTAACTCCTGTGTTATTAACAAATGAAAATATTATCAGGAGCAGCACCCAAGAATGAGAACTAGGAGATAATTGAGCAATGCATCTCATGAAAGTGTACAAAGTAAAGAAAAAAAAAACCTCCTTTTTGGCCCATGATTGTTAAACAGAATGCAGAGTTGACTTCTGGATTTTCAATTAATTTTTCTGTCAAATTCTTACTTGACTTGACTATGCCACTGCTCTTGGGTTTCAGCCTGAGTTGAACACATATTTTCAAGACTTAAGAAGGCATCCCAAAAACAAAATTCAGAAATTATATATTTCTTATACTGAACAATCTGTGTCCATGTGTGAAGAGTAAAGAAGGAGGATTTAGTTGGAAAATATCTATAAAATGAAGTACATCTGTAGGCATAGAATGGAATGATCATTCCTCTGGTCTTGTAGTGAGCAGAAGTTTTAGATTCCTATGATGTCATATCAGCACTTAACCCAGAAGTGTCTGAACACTGTGAGCTAATAAATTAACTTGGATTGGGTTTCTGTCTCTTTTAGCTGAAAAAGACCTAATTCAGTATCAAATGGTTCCCTTTTTCATTAGTTACTTATTCCATAAGCTACTTAGCCTTCCTACTTCTTTTCTCTTATCTTGACCAACTCAAGAGAATATCTCATTCTTTTCTATCCTTAGAAAACTTGCAATCTTACTTATTATTTAGAATAACTCATTTCATACTTTATGATATTGATTTTTTAATGTACACGTGTGGTTTTTATCAACAAATAGCAAGTTAGTGGAATGTATGATAATATGCATCTTTGAATTTCTTAACACCTAGCACAATTTCCTTATACACGGTAGGTGCTCACTTAGCATTTAGAAATGAAGATTAATGGCAGATTCATGAAAAGGTCCACCTGCCAAAGTGTTAATGAAGTCTTCATTCATTAATTCATTCAAATATGTATTAGATATTTACTATATTTTTGGTAGTATGATAATGAAATTAGTCTGAAGATACATGTGTTCTTCTTCAGAATTGTCATAAATTCCTAGCATGGTTGCATGGATGATATAGGGGAAGGAGACTTTGGAAATACCAGTTCCTGGGATCATTTCATGTTCAAATGCAGCAGATAGCTCAGCCTGTTGGAGGAAATACAGATGAGAATTCTCTGTGTTTAATATCTGTCATTAAAATGACAGCAATAAAGCCTAAAACCCAAAGAGGGAAAATCAGCTGGGTCCTTATAGATTGTCACAGCCAAGAGCAATAAAAACTAAATCAATCACAGATCATGGCAATAGATAATTTAGCTAGTACTGGAAATTAAATGAAAGGACATTTCCAGCACTCAGCCCCCATTGTGGGACAATGAACATGCCCTCGGAATTCAGATGGGCTTGTTGAACAGTCTAGGGTGAAGATGGGAGGACGAAGGGAAAATTATTTAAATGAAATTTAAATTGCTTTGTTTCTTTATTCCTCTGAAGGTTGCCTTTGTTATTACATTGCAATATTTTATCATCAACGTTTCTGAAACACCCTGGGTTTCTTGGTATTTCCACCCTTGTTCAAGGGGAGGAAAAGTGGTTCTTTTGAGAGTGGTGCCCTGTAGTCTGGGCAGCTGGAACCCAATAATCAGCTGATTGTTAGGGCCAGTTTTGGAGAAGAGTTTTCTGGAACAGAAGAAATATGGAGAGGGGCAAACAGCACCTCTAGGACCCAGGACATCTGTGTTTTAGGCCTATCTTTGACACTATCAATCACAAATCAACAAATCTGGGCTTCAGAATTCTCACTGGCAAAGGGAGAGGATTAGACTCAATGATCTTTCAGAACCTGTCTAGTGCTAAAGCTCTGTTATTCTATTACAAATGACCAGTGTGAATAACAGAGTTCCAGTATCATGGGTTTTGCTGCTAGAAGAGTTTGGCTAAACTACAAACTTTGTCTATTAGCTATGAAGTTTGGCTAAACTACGAAGTTTGGCTAAACTACGAAGTTTGGCTACATTCAAGAATGACTTGAATGTAGGAGCACATTCCCCAACCCTAGAAAATTTAACATCTAGAATTAATGAGTGAATGAATGACCACTGGGCAGTCTTCCATTCTTTATGGATTTGATCTAGTTCAACTGCAGCATTCCCGGTGAGGGAAAATTTTTCTTATTTCAAATAAAATATTGTGTCCAGGTAGAGTGGCTTACACCTGTAATCCCAGCACTTTGGGAGGCCAATGCAGAAGCCTCTCTTGAGTCCAGGAGTTTGAGACCAGCCTTCACAACATAGTGATGTCCCATCTCTACAAAAAAGATGAAAGCTAGCCAGGGCTGGTGGCAAGTACCTGTAGTCCCAGCTACTTCAGAGGCTGAGGTGGGAGGATTGCTTGAGCCCAGGAGTTCCAGACAAGGCTGAGCAACATAATGAGACATCATCTCTACAAGAAAATAAAAAATCAGGTGGGCTTAGTGCCATGCAGCTGTAGTTCCAGCTACTTGGGAGGCTAAGGCAGGAGGATCACTTGAGCCAGGGAGGTCAAGTTTGTAAGTGAGCTATGATCATGCCACTGCACTCCAACCTGGGTGACAGAGAGAGATCCTGTCTCTTATTTAAAAAAGTATGTGTGTGTGTGTGTATATATATATATATATATATGTATGTGTGTGTATATATATACACACATATATATATACATATATACACATATATACATATATACGTACATATATACATATATATACATATATACATATATACGTATATATACATATATACATATATATGTATATATACATATATACATACATACATATATACATACATATGTACATATATACATATATACGTATATATGTGTATATATAACATAAATATCTGTTATTATATATTTTTATTTATATATTTCATAATATATAAATATATATTATAATTATATATAACATATTATAAAATATAATTTTAGCCTTCTCCTCTACGCTGATGTAAATCTCTGGATTCATTTCCAGTATTTGCTTTCTTTGAAGAAAACTGCCTTATGTTTAGTTTCTGGTTAAGATATTTCCACTGCTTGTTAAGCCACCTTCCCTGACGCTTGCCTAATATAGACTATTCTCTTAATGTACAACATGTGGGAAAGAGGGGTCATGCTGCTTCCAGGAGATGTGCATGTGGTTCTGGAGTATTAAACTCTCTGCTCAGCAGATATCAAAGGCAGTAATTTAAGGAACAAAACACCTACTTTCTTCCGCAGTCATAAAGAGTTGAAGTAGGCCCAGTCACTTAAATCCAAGTTGATGAACTTAGACATCACATGTGTTACCTGTAAGGTGGGAAGTCCAGCTGGTAATGGCCTGTGTCAACAACAAGGAAGGGAGGGGATGGATCGGGGGAGTGACTGGGAAGACTCCTTGGAAAATATCAGTTGATCATGGAGTTCTAAAACTATGACTGATGCAATTCTAAAGGCCTAAAGAAATTTCTCTGGGTTTGAAAGTAAGTGATAGCTGGTGACAGGGGACATTAGTGACCTCTTTGGAGAACTTTAGGGAAAGAGCATAGTTTAGGAATAGAAAACAAAAAGTCCAACTCTTAAACATTCTGACCTTTGTTTCTGACCCCAGAGTTGCAACATGTTTCGGGCATCCAGCAGGCTTTCTGTTCTTGCAAAGCCCATTTTTCTCCTCCAACAAACATCATTTCTTTTGCCGCTGGCAGATCAAGTCCCTCCTCAAACATGAAGATTGGCCAGCTGCTCTCAGCAATCTCTTTGCCATTTATTCACAAAACTTACAAAACTGGTGCACATTTGGTGAAGACACCAGTCCCTGTGCTAGGCACATTACATTTGTCATCTCAATGGACCCTCTCAGCAGCCTCAAGACCTGGTACCTTATTGTTGTTTTAATAAGAAAACTTGGGCTTAAGTAGGTTAAGTCAACTTGTACAGTGGATCTGGGATTCAAACTCATGCACACTAAATCTTGGCCTGTGACTTAAACACATTTCACTGTGATACTGCATTACCTCTACACTAATAATTAGAACTGGCTCTTTAGAAATTAATTACCCACTCATTGCTTTTAACATAGTTTTTATTTTCTACATCACTGTAATGCTAGTTAAATCTCTTCTGCTAACCTGGCTCCAAGCTTCTAATTAGAAGGCTCATGTCTCTTCCTTCTTCACCATCTCCCTTCCCTGGCATCCCCGGCCTGCAACCACATTACAATGACGCTAGCATAGTGGGTCCTTCCAAGTCCATTCTTCCTTTGGAGCCCTGTCTAATTGCTCATCTAAAACAAATTTCCTTCAGAATTGCACTTCTGTCTGCATCCTTCTCTCCGCCGAGCCGCAAGGAGCCCAGGAGGCAATGCGAAGCAATTATTCCCTGTGTATATACAGACACTCAGTGCAGCTGGGCTGCAAATCCAGTTTATTATCTTAAGAAGAGGATCTGGTTTAGCCTAAGTTTACATCTCATCTGCCTCCCATTCATTAGATGGGCTCCAGGGCTCGGCTTACATTGCATAAACTCAGCTGGTATGTATACAATGCCAGCAATATGGAGGAGGCTAACATGTGTTGAATACATCTACTGTGTCTTAGGTCTCTGAAGGTCACTCACTAAAGTAATAGATGGTGCTAGTGTTAGTGGCTGAAGGTCAAGTCATCTTGCTTTTCATAATGCATAAACCTGAAACTCACTCAGACACCAATCATATGACCTAAACCTTGGAACAAATATTTTACTAAGTAAATCAGTGAGCATGCTGGCATTTCTATTAACCTTCAATGCACTGCTGACAGAAAATGAATAATGATAAATAATAACTCAAGCCTGTAAATCATGCTTAGCATCAGAAGCAAAAAAAAAAAAAAAAAAAAAAGCTTGTGTGTGATACCATCTGTTAGGGGGAGAACAGCAGGGACTTGAGGGGAGAGGTGAGAGAAGGGAGAGTGAATGCTGTTGGCTGGGGTAAGCACTTTTGGATTCAATAAACTGACCAAGAAAGGGTAAGTCACTTCTGGACAGGATTGATGGTGTGAGGAAAATCCCTTTTCCTCCTGTCTTCTGTTTGATGGGCATTAGCTTCTGACTTTCATCTTCCTCTCTTGCATGTTTCCTCTTTTTCCTCATCTTCTGCCCCATTAAATCTGTTTCCACTCTATCCACTGGGTTTCTGGGTCATTTGGAAAGGAGTCCCCTAACTAAGCCAAACCCTCTTGGGGGCATTCTTCTCCTCTCCCCACCTCCTACTTGAAGCATTTGGTTCTTATTCCCCCAGTGATGGAGGTAGGAGCTGGATCACTGCCCTGGAGTTGCCACCCTTCCTCAAAAACACCTCTGCAAGGACCCAGGCAGAGGGACCTCCAGCACATTCTAGAATAATGCATTTGGATTCCAAACAGGATAACAAAACAGAAATGACTCCCGGGTGTATAAGGTGTGAGGGATAGTGAAGTCTTGAAGCGAAGTTTCCCCTTAGAAGGAAACTCTCAGTGCCCTTGGGTGGGGGAAGTTCTAGAAGTTGATGCTTGACATTTAGGAGTATCTCCTTCTGGGGTGGGAGCCTGCATTTCCATTTTTATTCATCTCGTTCCTCATCCCTTCATTGGGGCCAAGTTGGCATTGCCTTCAGATGCATTCTAATCAAGAAACAGACAAATATATGTTTTATGATCAAATTTCTTGGAATAAAAATTCATCTATATGATTTTTTTGTTGTTGATTCTATGAGCCTGCCAAGTGTCAGGGCAGCCCTGGTCTAGATTCATTGGAAAGTCTGACTGGAGGTCACACTGACCCTTTCTCTTTTCCAGACGACCCAGACAGCAGGCTGCTCAAGGGGAAGCCAGGGCTGTCAACCAGGCTTTCCATCTCAGAACCCTGTATCTGTTTCTCCACAAGAAGTGGGGACCAGCCATCCCTGTAAAGGTGCCAGCTCACTGGCTGAAGGGAATATTATTGATTATAATGTGGAGCCCTAAGGGCTCTGTCCATGCAGGCTATTTTGTGAGTTAAATTATTCTTCTGCTTGGGAATGATGCAACCAAAGAGAGAATGCGTTTCTTTTGTGGTCTGTGACATGAACCTTCTTTGAATGCCAGTACTTCAAAGTCATTCTGCCCTCTTCAAGATCAGAGTGATGTTGATAAACCAGACAGTGGAATGAAAGAAAAGTAGTTGGAGAAGCTCAAAGAAAATTTGGCTTTTGCCTTTTCTTTATTTGCTGTTGGATCCATTTCCCCATTTGGATTTGGGGCCTCAGAAAAGAATTAGTAAGAAAATGAAGCTGAAGAGCCCTGAGTTTACAGTGGGAAGCTTATTGCAAGGCCACTCCTAAGCTGAGTAACCCTGGGCAAATTGAATCTCCCTCTTGACCTCAGTTTCCCCTTTCATAAAGTTGTCTGACATTGTGACTATGTGTGGTGGACTTCCTCCCCATTGGCTTTCCCCCATCCCTCTCTCCCTATTTCTTTACCTTCCCCACTTTTTTAATTAGAGGGGAAAGTAGATGAAAAAATAAAATGAAAGGAAAAGCAGAAAATTAGCATTTTCTCAGCTGCACATTTCAGTTATTAATATTGCAATTTGAGGTAATGAAATTCACAAAATGCAAAAGGTTTAAGGTTTGCCTGGTGGGGTGAACTCAGCCACATGGTATATGGCTTGAATTTCAAGGTGAGGTTCATTATGCAGAATGCACAATGTGGGCAAGCTAACAACATCATAAACCCTTCACTTTTGCATTTCTTGACTTTAATGTTGCATTACTGTAGGTTTTAGGTTTTAATATGCTGTATAAATACAGAATACATATTTGTAAGTATAGGCACTGTGAAAGGGAGGATTTTTCTGTTTTAAATCTTGGGCTTTGAAAGCCCAGCTCTGTTTGCTTTTGGTTGACTTTGTTAGAAAGCAGGTGGGAGAAAGTAGGGCAGGGTGAGTTACCTAGGAACAATCCTCATTTATGCCCAGATCCATTATGAAAGGCAGAGGCTTGCTTTTTGCCCTCACAGCAGTTTACAGAGGATTTAGTAATGCAGACCAAAGGCTCCTGGGAGGGGAAGCATCAGGATAAAGGAAAGATTTAGTTTGGCTCATCCCTGGCACCTGCCCAGGTCGGCCCTGCCCCGGCGCCTCAGCACAGCCCTTCCTCTGCCTCTGGTGATCAGTGCCAGTCCTCTCGCTTGTTTTCTTTCAGATTCATGATGCTGCACACACTGAGCAGTGGTGAAAATCTCTTGGCAACAGAAAAGATGTGAGTGGCTGTACAGTGTGTCTGTAGCAGAGAACATAGCAAGTTTCCTTCTTCTAATAGGGATGGTCAGTGAACTATTAGATGCTCTCTTGAGGGAAAATGTTGAGTCCTCATTGCCAAGAACTTTTCAGGCCCCCAGCCTGCCTGGCCTGTTTTCCTCAATCATCAGAGGCAGCAAAGGGCTTGCTTTTTCCTCCCTTTGGAGTCATCATTTTTCAGCCTCTGTACTCACAGTTGTTGGATGGGAGGCCCTTTGTCCATTTGCTAGGTTCCTGATGGTCTTCCCATTGGGCATAGATTGAGGACTGGGTGGAAAGGGCTTGATATTGTAGTGAGACTAATATTATTGAAGAGGCAGGCTTGGGCAGAAAGGTAAAACCTGCCTTCTAGAATTCAAAGAGAAGATGCTGTACACCCCAGGATTTCATCCCTGAGCTTTCATGCAGGGCTTACAACTTGCACTCAGCACTGCTCTAACCCTCACCATGCCCCAATAGAGTGCATCTCTGCTTCTCAGAATAATGAATGCTCAGAGCCCAGACGGGCCCTCAAGGTAACCCAACTCTTCTCAGTTTATTCCCCAATTAAACCGCCATAAAGACGCATACCTCTCTTAAGGGACTTGGCACTGTCTATCTTGCCTTGGAAGTAGTCATATAATCTCCTATCTCCTCTACTTTCCTTGCAGGGAAGATTCTATCGCGTTATAGTTCATCCACTCAGCATTTATCAAGGACCTACTATGTGCTAGACTCTACAAATCTATAACATCCATTTAATAATGCACATGACAATGGTCCCTGACCTCCAGGAGCTCAATCATTGGGATGAGTGCCATGATAAACAACCATATGCACAGGGAAGGAGGATTTCTTTCTGCCTCAGGGAGCAGAAACCTTCATGCATGAAACATCCAGGGAATGTCAAATAGTTTGGTATAACTGTCACATAGGACAAAAAAGTGATTGCAGTTGAGGCCAGGAGGACAAGGAAATCTTTACCTCCTTAACCAGGATTGCAGATTGGCATCTGGTGATCTCAGGACTGGATGTAAAGGCCCAAGAAGATTCACATCTGAGGAAAGTCTTCCTGAGACCAAACTCGGACCTCCTAGTGTCTTGCGCCATCCCCAGGACATGCAAACTACAGTTAGAATCACTTCGGTCTGTTGTGGTCTACATGCTGGGTTTTGAAAAGCACACATATTCTCCCCTTTCCTGGTACCTTTCTGAGTTTATCTTAAAACTCAACATCTCCCCCTTTAGTGTCGTTCACATGGATTCAGCCATGGTGTCCTAAAGGCATGTTAAGTTCCCAATATTTTACTTGGTAAAGGCAGTGTGGTCTGATGTTAATTGCCATGAAAACTTAAGACAACTTCAGGGTGACTGCCACCACTACAAACCTACCAGATGACACATAAGCATGTATCTTGGGGCATCTGGGGAAACTAGAAGATACTAAGTTCCTGAAAGGATGAAAGAAGCTCTCTTGAAGGAGGCATAAATGTGGTTCTGGAAGCAAAGACTGCTATCTTTTCTGGCCTAATACATCTTAAGTTTCCTCAGAACCCTTCTTCTCCAAAACTGTACTTGGGACCATCATTAAACCACCCTGGGAGACTGTTTGTGTGAGTATGTACACTAATAGGAAGGAAATTACACTCTCAATGCTGGCATACAGAGGAGTTAGCTGACACATTAGCATCCTGATCTGACATGGCTGTCAGAAAAATTATCCGTGACCCAGAAGGGGCCACACTAAAGGTGATTTATCCTCTTACTTGGCTTAGCCTGAGCTCTCCCCAGAGAAGGCCATGCCAATTAAGCAAAAAATAAGGCAAATTGCTTGTGTTGTGGTGCCTGGTGTTGACTGTTCCCCCAGAGAGACCTACAAATTAATTTTCTCATCGTAGCCTAGCTCTACAACCGGTTCCAAAATGGAAAACTCAGCAGCTTATTTCCTTAATCTCTTATTCTTTTTTTCATTCACTTCTTTCCCCAAACAAAATTAAATCATTTAACAGTGATTTTAATAAGCACTAAACAGTGTAATGAACCAGATAATGAAGAAGAACTCATATAATTTTCTTTATCTATTTAGTACTTAATTTATTTTGTATTTTTCCTTTGCATGCCCCTGCCTGAGAGTTTTTCCAGCGTTAGGATTTTAGATAAATATTTCACTTAGTTTCGTTGAAACCTGGTAAACATCCTAATTTGAAAGCTGGGTGATATCCCATCCAGACCACCAGTGACACAGTTTCAAAACTCATGACCAGGACACAATGCCCCCTTCTAGGACTGGCTGTCACTCAGGTTCCAATGAATTCTCTTAAGCCTCAAGCCAATGGGGCCTTCCTCAAGCCAATGCGGCTAAGGAAGCCATGCTGGTTTACACTTGGAGTCTGGACTATGGCTGGAGTGGAAAGTGTGGCCCATGTTGGACTGGACTCCTCCTGCCTGTGGTTATAATACTGGGTGATAGGGCTCAGACTAGGTTGTGGCAGAAGCAATGGGATCTCAAGCACAAAGTTCAGGCACTCTTGGCTCCAAAGGGTTCCTCCATGTGCCGTCAAATTATTTGCCATTCTCATAAGATGCTCGTAACTGTTCCATGACCTGTGACACATGTATATTGGGTAAATACTTTAGCCAGGTATTTCTTCTTAAATTCCTTCAGTGACTCCCATAGCAGCGATCCAGATGATAGAACAAGCACAGCAGACAGATAAGTGGGAGAATTCCATGCTAATAAACACCTTGCCCACATTCCTCATAGCCCATGGAGTGAGGTAGACTAGTCAGCCTGGGAAATTTAGACAGGATGAGCACTAAAGAATATATACAACGCCATCTTATTTTTTTCAAGTATGTAGTATCTCTGTTTCACTAAAAAGAAAATACAAGTCTAAATTTTAAACCAATCGCCAGGTTTAAAAAACAGAAGTGAAGGAAGGAAGGAAAGAAGAAGAGAAGGAAGAGAGGGAAGATAATTAACTTATTTAGTTATATACCAGGACTTTTTTTTTTCAAGGAAAAATGAGTCTATTACATAGCAGCATTCCTATTTGGAATGTCCTTGAGATGAGGATCCAGACCGAGTCTCCTGAAAACTGTGCAATGCACAGTATGAGCAACAGCAATTTGTTCCTCAGAGAGGCAATGTAGGGATGTGTGTGAGAGGAGAAACATAGAATCTACGCAAGAGGAGGACCCTGAGCTCCCAGACCCTAAGAAGAAGTGTGGACTGGCTTGCAGAGAAATAAAGCTCACCTCTCTCCAAGGTCCTTCATGGAAGCCTTGGGTGGAACAGAATGAGTCTGTAGGATCTGGCTGGGAATCCTGGCTTGTACATTTCTGGCTAGGAATCCTGGCTCTGCCCTTACTGGCATGGTCATTTCGCAGAGCCTCAGTCTCCTCATCTGTGCAATAAGCATGATAAAAATTAGTACCTACCACACAGGATTGTTAGAGGATTACTTGACATTGAACCTGTAGCCCAAGCTCATAAATGCTGGGAGTCCTCAAAACCAATGTGGATGTTGGGTGCTTTCTGGGACTCTGAGCCTGTCCTTCTAACCCAACCCCCTTGCTTTTATAAAGCTCACCTCTTCCACTGCAAATTCCTGATATCCTCAGGTCTGTGCTAACGAAGGGTTTTCTTGAGCAGGGATTGATTAAAATGTAGTAGCATACCCACATTTTGCATCACTGCGTGTGTGACTAATAGCCATGGAATTCATGCCACAGATAAATAATTGGCCCTTCAGCCATCCTCCATGTCTTCAGAGACATACAACCATGATCTATCATAGCTGTAGACATCTCAATGAGCATCATCTCTAGATCATAATAGATCATGTTACATTTGTATATGTTCAGGAACATAATTTACTATTAAATGGGGCCAAGATCAGCACCAAAGAAATTATCCTTCCATGGAAGAGGACTCTTTGGCTGCATTATATGCACACTGTGGTTTTAAAAATATTAATTATATTGTAAACTAAAGGTTTACTTTATGTATCATAAATCTAGATGTCTCTTCTTGCTGTGTGCCCAATAAATATACTTCTCATCAACTTTTAATTATGCTGTTTGCATTATTCTGTCCTGAGGATGAGAGTACGTGCTAAATCATGGCCTTCTAATGTGGACTACAGCATAAGTTTAGTTAATTAAACCATATATTTTATTAGTTCTTGCACCTCCATCTTGTAAAACTATGCATTATTATTATGTTGAAGTGGGAGGGGTCACAAAATAACATAGCAGGGGTGTTTTTATTGTTATTATTATCATTATTTATTCTGGAGATTCAAGTAATTTAGGAAAAGTTAAGTTGCTTTATCTCTGCATGTTTCTGCTGCCCTTTGGACTCTGGGCACATTCTCTGTCTGAAGGTAGAGAAGGTGTGGACATATTGTCAAAAAACCAGGTCACAGTTTTGAGACCAGCTCCAGAGCTGATAGGAGAAACTCAAGAATAAGAGCAGCTCCCCCACATACACACCCACTTAGCTGTTTTCTTCCTTGACTTTGCGCCTTTCGGCAAGTGGCCTCTGGCATTTAAGACTATTCCTCTGCTCTTTAATTCATGCACAAAATAATAGGAAGTTTGAAATAGAATAATGGTTGTTTCAAGTTTTAAAGAAGTTGGACATGGTTTCTAGAATGGAAGTCTGAGCCATCCCCTAAGGCAGGCAGCTTGAGAAGGGGCTGGGGCAATGGAGAGGTTCAAGGCCTTGTTGGGCAGCACTGCAGGTGTGACCCACATTGCAGGCCACACCATGTTGGCAATTGAAATCTTGGGAGTCAAAGGAAATTGGATTGAAATCTTCCTCTGGCACTTACTAGCCATAACTGCAGAACAGATATGCAGTGATACTAGCCTTGGTTTTCTCATCTAAAAGTGGTGATACGGTTTGGGTCTGTGTCCCAGCCCAAACCTTATGTCAAATTGTAATCCCCAATGTTGGTGGTGGGGCCTGGTGGGAGGCGACTGGATCATGGGGGTGGATTTCCCCTTCCGTGCTGCTCTTATGATTGTGAGTGAGTGCTTGTGAGATCTGGTTGTTTAAAATTATGTAGCACCTCCCCTCTCTCTCTCTTCTTTTTGCTCTGGCCATGTGAAGATATGTCTGCTTCCCCTTCACCTTTGCCATAACTGTAGGTTTCCTGAGGCCTCCCCAGCCATGCTTCCTGTACAGCCTGTGGGACCGTGAGCCAACTAAAGCTCTTTTCTTTATTAATTACCTAGTCTCCGGTATTTCTAAAGTAGTGTGAGAACAGACTAATGCAAATGGGGTGCATAAAACTACCCCTTCAAGGTATTATTAAGGTTGAATGAGATATAATGTAAGCCAAGTAGTTAACACAGTGCTGATAAACAGTGTGTAATAATTGTGGGACCTGTTGCTACTGCTTCTGCCATGCCTCTTACTGTTGACATTCACAGTATCTAGCAGGTTTGATGAGTGGACACACAGCTCTGATGGGGGCTGCAAGCCCAGTGGGCCAAATCTGCAGGGTCGCTCAATGGTTGTACTGCCACATAGCTTGGCCCAAACCACTCTTGAATGAAGCTGACTGGCCTAGTAGCTCAAACTATAGTTCTGGTAAATTTCTTATGTTCTTTCTTGTGCTAATGTTGATCATTGAGTTGTGTTGTCATGTAGATCTCAACAGTTCCCTCCACCCATCCCTTGGTATTGGTAATAGCTATTGCCCTGGCTTTCCCATTAGGCCAGGCATCATGAGTGCCCAATGCCTGTGCCTCATGACTCTTCACTGCGCAGACAGAGGGAGTCCTTGCAGATGGATGCAGGTGACTGCCACCCCCTTTCCATAGAGAGACTGTCCCTAAGGCAAGACTGTCCCTAAGGCATTATGGGACCCCTTTCGGTGCCAACTCCTTTATAAACAACTCCCAAGAAATGTACTGGCTTTATCAGCAACTTCATTCTTCTCCCCTTCCCCCCGCCAAAGAATAAATAAAGAGCAGAGGCAAGATCTGTTTTGTTTCAACTTTTAAAGGCCTTTGAAGGCACAGCTATTTGAGAACAATAAAAAAAGAAAGCATTTTGTTCTCTTAACTGCTGTTCAGGTGGTGGAGGCCCCCCCACCGCCCCCATCCTTTCCACAGGGAGGGGAGTGGCAACGTTGTGTTTTATGGTGGCCAAAACCCTTCTCCTGCACCCCCTAGGAGAGCTCTCCAATTGTGCTGCCCTTCAGGACAGAGTCCACTGTGGAGCTTGTAATAAAACAAAGGCAATGAGTCACAGCAACATGACCAGGGTTGGCTGGAAGAGCCTTTGCTTGCTGCTGGAGTGTGGGTGGGGACTAGAGGAAGGAACCCCTGGAGGAAGAGTTCTTGCCTATAATGGATCCCATATGCCAAGGGCTGAGTTCTGATATTCTGCAGTCGCAAAGCACCTAGGCTTTGATTTTTATTTTATTTTGGATGGGTGGAGGGATAGAACCAGTATGTTATGGCCTCAGATCTCAAGTTGACAGTTCAGCATTGAATAAAGCATTAAACACAAACGTTAATTTTTTCCCCCATGTGCCTGTGTGTGGTCTTACCTCCCCCTTCTGCCTGTGGCTCTCAACTCCCTTTCCTTAAGACTTTCTTTATCACTTTTAAAAGTTACAAAGAGTTTTATGCTCTTAATTATGAAAATGCCACACACACCCCCAAACTGAGGTGATTGGAGGGAGGCTGACAATTTTCATAACGTATCTCCCTATGGATAGAGTCAAGTGGAAAGGTAGAGGACAGGATGTTGTAGGTTTCAGCAGACTCCAGACCTAAGTGCCAATATTTCTAGGCCAATCAGGTAAATTGGCCCCATGAACATCTAGTTGGGGTTGTTTTCTGTGCCTTAAGTTTAATATTATAGAATCTTCTCTCCTTTTTGTGGCTAATTTGAAGAGAGAAAAGCAAAGAAAGTTTTGTCCAGATCTATCCCACTGACAAATAGAAATCCTCAACTGTTTATAACTCCTGCAGCCCAGCAAGGCCTCCCCTGGCTTTATAGCTTTATATTTTCAACCTAATGTCAAACTCACACTCTTGCATGAGTCTATGGAACTTCAGTAATAAATGACTGAAAGCTGAACACTTCAGAGAGAAGGTAAGCTTAAACCATCATAGACTAAAAAGCCTTCCACAATCCCTGCAATGGATGGCAATCCAAGAAGACCCGGATGGAGCGCAGACCTGGAGCATTTTTCTTTTGATCTGATGGACTCCGTATCTCTGTCAAAACAAGGGGCTTTGCAGGAAGGCAGAAGCCAAACTACATTCCAGATGGAAAGGAAATCCAAGTGTCACCCGGGATGCTGGTGATCTGGTTTAGTCATTAAGAATGCCACAGCTAACAGAAAGCTTCAATCTGAGCCGTTAAGAATGTACTAGTTTTGCCTCTCAATCCCTACTGCGGGAGACCCCTGAACCTTTATTTTCCTTCCGAGGCTGTCCTGAGTTTTCTTCTTTAACATTGTCCCTGATTTATGGTATGTCCACATTTCCCTGGATAGTACCATCTTTTGAGTTATACATCATCAGAGTGACTCATTCTGATGATGTATGGCCCCAATACATCATCAAAGCTCCTTGCTCTGCCGTTGCACTAATGATATGTTAGTGTAATACATCACCAGGCTGAGCTGCAGCTGTGATGGATGGAGCTGAGGGTGATGGGAGTCCATAGAGAGGAGGCTGAGGAGGGGGTTCCGGGTAGGCTCAGGAGGAAAATTCTGCAATCCCAAGTCCACCTCCCTTCCTGGCACCAATGCCCATACTGAATTAACACTGTGGCATGCGTCCTTACAGAAACATGGAAACATACATCATCCTCCAAAGCAGTGTGAACTCAAGGCTCATGTATAGATCATAGACACACTAGAGGTTATATATATATATATATTAT
The DNA here is from genome assembly GCF_000001405.40 of Homo sapiens. Lineage (NCBI taxonomy): Eukaryota > Metazoa > Chordata > Mammalia > Primates > Hominidae > Homo > Homo sapiens. The sequence goes on from NC_000010.11 coordinate 76,651,683, forward strand.
AGTGATATATATATCACTATAATTAAGGGGTAGGAGGACTCAGTTGGATTGAGCTGGGGCAATGAGAAACAAAAAAGCAGCAGAGCTTTGGAACAAAAACTTCATCAACAGGAGGGAAGTGAGTGCTCACAAGAGAATGCAGGAATCAGAAATCTACTACCTGCACTCATAATTCTCCAAAAGAATTGTAATAGAAATGCTCTGGAGGTTTCTTAGCTGCTTTTCTCTCAGACCACCTTTTTATCAATGCTTGTGCCTGCCCAGAGCTTCTGACTAGCTGGGAACATTCACCCTAAGGGAACTTTGACTTATGAATATTTGTTGGCGGACAGATCCACGTGCTAGACCAAACCCATATCTACATAAATTAATAGCTGGGACTTAGTTTCCTAATCTGAAAATTGAGATAATAATATAAATTATAGTATATAAATAATAGTAATATAAATATATATCACCTCGTAGCATTAGTATGAGTATTATGAGAGTTAATAGTTATAAAGTACCTAGAATGAAATATGAAATAAACACTCAATGTTAGCCATTACAACAACAATTTCAGCTATCTCTATTACTGCTACTGCTACAGCTACTACTGCCACCATCCTCACTACTGCTGGTGCTGATACTGCTACTACTGCTGCTGCTGCCACTACTACCAGTACCCATGAGGCTCTCTTTAAAATTATATGCCTAATACCTTCTCCCCCGCCAAAATTCTGCATGTTCTATCTCTTATTTGGAAGTTGTCAAGGCACATTAGTACATTAAATCATACTGAGAGATTCCACAATTAAAAAAAAAAAAACAAATTACCACTTCCAATTCCAGTGTACTATTGACTGGGTACTCTGACAAGTTTACTTGCTAAAATACACCTAGAATTGGAGAAATTTACACATATACTTTTTTATTGAGGTGAGGTTTATGTCACGTAAAATTAAGCAGGCTATAGTATACAATTCAGTGACATTTTGTATATTCCCAATGTCCTGCAACCACATCTATCTAGTTCCAAATTTTTATCAAACTGAAAGAAAATCCTGTACTCATTAAGCAGTCACTCCTCATTCTCCACTCCCCTCCACCCCTGGCAACCACCAATATGTTTTATGTTTTTATGGATTTAACTAACCTGGATATTTCACATATATGGACTCATACCGTATGTGATATTTAGTGTCTGGCTGCTTTCACTTAGCATATGTTTTTGAGATGCATCTACACTGTTGTATGTATCAGTACTTCATTTCTTTTATAGCTGATTAATATTCCAATTGTGTATATTTACAGACCACATTTTGCTTATCCATTTGTCTGTTGATGGACATTTGGTTACTACCTTTTATCTGCTATGAATAGTGCTGCTATGAATTTGTGTACAAGCAGGTGTTTGAGTACCTGTTTTCAGTTCTTCGGAGGATATACCTAGGAATAGAATTGCTGGGTCAAATAATAATTCTAGGCTTACCTTTTTAGGAACTACCAAAATATTTTCCACATTAATTTGAAACATTTTACATTCCCAATAGAAATGTATATGGTTCCAATTTCTCCACATCATCACTGACATTTGTTGTTTTCATTTTTATTTTTATTATAGCCATCCTAATAGATGTGAAGTAGTATTTCATAGTGATTTTGTTTTTCATTGGTCAATGACAGCTGATCACCTTTTTATGTGATTTTTGGCCATTTGTATTCCTTCTTTGGAGATACATCTATTCAAGTTCTTCTACAAAACACTAAATCACAGTTTAGCACAGTCCTTTGCTACTTTATAACAAGGATTGGCTTCCTACAGTTTCCAATGGCATGTTTCTCATTTCTGTATGAGAGGTCAGAAGAATAGCCCTTAAAATCTATATTTCTACCATCATTTTGTTCCTGATTATTAATGTATTCTTTAAGAACATAGGAATGTTCTCTTCAGCTCTCCTATTTTCTTTCTGAGTTCTGAGCTCTAAACAGAATTGTCCTTAAAGTTTGTATTTGCAGCATGTACCTCAAAACCCTAATTTTTACACAGTGACAAAGTCAATACCATACTTTTAGGTTTTTATTACAGCAGCACCCCCAAAATCTGTTTTAGAAGGTGCTTGCTTCTCCCTTATGTTTCTGCCATAATTGTATGTTTCCTGAGGCCTTCCCAACCGTGCTTCCTGTACAGCTTGTGGAACTGTGAGTCAAGTAAACCTCTTTTCTTCATAAATGACCCAGTCTCAGGTAGTGCTATAAAATGGAGAGATTAAGGACCTATTTTCAGCATCCTTAAAGAAAAAAATTCCAACCAAGAATTTCATATCTTGCCAAACTAAGCTTCATAAACCAAAGAGAAAGAAAATCCTCTTCAGACAAGAAAACACTAAGGGAATTCATTACAACTAGACCTCCCCTACAAGGGGTCCTTAAGAGAGTGCTAAACATGGAAATAAAAGAACACTACCTGTCAGCACAAAAACATACTTAAGTACAAAACCCATTGACACTATGAGGCAACTATACAATCAAGTCTATAAAATGACTAGCTAACAATGCAATAACAGGATCAAATTTTTACATATCAATATTGTCCTTGGATGTAAATGGGCTTATTACCCCACTTAAAAGGCACAGAATGGCAAATTAGATATAGAAGGAAGACCAAACTGTCTGTCTGTTATCTTCAAGAGAGCCGTCTCACATGTAACAACACCCATAGGCTCAAAGTAAGAAGATGGAGAAAGATCTGTCAGGCAAACAGAAAACAAAAAAGAGCAGGGGTTGCTATTACATCAGGTAAAACAGAATTTAAGCCAACAATCGTTCAAAATGACAAAGAAAGACACTACATAATGATAAAGGTTTTAATTTAATAAGAAGACTTAACTATCCTAAATATATATGCACCCAACTTTGGTGTACCGAGGTTCATAAAACAAGTATGAAAAGACTTACCCACAGAATAATAGTAGGAGACTTCAACACTCCACTGACAGAGTTTGGCAGATCATTGAGGGAGAAAACTAACAAAGAAATTCTGGACTTAAACTTGACACTCAACCAATTGGACCTAATAGACATCCACAAAATACCCACCCAACAACAGAATATATTTTCTTCTCATGTGCATATAGCACATATTCTAAGATCGACCACATACTTGGCCATAAAGTAAGTCTCAACAAATCAACAAAAAATCAAAATCCTGCCAACTATACTCTCAGACTTCAGTGCAATAAAAATCTAAATCAGTAACAAGAGGACCTCTCAAAACCATACACTTACATGAGAGTTAAACAACCTGCTTCTGAATGATTTTCAAATGAAGGACAAAATCAAGGCAGAAATAAAAATAAATTGAAACTAATGAAAATAGAGATACAATATATCAGAATCTTTGAAACACAGCTAAAATGGTGTTAAGAGGAAAGTTTATAGCACTAAATGCCTACATTAAAAAGTTGGAAACATCTCAAATTAACAACCTAACATTACACCTGGAGGAACTAGAAGAACACTGGCAAACTAACCCTGAAGCTAGCAGAATAAAACCAATAACCAAAATCAGAGCTGAATTGCATGCAATTGAGAGGTGAAAATCCATACAAAAGCTTAACAAAACTAAAAGTTATTTGAAACAACAAGTTTGGTAAACTGCTAGCTATATTATTAATAAAGAAAAAAGAAGATCCAAATAAGCACCATCATAAATGACAAAGGTGATACTACAACTGCCCTCATGTAAATACAAAAAAATCTTCAGAGACTATTATGAACATCTGTATGCACACAAACTAGAAAACCTAGAATAAATGGATAAATTCCAGGAAACAAAAAACCTCTCAACATTGAACCAGAAAGAAAAACTGAAATTCTGAATAGACCAAAAATGAGTTTCAAAGTTAAATCAATAACAAAATACCTACCACCAAAAAAAGAAAAAGTACTGGATGAGTTGGAATCACAGCCAAATTCTACCAGACATATAGATAAGAACTAGTACCAATCCTACTTAAATCGATCCAAGATATTGAGGAGCAGGGACTGCTCCCTATCTCATGCTACAATATCAGCATCATTTTGATAACAAAGTCTGGCAAAAATATGATGAAAAAAGACAACATCAGGCCAATATCCTTGATAAACATAGATTCAAAAATCATCAACAAAATACTAGCAAACAAAAATCCAGAAGCACATCAAAAAGTTAATTCACCATGATCAAGTAGACTTTATTCCTGGGATGCAAGGTTGGTTCAACATACCAAAATCAGTAAGTGTGATTCACCACATAAACAGAATCAAAAATAAAAACCACATGATCATCCCAATAGACACAGAAAAGACTTTTGATAAAATCCAACACTGCTTCATATTACAAATACTCAAAAAATTAGGCATCACATAAAAGGGACATATGTCAAAATAATAAATTTCATCTATGGCAAAATCAGACTCAACAGCATAGTGAATAGGCAAAAGCAGGAAACACACTCCTTGCAAACTGGAACAAGATAAGGATGTCTACTTTCACCTCTCCTATTCAACATAGTACTGGAAGTCCTGGCTACAGCAACCAGGCAAGAGAAAGAAATAAAAGGCATCCAAATAGGAATAAAGGAAGTCAAACTATCTCTCCTCACAGATGATATGATTCTATACCTACCAAACCCTATAGCCTTCATCAAAAGGCTCCTAGAACTGATAAATGACTTCAGTAAAGGTTCAAGATACAAAATCAATGTACAAAAAGTGGTAGCATTTGTATACAACAATAATGTACAAGTTGAGAGCCAAATCAAAAACACAATCCCATTTACAATAGCCACAAAAAGAATAAAATACCTAGGAATACAGCTAACTAAGGAGGTGAAAGATCTCTACAACAAGAGTTTCAAAACACTGACAGAAATTAGAGACTATAGAAACAAATGGAAAAACATTCCATGCTCATGGATAGGAAGAATAAATATTGTTAAAATGGCTATACTGCCCAAAGTAATTTACAGATTCAACACTATTCCTATCAAACTACCAGTCTCATTTTTCACAGAATTAGGAAAAAAAACTATTCTAAAATGCATGTGGAACAACAGAAAAAGAGCCCAAATAGCCAAAGCAATTATAAGCAAAAAGAATAAAGCCAGAAGCATCACACTATCTGAATTTGAACTATACTACAAGGCTACAGTAACAAAAGGAGCATGGTAATTGTACAAAAACAGACACTTAGACAAATAGAATAGGTTAGAGAACTCATAAATAGAGCCACATTCTACAACCATCTGATATTTGACAAAGTTGACAAAAGCAAGCAATGGGAAAGGACTCCTTATTCAATAAATGGTGCTGGAATAACGGCTAGCCATATACAGAAGATTGAAATTGGGCCCCTTCATTTCACCATATACAAAAATTAACTCAAGATGGATTAAAGACTTAAATGTAAGACCTAAAACTATAAAATCCCTAGAAGAAAATCTAGGAAATAGTATTCTGGACATTGGCCTCTGTAAAAAATTTATGACTAAGTCTTCAAAAGCACGTGTAACAAAAACAAAAATTGACAAGTGGGACTATATTAAACTAAAGAGCTTCTATACAGAAAAAGAAACTATCAACAGAGCAAACAGACAACCTACAGAATGAGAGAAAATATTTTCAAGCTATTCATCTGACAAAGACCTAACATCCAGAATCTGTAAGGAAGGTAAACAATTCAACAAGCAAAAAACAAACAACCCCATTTAAAAATAGGCAAGGGATGTGAACAGACACTTCTCAAAAGAAGATGTATATGTGCTCAACAAATATATGAAAAAATGCTCAGCATCAGTAATCATTAGAGAAATGCAAATCAAAACCACAATGAGATACCATCTCACACCTGTTAGAATGGCTATTACTCAAAAGTAAAAAAATAGCTGATGTTGGCAATTTGCTGAGAAAAAGAAACACTTAGACACTGCTAGTGTGAATATAAATTATTTGAGGCATCATGAAAAGCAGCATAAATATTTCTCAAAGAACTTAAAACAGGACTACTATTTGACCCAACAGTCCCATTACTGGGTATATACCCAAAGGAAAATAAGTTGTTCTGCAAAAAAGACACATGCATATGCATGTTTATTGCAACAGTATTCACTATAGTAAAGACATGGCATCAACCTAGATACCTACCAACAGTGGACAGTATAAAGAAAACATAGTACATACATATAATGGAATACCATGCAGTCATAAAAAAAGAATAAACTAGTGTTCTTTGCAGTAGCACAGATGCATTTGGAGGCCATTAGCCTAAACAAATTAATGAAGGAAGAGAATACCAAACACCACATGGAAGCTAAACACTGAGTGAACATGAACATAAAGTAGCCATAATAAACACTGGGCACTCCTAGATGGGGGAGGGTGGAAGGAAGGTGTGGGTTGAAAAACTATCAGGTACTATGATTACTACCTGGATGACTGGATTATCCATACAGCAAACTTCAGCCACGTGCAATTTACCCATGTAACAAACATGCACGTGAACCCCCGAACCTAAAATAAAAGACTTCCTACAAAAAGAAGAATAAGATAACAAGACCTAGAATCAAACTAGTCCCAGAAGTAGAGATTAGGATGAACAAAGAAAAAAAATCAAGATATATTGGCTAACAATTTTTTAAAGCTTATCAAAACAATAAATTCACATGTATAGGAACATATATATATATTCTACTAAATGGCAAGATGTTCACACAACAACAGCAATAATATGTAATGTAATAATAATACTGTATCACCTCAAAACAAAAGATCTTAAAAACAGCAAGAGAGAATAACAGATACTTAAAAATTATAATAAGACAAAGGCAATAGCAGCAATTGAAGCCAAAAGATGACTACTAATATATCTATAATACTAATATATGCTAATGCATAAATATATGCATATATATAATGCTAATATATATATATATAAAATACTGAGTTGCATATCCAGCAAAACCATCTTACCAAAATAAGAATAAAGGAGAGAGATTCTCAAACTATTTTCATCAACAAATATTCACTGGAAGAATTTCTAAAATATGAAATATGAAGAATTTCTAAAATATGTAGATACATATATAAATTAGTAAATATATACATACTTCTAAACAAACAACATTCTTATAAAATACTCATGATAGTAATAATATTACTCATGATAGTAATAATATTAATAGCAAATTTATGGATTTCTAAAAAGTAAACCAAATAAAATGGTGGAAAATTAGCATGTAAATTATAAGAGGGAGGGTAAGGATAAAAGTATTTTCAACTACATATGTTATTTGGAAAGTGGGTTAAGATATGTATTAATTTTAATGTTAAGTCTAATTTAAAGGATTACCATAATAATTAAAATAGTGTTTAAAATGTAATTAACTAATTAATTTCTTGTAGAGACAGGGTCTCACTAGGTTGCCAGGGCGGGTCTTGAACTCCTGGGCTCAAACATTCCTCCTGCCTTGGCCTTCCATAGTGTTGAGATTACAGGCGTGAGCCACCACACCTGGCTGAAAATAATCATTTTAAAAGCAGGAAAGAAGACTAGGTAAACATAAAGACAGCATGGGAAATAGAAAACACAAGTGAAGAGATTAAAGTAGTTCCAGATATATCAATAATTCCAATAAATATGAACAGGTGAAACTCAGTACTAAGTAAAAAAGATCACACTGACATTTAAAAATAGGCAAGTCTAGCCATAGGCTATTACAAAGAAATAAACATGAAATACACATGAAACACTAAGACCCAGAAAAATTAAAGACAAAAAGTTGGAAAAATATTTCAAAATTTGTAAAATGTTGATAATTTGATAATTTTTGAAGCTGGGTAATTGGTTTATAGCAACTGATTATAATATTCTGTTTACTATTGTGTATATTAACATTTTCTATAATAAAAAAGTTTTTGGCCAGGCATGGTGGTTCACTCCTGTACTCCCAGCACTTTTGGAGGCCAAGGCTGGAGGATCACTTGATTTCAGAATTTTGAAACCAGTCTTGGCAACATAGCAAGACCCTGTCTTTCCAAAAATTGTTGAAAGTTAGCCAGGCATGGTGGCATGTTCCTGTAGTCCCAGCTACTTCAGAGGCTGAGGTCAGAGGATCACAAAAGCCCAGGAGCTCAGGATTACAATAAGCTGTGATTTGTGCCACTGCACTTCAGCATGGGCAAGAGAGCAAGACTCTGTCTCTAAAAAATAAAAAAAAATTAAAATTTTTAAAAATTTGCTTAGAATATTATGAAACATTATTCAAAGAAAACTGAGATAGTTATTTTATTGTTATACAAAATTGATTGTAGTACCAAATATTGTATTAAAGGTAAAAAGGGCTTCTATATAATTTTTTAAAATATCATTTACCAGGAAGATTTTACAACTCTAAAATATAAAGCCTCAAATATATATAAAGAAAATATCAATAGGGTGAAATACACAAATCTACTATCACATTAGAAAGTTCATATACATGTCTCTCAATTGCTGCTAGAAACAGCAAAAACAAAAACTTGGTAAAAATAAAGAAGAATTGAAAAGCATTATCAACAAGCTATTTTAATGGACATAGGCACAACCCTACATTCAACAATTAGAGAATACCCATTCATCTTAAGTTCACAGAGGACAATTACAGAAACTAATCACATAGGCCACAAATCAGATACCCACAAATTTTCAGGAATGATAATATGCATATAATGTTTTCTGAGTGTAATAAAATTATGGTAGAAATTAATACCAAAAATTATTAAAGATTCATATTTCTGGAAATTAAAAATACATATGTCTAATTATTGGATGGGGCAAAGAGGAAATTATAATAGAAATTTAAATATACTTAAAACTGAGGATTATCTCAAAAGTTGTGGGATATAGCAGAAATAGAACTTTAAGGGAAATGTATAGCCATAAATGCTTAAAGGAAGAAATGTGTATAATTGGTGTTATAAGCATTCTGGTTAAGATTTAGAAAACTACAGTTGTAATCATTCAACTCAAGAATGTTGGTGGGACTGTAAACTAGTTCAACCATTGTGGAAGTCAGTGTGGCGATTCCTCAGGGATCTAGAACTAGAAATACCATTTGACCCAGCCATCCCATTACTGGGTATATACCCAAAGGACTATAAATCATGCTGCTTTAAAGACACATGCACATGTATGTTTATTGCGGCATTATTCACAATAGCAAAGACTTGGAACCAACCCAAATGTCCAACAATGATAGACTGGATTAAGAAAATGTGGCACATATACACCATGGAATACTATGCAGCCATAAAAAATGATGAGTTCATGTCCTTTGTAGGGACATGGATGAAATTGGAAATCATCATTCTCAGTAAACTATCGCAAGAACAAAAAACCAAACACCGCATATTCTCACTCATAGGTGGGAATTGAACAATGAGAACACATGGACACAGGAAGGGGAACATCACACTCTGGGGACTGTTGTGGGGTGGGGGGAGTGGGGAGGGAGAGCATTGGGAGACATACCTAATGCTAGATGACGAGTTAGTGGGTGCAGCACACCAGCATGGCACATGTATACATACGTAACTAACCTGCACATTGTGCACATGTACCCTAAAACTTAAAGTATAATAATAATAAATAAATAAAATAATAATAATAATAATAATAAAACTCCGGTCTCCTGCAAAAAAAAAAAAAAAGATAAAATAAGCTCAAAGATAGTAGATGTAGGGCAATAAAGATAAGAGTAAAAATCTATGAAGTTGAAAAAATACATGATACAAGATGAATAAAGCCAAAAGTTGGTGCTTTGAAAAGAGTAATAAAATAATCAAACTTCTGATGATTAGAACAAAAAGGAGACCTAATTATTGATTCAGCATGTGATAAAAACCTGACTACTGTGAACAAGCATATGTCAATTTGAAAACTTAGATGAAACAGATAAATTGTTTGAAAATATAACATACCAAAATTGACTTAAAAACAAAGACAATACTCTTATAGCAATTAAGATAGTTAATCAATCACCAAAAGAAGGTAAGACCCAAATAAGTATTACTAAATTTTCAAAAAATAGTTTTTTTGCAACATACAACACCTTCTTGAGAATAGAAAAGGATGTCAATATAAACTTGGAGTAAACCCAGATAAGGAAAATGTAAGAAAGATAACGGATAGGCAATTTTTAAAAATTCTAAACAAAACTCTAATTTGAAGCCAGCAGTTTATAAAAAAAGATATACATCATGATAAATTTTGGCTTATGGAAAGATGAAATAGAAGGATTGTTTAAAACCCAAGTACCTATAAATGTAATGCCAAACATTAAGAAGATTAAATATACAATTAGAAAAAGTTATTCCAATAGTTAACAGAAAAATAATTTGATAAAATTCAACAACTATTAACATAAAGGAAATAAAAACATGACAAAATGAACAAACAAAAAAATCTTACTAATAGCAGTGTCCCTCCTTAACTTTACAAAAGGTATTCAACAAAAAGCTACAGCAAATATAGCACATAATAGTAAAGTTAGTATTATTCCCTTATATGTCAAGGGGGAAAGGGGAGTTCCACTATCATCACTTTTATTAAACATTGTAATGGAGATTCTAGCTGGTGCAACAGGAAAAGGCTAAGAAGTAAAAGGTATAAGGATGGCATGAAAGAAAACATAGACACAGATGATATAATTACCTACACTGAAAACTCAAGAGAATCTAAATATAAATTATAAAAATTAATGTGAGCTTTCCAAGGTGGCTGGATATAATATCAATAAACAAAAGCCAATTGCATCTCATGATATCAATAATAAATATTTAGAAGATGTAATTTAAATTAAAAGATACTCTTTATAATAACAGAAAATACTTAGGAATAAATTTAACAAATATGCAATTCCTTCATGGAGAACTGTCAATACATGTACTGAAGTTGTTAAAGACATTTAAATAAATTAAGAGCATTCCTCAATAACAAGTTGAAAGACTTAAAATCTTAAAGACACCAGTTCTCCTAAAATTGAATTGTAAATTCAATGCAATTCCAACTGAGTTTTTAATGAAATTTGATAAACTGATTTTAAAACGTATATATGAAAGAGCAAATGTCCCTAGTTAGCCAAGACATTCTTACAGAAGATGAATAGGATGAGGAAACATTCCCTACTAGATATCAAGACTTAATTTAAAACCAAATAGTTAAGATAATATTCCTATTTTGCAGAAAAAGTTAATTTGGAGCCAAATAAAAGTTCCAGACAGAATCCCATACATCTATAAACACCTTATATGTGCCAGAGAAGGGCATGTCACATCATTGGAGTAAGTAAATGATGGGGCAGGTGGCTCTACTTATTAAATAAGTAAGTAAATAAATAAATTAAATTAAATACCTACTACATACCACACACTTAATCAATTCCAGATGGAGTAAGTAGTTAAATGTAAACATTAAACAATTGAAATAAGGAAGTATATATAAGAGAATACCTTGATTAAACTGAGCTAGCAAATTATAGCTTAAAACTCAAAAGTTGCCAATTAAAAGAGCTAAATTCAAGTACATTAAAATAAGTATTTGTATTCCTCCAAGGACACCATAAAGAAAATGAAAGACAAGCCATATTGTGTGAAAAGTATTTGTGTTGCATGCCACCAATAAAAATTAGCCACTGAAAAATGTAATGAACTTCTCCAAAATAAGAAATGTATATGATTTTTTAAAAGATATAAAAGAAACCCTACATATTAGCCTTTACATAAACACAGAGAAACTTGTTAGAACTAATAGACAAATTCAGCAAAGTTGCAGAATATAAAATCAACATGCAACAATCACTTGCATTTTTATTCACTAACAATTCAAAAAGAAAATGATTCCATTTACAATAACATCAAAAAGAATGAATGCTTCAGAATAAACTTAACTAAGGAAGCAAAAGACTTGTACACTGAAAACTTCAACACCTTGATGAAAGAAATTAAAGAAGATGCAAACAAATGGAAAGTTATCCTGTGTTCATGGATTAAACGGCTGAGTATTTTAAGATGTAAATACTATCCGTGATACATATTACCCATTAAGTCCATATTTTAATGGTAAGTATTCCCATTAAATCTACAGATTTAACGCAATCTCTATCAAAACTCCAGTGGCAGTTTTCGGAGAAACAAAAACATTCATCTTAAAATTCATACAGAATCTCAAGGGATCCCAAATAGCGAAAGTGATCCTGAAAAAGGACAAAGTTGGAGTTCTCACATTTCCTAATTTCAAAACTTGTTACAAAGCTACAGTAATCAAAACAGCATAATACTGGCATAGTGGAAATGTGTAGACCAATTAAATAGAATAGACAAGTCAGGAATAAATCTTCACTTAAAGGGTCAAATGGTTTTCCACAAGGATCCCAATGCCAGTAAATGGAGAAAGAATAATCTCTTCAACAAATGTTGTGACAACTGGATATCCACATGTAAAAGAATGAATTTGTACCATTACCTTATACCATAAACAAAATTAATTCAAAACATATCAAAGAAAGACCAAAACATAAGACCTAAACTTATGCAACTCCGAGAAGAAAACATGGAAGAAAACTTCATGACATTGAATGATTTCCTGACAATGACACCAAAAGAATAGGCAACAAAAGTAAAAATAGATAAACTTGACTGCATCAAAATTAAAACTTTCTGCATGTCAAAAGACACAATTAAATGAAAAGGCAACTCACGGAATGGAATATTTCAAATCATGCATCTAATAAGGGGTTAATATTCAGCATATATAAGCAACAACAAATAACCTGATAAAAAAATGGACAAAGAAGTTGAATAGACATTTCTCTAAAGAATATATGCAGGTGGCTAACAGACATATGAGAAGATACTCAACATCACTAATCATTAGTAAATCAAAGCCACAATGAGATATCAACTCACACCCACTAGAATGGACACTATCAAAAAACAAAAATAACAAGTGTTAGTGAGGATGCGGCACAATTGGAATCCTTGCGCCCTGTGGGAGGGAATACAAAATGGTGTAGCTACTGCAGAAAACAGTATGGTGATTCCACAAAAAATTACAAGTGGAATTATCATATGATCCAGCACTTCCACTTTTGGCTGTATCTGCAAAGAATTAAAAGTAGAGTCTTGAAGAGATATTTGCTATTTGCACACCCATGTTTTAACAATAGTCAAAACGAGGAGGCAACCCCATTGTCCGTCAATGAATTAACGGACAAACAATATATATAAAATGGCTTATTCAACATTAAAAAGGAAGGAAATTCTGACACATGCTGTAACATGGATGAACCATGAGAACATTATGTTAAATGAAGTCAGTCACTAAGACAAATACTGTAAAATTCCACTTATATGATGTACCTAGAGCAGCCAATTTCATAGAAACCATAGAATGATGTCTCTCAGAGGCTGGAAGGGAAGAACGATGCAGAGTCATTATTTAATGGGTATGGAGTTTCAGTTTTGCAAGAAGAAAATGTTCTGGAGATTCGTTGCGCAACAATGTGAATATACTTAATACTACTGTACTACATGGTTAAGATGGTAAATTTTATGCTACGTATATTTTACCACAATTTTAAACAATGGTGCAAGGACTTGAAAAGGAATTTCACAGAAATATTATCATAATGGCAAATAAAAATATGAAAAAATTATCAAAACAAGGTTATGCAAATTACTGCCACAATAAGAAGTTATTTTATACCCACTAGGTTGCAAAAATTAAGTTTGACAGTACTATACGGTGACAGCACTGTGGAATACTGGAAACTCTGACACATGACCACTGATAGAATGTGCAGGCCTCTCAGCAAATGCATTTTTCAGGGACTCTGTCCATATAAACAATTAGAGTCATCCCACAAAGCTTGTCAGCACTATTCTGGCAGTTCTATAACATGAAATCCTGCAAAAGCGATATTACATCAGCCAGCAAGAGCAACATGTTAGCCCAATCTCTGGAACAGGTACCCCACGTTGGGGCTCCAGGACAACTCCATAAGTGAGAGTGTGGGAGCTCCGCAGGACATTTGCTAAACTTGTGTGTGTCGTGAGGGGTAAGGGAGTTGGGAAGGGATTAGAGGATCAGAGAGTAACCCAAAGAGGAGAAATAAGGTCTAGAATGCCCTGTCCAGACAGTACTCCTAGTTCCAGCCCATCTTAGGCTTAAATAGAGGCCTGGGCAGAGACCTCTTTCCGGGTGTAACGACAATACTGTTCTTATGTAATGCTGGCAGAGAATGCATCAACATAACCACCTCATAAAACAACTTGCCTTTATTAATCACTTTGTAAAACAATTTGCCTTTTTCTTATAAATTTAAACATTCACGTTACTGCTTATGACCCAGCATTTCTACTCCTAGATGTAAATGTTAGAGAATCTCTTGCCTATTTGTCTTAGGAGTCATTTATAAGACTATTCATTCTAGCATTATTCACAATAGATAAAAATGCAAAACAGCTAAATGTCCGTCAACAAATAGTACAGATAAATAAATGTTAGGATATTACACCATGGAACAGTAACAGTTCCATGATCTACAGTTATGCACAACAGCATGGATAAATTCTGGACATATAATAATAATTGGAAAAAACAAGTTATAGAAGACTACTTAGAGTATGATTCAATTACTATAAAATTAGAAAAAGCAAAATTAAATAATGTATTTAATATATACATATACACATACATACATATAGTATGGTGCAAATATATATGTATATATGTGGCAGTTGAGAGAAACAAGGAGAGGTTTACAATACAACATTATTGGTAATGTTCTCCTTTTTAAGTTAATTGGGGTTCGCAGATATTTATCTTACTATTAAACTTCATAACTTATATGCCATATATTCTTTTTCTGTATCAAATTACACTTTTTTTACATAAGTTTTAAAAACAATCAAATAACCTTTAAAAATTTTTCTATAATGGAGAATTTCCCAAGTATGTTTGTGCACAGAACATTCTTTTTTCTTTTTCTTTTTTTTTTTTTTTTTGAGATGGAGTCTTGCTTTGTCACCCAGGCTGGAGTACAGTGGTGCAATCTTGGCTCACTGCAACCTGGGCTTACCGGGTTCGAGTGATTCTCTTGCCTCAGCCTCCCGAGTAGCTGGGACTACAGGCACCTGCCACCAAGCCCAGCTAATTATTGTATTTTTAGTAGAGACAGGGTTTCACCATATTGGCCAGGCTGGTCTTGAAGTCCTGACCTTGTGATCTGCCTACTTCAGCCTCCCAAAGTGCTTGGATTACAGGCGTGAGCCACAGCCCCTGGCCAGGACATTCTTTCTATTGCACATTTATTAACATGCAGAAATAGTGCCC
Organism: Homo sapiens; assembly: GCF_000001405.40. NCBI lineage: Eukaryota > Metazoa > Chordata > Mammalia > Primates > Hominidae > Homo > Homo sapiens. The sequence goes on from NC_000010.11 coordinate 76,667,074, forward strand.
TTGGAATGCTTTAAGTGCCTGATTTGGGAGTAAGCTGAGCTTTATTAATGTGGTTTCCCAAGAGTATGGGCCAGGGTGATATGTAGCTCTCTGTCTTTTCATTTCAAAAGTAGTGCCACCCAGGAGGGGACCATATTCAATCTCTCACCTCTCCTAAAATGGGAAAGAACAATATTTGAGACTCTGACAAGTAATAATCCATCTCTGATTGTTCTTAATAGTTAATTCCTTCGCTTTACTTTCCTGGTGAGTGTATATTATTTTTTATTCAGAGAAACATTAGTTCCCTCTGAAACAATAAGCACTGTTAGTGGCTGTCTGCCTGAATATAATCCATTATGTTCTTGCTCGCAGTCTATCTCTCCTCTCAGAGCCTAAACTGTGAGTGAGAAATTATGTGTAAATTGTCCTCTATGCCTTCATGGTGAGCAGTGTGGGAGTTTGAAGATCCAGTGATGTCAACCTAGTGCTAGATAAGGAGCTGTTTTGGCCCTTTGATCATAAATGAAACTTAAGAATCTAGTTATGCACAATCATAATTTCCCCCACATGCAGGAAGATGGCCTCCAGAGAATGTGGATCTCGGCTGAACAGACTTTGAAATCTGGTTCTTGGCTGTGTAACCAATGCTTACTCATTCCCAATTCAAGTCAATAAATATTTACTGAGATTTATTGAGTGTTGGTTACAATTCTTGGACTGTATGGATGAAGACAAAAAAAAAGATAAATTTGAAAGTATCCTCTAGCTTCAAGGAGGTCGAAAGAAAGACAGTGTTGACAAGTAAAGAGGCCCAGGATCCCATGTCAGCTCTGTTGTTGACTTGCTGGGTGGGCCTAGGCAAATCACTTTATCTGTCTGGGGCTCTGTTTTCTCTTTCACAAATTAAAGTGTTGGGGATGAATTGTTTTCAAAATTCCTTCCAAAGTAAAAAAAAAAAAAAAAAAAAAAGTTATGTTTATATAAATCTGGATAAGCAGATAAGACTCATCAGGGAATTTTATAATGATAAGCCATAAAGGCCACCTGGTGACCCAGTTCCTTAGATTTGCAAACAAGAAAACCAAGGGCCAGAAAGATTATGAGTCTTACTCAAGGTCATACAGTTCCAATACAAGAGAGTGCTGAGAGTTGAGGGTGGAAGAGGGGAGGAGGTGTAACTGGGTGTTTCAGATATGTTAGCTTGGAATGTAGACTATGGGCTATATCAAAAGGCCTGTGGGCAATGGAAAATTGACCTGATGCTTCTCCCTCACGTATTTCTGCCATAGAAGCAGAAGGAAAATTGACCCCATAGATGAAGGAGTTATATGATGAATTGTGTTCAAAGAACCATGTTGACAGAGAGAGTTATCTTTTAATACACAGAAAAATCCTAAGGAGAATTAAAACACGGAATAGGTAGATATCAAAGCATTTACTCTCTCCTTAACCATAGGCAATGCTTCTGCCCCTCTTTTTGGCTTTAGTTACTCAATAGTACTTATATTCTATTATCTTCTCACTTAACACCCTGCAAATGTCCTCTCCTGACATTAACCTGAGTTAATAGAAGGCTTTATGTCTCATGAATCCTGTCTACAGTCAAGTGGGAACAGTAGTCACTGAACATGGGTCAATGTGAGTCAGAAGAGCTCACTACAGGACACTGACAGAACAATTCTGGAGGAAGGATTTATGCAAGATTTATGCACAGGGCACAGACACAGAAAAAAGTTGTCAAAGATTGGACTTGAGGACATGTCTGCAAGCAAATTTCCAGAGATTTTAGAGCAGCTCAAGAATCTCTCATCAAGAATTAGAATTTGGATCAGTTAGCTATTGCTGTGTAACAAGTTATCTCAAATTCAGTGGCTTAAAACAACAGTCATTTATTATTATAGTGTGCATATCTGTGGATCAGCTTGGTGTTCCTAATAAAGATTGGTTTGGTTCATCTCCATTGGGCTTACTCTTGTGTCTAAGGGTTGTGTGGGAGCTCCACTCTGAGTTGGATTTAGTTGAGGCATCTTGGTTGTAACAGCTCAGGATTCTCCCATCCTCTTGTTGACATCAGCATCTAAGCCCAGGTACATCTTTCCTATAGTGATGGCAGAAGCTAAAGAGACCAAGCAGAAACACATGATGTCTCTCGAGGCCCAAGCTTGGAGCTGACATACTAAATCTCTTCCTCATTAGGTTGGTCAGAGTCACAGGCTTGAGCCCAAATTCAAGGAATAGGAACATAGACTCTGCTTCTTTAGCAGCACAAACCTCAAAGTCACATGATGGAAGTGTGAATAGAAGGAAAGGTGAGGAATTTGAATCATTCATGTGATCTACTGTAGGAGCTTAGAAAGACCAGTGGTTTTTAAACATTTAAAAATCAATAGACCATTTTGCAAGTAAAGTAAAAAAGAATGCAAACTCTCGTGACACAAATCCATTGTGTGAAAAACACTGCGTATACATCTCTGGGGTTTATTAATCCTTTGAGGTTTATCCATAGGCCTCAAATTTAAAAATCTTTGCTGAGAGGGTCAAGTTGGTTGACTAAGGAGTGACATTATATTTCCATATAGAGAGAGGGACACCTGCCTGCCAGAGACCCCAGGAGGTCTTTTTTGGTATGAGATGTGCTAGTCTATTGAGAACAGAAATTTTTCTTTCATGGGGTTAAAAGTATTGTGACCCAACAGTGTAAGATCCAGTGCCAAAGTGTGTACCGAAGGAAGAGCTCTGTGTGGGTGGGTGTTCTAGAATGAACCACTTAAATCCTTTCTTGGCAGTATTTTCATTAAATACAATACTTTATAAATTCTAACTTTATTGCTTCATTAGCATAGTGACAGGAAGTTATATTTCAGTTTTCCAAATAAGATTATTTGTCTCTCTTTAATAGCCTACTGCTTCTGAAGGGGACTTAAGCAGTGAGAGGCAGTGCAGCCTGCAGAACAGGTGGCAGAAGCTAGTTCTTAAAGAAATGGACTCCCCTAGGCAGTCCCTCTTCTCCCTAAGTCCTACTCCACCACCTCACCCTGGCCAGCCAAGGAAACGATGAGTGGGTCCAGAGATCTGCCAGTGAGGGGCTACTGTTTACTTGACAAAGAAAACTTGAACAAGTCCAGTGAACCTGTAAGGATACCTGGTGGATGAATAGCTCTCAATAAATACATTAGTTTGTCTATTTTCAGTGAATTGACCCCAAATAATATCCATTTGCTTTATTCACCTTCTTTCAGCTAAGTTAAAACAGATGGATTGTTCATGAAGATGTCAGTTTAAAAGGCAGAGAACCTCAATAAACTGACTTAGAAAAACAAAGTAGGGGTGGTTCAGTGACAATACTCAGTCATTTACCATCTGATATGGGAATTGCCTTATCTATAGAACCATAACTCAAGGTAGAAACATTTGCTTCTTCCGGTGCTCATTCTGTTTGCAGTTCTTTCATGTCCATGTTCTTCCCTAGATCATCTGTACCACAGAGGGTTGAAACTGAAGCAGCTTTTATTTCCTGTAGTATTTCTTGCACCTAGCATAGTGTGCAGCTCACAGTGGGTACTCAATAAGTTTGTCAGATGAACAAAAAAAAAATTCTTCAAAAGCACTTTGGACAGTCCCTTCCCTGTACTAAGAACCTTATTGCATATTATCCATTTAAAGCACTAATGAATTGGTATTTATAACTAAGATCACTCTCCCTGGCTTTTGAATATTTTCAGGATTCCTTGGGGAGGAATATAAACTTAAAAATGGTGATATTATAATAGCATAATTCCGAGTCAAAAATTTTATAATGAAACTGAATCTAACCAAGGATTTAAAATGTGAATTTGAAAGCTGTTTTCCCACAGAAGCTTTATATGGTGAAAATATTTTTAAGGATTTTTTTTTCTTTTGACTCAGTGTTTAACCAGGAAATTCTAACATGTTCTACTTTACATAAAAAGTTGAGCTTATTATTAACAATAAGAATATTAATTGCTAGTCACTGTGAACTATAATGCTGTCTAGCCTTTGAGATGTACAATTAATTATTATCACTTTTTTGTTTTTATTTTAATTAAGCACTTATGCAGCACTTTACATATTTGATGTATTTTGTAACCATTAACCACAGAATTAATGCACAAACATAAATTATACATGTTCAGGAAAAAAAAAGAACCATCTTAAATTATGAATAAAGAAGCTGTTAAGTTTGTGTAGTTTTTCTTTTTGGGGAGAAAATTTTGCCCCTATACAATAGGAGGCTCAAAACATATTTTCCTATTGAGAATGGCAGAGCTAGTAAAGGTTAACTAATAGTTTTACAAGAACTTGTGACAGATATTAAAAAATGGATACAACTTTTTAAAAATATCTGCTATTTTAAGGGACACAGGTTTTCAAAGGCTAAATGGTCCACAAATGGCTCAGCTCCCCTTGTGCAGCAGAGGAACAACTGGAAGTGGGATGCAGAGATGGGCTTTATAAGGGTTTTGAGCATGAAGCCCAGAGAGGTAGAGCTCAGGGTTACTGAGCTGGCGAGTGTGCCTTGAGCCCAGGCAGCCTGCTTTGTGGACTCTGGAAGGAAAAGCAAAAGTTGTCCAAAGCAACTGTACTGTTGAAGTGGCTTTGTTGTCTGGGGTAAATACCCAGGGTTCATCGTCTCATGCCAAGAAGATTTAGGACAGGGACACACACGAGGAGTGAGTTTAGGGGCAGAGGTTTAATAGGCAAAAGAAAGAGAAAGGAGAACAGCTCTCTCTCTTTTGTGAGAGAGAGGGGCATCTGAAAGGGAAAAGCCAGCCTATGGAGGACCCCAGCAGATTGTATAAGCAGTCTTGAGGAGGTGGTGTCTGCTTTACATAGGGCCCACAGATTGGTTCCACCAGGTGTGATGTTTACATAGTAGGAAGGCTGGTGGCCCCACCCTAATCTTATTATGTAAATAGGCTTTCCACTTGGCCAGTGACATCTTGTGTGCTCCTTACTGTACTTGTGGCTGTCAAAGAGAAGGGAAGTTGGAGCCGCCATTTTGATCATGCCTAGTCCCAGGTAGCCTTTTCCTATAGGCACAACAGCCAGCATTCACCCATGTAAGCTTCCAGCTTACTTGTCTTTGTCTGCAGCTCGATTTTACAGGCTACTCTTTGTTAGAAAATAAAATGATTTGGGGGCTCCTTTTCATTAAAAGGAAAACCTTACCAAGGACTTCCTTATGCTCACTATCTGCCTGAATAATTGCTTTTTAATTCCTATATCACTGTGAGGAGACTGGCATTGACTGGCTGACAACAGTTCTTGGCGCTACCTTCCTAAGCTAATAGAAACCATTGTGAGAGGTAAAATGTGGCCTCTGGAACCCAGGACTGCCTGGGTTCAGTTATCTGGATTGATGAAACAAGTTTCTTAACTTCTCAGAACCTCAGTTTCCTCATCTGTAAATTGGGAGCAATAATTGTACATACTTCATAGGGTTGGTGTGAACATGAAATGAATTAATTCATGTGAAGCACTTTAAACAGTGGCTGATATATAGTAAATTGTCGGTCAACGATAGTCTTATTTGTTACTATTTCTGGCAAAACTAGGACATCATTTGGACAGGATTGTATCAGAGGTCCCTGACATTAGGGTGCCTCCTTGAGGAGGAAGATGGTCCTGCTCTAGTAGGGATCAGAGGCAGGTACCAAGTTAGTGTGCTGGTCATTACCATGGATGCTGCAAACATGAAGTGTATGCAGAAGAGGAGACTCAGTACAAGTAAAGCAATGGAAATATCCTAAATGAAGAGCTTTGAAGGGACTGGGGACATTGTGATCAGAGAAGAACAAACTTCCCACGTTCATCTAGGCTGCCTCCAGAGACGTGAAGGAACTAGAGTTGTCACATGACCCCAGGAAGCCAATGAGACCTCTGCATATGGAATCATACAGTCTGGTACTTGGGGCAGAGCACCCAATACATTTTTGTTGAATGGAGGAATTAATATATGAGTAAATAAATCTGGATGAGAAAGAAATTTCTCACAGCCAGCACCATTGAAAAAGTATGAACCCTGTTACTCATTTTTTGTCATGGACATTTGTCATGTCATTTTTTCTTTGTCATGGGCAAAAAATAGTATAAGAGAGAACAGTGAGTAAGATTTGGACACTTTGGAGTCAGGCAGACCTGGGCTAAAATTTGGCCACCTACACTTAAAAGCTACTTGACCTTGGGAATTGCACCTAACCCTTCTCATGTAGAGCTTTCTAGTCTAAAATGTTTATGTTATCTGTGCCAATCTCATAGGGTGGCTGTGAAGATTGCATGACATAATGCATGCACCATACAAGTCAATACATGATAATTGTGAGAGCAATGAGAGTAGTGAGAGAAAATGCAGGTCAAAGATTGTATAGATGCAGCATGGGAATCACACAAGAGATGGCACTGAACAGCTTTTTGGTTTCCTTTCAAATTGTAGGTTCTGTGCTTCCATTCACTGTTAATTCTATATTCTTTCTAAGAAACCTTTGAGAGTAGTGCATGTCTGTGTATTAAAGGGAGAGGGGGATATCCTTCTGTTAATAAGGAACGCAGCCTCTGGTCAGAAAAAAGAATGGGAATAGTAAGTGCGTATAAGGAGGGATTACATCTGAAACCTTGGTTTCATTGGCACTGTACTCTAACCACCAAGCTAACCAGCCACAGACTCAACCAGTAGACACCAGAGGTTAAAAAGAAGAGAGCGAAGAGTGGTTTCCTGGCATACATGCGCTTACCTGGCAAGCTCTGGGGCACTCTGAACATGGTTGTTCTCCATGGTTTCCCTGTTTCTAGCCCAAGTTCAATTAGAAACTCCTGGCTGAGCGCAGTGGCTCATACCTGTAATCCCAGCAATTTGGGAGGCCGAGGTGGGTGGATCACTTGAGGTCAGGAGTTTGAGACCAGCCTGGGTAACATAGTGAAACCCCATCTCTACTAAAAATACAAAAACAAAAAATATTAGCCGGGCATGGTGGTGCACGCCTGTAATTCCAGCTACTCAGGAGGCTGAGGCACGAGAATTGCTTGAGCCTGGGAGGCAGAGGTTGCAGGGAGCCAAGGTTGTACCACTGCACTCCAGCCTGGGTGACAAGAGTGAGACTCTGTCTCAAAAAAAAAAAAAAAAAAAAAAAAAGAAAAGAAAAAAGAAAAGAAAAAGAAAAAAAGAAACTCTATTCTCTTATTGCTTTGCTGCCTCAGTTCTCCATGGTGCTAGGCTCCAAGCTGAAGCTTCTGATAGTGCTCCCAATATCCCTCACAACCTGTTCTAAGTGGTCCTAGAGTGAGGCATGCAGGTCCACCATGGCAGGGTACCAAGAGGTGGTGGAAGGAGAAACTTTCTCATAGCCATGTCTGGGCCTCCATGTTGCATAATTCCAGAAAGTGCCATTGTCATTGTGATTATTGCTGCAGCAGCCCTTGCCAGCAAGGACGCCTCCAAAGTTATTACATACCTTGCCCCCAGAGATGGCCCATTGGAGACTGGGAGACCTCCAGGGTAATGTGACCTTGTTAATCATCATGATCAGTTATGATGATTACAGGGATTGTTGGCTGTCCTCAACCCAAAACTTTTTTGGATGCTAAAACATTTTAAGACATAGCTCTTTCCTTCCTTCTAGGAACTTACATTCTCTCTAGGGAGAGGACTCAGTTAAGATATTATAACTAAATGCCATCACAGTTGTACAGGGAGTGCATTAAGTATTATCTTAGGAAGTAAAATGTTACTTTCTTAATCTATCCAAGACTAGAATAAAGAGTATACCTATGATACTCAGCACGTTTGGAGAGAAATGCTCATTAACTAAATCTTATCCACAAAGAGCGTCTTTTAACCCATAGTTGATAAGTCTTGAGCAAGTGCAGCCTGGTACACACAGCTTCTTTGCAGAATCTAAGGTGGTGAGTAAAACACATGAGAAGAGAGTCAAGATGGATTTGTTGACTTTTACATGTTTTAGCCTACTGAGGAAGATTTGGGAGCAGACTCCCAATATTCAAGTGGGGAATTACTTCTAACACAGTGAAGTTAGTTTGGGGGACATTTTGAGGATCTCAGTAAACTACAGATTCTTCTCCCCAGAAAAAAGTTACATGTGCATATGTTTGCACATAAGCAAATATCTCACATGTGCCTGTACACACAGATACTTCTCCCCAGAAAAAGTTATATGTGCATATGTTTGTACATAAGTAAATATATCACATGTGCCTGTACACACAGATACTTCTCCCCAGAAAAAGTTATATGTGCATATGTTTGTACATAAGTAAATATATCACATGTGCCTGTACGCACATGCAGGTGTTATTACACACAAAATCCTGTTCATAGACCCTGGGATTCCAGGGATTTTATATACAGAACCCATGTGTAATATGTCCTTTATTTCTTGGAAATTAGTCTCCTGCTGTTTTTTGGGTGAAGATTTTGCATCTGCAACTTGTTTGGAAGCTTCCCAAGAATAGGAACCTCATTTTCCTTTCTAGCACATTGGTACCTGGTGCAGTGCCGAATGCAGGGGTGTTTAACAACTTTAAGCCAAATGAGTAAGTATCAAAAGGCTGATTCCCAAGTCAGACCCAAAACTAGCATTTAAGAAAAAATATGTTTTGATATGCTTTTCTCTTCTCACAGAAGGTACTCACTGGATGAGCGGGACCTTTCAGCAACTCTGCTTAAGGGAGGACAAAAATTTCTTCACTCTAAAAAAATCTAAAACCTGGCTCAAAAAGGAATTTTCAAACCAGGGAGAAATAGTCTCAAACATGCAAACAAACGTCATGAAACATCCAAATAGAATGACTTTAAAGGACACAAGTGCCAAGAATGCTAAGGAGTTGGAGAAAGCCACTTTGGGAAGGCCTTTGGGGGGCTCTCCCACAGAGTTCCCTGCAGTGCCCTGGTCACATGGGCTTGACTTGGGCATGTGTCTGCCTCCTTGTTCTTGGCCAACTATCCCCTCAGCCAAAACTAATTGGGACACAAGGAATGTTCTGAGGGAGGGTGAATGTTATAACTGGCCCCTTTATGAGACTTCCTGGAAGCCTGGTGGTGCTCCAGTCCCAGGGCTGGGATACACAGGCTGGGCAAGCCTTTGTCATGAGCCTGTAGGCCCTTCCAGTTCATGGCTCAGTCCAGGAAAGTGGAAAATGCCTTTGAGACCATTAGGCACAGCTCAGAGAAGACAGGGTGGGAATGCCGCAGAGGCCAGATCCTTCTGATGAAGGGCAGGCTTAGGGTCACTGATCTGGCATGAAATGAAAGATGCCTACTGACTAGTTCAACCAAACAAAAACAGGCCTCTTGTGGTGGAGAGAAGTGAGGAGAATTCAGCTTTCCAGCTGCCCAGATCTGCCCTTTTGGGTCCGGGCCAGGGAGGATTTAGCCGCCAGGGGCAGAGATGCTGACGTACTCATCTGCATTTCTGCCAACCCTGGGCTCTCAGTCAACCCCTTTTAAGGCATATTTGTGATGATTTGACTTCTCAGAGTCTGGAAGACCAGGGTTTTGTGGCTCATATTAAGTGTGAAGGCTTGGGCAAAGAATCTACTTCAGCAATATGGTTTATTCCCCATTTGTGAATTCAATCATCATTTATTGAACATTGGCTTTGAACAAAAATGAACAAAATTCAATTCTTTCCCTTTAGGCATGTACAGTCTGGAGGGAGCATATGATTACATGCCCAAGCAACTGCAATTGCAGAACATGACGATGTTTCCAGAAATGACAATGGAGGACACAGAGGAAAGGGTGCACATTTTAATTATAAAAATCAGAAAGGCTTCATAGAGGAGGAGGTATTTGAACTAAAATTCAAATAGAAAAGTTACAGGAGAAAATTAATAGCACATGCTCTACTTAACTTTCAGCAGCTCTAAGAATGAATATACATATTATATAGTTACAGTCCTAAGATCTACTTGGAAAAAAAATCATTTAAGACCTCAGTCTTTGATATTGATTTGGTGTAATGGCAACATACTGATCAGCATGCTTGTCTGATGCATCCTAATAGTCTTGGATTAGCCATTCATACGGAGCCAACCAAGGCCTGCAAACATGGTATTGTCCCCTAGAAGGGCAGATATGCAGGTGAGAGTTAAGGGTGGTGACACTGTTTTGCAGACAGAAATCTCCCACAGCTTTGCATTGAATTAATGTCTTCAATGTCCTCAAGGCATAGTATTTTGCAGTGGCTGACCTGAGTTTGAATTCTGGTTCTGACTGTGCTACCTATGTGACCTGTGGCAGGCTATTCAGATTCTCTGAATCAGAATTTGCTTAAGTGGGAGATGATAGCAGTGTTACAACACAGAGTGGTTGTTAGGAGTAAAAGCAGTGATGCTTGTAAAACCTCAGGCACTATCAGGCCCTCAGTACAGGTTAGCACCCCTCCTAATGTGTTATAGAATTATGACTATTGATATAATTAATTCAAGATACTCTTCGGCATCCCCAAACTATAATGATATTCTCTTACTTCCTACTCTGACTTCTGTTTGTATAAACTATAAACCAAACTTCATGAACTTGTATAAGTTTCATGTAAGTCTTAGCTTTATACCTAATTGAGTTACAAATGATCATGTAAAGGCTGGAGTGCCTGGGACCCTTAGCCTTCTCCTCATTCTCTCCCCTGCCAATTTCCCACTGGGGTCTCTCCTAACTATTCTCTTCTGAAAGGGCTCTCATTTAGTCAAAATAATACATTTTTACCACCCCTAGTCATCAGAATTTGGAAGTAAAGAGACCCAATGGTGGCCAAGGTTTTGATTTTTATAAGCCTAGATCAAGCTGTGGGACTGACCAGAATTTGTACGGTATTGGGAGAGTCTACTTCTTGAGAGTTGATCCCACTTGTAGAGTAGCTGCATTTACTGGCATCATCCTGTTAATAAACTGGCTAGTGCAGACACTGCTGTCAGAGATGGGAACCTGCTGGAGATGCCCTGATAAGGGGCATCCTTGAACTCTGAGCATCTTTTTATCAGGCATGAAGAATCCCTTGTGCTACTTGATAAAAAAGCAGATTCATGAGCCTCAGTGCCGATGGAATGGACAGGGTGGGGAATTGACATGCATGATTCTTCTCCAGGTCATTCCGATTCCCACTTACTTTGGGATTTACCCTTCAGATGGGCAAATGGAGCCATCCACCAGCATCAGGTGGTGGCCATCAACAGAAAGGTATCTGTGGAGTGAAGCTGTGGCTAGGAGGGCAGAGATTAGGCTGGAGAGCAGCTGAGGCCATGGGTAAGGAGAAGCCAGATTTCTCAAAAGGTGAGCAGTCTGGAGTGGGTTATGTTTGATGCCTAGGGGATGGCAGATACCTAAGATCAAAATGAGACAAGAGGTCATAGTCATGCTGAGTAGACACAGTAAGGAAACAAAGAGCCAGAGCAAGCAGTGGTAAGAAGACAGGTGGCCAGACAAGAGCAAGGTACACACGTGGTCATTTCCAGAGATGTCACGGCCCTAGGGCCATTCTCAAAGCTGCTTACCCCAGCTGCTGGAGGAGAGGAAAGCAAGCTAGCAGTTGCCTAGTCGGTGAGGAATAAGACCAGCCTTGGCACTTGTTTACAAAATTATCCAAGCCATCCTGAATCCCATTGTCTAGCCCCTGACTGTCACTCCTGTCTGACCGTGGGACATTAAACAACCCCCACCTGTCACAATGGTGCTGCGAGGAGCAGAGCCATACAACAGACAGAGTGTCCTGAACATTTTGGATATTAATCCTGATGGAAAAATCTTTAGCATTGTATGGATTAGTCAATGTAAATTCATTAACTACTTGTAATGACTGTAATATAATCTGCCCTGACTGTAAAGACTCGACAGCACAGTGTTAACCAAATTGACGCAGAAAAAAACACATTTCTGTTTAGACTCAATGACTGCTTTACTTGCCAGAGCAGAGGCTGCAGCTTTAAGAGGAAAAAACAAAGTGCTCTTTTGAGCATCCTTGGGAGGGAGCCTCCTGTCCTCAGAAGAGCATCCCAAGTCTCCAACAGTGACAATTTGAAGATACCTTCCCTTTTCTGCAAACCACACACCCTCCACATAATGGAATCCCATCAATCTCTAGTCCCTGTCCACGAGAAGTTCACAGATAATAAAGCAGAATGTATTCTGCAGGATTGAACATTTCCTCCCAGGATGAGTAATTACCAGGTTTTAATCATGCTCATTAGCCAGCCATTAGAGTGCTGTCCAGCTTTTCACCACCAGAGACAAGACTGGAGAATGATTGTGGTCGGGGGCTGCACCTGACCTGGTGAAATACTCAACCATCTGTTCCAAGTTGTAACCCCCTCTATGAAGCACCTTGGTTTATGGCCACAGCAGCCTAAGATCTCCAGCACTGAATCTACTTGTGTATCTAGGTTGAGCCAGGCCTGAACCCACCAGAACTTGGAACAGTAAAAAGTTAGCATTCACTAAAATCAGAGGTAATCCAGCACCAACTTAGCAATCATGAGTTCTCCACTTTAGCAGAAATATGCATTTTTTTTCTCCATAGCTTGGTGCATTAGAAGCCAGTAAAAAACTGACTTTGAAACAGATGAGTACAATGCAAATGACTAAGAACTTGTTTCTTTTCTGTTCTCAAAGCAACTGCCATTGGCTAAAACACCACCGTTCTTAGGAATGCAGAAAGAGCGAATGTTTAAGTTCAACATCGTAGCATTTGCTTGCCGTTCTCTATCTCTTCAGAATTGTACTTTGATTGTCTGTGGTGGGGCTGTCCTATAACTTTTGTTTTCATACAAATCTAAGTTTTCTTTCAGAAAAATAACTGACAGAGAGCTTCATACACAGTAGGTGCTTTATAATGTTTTGTTGAATAATGGAATGCCTCACATGTATTTTCTTAGCTAAGAATGATAAACACAAGGTGATTTCATGTATTCCCAACATGTGAGTTTTTCTCTGTGTACCTAGGTCCAGTGCTTCCAAATGTTCTGCCCATAGTGACCAATTACCTTACCTTAGCCTTTTAATTTATAACCTGCTCATTTAGAATTTTGCCTGTGCTGCAGAAGAGCCAAAACAACAACAATAATACTATTAATAATAAAGCTTTCACTTTTTTTCCTTGCTGCAGTAGCTATTAAATCTCTCTTCTCACTTTTGTCTCTTATGTAGACCCAGATTCTTGTTCATTCTAATTTCAATGATGAGTTTTCCTACTGTTCCTTCTTGCTCCTCCCTGAAGGAATCTTCTGTGGTGCTCAACAGAGGGTACCACATGCCCTCTGGGGCAGCTGCATAAGCTGTTATGGGGCAGCTGCATAAGCCATTGACCTCTAACTTGATACCTTCCCTTCAAGTGTGCAAAGTCCAGACAGGTGGTGAAAGTGAGCATCCCAAACATCATAGTGATGGTATCAGAAGAGCTCCTGAGGAAAGCATATATATTCCCATAGGTGAACAAGGGGAGGGTGCTAATTGCAAGTCAAGGAAGGGTCAATCAATGAACCAGGTAAGTAGACAACCTGAGTGGAGAGTAGCCACAGGAATCTGTATCCTACATACAAGGCTGGGTGAACCCCAGCAAAACTAGGATATAACCACTGCTGTGGAATAATAAATTGTGTCTTCCAACGTTCATATGTTGAAGACTAACCTCCACTGTGACTGTATTTGGAGATGGAGTGTTTAAGTAATCAGGGTTACATGAAGTTGTAAGTGTGGGGCCCTAATCTGATACAATTGATGGCCCTCTGAAAAGAAAAAATGATCTCTGTCTGCAAGCACGCATTGAGGAAAGACCATGTGAGGACACCACAAGATGGTGTCAGGAATAGAGTCCTCACCAGACACCAGCCATGCTGGCACACTGATTGTGGTCTTCCAACCTCCAGAATTGTGAGAAAATAAATTTCTGTTGTTTAAGCTAACTCATGGTATTTTGTTATGGCAGCCTGAACCGACTAATACAGCTTTGCCAAAGTTCCAAAAGAGCATAGTATTAAAGCAAGATCCAGTCACTGGAACTGGGTATGTGGCCTCAGGAGAGAGGTAACTGGAACCAAAAGCCATACTCAGAGCCAGCATGTTCTCTGGGCACCAAATCTGAGCTACTTATGACTTCCTGATCTAGGACAGGAGCAGGCTGAGAGTCCAAGAAGGTGGTGGGCAAATGGCCCCAACAGTGGGAAGAACCTAGCTGTGAGATCAAGCAGCAGGCAAGGCAGGGCAGGATGGCCCTGGCTGCTCATAACCCATTAATTGACTTACAACAAATTGAGCTGAGAAGGGCCAAGAGATTTACCAATTGTGCTCTGTGAATGTGGGCTGCTTGGCCTTGGCCCAACAATTACCTCAGAGAATTATGTTAGTGTTGAGATTCAAAATTGGATTACAAATAATAGTGGATTATGAGAGAGGAGCAATAATGCGTTACAAATAAACATTTAACTTCTGTCTGTCAAGGAACTGCCAATTATGAAGGACACTAAATATGATATACTCCAAAATGAATGTTGTGTGTCCCATTTGATTTAAACACTTCTCACCAAGGCGTTTGCTGCTAATAGAACGATGATAGGACCTTCTAATAGAGCCACCCTGTTCTACCCATATATCAATCAGGATTATTCTGCCCATTTCTACCCATTCTAACCCCCCAACCCACTCCCACTTCTGATTGATAGATACTGTCAAGAAGACCAAAGGAGGTGACTTCTTTTATATGAGGCTGGGAAGGTCCCACAAACTCATACCTCCCCCAAGTTACCACCAAGGCACAAAGGTGGGCCAGTTCCTTTGCATTTCCCACAGCCCCCTCAGGCCTGCAGGCTGGGGATTCCTTTATGTCTCCATATCTGATGGTAACATTCATTACAGGGTCAAGAGATCACAGGAAATGAACCAATAAAGGGCTTCCACTCTGTGCCAGCTAGTGTGTTAGATATTTTATGCCATGCTGCCACGTTTAATTTTCCCATAAATTTCATGATGTGTTATTAGGCTCATTTTACAGATAAGGAAACTGAGGCTCAGAGAGGTTGTATAAGTTGCTTATGTCACGTAGTTGATAAGTGCTTGCCCTGAGATTTGAACCTAGCACTCTGGGGCTCCAAAACTAATAATATTTCTCTTTGGACAAGCTGCATTCCAGAAACAATATGCCAGGATATAAATATCACAGAAGGGGCCGTACCAGTATCCCGCCAATATGGCCATGACTGCTGTGAGTTCAGTGGGGTTACTTATTATTGGCACATAAATGTCCTCTTTCCTACTTTTGGCCAAGATTTGCCCTTCTCATAATTAAAACCTATTTTTATCAGGAACAAGGTTATTCCATATCTGCTTTTTCCCAATGCCTAAGAACTGGTAGACTGCTATGAGTGGCACAAAGTTTTGTTTTGCTTTAAAGATGGTGCTATAGTTAATTTCCTGGGTAACTTTGGGTGCTCCATTAGGAGGAAAGACAGACAAGTAATTTCTTAAACAAGAGAAGCAATAGTCAAACCCCTCATCCCTATAACTTTTCCTGTCCTCCTGACCCAGCATCCCAGTAACACTAAGAGAGAGATGCCACAGGAGAGGGTTGTTCAAGCCACTGGAGTATGGTGGATGTGATGGTTAATTCTAGGTGTCACCTTGACAGGATTAAGTAATACCTAGAGAAGTGGTAAGGCATTATTTCTAGATGTGTCTGTGAGGGTTTTTCCACAGACACAGACACCACTGAGTGGGGAAGGTGTGCCTTCAATGTGGACAGGTACCATCCAATTGGGTGGGGCCTGGTTAGAAGAAACAAGCTCCTTTGGACTCCAGGACTTACACCAGCGGCCCACCAGGTCCTCAGGCCTTTAGTCTCGGACTGAGAGTTACACCGTCGGCTTCCTGGGTTCTGAGGTCTTTGGACTTGGACTGAGTCACATTATTGGTATCCTAGGGTCTCCAGCTTGCAGACAACCCTACTGTCTGACTTCTCAGGCTCCATAATCACATGAGCCAGTTCCCTTAATAAATCTCCTCTCATCTGTCTATCTATCTATCTATATCTGTCTATTATCTATCTTTCTATCTATCTATCTATCATCTATCATCTATCTATCTATCTGTCTGTCTGTCTAATCTATCTATCAGGTTGGTGCAAAGTAATTGCAGTTTTTCCATTACTTTAATGCAGAGGTAATTGTGATTTTGCCATTAAAGTAATGGTTGGCACAACTACTTTTGCACCAACCTAATAGCTACCTGTCTGTCTGTCTATCTCCTATTTGTTCTGTCTCTCTGGAGAGCACTGACTAATACAGTGGACGAGAGAGGGTGTTCTGGCAATTCCAGATGGCATCTCTACAGAGTACGGTTTGGGGAGCTTTTGAGTCAGACCACAGTGGGTTGAAATCCTGTGTCTTCATTCACCAACTGGGTGACTTTGTTAAGTTCCTCCACAGTTTTAGGTCTCAGTTTTCCTATCTATAAAATGGGGGATTGTTGTTATGAGGATTAATGAAGTGATGAATGTAATGCATTCAGTCTAAAACCAGAACATAATGAGCCCTGAATCATTCTTGGCTCTCATTAAGATTATTATTACTGTGATTCCTCTATTAAAATCATGGAATCTATTATTGCTTTGTTTAATGGGACATGGGGAAATGACACGATGGAAAGGGAGGAGCTCTTTTGGTATCAGCAGGACTGTCAGCAGAGTCTTAGATTATTTTGGAAGCTATTGGGAGACATGGGGAAAAGCTATGGGGGATCATCCAATTTATATACTGAATTCCTTAAATGATATATGTATGTATTTACTGATGTTTCATTCAAGTTAGTGATGGAATTGCAGTGTCATTGAATGTTGAGCCCTTCCTTTTACTCATAAGGAAACCAAGGCACAAAAGGAAGGGCCCTTTTTGAATCATACAGCAAGTGAAAGATGGGACTAGCACTGGAACTTGGGTCTTCTGGCTCCTGCTCTGAGCCTTTTCCCCAACTGTTTCGTAAGGTTTGCAGGCCTCAAGGGCAGGCCCCAGAAGGCACCTTCTCTGAAGGGCCCAGCTCAGCTCTGTGTCCTTAAAGATGCTAGGTAAGAACCTGTTGATGAATTGGATGTTTGACTAGGGCCTCTACAATTATGCTTTCCCATTTATCCCTCCTTCCTGTCCTAGCCCAGGCAGCTCAAGAGGCCTCCTCACTTCAGCTCTGTAGCTTCCATTTCTGCAAAATCCCTGCTGCCATTGCAGACCTGGTCTCCCTTTGGGTGACTGCATTCTCATAAGCTTGTAAT
Organism: Homo sapiens; assembly: GCF_000001405.40. Taxonomy (NCBI): domain Eukaryota; kingdom Metazoa; phylum Chordata; class Mammalia; order Primates; family Hominidae; genus Homo; species Homo sapiens. Next base: position 76,684,335 of record NC_000010.11, read on the forward strand.
TGTCCCTTTGCTAGTTTCTGGGGTGTGGATAGTATCAGGTGGTGGCTAAGAGCTGGGACTTCAGATCAAGCCCATCTGGATTCAAATTCCATGCTCTAAGTCTGCGACCTCAGGCAAGTTATTAAACTGCTCCCGGTCTTGGTTTCCTCATCTGTAAAATAGGGATAATTATAATGAGGTGTTCATGGGGCAGTGGTGAGAACTGAGTTAGATGAAGTATTAAATTAGAGTATGAGAATCACCTAAGTCATAATAAGTGCTCAAAATCTGAAAGCTCTTAATTATAAACTGCATCCATGTTAGAGGTGGAGATGGTAGGTGGCAGGATTCAGTGCCAGAAAGTTATATTTTAAGATGTACCACGCTTTTTCTAATCATATTTTCTGAAATCTAGTACTTCACAATTTCTATCATATTTTCTCAAATTATTTTGAACTCAGAGATGGAAATTCAGCACTATCCTTCACTGAATCTACATTTGTTGAGCACCTGCCATATATATCAAACTGACAGGCCAGACACCTACCACCTGCCCTGCATCCATTTCAAAGCTGGGGTTGCTGGATTGAGGGTAGCTAACTGATTCTATGACCTGTGGGTTTTAGGAGTGAGATATGACATTTGTCAGTTATTCGGGAGGTACAGCCTCTGAGGAGGGTCTCTGAAGACCTGCCCCCATGACCCCCTTAGGCTCCCTTTGTCTATCTCTGGAGGGACCTTCAGTCCAAACAGCAATGTTTTGACATCTTAGTTACAGGGACACTAGGCTCATAGCAAGAGTGGGGAGAGGGACTTTTCTGGCAAAAAGACAAAGTCCTCTAATTGCTGACTCTGCATTGCCGGCTCTGCATTGCTATGGCAATATTACCGTCCTTCCGTGAGTCATCTATGGCTTAGCCACTTCCATGCTCTATCTAGTCAGGCTGTGGGGCTGGGGTCTCCATTTGCTAAGGAGCCTCAGTCGTCATGACAGCACTAATCAGAATAGTTGAGAAACATCACTTGGAAGAAAACATCACCAAACCCAGGAAATAAACTCATTGCAAACGATAGAAACTTTTGCACGTTCTGTAATTTTGCATTTTCACTAAAAAATTTTGCACTCCGGGAGAACAGGGATCATCCTTGCCTTATATTGCACTCACAGCTCCAGTGCCTCACAGAGTGTCAGGTAAAGTAGGTACTCAATAAATATTCTTTGATTGAATTATTCTCATTGCCTAGAAGTAATCTAAAGGCATGCTAATTCTAGGTACTGCTCTAAACACCTTGCAAAAGTTAATCACTCTGTGCCTCAGCTTCCTTGACTGTAAAGTGGACTTAATATTAGGAATAATAGTCACAGTCAGGTTATGAGTTAAGTAATTTGTCCAAACAGAAGAAGCCAAGGTTTGATCCCAGGCAATGTGGATCTTGAGTCTAGCGGCTCATCTAGCAAGGTTGTAGAGGCATCTAAGTGAAGAAGTGGGGTCTGGGCCAACTGCTCTCTTGGTGTGCGTGTCTTCCAACTGCCACACAATGTGTTCAGATAAAATGACTAAAGTAACTATTTTTGGTGGCTTGATGAACAAAAAATGCACACCAAATTGCAGACTTGAAGAAGGAAGTTAGTGCTAGCCTCTGCCATGTGGCAGTCCTATGGAAAACTCTGGATTTGAAGTATTCCAGGGCTCTTTCTTTTTCTCCCAAGCACATCCTCATTAGCCCTACCACAGATAAAGGTAATGAGCTAACTATGAGTTTTATGAAGACAAGGAAATGTTTGTGTCATTCATACTGTAGCTTTGTTGCCTAGCACAGGTGCGTGACAATAATAAGTGCTAAAAACAAATTTGTTGAATGGAAGAATGAAGAAGACAGCACTGTGTGATGGGTGGAGATACTTTTAAAAGAAGATCATTGAGGGTAACTGTCCAGGGTTCAGGAAGAAAAAGCCAATAGACATGGTTTTCTTTTTTTGAGGACTCAAGTTTTGAATGAAATCCCAGAACACAGATTCCAGAACAGACGACAAGAATAATTATTTTTAAAATTCATGCCGTGTGGTGTGACTTTTCTTTGGAAAATTTCAATACATAATTTTGAGGATGCCAGTTGGAAGGGAGAATTTTTTTCCTAATAAAATAGTACAGACCACTTCAATTATTCCTGGGAAAAGGGATATTTTCTCTTTTCTCCTCCAGGCTTTCCCTGAACTCTGATTGCCGCCTGAGGAACTACGGGAAAGAACAGGATGCGTCTGCTTCTTTGTCTCTAATAAAGTTTGTCACTTACTGAAAACTCAAATGCCACCCTCTTCCCCACATTATGAGTGCCCAGCCAGGCTTTCCAAGCTCTGAAACACTGAGCCACAGTGAGTATGGAATTCACTCCCTTTCCTCCCCTAAGAGCATGCCACACACAGTACATGTCCAACCAGGCACACACAATGTACATATGTGCAAGTGCATGCATGCACACAAGACCACACACACACGCCCACACCCATCTGCTCCATGCTTGTGTCAGCCTTGGTTAACATGCTTAGGAGCATCTTTACTCCTTTGTCTCTTACAGGACCGGGGAGGTGGTTTTCTTGCTCTCTGCACATAGCAACAGCTGCAATCAAAGTTAGCCTAGCTCTTCTGTGGGGAATCTGGTGATATACAGAAGATGTCAGGGCTAGCTGTCTTGGCTGAACAAGGCATCGACCTGCCTGAAGGGACATGAGATGGCTGTTCTGTCTTCTTGCTGAAGCATAGGCAGCACCCCTAGCAGGCTGCGAGCACATTGACTCCACAGGGGCAGGGATCCTTGACTGTTTTATTCAGTGATGTACCCTAAGTTTCCACAGGTGTGCCTGGCACATAGTATGTGCTCAATAAATACATTTTTGAAAGAATAAGTAACTCTGGATAGTTTTTAGAAAAATACATGGTCTTTCCTTGCATATACTGCCTGGAACACCTGTCCCTCTCTTACCCCTTCCCAAGGCAAAAGTCCCATTTGTATTTTAAGGACCAGCATATTGTCACCTCCTTTTGGGTGCTTTAAAAAATTTATATATCACTGTGTACATATTTGGGGGGTAGATGTGATATTATGATACATGTATACATGTGTAATGATCAAATCAGGGTAATTGGGATATCCATTACCCCAAACATTTATATTTTCTTGGTGTTGGGAACATTACAGTTCTTCTAGCTACTTTGAAATATTCACTAAATTATTGTTAACTATAATTTCCCTAGCATGCAGTCTCCGCCCCAGGTATAGGTAATTTCTTCCTGTCCTGAGCTCTCATAGCATGTTATGTGCTCTGTTTTTCTTGGAGAAATGGATATGTTGACTTGCAATTACTTGGTTACATATTAACCAAGTAATATGTAACCAACATGTAATACATAAAAGATATTACATTCTCTTTCAATAGCAAAATCGTTTTTCTGTTTTTGTTGTTTGTTTGTTTGTTTGTTTTTTGAGATGGAGTCTGGCTCTGTCGCCCAGGCTGGAGTGCAGTGGCGCGATCTCGGCTCATTGCAAGCTCCACCTCCCAGGTTCATGCCGTTCTCCTGCCTCAGCCTCCCGAGTAGCGGGGACCACAGGCACCCGCCACCACGCCCGGCTAATTTTTTTTGTTTTTGTATTTTTTGTAGAGACGGGGTTTCACTGTGTTAGCCAGGATGGTCTCGATCTCCTGACCTCGTGATCCGCCCACCTCGGCCTTCCAAAGTGCTGGGATTACAGGCGTGAGCCACCGTGCCCAGCCGCAAAATGGTTTCTCTAAGGCAGATGCCTATTTACTTGTTTATGTGTTCCTCACATCTACTAAAGTGGATAGAATGACAACACTATGCTCACTAGAGCACAGTGGTTAAAAGGTTGCCTCTGGAGTTGGACTGCTATGGTGTGAAACCTTGCTCTACCATTTGCAAGCCATGCAGACATTTAGTCAACTTACGTAATTTCTGCATCTTCATTTCCTTTTCTGTAAAATGGCAGTAGTAACAAGATCTACCTCATAGTAGTAAGCGGCTCAGTGAATTAATACTTGTAAAGCACTTACAACTCTGCTTTGTGCAAATTAAGTACTCAATAAATATTTTTATTTTTTTCATAATGTATGCTTATAGTTGACATTTGTTTTTAATTTCTTTTTAAAAATTTTACTTGGGGCCAGGTGCAATGCCTGTAATCCCAACACTGAGAGGCTGAGGTGGGAGGATCACTTAAGCCCAGGAAGCTTTAAATTTAACTGTGTATTATTCAAGCAATATTTTCCCTATGATAACCCCTGAATTTTGTCTGGGGACCCACTTGGTTAAATTTCAGTCTCTGTAGTTTTTCCAGAGCTACACACTCTCTACTCCCAGATAGAGTGAATCACATCTGGCCAAGCAGCATTATGAATTTCCCTGGTCCCATGATTGGGCCAGAGATAGATCCAGGATCTCACTGTAACCAGGAAAGTAGTACGAAGCTTGTGTTGGGGTTCCTGGGAAAGAGGAGGATGGTCTCCTCTCACTGGGCTGAATCTGTGTTACCTCCAGGAGGGTAGAGCTCATCTGGGAAGAGAGTCAGCTAGGAGAAGAGCCAAACCATGAGACGGAGGGAAAAACTTGATCCCTGATATACCTGTATTGTAATGTGTGAGCCCCTGATCTATCTATACCAGGGGCCATTGTCTGTTCCAGTGACAATGGCTGCCTAACAATTACTACTAAACTTAGTAGCTTAGAGCAATGGCAGAATGTATTTGGCTTGTGTGTCTTCAATTTGGGAAGGGTTCAACAGGGAGAGATTGCATCTCCTCCACTAGGTGTCTGTGATGTTGTCCTGAGGGCTGGGGGCTAGAATCATCTGAAGGCTTGGCAATTGATGCTGGTGGTCACCTGGGGGGCTCCAGCTTCTGTCTACAGGGACCTCTTCATTTGTTCTTTTCTTATGGGCTAGTGTGGGCTTCCTTACATCAGAATGACAAGTTTTACTCTGAGGGAGTGCCCCATTCCACCCTCTAACAACACAGAAACTGCACCCTTTTTATGACCCAACAAGGAAATTCTCATGGCATCAGTTCTGCCATCCTCCATTGGTTGGAGCACTCAGTGGAGGTCAGGTCCAAGAGAAGAAGAAGAAGAGCAATGTTTAAGAAAAGCATTTGGGACTGGAAATATGATTGTGGTCATTTTTGAAAAATGTAATGTAAAATTACTTTTTGATAAAGTCAGTCAGAATTAGATTTTCTATGATTGATCACAGAAAGAATCCTAAAAAGACTGATAAAGCTTTGTTGAATAGATAAATTAATTGTTGACAATGCCTCATGTAATTTTATGGACTTTGTTATCTTTTCCTTTAATCAAATCATAACTTTTATCATCTTTTATTTGCTCTATATTTTGTTCAGGAAAAAAAAATCCCTCATTGTAGGGGAGCCTAAAAAATGGTGGCATATTCTGGAGAGAGTCATTCACCTCGTTAGTTTTACCAATAGGGTAGGCTCACTTTTGTGGGCATTCAGCAACATGGTACCTGAGATGTATTTGTACAGACATTCTAAGCTTCTCAAAACACTTTCCTACCGGGAACATTTTAGCTTGTCCAATCAGTAGGGGCAATCGTTTCAAACTTTGAGTTGCCTAATATCTAGAGAGGAAATGATTAACATTACTACTTAACTGTAATGAGCTTACATGATGTTTCAAATAAAATGGCTATAAGCTTATATACATTAGAGGGAAGCTGAAATAAACCAGAATGAAACAAACATTTGTTTTGTTTTTTATTCTAGGACTTTCAAAGTCCTTAACATGTCATTTACCAATAGGGACTGTAGAGCACAGATTATTATGAGCTGATTCTGAGCTAACATTTTTTTCTCAGATTCTTGCTAAATTCTGGCATTCTAAGGAACACAGTTTAAGAAATAATGGCATTCCTAAAACAGATCTTGGAGGCAACTATAAACCTTTATTACATTTTTTCATACTTGCCTTTTTGAAAAGTTTTTTTGTTTATTATTTTCTTCAGCCTATTAAGTTAAATTTCATAGTTTTCATATAAACACTCCACAAATGGTATCCATATGAGTCTGATCTCCTCAGATTCATTTGGGGGGAATAACTAGTATCTTCCTGGGTGGGATAATGTCTTTCATCTGCAGAATGTGAGACTCTATGATGTGTGGTCATATTGACATGCATTGAGCAAGATAAGTTCCTGCCACCAGGAGAAGTGCCTTTTCCCAATTCAGAGGGGCTCCAATTCTTTTTGACAGTCTTACAAGCGTGCTGTGTCTGGTATATATTTCCTAGCTCTGGAAACTAGATCCAATCCTTCAGACTAGGTCGTCCTTTTAAAGGCAACCTCATGAGCCAGAAAACAAATGGTGGATATTTCCTTTTCTTTGGTAACAATGTTGTTTCGCAAATACCATTTGTTTTGTATCCTTGTTATAGTTTGCTTGGATCTTGGACATTTTGTAGTTGGTTATTCTTTTTTTTTTTAATTATACTTTAAGTTCTAGGGTACATGTGCACAATGTGTGGGTTTGTTACATATGTATACATGTGCCATGTTGGTGTGCTGCACCCATTAACTCTTCATTTACATTAGGTATTTCTCCTAATGCTATCCCTCCCCCTCCTCCTCCCCATGACAGGCCCTGGTGTGTGATGTTCCCCACCCTGTGATGTTCCCCACCCTGTGTCCGAGTGTTCTCATTGTTCAATTCCCACCTATGAGTGAGAAAATGTGGTGTTTGGTTTTCTGTCCTTCTGATAGTTTGCTCAGAATGATGGTTTCCAGCTTCATCCATGTCCCTACAAAGGACATTATCAGGGGAACCCACCCCCAATATTTCAACATAGGTTCTTTCTATTTTCCATAAGTGTTAGCTGGCTGAGAAATAAAGAGAAAGAGTACAAAGAGAGGAATTTTACAGCTGGGCCACTGGGGGTGACATCACATATTGGTAGGACCATGATGCCCACCTGAGCCTCAAACCAGCAAGTTTTTTATTAAGGGTTTCAAAAGGAGAGGGGGTGTAAAACAGGGAATAGGTACAAAGATTACATGCTTCAAAGAGTCTAACAAAGATCACATGCTTCTGAGGGAACAGGACAAAGGGAAAAAACAGAACCACTGATAAGGGTCCAACAAAGATCACAAGGCAGAGGGCAAAAGCAGAACTACTGATAAGGGTCTATGTTCAGCGGTGCACGTATTGTCTTAATAAACATCTTAAACAACAGAAAACAGGATTCAAGAGCAGAGAACCAGTCTGACCACAGATTTACCAGGGTGGAGTTTTTCCCCACCCTAGTAAGCCTGAGGGTACTGCAGGAGACCAGGGCATAACTCAGTCCTTATCTCAACTGCATAAGACAGACATTCCCAGAGCAGCCGTTTATAGACCTCCCCCCAGGAATGCATTCCTTTCCCAGGGTATTGATATTAATATTCCTTGCAAGGAAAAGAATTTAGCGGTATCTCTCCTACTTGCACATCCATTTATAGGCTCTCTGCAAGAAGAAAAATAGGGCTCCTTTTGCCCAACCCCACAGGCATTCAGACCTTATGGTTGTCTTCCCTTGTTCCCTAAAAATCACTGTTATTCTGTTCTTTTTCAAAGTGCATTGATTTCATATTGTTCAAACACACGTGTTTTACAATCAGTTTGTACAGTTAACACAATTATCACAGTGGTCTTGAGGTGATGTACATCCTCAGCTTACAAAGATAACAGGATTAAGAGATTAAAGTAAAGACAGGCATAAGAAATTATTAAAGTATTATTTGGGAACTGATAAATGTCCATATTAAAATGAAATATTCACAATTTATGTTCCTCTGCCGTGGCTCCAGCTGGTCCCTCTGTTCGGGGTCCCTGACTTCCCGCAACAGGATGTGAACTCATCCTTTTTTACAGCTGCACAGTATTCCATGGTGTATATGTGCCACAGAATGGGAGAAAATTTTTGCAATCTACCCACCTGACGAAGGGTTAATATCCAGAATCTACAAAGGACTTAAACAAATTTACAAGAAAAAAATCAAACAACCCCATCAAAAAGTGGGCAAAGGATATGAACAGACACTTCTCAAAAGAAGACATTTATGCAGCCAACAGACACATGAGAAAATGCTCATCATCACTGGTCATCAGAGAAATGCAAATCAAAACCACGGTGAGATACCATCTCACACCAGTTAGAATAGCGATCATTAAAAAGTCAGGAAACAACAGGTGCTGGGGAGGATGTGGAGAAATAGGAACACTTTTACACTGTTGGTGGGAGTGTAAACTAGTTCAACCATTGTGGAAGACAGTGTGGTGATTCCTCAAGGATCTAGAACTAGAAATGCCATTTGACCCAGTGATCCCATTACTGGGTATATACCCAAAGGATTATAAATCAGGTAATTGGTTATTTTAAGAAGAAAGGGGAGCAAGGCAGCTCTAGAAATCCTGGCTTTCTCTCAGCTCTTTTGTTTTTCCAATTAAGTGTCCTGGGACTTACTGTCCCTTAAGCTTTCTTCTCAAGAGGCTTCTCTATGATGTTACATGATATTGGAGTGCCTGTTGTAGAATATTTCCTGTCTTCCAGAACTCAATATGTTACAAATAACAGACCCACACTGGACTGAGCATCTGCCCTCCACTTTACAATTCTTTTGGTTGTGGGTTTTTGATTCAGGGAATATCACAAACAGCAAGGAGAAATATTATCCATCAGAGAGGTGACACAGAACGGCCACTCTCTGCCAAATATCTCAAGAGAAATTCATCCCAATAATACAGAGACAATTTGGAAAAGAGAGATTTAAAATCTTAGATTGTGTGTGCAATGGTAAAAGGACAAGGGGGTAAATAATGGGAGTGGAGAGGATTGATTGGTTTGGGGTTCAGCATTGCTTATTTTCCATTTAATACACATTCTGCAAAATATTAATAGTTATTAGTTGACAAAAAGAGAGAGAGAGATTGTGTCAGCAGATGAATTTAGAAAATCTGTGGTTAAGAACTTTTTTATTACAGGACTTAACAGAGCCCTTAATACATAAATGTGTTTTGTGTATCTCCAAAAGGGGATGAAATTTGCTAATGTTTTGACCAAGAAATTCTCTTTTCAAGAAGCAGATCTTAGGACTGGTGATTCCAATATTAAACATTAAATTATAGAATAACATTTCCCAAAAGTGTTTTCTGTGATTCTGGCTTCAAGATAAAGATTATTATACAAAAAGAAGGATAAGAAGGTAGCTTGGCAAAGCAGTCAGGTCATAGACTGGTGATGAGAGTTGCTAATGACATTTGGGCAAGAGGAAGAGCTCGATGGTGTGTGCCAGTTGATCTCAGAGACATCTTACATGAATTACCTGATTGTAATCCCCACAACTCCATGAAATAATCACAGTTGTTACCCACATTTTACAAATGGGAAAGTCAAGGCACAAAGATGATATGTTTCTTGTCCAGGGTCACTCAGCAAATAAGTGATGGAATCAGAAATAAACTCAGGCCACCTGACTGCAGAGCTTTTGCTCTTACTATACTACAGTGACTTGAAAAAATATCAAGGAAAATGTGAATAGACCATGGAAGTCATTTCAGGGAAGTGGAATGGCAGTGCCCACAAAGTGGTTTTGCAACATGTTTACCATAGAGATTCTCCAATGTTAAGACTTTTATGCCACTTTATGTGACAATCTTGTCCCTGACTCTTTCTAATGACACCAGCTTCTCTCATTTGCATTACACACTGAAACATGCCATAAATCACACACTGGAGGGCTCTTTGAATCATGGGGCCATATCAGATGGCTCTTCCATGACCTTGGAAATGTATATATTAGGAAAGAAGAAAGATCAAACCAATAGCCAAAGCTTCCACCTTAGCAAGCTATAAAAAGTAAAGTAAATTAAATCCAAAAAAGCAGAATAAATGAAATAATAAAAATTAGAGCAGAAATCAGTGAAATTAAAAACAGAAAATCAGTAGGGAAAATCAACAAAATCAAATGCTGGTTCTCTGAAAAATAGCCACATTTTACAAATGGGAAAATCAAGGCACAAATATATATTTAATGAAATATAATTAATAATCCTCTATCTAGGTCTACTAAGAAAGAAACAATAAAAAAGAGAAGACCCAAATTACTAATATTTCATTTCAAAAATAAAAGAGGGGCTAGCAGTACTGAGCCCATGGACATTAAAAGAATAACAAAAGAATATTATTAACAACCCAATGCCCATGCATTTTATAACTTAGATGAATGGACCAATTCCTTGAATAACACAAATCTATCAACACTCACACAAGGAGAAATAGATAACCCAAATAGGTCTATACCTATTTAAAAATTGAATCAATAATGAATGATCTTCTAAAACAGAAAGCACCTGGCCCATATGGTTTTACTGATGAATTATATCAAACATTTAAAAAAGAAATTATGCCAATTATTTACAATCTTGTTCAGAAATTAAAAGTAGAGGAAACACTTCCTATCACACTGTATGCAGCTAGCATTACTCTAATACCAAAACCCGACACAGACATTATAAGAAAAGAAAACTACAACTCAATATCCCTCATTAATACAGATGTAAAAATATTCAAGAGGATATTGCATACTGAATCCAACAATGTATAAAAAGAATGATACACCATGCAAGTGAGATTTATCCCAAACATTCAAGGATGTTTCAACATTTAGAAACCAAGTAATGAAATATGCTATATTAGCAGGCTAAAGAAGAAAACTTATTATATGTGAGCATATCAATGGATCCAGAAAATGCATTTGACAAAATCTAATTCATGATAGTTCAAAATGTTTTAAAATTTATCTTGAGGTATCTTCTCTGACTCATGTTATTTAGAAATGTGTCATTTAATCTGCAAATATTTGGGGATTTTCCAGCTATCTTTTTGTTGTTGATGTCTGGTTAAATTCCATTGTGGTCTGGAAAGAGATATTGTATAATTTATATTCTTTTCAATTTGTTAAGGAATGTCTTATGTCCCAAAGTATTGTTTATCTTGGTGAATATTCCATGTAAGCTTCAGAAGAATATGTATCCTTCTGTTGTTAGATGGGGTATTATGTAAATATCAACTATATTCAGTTGATTGATGATGCTTTTCCGTTCAACTATATATCCTTATATAGTTGACTGTTGGATCTGTCAATTGCTATTAGTGTCAAAATCTCAACTACAATAGCTTATTCATAGATTTCTCCTTGTCTTTCATTTTTTGCCTCCTCTCTTCTGATGTCCTGTTGTTAGGCACATGCACATTAAGGATTGTTACATCTTCTTGAAGAATTGACCCTTTTATCATTATGTAGTGCCTTTCTTGATCCCTGATAATTTTCCTTATTCTGAAGTCTGCTTTATCTGAAATTAGTGTAGCTAATCCAGGTTTTTTTTGATTAGTGTTAGCATGTTATACCTTTCTTCATTCTTTCAATTTTAATCTACCCACGTCTTTAAATTTAAAGTAGATTTCTTGTAGACAACATGTAGTTAGGTCTTGCTTTTGTTTTTGTTTTTCAGTACACTTTGGCCATCTCTGTCTTTTGATTGGTGTATTTAGATAATTCATATTTAAAGTGATTTTTTATATAACTGGCTTAATATCTATCTTATTTTTAACTGTTTTTTAATTATTGCTCTTGTTCTGTGTTTTTCTGTGTTCCACTCTTTTTCTGCCTTCTCTGCTTTTAATTGAACATTTTATATAATTCCATTTTCTTTCATCTCTTACCATCAATTATACTTCTTTTAAAAATATTATCAGTGGGTTTACTGGAGTTTGAAATATACATTTACAACTAATGTAACCCACTTTCAAACAACATGTACTGCTTCCCAGATAGTAAAAGTAACTTATGAAAACAGTTTTCCTAATTCCTCCTTCTTATCCCTTATAACATGGTTGTCATTCATTTCACATATCCATAAGCAATAATCACTGAATACATTGTTTCTATTGTTAAGTCAATATACGTTAGATCAACTATAATTAAGAAAAATATAATATTTATTTAATTTTTTCCTTATTTATTCCTTTCTTTATGTAGGTTTGAGTTTCTTACCTGTATTTTTTCTCTAACTAATTTTTTAAACATTTCTTTCAAGGCAGACATACTGAGAGAGTTTCCTCAATTTTTGTTTATTGTAGAAAAGTAAAGACTAAGAAAGTCTTTATTTTTCCTTCACTTTTGGAGGATAATTATGCAGGATACAGAATTTTAGGTTAGTGGGATTTTTTTTTCAACACTTAAATATTTTACTCCACCCTTTTTCTTTCCTATCCTTTTTTTTTTTTTTTTTTTTTTTTTTTTCTTGTGTGGTTTCTAAAGAAAGGTGCCATATAATCCTTGACTTTGTTCTTTTATGTGTAAGGTGCTCTCCCCAACCCTCTTGCAAGATTTTCTCTTTATCATTTATTGTCTGTAGTTTGAATGTGATATGTCTAGGTATAGGCTTGATATTTACCCTGTCTGGTTTTCTCTGAATTTTCTGGAACTGAGGATTATTGTTTGTCACTAATTTTGGAAATTTCTCAGTCATTATTACTTCAAATATTTCTTCTGCTCCTTTTTCACTTACTTTTCTCCTAGTGTTCCCTTTATGTGCTTGTTTACACCTCTTGTAATTGTCCCATAGTTCTTGGATATTCTGCCAAGAATATTTTTATTTTATTTTAATTCCTTTTCTCCTTGCTTTTCAGTTTTAGAAATTTCTATAGAGTTATCTTCAGGATTCGTTCCTCAACTGTGTTCAATCTATTAACTTCTGAGTCCCAGGATGGAGTCAGCTGCACTCAAACCACTTGAGTGGTTTGGGGAAGAGACATTGCTCCAAAGAAAACTGGGGAGCTATTACCTAAAGGGGAAACAGGTGTAAAACAGATAGTAATGAGAGAAATAAACTGCAAATGCCTCATAAAACCAGGAAAAGGGCAGTTTATGAGGTAGAAATCAGAAAATGATAGCTAGACTTCAGTGGAAGACATTTAAAACAACATGGAGGAGTGCAAGATGGACAGGAATATACAGGAAAGTCTGAAGCGTGGAGTCAGGCAGCCCTTTAGCAATGCAGCTCAACACCAATACTCTGAGAGCATGGTAACATTCAACTTGGCATTTATTGTAGCTTCTTATCTGTGCTTTCCATCATGGTAGTCACAGCCACATTTGGCTATTTGAATTTAAATTAGTTTTAATTAAATAAAGTTAAAAATTTAGTTCCTCAGTTGCACTAGCCACATTTCAAGTACTCAGTAACATTAACATGTGGCTAGTAGCTACTGTATTGCTTAGCACAGAATAGAACATTTTCTTCACTGCAGAAAGTTCTATTAGGTAGCACTGGATTAAACTATCATTTGCATCATTTCAATTATTTTTCCCAAGAAACATATATGTTGAGACATCATACTTTTCTTTTGCTGGCCAATTTGAAATAATGAGGAAAAGAGAATAGAATAATTTTGCTAATGATAGATCTAATAAAGAATCTCCATTGAGAGGCTTAAGCTCAAACATGAAATTCAATTAAAAATCTTGATTATCTATCCATGACTACACCAATCCCCCTGTGTGCTCTCTTTTTCTCTTTCTCTAATTATGTCCTATCAAAGTGGAAAATAAGTTGTGATTATTGGAAGCTGGTCAGGTTGAGTAACAGACACCAATTAAGTATCTACTGAAAAGAAGAGAACATAATACTGGTTAATCCTTGCTTTTGGACTCTGTGGCCCCCTGTTGGTGTTATACAAACCTCCCACAGGGATGTAGGAAACTGTTCTTCAATTGCTGTCAGCCACCCACTGGGCACCCTGGATGGTCCTGACAGCATCAAGTGGAGCCTGGAGTTCCAGGACTGCATCTTCTTATAATTGATGAAAAATATTTACAATTGCCACATCCCCAAATTGTATCAGATATTTCCTATGTTAAGGGAAATATCATGCTACACAGATGCTGTCCTTTGGGTTTTATACATGTAGTAGATATTAATTTGGAGTGTGTTTGAACTCAGTTGTCAGAGAAAATGAGCAGAATGGATGGCAACCAACGTTTACTTAGCCATTGCTATGGCCAGACTCTGCCAGACATGACAACAAGGCATTTCATGTATATTTCACAAGAGACCTACATGATGTAGGGATTATACCTACTTTAATTAGTTAGAAAACTGAGGCTTAGTAAGGTCAAGCAAGTTTCCAAACATTTCAAATGTTGTCACTAAGTTAAGTGGCAGAGCTGGCATATTAATCCAGTATTGTCTGACACCACTTTTGAGTTCTTTACCACCTGGTATTTCTGCAGTATTTGATGGGGAGTTTGGCCTTTGGTTGGGATCACCTCCTCTGCTTCATCAGAAGTTTGTACTGACTTCAGTTACAAAGTCCTAAGACTTTGGGCAGTGTTGAATTTGGAGTTTTTGTTTGTTTGTTTGTTTGTTTTTTACCTTTGTCAGGGGTATATGTGCAGGAATCTCAGCCACTTCTTGTATGCATATATTTATTGAAACTTCTTTCAGCAGTTATTGAGAATCTATTGTGCAGCAAATGTTGGGGATATAGTGATAAATAAATAAAGCATGGTCTCTGCCTTCAGAGAGCTCACAATATCATAGAAGAGATAGATATATCAGTAAGCTATTACGAAGCAGGGTGATAGTGATAATCAGAGGAGAAAACATAGGGTACTATGTAGTTTCATCGCAGAGGTGGGCTGGCAGGAGGAACAGCCAGGTGCAGGAAATGAGGGGGAACACTGTGGAGAAACTAAAAGCAGTAATGGAATCAACTAAATCAACTAAATGTTACATATTTTTTATTATCACCAGGTACTGGCAATTCTAAATAATATCAATTATATTTAAAAAAACCACTTGTTGGTCTAAGTTCTAAATAATTGTAGAACTTACTGTTGAGTTTGAATAATATATACATAAGCAGGAAATTAGTGCATTTTTGTTACATGTTCTTTAAGAAACGTTTTATTCTACACAGAAGTTAATCCAGATAACTCCTAGTTATACTGTCAGTCCTCCTCCTCCCATGCCTCCCACCACAAGAAAGATGACAGGGCTAAAGTTACTTCATGCTATTGTGACCACTATTTGTGTTCAAAATGAAAAAACAGGGAAATAGTACCAACTACAAGTTGTAATTATTTTGTAACAGATAAGGACAGATTTAATTCAAATGTGACATATGTTGCAGGTTTTTATAATACCCTCTAAATTGACATTATTCTTCTTTTAAAATTGTGAATTGTGAATTGTCTGTTTTCAAACTAGTAAACAAGTTAGGAAACTAATAAGTGTTATTAATTGTTGTGTGATTTCAACTGAAAATCGTTTCATCTTATAGAGGAGAGTTAAAACAATCTTCTCTGGATGTCCAATGCACTAGGCCCAACACTAGTGCTACAGGCTCAATGTAAGGGGCCCCTGACAGCCCATGAGCTTGGGAGAGCCTGATACATTAAAAAAACTCAGGATGGTATAATCCAGGGTATGGGTTGGGGAGTGGTAAGAGCTGAGTCTTGTGAGATAGTAGGAACAAGGTAAGGAGGGTGAGGGATTTAGAAGATTTTAAAAAGGAGAGAGTCATGGTTAGGTTTGTGCATTAGAAAGTACATAGACAAGAAATATGACCATGGCAGCAGATTGTTGTCTTATGTCACTACTTTTTATGAACTTTAAAATTTTTAATAACTTGTTTCAGTTATGCTCCACATAACAATATTTTGCTCCACATAACAATATTTTGCTCATCATTAAGTGATGCATGACTATATTTTAAAATAATTTCAGGTTTCAAAGACAGATGCAAAAGTAGTACAAAAACTGTTCTATGTCTTTCACCCACAGTTGCCAACAGTTAAATCTTAATATGATTGAAACAATATTATTGATAGGCTACTATTATCTGATCTACAGACTTTATTCAAAGTTCTCCAATTGTCTCACTAATGCTCTTTTTGGTCCAGGATTCAATACAGGTTACGATGTTACATTTGGTTATTATTTATTTAGTTAATATCTCTTCCAATCTGGAAAGTTCCTCAGTTGTCTTTGTTTTTCATGACCTCAGCACTTTTAAAGAATACCAGACATTTATTTTATAGACTGGCCCTCAATTTGAGTTTGTCTAATGCTTCCCTATGATTTAATTCTGATTTAAATTTTTGGCAAAGATACTGCAAAATTGATCTTGTGTTCCTCTCAAAGTACATATCAACAGGTACTTGCTAATTTGTGCTATTACTAGTGACATTTATATCACTTGGTTAAGGGGATATATGCCATGTATTTTAATTATGGTTATTTTTCTATTTGTAATTAAGAAATAGTTTAGCATTATTTTGAAATCATATAAATATCCTGTTTCTCGCACTTTCACCCACTAATTTTAGCATCCACTGATGATTCTTGTCTGAAACAAATAGTACTGTGATATTTCTCAAATAGTGATTTTCTATTTCCACTGTTCCTTCTGCATGTATTAGTTGAAGGAAAAATTGTCTCATTTACTCACTTATTCTTTCATTATTTCATTCATCGGTTATATCAGTATAGATCCATCATTTTTATTTTAATCTCTGGATTGTAATTTTTCCTATTATTTATTTTATTTCTCAAAAATTCCCAGACTTGGCCAATGGGTGTTTCTTATGTTGGTTTCTGTGTCTTTTTAACATGTCCTCAATTTTTCTTGCTCAGAAAAAACTAGTGTCATGTATATTTTGTTTTTCAAAAAGAGAATTTTAAAATATTGCTTCCTTATTCTTGACATCATTAGACCATTTGATACTGTTTCACAGCTCTAGGATGCTCTGTTTTGTGCCACCCCTTAACCAGCTCCCACTCATTTTTCTCCTTGTGCTTCAGTTGGGTAATTGCTATTGACCTATCTTCAAGTTCACTGATTTTTTTTTTTCCTCAGCTGTGTTGACTCTACTGATAAGCTCATCAAGAGCACTCTTCATATTTGTTACTATGTATTTTTATTTTTAGTGTTTCTGTATGTATATTTTTCTTAGAGCATCTTTCTTTCTTCAGAAACTTCTCATCTGTATATTGTTTATGAATGTTGTCCACTGTTTCCACTGGAAACGTTAGCATATTAGTCATAGTTATGTTTAATTTCCTGTCTGATGATTCCAACATTTGGATCACCTCTTTGTCTGATTCTGCTTATTGCTTTGCCTCTTGACAGTGGATGGCATTTTCTTGCTTTTTAGTATCTTTTCATTTTTTATTGAGTGCCAGACATTCTATCTAAACCAGTAGTGGCTGAGGCCAATAGTAATTACGCATAAAAACAGGCACATGTTTTCTGTTGGGTCATTAGTCAATCAAATTAGGTATTGAGCTGGGTTTGGGTTTTACTGTTTCTATTACCTGTAGCTCACTCTAATTTTAAATTTCTTAGCATTATCTTGTTTTTAGATTGGGGGCTCTGGCATAGGAAAAGGCTTCTCAATGATCCTGCTCCACTCTCAACTGTAAACTTTCCTGTACCTGTGTCACAACAGTGCTGTCCCTCTATTCTCTTACCTATTCTGTATATGAGTAATATCTTTTTTCAATTATTATTTTCTTCTTTGAGCATTTTCAAAATTTGCTTTCTTATATCTTTCTAAGATTTTTGTTGAGCTGTATATTTAATTTTCTTACTTTTATTCTTTTGTCTTATATTTGCAAGAGTATTTATGGCTATTCTGTTTTCTTCAAACATTGTTTTAATGTATCCATATATTCTGATAAGTAGTGTTGTTATTTTTTTTTTTTTTTACAAATTCTATACTTTAAATTTGCTTTTTGCCTTTACATGAGATTGTCTATAAATTCTAGCAAAAAGACATTTTGTGGTTTTTAACATTTTTTTCTTGGTTATATCTGAGTGTTTTTGCATAGTGATCAGATTGTTGTTCATAATATTTCTACTTTACAAAAGTTAATGCTGATTTCTTTGTTACCTAACTGATCCTAACATAGAATCAATGTTGTGGAGGTCTCATGATTGATTTCAAGATAATATTCTCTGTTATCAGTGTATAGTCTGTACTATGTGTATGTGTGTGCATGAATCTTGCTTTGTAAATTAAATTGAAAGGCTTTTTCAAATTCTGAGATATGTGTGGTCTCATTAGCATAATAATATCCATAATTATGTGTTTTATATTACCTATGTTAATGTATTTACCTGATGCATATTCTTTGATCTTTTATTTTTAAAAAATGTTTTGGGATGTGGAGGAGGAGCAAGATGGTCAAATAGAAGCCTTCACTGATCATTATCCCTGCAGGAACACCAAATTGAACAACTAGCCACACAAAAAATGTACCTTCAGAAGAATAAAAAATCAGGTGACTGATCACAGCACTGCGTTTTAACTTCATATCACTGAAGGAGGCACTGAAGAGGGTAGGAAAGACAGTCTTGAGTTGCCAATGCCACCTCTCCCCAATCTTCCAGCAGCAGCCACATGGCACAGAGTGAGAACCTGTGTGTTTGGGGGAAGGAGAGTGCAGTGATCATGGGATTTTGCATTGGAACTCAGTACTTCCCTGTCACAGCAGAAAGTAACACCGAGCAGAACTCAGCCAGTGCCTGTGGAGGGTGCATTTAGTTCAGCCCTGGCCAGAGGAAAACCGCCTATCTCAGTGTTCAGAAGTTGAGTTTTTGCAAGCCTTCCCACCATGGGCTAAAGGAGTCTGTGGTTCTAAATAAATTTGAAAGACTGTCTAGACCACAATGAATAAAATTTCTGGGCAAGTCCTAGTGCTGTGCTGGGCTCAGAGCAAGTGAACTTTAGGGGCAAGCAACCTAGTGAGACACTAGCTTGGATGACCAACAGAGTGCTTGCACCACCCCTCCCTCAACCCCATGCAGTGCATCTAGCAACTCCAGGAGAGACTCCTTCCCTTCGCATGAGGAGAGAAGAGGGAAGAGTAAAGAGGACTTTGTCTTGCAACTTGGATATCAGTTCAGCCACATCACTCATATAGAGTATCAGGCAGAGTTGTGAGGTCCCCATTCCAGGCTCTACTTCCTGGACAACATTTCTAGACACACACTGGGCCAGAAGAAAACCCACTGCCTTGAAGGAAAGGACCCAGTCCTGAAAGAATTCATCATCTGCTGACTAAAGAGCCCCTGGGCCCTGAATAATCAGTAGCAACACCCAGGCAGTACTTACTATGAGCCTTGGGTGAGACCTAGAGTTGTGCGGGCATCAGGCATCAACCGGCACATTCTCAGCTGTGGTGACTACAGGGAGAGACTCCTGCTTGGGAAAAGAAGAAGGAAGAGTAAGGGGAACTTTGTTTGACGCTTAGGTACCGGCTCTGCCACAGTGGGGTAGAGTACCAAGCAGGCTTTTGGGATTCTCGATTCCAAAGCATTTCTGGACCTGCCCTGGGAGGGTCAGAGGGGAGCCTAATGCCCTGAAAGGAGAGTTCCAGGCCTGGCAGTATTTGCCACAAGCTGATTCAAGAGCCCTTGGGCCTCGAGTGAACATGGACAGTAGCTAAGCAGTACTTGCCTGGGCAGTGGTGGCCATGGAGAGAGATTCCTTTGCTTGCAGAAAGGGGAGGGAAGAGTGGGAATGACTTTGTCTTGTAGCTTAGGTGCCAGCTCAGCTGCAGTAGAATAGAGTACCAGGTAGATTCCTAAGGTTCCCAAATCCAGGTTCTGGCTCCTGGAAAGCATCTCTAGATCTGCCTGGGACTTGGGAGGACAGGGGGCGGGACTTGCTGTCCTGAAGGCAATGGCACAATCCTGGCAGGCTATGCCAAGTGCTGATTGTCGAGTTCTAGGGACTTGATTGAACATAGGTGGTATCAAGGCAGTTGTTACCACAGGCCTTGAGTGAGAATCAGTGCTGTGTTGGCTTCAGGTCTAGCCCAGTACAGTCATCATGGTAGTGGTCACAAGGGTGCTTATATGACCCCTCCACAATCTTTGGGAAACTCAGCAAACAGAAAGACTCTGTTTGTTTTGAAGAAATTAAGAAAATAGGACAAGTGTCTCTGCCTGGTAATCCTAAGAATTCTTCTGGATCTTATCGAAGACCTTCAAGGCAGTACCTCTATGAGTCTGCAAGGGACACAGGATCACTGGGCATGGGGTATCCCCAAATGCAGATACAGCTACAGTGACTACAAACTTAGATCACAACACCCAAATCCCTACAAATACCTGGAAAGCCTTTCTGAAAAAAATGGGTACAACAGGCCCAGACTTAAAAAACTACACCCACAAGTATCAAAATCATCCAGGAACACATGATCTCACTAAATGAACTGAATAAGGGACCCGAGACCAATCCTGGAGAGATAGAAATATGTGACCTTTTAGACAGAGGTTTCAAAATCACTGCTTTGAGGAAACTCAACAAAATTCAAGAAAACACATGAAAGAATTTATAATTCTATGAGATAAATTTAACAAAGTGATTGAAATAATTTAAAAGAATCAAGCAGAAATTCTGGAGATGAAGAATGTAATTGACATACTGAAGGATGCATCAGAGTTTATTACCAGCAGAATTGATCAAGCAGAAGAAATAGTGAGTTTAAAGACAGACTATTTGAAAATATACAGTCAGAGGAGAGAAGAAAAAAGAATAAAGCACATTCACAAGATCTAGAAAATAGCCTCAAAAGGCCAAATCTAAGAGTTATTGGCCTTAAAGAGGAGATAGAGAGAGAGAGATAGGAGTAGAAAGTTTATTCAAAGGGATAATAGCAGAGAACTTCCCAAATCCAGAGAAATATATTAATATCTAAGTACAAGAAGGTTATAGAACCACAAGAAAAATTAACCCAAGTAAGGTTACCTTGACTACCTTAAGACATTTAATAATGAAACTTCCAAAAGTCAAAAATAAAGAAAGGATCCTAAAAGCAGCTAGAGAATATATATATATATATGTATACACATACAATGGAGCTCCAATACATTTGGCATTAGACTTTTAAGTGGAAACCTTACAGGCCAGGAGAGAGTGACATGACATATTTAAAGTGCTGAAGAAAAAAATCACGCTAGAATAGCATATCTGGTGAAAATATTCTTTAAACATGAAGCAGAAATAGACTTTCTGAGACAAACAAAAGCTGAGGGATTTCATTAACACTAGACCTGTTCTACAAGAAATTCTAAAGGGAGTTTTCTTCATTTTGAAAGAAAATGATGTTAATAAGCAATAAGAAATTTTATAAAGGTGTAAAACTCACTGGTAATAGTAAGTAAACAGAAAAACACAGAATATTATAAAACTATAATTGTGGTATGTAAAGTACTTATATCTTGACTAGAAAAACTAAAAGATGAGCTAATCAAAAATAATGACTATAACAACATTTCAACCCATAGACAATACAAAAATAAATAAATAGAAAAACAACAAAAAGTTAAAAAGTGGGAGGACAAAGTTAAAGTGTAGAGTTTTTATTCATTTTCTCTTTTCTTGTTTTTAGTCTACATAATCATGTTAAGTTTTTATCAGTTTAAAATAATAGCTTATAAAATATTATTTGCAAGCCTAATGGTAACATCAAATAAGAGAAAACATACATCAGATTCACAAAATTAAAAGCAAACAGAGAGCCAAATCATGAGTGAACTCCCATTCACAATTGCTTCAAAGAGAATAAAATACCTAGGAATCCAACTTACAAGGGATGTGAAGGACCTCTTCAAGGAGAACTACAAACCACTGCTCAACAAAATAAAGGACGATACAAATAAATGGAAGAACATTCCATGCTCATGGGTAGGAAGAATCAATATCGTGAAAATGGCCATACTGCCCAAGGTAATTTACAGATTCAATGCCATCCCCATCAAGCTACCAATGACTTTCTTCACAGAATTGGAAAAAACTACTTTAAAGTTCATATGGAACCAAAAAAGAGCCTGCATCACCAAGTCAATCCTGAGCCAACAGAACAAAGCTGGAGGCATCACACTACCTGGCTTCAAACTATACTACAAGGCTACAGTAACCAAAACAGCATGGTACTAGTACCAAAACAGAGATATAGATCAATGGAACAGAACAGAGCCCTCAGAAATAACGCTGCATATCTACAACTATCTGATCTTTGACAAACCTGAGAAAAACAAGGAATGGGGAAAGGATTCCCTATTTAATAAATGGTGCTGGGAAAACTGGCTAGCCATATGTAGAAAGCTGAAACTGGATCCCTTCCTTACACCTTATACAAAAATCAATTCAAGATGGATTAAAGACTTAAATGTTAGACCTAAAACCATAAAAACTCTAGAAGAAAACCTAGGCATTACCATTCAGAACATAGGCATGGGCAAGGACTTCATGTCTAAAACACCAAAAGCAATGGCAACAAAAGCCAAAATTGACAAATGGGATCTCATTAAACTAAAGAGCTTCTGCACAGCAAAAAAAACTACCATCAGAGTGAACAGGCAACCTACAAAATGGGAGAAAATTTTCGCAACCTACTCATCTGACAAAGGGCTAATATCTAGAATCTACAATGAACTCAAACAAATTTACAAGAAAAAAACAAACAACCCCATCAAAAAGTGGGCAAAGGACATGAACAGACACTTCTCAAAAGAAGACATTTATGTAGCCAAAAAACACATGAAAAAATTCTCACCATCACTGGCCATCAGAGAAATGCAAATCAAAACCACAGTGAGATACCATTTCACACCAGTTAGAATGGCAATCATTAAAAAGTCAGGAAACAACAGGTGCTGGAGAGGATGTGGAGAAATAGGAATACTTTTACACTGTTGGTAGGACTGTAAACTAGTTCAACCATTGTGGAAGTCAGTGTGGCGATTCCTCAGGGATCTAGAACTAGAAATACCATTTGACCCAGCCATCCCATTACTGGGTATATACCCAAAGGACTATAAATCATGCTGCTATAAAGACACATGCACACATATGTTTATTGCGGCATTATTCACAATAGCAAAGACTTGGAACCAACCCAAATGTCCAACAATGATAGACTGGATTAAGAAAATGTGGCACATATACAACATGGAATACTATGCAGCCATAAAAAAGGATGAGTTCATGTCCTTTGTGGATGAAATTCTTCCACAAAGGATGAGTTCATCCTTCATAGATGAAATTGGAAATCATCATTCTCAGTAAACTATCACAAGAACAAAAAACCAAACACCTCATATTCTCACTCATAGGTGGGAATTGAACAATGAGAACACATGGACACAGGAAGGGGAACATCACACTCTGGGGACTGTTGTGGGGTGGGGGGAGGAGGGAGGGATAGCATTGGGAGATATATCTAATGCTAGATGATGAGTTAGTGGGTGCAGCGCACCAGCATGGCACATGTATACATATGTAACTAACCTGCACATTGTGCCCATGTACCCTAAAACTTAAAGTATAATAATAATAAAAAAATAAAAAAATAAAAAATAAAAGCAAGAAATTAGAACATAACCCCAGAGAAATTCACCTTTACTAAAAGAAAGACAAGAAGGAAGAAAAAAAGGAAGACCACAAAACAACCAGAAAACAGATAACAAAATGGCAGGAATAAGTTCTTACTTATTATTAATAATATTGAATGCAAATGGACTAAACTCTCCGATCAAAAGACATAGTGGCTGAATGGATTAAAAATAATGAGACCTAATGATCTGTTGCCTACCAAAAACACACTTCACCTATAAAGACATATATAGACTGAAAATAAAGGGATAAAAGAAGATATTTCATGCCAGTTTAAACAGAAAAAGAGCAGGAATAGCTATGCTTATATCCAATACAATAGATTTCAAAACAGAAACTACAAAAAGAGACAATAAAGTCATTTTATAATGATAAAGGGTCAATTCAACAAGAGGCTATAACAATTTTAATTAAGTATGCACCCAATGCTGGAGCACACAGATATATAAAGCAAATATAATTAGAGCTAAAGAGAGAGCTAGATCCCAATACAAGAATAGCTGGAGATGTCAACTTCTCATTTTAAGCACTAGAGAGATCATTTAGAGAGAAAATCAACAAAGAAACATCATACTTAATCTGTAACTGTAGACCCAAGGGACCTAATAGATATTTACAGAACATTTCATCTAATGAATACACAGTACACATTCTTTTCCTCAGCATATGGATTATTCTCAAGAATAGATCATGTGTTAGGCCAAAAAACAAGCTGTAAAAAAAAATTTTTAAAAAAGAAATTATATCAAGTATTTTCTCTGACCACAATTAAATAAGACTAGAAACAATAACATGAGGAATTTTGGAAACTATGTAAACACATGAAAATTAAACACTATGTTCTTGAATGACCAGTGGGACAATGAAGACATTAAGAAAAAAAGTATAAAATTTCTTGAAACAAACGACAATGACAACATAACATACCAAAATCTATGGTATATAGTGAAAGCAGTACTAAGAGGAAAGTTTAAAGCTATAAGCTACATCAAAAGAGTAGAAAACTTCAAATACACAACCTAATGATACATCTTAAAGAACTAGAAAATCAAGACCAAACCAAACCCAAAATTAATGGAAGAAAAGAAAGTATAAAGATCAGAGCAGAGATAAATGAAATTGAAACTAAGAAAACAATACAAAAGATCAATAAAATGTAAAGTTAATTTTTTAAAAGATATGCAAAATAGACAAACTTTTATCCAGACTAAGAGAAAAAGAGAGAAGACATAAATAATTAAAATCATAGATGGAGAAGGCAACATTACAACTGATACCACAGAAATTCAAAAGATCATTAGAGGCTACTATGAGCAACTATATGCAATAATATTGGCAAACCTAGAAGAAATCATAAATTCCTAGATACATACAACCTACCAAGAGTGAACCATCAAGAAATCTAAAACCTGAACAGACCAATAACAAGTAACAAGATCAAAGCTATAATAAAATGTCTCCCAGCAAAGAAAAGCCTGGGATTCAATATCTTTATTGTTAAATTCTACCAAACATTTAAAAAACTACTACCAGCCCTACTAAAACTTCCAAAAAATAGGAGGAGAAGGAAATACTTTCAAATTCATGCTATGAGGCCAGTATTACCCTGATACCAAAACCAGATGAAGACACAAGCAAATAGAAAGAAAAGAAAACTACAAGCCAATATCCCTGATGAACATTGATGCAAAAATCCTCAACAAAATATTAGCAAACCAAATTCAGCAACACATTAAAAAGATCATTCATTATGACAAAGTGGGATTTATCCCGGGGATGCAAGGATGGTTCAACATATGTAAATTAATTGGTGTGATACATCATACCAACAGAATGGAGGACAAAAACCATATGATCATTTCAACTGATGCTTAAAAAGCATTTGACATAATTCAATCTCCCTTCATCATAAAAGCCCTAAAAACCCTTAAAAAATGGGTATAGAAAGAACATACCTCAACACAATAACAGCCATATACAACAGTCCCACAGCTATATCATACTGAGTGGGAAAAACTGAATGCTTTTTCTCTAAGATCTGAAACATGACAAGGATGCCCACTTTCACCACTGTTATGCAATGTAGTACTGGAAGTCTTAGCTAGAGTAATCAGAAAATAGAAAGAAATAAAAGGTATCCAGATAGGAAGGGACAAATTCAAAGTATCCTTCTTTGCAGGTGATATGATCTTATATATTTGGAAAAACCTAAAGACTTCACAAAAAACTATCAGGACCAATAAACAAATTCAGTACAGTTGCAGGATACAATGTCAACATACAAAAGTCAGTAGCATATCTATATGCTAACAGCAAACAATCTGAAAATGAAATCGAGAAAGTAATCCCATTTACAATAGCTACAAATAAAATATCTAGGATTTAATTTAACCAAATAAGTGAAATATCTCTACAATGAAAACTACAAAACATTATCGAAAGAAATAGAAGAGAACACACACACACACACAAATGGAAGATATTCCATGTCCACAAATTGGAAGAGTCAATATTATTAAAATTTCCATATTACCTAAAGCAATCTACAGATTCAATGCACTTTCTATCAAAATACCAATGACAATCTTCACAGAAAACAGAAAAAAAAATTCAGAAAATTATATGGAACCACAAAAGACACAGAATCCTGAGCAAAGAGAAAAAAAAACTGGAGGAATCACATTATTTGACTTCAGATTATAGTACAGAGCTCTAGTAACCAAAACAGCATGGTTCTGGCTTAAAAAGAGACACATAGACCACTGTAAGACAAGAGACAACCCAGAAACAAATTCATACATCTACAGTAAACTCATTTTTGGCAAAGTTGTTAATAGTATACTTTGGGGAAAGGACAATCTCTTCAATAAATGGTGTTTAGAAAACTATATGCAGAAGAATAAAACTAGACCCCTATCTCTCACCATGTACAAAAATTAAATCAAAATGAACTAAAGACTTAAATCTAAGACCTCAAACTATGAAACTAAAAGAAAACATTGGAGAATCTCTCCAGGACATTGGAGTTGGCAGATTTCTTGAGTAATACCTCACAAGCACAAGTAACCAAAGCAGAAATGAACAAATGGGAAGACATCAAGTTAAAAAACTTATGCACAGCAGAGCACCCACTCAGACAGACAGAGCAGTTTGTGGAGACTCACGTCATGAACTTTTGCTCCAGAACTACTGCAGGAATAAACCAGGAAAGCAGAGAGAACTCACAGACCCTTTGAAGGAAGCAGATTGCGCCTGCAGACCTGGGAGACAGCCCAAATACCATGAGTGTCCAAGCTGTGAAAGTGGGAAAGAGGGACTGTCCACTGCCAAACACCTACCCACACTGGGGTACCTGAAGATCTAGATCATGGGAAAAGGATCTGACCTTACCTAGAGCTGAGTCAATTTAGAGAGTCGAGTGAAATACAGGGGTAGAGGAAGCAGCGGAAAAAAGATCTGTGGGCTCTGTGCGTCCCCTGGGAAGCTATTTCAGACTTGTCTCACAGAGGTCCTTTGGGGAGAGCTGCCAGAGGTACTGGGAAAAGACCACAGGGAGAAGGAAAGCTCCAGCTGAACTTTGTAACAATTCCAACCAAATGCAAAGTCTCCTGGCCAGAACTTGGGAAAGGGCATAAATCCGGTTTGCAGACTCCACAGCAGGGGAGATACAAAAGCCCTGCTTGCTTTCGCAGCTGAGAGGCAGGTAGCCTGGGACAAGTTCTTAGCCCTGCTTTCCCACTGCCTGGAAACAGAATCGGTGCTGTTAAGCAGGACACCGTGGGAGTGAGACTGGCCTTTTGGATAGTCTCATAGGAGACTTCTTTTCCATAGGAGCTGGGTGAGGCTTGTGACTGCTGGTTTTCTCCCACTTTCCTGATAACCTGCCTGACACAGCAGAGGGAGTCATAATCCTCCTGGGAACATAACTCCATTGACCTGGGAAAAACACCCCCATCCCCCATGGCAGTCACAGCAAGCCCTGCCCAAGGAGAGTCTAAGCTCAGATATGCCTAGCCCTGCCCCCACCTGATGCTCCTTCTCTACTCACCACCGTAACAGAAGACAAAAGGCATATACTCTTGGGAGTTCTAGAGTCCCACCCACCACCTGATCCTCCCTATACTACCACAGCTGATGCTCTCTTGAAAGTGCCACCTCCTGGAAGGAGGCTAACCAGGACAAAAATAGTGCATTATACAACCAAAACTAAGGACCTTCAGAGAAGCCATTTCACCCCCACCACCTCCACCAGAGCAAGTGCTTGTATCCATGGCTGAGAGACCTGCAGACGGCTCCCATCACAGGACTCTGTGCAGACAACCCCAGCACGAGCCCAGAGCCTGGTAGAGCTGCTGGGTGGCTAGATCCAGAAGAGAGATAACAATCACTACAGTTAGGCTCTCATGAAGCGACACCCCTAGGAAAAGGGGAGAGTACTACATCAAGGGAACACCCCATGGGAAAAGAGAATCTGAATATCCTTGAGCCCTAGATCTTTCCACTAATATGGCCTACCCAAATGAGAAGAAACTGGAAAAACAATTCTGGTAACATGACAAAACAAGGTTCTTTAGCAACCCCTAAAAATCACACTAGCTTACCCGCAACAGATCCAAACCAAGAAGCAATCCCTGATTTACCTGAAAAAGAATTCAGAATGTCGGCTATTAAGCTAATCAAGGAGGCACCAGAGAAAGGTGAAGTCCAATTTAAGGAAATTAAAAAAAAATCATACAAGAAATGAGAAGAGAAATATTCAGTGAAATATATAGCATAAATTTAAAAAAATCACAACTTCAGGATATAGAGAATGCACTTAGAGGAATGCAAGATATTCTGGAAAGCCTCAGCCATAGGATTGAACAAGCAGGAGTAGAACTTCAGAGCTCAAAGATAAGGTTTTCAAATTAATGCAATCCAACAAATACAAAGAAAAAAGAATAAGAGAAAATGAACAAAGCCTCTGAGAAGTTTGGGATTATGTTAAGCGACCAAACCTAAGAATAATTCATGTTCCTGAGGAAGAGAAATCTAAGAGTTTGGAAAACATATTTGGGAGAATAATCAAGGAAAACTTCCCTGGCCTTGCTAGAGACCTAGACATCCAAATACAAGAAGCTCAAAGAACAACTGGGAAATTCATTGCAAAAAATCGTCACCTAGGCACATTGTCATCAAGTTATCAAAAGTCAAGACAAAGGAAAAAAATCTTAAGAGCTGTGAGGCAAAAGCACCAGGTAACCTGTAAAGGAAAACCTATCAGATTAACAGTAGATTTGTCAGCAGAAACCCTACAAGCTAGAAAGGATTGGGCTGTATCTTCAGCCTCCTTAAACCAAACAATTAACAGTCAAGTATCTTGTATCAAGCACAACTAAGCTTCATAAGTAAAGGAAAGATACTGTCTTTTTCAGACAAACAAATACTGAGAGAATTTGCCACTACCAAGCCAGCACTATAAGAACTGCTAAAAGGAACTCTAAATCTTGAGACAAATCTTGAAAACACATAAAAACAGAACCTCTTTAAAGCATAAATCTCACAGGACTTATAAGAATACAATAAAAGAAAAAAAAGGTATACAAGCAACAAATAGCACAATGAATGGAATAGTACCTCACATCTCAATACTAACACTGAATGTAAATGGCCTACATGCTCCACTTAAAAGATATAGAACTGCAGAATGGATATGGATAAGAATTCACCAACAAACTATTTGCTGCCTTCAAGAGACTTACCTAACACATAAGGACTCACATAAACTTAAAGTTAAGGGATGGAAAAAGACATTCCATGCAAATGGACACAAAAAGCAAGAAGGAGTTGCTGTTCTTATATCAGAAAAAACAAACCTTGAAGCAACAGCAGTTAACAAAAACAAAGAAGGACATTATATAACAATAAAAGGCCTTGTCCAACAGAAAAATATCACAATTCTAAATATATATGCAGCTAACACTGGAGCTCCCAAATTTATAAAACTGTTACTACTAGACCTAAAAAATGAGATAGACATCAAGACAATAATAGTGGGGGATTTCAATGCTTCACTGACAGAACTAGACAGGTCATCAAGACAGAAGTCAACAAAAAAACAATGAATTTAAACTATATCTTTGAAAAAAATCGACTTAACATATAGCTACAGAACATTCTACCTAATAACTGCAGAGTATACATTCTATTCATCAGCACATGGAACTTTCTTCAAAATAGACCATATGAGAGGCCACAAAACAAGTCTCAGTAAATTTAAGAAAATTGAAATTATATCAAGTACTCTCTCAGACCACAGTGGAATAAAACTGGAAATCAACTCCATAAGAAACCTTCAAAACCATGCAAATACATGAAAATTATATAACTTTCTCCTGAATGATCATTGGGCCAACAATGAAATCAAGATGGAAATTTAAAAATTCTTTGAACTGAACAATAATAGTAACAAAACCTATCAAAACCTCTGGGATACAACAAAGGCAGTGCTAAGAGGAAAGTTCATAGCCCTAAATGCCTACATCAAAAAGTTTGAAAGGGCGCAAATAGACAATCTAAGTTTGCACCTCAAAGAACTAGAGAAACAAGAAAAAACCTCACCCAAACACAGTAGAAGAAAGGAAATAACCAAGATCAGAGCAGAACTAAGTTAAATGGAAACAAAAAATGATACAAAAGATAAATGAAACAAAAATCTGGTTCTTTGAAAAGACAAATAAAATTGAAAGACCATTAGCAAAATTAACCAAAAAAAAGAGAGTGAAAATCCAAATAAGCTAATTAGAAATGAAACAGGAGATATTACAACCTACATCATCATTTAAAGCTACTGTGAACACCCTTACATGCATAAACGAGAAAACCTAGAGGAGATGAATAAGATACCACCCTCCTAGCTTAAATCGGGAAGAATTAGATACCCTGAACAGACCAATAACAAGCAGTGAGATTGGAATGGTAATAAAAAATTACCAACAAAAAAAGTCCAGGACCAGTCAGATTCACAGCTGAATTCTACCAGACATTCAAAGAGAATTGGTACCAATCCTATTGACATTATTCCACAAGATAGAGAAAGAGCAAATCCCCCTTAAATTATTCTATGAAGCCAGCATCACCAGACATAACAAAAAAAAAGAAATCTATAGGCTAATATCCTTGATGAACATAGATGCAAAAATTCTTAATAAAATACTAGCTAACCGAATCCAACAACACATCAAAAAGATAATCCACCATGATCAAGTGGGTTTCACAGCAGGGATGCAGGGATGGTTTAACATATGCAAGTGAATAAATGTGATACATCACATAAACAGAATCAAAAACAAAAATAGCATGATTATCTCAATAGACACAGAACAAGCATTTGACAAAATCCAGCATCTCTTTATGATTAAAACCCTCAGCAAAGTTGGCATACAAGGAACATACCTCAATGTAATAAAAGCTATCTATGACAAACCCACAGTCAACAAAATATTGACTGGGGAATAGTTCAAAGCATTCCCTCTGAGAACTGGAACAAGATAAGAATGCCCACTTTCACCACTTCTATTTAACATAGTGCTGGAAGTCCTAGTCAGAACAATCAGACAAGAGAAAGAAATAAGGGCATCCAAATTGGTAAAGAGGAAGTCAAACTGCCACTGTTTGCTGATAATATGTTGTATACCTAAAAAACCCTAAAGACTCCTCTATAAAGCTCCTAGAACTGATAAATGAATTCAGCAGTTTCCAGATACAAAATTAATGTACACAAATCAGTAGCTCTCCTATACACCAACAGCAATCAAGCTGAGAATCAAATCAATAATTCAACCCCTTTTACAATAACTGCAAAAAAATAAATTCTTAGGAATATACCTAACCAAGGAGATGAAAATTCTCTACAAGAAAAACTACAAAACACTGCTGAAAGAAATCATAGACCATATAAACAAATGGAAACACATTGCATGCTCATGGATGGGTAGCATCAATATTGTGAAAATAACCATACTGCCAAAAGCAATTCTACAAATTCAATACCATTCCCATCAAAATATCACCATCATTCTTCACAGAACTAGAAAAAACAATCCTGAAATTCATATGAAACCAAAAAAAAGCCAACATAGATAAAGCAAGACTAAGCAAAAAGAACAAATCTGGAGACATCACATTATCTGATTTCAAACTATGCTATAAAGTCATAGAAAAAAAAATCATGGTACTGGTATAAAAATAGGCACATAGACCAATAGAACAGAATAGAGAACCCAGAAATAAACCCAAATACCGACAGCCAACTGATCTTCAACAAAGCAAACAAAAACTTAATGTGGGGAAATGATGCCCTATTCAACAAATGGTTCTGGGATAAGTGGCTAGCCACATGTAGGAGAATAAAACTGAATCCTCATCTTTCACCTTACACAAAAATCAACTCAACATGGATCAAGGACCTAAATCTAAGATCTGAAACTGTAAACATTTTAGAAGATAACATTGGATAAACACTTCTAGACATTGGGTTATTCAAGGATTTCGTGACTGAGAACTCAAAAGCAAATGGAATCAAAGCACATAAATAGTGTGACTTAATTAGACTAAAGAGCTTTTGCACAGCAAAAAGAACAGTCAGCAAAGTAAACAGACAATCCACAGAGTAGAAGAAAATTTTACCAATTTATACATCTGACAAAGGACTAATATCCAGAATCTACAACAAACTCAAGCAAATTTGCAAGAAAGAATCAAACAATCCAATCAAAACTGGGCTAAGGACATTAATAGACAATTCTCAAAAGAAGTTATAGAAATGGTGAACAAACATATGAAAAAATGCTCAACATCACTAATTATCAGGGAAATGCAAATCAAAACCACAATGCAATACCACCTTACTCCTACAAGAATGGCCATAATCTAAAAAATAAAAAACTAATAGATGTTGGCGTGGATGTTGTGAAAAGGGAGCACTTCTACACTGCTGGAGGGGAGATTGCCATTTCAAATATCTACCTTTGGAACATTTCTTGTCATTGGTGATTAGATCTATCAATAGAAATTTCTAGCAGTTTCACACTTACAGTAGACTCTCTCTTTCTGGCCATGGTTTCAGACAAATTTATGTCCACCTTTTGTTCCCATCTTCTCTTTTTCTTCTAGTTTTTCTCAAGCTGCCCTTGCTCATCTTGAAAAGCTTGTGGTGGGATCATGAATGACAGCTCACTGGGATTTGGCAATTTTTCTTTCTACAGTTATTTTGAGGTTTGGTAATTCTGTCCTCTAGTTATGTTGAGAGTGTGGGGTTTGTGCAGTTTTTTTGTGTTGTTGTTGTTGTTCTTGTTGTACTCTATTGTTTTAAAAGAATATTTAGGAAGATATACACTTAGATTTCTGCTATTTCTGCTATTATTTTTAGCTACCCAGAAATCCCCACAAATCATTGTGCAACAATGCTCTCTCATTTTATAGCATGAATAAGAGCTAGTATTAAAGATAAAATGCTACATGACTCACGTACAAGTCAGACACCTAATCAGTGGTAGATGCTAAGAATAACACACTGTAGTGACTAAGACTTCATACTATAGGATAAATAAATCTCATTTCAAATATTGGTTTTCTAGCCATTATCACAGATTACTTACTTAACTACTTTAGCCCCTCATGATCTTCATTTAACAAATAGGGATTACACTCACCTCATGGTTCTTTTGTGAAAATTAAATGAAATAAACTACAAAAAGTCTGTAATATATCCTCTAACATCATATTTCTCAATAAATATAAACAGGAACCCCTATTCTCCAAAAATGTATCCTTAAAGCTTTTTTACAGAGTTCTTTCCAAAATATCCTGCTGCCTATGTAGTTAGAGCTTTGACCAACCCAGTCTTGGCTTACTACAAGGAAGAATAAAAGTTATCTTAGCATGTGAGTATTACACATGGCCCTAGTTTTTTTAAGACATCAAAAGAAAGCCGGGCATGGTGGCTCACACCTGTAATCCCAGCACTTTGGGAGGCCGAGGCGGGTGGATCACGAGGTCAAGAGATGGAGAACATCCTGGCCAACATGGTGAAACCCCATCTCTGCTAAAAATACAAAAATTAGCTGGGCATGGTGGTGCACAACTGTAGTCCCAGCTACTTGGGAGGCTGAGGCAGGAGAATCACTTGAACCCGGAAGGTGGAGGTTGTGGTAAACTGAGATTGTGCCACTGCACTCCAGCTTGGCAACAGAGTGAGACTCTGTAAAAAAAAAAAAAAAAAAAAAGTCAAAAGAAATATCTCAGCATCCAAAGAAAACTTGAGAACCTAATATCCTTTTGGAATGTTAAATCCCTCCACAATTTTCCCAGAAATTGTTAATTCATCTAATTTAGTGGGTCTGTAATGCCAAGCAAACAAAGAAAAAATCTCTATTTCCTAAGAAGACTATGTTTTTTCCTCTGGTATCTTTGGCTGTACAAATGTCCTTTCTTATGTAGATCTGACATCTCCCACCCTTCAACTTCCATCCACTATTTCAACTTCCATCCGTTGTTTCCAGTCCTGCCAACTAAAAGCCACTACAATAACTCTATGTCCCAGTGCTCTGATGGTCTCATGAGAGTTATTTAAAACCAAGTGTTCCATTAAACCTTTCTTCCCAAACTGTGAAGCCTTCATTGTTTTGGAGATTGTTTCAGAGATTGTTTCTGCTCTGTAGAAATAACTAGGCTTTCTGCCTGATTGTCCCTAAGATAGAGGTTAGAATGTTTTTCCCTCACTGCAAAGTCTACCAGATCCCTCTCAGCAATGCCCCATTTTTGCATCTTCTCAAGAGTTCAGACTTTCATACAGCAAAGCATCTGTGGTAATAATTTCTTCCATATACTAAAGTGCATTGTCTAGTTATAGGATATAGATATGTGCCCAGCAGGGCTCAGAACCTTTAGTGAAAGTTTTTATTTCTGATTTTATTTCATGCTTCCTCTTATTTTGGAATGGATTCTCTCACTCTTCCTCTCCCCTCCCCTATTCCTGCCAGCATTTTGTCATATTTGATTGAGTAGATCAGTAATATAAACGGATGAGCTGCATAGAAATATGATGTAGATATAAAGGCATTCATCAAACAAGTTTAGAGTGGCCCCAAGTTTAGGAAATAATTATAAATAGACTTGTCATGAAACTCCATTTTAGCAGAGAGCATGACAACAAAATAGTCAGAATATTGTCTAATAGACTTAGGTTGCTGGCATAGCTACCATACCCATCATGTCTACTATCATGTCTCTGATTTCAAATATAATATATTCTCCACTCCTGGCCACGTATCAGATATTCTTTATTTATTCAACACAGTCATCAAATTCTTAAAGCAAATAGTATTCCTATTTCCCAACCGAGTGATTGTCACTAGCAAAATTGTGGTATTGTGAATAGTAGTAGTAGTAATAACAGATAGCTTTTATTGGGTACAAATGTGTCTACCCGGTTGAATGCTTTATGTACCATCATAATAGTCCTATAATCGTCACTATAGTCCTATAAGTCTTCAGTGCCTGAGCCTTTGCCTAAATATACCATAAAATAACTCTTTCTTTTCATGAAATTCTACTTCATGTCCTTCCTTTGTAGCCCCTTGTAATCTGGCTCCTGCCTCATCACCCTGTTGATACTAATCACCAATAGCCATCTAATTAACCAATTCAAAAGCTTCTCTTGTTTTCTCATCCTGTTGGGTCTTTCCTCCAGCATTTTATTTTACATTGCTGACTATTATCTCATTCATTAACTTTTCTAATAATTATTAAAACCATTATTTTATAGATGAAGGAGTTGAGTCTTCCATGGGTTAAATAACTTTCCCAGGGTTACACAGCTAGTAAGTGAAAGAGCCAGAGTTGACAACTCTAGTGTTCAGGCTTTTTACCCTACTAAGCAATCCCAAATCCCAAAACTCAAGCTTCACAGTTCTTTAACCAACTCTACTCCAAAGATATTCGCCTCCACTTCATGTGGGCAAGTCATCCCCATGGCCACACTTTGTGGACTTGAAGTTCCAAGATCATAAACTAAAATTGTGATTTACTAATCACAACAGTTCCCCTGTAATTATGCCTCCTTTTTATCATTTGTTTATTTTTATTGTATATATTTAAGGTGTATAACATGATGTTTTGATATACATCTGCATAGTGAAATAATTGCTACACTCAAGCAAATTAACTTATCCATTACTCACAGTTATCTTTTTTAAAATGCTAAAAGTATCTACTATCTACTCTCAGCAAATTTTCAGTATATAATACAACATAATTAACAGTAGTCTGCACGCTGTACATTAGATCTCTAGACTTATTCATCTTACTTAACTATAAATTTGTATCCTTTGGCCTACATCTCCTTATTCTGTCCCATTCCTCCTACCCATGGTAATTACCATTTTACTCTCTGTTTCTATGTATTAGCCTCTGTTCAGATTTAACATATAAGTGGGATCATATAGTATTTTTCTTTCTGTTTCTGACTTATTACACTTAGAATAAGTGATCTTAGAATAAGGATCTCCAAGTTCATCCATATTATCATAAACGGCAGATTTTTCTTTTTATTTTTAAGGCCAAGTAGTATTTCATTGTGTATATATACCATTCACCCACTGATGAACACTTAGTTTGTATCCATATCTTGATCATTATGACTAATGCTGCAATGAACGTGGGAGTTCAGTCATCTCTATGAGGTGCTAATTTCATTTCTTTGACTATTTCCCCAGATGAGGAGTTGCTAGATCATATGGTAGTTCCATTTTTAATTTTTTGAGCAACCTCCATACTGTTTTAATTAACAGCTATACCAATTTACATTCCCACCATGCCATCTTCTTAAATAATTTTAGTACAACTCTATTCCATTTCTTCAAGTCTCCTCTCGCTGGTCAAACTGCTGCATTTGCCCTGTTAATCCGGTACTACATTCATCTACCTACTCTGTTTCTGAATAGATAGATGCTCTGCTGGAGAAAGGGTATTGTGTCATGACATCCTTAGTGCTATTAAACTCCATATTCCTGTCCACTCTCTTTGCTCCTTCCCCTAAACCCACCACTCCACTGATGTCACTTTACTCCCAGCAGGTGACAGAGTCTTCTCTCCGGCATAATAAAGGCCATGGAGGCATGAAACCACCATATTTTCCTCTCTTCTTCCTCCAAGCTTATTTTCAGTCATCTTCATCTTCCCACATCTACATTTCAAACTTGGCTGTACATTAGAATCTCCTGCAGAAATGGTATGATTCCCAACACTCAGGCAGAGCCCCAGTCCAATTAAATCAACATCTATTGGACATGGGGTATGGGCACATATATATATATACATACACATATATATATGTGTATATATATGTATATTTATGTGTGTATATATATCTATAATGTGTGTGTATATATATATATTTTGTTTGTTTGTTTGTTTGTTTTTGAGATGGAGTCTCGCTATGTTGCCAGGCTGAAGTGGAGTGGTGCAATCTAAGCTCACTGCAACCTCTGCCTCCCGGGTTCAAGCGATCCTCCTGCCTCACCCTCTCGAGTAGCTGGGACTACAGGTGTGCGCCACCACGCCCAGCTAATTTTTGTACTTTTAATAGAGATGGGGTTTCACCATGTTGGCCAGGATATTCTCCATCTCTTGACCTTGTGATCCACCTGCCTCGTCCTCCCAAAGTGCAGGGATTACAGGTGTGAGCCACCATGCCCGGCCCAGCACTGATATTATTTTTAAAGCTTCTCAGTTGATTTCAATGGGCCATCAAGTCTGTGGACCACTGTTCTAATATCAAACATTCAGAGAGCAATCTTTTAAACCAGCTTGATTATAAGAATCACCAGGTATGCTTATTAAACGTTCAGATCCCCAGTCTGCTCTGGTGGAAACATTAATTTGGAAGATCTGGATTGGGGTCCAAGAATGTAGCTAACAATTACCTGCAGGTAATTGTTATTTTCAGGCTAATTTGGAAAACACTATACTAGACTTTCCTGTATGTCTTCTCTAATATTTTCACACTGTACTGGCACTTCTTCTGATCTCAAATATCTGTAAATATTTCTCATTCTTGAGTCATCTTCCTTCTGCTATACATTTTCCTAAAGTTAACACAATCTCTCTCTCTTCTTTTTTTATTATCAAAAGTCTTGACAATGCCTTCCATTCAGTCCTTAACCCAGCTTATTCTAGGTTTTATCCACACTACTCTTTTAACCCAAGATTTCCAACAAATAGCCGAAAGCCTTTTCTGTTCTATCTTTTTTTCTGAATTCACTTCCTTGTAGCATTTGACCTTAACCATCTGCCCACTTTGAAAACATTATTCTCCCTTAACTTTCTTCCTACTCTGCAACCAACCTTTCTCTCTCTTTTAGTGAGTCAGCTCTCTCTACCTTCTTCTTAAGTGTTTTTCACAAGAATCTATCTTTCTCACTGTTCTCCACAGACACATTCTTTATAGGTATTCTCATCCAGTATTGTGGCTTTAACTAAAGCTACATACTGTCTAGTCTCAACATTTTATTTCCAAATTTAAGCTCTACAGTTTTACATGCAACAAGTCCCCTTAGCATGTAGGTGTTTCTCATTCATCATGCCCAAAAATTAACTCATTATTGCTCTGCCTACATCATCTTCTGTCTCAGCTACTTCTGTTAAAATCACCCTGCTTTGAATTGCTCAGGTAGAATCCTGAAATAATTCCTAGTGCTACTGCTTGTATCTGAGTTTATATGAGCACATATATCATCAGATCTTTCCATCCTAGCACCACTTCGGAGTGAGGGATCATCTCCTGCTCATCTCAGTCCTGAATAATTTGCCCCAGCCAGCAGTGCATTCTTACCTCCACCAAATCTCCTGAGTGTCTCACCTCAGTGACCTGGGACCTCCCTTTTACCTTTGGATCATCTTCTATGCTTGGCTCTTGGAGACTGTTTCCATGGTGATATTCTTGGCTATCCTCTTAGACTACATTTCTCCCTTGGCTGTGTTGCCTTAGTTAGCCCTGCGCAAATTCTTCTCAGGGTCCCACACTCCCCCAAGACCAGCTTTCTTGGAAAAGATGCTGTGGCAATCCTCCAGCTATATTTGCCCTATCTCTATGAGCAAGCACTTGACAGATTCTATTTATAAAACATTTCTTGCATCTTTGTCCTTCTCTCTAGTCCCTGACCAACTCTAATCCAGGATTTTATTCTGTTGGCCTGAAGCTATTGTAGTAGTCTCTGCCCCATCTCTTTCCTTGTCTCCACACAGCCGTCTAATTGCATAATTCTCCTGCCTAAAGTCATTAATTGCTCTTTATTGCCAATAGACTAACAAATAGGAATTTTTTGACTTGCCATACAAATGGCTGGCCACCCTTCAGCGGGTCCTAATGTGCTTTCTAGTCTTTCCTCCAACCACTTTGTCCCACAAAGTCTTCTGCCCTACTGCTTGCCTCATTTTACCCATCTTGTTTCTCTCTCTCTCTGAAACCATTGGGTGGTTTGTATAAAACTGCTGTGGAATTGTGGGCTTAGAAGATTTAAAATAAGGCAAAATATTTCTCCAGGGAAATACATTAAACTCTGTATTTTTATGCCTTTCCCCAGCCCAGATTCGTAAGTCTAAAGTGATCAGCCAGTGCCACCAGGAAGAGTAGACTTCCTGAGTGATGCAGGAAGAGGCATATTCAGTGAATGCCTTCCATTCTCACACGTTGGTTCAGCAGGGTGTTAATGGGATTACCCATGCTTCATTTGGAGAAGGCTTGGCTCAGAATATATATCTGTATCGTACCTGAATACCCAAGGAGTGCTTCCTACATCATAAACATCTCTGAGCCCTTGCATAGATGTTAGAACCTTGGGTGCCTTTGTTGTGGTCCTTAATTCTGTTAATCGCCCTAGGTAAAGATTAGCTGCTCTTGTCAATTTAATTCAGCTTCAAACAAAGCAACAAGGTCACTATTTTTTTCCATTCTCTCTCTCTCCCTCTCCCTCTCTCTCTTTGCCAGCAAGCAGTATTGAGTTGTCATGTAGCTCTAATAGGCAGCGCGGGGAATCGTTAGTCCACCTCAACGCCCTGACTGATGGGCACTTCACTTCAATCATCTGCCTGAGCAGTGGTGGCCCAGTACTATTGACACTGTGTCAGCTGCGAGAGAAGATGCCTTAATCGGCCCCGACACCCTCTGCATTGATTTGACAAGTTGCTGTAATGACCTTCTTGTTTTTCTGAAGGATTACTGTTTACTTGAAAGGTGCTGCTGACTAAATGTACTGCATTGTCATGGAAACGCCGCCTCCCCACCAGGCAGGGGTGGAGGGTGACATTGGGAGACTCTGAATATTTCAATAAACTGGTCTGTCCCAGGAGTACTAATTCCAGCCCATTAATCAGACCTACTCTGAAGAGCCAACCAGAATTAGAAACCAGCCTTGTCAGGTCCCCTGTTAAAGACAGTTTGCTTCAAAACTCATTATATTTCCAAAATCCATGTTTGGGTTTCCTTGTAGTAAGAAAGTGCTGTTCCTGTGGCCACCTCCTGTGTGCACCTGGAATTTATAGCCATTTATCTGTTATTGAAAGAGACTGGCTCTTCCCGTGCAGACACACCCTAGCATTAGAAGGTGTACGAATGAAAGACAGAACATAACACTGTGAGTACCTGCCATGTAAGTGGTAGTGAGTTAGGCACCGTTATATATGTGAGTAAGAATTGCTCTATAAATATTAGCTATGATTATTGTCCTATTTCATTGATTTTAAGATAAATGATTTTCCCATCCTAACATTTCAGAAATTGGGTACATCTTATAAATCAATCCCAGTTTGCATTTGTTGTCAGCCAGGTGGCAATTGTGGCATACCTGGGAGAAAAGCTTCCATTGTCACCTCCTGGTAAGAGCAAAAAAAAAAAAAAAAAAAAAAAAAAAAAAAAAAAAGAAACACAATCAAAGTGTTTAAGATTCAGTATTGCACATTTTGCAGTAAATGCTTTATATGGATTACTTTTTTGAATCCTTAAAAAATCTTAAACAATTACATACTGTATTTTTTTTTTCTCACATAACAAGAAGTCCAGAAGGAAAAGTTTGCTGGCATTGTTTCAACTGCTTAAAGATGTCACAGCCAAAGTCTCAGCAATTTTCTTTGTCTATTCCTCTGGTACCAAAGATAGCTGCTGAGGCTGAAGACATCACATCCTAATTACAAACAGAAAGATGAATAAAGGTCAAAAACTATGGCTCTCAGCTATATCAGACCCCTTTAAAAGGATTCCTCTACTATACTCTTAACAATTTCCACCTGTATCACATTAATACCACCCCTATCTTCAAGTAAAGCTGGGCTTTAAAAAAAAATCCTGGCATATTGTTTCCCCTACTAAAACTAGGACTATATTATTGAGAGGAGCATAATGAACATTGAGTAGGCAACTTCAGTCTCTGTCTTACCATAGGAGGAAGGCATTACTATATACCCATTGTACAGATCATGAAATCAAAGCTTAAAGAGGCTGAGGATTGACCCTTGCAACTGTCCCACAAAATGAATATTCTTATCCCTACACTACAGATAAAGGATAAAGCAAGCTTACAGATATTAAGTCACTGGCCCTCATTGTCACAAGTCTATCTTATCCTAGCATTCAAGCACCATGTACTATACCACAAGCCATTTTAGGAAGGGCTTATTTTCAATGGTTATAGATGAAATAATTTGGAGATGAAAGCAGGAACTGGGCTAGGAAACGCATCTGAAGTTATGCTTCTCTTCTTCTTCCAGGGATCCAGCCAGTGGTCATGAGCAGAACCCATCTTCGTGGGTGTCTGTTATTTGTTTGATATTTATTAAGCATGTACAGAATGTCTGACTGCTTTTTCAAAACTCTTAAATGGAGACCATGTGCTCATCTTTTACTGCCTTTTCTTTGTTTTTTTTTTTTTTTTTTTTTTTGAGACGGAGTCTTGCTCTGTCGCCCAGGCTGGAGTTTAGTAGTGTGATCTTGGCTTACTGCAAGTTCTGTCCCCCAGGTTCATGCCATTCTCCCGCCTCAGCCTCCCGAGTAGCTGGGACTACAGGTGCCCACCACCATGCCTGGCTAATTTTTTGTATTTTTAGTAGAGACGGAGTTTCACTGTGTTAGCCAGGATGGTCTCGATCTCCTGACCTCGTGATCCGCCCACCTTGGCCTCCAAAAGTGCTGGGATTACAGGCATGAGCCACCATGCCCGGCCTTTTACTGCCTGTTCTAAGGCTTACTGGCCATGCAAGAATTTTATTTCTTGGTCTCTTCTTGACTCATAATCTCCCTAGGAAAGTCCTAAGCAACTTCAGCTGTAATTTAGAGGATGCTTAGAAAAAAAAAAGTTGAGATTTGAGTGGCCCAGTAAAGGACTGGAGGACCCCAAGTGTGATAAAATAGGGACAGATGATTATCTGCATTATGGCACCTGGATAGGTAAGGTGGAGAAGTGGTTTCTACTTCTAGTCCCCTTTTCTATGGGCACTTCTTTTCCCACCACACCTCCACAACACCCATACCATTCCCTGTAGTTCTGATGGGGCTTTTATTCATGGATGCCCATTTAATCACCTGACTTTAAGCTGGCTCAAGTCTTTATGGTAGACCCAAGGTGTAAAGAGGTCTAATGATGATTCAGGGGTGGAGGGGTGTGACCCAAGTGGGCCATTTAGAAACCTGCCTTGAGATTCTACACATGGGCACTGAAAGGAGGAATGTTTCTCTCCCTTTTAGATCATGAACCACTAAGAGGAAGGCCTGGGGATGCTAGTAGCCATGTTTCCCATGCCCTGGAAAGAGCTTCTCTGAGAATGATGCAATTATACAGAGGAAGGAAGAATCCCCAGATGACAAGATAGCCAGAGTACTGACAACACCATTTGAGCACCTGGATCAAGCAATGCCTAAAGCTATATATCTCTTCATCCATTCAAATTAAGTTGAAATAAACCAACAGCAAGAAAACAACAGAAACAAAGAAATTCATTGTCTGATGCAACCATTCTCTATCACTTTCAATAAAAATTATTCTAATACTCTAGGAAAAAGGCACTATTGCTAAATAAAGCCAAGACACAGCCAACCGAAAAGTGTAAAGGAATGTAAACAAGGCTGTTATCTAAGACCGTGATAGGATTTGGATCTGTGTGTTCCCACCAAAATCTCATGTTCAGTTGTAATCCCCAATGTTGGTGGTGGGGCCTGGTGGGAGGTGATTGGATCAAGGGGGACTTTTCTAATGGTTTAGCACCATCTGCCTAGTGCTGTTCTCATGATAGAGTTCTCAGGAGATCTTGTTGTTTCAAAGTGTGTAGCAACTTCTCCCTCTCTCTCTTCCTCCTGCTCCAGCCACATAATAAGAGCCTGCTTTCTATCCCTTCTGCCATGATGATAAGTTTTCTGAGGCTTCCCCAGAAGCTGAACAGATGGCCAGCATCATGCTTTCTGTACAGCCTGCTGAACCATGAGCCAGCTAAACCTCTTCTTTTTTTTTTTTGAGATGGAGTCTTGCTCACCCAAGCTGGAGTGCAGTGGCGCTATCTCGGCTCACTACAACCTCCGCCTCCAGGGTAAA
This sequence comes from Homo sapiens, assembly GCF_000001405.40. Classification (NCBI taxonomy): domain Eukaryota; kingdom Metazoa; phylum Chordata; class Mammalia; order Primates; family Hominidae; genus Homo; species Homo sapiens. The sequence continues at coordinate 76,727,465 of NC_000010.11, forward strand.
GCAATTCTCCTGCCTCAGCCTCCCAAGTAGCTGGGACTGTAGGCACCCACCACCATGCCTGGCTCATTTTTTGTATTTTTAGTACAGACTGGGTTTCATCATGTTAGCTAGGATGGTTTCGATCTCCTGAAACTCACGATCTGCTCGTCTCAGCCTTCCAAAGTGCTGGGACTACAGGTGTCAGCCACCACACCCAGCCTAAATCTCCTCTTTTTGTAAATTACCCGGTCTCAGGTATTTCTTTATAGTGATGCGAGAATGGACTAATACAGACTGTTTGAAGGACAAGTATAAAATGAATTGAGAAGAGTTAAAGACAAGAATTCAAAACCAAGATTGAGAACATGGAGAATGAGATGTAGATTTGCTTCCTATAATGGTGTGTGTGTGTGTGTATCAACAGTATGTATACATGATCCTGGATATATATGTATAATGTATATACTTTATTTCATGATTTCATGTATGTATGTGTGCATGTGTCTGCATATATAGTTATTTTTCAAATCTATGTAAGTGCTGTTGTGATCAATTTAGTAGTGCTTTTGGACAAATTTGAATTTTCTCAAAGGTTCTTTTTGTCATTTTCTCAAGCACCAAATTAAAAAATGTATATACTACCACAATCACTTAAAGTTCAATGAAGTTTGTGGGGTTTTTTTGTTGTTTTTTTTCCCCGTACCCTCCCCTACCATGATCTAGTAGCCAACTGAAAATTCTCCCCATCTTTTTCTCCCAGAAAGAGCTTCAGAAACACAAAAGCTAATGTCATAATGTCTTTTTATTTGTTATGTCTTTAATTCTTAAAGCCACTTACTCAGACTGTTTCCTTTAATGAGTTTAAAAATGCAGTAACTATGGAGGCCGGGCGCAGTGTCTCACGCCTGTAATCCCAGCACTTTGAGAGGCCAAGGTGTGAGAATCACAAGGTCAGGAGATAGAGACGATCCTGGCTAACACGGTGAAACCCCGTCTCTACTAAAAATACAAAATTTAGCCGGGCGTGGTGGCGGGCACCTGTAGTCCCAGCTACTCGGGAGGCTGAAGCAGGAGAATGGCATGAACCCAGGAGTCAGAGGTTGCAGTGAGCCGAGATTGTGCCACTGCACTCCAGCCTGGGAGACAGAGTGAGACTCTGTCTAAAAAAAAAAAAATGCAGTAACTATTAACTATGGATATTGGAACAGAATCAATTGTGTTATCCTTGTTCAATTTTTTGACTATTAACATCATATATTTATAAATATTTTCATGTGGTGGATGCATTCATGTTTCATATGCTGTGCTAGAGGTGTACAAAGGACATCAGGAAGCAAAATAGAGGCATGTATGTGATGCTCAACTAGACCACATGAGACTCAGTTGAGTAAATACTAAGATGACAGACTCTAACAGTGATTCACGGTAAAATTGCTAATAGACTATATATTGTCTGTTATTCCCATATTCCATTGCCACTGAGTCAAATTAAAGGATGAGAAAAGTTAGATTTGTGTGTCACTTTAAATTGAAGCATGCTTCAATGTGCTACATGAGCATAATAGAAGAATACCTATATATGCTTATATGTTGGCATGGTGATGGATTAAGCCAAGATAAATGGGGCAGTCAGCTGAAGCAGGGACTAATGATGGCCAAATCAGCAGTTAACAAGCTGGGGGCCTGACATATATCAGGTTTTGAGAGAGAGAGAAAACATAAACTGTCCTCCTATCAACATCTGATGAGGGTAAAACGAAGTTCATTGGGTCTTGCTAGCCCAAACCTTAAAAGACAAGTCTCTTTTTGTACTAGCAATTGTTGCAATTGTCGGGATCATTGGAACTCTTTCTCCTCATCTTTCCTCATGCCCCTCCCACTATGTAATTCCACATTAATTGCCAGATACCTTAAGGTACTCAATGAAGCATCCTTCTGGCAGAAGAAAAGGAAAAAAAATCAAACTCTAAGTCATATTTCAGTGCTTAAAAATGATTTTTTCCTTAATATGATTTAGTTTCTATCTTGATGAAAAATTTGTGCTATGACACCATTCCAACTGGTAGCTCATTTAGAGAGTAAGTTAGATCATGCCTCTGCTGGGCCCATGACCAAGTGTGCAGATTCATATAGATCCAGCCCACCTCTTCCCCACATAATCTTGGAACAACCATGAGACTGGTGGGAAGGAGTTTTGTGTTTAGTACTCCAGTATTATTCTGCATTTATTCTTTTCTCTATCCCTCTTTATCTCATTTCACTTGAAGTATACTGCACCCCTTTTTTTTCCTCATTCTGTATATTTACTTATTCCTACTGACCATCCATTTGGATATCCACTTTCACATTCTACCCTTAAGATACATTTCCTAAAAATTTGTTGTTCATTACTGATTGGGACCATAAAACAATTCCAGAGGGAATGCACATGTCTGTCTATCTAAACTCCCAGGCAACTATCACATGAGCTGGAATGAACTGGACAATGGATATAAAATTGGATGTGTGTGCAGATGGTCCTGGAAACAGCTGTGAATGCACATCTGTCACTGTTTAGTTGTCTGAAGGCCAGTAGCCTCTATTTGAGTGGAGCCATCCATCAGGAAATGCTGAGACAGATTCTCTACGCCCCCAACCATAGCCCAGGCTGTGGATAACAACTAGACAATCTGATAAAATCATAAAACTGTATTCATGAGGATTACAGTAGTAATAAATTACCTATCCCATTATACATTTGCATATTAATAGGAGTCCTGTAGTGATTCACTAGCTTAATGTAAATGAATGCCTTCAGTAGTGAAAACTGTGATCTCTTGGACAGACAGTGCAATGTTCCAGTTCTCAAAATCCTCTGCAGAGACAGCCATGTATGTGATCTCCATAAAGAGCTGACTTACAGACAAAGCCATGTCATCTACTTGTGTTTAATAGACTCATGCAGCAACAGAAACATGAGATCAGTCTAGCCTGGAGCAGATTTTCCAAGAGGAGTTGGAAGAAGGACAGCCAGGTGATTAGAAATCTGACTTGGCTTTCATATAGAAAGATGACTCCACAATTTGGGAACAGCAAACCCTACTGTATAGTACCTCAGCAAGGTGTCAAGAGAGGGGTGACCCTCTCCTGGATGAGGTGAGAGCTCTGTTCATTTTATTAGCCCCCAAGTGGCCCTCTTCAGCACCATATCCTTTCACTCATTAGCTTTCAACTTTGTGTTCCAGCCTCTCAACATTACCTCCGTTTCCCAAAGTGCCATCTCTCTGTCCCCTCCAGACCTGGAGACATCCTTTTCTCCTGCCTCTTCACTTGGAAACTTCTCAATCAGTTTGTCTCACTTTCTGTTCTTTTTGCTTAGAGCAGTATCTCTAACACAGCAGTCCTCAAAACAATCCATCCCCAGACCAGCAACATTGAGATCATTTGTGAGCTTGTTAGAAATGCAGATCCTTATACCCTTGGCTTGCTTACCCCTTTCAGAACATGGAGACAAGTAACCAAGGAATTACCATCCATTGGGATGTCTCACCCATCATTACAGTTGTCCAGAGTACAGTATGCTCGTTCCTGCTTGCTTGCATCCTTTGCGCCCAGATGGTGTTACTATCGGAAGCTTCAAGCCTGACTGACACATAGTGGGACCTCAATAAATATCAATTAACTGAATGAATGATTCCAAAGGGAATGAAAGGCAGAATTATATGGTGGTTTAAACACCCAGGCTCTGGAGCCAGACTGCCTGGGATCAAATCCTAGCTCCTTGATATAGTTTGGCTGTGTCCCTACTCAAATCTCATCTTGAATTGTAGTTCCCATAATCCCCATGTGTGGTGAGAAGGACCCAGTGGGAGGTAATTGGATCATGTGGGCAATTACCCCCATGCTGTTCCCATGATAGTAAGTTCTCATGAGATCTTACGGTTTTACAAGGGGCTTCCCCCTTTGCTCAGCTCTCATTCTTCTCTCTCCTGCTGCCATGTGAAGAAGGACATGTTCACTTCCCTTTTGCCATGACTGTAAGATTCCTGAGGCCTCCCTAGCCATGCAGAACTGTGAGTCAATTAAACTTCTTTCCTTTATAAGTTACCTGCTCTTGGGTATGTCCTTATAGCAGCATGAGAATGGACTACTACACTCCTATGCTCCCGATCATGTGGCCATGGACAGTCATTGAGCCTCTACGCTTCCTGGTAAAACAGATGGTAATGGCCTTAATTTTGTAGGCTTGTCACGTGGATTTGATACCTTCATACTGGTAAGGTACTTCGAACAATGCACAGACTCTAGTAAGCATCCAATATTAATAGTATAGAAAAAAGCTTTAATTCTGACATAAACGTCCCTTTATTTCAGAGAGATTTCACTGGATATTCCCAAATGATCCTTGGAATCTAAATCTGGAATAAATATACATATATGTTCATATTCTATTTCTTGGCACTTTTCAACAGCTCTAAAGAAGAGCTTCTTTTGGTGATGTTTTCCACCCAATTAACAGTGTTTATAAATTGGAAGCTGAGTTGATGAGAGCAGGAATTTTTCTAAACAGTCTCTCACTCCTCCCCTTCTCACCTTTCTTTTCTCCCAGCCCCCTTCTTTTTCCTCTCTCTCTCCATTTCCCATTTTTCTCTTTCTCTTCTTCCTTTTGTCTTTCTATCCATCTCTTCTCAGTGCCCACCATTATTCTCCACTTCTGTCCTAACGACTTCCTACCTCTTCTTCCTCTTTCTCCCCAAGATACCTCTGAAGCTATTACAGTTGGTTTCTGCCAAAACTTAAATGCCACAAAGAGTCTGAGATATCCAAGAGTTATAAATCACTCTCAACCACCCACAGTTTTTAGCCCAAATGAACAGGCTAGGAAAATGTCAAGGAAAAGAACATTAATGCAAATGAAGCTCTCAAAGTTATTTTGTTCACCAAACCTAAAACTGAGTTTCCTTGATGGTCTTTTGGCTGAGGCATCTTTTTACACAGCTGTCCATAAAGTGAAGGCAGGATGGGGGGCCATTTGTGGTCAGAGTGGGTGGAATGCCCATCTCACAGGGCATGCAAAGTGGACAGATTGTGCTTAACTGAGCTCCTGACTCACTTCACTTGCATCATCCACCCAGGCGGCATGGAGGGGTCTATGCTGGGAAGAGCTGCCTTCGGAGACAGGTATTGTATTGAAGAATATGGCGGTGCCTAGATGCAGGGACAACCTCCTCATGTGTGCTAAAGAAATGATCTGATGTTTGGTGGGAGGTTGGACAAGATGACTTCAGAGATTCCTTCAAAGTGGACATTCTGTGATTATGTTACTTGACTCCAAACTCTTGTTAGAGGGACTGGAATTCTGCTGTGCACTAGGTGCCCTCCTTACCCCCACCCAGCCCCTATGACCATGGGGTTCTTGCTTAATGGTCATCACCCACTCAGCCATCTGGCAAACCAAAAAATGCCTCCTTTGGGTTTCACCTTAACCCTGGACTATTTCTAAAGTATAAAAAATAGACAAATACCTCCCTCAGAGGTGGCCAAGAATATGGGGCCATGACCCACCTGAGCCAGGTGATGGCAGCTTACAGGCTCAGATGGGGGTATTGCGCTACAGAGGACGGAAAAGGGAAGTTATGGTGGCAATGAATCATGTCCTTCTTTGCCTTTCCTCCCAACAGAGGACCCCTCTGCCACTCTCAGGAATGTATCTTTCTTCTTTCTATTTTTTTCCCTCATTTTTTTTTTTTGAGACAGAGTCTCTGTCACCCAGGCTGGAGTGCAGTGGCGCGATCTCAGCTCACTGCAACCTCCGCCTCTGGGTTCAAGCGATTCTCCCGCCTCAGCCTCCCGAGTAGCTGGGACTACAGGCACCCACCACCAAGCCCAGCTAATTGTTTGTATTTTCATAGAGACGGGGTTTCACCGTGTTGTCCAGGCTGGTCACAAACTCCTGAGCTCAGGCAATCCACCTGTCTCGGCCTCCCAAAGTGCTGAGATTACAGGCTTGAGCCACCGCGCCTGGCTTCTTCCTTCTTTCTTAAAAGCCAAATCGAATTGCTGCCCCCATCCCCTACTGGCCAAATAGATGACTCCTACCAGGGCAAGCAGAGAAAAAAGAGCATTATCTGCTTCTACCTCTGGTTCCCCTTCATTTCATTGAGCTCACGCTTTCCCTCTTCATGTCACTGAAAATGTTATTTATTGATCCTGCTGACAGCAGCAGTAAATAGAGAGGGGCTGTTTTACATCGCTGATGAGAAGGCAGGCTCCATAACTCATCAGGCCCAATCTGACTCCACATCAGTCCTCTTCCTCTTTTTCTTTTCTGTATCTCATTACAGAAAGAGGAATTAATACACATGGACAGAAGAGAAATGAGTTCAGCTGCTTGCTGCTCTGAGGGCTTTAGTGGGAAGGCAAACATCCTCAGCAGTTCCTTAAGAAAATTCGGTGGATGGGTAAGTCAGGTTGCCATCTGTTGGCATGCCCTGGTGGAGGCCCATTAGCTGTGCCCTAATGGTCATAGACTGGGGGTCATCACACACTTGGGCTTGAGCTGAGGTTTGGGGAGTACCATAGAGAAAGAGAGTCCCTCTAACCATTTTTCCTTGTCTGAACTGCACAGCTATGGGCCATGGATATCCTGAACTATAGAATAAACATGGTAGTTTCTTGGCATACTTATTTTACTTCCAGATTTAAGGAGTAAATATGCATTAAAATAAACATGCATATACCTTGGCATTGAGTGTAAATGAACATGAATTTTAATGGGAAACTACAAAGAAATTTCACGCTTGTGATGAGCCTCTTGGAGTTACTATGCTTCACCCCTTCAGTGTCAGGCAATTACTTCATTCCTGCTCTGAGACCTTTTCAAATGAAATACTCACCAACTAACCAACCTATTTATCCCATTTTTTGAAAGCACCATCCTTAAATAGTGACCTGCTTTGTGGAGTTTGACCTAAAACAATAGACAATGAGTCTACATTGAGCAAAAGAATGTTGAATGGAATACATGCTAGACGTAAGATGGATGCCCTGAGATTATTTTCCAGCTTCAATTCATTGCCAATGACTTCAAGGCCATCATTTCACTTCCTCAGATACTCACTCTCCTCCTCTATTAACTGGAGATGGTGGTACGTGTCTTCCTGGGTCCGGCAAGTATAGGTGAGCATCAACTAAAATAAAGTGGGGACCTTTGCTTGTCAACATTCTTACAAATGGGATTTCCCTGTGATATTAAATCACAAGTCCTCACCGGTTTCCCAAGGCATGTACATCATCATCAGTAAGGGCATGTGAAAAGACTGCACATCATAAATGGCCCCACCATGTAAAACACAATTTGAATCCTTACTGAGCACCTACTGGTTGAATTAGGGCCATGTGCCGGAGAACACAAAGTAGGACTAAAAAGATGACCCTGATCTGAGAAAGTCAATGTCTAATGGAGAAGTAGCCAAATGTCCCCAGTGTGCCACACCTAGAAAGCAATAGCAAGAATATCCAGGTGGGTTGTGTGTTCAGATGGTATAATTAACAAGACAACCATAGCACTCTTTTATGGATGTCTAGAATATGCCAGGCACTATTCCGAGATAAGGTATACTTATCTCCTCTACACCTTGTAAAAAATGTATACAATGTATCTTCATTTTATAAATGAAGAAATTAAAAAATAAAGAAATTATCTTCATATTATAATTGAAGAATTGAGGCTTAATGAGATAAAGAAGCTTGCTGTCCACCCCATCCTACAGTGTTTGGACCCATATTTTTTGACTTCAAAGCCCGTGGCTACAGGGTTTTCCCAGGCAATGGTGATTGTGTGTGGGAAAGGGTGTTTATGAAAGATACCCATTTTTCTTCACCTCTAATCCATTGACACACTAACCATGTCAGATCCCTCATTGTGCCACAGTTTCTTCATTTGCAAAATAAAGAAATTTATTTAGATGATCTTAATTTTAGGATTCTGGATATACTTGTGAAAAAGGAAGCTAGAAAGATTCAACCTTAAGTCTGCAAAAGCTTCCAGTAGGTTTTAAAATCTGTTCTAAATGAAATGAAGAAGGGTACCATACAACCCTAAATTAGGCATAATTTATCTCTTAGGGGATGATGTCTTTTATTTTGGAAAAATGAAGGTAAGAAGAAAAACTTCACAACTCATCCAGTTCTTTGAAATAAATTGTGAGGCTATATGTATCTCCATATATAAAATATGTATTCATGTGTAATATACATATTCATATACAGTATCTAGTATACACAAACATAAGCATATGTGTAGTCATACAAACATTTCTCATTATTATCATTGTAGTTATTATTATTAACCTGTTTGAATTTGAGGCTGACTCTTCCTCTCCTGTACTCAGAGCTTAAAAATTCCCAGTTCTTACTACTTTCTTTTCCATCTTTAGAAGTTGCTGCTGCTTGTTTCCCAGCTACTTCTTGGTTCCTAACTTTGCTTAAAAGCATTTCTAATTCCTCATATTGAAAAGAGGGTTGCAAATGAGGTTTAATACGAAAATGTTTTGTACCAAGAAAACTAATGCCCATTTTTCCCCCCTAATGAATGCCAAAGTCATCACAGACTCAAGGCTCATGAATAATGTATATCTTCCAATTAAGCGCAAATGCTGTTCAGTTCTTACAACCCATATGTAATGCCTGCTCTGGCCTTAGAATGGGCAGAGGCTGGGGGTAGAAGGAGGGGTTGGGGAGGGTTGTGTGTGTGTGCATGTGTATGTGTGTGTGTATCTGACAGCTAAGCTCCCACAACCTGTAGCATGCTCATTACCTCCTGGGAGTTAAACTTCCCATGCTTGAGTCTGCAGAGATTTGTGAGTCTTTGCAACCATAAATAAAATTTATTTTAAATTTCTAAATCTCCAAACCTGTTCCTTAATAGCCTGGAGCTCTTGCTGATCACTCTACCATCTGTTGCCAAACCGTCAATCTAATTGGCTAGCAGGTACCCACCTCCCCCACTTTCCAGAATGCTGGATTGTTTCAGAAGGGAAGCCTCTGGAGCCCTCCTCTCCAAGAAAGCTACGGTGGTGACTCTGTGGGTAGCTCATTTGCTTCTTTGGGCTTCTGAATGAGATGCTCTTCTTTACGAAGAAAGCCACACAGGCCTTTTGAGGCTGCTAAATTTGGTGTGTTCATCTTCCACTACCAAAACCACAGAGCCAGGAAGACCTGATTTCAAGCCATGACACACCCAGGAAGGGCGGTCATTTCATGTCTCTAAGCCTCAGTTTTCTCATCAGAAACAGAAGATAGTAAACAACAATTGTGGTACCCAGAGTGGGTGCCTAGACTAAAAGCAATATTTTCTATACATGATGAAGCCCCATGCAAACGTTAGGAATTACCCTCTTTGCTGTCAGTGTATAGACATCCTCACTTACAGCTTCATGACTGGACATGACAAAGCCCCAGGGCTTGGGCTGCTCTGAGCCTGATTAACGTTGTTCATAAAAATATTCATCCATCAGGGTTTCCATTTGTAGCATTTAGGTGTGCCAAATAACAGAGCCAGCCAGTGGTTTCTTAGAATTACACCATCTAATAATGAATGCTGGAGACAGATTTTTTCTTTCAGCCTGAAATCTCTTCTTATAACTCAGGGCTGATGAGTGCTGCCCTACATTTCTCGATGGATCCAATTTAACACCAGACGAAGCAGTGACTCAGACTAACTTAAATATCTCAAGATGAGTTTCACCTTTTCCTCTGAGGCCGTATCAGTTCAATTGCATAAGTGCAAATTTATTGAAAGTGGTTTGGTGCTTAGCTTTTCTCTATTGGCAGTAATGGAGTTTAAATTTATAGCAGGCTGATGAATTTCAGATAAGAGAACCATTACCTTACAACAACATTAAGGAAAAATATATAACTCCGATTGCTGAACCTCGAATGTGTATTGTTTGAATGAGGGGAGATGGATGAGGTAGGCTGACATTTGCAAATGCAATTCCTTTCCATCCTCATGGTACTAGCCCAGGAGCCTGAAAGTATGGCATATTCCAGAAAGGGCTTGGGATAGCTATGCATTACAAGTGCATTACAACCAAATAGCAGGAGTAGGCTATGATCTAAAGGAGAGAATTTTTCTTTCTCTTTAGTAATATAATTGGAGGTGTCTTTTGGCAATGTACCAAGGCTGTTAGAGGGCTTAGGTTGTTCCTTTGGTACTTGTCATGTTCCTCTCCCATAGGTTATTTTCCTTTTACTACAAGGCTTTGTCTTCCTGCAGGGTGGAACTCTGGCATTGTAGGGATTAAAATGAAGGATGTACGGTACAAATGTGCAAAGCTTCAGAGAGGATGGAAGGGGCCTGGGCTTCTCCATTATCTTGAGGCTCTTGGTATACATAAAAAAAGGAGAAGAAATATTAAAACAGTGCTATAAAAATTGTGTTATTTTTAAAACAGTTACACTGAACAAATTAACTCTTTTAAAAAATGTGGTATCAATGTGCTATGCATAAGATAATCACAGAATTGCTAAAATAGGGGTTGTGGACAGTATTTTTCCATAGTGAAACACGTAGTAGAATTTTCGGGCTGTGTGATTAACTTTAACTTTCCCCTAGGTCTGTAAAGCATCTCAGCAATCTTGTGAATAACCTCCTTCAAAGATAAAGTTGAAGTCTAAATGTGAGGTCCTTTGTGGGTTTGTGTGTCGAATACCCTTTCTGTTTTCCCATTTTCACCCATTCCCCTACAGGCCATAGCCATCTACATAAGATTTTTTTTTTAAGTTAAAAAAAATGATAAGCATGTGAGGTGATGAATATGTTAATTATCTTAATTTAATCATTCCACAATGTATACATATATCAAAACATCCCACCATACCCCATAAATGTATACAACTATTACTTATCAATTAATAAAATTTAAAAAATAAGAATTCAAAAAATGTTTTGCTCTTGGGCTTCTGTTTTCTGGGTCTTATTCTCCTCATTCACAAAGAGCGTATGTGTGTGAGGCAAGGGTGGAGCTGGGGGTTCTCGGAGCTGCAGGGGTCCAAGGTGGGATCACGGTCCCCAAGGCCAGAGTCCATTCTCTCAGCATTCGAGGAATCATTCTTGTTGCTATAGTGTATCTAGTATACACAAAGTGGAAAGCAGCTCCACTTGGGCCTCCAGAGCTCCATGCTTGGAGTGTTTTCCCTGTGGTCCTCTCTCTGTCCCAGGCCCCTTCTCTGTAGTTTGTGCTGTGGGGGGTGAACCAAACACAACTCAACCTGAAGATGAGAAGAAATGGGAGGACAGCACAGTTCATTTCTCTTCATTCTCCTGAGCTTCCTGAGAAAGGATAGCTAAAGGGATGAAACCCTGAAACTGCCTCTGTCATTTTAGATGCCAGGACCCTTGATGTTTCTCCAGGCACTGAGGGCAGGGGTGGGAAGGACAGGATTTACCAAGGCCTCATGGATGCCCACTCTAACTGCACTTGTGGGGTCCTTTCTGTATGACTTACACTCTCCTTTCTAGAGCACCAGAGGAAGCCAAGCACTGAAAATGCAGTTAACTTTACAAGAGAAAGCTCTGTTTTCTATTAATAACAACAGAGGGATTTGTGCCGAATGAATGTGGGTATACACAAAGCAAATTTGAAAGAAAAGAGGCTACATTTGGTTGGCTAGTTATTTCTTTTGAAAAGAACTGGCTATTAACTAAACTCAGCAAAGTGTGAGTGAAATTAAATAGGCAAACAACTTGATGTTTTGCCAGCAATTTTCTTAGCCAACAAATGGCTTTTGGTGTGGCCCAATCTTGGAACGGTTGATCCTGTCATTCTGGGCTGAAGCAATTGACCGTGGTTTCTTGTTATAATAGCACAATAGAAGAGACCCAGACTGATGTGGCCTTTACCAGAAAGAAGTATTTCAAACACAAATTACAGAACAGTGGCTAATGCTGGTCTAAAGATGTCAATTGCAATTTTAATATGGAGTCTGTGAGGCTCTATCAATAACCAGGAGTTTGGTTGCTTTAATGTAAAGACAATTGGGCACACATCAAACTAATAAAACTAACAATAACATATTACTGTTTTGCATGGACTAAAAATTTTTAACGTGAGAAAAAAACTAGATTATTTAGTTCAATTATAATTCAATTTTCTTATTTTATAGACGAAGAAACGGAAGCCTGCAGAAATAACTCTAGTGTCTTTCCTGGTATATAGATTTGAGCCCCATCTCCTCTTTTTAGTGTCTTGAGTTACAGAAATTGATACTGTGGAGCTTCTGAATTAGGAAGCACAGATTACTTTCTCTGGTCCCATTTTAATTTTTCTCGAAACTCATAAAATATGATTAGAGTGCTTTTTAATTTTTTCTGAAAAGCAGGGAATCGTAAGATTGATAAATAGTTTAATGTGAACCTGATGGCTTGATTAATTAATCACCAAGCTGAGGAACCACTACAATTCATATGTCAATTCAGACTATTTTCGGGAAATGATTTGAATCAATTGCTAATGAAATTGAGAAATTTAGGAGCTGCTTTCTGACTTCCAAATGACAGGGCTCATATTTAACTCAAGAGATGTGACAGTTAATGACAACATAAAAATGCCATGAATTATTTTCCAGATCATGGGAAAAATTACAGCACCTCTTCATTGAAACAGCTCTTAGCTCATCAGTATGAAAATAAACAGCCTTAATCACATGCTAAGAAATCTATGATGCAGTTTAAAAGCTAGGTTATTTTTGAAATAAACAAAGGCCATAATCCTCAGGAATAAGTATAATATTTCATAACCTCTTCCTTAACACAGAGTGATAGATGAACTTAGTGTGGCTGATATCACAACTGACATCCTATGGGGAAAAAAATGAATCGTTGTTCTTCTATCTAATTACTTTAAACCCTTAAAATAGGGAAAGTTTAATTTTTATTTTCTGCTTCAATTCATAAGTGTGAGTTTTCTAGTCCTTTTTATGTTTAAAAGGGCTAGCTTTGTATATCTTCCCATAACTTCTCATTTCCAGCAGGACTTTTTAATTAATGTAGTTACATGTAGACATAACAAGACAGTTATTGTGTGTTAATGAAATACCAATGGAAAGTGCACTGATCAATATTTAATCTAATTAAGATGAATACAAGGCAATATTACTATGTAATTAACTCAAAACAGCATAAGTAACCCATGCATGTTTAAATTTTTATTAATGTATTTGTTAAAAATTTTTAGATCATGCTGTTTTATGGGCTTACTTGAGAGATATAAAATTAAAATGTTTGTCAAGATGCTACTGGAGCAACTATTAAATGTGGCTCTTAATCATCTTAACAGTCCTTAAGGTTCCCATGTAGTTCTAATTGTCTCACTGAGGATGAAAGATGATTTTGCCACAAACAAGAAGCCATATGTAAAACCTTCCTGGAATGGTTTTTGATTATTATATTTTTAGTTCCCCTGTGGTTTTGCCCAGATATGACAGGGCTGATGAATGCAAGACAATTTGAAATACGTTAATATTTTAGGAACATCCTTTAAAGAGCTACCTATTCCTGGAGGAAAAAAATATTTTTTGGAGTAAATATCATTGGATTACTCTAACGTGTGTAATGGGATTTTAACATCACAGCTTCACAAATTCCCTTGAAATTATAACTTGGGGGGGTAAACTTGGGAGGGATAAGTCTTATCTTAAACATGGACCAGAATCTGTTGTCATGATCTTCAGAGGCTCAGATATACAGCATTACAATATGAGAAAACATTTGAATGAGGGTCCTATACTCAAATCCAGAAACAGGCTCTTGTACATAGGCAATAACTTGAGTGGTGCCACAGAATTTGTGCTAAGTTAATATGAAGAATGTGAACTCACAGTTACAAAGCCAAAGCTCTTTTATAAATCTGTTGCTCAGAAAGTTTGCAATGTCTCACACTTCCCTAAATTTCTCAAGCAAATTCAGCCCTTGAACTAGGGAACCATTGCTTGAATTGGCCCATTCCATGTGCAGGTACATGTGTTTACAGACTCTCTCTGTGCTCTCTAAGGCTCTTAGAACACCCAACACACTGGGAAACCTTTTTATACAAATAAATATAAAGATTGAAGTTGGTAGAATGGTGATTTTATTCCAAAGGCTTGTGTTGCTTTCCTCAAGTCTACCATTTTATTGTAGAAGGAATATAGGAGTTACTGGGGCAATTTATTGTTCTTCACCATTCTTGGTATGTATATCTTACTTAAATGTCGGGATGGCATTTCTATGTTTTTATCTCTGTGAATGAGGAGGTGAGGGATAACTCATGCCTTGTTATTCCCCATCTCACCCATGAGTGATGATAACAACAGGGTTCAGACATCATATGTGATATACGCAGCGTATTTTTCTTCCTCTCTCTCGAGATGGCCTGCAAATACTGAAAATGACAGTTATAGAAGGTAAAAATAAATAAATAAAAGATGTGGGATAAAGATGTTCCAATAGAAGTAAACTTTTAAATACTTCTGTGTGCTTGTGTTGCTAATGAAGCCATTGAGACACGCATGATGAGCTAACATGAATGGCTGAAAATGATTACCTTCACCTCTGCTTCTCCATCCTGGCACTATGATAGTTAGAAATATCTTAAGTCCACAATTCCTGTTGTGTTAGAAATCTTGTATAGCTAGACAGATTTCAGGTCTAAGCAAGCTGTGAAGGTAAGTCAGGGAAAGATTCACGAAGCCCTTCTTTCTATGGGTTCATGTCTAAACTCAGTCAGGTGGATGGATCTACAGTCAGTCCTGGAGCCCCCAGGTAGCAGGCAGCTGTGTGGTGGGGGGGAAGGGGAAGGACTTTACCGCCTCAACCACAAATTGCCCCCACATATTGTCTCCTCATAGTAACGGAAAAATGAGAATACTAGGATTTGTTCATATCAAAACTGAAATTTTAAAGGTCCTTTGCTAATAAAGAAAAATTCTTTTTTTTTTTTTTTAGAGACAGGAACTTGCTATATTGCCCAGGCTGGAATGCAGTGATACAGTCCTAACTCACTGCAGCCTCAAACTCCTGGGCTCAAGCAATCCTTCCACTTCAGCCTCCTCGGTAGCTGGGACTATAGGCATGCACCACCAAGGCCAGCTATTTTTTTTTACTTTTTTTAGAGATGAGGTCTCGATATGCTTCCCGGGCCCATCTAGAACTCCTGGCTTCAAGTGATCCTTCTGCCTTGGCCTCCCAAAACGCTGGGATTACAGGGATGAACCACTGCACCTGGCCAAAAAAATTAATTTTTAATCTCAAGAAAAAGGCAACAAAAGAAACCAGAAAATAAATGAGTACTTTGGTCTGGAGCAAAGAACACAGCTAGACTATTCAGAAGAGTGTCTTAGTAGAGTGACTTCTGATTTTAATGTAACAAAATTATTCGAATTGATTTATTATATTATTTTCAACTTTTTCCTCCAAAAATTGGTCCTTTATTCCTTTGCAGTCAACTCTACCCTCCCCATCCCATTCCAGCCATGAGCAACCACTGAATTGCTTGCTGCCAATACAGTTTTGCCTTTTCTGAAATCTTATTTCAATGGAATCATACAGTATGTAATCTTTTGTATTAAGCTTCTTTTACTTAGCACAATGCTTTCAAAATTCATGGTGTCATCGATGACTTCAATAGTTTGGACTTTCATATTGCTGAGTAGTGTCACTTCAATTGATATGCAGGATATGTTTATAAATTAACCAATTGATATATCTCTGTTTTTTCCAGTTTTTAGCTATTATAATAAATAGGATGTGAACATTTGGGCACAAATCTTTTGACAGATATGTTTTCATTTCCCTTGAATACTCAGAAGTGGGAAAGCTGGGTGGATGGTAAAAGTATGCTTCACTTTATTAGAAACTGTCGTGTGTTTCTTAAAGTGGTTGCATAACTTGTTGTTCATACCAGCAATTGTGTGAGAGGTCTGGCAACTTCACATTCTTGTCAGCACTTAGATTCTTGGCCTTCTTCTTTTAGCTGTTCTATCGTATATATAATAGTATTTTACTCTGGTTTTAATTTGCATTTCTATTTTGTAGAAATGTTTAGCATCTTTTCACGTTCTTATCTAGCCATAAACACTCTTTGGTGAAGTATCTGTTCAAATCATTTGCCCTTTTTAAAAAAGCATTTTTACTTAAAATTTTATTTTAAGTGTCCTTTATTCGGAATACAAGTCCTTTATCTGATATGTTTCACAAATTCTTTCCCAGGGTATGATTTGTTTTTCATTTTCAAAACACTCTATTTCTTAAGTTTTATGAAATCTACTTCATCATTTTTTTCTTTGTATGATTCATGCTTTTTTATGTGCTATAAAAAAAGCTTGGGCCGGGCACAGTGGCTCACGCCTGTAATCCCAGAACTTTGGGAGGCCTAGGCGGGTGGATCACGATGTTAGGAGATCAAGACCATCCTGGCTAACATGGTGAAACCCCGTCTCTTCTAAAAAAAATACAAAAAAAAAAAAAAAAAATTAGCCGGGCGTGGTGGCAGGCTCCTGTAGTCCCAGCTACTCGGGAGGCTGCCACTGCACTCCAGCCTGGGCGACAGAGCGAGACTCCGTCTCAAAACAAAAGAAAGCTTGGGCAGGGTGCAGTGGCTCACGCCTGTAATCCCAGCACTTTGGGAGGCCAAGGTGGGAGGATCACGAGGTCAGTAGATTGAGACCATCCTGGCTAACATGGTGAAAACCCGTCTCTACTAAAAATACAAAAAAAGTAGCCAGGCGTGGTGGTGGCCACCTGTAGTCCCAGCTACTCTGGAGGCTGAGGCAGGAGAATGGGGTGAACCCGGGAAGCGGAGCTTGCAGTGAGCCGAGATTGCGCCACTGCACTCCAGCTTTGGCAAAAGAGCAAGACTCCAGAGACTCCATCTCAAAAAAAAAAAAAAAAAAAAAAAAAAAGAAGACAGAAAGAAATTTGGTAACACACAAAGATACCAAGGTCACAAAAATTATCTCCATTAAATTTTTCTAGAAGTAAAACTGTTTCACCTTGTAATTTTGCTTCTATTATTTGTGATGATTTGTTTATTATATATAGAGTAAGATAAGGATTGAGGTTCATTTTTTCCATATAGATGTACAGTTGTTTCAGCACCATTTGTTGAAAAGAATTTTCTTTCCCTTACTGACTTACCTTGTCACACTTGGAAAATCAGTTAGCCATGTGGATGTGAGACTATATATGGACTTTCTATTCTACCACATTAAACTATATATCTATCACACTGTTTTAATTACTGTAGCTTAAAAGTAAGTCTTGCCAGCAGGTTATGTATTCCAATGACCATCATTTCCACAATAGTCTTGACCATTCTGGCCTTCGCTTTTCTATAAAATTTAGAATCAATTAGTCAATATGTTTTAAAAAATCCTGCTGGTATTTTGATTGAGATTGAGATTGCATTGCAACTATAAATTAATTTTGGAAAATTTGGCATTACAATGCCATTCAGTCTCCAGATGTAATTCTCTTATAATATTTTGTAGGTTTCAATGTACAACTCTTGTACAAATGGTCTTATACTTATTGACAAATAATTCATATTTATGATATTGCAACTGGTATATTTACTTACTTATTTATTTATTTTTGAGACAGAGCCTCACTCTGTTGCCCAGACTGGAGTGCAGTGGCATGATCTCGGCTCACTGCAACCTCCGCCTCCTGGGTTCAAGAGATTCTCGTGCCTCAGCCTCCTGAGTAGCTGGGATTACAGGCATGCACCACCACGCATGGCCAATTTTTGTAAAATTTGTAGAGACAGGGTTTCACCATGTTTGCCAGGCTGGTCTCCAACTCCTGGCCTCAAGCAATCTGCCTACTTCAGCCTCCCAAAGTGCTGGGAGGTGTGAGCCACCACACCTGGCCAGTGCAATTGATTTTGTATATTGAGATCATATTCTGCCATCTTACTGAAATCAATTATTAGTTCATGTTAGCTTTTTGCAGATTTCTTGGATTTTCTACTTAGATGATTATGTTGTCTGCAAATAAATCCAGCTTATTACTTTTCAATCTGCTCACTGCTACTTCTTCTTCTCACTTTATCACATTAGTTAAGATGTCTTATACAATGTTAAAAATGGCAAAAGCAAACATCCATGCATTCAGTCTTTCACCATTGTGGATGAAGTTAGCTATAGGTTTTTCATCATGTTGAGGAATTTTCCTTCCTAAATTTGAGAGACACTTAAAGACAGAAATAAATGGAAAGCTATACTGTACTCATGGATCTGAAGACTCATTATCATTTGGATGTCAATGCTCCCCAAATTTAACTATAGATTCAATGTAATTCCAATCAAATTTCCAGAAGTCTTTTTAGTAGAAATGGAAAGGATGTTTCTCAAATTCTTATAGAAATGCAAAGTACCTAGAATTACTAAAACAACTTTGAAAAATAACAAAGTTGAAAAAGTTATACTACTTGACTTCAAGATTTATTATAAAACTACAGAAATCAAAAAAGTTTGACATTAGAGTTAAGGTTGATGATTAATGAAACAGAATAAAGAAACAAGGAATGGACTTCTACATATATAATTAGCTGACTTTCAAAAGAGAAGAAAAATCTACTTTGTGGGGGATAAGCAGTCACTTCAACAAATGGTGCTAAAAAACAACTTCAACAAATGGTGCTAGAAAAAAGTTAATAACAATATATTAAAAATGAGTTTTGATTCATAGCTTTCAAAAATTAACTCAAAGTGAATTATAGTCCTAAATATAACACCAAAACTACAAAATTTCTCAATAAAATTGTAGGAGAAAGGCTTTCTTTGATACAACACTAAGGGGAGAAACCATTTAGAAATTGCTAAATTAGACTCCATCACAATTAAGAACTCCTGCTCTCTTAATAATTTTCTTAAAGTTAAAAAATAACTAAAAATAAATAATGCTGTTAAGACAATGAAGAAACAAGCCACAGATTGGGAGAATATATTTGCAAGTAACATATCTAATAAATGACTTGTACCCGGAATATATCAAGATAACAAATATTTCATAAGAAAAAAACCCAATTTTAAATATGCACAAACTATTATGAGGATAGAACAGAAGTCCCACTATGTAGGTAACAAAAGTTTTGAAAGAGAAAATAGAGAGGATGAAGAAAAAGTAATATTCCAAAAAAAGAAAGACTGATAATTCTAAGTACTAAAGAAAGCCACACATCCTTAAATGGCAAGAAATGACAGAGTAGGACTAAAATACACACAACACTAACACCATCAATGCTATAGTGACATATTATAGATACACATCAGGATATCAACCATAAAGAGAAAATTGTAACACATACCAAGAGGGAAAAAGGCAATCTACTCTAGCAATTACCATCAATTCTCTGCCATACTTGGTAGCCTTAAATGCAATGATTAGAAAACAAGAATTGATGCCTCCCCATAAGAAATCCTAAACCAATGGGTGAAAAAGAGTTGGAGTGTGAACACTTCAGCTTCCTTACGTTTAGAGTGGGATAATTCTGAGGCAAAGATTCTACACTGTTTCCTAGACTTGTTCAGAAGAATAAGTTCATTTTCCCCAGTGGTAACCAGCTCAATCATTCACACCTTCTTGGGCCTCCTCCCCTTCCTTTCCTGTCTTGATTTCTTATTAGGGTTTCCTGGGATCATCTCCCAAATAAACTATTTTCTTTGCCTCAGAAACTGCTTCAAGAACTCAGATAGCACTAGATTCGTCATTATCAATATTGCATACAAGAACTCCAAAAATGGAGAGGGTGGGAGCGAGCTGAGGGTTGAAAAATAACCTATTGGGTACAATGCTTACCACTTGGGTAATGGGTACACTACAAGCCCAGTCCCTACCAGTACACAATATACTCATGTAACAAACATGCATATATATCCCCTGAATCTAAAATAAAATAAAATAATATCTTGAAAGTGATGAAGACAATACTTTGATTCTAGAATTCTATCCCCACAAATATTGTCATTTAAAGGTGATTTTGGACTCAGAACTTCTATAAATTATAGACCGTGTCTGAAAATAACTACTAATCAGAGGATGAACTACATTCGGGAAAGAAAATGAGTCCAGAAAGAAGCAGGAATATGTGTGAAGAAATAGCAAAGAATTGAGAACTACTTGTTGTTAGACCTAAATAAGTATTTATTATGAAAAGAAAAAAAACAACAATAATATGAACTAAATTTTCAGGCAGTTGCTCCAGGGGCATTAGTGGAGGCTAAGGGCAAAGCTGAGAAAAAGGAAAATGTGCTGTGATTTTTACATTGCTCTGGAGAAAATATAGTTTCTAATTAACAGATTCCAGACTTTAAAAGAAATTAAAACTAGAACTAATTACAGAATTACCTCACATAGGCATTGCTTAGTTAATAATGTTTTGCCATAAGAGCTCTTGAAAAAACATACCATTTCCTGGACACAACTACTTTTCTTTTTTGGTATAATGACTTTTTCACCAACAAGCACACTAAGTTAATGTACTCTAAGATGTGGTATTTCAACATTACAGTTTCAAGCAAGAATACACTCGCCAATTTTCTAGACACACTTTCTAGTCAGTGAATACCACATGGAACAACTTTAAATACAAGTTATAGTTCCATGAACCAAAACATTTTATTTGTGAAAATGTGCCAAGTGAGAAGGATTAAGAGGAGCTGCTTCTTCAACTCTTCAGCCTGAAGTGTCTACTCTTTTACTATGTGTTTTCAAAATGCTTTTGGAATTAGCACTAATTCCCTTAAGTATATATTTTTCTGTTCTTTAATTTTATTTGTAAGAGTTTAACCAACAAACACATGAGAAAATGCTCAACATCACTAATAATCAGAGAAATCCACATTAAAACCACAATGAGATATCACCTTACACCAGTCAGAATGGCTATTATTAAAAAGTCAAAAAACAACAGATGTTTGGTGAGCATGTGGAGAAAGGCAAGCGCTTAGACACTGTTGGTGTGAAGGTCAATTAGTTCAACCTCTGTGCAAAACATTATGAAAATTTCTCGAAGAACTAAAAATAGAACTACCATTCAACCCAGCAATCTCACTACTGAGTATCCACCCAAACAAATATATATCATTATATTAAAAAGACACCTGCACCCATATGTTCATTGCAGCAGTATTCAGAATAGCAAAGTCATGAGACCAACCTAAGTATCCATCAACAATTGACTAGATAAAGAAAGTGTTTTACATATACACCATGGAATACTATGTACTTATAAAAAAAGAGTGAAATCATGTCCTTTGCAGCAACATGGATGGAGCTGGAGGCCATTATCCTAAGTGAACTAACTCAGAAACAAAAGCCCAAGTACCACATGTTCTCACTTATAAGTGAGAGCTAAACAATGGGTACACATGGACATAAAGATGGAAATAATGGACACTAGAGACTCCAAAAATGGACAGGGTGGAAGCTAGCTGAGGGTTGAAAAATAACCTATTGGGTACAATGCTTACCATTTGGGTAATGGGTACGCTACAAGCCCAGTCCCCACCAGTATACAATATACTCATGTAACAAACATGCATATGTATCTCCTGAATCTAAAATAAAATAAAATAAAATAAAAAGAGTTTGAGTGAAGCTACAAAGTGTTAAATAAGAAAGAGGGGCAAAATAATGAATGCACTTTCTCAAGAGTCTCCCCCTTGCATGTCTCCTCCACCAATTCCACTTTTCAAGTTTCTCTTCATCTTTTGGTGAGTACAGAAAACCTGTATTATGTATTTTTGGTTTTTAAAGTGTTGCTTATATCTTACACAATTTAATTGTTCAATTTATATTTCTATTTGTGCAAAGTGTGCACGTCTCTAAGTTTGAAGTGGAGCACATCTAATTTTTTCCATATAGACGTTGCTTTTCCCATTTTAGCTGTGATAAGGAAGAAGCTTGGAAGTCATCACTCCTGTCATTACAATAAAAAGCTAGGCAAACTGAAAATAAACAACTCTTCTTGAACCCATCAGATACCTGAGGCCACAGGGTATACTGCTACTCCAAAATCTGGTAAAAGTGACCCAGAGAGATGCAGCACTAGAGATTTACTTACCTGAAGCAGAAGCCAGTGGAAGCCAAAGGTTGTAGAACCACTACTTTTTCTAGTAATTTCGACAAATTGCTGTAGGCTGAGTGCTAAGTAGCTTGATCATGAGAGATTCCTGGGGGCTGCAATCAAAGGAGAACCCCCACACTTTCTCCAGTTTTCCATCCAGGAACCCCCCCCCAGGTTTTCACGGTGAGGATCCAAAAAAAAAAAAAAAACCAAAAAAAAAATCTCCTGTGTCTCTGACAAGGGGAAGGGAAAAGCAGAAAGTGTAACCCTCCCATTTCCTTCCCTGTAACAAAGGCTTATTCTCCAAGAAGAAATATTTTGCCGTAGAACAGCAGTTAAAACTTACTGAAACTAGGGCAATGGATTTCCTTCCCACTGAAGTCTTTTCTAGTCTTATGTTTTACCTAAGGTAACACACAAAAAGGAGAACAACAACAAAAAGAAAAAAAAATTAACAGAGGGCAGAGCTTCAAATATTTATTTATTTATTTTTCAATATATTATTGGGAACTTGGTAGCCAGGCAAGGTGGGAGACCTACATTCCTGGGGGAAAGGAGGAAAACATTTGTGAAGGCTGCACTCCGAGACAGAACTCCACTGAAAGATGGAGACTTCCCTTCCTCCCCTCCCAACTCACCACACCAACAAACCAAAATATGACAGGATTATAGCTGAAAATCTGTAAGATATAGACTCCTCTCAAGAGAAGTGTTAACAGAAGCCTCAAAGCCAAGAGAGGAAACAAAAAAGAAATGGCACTACAAAAAAGAAATGGTCCCTAAAGCTACAACAAACATGACACACAGCCCATCTTAGAGCCAGATTAACATAAATCCCCCCCAAAAAAACCTACTTACCTGAGTAGCCATTACTGATACAACATATTGACTTTTAACCAAAAATTATAAGCCATAGCCTAAGTCAAGAAAAGCCAGTCTCGTTTTTCAAGAAAAGCCAGAAGCAATCATCACAGTCACATTCAGATATGACACAGAAGTAGAAATTCACAGATAAGGAATTTGATGTGGCTATATGTTAAGGGTTCTAGTGAAAAAATCAACAACATGTGAGATCAAATGGGTAATTTCATAAGACAGGTTAAACTATAAGAAAGAAAAAAAATTAAAAATCAAAAGCACAGTGATAGAAATAGAATGCCTTCAATGGACTCCATAAGAGCACTCAATACAACCAAAGAAGAAATTAGTGAAATTGAAGATTGGTCAATAACAACTTCTCAAACTAAAACACAAATAGAAAAAAATAAACAGAACTTGAACATAATATTCAAGAACTGTGGGGAGATATGCATAACTGAAACAGCAGAAAGCAAAGAGAGAGTGGGGCAGAAGAAGAAATGTTTTAATTAATAATGGCTGAGATGTTACTGAAATTGATGACAGATACTCAACCACAGTGTCCAGAGGCTCAGAGAATACCAAGCAAGAAAACACAACCGTAGAAAACCAAAGATAGTGAGAAAATCTGGACACAAATCAGAGGTGGGAGAAAAACCTTCCCTATATAGGAACAAGGATAAGAACAAAGCAGACTTCTCGTCAGAATCCATGGAAGCAAGAAGAGAGTGCAGTGGAATATTTAAAGTGTTGAAAGAAAAAAACAAACTGTCAACATAGACTTCTACATTCAGCAAAATTATTCTTCAAAAGTAAAGGAGATAAAGACTTTCTCAGACAAACAAAAACAGGAAATTTATTGCCAGCAGAATAGCACTACAAAAAGATATTGAAACGAGTTCTTCAGACAGATGGAAAATTACACAGGCCAGAAATTTGCAACTACATCAAGAAAGAGTGTCAGAAAAGAAATAAATGAAGCTAAAAATAGAATATTGTATTTTATTACTCCTAATTCATCTAAAAGAAAACTGTGTTATCAGAGCTATAATAGTAAAAATACATTAGGTTATCATAGCATATGAATAAGTGAAATATATTAGTAAAAGTTTATAAAAGATGTTGGAGAAATTGGGAATACTCTGTTATATGGTCTCTATACTATATTTGAAGTAGTACAGTGTTATTTGAAAGTGGGCTTAGATTATTTTATGTGTATATGAATATACATTTCTATATATAATAGTATGTTTATATTATATATAATAGTGTATTTTATTTTATTTTAATATATATTTATATGTAAAATAATATATATAATTATACGCACATATAAAATAAGCCCTAAAGCAGTGGCTAAGAGCATTTTCAAAGTAAGTATAAATGATGCAGTAAGAGAGGAGATGAAAGAGAATTATAAAATGCTCACTTAAAGCCAGAGAAGATAGAGAAACGGGATAAAAAGAAACAAAGGACAAACATAATACTTAGGAAACAGTTACAAAGATGGTAAATTTTAATACAACTGTATAAATAATCACTTTAAATGTAAATGGTCTAAATACCACAGTTAAAGATCAGAGATGTCATATCAGAGAAAGAAGCATAATTATACACTGTCTAGAAGAAACCTGCTTTAAATACAAAGATTTTAGCTACAAGTAAAGAGATGGAAAAGGATCAAAAGAAAGCTAGAGTATCTATATTAATTTCAGACAAATCATACTTCAAAACAGGAAAATATTTCAAAGAGAAACAGGGACATTACATAAAGATAGTTAGGTCAGTTCTCCAAGAAATCCTAACACTTATAATCCTGTGTGTACCTGACAACAGAGCTTCAAAATACATGGGACAACAACTAATAGAAAGAATGGAGAAATGGACAAATCTCCTATTATATTTGGAGACGTCAATACATCTCTACCAGTAATTGACAGATCAAGCAGGCTGAAATCAGTAAAGATATGTGACATGAACAGCACTATCAGTTTGATCAAGTTGGCATTGCATAGAATACCCCATCAAAGGACAGCAGGATGCATATTCTTCTCAAGGACACATGGAATATCCATGAAGATAGATAATATACTGGGCCATAAAGTATGCCATACATTTAAAAAAATAATGTAAATCATACAAAATATGCTCTCAGACTACAGCAAAATTAAACTAGAAATCAATAACAAAAAGATAGCTGGTAAATGCCCAAATATTTGGAGGTTAAGCAACATTCTTCTAAATAATGGGTCAAAAAGAAATATCAAAAGAAATTTTAAAATACTTAAGTAAAAATACAACTTATCAAAATGTATGGGAAGTAGCAAAAGCAGTGGTTAGAGGGAAACTTATAGCTTTAAATACACTTATTAAAAAAGAGAACGATTTAGAGTCACTCAACTAAGAAAACTATAGGAAGAAGAACAAATTAAACAAGCAGAAGAAGGGAAATTATTTTAAAAAATGGGAGCAGAAATCAACAAAAGTTAAACCAGAAAAACAACAGAGAAAACAAAACCAAAAAGTGCTTATTTGAAAAGATCATTAAAAATTGGTAAGTCTCTAGACAGGCTAAACCTGAAAAAGAGAAAGAAGATTCAAATTACCAGTGTCAGGAGTGAGAAAGGGGTCATTACTCCTGCTCCCAACGACATTAAAAGGATAACAAGGAAATACTGTGAACAACCCTATGCCCACTAATTTTATATGGATGAAATAGACCAATGTCTCAAATGACATTAACTGTCATGAAACAGATCATCTGACTAGTACCATAAATAGTAACAAAATTGAGTTCATAGTTTACAACCTTCCAAAAATAAACCACTAGTTCCAGGTAGTTTTACTGGTGAATTCCACCAAATATTTAAGAAATAAATTATACAATTTCTCCACAACCTCTTTAAGAAAATAAAAGAAGAAAGAACACTTCCCAACTCATTTTATCAAGCCAGTACAACCCTAATATAACAATCAGATAAAGACATAATAAGAAGGAAAACTATAAGTGAATGTATCTCATAAATGAGACAAAAAGATTTTTTACCAAAATGCTCATCAATTAACTTGAGACATACATAAAAAGAATAATACACCACTACCAAGCGGAATTCAGTTCAGGAAGTCAAGGCTGGTTCAACATCACCAATCAATGTAATTCACTATGCTAACAGACTGAATAAGAAAAATAACATTTTCATATCGATACACGGAGAAATACATCAAATTTAACAAATTTAACATTAATTTATTATTTACCAAAAAAAGCTAGAATAAAGAGAACTTCCTTAACCTGGTAAAAGATATATATATATATATAAACCTTGTAGCTAAAGAAACTGAATGCTTTCTCCATAGTTTTGCAAACATAGCAAGGATATCCTTTCTCTCTACATTTTTTCCAACATTACAATGGAAATCCTAGAGCATAAAATAAGGCAACAGTAGAAAAGTCATACATATTGGAAATGAAGAAATTCACAGATGACATGATGTCTATGTAGAAAACCCTAAAGATTCTACAGAAAAAAAAAAAACACAAACAACAATGAAAAAACCTCTTGGAACTAATTAATGAGAAGCAAGGTCACAGGATACAAGTTCAACATAGAAAAATAAGGTGCTTTCCTTTGTATCTGCAAATGAACAATTGAAATTTAAAATTTTACAAATAACATTTACAATATCACAAAAAATGAAATACTTAGATATTAATCAAAAAAATATGTTCAGGATCCATATGCAGAACACTACAAGCACTGATAAAAGACATTTTTAAGAGATCTAAATAAATTGAAAGACATCCTATGTTCATGCATTGGAATAATCATAATTGTTAAAATGTCTGTTCTTCTCATCTTGATCTATAGAATCAACTCAACGCCAATCAAAATCCCAGCTAGCTTTTTTTTGTTAACTGATTCTAAAACTCATACAAAAAGCAAAAACCTAAACAGCCACACAATATGGAAAATGCAGAAGAAAAAAGTTGGAGGGTTCACATTACTCAATTTCAAAACATACTATGCCTTACACTTCCATTAGAGACAGCATGGTGTTGGTAAAATAGACACACAGACCAATCGAAAAGGATAAAGATACCACATAAATATAGTCAACTTATTTTTGACAAAGATGCAAAAACAATTTGATGGGGAAAGGATAGTCTTTTCAACAAATGGTGCTGGAACAATTGGGCATCCATATGCCATAAGTGTGTGTGTGTATACACAGACCTCACAACTTACAGAAAAATTAACTCCAAATGAATACAGAACTAAATGTAAAATGCAAAACTTAAACTTCTAGAAGAAAATCTAATGCTGGTTTAGTGATGACTTGCTAGATACAAAACCGAAAGCATGATCCATGAAAGAGAAAATACATAAGTTGTATGTTACTGAAATGAAAAATTCTACTCTGAAATACACTGTTACCAGACTTAAAAGAAAAGCCACAAACTGAGAGGAAATATTTGCAAATCAAGTATCTGACAAAGGACTCGTATCAAGAATATACAAAGAAATCTTAAAACTCAGCAAGAAGAAAACAGCCTAACTGAAAAATGAGCAAAATATCTATCAAACACATCACCAGTGGGGATGTACACATGGAAAACAAGCACATGAAATAATTATCAACATCATAGGTTATTAGAAAAATGCAAATTAAAACCACAATGCAATATCGCTACACACCTACTAGGATAGCTAAAACAACAACAAACTCACAATATCAAATGTGGTGAGGACGTAGAGCAACAGGAACCCTCATTCATGGCTGGTAGGAGCACAAAATAGTACATCCACTCTGGAGGACAACTTGGCAGTTTTTCGATTTTTATTGTTTAGACGAGGTATTTTTCAATTGTGGTAAAATCTACATAACATAAAACTTACCATTTTTACTGTGTTTAAGTGTGCAGTTTAGTGGCATTAAGAGCATCCACATTATTGTGCAACCATCACCACCATCCACCTCCAGAACTTTTTCATCTTTTCAAAATAATATTCTGTACCCATGAAGCAGTAACAGGCCATTCCTTTCTTCCTCCAGCCACTGGCAACCACAGTTCTATTTTCTGTTTCTATGAATTTCACTCCTCTAGGTACCTCATGTAAGTGGAATCATTGGAATCATATAGTATTTGTTCTTTTGTGACTGGCTTATTTTACTTAGCATAATATCTTCAGATTTCATCCATGTTGTAGAATGTGTAAGAATGTCCTCCCTTTTTAAGACTAGATAATATTCCATTGAATGGATATATTAATACCACATTTTTTTATTCATCTGCTAATGGACACTGTGGTTGTTTCCACTTTGGGGCTACTGCTATTAATACTGGTGTATGAATTTTTCTTCAAGTTATTGCTTTTAATTCTTTCAGCATGACTCTTTTTTTTTACAAAGCTAAACACAGTCTTGCTATATAATCCATCAATTGTTTTTGTATGTATTTATCCAGCTTATCTGAAAATTTATGTCCACACAAAACCCAGCCCACAGATGCTTATAGGAACTGTATTCAGAATTACTAAAACTGGAAGCAACAAAGATGTCCCTCAAAAAGTGAATGGTTAGTGTAATATATGTAATATAAAATATAATATATCTTTATAATGGAACACCACTCAGTGGTATATAAAGGAATGAATTGTCAATCCAAGCAAATACATGGATGAATCTTAAATGTGTATGGCTGAGTAAAAGAACCAGACTAAAAACAACACATACTATATGATTCCACTTACATAGTATTCTGGAAAAAGCAAAAGTAGAGAGACAGAAAACAGATCAGTGGTTGCTAGAGACCTGCAGGGTAGGTGGGTAGAACGGAATATGTGAAGCACATAAGATTTCTTAGGATGATGAAACTATTCTCCATGATACTGTTGTGATGGATATATGGCACTATGAATCTGTAAAAACTCATGAAACATTACGGTACCAAAAGCGAACCTTACTGTATGTTCTATAAATGCAAATGTTAAGAAATCAATTAGGAGGTGTGGAGATCCCAAGATTGAGCCCAGACTGTGTCAAATGAGTCCAAATGTATTATAAATATATGACATACCTTACCAAGTAAGAGGAAAAGAAGTACTGACCTAAGTAGTTTTGAAAATGTATGGAAATTATAAGACTAAAGTCAAGAGAAACTGTCTATAAGCACCATACTCCAGTTGGTAAAGTTATTTCTCGTAAGAGTACAGATTGACAATTCAACACACTATGCATGCATGATGAGATTGAATAAATAAGTAAATGGATGACAGCTCCTGGGAGCCAGGTTTCTCACTGTCGGATTTGGAGGTTACAGACAAGGAAAGCTAGAATGAATCATAGAATACTGAACTGGAGTTGAAAATATCAGTGTAAACTTATCTTTAGATTAACTTAGATACAGGTGGATTAATGTAAAAATAATTATAGATATGTCTGTCTACACAGTTAGTATATACATATATTTCCAACCTCATCCCACTGAAAGGGCCTAGAATCAATGACACTCCTTAGCAAAGAGCATGCCTAGCACCCAAACTTTGGTTTCAAATACCATTCTCTGATAAAAGAAACCAGGGCTCCTGGAGGAAATGGCAGATTATGAGGCTAGAGCAAAGAATATACAAGATGATCCTAGAGCATCTTATAATGTCAGAAAGTAAGGAAGGACTAAAAATAAAATAAAACAATGGGGTTATGTCAGAACACATGGAAGCCAGCAGTCAGAGCTCCCAATGGCCAAGGCTGGAACATTATGAACAACAAAATAAATAAAATGTATTGAAATATAACCCAAAGCACTATATATATGTGTGTATATATATACACATATATACATATATACACATATATACATATATACATATATACATACATATATACATATATATACATATATATACACACACACTTATTGATATAAACAATTTATTAAATAAATTTATAAATAAATGAGAATAGATAATTCTGCCATACGGAATTTCAAACAATGTATGTAGTTACTTTCTCCTCAAGAAGGTGAAGCATAACTCCTCATTTCCTTAATGTGGGTTGCTCATGGCTTTCTTCCAAATAGAATAGTATAGAACACCGGCAGGGAGGGGAGAGGGGAAGGGCAACTGTACGGTGGAGAGACCTGACAAACACTACCTCAGCCATGTGATCAAGTGATCAATATCATCAGTGATATGTCATATTGACAGTATGTACACTGATATAATGTGATAAAAATGACATGTTACAACTCTATGGTCTTCAGAGATCCCAGAATTACAGTCTAAACATGAGAAAAAATATCAGACAAACTCAAATTAAGAAACATCCTACCCAATAACTAACTAATATTCTTCTAAAGTGTCAAGGTCATAAAAAATAAGGAATATAAGCATTGTTACAGTCAAGAGGGCTCTAAAGAGTCACGATGACCAAATGTAAGTTTCTTTACATGTGGAATCTTGGAACAGAAAAAGAACATTAGGTAAAAACTGATTAAATCCAAATGAAGTGTAGACTTTAGTTAACAATAACAAATCAGTATTAATTAACTAGTTTTGACAAGTATATCATACTAATTTAAGATGACTCTGTTTATCTCTGCTCTAGAACATGCATTAATTATTAAGGTCCATAAAATCTATTAACATGAAGTCCCCATTTTTAACCCCTCTGATGTTTAATATATATAGTAAACTATCAAAAAATATGACCACTTCCTTATTTCAGAGTCCTACCTCTCATTTCCTTGTGGTCTAATACTCACAGCCGGAACATTCAAGAACTTCCCAAGCCAATAGTTATTTCTATTGTGACCTGGTATTTCTATTGTGACCTATTTGACCTAGACAAATTCCTTCTGCAGGCCTTTGTGAATGCTTGAGCAACAGGCTTTGCAGTATGGCTTTAATCCTTCACTATCTGTGTACCTTGTTCAATGAAGGAGATCTAGTCCTGGAGCCGATTCTTGAATCCATTTCAAATATAAGGAAGAAAATTTCTCAAACAGAGAGAAAATTACCTAAGCAAAATGTCCCTGAGATTTCTTCAGGGATAGCTCCTTAAAGAGGGGAAGAAAAGCTCATTCTCAAGAAGATATTTTTATCAAAGAAAGGAATCAGAGATAATTGGAGTTGGAAAAAGCCATGGACAAGATATTTGGACAAGGTGTGGAGACGAAGCCTCAGAAAGATTAAATGAGTCACCCCTAGACATAGTTTGTTAGTATCAGAGAGGAAATAATACATGGTTCTAAAGTAGCATGCTTCTCACATTTTCGTCTTTTACCTCTTTAGCAAATTTAACCTTTTCCATACAGCTGTTGAGATAACCTACTGATCATACAAGCTAAATCAACGTAAGGGACATATCTCAGAAAATGTACCCAAACTGCCTCCCTTTTCATTATCGAAAACCACGAGATGAAAGTCTTTAATAACTCACCACACAAGAGGACCATTTACTGTCAGCATATACCACTCAGACATATATTACAGCTTTTTACTTCTCAACACAAAATTGCTTTGAAATTTACATTTGCTATAAAGGATTCAAGTCCATCACTATTAATTTTCTTCTACAAATTATGTTTAATTATCACCTCTCTCCACCTAGGAAGAACCCCCTCTTGTATTCCTGTCTCTGTACAGCTCTCGAGAAGAGTTTTCCCAGCATGAATCTGTGATGGTGATTTTATATCCCCAACTTGCCCTTCCTCGTCAATCTCACCCAGCCTGCTTGGAAATATGGAAATGAATGGTTAGCTTGGCTCCACATTTCCTGCATACATATGAAATCTGGTCTCCCTGAGCAAGGGGAAAAAAAGACAACGTTTTCCAGCCTTAGCCTATGGACAATTAGGCTAGAAATATTCCACTTTAGCAGGTTTGAAATCCACCCATGATTGATTGCTTAACAGTTCATACACTACATTACATCTACTAAAGAAACTTCTTGGAGATTCAACTATTTCTCTGATGCTTCAATAATCATCTTTATTCTCTCTCAGTTTTGGAACTCTAGAAGAAACTAAAAGAAATAGAGAAATCAAAAAAGTATATTTTATTATTTTTAAATCTAGTTTCTATGTTTTCTTACTGAATGGCGTAATATAAATTGCATGGTCTTTGAAGTCAGATACATCAGCGGTCAAATCATAACTCTACTGAAAAAGTATGCAACTTCAGGCAAGTCTCTTATCTCTGAGCCCCGGATCTCTCAACCTTAAACATAAAGTTATTTTAACTTTAATTGAGACTGGAATGTATTACTCTTGGCAGCTTCAAGGAATTCAAATGTTAATTGTCTTTCCCTTCCAAATTCAATGAGGCAATATTTTCGTCTACAATTTTTGTTTGCAACTGATCAAATCTCAACTCAAAGTAGCTTAAGCAAAAAGGTGGTTTACTGACTCACATAACTAGCAAGTGCAGCACGTCTCTGGCTTTAGACATAGCCAGATTAAAGTTTTCAAGCAATGTTGTCATGGCTTTTGATTCTGTTTATCTCTGCTTGGTGCTGTTCTGAACATAAGTACTGACCAGATGCCTGGCAAAATAGCCCACGTAAGTTACATATCTTTAGCCTCAGTACATATTTTTAATACATATTTAACAGCACCACCATCCACTAACTTCCTTCAACCTCCAAAATTAGAAGTTATCCTTGTTTCCTCCATTTTCTTTCTTTCTTTCTTTTTCTTTCTTTTTTTTTTTTTTTTTTTTTTTTTTTTTTGAGACAGAATCTCACTCCGTTGCCCAGGCTGGAGTGCAGTGGCACGATCTTGGCTTACTGCAATCTCTGCCTCCTGGGTTCAAGCATTTCTCCTGCCTCAGCCTCCCAAGTAGCTGGGATTACAGGTGCGCACCACCACGCCCAGATAATTTTTTTTTTTTGTATTTTTAGTAGAGACGGGGTTTCACCATGTTGGCCAGGCTGGATTTCCTCCACTTTCATGATACTTCACTTCATCCATAGCTTATTGAGTTTTCTTAGCTCTACCTTCAAAATATGTCCTGAAAGAATCCTCTTTGT
Source organism: Homo sapiens (assembly GCF_000001405.40). Classification (NCBI taxonomy): domain Eukaryota; kingdom Metazoa; phylum Chordata; class Mammalia; order Primates; family Hominidae; genus Homo; species Homo sapiens. Next base: position 76,760,422 of record NC_000010.11, read on the forward strand.
CTTTTAGCTTCCTCCCTAGTGCAAGTTAACCTCATTCTTGCCTGGACTAATGCAGTAGTTTTCTAACTCACATCCCTGCTTCCATGCTTACTCATATACACTCCACGATATCTTCAACACCCAATAGGTACCCTTTTAAAAACAAATGAGGAAATATTGCTCCTTCACCTAAAACCTTCCAACGGCTTGTCATTTTGCTTAGACTGAAGTACAATGTCTTGCCCTTGGGCTGCAGTCACCAGGTGAACTGGCCCTTTTCCCCTTCTCAATCTCAATCAGATTCATTCTAACCCTTTTATAACACTCCAGCTATGAAAGTCTTCTTTGATTCGTAGAACACACCATGCTCATTCTCACTCCTGGGCTTTTCCTCTCCCTTTCTGTGCCTGGAACTTTCTGCCCTCATCACCACATGGCTGGCTGATTTTGCCAGATGATTCAGGAATCAAGTCATAGGGCACCTCTTCATTGACTCAAAGTATCCCCTCACCACCACCATGCAATCTCTCATACATCACTCTGCTTTATTTCATTTATTCAATCTATTGTTCCCCATTTATTTCCTTTTATTCATGTATCTTGTTCTCTACTATATCCCTGGTACCTAGATGAATGTTGGGACCACACGAGAGAATATATAAATACCTGCTGAATAAATAATTATAAAATACATTTTCCCATAACTCTTGTAGAATATATGATATTGTGGTATTGCACAGGACATTCTATTTTTTATCTGGCTACCACATGCATTATGAGATTTATGCATCTGTAAGTACTAAGTAATTGACATCTATAACCTTATTATTTATGAATTATCATCTACACATTAATAGCCAGACTCCCTAACATGGTCCAGGTGGTGACTAGAATGATACAATCACAATTATATGTGCTAGGTAAATGACTCTTTTAATGAGATGCAGCAATATAATATTCATGTCTTTCCTATGTTCATATACTTTGACTAATTCTTCTAGAATTAGCTTCAGCTTATCTACTTTCTTCATTTACTGAAGAGTTCTTTAATATTGAGCCTTGTTTTTCCATTGGTTGAAGTTAATAATCATTGGCTAAAGTATATTTGAAACTGACATGTAATATGAGAATAAGAACCTATATGTTCTGTTTAAATAACTCAACAAAACTGTACATTTTGACCCAGAAGCTGTTTACTCAGGTAACCCAAATGAAAGTATCATCAGCATTATTAGCAGCATCATCATTAAAATGTCAAATCTATCATCATTAAAACAGCAAGTCTCATGAGTTTTGAAAAGATTGTGAGAGAGGAGACATTTAGAGATTTTCTATTGCAGGACATACAATATTTTAATTGACCCCAAATATAACCTTGGTTTATTGAGATGTTAGCACTACTTAATATAAGATTATATTTCATTATGAATAGCCCTTGCTGGTTCAGAGCTATTCTGAATATGCATAACTAGACATCTTCTTGCAGATCGAAACTAATACATTAATCCGTACCTTTGAATACAATCCTTCAGCTAGGTACTTGTCACCTTACTGAGGGAGGGTCCCTGCTCGATACTTGTCCACAAAGGGATTTTGAAAACTTGGTCAAATGCCATGGGAAAATCCAGGTACAATTTATCTACAAATTCTTAATCTACAAACAATACCAAGAACAGTAAATAGGGTTTGTCGGTCATTATTTTTTTTCCTAATGACCCTATCTTGCATCCTGGTGGGACCTGCTTTTCCACCTCAGTACTCATAAACCAGCTTGTATTATTTCACACTGTAACACTGATCAAAAAAAAAATCTCAGATGTATAGTTTGTCATACTTTTACCTTTTCGAAAAACAAACGTTGCCCTCTTCTATTATCATCTGGCAATTCGCCTAATCTTAGGAATTATATTTGGAAAATATCTTGGGATATAAGCCCAGCCATTAAGGAGCTATTCAGTGTTAGAACCACAACTCACTCTCTTATAATCTTGCCAACCTTCTAGGGTCTCAGTTCCCACATACTCAGTGTCACAGACTTCAGTCCAAAAAAAAAAAAAAATTCTTTTTACAAAAAAGACCAAAGGAAGTGAGTGTATTTTGACTTTATATGCATTGTTATGATAAAGAAGAATCAGATAAAGAGCTCTAGATATTCAGAAGAAAACCTTAGCCTTGGCACCACATGGAATTTGCAGCATTTTCTCCACCTTGGAGTCTCACCAGGAGATTGTTACTCTGACATGAGGTGAGATCAACATGTCTACCATTCATTTACTGACTGTAGTCACAGCTTTAATTGTATGCTTTTCTGGAGCTTGAGTTATATATGTGTGTTTCTTAGAAACATGTGACCAGGTTTGAGCGAGAAGAGGAGAAACCCTCAATAGATATTGAACATGGTTTCCACAAGTGGATCAAAAGCAAAATTGAGAATTTATTGACAACTTTTTCATCTCACCTCCACTTCTCCCTCCTTAAGCTCTCCCAAGGAGAGAAAATCCCTTCTTTTCTCTCAAGTACTGAGTCATCTTGCTTCTCAACGGTCACCTTAATTTCCCACAGAGACACTTCCAAACATTGCACATAAAACTTTGTATATCTGATTTTTATGATAGACTCTTAGGAAGGAACTTCTAGGAAATATTGTAAAAACATTTTTAAGCACTTCACTATATACTACCAGAATGGCATTCTATTTATTCATCTGAAAACTGAGACCTCCTGCTGCCACAAAGCTGAATTCTCAGGACTGAGAACTGAAGCCAGCTATATCAATATGATTTCACTCCTTCTTCCAGGAAATTGTTGCCCATTAAGACAAGGCTGTAAACCAATACATAATTTCACCTGTAGTTTCAGAAAATTTCTAAGAACTAAGTAATATAGATAATTAACTTGTACATATGGACAAACAGATCCCTTGTCAAAACAATAGATTGCCTGTGTGTGCAAATAGCTTGTGAATCAAACTACTTTTACTTGCCAAGACTTGCTTAAAGGTCCTTGTCCCACTGTTTTATTTATTATCACCTATTTTAAACTATTACATCATAAGATTTAGTCACTCCCGGTGAAATCCTTATACTGAAATACCTCCCTTAAATCACTGGAGCCCAGATCTCTAAACCCTAAAGATTTCTACCCATGACCACTCTCTCTGAGACATGACTAAGACTCTGTTAAGTTGGCATTCTCCATTACTGCAGTAGGTTTAGTAAGCTTAGCTTTATTCCAGTGGCTTTTTGGAAAGTCAGCTGTCAAGACATCAACAAACATGTATCAATTTACTTCCTGGCACCTTGCTAGACACTGGGGATTCAGTGATGGCTAAAAATAACATAGTTCATGTAATCCTATGAGGGAGAAAATGCTAATCAAATAATTGTAAATATATAAGTTCCGATTGTGACTCGTGTTCCAAGGAAAAGTTACAAGGTGTTACGAGAGCAAATAACCAGATAACGTGACCCTTTTAGAGTAAGGAGACTATATTGATTAGGTGATGTTTGATTTGCGATTTCAAGGATGAGTAAGGCTTAACTAAGTGGCATGCAGGAGATGACATAGAGGAAAAGGGAGAGGAGGAGGAAGAACGGAAGGGGAGAAGAGGTATAAACATGGAAGAAGGGAAGGAGCAAGGAAAATAGAGAAGGAGGAGGAAGAGAGAGGGGAAAGGGAGGAGAAGAGGGGAAAGAGGAGAGAAATGAAAAGGAGGAGGATAAAGTCAGAGGGAGAGCAGATGGGGAAGTCTGAGTGCTTTCGAGGAATATGGAAAATCTATATGACACCAACTTAAAAAATATTTCCTTACCCTGGAACAGAGAGCAAAGGAGAAAGCAATTTGAGATAAGACCAGAGAAAATCGTAGGAGCAACATGACATATAGGCCAGAAAATTTGTACAATTTAACCTTCATCCATAAGTGTATGGGAGTGTCTGTTTTATCATATAATTGCTAACATTAAGTATTATCGTATGTTCATCTTCACTAATTTGGTAGATAAAAAATGGCATCGCATTATCTCAATTTTTAGTCCTTTGTTTACTGGTGAACTTAAAAAGAAAAGGTAATTTAACATTTTTATTTCTTCCATTATAACTTATCTCTCCCTATCCTTGGCTTCAATTTATCCATTGAGCCTCCTGTTCTTCTTATCTATTTTAACAAGATTTTATATGTTAAGTTAGATTAACCCTTAAGCATCTTTGTTGCAAATATTCCTTCTAGTCTGTGGTTGGCTTTTAATCTTTGTATTGTTTTGTACATATACAGATCTTTTTTTAACATAAATTCAAGAATATTCATTTTTCTTTGCTTTTCTTTTTAGAATCTTTGCTAATTCCAAGACTTAAATAATCACCTAAATGTTTTTAAAACTTTTTTTTTTTTGAGACAGAGTTTTGCTCTTGTTGCCCAGGCTAGAGTGCAGTGGCGCAATCTCAGCTCACTGCAACCTCCACCTCTGGGATTCAAGCAATTCTTATGCCTCAGCCTCCCGCGTAGCTGGGATTACAGACATGCACCAACACACCCAGCTAATTTTTGTAATTTTAGTAGAGACGGGGTTTCTCCATGTTGGTCAGGCTGGTCTTGAACTCCTGACCTCCTGTGATCCACCCACCTCAGCCTCCCAAAGTGCTGGGATTACAGGCATGAGCCTCCATGACCGTCCTTGAAAACTTTCATAATTTGGATTGCTACACTTAAACCTTGAAATATTTGGTATTTATCTTGGAATGTGGCATCTGTTAAGGATCTAAATATACTTTTTCTGCCTTAAGAATTATCCAGTTGCCCCAGAGCCTTTTGTTGATTAATCTTTTCCATCCTCTCTCCGCAGGTTTTTCATGCCTCCTTTATCATATTTTGTTTTCTCTAATCCTATAGTTTGTTACAAAGCCACCACCTATTCTACTTCATTTGTCTGCTTGTTTATCCCTGGGGCCTCACTGATTTAATTATTGGAGCTTTACACTAAGTTTTAATATCTGGATGCAGCCTGTCGCAGCTCTTACCTGGCTCCTCTTCTGGAAGCATCTGAGAATAATGGTATAAAGTTCTAAAGAAACAACTCATTCTGAAGTGGAAATTTGGAGTGTAACAGATTCACCTTCTAACACTGAAATGCCATTCCGGGCAATTCATAAAGCACATATATTTTATCTGGCCTGCTAATTCATTCTTCCAGAGCAGTAATTGGAAATACTAATGTCCAAAGACCTGCACTGGAGGTCAGGTTTCATGGCTTTCAGAATCTATGTGAGGATGTTCTGTAATTTGTACTTTTTCATATATAACCTGGCAGTCCTTGTGCCTCTCACTGAGCTATGGTGAGGATAAGATAATGTTTTATAAACCTTTGTGAGTTAGGACATATCAACCGGATGCAGGAGGCCAGAATTTGTTCAGAGTCTACAGCCAGACCAGGTCTTCCTACTGGTGGCCACGACTGGGCCAAGGTCACACCAGCTCCTCCAAGTTTACCTTCCTTGCTCTCCACATCGAATCTGACCTCTTCAGCCTACAACCTCATAATTTTCAGGATCAAGTTTTGCAATTACTATTATAAAAGCAAAGATTTGAATGCTGAAACGGTACCACAATTTAATCCTGCTATAAAAGGAAGAGGCTTACAAGCAAAACAAAATGAAACACAATAATAGCCCTCCTCCACTGGGAAGAGCTTGGATTTGGTGATTTTTTTTTTTTTTTTTTTTTTTTGAGACAGGGTTTCCCTCTGTCCCCCAGGCTGGAGTGCAGTGGCACAATCTTGGCTCACTACAAACTCCGCCTCCTGGGAGTTCAAGCGATTCTCCCGCCTCAGCCTCCCGAGTAGCTGGGATTACAGCTGTCCGCCACCATGCCCGGCTAATTTTTGTATTTTTAGTAGAGAGAGGGGTTTCACCATGTTGGCCAGGCTAGTCTCAAACTCCTGACCTCAAGTGATCCACCCGCCTCCGCCTCCCAAAGTGCTGGGATTGCAGGTTTCAGCCACTGCGCCCGGCCGGATTTGGTGATATTGAATTCTCTTCAAGAGCTGAGGGAAGAAAGAAGAGGTTGGTTCCCTCCGTGTTCATCCTGTGTGAAGAAAGGAAGGGAGGAAGGCAAAGGTCTGCTGCGGGATCAAGCAAAAGGCTAAGAGAAAAAGGAAAAGAGGAACAGAGGGGTGGACCCTTTGAAATTCAGTTGCCCCCCTCACTTGGTGCAGGGTGGATTTCAATGAGGGAAAATCCCAGTATCTTCCATGAGATCTCTTGCTCCAGCCAGAGGGCTGTTTGCCCAGGTCCAGCCTGATAGGAAAGGCAGATCCCAGAGAGGCCTCATGATGCCACAGCCGCCCTCCCCTCCTCTGAGGCTGGCCCCAAGTTGTCACACACCCCAGCAAACTCAAACAAGTTAATTTGTAATCTTAGGGGGAAAATGATGGTCGCGCTGTGTCTGTCACTGAGCACTCTCCCTGCCAGTTTAAACAGCTGATTAGTTAGCGCCACTGGAATCGATCCGCATCAGTTCCACCTGCATGCACCCACCAGGAACCACTTTATTGTAAATCAATCATTCTGAAAACATCTCACAAAGGGGCCAGGCTTTACTAACAAGCCGTCAATTCCTGCTGCCTGTTGGCAGAGCCCAGCAAATGAGGAGTGCAACTAACATTTATTCAAAAATTATCTCTTCAGATTATTTGGAGCCTGGGCAGGTGGTGGATATGCGGGGATGAATTGGAGCTTCCTAACGCCTGCACATGCACTTAAGCTTCTGAATCTGTTTCCCCAGAAAGAGAGCCAAGGTTTGACCCAGCCTTCACGTTAAAAAAAGGTGGGATGAGGGAGGGGGCAAAATATTTGAACAGAAACTTTACGAAAGAAGACATATGGATGGCCATCAGCACATGAAAAAGTGCTCAACATCATTAGTAATCTTGGAAATGCAAATTAACACCTCCATGAGGTTCCCACACCACCACCAGAATTATTAAAAAGACTGAACATCCAAGGGCCATGAGGATGTGGAGCAAACTGAACTTTCAAACATTGTGTAAAATGATATAACTACTTTGACAAAAAGGTCTCAAAATTTCTTATAAACTAAACATGAACCTACCCTATCATTAGTAATTCTACTCTTAAGCATGCATTTGCCCAAGGGAAATTACTTGTACATGAATATTCATAATAGCTTTATTCACAATATCCAAAATCTGGAAGCAGCGCAAGTGTTCATCAACAGGTAATGGATAGAAAAATTGTGGTATATCCACACAAGAAGATACTATCCAGCAATAAAAAGGGATCAATGACAAATACACACAATGGCATGGATAAATCTCAAAATCATTGCACTGAGGGAAGAGACTTCACAGACAAGAGTACCAACTCTATGATTCCACTTGCATGACACTCTAGAGCAAACAAAACCAATCTATGGGACAGGAGATGGGGATGGAATAGTAGTTGACTACTAGAGAGGTGGGATTAAGGACAGATTGGGAATTTACTAGACTGATGGTTGTGTTCTATGTCTTGAGAGGGGTTTGGATTACAAAGATGTATGCATGTGTTCAAACTCAGTGAAGAGTCCACCTAACATTTCTACCTTACACTGTATGCAATTTTTGTCTCCAAACTAAAAGGTGAGAAAGAAGTACTTTTAAATTCAAATAAATATTGAATTTAATTAATAGTCTGTGCTTGGGGAAAAGTATCAAAATCTGCAATTTATTTTAATTAATTAATTTATTTATTTATTTTTATTTTGAGACAGGGTCTTGCTCTGTTACCCAGACTGTGGCAAGATCTCAGCTCACTGCAACCACTGCCTCCCAGGCCCATGTGATCCTCCTGCCTCTGCTTCCCAAGTAACTGGGACTAGAGGCAAGCCCCACCACATCTGGCTAATTTTAGACTTTTTCTAGAAACAGGGGTCTCATTATGTTGCTCAGGCTGGTTTCGAATTCCTGGACACAAACGATCCTCCCACCTCTGCCTCCCAAAGTGCTGGAATTATAGGCATGAGCCACCATGACCAGCTGGAATTTATTTTAAAATGAGATGGGACAGTGGAGTGGACAGATGTATAGATATGACATAAGGTCATATCATAGGGTGGGGTTGAATATGGATGTTGGATGTTCTCTGTAAAATCCTTTCAACTATGTGTATATTGGTAATTTTTCATAATACAATGTGGGGGAGGAATTTTTCATAATGCAATGAGATGAACGGTCTTTCCTTACCTACTCAGCATCAATAGGACACAGGGGCTTTGTGCCCTAAAGGTCCTATGGGTCTCTAAATCAATCTTTTCCCTTATTCATTGACTAGATGAAATGACTACATTTTGGCTTTGCAGAAGATAAACTTGCCAGATAACGCTAGGAATACACTCCTCCGTGAAAAGATGTGCAGAGAACATTTTAATTGGTTTCCAAGAGCCTTCAACAAGACATGCTCAACTGTCTTTAGTTAAAGAAATGGGACAAAGGCATTTTGTCTTGAGATGTTTTTTCCCTCCATTTGTGGCTTCTCTCTGAATCTCAGTATGTGAACAGGAAAGGCTGAGAAAGCTCTGCTCCCATTCTGGGTAATGGAGAGCTCTATTGTCCTCCTTTGGTTAGAAGGCATGATGGCACCAACCTGATTTTGCCTAGTGTAGTCCAGACAGTCCCATGCAGGAGCCACTTATGTCGTTTCCTGACAGATGATTGCATTGTCAGCATGGCCTGTTGGAAGGTAATTGTGTGATTATGATACCCTTTTAAACCTTGCATCAGAAAGCAAAATTCTGGGAGTTGTTTGAGCAGTGGGGAGGAGTAAAATTGGACTGCAAGGGGGAGCAGCTGAATGCCTATGGCCCATCAACTACAGTGGGGGTTTGTGGAGGCACAGATGGGAGAACCAGCTTCAAGCCACTTGGGAAACAGTTATGGTAATGAAACATCACAAGGTAATGATAGTTACGACATAACATGGTTAGAAGAAACCTTGGATTTATTGGGACTTGGCAACTGAGGAGGAACATGACTTAAAGAGGCATTAGATGTGCTGAAATTACTAGTACTGGTGCAGGAGTTAAGCACTTGGATTGCTAAATCTAGTTTGCCTGGGTCCAAATCCCAACCAGCCACTTACTACCTGTGACCATGGGCAAATTACTCCGACTCTCTAGGCCTCTGTTTTACCTTATCTGTAAAATGATTTAAATAATTATAACCCTCATATGGATGCTGTGAGCATGGGCTGAGTGAAGTAAAAAGCTGAAAATAATGCTGGGCATATGATCAGCATTATGGAAATGTTCATTGTGACTTTAGGCAAACTGCCCTTCCTCTGGGCCTTGGATGGTCTTGAGTTACAGTAACACAGTGTTAGGTTCCAAATATTACTCTCTGTTGCTTGGCTACTCTCTGCCCTTTATTCAGTTTGAATTTTCTTGTTCTGGGCATAGGCCATAACTCATCACAGTAAGCAGGATAAATGCAAGGTATGAGCAAGTCTGTTTTAAGCTGAGCAGATATTTCCAGGCTTCTTTCAGAAAATTAAAGCACAGGGTCCCTACACTTCTGGGTGGTTATGTAACATCTCTAGGCCTTGATTTCTTCTTCTTAAAATGGGGATACTAATGCCAGTTTTGCAGATCACTATGAGGATGAGAATAATATTGTAAAGAACTGGTCACCACAAATGGCACATAATAGTTGCTCAATAAATGACACATGTCATCATATGTGTATATACATATACACATAAATATACAACACACTTATACACACACATTTAGTTGTAGTAATAATGATCATATATATGATTATAGTAATAACAATTATCAAAAATTACAACTAGATGAATGAGGTTTGCAATTGAATATTTATTTAGATACATGGGTACTATTTTTTCTCAGGCATAGGCTACTTGGAAAGCAAGAATTCAGTAAATGATCCATTCAACTGTGTTTTATACCTGATTCTATAGTCATGCATTGTGTAATGACATTTTAATCAATGTCGGACCACATGTGCAATGGTGATTCCATAAGATTATAGTGGAACTGAAAAATTCCTGTTGCCTAATGATGGAACGGTGGTAACATAAAACAATGCATTACTCATGTAATTGTGGTGACTCTGGTATAAACAAACCTACTGCACTGCAAGTTGTATAAATGTGTAGCACATACAATTATGCATAGGACATAAATATTTTTTTTTGAGACAAGGTCTCACTGTCACCCAGGCTGGAGTGCAGTGGTGCGATCTTGGCTCACTGCGACTTCTGCCTCTGGGGTCCAGTGATCTCCCCCCTCAGCCCCCACAAGTAGCTGGGACCACAGGCTTGCACTACCATTCCTGGCTAATTTTTTGTATTTTTAGTAGACACTGAGCTCAAGAGATCCACCCACTTTGGCCTCCCAGAGTGCTGGGATTATAGGCTTGAGCCACTGCACCTGCCTCATAATACTTGAAGATGATAATAAACCACCATGTTACTGATTTATGTATTTACTATACTATACTTTTTATTGTTACGTTAGAGTATCTCCTTATATTACTTTTTTAAAAAAATTTAGCTTCATAACAGCCTTAGACAGGCCCTTCAGGAGGTAACCCAAGAAGGCATTGGTATCATAGGAGATGACAGCTCCATGTATGTTATTGACCCAAAAGACCTTTCAATGGGACAAGATGTGGGAGTGGAAGACAGTGATATTGATGACCCTAACTCTGTGGAGGCCTAGTCTAATGTGTGTGTCTGCATCTTAGTTTTTAACCAAAATATTTAAGAAGTTTTAAAAAAGTTAATAGAAAAAAGCTTATCAAATAAGGATATGAAGAAAGAAAATATCTTTGCACAAGTGTGAGCTGTGTTTCTGTTTTAAGCTGTTACCACACAAGGGTCACAAAGTTTTAAAAAAATTAAAAGTTTATAAAGTTAAAAAGTTACAGTAAGTTAACGTTAATTTATTATGGAAAAAGAAAAATATTTTTGTAAATTTAGTATAACCTCAGTATACTTGTTTATAAAGTCTACAGTAGTGTACAGTAACGTCCTAGGCCTTCACATTCACTCATAGCCTCACCCAGAGCAATTTCCAGTCCTGCAAGCTCCATTCATGGTAAGTATCCTGTAAAGGTGTACCACTTCCTATCTTTTATGCTGTATTTTTACTCTTCCTTTTCTGCCTTTAGATACACAAATAACATTGTGTTATCATTGCCTACAGTATTCAGTACAGTGATATACTGTAGAGGTCTGTAGTGTAGGCGCAATAGGCCATACCATATAGCCTAGGTGTGTAGTAGGCAATACCATCCTGGTTTGTGTAAGTGCACTCTACGTTGTTTGCACCACCATGAGATGGCCTAATATCACATTTCTTAGAACATATGCCAGTCTAAAACTACATATATATATATATATATATATATATGTATGTATGTGTATGTATGTATGTATATATATATATATATATATATATATACACACACACACACACATAAGAAAACTTAGGAGCTATATGTAATACTTATAGAGGAAGGGTTAAAAGAAATAATTCTCCATGAATCACTTATTAGTAGTAATAGAATGATAGTGGTAGTAGTGATATTGATGGCAACACAAACTATACCAAGTGTTTTCCAGTTTATCAATTTATGTTCATTCAAATACTCCTCCTTTCCAACACTTTAAAACCACCAAGCAAAATAACATTTAATCTTAGGTCTAAGATGAACAAATTGAGAATTTGAAAAAATACATAACTTGACTCTTTTTTTCGTTAAATATGTTTCCTAACTTGTCATGTACTCAGTGTAGTGCTATATGTTTTGGGCACAAAGAAGACTAACACATGATAACTGGGTACAGGGCATTCAAACTGAGATAAAGCAGTATTTTTCAAGGGGCCACCTGCTATGCCCTAACAACAGAAGTTTCTGGGTCAAAAATGTGTGAATTTCTACCTACCACCTATTACCCTGATGGAGATCCACAATGCACAAAGGCATATTCAATGTGCTAAGAAGTCCTAGAGAGACCTCATTGACTCTGCATTTCAACAATGAGTTGACCACAGACTCTCTTTGTTGGAAAGACATTTATTTATATCATTTGGGAAATCTTCAGTAGAAGGAAATGGACATATAAACACATGCACCGACCTATGATAAAGGCTGAGGCAGCTTGGTGGCCTGAACAGCCTGGGAGCAGAGAGGATAGAAGGGTCTGATCTGCCTCTGCATTAACCAAGGAGTCAAGAAAGGCCCCCACCTTTGAACCAAGGTCATGGAGAAAAAGGGAGGACATCCTGGGATCATCCCAGAGTGTCTTGAACTAAACTGCAGTGCCCTTAGCAAAAAGAGACAGACTTTCCAAGTTTACCCTTTCCACTCAACAGAGATGCTCCAAGAAGGGTGATGTCCTCAGGTTCTTGTTCTCTTTGGGAAGCTCAGCATTGGTTTTTCAATATGCAAAACAAGGAAGTTGAATTTGGTCATTTCTCATAATATGCTGGTGTTCCATGATTTGTGCTTTAAGTATAGAGTATGCACAACTCAATTAAGGGTTGATGGCCCACAGGTCATCACAGCAGGCATTTCTGTTGTGGGGATAAGGATGACCCTAAATCCAGAGCCCATAAGTGGAGCACTTTATTAAGATGCTTATCTCACTAACGGTGAAATACATTGATTTGGACCATTGAGGAGCCAGGCCATATCATAACAGATACCTTGAGAAAGAAGCTTCCAGGTTAGACTTGACTGGAACATCAAGTTTGGAACTCAAAAAGCCATAGGATAAATGGGGTGAAATCTCCACTTTTGAGGAACTTTATCCTACCAACAGGTAATTCTAGGTTCTGTCCAACAGAAATACAAAAAGAGGTGCACGTATGAGTGAGTACCTGAAAATAAGGTAGGAAGTATGGCAGCCCTACATTTCTGTAAGTAGCCCTCCCATGCAACACCCCTCTTATTTCGTCTTCTCAATGATTATAAGCATGTATGATACACCATGTTACTCAAACTAGGGACTCTAACCCCATGGGTCTGAATATATATGTTCTCAGGAGTTCATACATTTGCGAGGGGAATATTTTTATTGAGATAAAATACACATAATATAAAATTTACTATTTTAACAATTTTTAAGTGCACAGGTCAGTGGCATTGAGTACATTCTCGTTGTTGTGTCACCATTACCACCACCATTTATCTTCAGAATTTTTCCATATTGCCCAACTGAAACTCCATACCCACTAAACAATAACTCCCCATTCCCCCTTCTCCCCAGCTCATGGAGCCCACCATTCTAACTTTATGTTTCTATGATTTTCACTACTTTAGTTAGCTCAAATGAGTGGAATCATACAGTATTTGTTTTGCAACTTGCTTATTTCACTTGGCATAATGTTCTCAAGGTTTATTCCTGTTGTAGATGAAGGAGCATTTTTGAACATTGTGGTTTGATTACGCACCCATATATTTGTATACAGATATCCCATGCTATCTGGATGACCACATGGTAAGGATATCCACTTGCTTTTAGGGTCCATTTTATGCTGTGTGTTTATGATAATTTCAGGATAATGAAAACATTATAGCATACCTGAGGACTGAAGGTTTTATAGTCACTTAAGCAGAAAATAATGCTGAGACAGTTGAGTTAGCCCCAGAATTTGGGAATGTTACTTAAGTGACAAAGGGACTTTACAGATAAGATTGAAGTCACAGACCTTGAGACAGAGATATTATCCTGGATTTATTCTAGTGGGCCTGATTTAATCATGTAATCTCCTTAAAAGTGGAGAATTGGGCAACAACAGTGAAACTTCATCTCAAAAAAAAAAAAATAGTGAAGAATCCTTCTTGGCTGAAGTCAGAAAGAGATACCTGACCAAATAAGGGTGAAAGACAGGCAAAGTAAGAGGGATTCAAGTCACCATTGCTGGCTTGGAAGGTGGAGGGGTGGGGCCATTAGCCAAGGAATGTGGGCAGCCTCTAGATGCTAAAAAGTCAAGGAAATTGATTTTCCCTAGAGCCTCCAGAAAAGATTGTAGACCTACTGACATCTTGATTTTACCTCAATGAGATCCATGTCAGATTTATGAATGACAGAACTGTAGAAGAATAAAGTTGGGTTGTTGTAACCTGCTAAATTTGTGGTGATTTGATACAGCAACCATATAAAACTAATACAATGTGTCAAAAACAAAAAACTGGCACCATGGCCCAAGATTCTGTATTCACATTTCAAAAAGATGTATTACCAAAACCCTATCTATATGGACCACTTGAAGAAGTACATTTTGGAGTTAATGTAGTCGTAAATATGTGATGAACTCTTCTGATCTGAATTCCACCAATAATGGATTTAGAGTAAACATTTATTCATCAAATATTTTAAAGTGCCTACTATGTGCCAGATATTGTGCCATGTATTGGGTACTCATAGGTACATGAATCTGCCTTGATGCCTGGGCTTAGTTTGCCGACATTTTCACAAAGGGAATGAAAAGTAAATAAGCAAATAAATAAGCCTATCAAAGCAGCATATTTTCCTGACCCTTCAAGGGCAGGAACTGGAGTTCATGGGTGCTGGCAGGGGCAAGCTTCACTTACTCACTGCTCCACCCCTTGTGGGAGGTGGAGCACAGATAAGCAAGTGCAGGAGCTGGTGTGAGTGCTTTTGGGCACTGGCAAGGGCATACTCTGTACCAGCCCCTCAGCAGCATCTAGGGGAGGGTGCTCGCAACACCCGAAGCCCAGAGGAAGTGTTACAGTGCCCTTTTAGCTTTGCTGTCTGCAGATGGCTTAAGTGTTAACAGCTCAGTGGAGGGTCAGTGTGACAGCTTTTTGCTCTGACACTCATGGCATCCAAGTTCTTGGCCAGTCTCCAAGAGGAATGAAGTAACATGAACAAATTGAAGGTGGTGAATGAAGGTGATTTTATAACTGATGAAAGCGGCTCTTGGTGGGAAGGGGAAATGAAAAGAGGGCAGAGCGGGAAGGTAATCTTCCCCTGGAGTTTGGCCATTCCTGGCCAGACTCCTCTCAGAAGTTATGCCATCAAGCTGTCCCTCTGAATTCAAGCCACTTCTCTCTGACATCAAACCATAGTTTCCAATGTCCAGCTGCTTCTACTCTCTCCACTGGCTGAGCCTGGGGCTTTTATGGGCACAGGATGGGGGGTGGGGCAGAGTGGGGTCATGGGTGGTTTTGGAAAAGGCAACATTTGAGTGTAAAAACAAGGATGCAAGTTCTCACTTTGGACGGTGGTATTAGGCCTTTTGGCTTGAGGGTGGGATCCTGGCCAGGGACCCTCCTTCATCTGCCCAGAATTTCCCTGTCTCCTGTCCCTATCACTATGGTTATAATTTGTGACACATGCTATAAAGGAAATGAATACCATGTGATAGAGAATAATGAACTGGGATCAGGAATAATGTCATTAGAAAGGCTTGTGAAGGCCTCTCTGAGGACATAGCTTTTACACAGACATCTGAAGGAAGAGAAAAACCCAGCCATGTGGAATGAACATTCCACAGAGAGAAGGATCATGGATCATGGGCAAAGGCTGCAAGGCCTGCAAATTCTTGACTACCTGGGAAGGAAATTAATGCAAGCCAGCATGGCTGGGGTAGTGTATGAGGGGGGATGGCTTCAGACAGGTTGGAGAGGTGGTACATTGCCTTCAATGCTAGGCCCTGGAGCTGATCAGAGTTTAGTTTGGTCAGCAGAGATAGGATAATATTTATATTTTTAAAGTTTCTGTAAACTTCTTTAAGGAGAAAAATTGGGAGCATGAGAGTGGAGGGGGAGAGTAGTTAGGAGGCTTGGCAGAAACCCAGAGAAATGGTTGCCACCTTTGGTGTCAAGGTAGGTAAGAAAAAGACAGAGTCAAAAAATACTTGTCAAGATTTGCTCAGTTCAAGGATTAGAATAAAGAGGTTGAAATCAGGAATGGCCTCCAAATTTCTGACTTGAGCAACTTTGTGATTTAGAGAACAATTTCATGCAGGGGCTAATAATGTAATGATGACATTTAATTAAAATTGGCATTCCAGGACTGCTCACTAATTGAGTGCTGATAAAGAATGAGGTCTGATTATTCTGAATTAGCAAACAAAGTCTTAAAAGTATTCATAGCATTCTGAAAAGCTTACTATGCATGCACAGAGACTTCCTCTGCATTATTATTACTAGAGTCAAAATACAGAAGCAAATTCACTGTAGAACTAGATCTGAGTCTAAATCTTTATGTAATTAACGACAACTTCTATGATTTTGTTTAAACAAAAGCATGATTCGTCACATTGAATTAACACTGTAAACTTCAATTTTACTTGCTTCCTAGTTTTGTCTTAATTTTCAAATTATTTTGCCTTATAGCTGAGTAGTTTTCCAATTGTTTTTACACCCAAAAGCTATATGCATAAAGATTTCATTCCTAGTTTTACCTCATACATTTATAGAAAATTGTATTTAACACATATATAACACCTATAACATACCAGGAACATTTTTTAGTGCCTTGCAAATATTAACACATTTAATTTTCATAACAATACTATGAATATAAGTATTGTTATTATCCCCATTTTACAGATGAGAAGACAGAGGCAAAGAGAGGTTTAATGATTTAACCAATGTCTTAGAACTAGTAAGTGGCAGATATGACATTCAAACCCAGGCAGTGTGGCTCCTGAGTCTATGCTCTTAAGTAATGTCAATAATTTAAGCCAACATGGGGAAGATCTGTGAATTTTTTTGTGGGGGGCTATTACTCAAGTTCGAGAAACCCTGTCATAGCCCATTTGATCCTTTAGCAGAGCCTAGGGAAGATTCAGTCTAAAATTCCTCTTTTTAGCCAGGAGAAAACATATACCTTAAGGAGAGGAAGTGAGTAGTTTTGGGAATTATCCATTTGTTGATTTGTAATGTTATTCCAGTTATTTCAACTATTTGATCTTCCTATCTAGATTGTGAAGAGACAGGTTTCATGCCTCTTTTATCCTCCAGGGACCCTCGGACAGCACTGCACACAGAGTAAAGACCTACAAAATTCACCATGGCTCAAATAGGCTCAAGTGAGATTTAGAACAGTTAGGGGTCTAACTGGCTGAGGATGTCTGGGACACATTTCTCTCCTCCCAAGTAGCACACTAGGTTCTTACTGTGAGATAGCACTGGCCTACACAGGCCACTGGGTTGACCTTAAATATCTACCCTTATAAAATGCCCTGCCACTTCCTCATGTTTTCCCTTCCATTTTCTCAGTCTTCTCCTGGAAAATTCCTACTATGACAGCAAGACCCAGGGCAAATACTGTCTCCCTTTTGATATTTTCTTTGACCCTGTCAAGCTGACTTGCTGATTTTGCTTCTGTACCCTCACTCTACCCAGTCAGTGGCTGCCTCTATTGCTGCACTTCTTATGCTGCAGTATAATTAACTTTATTTCTGTCTCAAGGACTGCCTTTTGCCCCATTTAGTTTGTAGCCCTAGCACCTAATGTTATGGGCTGAACTGTGTCCATCTGAAATTCATATGTTAAAGTCCTAATCCCAGTACTTCAGAATAGAACTGTATTTGAAGATAAGGTCTTCAAAGAGGTATTCAAGTTAAACTAAAGCCAAGAAGAAGAGATATCCAAGATATGCGCGTACAGAGAAAAGACGGCCATCATCATGGCCATCAACAAGCCAAGGAGAGGAGCCTCAGAAGAAATCAAACCCAAAGATACCTTGATGGTGGACTTTCAGCCTCCAGAACTGGGAGAAAATACCTGTCTGTTGTTTAAGCCACGCAGTCTGTAATATTTTGTTATGGTAGCCTTAGCAAACTAATACTTCCGGTTTTCACATATAGTTGGTGTTAAAGTTATAGATAGAAATCTATTTATAATTTTATTTATATGTATGTTTGTATTTTAAAATAAAAGTGACTAGTCCAAGGTCTCAGAGCAAGTTGGTGAAAGGCTGTGATTACAATAACAACCCCCTACTTATTGAGACCTCAATCCTGCTCTCTACCCTAAATTTCTGTAATTCAGCCTTCTTTATATTAAAACCATCCAAGAAGTACAATGTGTTGCCTTTGATATTGTAAACCGCACCACATAACCAAATTCTTACACTTTGGGAAGAGATATTGATTGCTTTAATTATATTAGGATCAACTGAAGTAAAGAATAATACAACTAAAGTAATGTGTGTGTATGTGCGCGCATGTGTGAGCATGCACATGCGTGTGTGTTTATGCATACACACAGTGACATGGTTCTTTTTGGAACCATAATCTCATTTATATTTTTAGTATATCCCCCAAATAAATACCTGTGCAACTGTAGATAGGAGGTGAGGAACTATACAGTGATTCTTTAGCGACAGAATTAGAGATGGAAAAATAGCAAAAACAGACACCTGGGTTCCCAGCTGGAGGCTACAGCTAGGACAACCATATACCTGAGACTGGACTCATGAGGCAGACATGCAGAGAAGTTTGTCAAGTATTATTGTGGAGCCCTCAATGTGCTGGTAGGAATCTCTAAGTGCCCATACATAGGTTCTTTGCTGCCCTTTCTCAGACTTCAAATGCATTCTGAGTCCCACTCTGCAAACAGTGGAGGCTCCGTGTTTGTTGAATGGATGAATGAATCAAAGAGGCTGATTTAACTGGGAACACACTTCAATGTTGATCATAGAAAAGGGAGGTGGGTTCCCATACTAGCTCACAGTGGAGAAAGCAATTCAATTACCAACACTAACAGACAATAAACTCAGGCTAAAACATGGCAATTTTATGAGACACTTGGCTGCAGCAACTTCGCCTTTCTTTTCTTGGTTTCTCCTTTCCCTTTCCACCCCCTATTGACTAATTGTAAGCAGCACAGCGTGGCATCCGGGCTTTTTATTTTTTCTCGTATATCCTCATCACTGTGTGGGCAATGGGAGGCCTAAGTTGGCTGTTTAGTCATTTGTGTTTCTTTTTTCCTTCTCATACAGTTGAATAACTCATGGTCTAAAGGCTGAGGAATTTGGCATATGCAAACACCACATGCACAATGAATGGGAACCTTATTTGTTTCGAACTGGGAAATAGAGTTAAGAGAGGTTTACAGCACTGAAAGAAAGGGCCAGAATTTTGTCCTGACTCCCTGGTGGTGGAGTAGGTCAGGGAATAAACGTAACCTTGAGATTTCTGGGTCCCTGAAAACAGGGAAAGGTATTCAGACCAGGGGATTAGCGAGTCTGTTAGTTAACACATGAAAATGCCCTCACAATTTTCCCGGTAGGAGGTTGTAGAACGGGTAAGGAAGAGGGATTATAAGGAGGAAAAAGAACCATGAGGAAGAAAGGATGATGATTTCTGAAAGCAGAAAGAGAGGAGAAAGTCAGACACACTTTGGAACCTGTTTCTTGGATGACTGCATATAGGATGGGGCTTTGATCTATATTTAGTCCCCAAAGCTCAGAGCTGCACAACAACCTTTGTGGATGCCAGAGAGACTCATGTTGGACATCAGAACAAGGGCAAGAGAGGACGGTGGGAGAGAAGAATTACAGAAGAGGAATGAGGGCGCACGAGGAGGGGTGCAGTGGGGGAAGGGGAGCGCTCTCTTCCCCTCCTTTGTGAATACACAGACAAGTCCATCAAAGCTGTGGCAGGCTGCAGTGATGAGAAAGATACATAATATGATAAAGCTTGGTAGCAGGCATGTGTGATTGAACAGACCAATGAAGAGATAACATTTGAAAGCTTTACTGCTTGGAAAGCTGTTAGCAAGCTGGTGTCCCCTTCATCATGTTTAATTTTACTTTTACTACCCTTCATTTGCTTTGACGGGTTGATGTTGCCATGGTGCGGTTGGAATTCTCATAAAAGTGCTGTTACCCTTTCAAGATGACCATTTTTTTCTAGGGTTTATACCACATTTTATAGTTATGTCAGAAGGTTTACTTGGTTTATGAATTCTCCAAGCTCTAAGATTGCTGTCAAAAAACTCCATGTTGCCTTCGGTTTTGCCATTTAATTTGTGACCTTTTAACAGCAGTTGCATTATTGGGTGATGTCCCCACATAATTAGAAATGCATCTTTGGGTTCATGAAAGTAAACAAAGGGCACACAGAGAAACCGAGCTTCCTTTTCCTAGGTTACAAGCCCCTGAATACATGTGACTGTCTATATGCATTTGAATACTGTATTTTATGCAGATAATGGTAATAAATAAAATAACTATGATCAACTATGAAATCTAATGATTAATATATAAGGTGATGACTCTTTTATTTTCTCTCTAACAATTCAAGTCTGGTAAATTGTAAAACACTCTTTATTAAATCCCTACTGAAAATGTCCAGGATATAGATTCTGAATAGCATTTAAATAAGCCTTCAATTTCATCAATTATTACAATCTGTTCACTGAATGAGACATTTAATTAATCGCCATATCTATGTCTAAGAATTCTTAAGAAACCAGAGGATCTCAATATACCATGTACCACCACATTTGGGAGGTAGCCTCTGCAACCAATGTGGAATGTAATTGCAAGATAACGTGGTGAGATCTGTTATAGCACATAATTTCCATGGACTGAAATGTGCTTTTGCATTCAGATTTGAGTGAGACATCAGAGGAGTATTATGAATTCTATTTTTCATTCCAAAGTGTATCTTTCAGGTTTATCCTAGTCAATAAATATTTAGTTCAATCTTCTACATTGCCTTGCAAGATCTGGAATGTGGAAGCCATTTGGGGAAGTGAAGAGCTACCTGGGTATTAGTTTCCTATTGGTGCTCTAAAAAATTGCCACAAACTTAGTGGATTAATGCAAATGTATTATTTTACATGCCTGGAGGTCAGACGTTCAAAATGGGCCTGACTGGGGGAAAATCAGAAGGGTTGCATTCCTTCGGAGGCTCTACAGGATATTGTTCCCTCACCTTTTCCAGCTTCCATAAGTAGCCTGCAATCACCCGTTTTCCCATAGTCACAATTTCCTCCGGCCTCCAGCTTCTTCTTTTCACTTTTAAGGGCCCCTATGATTACACTGGGTCCATGCAGATAATCCAAGAAAATCTCTCTTTTAAGATCGGTTGATTAGCAACCTTAATCTCATCTGCAGAGTTAATTCATCTTTGCCATGTAAAATAACATATTTACTGCTCCCCAGGATTAGGATGAAGATATCTTTGGGGTCCCTTATTCTGTCTATCACACCGTCCACTGGAAGTAGCAGGCATATTGGAAGATGACTTAGGGCAATATGGAGAAGGCTTTCACATTAAATTAGAGTTGGACTAAATGACCAGAGGTTAATTTTCCAGCTTAGAGGTTATGACACTTTAACATTGTACAAGGAACTGAATTTCTCTGATTTTAGCTTCCTCACTGGTAAAATGGGCATGGTAACATTTTACTACCAATAAGCAAGAGTTTTAAAGCTGCAGACAATTTAATTATATATATATATACCTAAAGTGCTTACTTAACCTTTTTGCAACTATTTTACATTTTAATTGCTTTGAATTTTGCTATTAAAAATAACACTGGAGTATACATCCCTGTATATCTCTGGTTGTTTTCCTATGATAATTTCCAACTTGTAGCTGTACTAGGTCCAACAGTGTGAATGTCTTTAAGGACCTTGTACTTTTCAAAAAGGCAGCATAGGCGTGAGTGTATGTCCTGGAAGAAGCACAAGATAGGGCAGATGAGTCTGTTTCTATTCAGTTCCACTCGGTTCCTGAGACCTGTCATAAAATGTTTAAAGATACACATTTTTATACATCATGGCCACTAAATGCAAAAGAAATACATTTTATGGTGTTCAACCAAAGAAAGTTCAAAAAGAACCCTGTTGGAGTTATATTTTTAAAATGCTCTAAAATATCAGGATTCAGTATGACATACAAAGTTCCCTGTGATATTTATTGTGTAGTAATTTTTGACACACAGCTCCCTGTTACAAACTGACCCTATTGTTTCAGCCCCAAAGCTTCTTAAGCTGATAAGCAAGGACAGCAAAGTCTCAGCATAAAAAGCCAATGTGCAAAAATCACTAGCATTTGTATGCACAAACAACGCTCAAGCAGAGAGCCAAATCATGAACAAACTCCCATTCACAATGGCCACAGAGATAATAAAATGCCTAGGAATACAGCTAACTAGGGAGGTAAAGATCTCTACAAGGAGAACTACAAAGCAT
The DNA here is from genome assembly GCF_000001405.40 of Homo sapiens. Classification (NCBI taxonomy): domain Eukaryota; kingdom Metazoa; phylum Chordata; class Mammalia; order Primates; family Hominidae; genus Homo; species Homo sapiens. Next base: position 76,782,610 of record NC_000010.11, read on the forward strand.
TGCTCAAAGAAATCAGAGATGACACAAGCAAATGGAAAAACATTCCATGCTCATGGATAGGAAGAATCAGTATCATTAAAATGGCCGTAATGCCCAAAGCAATTTATAGATTCAGTGCTATTCCTGTTAAACTACCACTGACTTTCTTCACAGAACTAGAAAAAACTATTTTAAAATTCATATGGAACCAAAAAAGAGTCTGAATAGCCAAGACAATCCTAAGCAAAAAGAACAAAGCTGGAGGCATCATGCTACCCAACTTAAAACTATACTACAGCACTACAGTAACCAAAACAGCATGGTACTGGTACAAAAACAGACATGTAGACCAATGGAATAGAACAGAAAACCCAGAAATAAGACTGAACACCTACAACTATCTGATTGTCAACAAACCTGAAAAAAACAAACAATGGGGAAAGGATTCCCTATTCAATAAATGGTGCTGAGACAACTTGCTAGCCATATGCAGAAGATTGAAAGTAGATCCCTTCCTTACACCATATACAAAAATTAACTCAAGATGGATTAAAGACTTTAATGTAAAACCCAAAACTATAAAAACCCTGGAAGACAACCTAGGGAATACCATTCAGAAAAGGAAATTTACATCCAAAACAGAAAAGTAACTTGCCCAGGTTGCCACAAGGATTTATTGGTAAATTTAAAACAGTTGTGTATGTGTAGGTCACATCAACAGCAACTAAACTGTAAGAGTTACCCTTGTAAATTATGTGAGAAATAATGCAGCATTCTAGGCTTAACTACTATAAAAGAAAAGATTCTATTTCCAAGTAGTATCTGTGATGATCACACATGTGTAGGTCATATTGGAAGTGGGAGGAGGGCACCTGTAACTGAAGAGGGTATTTTTCCTAGAATGTTAATATTGCTGTAAAAATTGGGCAGGAGGCTAATCTAATTAATTAGATCTTGGCCTCTATCATTTGGGGATGGTCACATCTTGGAACAGTATTTGTTCTTGTGGTACATGCCTTCTAAGACAACTTTCAATAATCCCTACCTCCTGGTGTTCACATCCTTGTGTAATCTGCTCCCCTCGAGTGCCATTGGCTGACTGAACTAGTAACTTACTTCAAATCACGAGCATATATAAGGTGACGTGATGTCAATTCTATGATTAGGTTATGAAAGATTGCAAGCAAGACTCTCTGTCTTGTTGGTCTTGATGAAAGAAGCTGCTGTGTTAAAGAGGCCACATGGCAAGGAAATGAGGGTGGCCTCCAGCCAGCAGCCAGCAAGAATCTGAGGCCCTTAGTGCAACTGGACCCCAGGCACTAAAGTTTGAGAACAACAGCTGCATGAGCTGGGAAGCAAATCTTACTTCAGTTGAACCTTGATGGCAGCCTTGTGAGAGACCCTCAAGTCAATGGTCCAGCTAGGCCATGACCAGATTCCTGACGCAAAATGAGATAATAATTATATATAATCTTCTTTAAGTCACTAAGTTTTATAGTATTTTTTAATGCAATGATATATTGCTATTACAGTCCTTGATGGAGTATGATTTTTTGCTTTCTTGGAAGACTAAGGCTTTCTTATCATGGTTACATCAGAAGGTAACATGGGCTACGGGTTTTGAACACTTTCAGACTAATGGGCTCTGTGGCTCTGTGCAAAGCAGCAGGAAGTACATGAAATCCCTCAGGGCCAACCACCTCTAGAGTAGTTGAGGGTTGTGAAATGGGAAATCAGGAAATACAACCTTTCCATTGCCCACTTGCAGGGTTTACTACAGCTTAGCAGAAACTCCTGCAAGAAAGAAAAGTAAGAATGAAGTGGCACTAGCAGGAAAGAGAGTTTTTTGAGATATAGCTGGTCTCACTGGTGTCCCTTAATTGCACATTTTTATTTAGTTTTAGCCAGCTGGCAGTTATACACCATTTTAATTATGTTAGAACTGGAAAAAGAAGAGTATTTAGTTTGGGTTTCTTGTTCCAAGTTCCTTTCTTAATTGCCTTTTCATTCAAGCTGAAGACTTATGGTGGCAGCCACAGCACTGTTGAAAAACAATTCATTGTATCAGTGACAGGGCCTCATAACAGAGCACCTTAATAAGACCAAGTTCTGTACTTCTTGACTCCCCAAGATGGATGATGTTCATAGTCCATTATTTGAACGAGGATATCTGACTTATGGCAAATCTATCTGAAACAGCATTGTAGAATTGTATTTTATCTTTAAGAAATGTATTTTTATAAAAGTAAGATATTTACTTCTGTTGTAGGAAGGAACTTAAGCAGAAAAATTTCTCTCTAATGTTTGTTGAATCATAGGAGAATGATGAGGGAGAACAGGGTGATCCATCCACCAACTAACTTGAAAACCTCGGTTGTATTTTTATTTCAGGAAGAAAGGCTGAGCTAAAGGTGCCCTATGGTATTACATGAAATACTTTTCTTCTTTTTCCAAGTCATGCATATCACCCAGGAATTCACAAGGGTAGCATCTCTGTTCTCTATTACTTAAATTTGCACAAGCATGTGATCAATTTTTCTTTCCTCTCTTTCCTCTGTAGGGCTTGTAAAAAGGGTTGAAATTTACAGTCTTCAAGGATAGTTATCCTTGTTTGGAATCATAGTATGTAAGAACCAGAAAGCACCTCTGAGATTACCTGGTCCGACCCTCTCATTTTACAAGTGAGGGAACGAAGGCCCTTTAGGGAAATATCTCTTCTGTGATGGATGCTTTTAATGACACCCGGAGTCCTGAAACAGAAAAGGCCAGGCTCAGGATTCACAAGAGCAAGGAAATCAGGCATACGGGTAAGGTGTTTTCACTTGATTGTAGTTTATTGTTTTCTTCTTATTTGAAGGAAGTTACAAAAATGGTAGAAGGCCAAAGGTACACAGACTGTGCTGGCAGAACCCAGGATTCAGCCTAACTCTCTGACTCTCTGACTCTGTGACCTTGGAAAGTAATTTAATCTCTTAATTTCCACCTTATAAGTGGAAATTATAAGAGTTACTCTTATATAATAATAGGACCAACCTCTCGGGTTAAAGTGAGGATGACATGACAGACTGAATGTAATGCTCTCTGCACAGGTCCTAACTCTTAACAAGCGTTCATGAAATATTGTGAACATTATTATTAGCTCCTGCTAATATTACACCTTCCCAACTCTGCTGATCTCTGCTAATAGCAAATCATTTCACCTTTTGGGCCTCAGATTGGCCTATGCAAAGTTAAGGCATCTTGCCTTTAGGACTACCTTGCTCTTAGGTCCCACACTCCTGCAATCTCAGTTTGGAAGGTGTCTTCTTGAATGGCCTCCTCCCTCAGCTCCCCTCCGGCTGTCTCTGTGCTGCTGGACTGAAAGTGTCTTGGGAGGGAAGCTCACAGTTGACCCTTCCTGCTATTCCCTGGAACCTATTAGACTTTGACTAATAGGTCTCCATATTAAATTAGCATTTTTATATTGAATTTCCATTGCTCCTTGAGACAAGGCAAGCTTGATGGGTTCATGCAGAAGTAGAAGAGAAGATCCTAGACAAACAACAGCTGAGGATAATGTAGCATAAAACTCTCCAGAGAGCTTGGGATTGGTGCTGGCAGCTCAGGGTATAGTGGTTATCAGTGCACATGAAGCTCTAGGAAAGCTGACAGGAGGAATACAAAACAAGCATTGGACAAAGACATCAAGGGAAGAGTGGGGGTTGAATTGGGAAATCAATTTTAATGAAAGGGGAGTCTAACTTGGGAGATTAGGGTAGGTCTAGCGGTAAAGAGAGATTCACAAATATTTATGAGTTATTTTTAGTCATTTATCCCTGAGGCAAAAGGAAGAAATGGAGCCTTCATTGATCTTTAAAACAAACTGGAATTGCAGTTTTAAGCATGAAACTCTTTAGTTACCAAGCATAGCGTGCTCTGGGGAGTGGTGCTTGTGATATTTTTCACCCTTCCCTTCTTTTTCACCTTCCACAGAGCTTCCATGACAAGCAAAGGCTTTGGAGAAAACACAGTACAGGGCTTTGCTCACTCAAATGCACTGTCCCCCCATTGTCAAGGCTCACATTTTAAATCATTCTGGCCACTCACTGTGGAACCCAGCAAAGAATCTTTGTCACGGAAAGGTCATGTGCAGTTATTAACACAGAGTGACAACTGTACTTCAGAAAACAATTGCCCTTTCCCATCGTCCCTGCCACCTCCACAGAAGTCCTTGCTGACAATCTCTTCATTTCTATTCATTGTCAGCGAAATATTTTAGCAATGCCTCATCATCCATCTTGGCTCTCCCAGAAGTGTGGCTAGGGGAATGCAGTACAGCTTGGGGACAAACAAGGAAAGAAAGAACATTTCATCTCTGGCTGGGTCAATTCAATGCCACTTCAGTGAATATTTTGCTTTTTTTTTTTTTTGTGGCTGGCAAGACTGAGGTGACTCTGAGCCAACAACCGTGGAATTTTAGAGCTAGAAAGAGTTCACCCACCCCTCAGAAGCCCTAGAGGACCCTAGAATTCTTTGACTCTGTGGCCAGCATTGTAGTCCATCCATCATCGTTTGATCTGCCTGAGGCCTCTGTCACTATAGGCAGCTCTTGGTTTCTGGTGACCTTGGGCCAAGTCAACCCACGTGCTGCCGTGATTTCTTGACACTTTGCATGCCATCACTGCTTGGTGTTCTCCACCTTCACGAGGGTCAGTTGCACCAATTTTGAATGGATAAATGAATGCATTTCTCTGGACTTGCAGAAATGGGCAAATGAGCAAAGCTGAGAGATTTTGTTTTACAGATGATATGGGAGTGACAGAATTAACCTCACCTGAACAATCTAAGAGAAAGGCAATAATGCAAAATTTTGCAGGCTTCTGTGATCATAAGGGTTATGTATCTGGATCTAGCTAAGCAGGAATTTCAAAAGCAGACTGACAAACTGTATTGACACTCTTCCTTCTAAATGTGTCAGTGTGTGTATGTGTGTTTGTGTTGGTGTTGGTGTATGCACACATCTGTGGGAGCACACTCATGCTTCCAAAGCCTGTCATAGCTATGTATGTGGATGGATGAAGAAGACAACAAACAGCATGAGAAGGAACGACACGTGGGCTGTTGGCACCCCACATTGTTTTGCTCAAGTACTCAAGGCAGGTAGTCACCATGAATTCCCAATTGTTGGTCTACATGCTGGTGTGTCTCTCTCTGTTTTCTTAGTCTGCTGCTACTGTAGACTGTTGTACCAGGATGGTCTTCTCCTAGCTGGATTTTGCTACAGAGCTCCTTCCCCAGAATGGTGATGCCTGTGGATGGAAGGGAAGCTGCTCTGGAGAGCATGTTGACTGAGAGAAGCTGTGACATGTGATGAAAAGATGAGCTCTCCAGGGAAATCTCCACAGCTTGGCACTGGCTCTGTGATTAGTCTTGTCCTCATTGGGGGATGCACGGTGCTTTTTTCCAGCCTCTTGAAAGAAATAATATATGATCTGGATATTACTTTGCTATTGACATGCTGGCATTTCTGCTTTAACAATTTTAAAGAAACAAGTAAGAGTTTACAGTGCTGAATACTTAGTAATCCTGGAAGACAGCTGAGGGTGGCTTGCATGAATGCGTATCACATTTTGTTCTGGGCTTCCTTAGGTCACTAGACATAACCCAAGTACCAAGTGGGGAAATGTGCACCCAACCTATGCTTAGAAAATAATTGCTGATGATGTGGATTTTCAATAGATGGGGTTACAAATTTTAAAATTCCTAAAATCCTTCCTCTCCAATTTCCTCCTAAAGATTAGGACTTTTTTATTTCTTTGGTTTGTATTCATTGGTTCAGCGTCAAGGATCATAATTTAAGCTGAGTTTTCTCTAGATCTGTACAATCATAATTCTTGCAAAAAGTGGGTTTGCCTCTAATGTATCCATTTGAGATTAGACACAGACACCACAGACAAAGTAAATAGTTTTTAAGCCACAGTTTGGAGATGGCTTCAGTTCTCACCTCTAATAATGTGCTCTTTCTTTAAATGAGTCTGTACTCCTTCAGGTCACGTGACATCAATTAGTTTTTTTAAAAATTACCTATAAGGGGGAGAGGAGATGATCAATGGAAAAGAAAAACACTAAATCGAAGTAGAATAGAAAATTTACAGTTAGTTTCGAAGGAAGATTTTCTTTTTTACAGCATTTTAGGTACGATGAGATCTTTTTTTACATACTTTAAGTTCTGAGGTACATGTGCAGCATGTGGAGGTTTGTTACATAGATATACATGTGCCATGGTGGTTTGCTGCACCCATTAACCCGTCATCTACATTAGGTATTCCTCCTCTAGCCCCCCACCCCATGACAGGCCCTGGTCTGTGATATTCCCTTCCCTGTGTCCATGTGTTCTCATTGTTCAACTCCCACTTATGAGTGAGAATATGTGGTGTTTGGTTTTCTTTTCTTGTGTTAGTTTGCTGAGAATGAGATCATCTGATTCTTTTAAAAACACTTGTCCATATAGATTCTTGCTTCCTGCACACTAATGATTATTTGTTTGCTTTTTAAAGACAGAAATACTGTGACAAAAGAAAACCTAACAAGAAGAACCACATAAGATAGAAAACATGGAGTAAGCCAAAAGTATAATCCATGGTACATGTGGCATAGTTGTTTTTGTGGGGCTCAGTTTGAAGTGATATAAAATTGATGTTTCAAGGGAAAAGCATTCTCAAATTCCTAGCGTGTACCCTCTCATAGGACAGGGGTGTTTGGGGTAGCACAGTGGAGAAAGGAATCGGATGCTCACAGGGGATGCCCATGTGTATGTGATTTAACTTTCCGGGAGAAAGATGCAGGACAAGCTTGAGCTGATAAATTTGCATCAAGGCTGAGACACTGTATGGGAAAGGAGAAAATGAGAAGATGAAAAAATACTCTGTTCACACACACACACATTTTTCATTTTTTTCTTCAACTTTTATTTTAAGTTCTGGGGTACATGTGCAGGATGTACAGGTTTGTTACACAGTTAAACGTATGCCTTGGTGGTTTCCTGCACAGATCAACCCATCACCTAGATATCATGGTATTAATACCAAGGTGCTAAGGTATTAAGCCCAACCTATATTAGCTATTCTCCTTGATGCTCTCCTTCCCCCCAACCCCCAAAAGGCCCCAATGTGTGTTGTTTCTCCCCATGTATCTATGTATTCTCATTGTTCAGCTCGCACTTATAAGTGAGAACATGTGGTGTTTGTTTTCTGTTCCTGTGTTAGTTTGCTGAGGATAACAGCTTCCAGCTCCATCCATGTCCCTGCAAAAGACATGATCTCATTCCGTTTTATGGCTGCATAGTATTCCATGGTGTATATGTACCAGATTTTCCTTATCCACTCTATCATTGATGGGAATTTGGGTTGATTTCATGTCTTTGCTATTTTGAATAGTGCTGCAATGAACATACACGTATGTGTATCTTTATAACAGAATGATTTATATTCCTTTGGCTATATACTCAGTAATGGGATTGCTGGGTCAAATGGTATTTCTGGTTCTAGAGCCTTGAGGAATCACCACACTGTCTTCCACAGTGGTTGAACTAACTTACACGCCCACCAACAGTGTAAAAGTATTCCTTTTTCTCCACAACCTCACCAGCATCTGTTGTTTCTTGACTTTTTAATAGTCATTCTGACTGGCATGAGATATCTCATTGTGGTTTTGATTTGCATTTCTTTAATGATCAGTGATATTAAGCTTTTTTTCATATGTTTGTTGGCTGCATAAATGTCCTTTTGAGAAGTGTCTGTTCATGTCCTTTGTCCACTTTTTAATGGGGTTTTTTTCTTGTAAATTAATTTAAGTTCCTTGTAGACTCTGGGTATTAGACCTTTGTCAGACAGAAAGATTGCTAAAATTTTCTCCCGTACTGTAGGCTGTCTGTTCCCTGTGATGTTAATTTCTTTTGCTGTGCAGAAGCTCTTTAATTTAACTAGATGTCATTTGTCAATTTTTGCTTTTGTTGCAATCACTTTTGGTGTTTTTGTCATGAAATCTTTGCCTGTGTCTATGTCCTAAATAGTATTGCCTAGATCTTTTTCTAAGGTTTTTACAGTTTGGGGTTTTACATTTAAGTCTTTAATCCATCTTGAGTCAAATTTTGTATAAGGTATAAAGAAAGGGTCCAGTTTCAATTTTCTGCATATGGCTAGCCAGTTATCCCAGCACCATTTATTAAATTGGGAATCTTTCCCCATTAGCTGTTTTTGTCATGTTTGTTGAAGATCAGGTGGTTGTAGGTGTGCAGTCTTATTTCTAAATTCTCTATTCTGTTCCCTTGGTCTATGTGTCTGTTTTCATACCAGTACCATTCTGTTTTGGTTACTATAGACTTGTAGTGTACTTTGAAGTTGGGTAGCGTGATGCCTCCAGCTTTGTTCTTTTTTGCTTAGGATTGTCTTGGCTATTTGGGCTCTTTTTTGGTTCCACATGAATTTTTAATAGTTTTTTCTAGTTCTTTGAAGAATGTCAATGGTAGTTTAATAGGGATAGCATTAAATCTATAAGTTGCTTTGGGCAGTATGGCTATTTTCACTGTATTGATTCTTCGTATCCACGAGCATGGAATGTTTTTTCATTTGTTTATGTCTTCTCTGATTTCCTTGAGCAGTGATTTGTAGTTCTTCCTGAAGAAGTTCTTTGCTTCCCTTCTTAGCTATATTCCTAGGTAATTTATTCTCTTTGTAGAGCGCACACATACTCATATGCACACTGTTATGGGCTGGAATTTTGGTCCCCAGTACCTCAGAAAGTGACTATATTTGGAGATAGGGCATTTGAGAGGTAATTAAGGTTAAATGAAGTCACTAGGGTGGGGCCTAATTCATTATGGCTAGTTTCTTTATAAGAAGAGATTAAGACACAGATGCAAACAGAGGAAAGACCCTATGATGACATAGGGAGCAGATGGCCATCTACAAGCCAAGGAGAAGCTTTAGAAGAAACAACCCTGCTGATCTTGATCTCAGACTTCTAGCTTCCAAAAATATGAAAAAAAATTCTTCATTTAAGCTACCCAGCCTGTGGTATTTGTTATGGCAATCCTAGCAAAGTAACACACACACACACACACACACACACACACACACAATTATTTTAAACAAAATTAACTCAGAGTATGAAGTTTTGCAATTAACTTTTGCTTTTCATATTTTTATTACTATGAAAATTTCACACATTTAGAAAAGTAGAAAATAATATAATGAACACGTATGTACCTACTATCTATATGATAAGATATAGCAAATCTGAATGTTTTGCTATTTTTGCTTTAAGCTTTTTTTTTTTTTTTTAAAAAAAAGGAATAAAATACTACAGGTACATCTGAAACCCCTTCAGTACCTAACCTGAATCCTAGTCTCCCTTATTCCCTCCCTGGAGATTACACTATCAGTATGATTTGTCTGATATCTGTACGAATCTCAGCCCCCACCCCATGAAACCAAAAGATTGAGGCATGGCCAGAATGCAAATGCTGGAATACTTTTGAAAGAGAGGGGTCCATTGTCTAGGAATGTCCGGTAATAAGACCCCTTTCCATGCCTTACCACAAATTGTCTTGTTTGAGGTCCTTCCAATCAAAGCCTGTCCTATCAATGCTTCCACATACCAACCTGCCCTCCCTAACCCATAAAATTTGCCCAAACCTCAAATCAGGAAGACAGATTTGAACATTGCCTCCTGTCTCCTTAACAGTGGACCTCATAATAAAGCCTTTGTTTTCTATAAAACAAACAATCAAAACAAAACAGTGCCATAGTTTTGGCTTCTATGCACATTGGGAAGCACCCCATTGCTTGGTGGTAACATTATCATGTCATGAAAATTCGATGCTTCCTTCCAGAAAAGTATTTTAGACACTGGTCTATTTTGGCATTTGAACTACATTTACAGCAAGCATTCTTGATGATTTTATTTGTTATCTGTTTTCTAGAATTAATGGGAGTTCTTTTCCCTCACACATATTGAAGGAAACTGCATTTAATGGATACATAAATTTAGAGAAAAAGAAAAATTTAGGGATATTGAAACTTTTCACCAATATGCATGTTACATCTCTCTACTTATTTAGATATTTTTTAAGTTTACTACTAAAACTTATTTATCTATGATGTTCTAAGACTTCTATTGTGGTGAGAAATTATATTTTTTAAATTACATTTTTAATTGGTTATTTCTAGCATATAGAAATATTACAAATTTTGTATGTTGGTCTTCTATCTAGTAATCTTATTGTTTCTAATACTTTGCAGATTCTCTTGGATTTCTTAATATAGAATATAACATTCTTGCAAAAGAGTTTGTTTCCTTTCTTTCCAACATTTGTAGTTTTTCTTCTTCTTCTTCTCTTACTCCATTGGTGAGGAGCTCTAATAAAATGTTAAATAGAAGCAGTAATAGCTGAAATGTTCATTGTGCATCAAACTTTAAAGGTTTTAAAGGTTTCTAAAGTTTCACCACTAGGTATGCTGTTTTCAGTCAGTTTTTGAGAAATAATATTTTATCAAGTTAAGGAAGGGTTCCTTCATTTTGTTTTTCATTTTATTTTATTTTATTTTAGAGACAGTGTCTTTGCCCAGGCTAGAGTGCAGTGGTATGATTATGGCTCACTACAACCTTGAACTCCTGGGCTCAAGGGATTCTCCCACCTCAGCCTGGTGAGGAGCTGGGACTACAGGTACATGACAACATGCCCAGCTATTTTTTTTTTTTTTTATTTTTTGTACAGACAAGGTCACACTGTGTTGCTTAGGCTAGTCTACAACTCTTGTCCTCAAGTGATCTCCCATCTCAGCTTCCCAAAGTGTGGGATTACAGGCCTGAGCCACTGAGCCAAACTCCTTCATTTTGCAAAGATCTCTGATAAGATCTTTACCTTTTGTAAATTCCATAATGAGAGTTACATTGCATTAAATTCCTTTTCTGTTTATTAAAATGATCATATTTCCTTCTCTTTACTCTTTTAGTCTCATGGCTTATATAAGTGGATTTTCTGATATTAAATCATCCTTGCTTGGTTTAATACACATATAGAATAAATATATATTAATAAACATTTTAATATTTAACACCTTTATAAACATTATTTAATAAATATATTAAAATATATATTAATTATGTAATCCATAAATATAACATTTATTTAATGTATTTCATAGTAATACAATGTTACCATATTACCATATGTGAAATGCATAGTTTTGTTTCATAATAAACTATGCTTGCATAGTTTTCATAAGTAAATAAGCATATAAACCATATACAGCTACATATATATTTTCTTTATAAATATACATTCATACTATTTCATTTGCTACTTTATATTATATGTACTTAATACAGTGCTGACATATAATTAATCATATTATATATAGGATTCTTGAATCTATATTTACAGGTGAAAGTGATCTCTAATTTTATTTACTTGTCAGAGTATATTGTCAAAGTTGCGCTAATTTAAGAGAGTGAGCTGGACTGTGTTCCATCTTCTATTCTCTGAAACAATTTATATCATATATATTTCTTGAAGCATAACAAACTTTCCTATAAAATTATTTTGTTGTTGTTTGGAAAAGAGAGACTTTTAAAATTGATTTTTAATGGTTATTGTTTATCCAAATCTTCAAGTTGTTTTCTAAGCAATCAGTAATGTTCTCAAACATTGTCCACTTCATCTAATTTTCCAAATTTATCATAATTATTCATAGCATTTTAAACAATTTTTTATTTGTAGTGTCTATACATTAGCCTTCTTTTCCATTACCAGTATTGTTTATTTTATTTCTGTCTCCCTGATCTATATAATATAGGATAAAAATCTATTTTATTGATCTTTTTTCCCTTAAAAAGCTTTTCAGTTTGTTATGTGCATTGTCATTCTTTTATTTTTTCACTTGTTTTTTGTTTGTTTGTTTTCATTTTCTGCTTCTAGCTTTATTTTGCCCTTCATTTAACTTACTTCAATGTACACCTTTATTTTGTTTTGTCTTTCCTTACATCGTTATAGGAATAACTCTTTTATTTTCAGTTATCTTTTTATTATAAATATCTTTATAAAAGATAAATTGGACATAAGTTTACCTTGAGGAATACATTAGCTGCATCTTAGAAGCTTTTACAATATTGCCATTGTAATTCTGTTCTACTTGTGTATATATTTTATTGTAGCTTTTCCTTTAATCCAAGTGTTAAAGGCCTGATTGCTTATTTCCAAATTTATATTTGTTCTTTACTGTCTTTTATATTTATTTCTAGTTTTATTTTACTGTTGTTAGAAAAGTTAGTCTACTTAATATATTAGTAATCATTTTTAAGTCTTTTGGGTTTGCTTTTGTGTGTTTTAAGTTCTCTTAGATCAAACTGAGAGCTTGAAAGGAGGTGGTTAGGTAAATAAATGTGTTAATGGGTAGTTAAAAGCATGATAATTAATTTCTATGTTCAGGAAATAATATAAAAATAACTTTAGAATTGTATTTCCATTCCTAAAATGTTAACAAATACACTTAATTATGATTTTTCAATAGCACATTATTTTCAGTAAGGAAAGAGGGACTGACAGAGGCAGGGAACAAGGTAAACAAGACAAAAGAAAGAAATATAGGAAAAAGAAAGGCAAAATAAGATGGCAGAAAAGTCCTAACACCTCAGTAGTCAAAATAAGTAGGGACAGATTAAATGTACTTATTAAAAACAGGTACTATCTAACTGAATGGAGCGGGGACCTAATCCAGTTATAAGTTAATGACACAAAAAGATGCAGAAAAGTTAAATATAACAATTTTGGGGAAAAAATGCAAATATTACCAGAAGGAAACTAGTGTGACATTGTCAATATTAATGACATATAACTTGACACAAAAATTACAGATAGAAATATAAAGGACTGCAGATAAAAGCAGAATTTTATCAAGAATGTATAAAAATCATGAACTTATATGTATCCAACTACAACAACACACACACAATCATAGGGATAGATTTTACACACTTTTCTCAGAAATAATCAAATTATTGCTTTTTAAGCCAAAGTTCTTCCAGGCTCCTGTGTGCACCCGTTCCCAAACCTACCTCTACTTTACCCCTTTTCATTAAAGACCAGTGTCTGGGGCTTGACTGAGGACAAAGAGATGCAGGAGGGAAGACAGGTCTCTGTGGGACAGGCAGAATAATGCCCTCTCCTACCACGTTTCTAATCCCAGGACTCTGCAAATATGTTATATTATACAGCAAAAGGAAATCAAGGCAGCAGACGGGATAAGGGATGGTAATAAACTCACGTTATGATAGAATTTATCCTTGAAGTAGGATTAATGTAGAAAAGAGGGAAATCAAAGGTTGGGAAGGGAGCGTTAAAGCGATAAGATGCAATAAGAACTTGACCCCGACTGCTGGCTTTGAAAATGGAGGAAGGAGCCACAAGCCAAGAATACAGGCAGCCTCTAGAAGCTGGGAAAGGCAGGGAAATTGATTTTCCCTAGAGCCTCCAGAAACAAACACAGCCCTGCTGATGCCTTGATTTTGACCCACTGAGACCCATTTCGAACTTCTGACCTCCAGAACAGCAAGATAACAAATTTATGATGTTTTAAGCTATTAAATTTGTGGTAATTTGTTACAGCAGGAATGGGAAAGTAATACACTATGTATGTAAATGTTACATAATCGCCAAGATGCTCCTGCACACCGAATCAGGCTGTAGACAAGCCTCTATGCCAGGACTAGATCCCCGCAGGGAACATGGACAGGTGTTCTGCCCTTCTCTGACACATCAGGAAGTAAGTTGTCTATCTCTGAAGATTCTATTTATAAAAGTGACCCTTTCAGATCCAGAAAATGAGCTCAAGGGCTAACCACCCTAATGTGTCTTCAGCAACAGGGGCTGGGGGAAGAGGCCCGGACTCAGGGCATTAGAGGTTGTCTCCATGAACTATTGTCACATCGGGTCTCCATCTGTCACTGTCTTAACTTTTTTAAGGGCTTGTAGTTGAGACATAGGCAGGCTTGCGTGTAATTGACAACACTCAGGGCCCATGTGCATATGAGGTTCCAAATAAATTAAAACCTAATTATGTACGTTAACAAAAGGAAAAAAAAAGAAAATATTGCTTTTTAAAGGAAACAAAAAATGTAAGGTACCATAGACATCTTCTTATGTCATTTAGATCTTCAATTTTATTTTTAATGTCTTTGTAGTTTTTATCTTGAATAGATGTATATAAAATTAAATGACAAAACAGGTGGGCATTTAGCATGTTTTCAATGTTTTGCCTTTGCAAAGAGCACCACAATATACATATTGTGCTATTTTTTAAATTTAAAACAAGAGTTTCAAATAAAAATTAGTTATTTCCTATAGAACCCTGTAAGTATGAGATTCTATCTGGTAACACTTTCTTTAGTCTGAAGAATATCCCTTAGCATTTCTTAGAGTGAAGATCTGCTATTGTCAAATTCTTTCAGATTTTGTTTAACCAACAATTTAATCCTCAATTTAAACTGTATTTTCATTAGATATATACTTCATTCTATTGTCTTCTGGTCTTCAGTGAAGTTAGTAATATTTTTGTCCTGTATATAAAGTGTGTTTTTCTTTGGATGCTTTCAATGCTTTCTCTTGAAAATCTTTGGTTTTCAACTATCTTACTGCATTGTGCCTAGGGATTTGTGTGTGTTTATCCTGCTTTGGGTTTCCCAGGTTTCTTGAATCTGTAAATATGTGGGTTTTTAAAAAAATCAAATTTGGGACATTTGGGCTACTAACCCTTCAAACCTTTTCCTGTCTCATCATCACTCTTTCCTATTCCTGAGATTTGTATTATACCTATTTGGGGTTATTTAATATTGTCCCACAGGTACCTGATGCATTGCTTACATACAGTTCCCCCATTTTTTCTTTGTTTTTAAGTTGGGATAATTTCTATTTATCTATATGCATCGTCACTTTCTTCTGTTAGCTCCCTTTTGCTGCCAAACACATCTATTTTTCTTTCCATTTTGCTATTCTTTTTCAGATCTAAAATTTTTATTTGTTTTTCTCTCTATGGCTTCCATTTCTCTGAATAGCTTTCTTATCTGTTCATTTATGAAGAGTATATTTTTATATTTTATTTCCTTGAACATATATTATTTTAGACCTTTGAATTTATTGTAATAACTGCTTTATAGTTTCTGCGTGTTAAGTCTAACATCTGGGGCAATGTGGGTCTGTTTCCATTGACTATTTCTTTTTCCTTGATTACGGGTCACAGTTTTTTTTTACTTTTTTCCATTTCTAGTGGGTTTTTATTCTCTACTAAATAGTTGATGATACATTGTAGACACTGTAGATTTTATTATATTCTTCTGAGGATAGTTTATTTTTGTTTAGGTAAATGGTTCAATTATGGATTGATCAACTTAAATTTGTGTAGGCTTAGTTTTCCACTTGTTGGACCACACCTGTGAAAATTCTGAACTTTTTCCTAAACCTTTTTTTTTTAACTTGGAAATACTTCTCTTCTAAACTGTCCTTTCTAGGAATTCTGCCAGATTTTGGTTTTAGACTGTATTAGGGAGGTTCTAGAATAGACTTTCTACAGTAGGTCCTTATTCTTAATATGTAGCCTTTCTAGTATCTTATCTGGATGCTTAGGATGGCAATAAGGAGTTATTGGGACGTCTTCACTACAACCTCCTTCACTACAGCTGGGCTAGACTTCCACTGTTCTCCATCACTGCTTGACCTCTAGTTTCTCTGTTCTGCTCTCATATCTATAGAACCTGGTCTTTGGAAATCTCAGATGATCTTGTCCTGTGAAAGTAACACCCAACCTGTCGTCACAGACTTCCAAAGAATTGTGACCTCATGTACTTTCACATGTGCTTCTGAATCTTCTCTTTGCACAACTTCTTCCTTTCTCATGTCCCGTCCTTAGATTCCAGACTCTTAGCTGCCCGACACTCCGATCTCTGCCTTCTCAGTTCAGCAAGAGTGCTGAACTCTGCTTGCACTTCAGCTTCCTGCACCATGATTTGAAAATTATCTCTCAGCAGAGATCTAGGACAATCATTATTGAATGGGGTCCACTCCTTCAGTTTCTCTTCTTCAGGGACCACAGATCTGTGCTCCCTGCTGTCTAATGCTTGATAAACTTTTGTGTTTTTATATTTATTAATAATGGGAGGTCTAGTTCAGTACATTTCTTCATCATAGCTAAAAGTCGAATCCAGATATTGCATTATTTAATTCTAGAAATTATATTTGATTTTCAAAACATATTGTCTAGTGAAATTCTCTCTCTCTTAATTTACTTTGTCCATCTTTATGTCTATTGTCCTGACCAAATTAATCACATTTATCTTAAAGCCTTTGTCAGCCAAATCACAATTTATCTATTTTATGTATTGTTTTAGTCTTAGTTTTTGGCTGCATAGTCCTGTCTTCTTGTGTGACTAGTATTTTTTAAATCAAGCTGTAACACATACAATGAAATGCAAACATCTTAAGTTTACAGTCTGATGAATTATAACATATGTGTGACGACTGTGTGACAACTTCCTAGATCAAAGATACAGAATATTTCAGAATTCCAGCAATCTTGCTTCCAGTCTTACCCAGTCACTAGACCCCTAGGGATAACCTATTTGGATTATCTATCTCTACAGATGTTTTTAAACTTCATATAAATGAAATAATATTTTACATACTAGTGTGTCTATCTTCATTCATTTTACAATGTCTTTAAAAACATCCATGTTGTCCTGTGTATCAGTAATCTGTAAGAATGTTTTTTCCATTGTGTGTATTATTCCATTGTCTGAATTTACTGCATTTTACTTACTATTCCCTTTTCATGGACACAGAAGTTGCTTCCAGTTTGAAGGTATTATCAATACAACTGCTATAATCATTTTTGTACATGAATTTTCATAGATATAAGCTTTCATTTCTATCGGTATATATCAAAGAGTGGAATTATTGGCTTATAGTGCATATGTATATTTAGATGTAGTAAATATTTCTAAATATTTTTTCGAAAGTTCTGTTCTCCTCTCCATAGAACCTACTTTTTGGAAATTCTCAAGTAATCTTGTCCTGCGCAAGCATAGCCCAACCCTTAGTCAAAGACTTTCATGGAATCCCCAGATTTAAGCTATTTCAGCCGTTTTACATCCTCTCCAACACCTGATAATGTCAACTTTAAAAAAAAATTTTAGCCATTCTCAATATCTCATGATGGTTTTATTTTGGATCTCTCTGATGATGAAGAACATGGAGTACCTATTAATACATTCCTTGTTTCTAACAATATATTTATTTTATAATCATATAATTTATAACAATATATTTATTTTATATATTTTATAAATATATTGTTAAGTTATAATATATATTAAATATATAAATATATAAAATATACTTTATAAATATATAATAAAAACATAGAGATGCAAGTTTATAACTTCTTCTGCAGAAGGATTCCTCTCCCTTTGCAGGGAAAATAGTGTAAAGGCTGACCCCCTTGATCCAATCCATCCTGAGTCTAAGATGGGTCAAAGTCCTGGTAAGACACAGACTATACCTGGTTTGCTCCTGAGGTTTCATGGTTTTCAACCAAGAGCCTAGGTTCTTCCCACTGGTATATCCTGAACTCTGATCATTGTCTCAAAATAGTGCTAAGAATTCTCTTCTCCCTCTCAAAGAGTTGTCACTTAGGCTTTTAGCCTCTATCCTGCACAGCTGCAAGATTCAGCAAATGTCCTGAAGGGAAACCAATTGAGGTCTTGAAACTCCCTGCCCTCCCCTCGACCTAACCTATTTTCCTGTCCAAAGCCCTGCTGTTTTCTCTGTCCCTCCAGTGTTCCTTTGCTCAGCTTTGCCCTAGTATTTGCACTGGTTTCTCAGGCTCCTGCCCTGAGCTGCGTTGCTAAATGCCTTCCCTCCTCCTCCTCAACCACTTCCAATGTAAAATCAGCTGCCATTTTCTTTAATTTATTAAATGAGGCAAAATTTTCCCTGCCACTAGATAAAACTACAACAGCCTTCTCTGCTGACTTTTAGGTCATCGAAGAATGTATGGTCACTGTAGATTTCAAATACAGTCTCAATTAGATGATTAAACTTCCTCAGCCTCCCTGGGCAGCCAGAGGGCAGAAAACTCACTGGGAAGGCAGTTGTGGTTGACATGTTCACTCTTTTCTGCTTACTTCCTCTCCTACTCACTAGTTCCATCCCACGTTGAAGCAGGAAGGGGGAAACAGCTGTTGTTTGAAGGGCACTATTATAATATGTGTCCTATCCATCCTACTAGTGTTTAAAGTGGTGATTGAAATGTTTGAGGTATTTTTTGGGCTCCTCCAACTGTAATCCTGTGATGTGAGTAGCGCAACTCTTCCTTCGGGCCTCTCTTGGGCCCTAATTTGTTGGAGGACTGCCCCTCACAGGTGTCTCTCTGTTGCAGTCCTATTGCCCCTCCAGGTAGTACTCAATGGTAGACTTCTTAAATGGCCCAAGGGTCACTTTCTTTTTCCTGTATGGTCTAGCTTGGGGACATAGAAAATACCTAATATTCTTTTCAAGTGCAAACTTCTTCCTTTGGCCCTGATGCTAATGCCAGCAGCCACAGCTCTTTGCTCTGAGAGTCCTCAGATATGGTCCTCACTGTGGCCAAACTCCAAGGGACATATATCAGCTCCCTGAGTGGTTCCCCGAAAGACATAAAGTGAGGTGATTTTTACTTCCTCTCCTTTCCCTTGGGGAAGAGCTCATAGCCCAGTTTTCACCGAAGAAGTCCTCCTCTCAAAATCTACTCTTGATCATTTTATGTCCTCACTGTGGGTGAGGGATTTCAAGAGTCATGGAATTGGGCTTGGCTATTTTCTTTGAAAATTTCTGTTTTGGAGTGTCAACTCACTTGGAAATTTTATACCCATGGTATTGGGGCTGGCTGAATATCGTGCTGCAAATATGTCCACATCTTAATTCCAGGAATTTTTACATACGTGACCTCATATGATAAAAGGGCCTCTGCCAATGTGATTAATGATCTTGAGATGGGGAGATGATCCTGGATTTTCTGGGTGCAGCAAATGTAACCACCAAGATCCTTACAAAAAGGTGGCAGAATGATCACAGACAGGAGTAGGAGATGTGACGATAGAAGCAAGAAACAAGTGATGCAAGGAAGGGGCCATGAGCCAAGGGATGCAGGTGGCCTCTGGAAACTGAAAAAGGCAAGGAAACAGATTCTCCCCTGGGGCCACCTGTTGGCAGGGTTGTCAGCCCTGCCAGCACCTTCACTGCAGCCCAGTGAGGCGGACTGTGAATCTCTCATCTCCAAAACTGTACTATAATAAATTTGTGATGTTGTAGGCCACACATTTTGTGGCAATTTGTTATCATAGTAACAGGAAACTACTATAGGCATCATGGTGCCTCCGGCAAAATTTTAAATTTTGTTTCTAGTAACCTTGCCACAAAATGCTCTTAGATAATGGAGTTATTTTAACAGCTGGGGTAATAGCACATAATGCCCCTAACTACAGGACAGACCTGAAATACTAGGGAGGGCTCCTAAGGTCTGTTCCCCATGGGTGGTGCTGATACATTGCACAATGATTCAATATCACTTTCATGCCATTCACAGCTGCAAATACTGGCTCTCCCATTTGTATTATTACAGCTAAGTGACTTTGGGGAAGTTACCCTACCTATTTTTACTTGTTTATCTATAAAATGGGATAATATTATCTACCTCTGAGATTTGTCTGAGGGTTAAATGAAATTGTTTAAAATTGGCAAACCCTTTATTCAGTACCTACCATGTAACAAGTGATTGAAAAAGTATAGTCATCAAAAAATGAATGGTGTCGATTCATAGTAAAACCAATTTGTAAATGTTTAGGTGTTGTGTTGGGTTAAAAATATTTGCCCTTGCGGAGGGTGTAGAGGTGCTGCCTTGCAGTTTCCATGGTAAGCACAGGGTTGGTCACTTCCAGCTCAGTCAGGTGAGATGCCTCCCTGATTTCAGGAGGCAGAGTGTCCTGATGGAAGGTAGTTAGCTTTGAAATATCAGTTTCCCTGCCTGGTGGAAATAAGTGTTTGCAGCATATAAAACATATTTAGTAGTGCTATTGATGGATAAATCATGAAAGATGCACACTTGAAAGGTTAATATTGACATCCTGTAAGACATAACTTTATATGCAGCACGACTATTGATCAAACCTGAGTTGATCAAACCTGAGGTGGTGATGGGCTAGAAAGTGCTACTGTGGATCATTTACAGGAGGAGCAATGTGAGTACTCAGAAGGGCTCAGGCATTGTATAAAAATGAGGCTTTCTTTAAACACATTTTGCAATTTCCAATCCAGCCCATGAGCTGCTATCAGTTTATCCCTTGCAACAGAAACAATAACACCCTGCATCCAAGAAGAAACATTTGCTGACCATATACATTTGGTTAATTATGACTTTTCCATTTGCCCAGATAAAGGGGTCAACAGGAATTTCCCAGGTACGTGAATAACACTTTCGAGGGGAGCTATGTGTTTGCCTTGGTCAATTCACACACACACACACACACACACACCCCAAAGAAAATCTTTTGGTGATATCTTGAGCCCTTACTAATTTTTTCTAGCTAATGAACTACAATGAGTTTACTATTTTTAAAAAAAGATTCTCGGCCGGGCGCGGTGGCTCACGCCTGTAATCCCAGCACTTTGGGAGGCCGAGGCGGGTGGATCATGAGGTCAGGAGATCAAGACCATCCTGGCTAACAAGGTGAAACCCCGTCTCTACTAAAAATACAAAAAAATTAGCCGGGCGCGGTGGCGGGCGCCTGTAGTCCCAGCTACTCGGGAGGCTGAGGCAGGAGAATGGCGTGAACCCGGGAAGCGGAGCTTGCAGTGAGCCGAGATCGCGCCACTGCAGTCCGCAGTCCGGCCTGGGTGACAGAGCGAGACTCCGTCTCAAAAAAAAAAAAAAAAAAAAAAAAGATTCTCCAGTTAAGAAAAGTGTTTACTTCATTATTAAATTGGGAATGGGGGAAAAACCCTGGGATTTCAGTAACATTCTTAATAACCATTAATGTGAAACAATTCCTCAGTCTTTGTCTGTCATGACTTGACAAATTTAAAGAGTACTGGCCAGCTATTTTATAGAATGTCCCTCAATTTGAGTTTGCCTGGTATTTCTTTATGACTAAACTGGTGTTTTACATTTTTTTATTAAGAACATAACAAAAGTGATACTGTGTCTTTCTCAGTGCGTAATTCGGAAGTTTTACCTCTTCCTTGCCCGTTCTTATTGGCCAATTTGTCCCATGACTGGCAATATTAACTTCAATAATTTTGTTAAGGTAATGTTGCCAATTATCTGGATTTGTTCTTTCCCTTTGCACCTTACGAAAAGTTGGTTTGAGACTACCTGAGAATCCTGTTTCTCATCACACTTTTGTTCTCCTTCCAGTTCTAGAATTCACTGATGATAAATACCTGAAGTAAGAATTACTGTGGTGGTTTTCTACTTCTATCATTCTTTCTACATTTATTTCCTGACATTCAACTGTAAGACAGCATTTCCTTCTCCTTTATTTTTTAATTTATTCAATTATCTATAATAGTATGAATTTGTGAATTCCTGTTTTATTCTTTAAGTTATAAACCAGTTTCTGGTTTCCTTCCAGAGCTTCCTGTGCCTAACATGTACATTTTATTATTTTCTCTGTTTCTTATTCAAAAAGTAGAATATAGAAACTCTTTAGATCCAAATCTTTGACACATATAAACTCTAAATTTAGAGTTTATTCTTGTGTGTGGTGTGAGGTGGGGCTCTGAGTTGATCTTTTTGAATTGCTGCTCAGTTGTGCTAGCACCATTTATTAAAAAGTCCATCTTTATTGATAAGTCCCTTGATTTGAAATATCTTTATCATATAGACTAAACGTCTATATGTTCTTGGGTCTATTTTTGGATTTTCTATTCTAGTACACTCGTCTGTTTGCCTATTCATGAGCCTACCTGACATTCTTAATTATAAAGATGTTATGGAATATTTTAATGGCTGGTGGAATAGTTACCACTTATATTCCACATACATATATGCGTGTGTGTGTGTGTGTGTATGTGTGTGTATATATATATATATATGTATATATACGTATATATACATATATATGTATATATATGTATATATGCATATATATGTATATATATACACGTATATATATATGTGTGTGTATATATATATATGTATATATATATATACACTGGTTTTCCAGACTCTTATCATGGCTGACTTTTCAAATAAACATTAGGATGAACTAGTCTAGCTTCATGTAAAACATGTGCTGTTAACTTGGATTGAGGTAAATGTACATGTTAGTTTAGGGTACTGCATCTGTATCAAGTTGGGTCTTTCTATCCAAGAAGAACGCATGTCTTTCCATTTGTTCAAGCTCACTTTGTGTCTTCAGAAGTTTTTTAAAAAGTCTTTCTCATAGACATGTTGCACATTTCTTGTTAAACTTATTCTTAACTATTTAATTTTCTTTGTTGCTATTATAAATGGAGGTTCTCTACCATTATGTCTTCTAACTGGTTGTTGTTCATGCATATAAAGGCTATTAATTTCTAGATATTAATTTTATATCCTCTTACCTTGCTGAATTATTTTGTTTCTTACGTTAGCTTTATCATTGATTGCCTGGGGCTTTACCCCTTCTTTACCATCATTATATCCAATTGATTTCTCTTGTCTTATGGCACTAGCAAATACCTTTAATACAATATTGAAGTAGTAGAGGTAGATTCCTTCCCTTGTTCCTGATGTTATCATATTATCTGCAGATAGAGAAACTTTACCCCTTCTTTACCATTATTATTCCTCCAATTGACTGATGTTATTGTAAATACCTCTTGTATTTCCCAATAAGAAACATGCTAGCTTTATGATGGTTTACATATTTGTTCATGATAAGAAAGTATCAATCAGTTTATATGTTCTTAACTTATTTATTAAAGAATAAGTGATGAATTTTCCCAAAAGATTTTTCAGCATTTATGGAGGTTTGGTCTATTTCTGAGACTTATTAATATAGTTTGTTACATAAATAGAATTCCTAATATTAAGTCAACTTTGCACACCTGGAATAAATGATACTTGGTTATGGTGTTTATTTTCTTACTGCAATGAAGTGTTGGAGTATATTTGCTAATATTTAGTTTAGTTACTTTTCATCAACATTTAAAAGTGGTATTGGTCTCTAGTTTTCTTGTACTCTCTTTATTATGTTTACATATCAACATTATAGTTGCATCATAAAAGTAATTAACAAGTTTTTCTTCATTTTTAATGCTCTGGAACAATATATGGAGCGTTGGAACTACCCAGTCTTTGAAGGTTTTATGAAGTTTGCCTGTGATAGCATCTGTCACACTATTAATATCTATGATACCATCTGGGTCAGATTCTGTCTTGTGGGATAGTTTCTTGATAACTTTGTCTCTATTTCTCTTATGAAAATTGGTTTAAGTGTTCTATCCCTAATGGTGTCAATTTTATTAACTTTATTTCCCGAGGAAAATTTTCCATTTCACCTATGTTTTCAAAATTATTTGTTTAGAGATCTTTCTTTTCTTTTCTTGATTAAGTTAGCTAGTGGTTTGTCTATTTTGTTAATTTTTCAACAAAACAGGATTTTATCTGCTAATTAGATTTGCCATTTTTCTATTCTTAATGTTATTTTTTTAGTTCCTACCTTGAAATTATTTTTTCATACTTTGGTTTTCTTTTTTTGAGCTTGGTATTTAATTCATTTGTGTTCATTTTTTTTTCCATAATTCCTCTTTCAACAAAGAGTTTTTACAATGGAGGGTTTACTTTTTTCTACTTTCCAGGTACTTTATTAAGCCTTTTTTCTTTTGTTTGCATTTTATTCACATGTTTTTTTTCTGCTTTCTTTTTTTGTTACTATATTGACACTTCTCATTTAATTGTATTTCGATCAGAGACTGTTGCATGTGCATGTAATACTGCTAACGTATGGGATTCACTGATGTTTCCTTTTGATGTGTGTGTGTGTGTGTGTGTGTGTGTGCGTGTGTAAGGTTATATGAGCCTTTGAAAAACTGTATTCTCTATGAGTAGAGTGTGTATTCATTTTCTAGTGCTGCCATAACAAAGAACCACAAACTGAGTGGCTTAAAACACTATAAATGTATCGTTTCACAGTCCCAGAGAGGAGAAGTCAGAGATCAAGTCATGGTCATGCTCTCTCTGAGGCCTGTAGTGGGGACTCCTTCCTTGTGTCTTCTAGCTCTGGTGTTTGCTGACAATCCATGGCAGTCCTGGGCTGGTAGGTACATCACCCCAATCTCTGCCTTCATCATCACATGACTGTCTTATCCTGTGTGTCTCTGTCTCTTCTCTTTTTCTTATAAAGACACCAGTCACAATTGATTAAGGTTTCACTCTACTCCAGTGTAACTTCATCTGAACTAATTACGTCTGCAACAATCCTATTTACAAATAAGGTCACATTCTAAGGTGCAAGGGGTTAGGACTTCAGTTTATCATTTTGGGAGACATAATTCAACTTATAATAATATATAAAAATCAATATATATTCATAAGATCTACATTTTTCTTATGTATTTTTAGGTCTTCTATATTCTTATGCATTTTTGTCCGCTTGATAGTTCTTGTACTGAGACTGTTGTGTTAAAATTCTCTATTGTTAAAGTGTATTCTTGAATCTCCTATGGGTTTTGCTTATTAAAGGTGATTGCTACATTATTTGGTGCATAGATCTCTATAATATATCTTTATTGTGAATTGTGGCTTTTAGCCTTTAAACATTTTCTGCATTTAATGTGATTTTTTGGTTTGAATTCTCTTCTGTCTACTATAAGAATATGTTCCTTTTACTTACTTTATTTTTAATTCCAATTACCTTAGTTTCTTAGTATACCCTTATCCACCCATACCTTTTTTCCAAACATTTCAAATCATTTTAAGTATATCTATTATATACAACATATCTTTTAGTCTTATTTTGTGTATATTTCAAATGTTTTTCTTTTATTAAGTGGATAACATCGATTCTAATTTATCAGTGTGACTATATGTCTAGTTCCAACTGTGGCAAAATAATTTTTAATTGCATTCTATTTGCTATTTTTCATTTGATGTGTATGTTTAATTTTTTCTTCTTTCTTTTTCTCCTTTTATTTCTTCCATTTTGGAAGGTTTCTGTTATTGTTTTGTTGGTTACCTTTACACTTATACTTTATTGAATACCCCTAGTCCAGTGTTTCCTTAGGTAGTCTTTTGCCATCTGACTTCTCGGTTTTTCATAGTACCCGTTAACTTCTAACCACTGCCTATACAATGAGCTGATTCTTCTCTTGAGGTTTTTTGAACTGTCCCAGCTGACCTCAAATGTGGGAGTGTGAAAGTTTGCTCACTGGAATTTGATATTTTATCTTTTTAAAATTATAGTTACTTTGAAATTTGGGTATTTTGTGTGTTCTATTTATTCTGAGGATGTGGCTTTCGAATATGTATAAATATAGACAGATATAGAGAAAAAAGAGAAGTTGTTTTGTCAGGAAAATGATTCCCTGCATTCTAGCCCAGGCTTGCCCTTGAGTGATTTGCATTTAGACTTTCCTAATGACTGCATCACACAGCTAGAAAAACTTTTTTGAACTTTTCCTGGCCTCATCAAAACTTCAGTCCAATTAATTAATCCAACCACTCTCTTATAAGCCTTTACTTCTCCCTGTCTTTCCATTTCCTCCTCATGCAGGTAAGAGTCCATCATCTATTACCACAATTCAATGCTTGCAATCTCACAAGCTTACGGGGCCAGGCAGGCAACATAAATGAGTAAAACTGGCAAGAGAAAACACAGCAAGAACTTGTCCAGATGGGATGAACCAAATTGATTGTGCTCCATCTAAAAGCGTTCAAATGCATAGTTTTAATACAATGAATGAGCCAAACAAAATCTGTCTCCAGGCTAAATTTTTCATGTCACCTCTCACCTTATTTCCATTCATTATTATCTTCTAAAATCTCAACTTTCATTAAACTCCCTGTTTTCTCCATGTCTGCATCCACGTTGCTTCACATTGAAGAGAAGAAAAATAATGCAATCAGGCTGACCAGCTTCATGTACAACTCAGTATCACATCGCACGTGGCACTCACCCTAAGCAGCCATCCTCCTACACCTTCTAGGAAGCTTTCTATTTCTCTCTCAGAGATGACGATTTATTTCTCCTTCCCACATACTTTATCATTAGAACGCTTTTAGCAGCAGTTATAGAGTTTTCAACTAAAATGGCTTCTATTTATAAGAAGTCCCCTCTGTAACCTCAGTTATCCTGTTTATTTCATTCACAGCAATCATTACACTCTACAATCATTCTGGGTTTTGCTTATTGCTTTATATATTTTTTATTTTCCTCAACCAGAAACATACACTCTGTGAAGACAAAGATTTTTGTCTTTTATTTGCCAGGT
Organism: Homo sapiens; assembly: GCF_000001405.40. Lineage (NCBI taxonomy): Eukaryota > Metazoa > Chordata > Mammalia > Primates > Hominidae > Homo > Homo sapiens. The sequence goes on from NC_000010.11 coordinate 76,809,128, forward strand.
AGCTTTTGGATCTAGAACTATGGCTGCCACATATTAGGAACACAATAAGCACATGTTAAATGAAGGGATTAATCAGAACAAAGATATAACGTGTTTGAATTCCAAGAAACACAGGATAAAGGGCTGTCGCGGGTAAGGTCTAGAAAAGGGATTGGCACACCTTTTCTGCAGAGAGCCAGATAATAAATATTTTCAGCTTTGCAGGCCATATGGTCTCTGTCATGAGTATTTAACTCTGCTATTGCAGCATGAAAGCAGTCATGGATAATGTATAACAAATGGGAGTGGCCACATTTGGACCACAGTCATAGTTTGTGGACCTCTGGTCTAGATGAACAGTCTTTGCAAAAAACGAAACCCTGGGCTCATGCTGCCACTTGTGCATGCTCAAGAAACCATATATGCAAGTATACACTTATATCTACACTGTGAACTACAAAGCAGAGTATGGACTCTAGCACCATATTGCTCAGTTCAAGTCCTGGTCTGTCACTTCTGTGCTTTGTGACCATGGACAATTAACTATCTTCTCTGCATTTCAGTTTCTTCATCACTAAAATAGAGATAATAGCAGTTTCTTTGTCATTAGGATAAATGAGGATTAAATGAGACAATTTTTGTGAAATGCTTAGAACAATTTAGCACATAGTAAGTGTTAAGATGTATGTGTTAAATAAATATCGAAAGGGTCCTTGCTAGGCATTTTGCACCTCATTTCCTTCTTACAGAAGCTCATTGCTTCTGTGAGATATTAGTATTATCCCCATTTCGAAGACATGTAAATTTTGACTCAGGGAAACTAGGCATGATTCCTATGGTTATATGCCTAGTAAGTGATAGTATTAGGGCCAGATAAATGCATTTACAGATACTCTCTGGAAAGATAGTAGAATACATTTTTCATATTGAATGTCCATTCAAGATAAAGGTAACCAACATAGATTGGCCCCTGCACTGGTTTTAAAACATGGCTGCAAATTGTTTGATACTCCTCCTAGTGAGAGGAATCCACTCCTCTTGAATCTGGGTGGATTTGAGACTGCTTCAACCAACAGAGTATGGTAAAAGAGGCACTCTGTGACTGCCAAGGCTAGACCATAAAGGGTCATTCAGTTTTTCTTTCTTTGCTGGAATACATTCTCTTAGAACTGTGGGCAGCCATGTAAAAGGTCCAATTAGCCTGAGGTCGCCATGTTGTGAGAAAGCCCAAGCCATGTGGAAAGGCCATGCATGGCTGCTTAAGTCAAGGGTCCCATCAGAGCCCAGACTTGGAGTCATCCAAGCCCAGGAGTCAGAAATGTGAGTGAAAGTCTTCAGATGATTCCAGCCCCCAGCCAGTAGCCCCACAGCCATTTAACTCTTCCCAGCTGAAGCCCCAGACATCACGGAGCAGACAAACCATCCTCCCCACTGTGATGTGTATGAGTTTCTGAACCACAGAACCCATAAGCATAATAAAACAGTTGATGTTTAATACAATTAAGTTTTGGGGTGCATTGTTAGCACATTACAGAACAGCTTCTTTCCAGATTTTCCTAAACTACAGTTACAGTTAAGCTTATCAATGCTGAACTTCTTTTCCCAGTTACCTTGCTTTGCTGCTACTCCCACAGTCTTTTGAGCTATCCAGCATTCGAAGGATCTGAGATTTGAACTCAAGAATTGTTTCTGACCCCCTCACTCTACTAGGTGATCTTAAGCAAATCGTTTCATATCTTTGGATCAGTTTTCTCTTCTAAAAGGATGAGCAAAGCCTGCTTTGAAAGATTCCCGTGAGAATCAAATGATACCATGGATGCAAAACTGCTTTAATGGAATTTAGACTCCAGATTTTTGGCAAGATCTGGGGCAGAGGGCAGTTTTAATCTTGCTTCAGTTTCAGTCTTGCAAAAAGCATATTTGCCCAAGCAAACCAATAATGTTGATGCTGCAGCCATTGGAAGAGCAAGCACACTTCTTACCATGCACTAGGGGCTTCTAAAGTGTGTGTGTGTGTGTGTGTGTGTGTGTGTGTGTGTGTAATTTAATAGTGGGCCAGCCTGGTGACTTTGAAACAACTCAAGTGTCTGACATGAAAGCAAGAGACAGTGTTTGGAACGAGGGCCATGAAATGCAAGTACATTGCAAATCACTCAGTTGTGCTGTCGAGGGAATCACAGTCACTATATATATTCTCTTAAATGTAGTTTCCCAGCAAACCTTTCATAAAATTCATAACTGTGGCTGACCTCTGCTACATGCTTGCCACCACGACTTTCTCTTCCACCCTCAAATATAACCCAGGCTTGTAAGGCACTTGTGGCAAACACTGTTATCATTCCCAACCCCTTCTCCCTTTCTGTCTCCTTCTATAGAATTCAGAAAACCAGTACTTGCTATCTCAGCTTCCTAGGCATCTAAGGGTGAGCAGAGTCCACAAGGAAGAAGAAAAAGCCTTCAGGAAGAGGATTTTTGCAAAATATTTCTCTTTCCTGAAATAAGGGCACATAATGCTGACACAGCCTTTCCCACTTACTCTTTCTACAGCCTTGAAAGCATGAGGGATGGAGCTGCAGCAGCCATCTTGTGAGAAAGAGGAAAACTCCAAGATTAGTATCTGTTCTGATATCTTTGACCCAACTGCCTTTCACTCTGTATGAAAAAGTGTCTATTTTTGTAGCCACTGTTAGTTGCATTTTCTAGTGCATATGCAGAAAATTCTAACTGATATGAAATTGCAGAAAATTAGGTGTGTGATTGACAATTGGACCCTTCTTCTATAAGCGAACAGGTAAATTTTACTTCTCTGACCTTTATGAGGATGGCAGAAACAAAAACCCTTGAGTATAAAATCATTTAGAGCCCATTATGTCACTCTCCCACTAGGTTAAAAAAAAAAAAGTGACGTCTTAGACACTCCCTTTATTTCTCCCTGCGGCTTTGCGACTCTGCTGGTTGAGTGCATGATATTCTCCTGCCCCAACTACTGCCACAGCCTCCCTAGTTACCTTCCTCTCCACTGTGGTACCCTCCCAGTCATTCTCCACCCTGCAGCCCTTGAGGTTTTCCTAGAAGCAAATGTGATCCATATTCTCCATCATTGCAATGCTCCTTCATGAAAGCCTTCTCTCTGCTGGGAAGGCTCTCCAAGATTTGGCCTCTACATTTCTCTCCACCTTCTCCCCCAGCCAATTCTTTTGTAGAGGCACTTCACTACAATGTTCTCAAGCTCCTTAAACTCTCAGCTTCAGCCACCCTGAATTTTAAAATCCCCTCTCTCACCATTCTAACCCCTCTGCTTGGCTATTTCCCTCTCACATACCTCAATTTTTTCTGATGTATGTATACACACACACACATACACACATACTGCTCTAGATTTGTTGCTCCTCTTATGTGCCCCCAGTACTTGAAGAAAATATACAATATAAGCAGATATCTTTCTGACTAGGTAGTAAGTTACCTGAGGGCAGGGCTTGAGTGTGTCTTGTTCACTGTTGTAATGCCAGTGCCCAGAGAAGTGCCTGGCATGTAGTATTAGAAAAAAGGAAGGAAGAAAGCAAGCAAGAAAGAAATCAAGGAAGTAATGAAGAAAAGAAGGGAGGGAGAGAGGGAGATGGGAGAGTAGTCTGATCACTTTCTATTCACCTCCTTGTTGTAGGAGGCACCATCTGCCCTAAATAATATGAGATGGCTGAACACATGTCTGACACCATACAGCTGAGACAAACAGCAGTTTCTTAGTCATATATACTCACAGCCCAGAGTGGGAGAACACCACAGTCCCTGCAGAAAAACATGAGAATTGCTTGGGAGCAGACAGAACTGAAAGGAGTTGTAGCAGGCAGGCTCTGTAGTGACACAGGGGTGGGGTGACCCTTTGTTCACTTAGGAAGGTGTGATTGGCTTGTTTGAATAATTTTGTGGTCTGGCAGGGGAGTGACTAAATTAAGCTCAGGGTGACTTTTCAGTTACCACCAGGGGTATTCAGTGTTGACTGGCTGATCCAGTCCCTGTTCCCAACCTCCTTATCCCTATCTACTTTCCATCCAGGCCTGATCATGTGTCATAGTGTGGGTCAATGGGACATAAACATAATTGTCTGTGGAATTTCTGGAGAAATTCCAGAGAAAGTTTTGCTTTCCTCGTTAAGGTAATATTCTTTTCTCCTTATTTTTCCCTCTTTGTTCCTGCTGGAATGCGCACCTAATGGCTAGAACAGCAGCAGCCATCTTGTAATCACTGGAGATAGCCAAGACAATCATAAAGGTTTGCAACATCTGAAAAAATTTGCCTCTTATTCATTACTTCTCAGGAAGCTATTGTATAATTGAGTTTACTTTTTTACATAAGATTTAATCATACATATTTTCATACATCATTAAATATTCTTTGTAAGTATCAATTTAGATTGTACATATATGATTACATTGAATGGATATACTATAGTATGTCTTTCTTACTATTTTCCCATTGTTGTGAATATGCTGTTTTATTCATCTTCTGTATCATTCAAATTTGAGGGATTGAGAGTTACAGCTAGCTGTGCACTGTGATGGGCTGCCATTGGGGTTAGTGTTTGGCTGGACACTGATTTGAATGCCCTCTGGGTTTCAGAAGACATGATGAATGAGTTTGGAGCTTGAAACGCTTGGAAGGCATCTATGCAGTGGTCTATATTCTAAAGCATGGTGGATACCCACATCTTCCCTATAAGATCCAGGCCCCAAGTGAGCTCAGTGGACATTCCACCTACATGCTGGAGAGATCGGGGGCTGGACTGAATTGGAAAAGTGTTGCCTAAGGGGCACCAAAGCTAGTGTGGAGAAACAGAATCATCTTTTAAAAGAGCCAAGGTAGTGGCTGGTACCAGTTTTTCCTTTCCATGTTTAGTGCTTCCTTCAGGAGCTCTTTTAGGGCAGGCCTGGTGGTGATAAAATCTCTCAGCATTTGCTTGTCTGTAAAGTACTTTATTTCTCCTTCAATTATGAAGTTTAGTTTGGCTAGATATGAAAGTCTGGGTTGAAAATTATTTTCTTTAATAATGTTTAATATTGGCCCCCACTCTCTTCTGTTTTGTAGAGTTTCTGCCGAGAGATCAGCTGTTCGTCTGATGGGCTTCCCTTTGTGGGTAACCCGACCTTTCTCTCTGGCTGCCCTTAACATTTTTTCCTTCATTTCAGCTTTGGAGAATCTGACAATTATGTGTCTTGGAGTCGCCCTTCTCGAGGAGTATCTTTGTGGCGTTCTCTGTATTTCCTGAATTTGAATGTTGGCCCGCCTTGCTAGATTGGGAAAGTTCTCCTGGATAATATCCTGCAGAGTGTTTTCCAACTTGGTTCCATTCTCCCCGTCACTTTCAGGTACACCAATCAGACGTAGATTTGGTCTTTTCACATAGTCCCATATTTCTTGGAGGCTTTGTTCATTTCTTTTTATTCTTTTTTCTCTAAACTTCTCTTCACACTTCATTTCATTCATTTCATCTTCCATCGCTGATACTTTCTTCCAGTTGATTGCATCGGTTACTGAGGCTTGGGCATTCGTCACATAGTTCTCGTGACGAATTCTCAGATCTCAGATCTCAGATCTCAAGCTGCGTGCTGGGAGAACCACAACTCTCTTCAAAGCTGTCAGACAGGGACATTTAAGTCTGCAGAGGTTATTGCTGTCTTTTGTTTTTCTGTGCCCTGCCCCCAGAGGTGGAGCTTACGGAGGCAGGCAGGCCTCCTTGATGGTTTTCAGCTCCATCAGGTCCTTTAAGGACTTCTCTGCATTGGTTATTCTAGTTAGCCATTCGTCTAATTTTTGTCAAAGTTTTAACTTCTTTGCCATTGGTTTGAACTTCCTCCTTTAGCTCAGAGTAGTTTGATCTTCTGAAGCCTTCTTCTCTCAACTCGTCAAAGTCATTCTCCGTCCAGTTTTGTTCCGTTGCTGGTGAGGAGCTGTGTTCCTTTGGAGGAGGAGAGGCGCTCTGATTTTTAGAGTTTCCGGTTTTTCTGCTGTTTTTTCCTCATCTTTGTGGTTTTATCTACCTTTGGTCTTTGATGATGGTGACGTACAGATGGGTTTTTGGTGTGGATGTCCTTTCTGTTTGTTAGTTTTCCTTCTAACAGTCAGGACCCTCAGCTGCAGGTCTGTTGGAGTTTGCTGGAGGTCCACTCCAGACCCTGTTTGCCTGGGTATCAACAGCAGTGGTGCAGAACAGTGGATATTGGTGAACCGCAAATGCTGCTGCCTGATCATTCCTCTGGAAGTTTTGTGTCAGAGGAGTACCCGGCCGTGTGAGGTGTCAGTCTGCCCCTACTGGGGGGTGCCTCCCAGTTAGGCTACTCGGGGGTCAGGGACCCACTTGAGGAGGCAGTCTGCCCATTCTCAGATCTCAAGCTGCGTGCTGGGAGAACCACAACTCTCTTCAAAGCTGTCAGACAGGGACATTTAAGTCTGCAGAGGTTATTGCTGTCTTTTGTTTTTCTGTGCCCTGCCCCCAGAGGTGGAGCTTACCGAGGCAGGCAGGCCTCCTTGATCTGTGGTGGGCTCCACCCAGTTTGAGCTTCCTGGCCACTTTGTTTACCTACTCAAGCCTGGGCAATGGTGGGCGCCCTTCCCCCAGCCTTGCTGCCGCCTTGCAGTTTGATCTCAGACTGCTGTGCTAGCAATGAGCGAGGCTCCGTGGGCGTAGGACCTTCCGAGCCAGGTGTGGGATACAATCTCCTGGTGTGCCGTTTGTTAAGCCCATTGGAAAAGTGCAGTATTAGGGTGGGAGTGACCCGGTTTTCCAGGTGCCATCTGTCACCCCTTTCTTTGACTAGGAAAGGGAATTCCCTGACCCCTTGTGCTTCCTGGGTTAGGTGATGCCTCGCCCTGCTTCGGCTCATGCACAGTGCGCTGCACCCACTGTCCTGCACCCACTGTCCGGCACTCCCCAGTGAGATGAACCCAGTACCTCAGTTGGAAATGCAGAAATCACCCATCTTCTGCAAAGCTCACGCTGGGAGCTGTAGACTGGAGCTGTTCCTATTCAGCCATCTTGTGACTTCAACCTATACTACAGGCTACAATAACGAAAACAGCATGGTACTGGGGCCAAAACAGAGATATAGACCAAAGGAACAGAACAGAGCCCTCAGAAATAATGCCGCATATCTAAAACTATCTGATCTTTGACAAACCTGACAAAAACAAGCAATGGGGAAAGGATTCCCTATTTAATAAATGGTGCTGGGAGAACTGGCTAGCCATATATAGAAAGCTGAAACTAGATCCCTTCCTTACACCTTATACAAAAATTAATTCAAGATGGATTAAAGACTTAAATGTTAGACCTAAAACCATAAAAACCCTAGAAGAAAACCTAGGCAATACCATTCAGGACATAGGCATGGGCAAGGACTTCATGTCTAAAACACCAAAAGCAATGGCAACAAAAGCCAAAATTGACAAATGGGATCTCATTAAACTAAAGAGCTTCTGCACAGCAAAAGAAACTACCATTAGAGTGAACAGGCAACCTACAGAATGGGAGAAAAATTTTGCAACCTACTCATCTGACAAAGGGCTAATATCCAGAATCTACAATGAACTCCAACAAATTTACAGGAAAAAAACAAACAACCCCATCAAAAAGTGGGCAAAGGATATGAACAGACACTTCTCAAAAGAAGACATTTATGCAGCCAAAAAACACAGGAAAAAATGCTAATCATTACTGGCCATCAGAGAAATGCAAATCAAAACCACAATGAGATACCATCTCACACCAGTTAGAATGGCGATCATTAAAAAGTCAGGAAACTACAGGTGCTGGAGAGGATGTGGAGAAATAGGAAGACTTTTACATTGTTGGCGGGACTGTAAACTAGTTTAACCAGTGCGGAAGTCAGTGTGGCGATTCCTCAGGGATCTAGAACTAGAAATACCATTTCACCCAGCCATCCCATTACTGGGTATATACCCAAAGGATTATAAATCATGCTGCTTTAAAGACACATGCACACGTATGTTTATTAAGGCACTATTCACAAGAGCAAAGACTTGGAACCAACCCAAATATCCAACAATCGACAATGATAGACTGGATTAAGAAAATGTGGCACATATACACCATGGAATACTATGCAGCCATAAAAAATGATGAGTTCATGTCCTTTGTAGGGACATGGATGAAGCTGGAAACCGTCAGTCTCAGCAAACTATCGCAAGGACAAAAAACCAAACACCACATGTTCTCACTCATAGGTGGGAACTGAACAATGAGAACACATGGACACAGGAAGGGGAACATCATACTCTAGGTACTATTGTGGGGTGGGGGTAGTGGGGAGGGATAGCATTAGGAGATATACGTAATGCTAAATGACGAGTTAATGGGTGCAGCACGACAACATGGCACATGTATACATATGTAACTAACCTGCACATTGTGCACATGTACCCTAAAACTTAGAGTATAATAATATAAAATAAAATAAAATAAAATAAAGAAAATTATATAATTAGACAAAAAAAGAGCCAAGGTAGTTTTCAGAAATTCATAAAATTATATGGGCATAGCAAGAATGAAAATAAGAAAATGAGAAATGGATTCATAGTTGGAAAATCCAGAAAATATGAATTATGTCATGTGGTTGCAGTCAGGGGCTGAGGCCACTGACACCAAGTAGACAATGGGTGGCCTCCTACAAGATGCCTGGCTGCTAGGGTGGAGGCAGATACAAGAGCTAAAAGGAGCTATATCGGCCAGGTAACTCTCCTCTTTATTTTTTCCTGATTGTTTTCTAACTTTTTAAAAGAGTAAAAACTCCTTTGAATATAAAAATAAATAGTGTTCCTATTTCTCCACATCCTCTCCAGCATCTGTTGTTTCCAGACTTTATAATGATCACCATTCTAACTGGCATGAGATAGTATCTCCTTGTGGTTTTTCAATCTGCAGTTCTCTAATGACCAGTGATGATGAGATTTTTTCATGTTTGTTGGCCACATAAATGTCTTCTTTTGAGAAGTGTCTGTTCATATCCTTTGCTCACTTTTTAATGGGGTTGTTTTTTCTTGGATCTAGAACCAGAAATACCATTTGACCCAGCAATCCCATTACTGGGTATATATATACCCTGTCAGGCCTCTGAGCCCAAGCCAAGTCATCGCATCCCCTGGGACTTGCAGGTATATGCCCACATGGCCTGAAGTAACTGAAGATCCACAAAAGAAGTAAAAATAGCCTTAACTGATGACATTCCATCATTGTGATTTGTTCCTGCCCCACCCTAACTAATCAATGTACTTTGTAATCTCCCCCACCCTTAAGAAGGTTCTTTGTAATTCTCCCCACCCTTGAAAGTGTACTTTGTGAGATCCACCCCTGCCCACCAGAGAACAACCCCCTTTGACTGTAATTTTCCATTACCTTCCCACATCCTATAAAATGGCCCCACCACTATCTCCCTTCGCTGACTCTCTTTTCGGACTCAGCCCGCCTGCACCCAGGTGAAATAAACAGCCATGTTGCTCACACAAAGCCTGTTTGGTGGTCTCTTCACACGACGCGCATGAAATTTGGTGCCGGAACTAAGCAGCTGCCAGCTTGACTTTTAGCTTAGTGAAATTTGGTGCCGTGACTCGGATCAGGGGACCTCCCTTGGGAGATCAATCCCCTGTCCTCCTGCTCTTTGCTTGGTGAGAAAGATCCACCTACGACCTCAGGTCCTTAGACTGACCAGCCCAAGAAACATCTCACCAATTTCAAATCCGGTAAGCGGCCTCTTTTTACTCTCGTCTCCAAACTCCCTCACTATCCCTCAACCTCTTTCTCCTTTCAATCTTGGCGCCACACTTCAATCTCTCCCTTCTCTTAATTTCAATTCCTTTCATTTTCTGGTAGAGACAAAAGAGACATGTTTTATCCATGAACCCAAAACTCCGGCACCGGTCACGGACTGGGGAGGCAGCCTTCCCTTGGTGTTTAATCATTGCAGGGACGCCCTCTGATTATACACTCACGTTTCAAGGGTGTCAGACCACGCAGGGATGCCTGCCTTGGTCCTTCGCCCTTAGCGGCAAGTCCCGCTTTCCTGGGGCCGGGGCAAGTACCCCTCAACCCCTTCTCCTTCACCCTCAGCGGCAAGTCCCGCTTTCCTGGGGCCGGGGCAAGTACCCCTCAACCCCTTCTCCTTCACCCTCAGCGGCAAGTCCCGCTTTCCTGGGGCAGGGGCAAGTACCCCTCAACCCCTTCTCCTTCACCCTCAGCGGCAAGTCCCGCTTTCCTGGGGCCGGGGCAAGTACCCCTCAACCCCTTCTCCTTCACCCTCAGCGGCAAGTCCCGCTTTCCTGGGGCAGGGGCAAGTACCCCTCAACCCCTTCTCCTTCACCCTCAGCGGCAAGTCCCGCTTTCCTGGGGCAGGGGCAAGTACCCCTCAACCCCTTCTCCTTCACCCTCAGCGGCAAGTCCCGCTTTCCTGGGGCAGGGGCAAGTACCCCTCAACCCCTTCTCCTTCACCCTTAGCAGCAAGTCCCGCTTTCCTAGGGGGCAAGAAACCCCCAATCACTTATTTCCGCACCCCAACCTCTTATCTCTGCACCCCAATCCCTTATTTCCGCACCCTGACCTCTTATCTCTGTGCCCCAATCCCTTATTTCCATGCCTCAACCCCTTCTCTGCTTTTCTGGAGGGCAAGAACCCCCCACCCCTTCTCCGTGTCTCTACTCTTTTTTCTGGGCTTGCCTCCTTCACTATGGGTAAGCTTCCACCTTCCATTCCTCCTTCTTCTCCCTTAGCCTGTGTTCTCAAAAACTTAAAACCTCTTCAACTCACACCTGACCTAAAACCTAAATGCCTTATTTTCTTCTGCAATGCCGCTGGACTCCAGTACAAGCTCGACAGTAGTTCCAAATAGCCGGAAAACGGCACTTTCAATTTTTCCATCCTACAAGATCTAAATAATTCTTGTCGTAAAATGGGCAAATGGTCTGAGGTGCCTGAAGTCCAGGCATTCTTTTACACATCAGTCCCTTCCTAGTCTCTGTGCCCAGTGCAACTCGTCCCAAATCTTCCTTCTTTCCCTCCCACCTGTACCCTCAGTCCCAACCCCAAGCTTCGCTGAGTCTTTCTAATCTTCCTTTTCTACAGACCCATCTGACCTCTCCCCTCCTCACCAGGCCAAGCTAGGTCCCAATTCTTCCTCAGCCTCTGCTCCTCCACCCTGTAATCTTTTTATCGCCTCCCCTCCTCACACGTGGTCTGGCTTACAGTTTTGTTCTGTGACTAGCCCTCCCCCACCTGCCCAGCAATTTACTCTTAAAAAGGTGGCTGGAGCCAAAGGCATAGTCAAAGTTAATGCTCCTTTTACTTTATCCCAAATCAGATAGCATTTAGGCTCTTTTTCATCAAATATAAAAACCCAGCCCAGTTCATGGCTCGTTCGTCAGCAACCCTGAGACGCTTTACAGCCCTAGACCCTAAAAGGTCAAAAGGCCATCTTATCCTCAATATACATTTTATTACCCAATCTGCTCCCGACATTAAGTAAAACTCCAAAAATTAAATTCCGGCCCTCAAACCCCACAACAGCATTTAATTAACCTCGCCTTCAAGGTGTACAATAATAGAAAAAAGTTGCAGTTCCTTGCCTCTACTGTGAGACAAACCCCAGCCACATCTCCAGCACACAAGAACTTCCAAACGCCTGAACTGCAGCGGCCAGGCGTTCCTCCAGAACCTCCTCCCACAGGAGCTTGCTACACATGCCAGAAATCTGGCCACTGGGCCAAGGAATGCCCGCAGCCTGGGATTCCTCCTAAGCCGTGTCCCATCTCTGTGGGACCCCACTGAAAATCGGACTGTTCAACTCACCTGGCAGCCACTCCTGGAGCCCCTGGAACTCTGGCGCAAGGCTCTCTGACTGACTCCGTCCCAGATCTTCTCGGCTTAGCGGCTGAAGACTGACACTGCCCGATCGCCTCGGAAGCCCCCTAGACCATCACGGACACCAAGGTTCGGGTAACTCTCACAGTGGAAGGAAGCCCCTCCCCGTCTTAATCAATACGGAGGCTACCCACTCCACATTACCTGCTTTTCAAGGGCCTGTTTCCCTTGCCTCCATAACTGTTGTGGGTATTGACGGCCAGGCTTCTAAACCTCTTAAAACTCCCCAACTCTGGTGCCAACTTAGACAATACTCTTTTAAGCACTCCTTTTTAGTTATCCCCACCTGCCCAGTTCCCTTATTAGGCTGAGACACTTTAACTAAATTATCTGTTTCCCTGACTATTACTGGACTACAGCTATATCTCATTGCCGCCCTTCTTCCCAATCCAAAGCCTCCTTTGTGTCCTCTTGTATCCATCCCCCCACCTTAACCCACAAGTATAAGAAAGATACCTCTACTCCCTCCTTGGCGACTGATCATGCACTCCTTACCATCTCATTAAAACCTAATCACCCTTACCCCACTCAACGCCAATATCCCATCCCGCAGCACGATTTAAAAAGATTAAAGCCTGTTATCACTCACCTGCTACAGCATGGCCTTTTAAAGCCTATAAACTCTCCTTACAATTCCCCCATTTTACCTGTCCTAAAACCAGACAAGACTTACAAGTTAGTTCAGGATCTGCTCCTTATCAACCAAATTGTTTTGCCTATACACCCTGTGGTGCCAAACCCATATACTCTCCTATCCTCAATACCTGCCTCTACAACCCATTATTCTGTTCTAGATCTCAAACATGCTTTCTTTACTATTCCTTTGCAACCTTAATCCCAGCCTCTCTTCATTTTCACTTGGACTGACCCTGACACCCATCAAGCTCAGCAAATTACCTAGGCTGTACTGCCTCAAAGCTTCACAGACAGCCCCCATTACTTCAATCAAGCCCAAATTTCTTCCTCATCTGTTACCTATCTTGGCATAATGCTCATAAAAACACACGTGCTCTCCCTGCCAATCGTGTCCAACTGATCTCTCAAACCCAAGCACCTTCTACAAAACAACTCCTTTCCTTCCTAGGCATTCCTAGGCGGTCAGAATTTTTACACAAGAGCCAGGACCACACCCTGTAGCCTTTCTGTCCAAACAACTTGACCTTACTGTTCTAGCCTAGCCCTCATGTCTGCGTGCAGTGGCTGCCGCTGCTTTAATACTTTTAGAGGCCCTCAAAATAAGTAGAGGCCTTTCCTACAGGGTCTGAGAAGGCCACCGCAGTCATTTCTTCCGTTCTGTCAGACATAATTCCTCAGTTTAGCCTTCCCACCTCAATACAGTCTGATAACAGACGAGCCTTTATTAGTCAAATCAGCCAAGCAGTTTTTCAGGCTCTTAGTATTCAGTGAAACCTTTATATCCCTTATGGTCCTCCATCTTCAAGAAAAGTAGAATGGACTAAAGGTCTTTTAAAAACACACCTCACCAAGCTCAGCCACCAACTTAAAAAGGACTGGACAATACTTTTACCGCTTTCCCTTCTCAGAATTCAGGCCTGTCCTCGGAATGCTGCAGGGTACAGCCCATTGAAGGTCCTGTATAGACGCTCCTTTTTATTAGGCCCCAGTCTCATTCCAGACACCAGACCAACTTAGACTGTGCCCCAAAAAAAAAAAAAAAAAAAAAAAAAAGAAAAAACTTGTCATCCCTACTATTTTCTGTCTAGTCATACTCCTATTCACCGTTCTCAACTACTCATACATGCCCTGCTCTTGTTTACACTGCCTGTTTACACTGTTTTTCCAAGCCATCACAGCTGATATCTCCTGGTGCTATCCCCAAACTGCCACTCTTAACTCTTGAAGTAAATAAATAATCTTTGCTGGCAGGACTATGCCAAATCTCCTTAAGCACTCTCTAATCAGACATCCTGAGTCGTCCCAATTCTTAGACCTTTTATACCTGTTTTTCTCCTTCTGTTATTCCATTTAGTTTTTCAGTTCATACAAAACCGTATCCAGGCCATCACCAATCATTCTATACGACAAATGTTTCTTCTAACATCCCCACAATATCACCCCTTACCACAAGACCTCCCTTCAGCTTAATCTCTCCCACTCTAGGTTCCCACGCCGCCCCTAATCCCGCTTGAAGCAGCCCTGAGAAACATCGCCCATTCTCGCTCCATACCACCCCCCAAAAAATTTTTGCCGCCCCAACACTTCAATACTATTTTGCTTTATTTTTCTTATTAATATAAGAAGGCAGGAATGTCAGGCCTCTGAGCCCAAGCCAAGCCATCGCATCCCCTGGGACTTGCACGTATATGCCCAGATGGCCTGAAGTAACTGAAGATCCACAAAAGAAGTAAAAATAGCCTTAACTGATGACATTCCATCATTGTGATTTGTTCCTGCCTCACCCTAACTAATCAATGTACTTTGTAATCTCCCCCACCCTTAAGAAGGTTCTTTGTAATTCTCCCCACCCTTGAGAATGTACTTTGTGAGATCCACCCCTGCCCACCAGAGAACAACCCCCTTTGACTGTAATTTTCCATTACCTTCCCAAATCCTATAAAATGGCCCCACCCCTATCTCCCTTCGCTGACTCTCTTTTCGGACTCAGTCTGCCTGCACCCAGGTGAAATAAACAGCCATGTTGCTCACACGAAGCCTGTTTGGTGGTCTCTTCACACAGACACGTATGAAATACCCAAAGCATTATAAATCATTCTAGTATAAAGACAAATGCACATGTATGTTTACTGTGACACTATTCACAATAGCAAAGACTTGGGACCAACCCAAATGCCCATCAATGTTAGAATGGACAAAGAAAACGTGGCACATATACACTATGGAATACTATGCAGCCATAAAAAAGGATGAGTTCATGTCCTTTCCAGGGACATGGATGAAGCTGGAAACCATTATTCTCCACAAACTAACACAGGAACAGAAAAGCAAACACCACATGTTCTCACTCATAAGTGAGAATTGAACAATGAGAAAACATGGACACAGGGAGGGGAACATCACACAGCAGGGTCTGTCAGGGGCTGGGGGCTAGGAGAGGGAGAGCATTAGGATAAATACCTAATTAGATAAATACCTAAAACCTAGATGATGGGTGATGGGTGCAGCAAACCACCATGGCACATGTATAGCTATGTAACAAACCTGCAAGTTCTGCACATGTATTCCAGTACTTAAAGTATAATAAATAATACTAATAATAACAAAAACCGACTAACTAAATAAATAAAGAATTACTGTTACTAAAGTGAGATGGAGTTACTGATCCTATATTCTCTGGCCTCCTATTCTACTACGCACTGTGGAAGCTCCTGAGAATGTTCAGTGGTTATCAAGGGACCATAGACCATCCCATGAGAGTCCTCTGAGCAAAGCAAGACAGGGACAATTTTCAGCTGTCTTTCAGAATATGATGAAATCTGCTAATTGCCTTAAGAAAAAATTTCATGTGCACACATACGTAAAACTTTACTTACAATATCAGAGTGTTAAGAACTCCACTTTATGAACAAGAACATTGAAATCCAGGGGCCATAACTGGCTCTTTCTCACTTCTCTGCTACTTACCATTTCATTCTTCAGAATTATCTTCTTGAATCCCAGCCTGTGACTGGACATCCAGATGTCCCAAGGGGCTCAGGAGGCACAGAGGTAAAGTCACTATGGGAAACTCTCTTCTATGAAACTAAAGTTGCTTATAGCCAAGAAGAATTAAAGAGTAGAGATGAAGAATTAGGGTAAACAGCTGTTGATGGTCCCTGAGCGATGTCGAGTGCTCCAAAATCCACATGGGAAATCTTCTGTTCCTTCATCCAGGTGCTGTGAACCACTATCCTTAACAACTTCCCCCTGTGCTCTAGGGGACTTCTCACATGACAGAATATGCCCCCACTCTCTTTGGGATGACCACTAGGTACTTACCCATTGTTTCCCTTTCTTAGCCCTATCCAATTTTTCCCTACAAGGACTCTATCCATCCTCCCTTAAGCCTCACTCTACTTTTGAGAAGCTGAACTCTTTCCTGCCTTGATCTTCATCTTGACTCAGTACCCTGCTCCTAATTTGCTCCTAACCTGGGCTTCTTAGCGATTGTGTTTTCCCATGGGAAAAACCAAAACTTTGTCCAAAGGTTTATTCATGGAGTAATAGTCCAGGAAAGAAAGCCTACCAAATAAAGCAAAAAGTCAGGAACTAAACCTAAAGAACAAATAGTAAATACTCACTGGGCTCAGGGGAAGACAATTCACAAGGCTGTGGAAGCCAAGGTAGGCTTCACAGTGATCCCTGGATTTAGGTAGGGTCTTGAAGCCACTACATTTATGAAGCTCACCACATGCAGAGTTCTGTGCTAAGTATCCACTATGCAAGCTCTCTTACTCTTCACATTAACTCAAGGTAGGCATTTTGATTGTGTTCATTTTGCAGAGCAGAAACTGCAGCTCAAAGACATTAAGGAACTTAATAACATCAATATTACAGAGCCAGAATTTGGACTCAGACCCATTCGATACCAAAGCTTTTACCAGACTCCAAGCCACTGATTGATCTAGTGCCTAGCACACAGCAACTGCTCGATCAATATTTGCTAAATGAATGAATGAAAGAATGAATGCAGCAGTAATTTGAGAATGAGAGGGCTTATGTATCTTGTGGATTATACATCCATGGTGAAGGGGGCAAGCTTAAATGGAGGAAGTGATTATGCAGCTACAGAATTATTGACATTTATCTCTGCTAGGCTATGTGCTCAGTGCTTTAACACTTCAGGACAATCCTCTTGAAGTCAACAGAAATATACTGAGTACTAGACCCTCTGGCTGGCCCTGTATTAGGCCCTCAGGTTGGCGAATTACACTCAAGCATTCATAGCAGAAATACAAAAGAAAGACCTGTAATGTACTTCACACCATGGACACGGCAATCTGGGGGTTTAACTTACCTACTCTCCACTCACCCTCTACAACCATGAGCAATCCATCACGACTTAGATTTCTTTGGCCCTGGGTATTTTGGAGTGATCGATGGGCTCTGGCTATAGTAAGAATCTACCGCCCCTCTTCCCAGTTCTCACAAACTCCCCATAATAGACTCCCATATAGTGTGAGCAATTTACAGTATAATGAATTTGTTTTATTCTGGTTCAGTCTGGGCATTGTGGCTCCTGCCTGCCTTCCTGTTGTTTTATTTACTCCTCAGCCATTCTCATTTTTGTAGCTATTCCCTTTAGCTCTCCTTTTCTGTAAGGTCATTCTAAGGACAGGATGTTGCAATGGCCGAGATGAATTGTGAACAAGTGCAAGCCAGGTGTGTGTTGGTGATTCTCTCTCCCGCTCTTCTTTTGGACTCTCTGAAATCTGGCCCATAAAGAAAAATATCCCATGCTCAAGATTTAGAGCCCAAATTCCGATTTTGAGGTCGGTGTCATTCAGATGAATGCCCCTGAGCCAGGCACAACAGAGCAGTTACTGGGAGAGATAAGGTGATTCAGTGTCATACCTCCGAGAGCTGTAACTCACCAGGGGTGGGGGGAGACATTTTTGTAACCACTAAAATGTGTAAGGCCAGTCTCAGCCCTATATATTGCTGTTTTCCACAATGGCTGTTTCCTGGAAAATCCATCTCTTTCACCACGGGGTGCTAAGGGCATTAAAAATTAGTCAGTTTGCTATACTGGTCTTGTTAATACTTGTGGCAGGACATTAATACAGGATAATAGTAATCACATTGGTGCTAAATATTTACAGTGTTAGGGCAATAGCTTTGAATCTCAACCTACTACATTTGATTAATAGTGATGTTAATGGTGGCACCAAGGAAGATGGACTTCCCAGGCTTCTTCTCCAGACAGTATAAATGCTCCAGTGGTAAATGCTTCATTTATATGTGAATACAATTAAGAGCAACTTCTAATTATTTCTGGCACATGCTCTTTAATGCCAGAGCCTTCAAGTCACAGTGGTCAAAGGGTAATACATCATAACAGGTTACAACATCCCCATGGATTTCTTGATTGACATAAAAATAGTTTTCTCCCACAATTGATTGACACTATGGCAGGTGGAAAGTAATGGCCAAGCTTCTAGCTGTCCATTAGAAGATCTTCAATCAAGAAGGATATGGCTTTAATAATTAGTTTCCATATATGGGGGCTGAGACCAGCTGGACTGTGGATGGCACCCTTTTGGGGACTGAGGCACCTTGGGGATAGTACAACTTTTCAGATTAGTCCCTCAGAACAAAAAACCCAAGAAAATGATTTCTAAAATTTCCAGAGTGTTGCTTTTTTCCCCTGGAGGGACATAATTGAAACCAGAGGTTTACAGTGAAGAAACAGGTGACCTCTAGCTAGAGGTAGGAAATTTTCCAATGAGAAGTGTTTGGTTTTGCCTTTGCAGAATACAGGTGGGGACATGTATTTACCTTCAAAAACTGGATCATACATTTCAACATTCATTGGGAGAAAGAGCAGGCATTGTGTTTCAGGAACTGCAGTATATTGTAACCAAATGGGTACACTTGAAAAGAGCTGCAGAATGGGCATCCCACTGTGTTCTGAATGAAACTGTGTGTGCCAGGAGGACAAGGTTTCCTTGGCCTTCCATGCGTAATCTCCCATACTTCTGCTACTTGCTCTACATCATGGCTCTGGTTTGGACAGAGGGTCTTCTATACATGCTTTTTCACTGGAGTGTGGGAAGTTTGGGAGGGAAGAAATCCATGGATTTATGGTCTTCCATCCCCTGAGAAACCCCTGGACAACAAGGACCAGGATTTTCCCTGAGATTAGGACAAATGAACAAACAGAAGAAATAAAGTATTTATTAGGTAAAGACAATTCTACCATCCTGGAAAGGCCAATCATCATGTTTCTGCTTAGAAATAAGACCCAGGCATATTTGTTTCAATGTATATGGCTGGGCAAACACTTCTTAGCTTTCTTGCCTTCAACTTCTTACCCAACTTAGCCAAACAAAAATTCAGAGATTGCCACTCTGAGTGCTGATACTGGAAACAAAAGAACAAGATAGGCTCTTCAAGGAGTTCACTTTGTATCAGAATGATAAGATGTAATACAGACACCAAATAACAATGTAGCACTGAAGCACTTGGAAACTATATTCCCCAAGTGGTGTGGAAGTACAAAGAAGAAAATGATTAATATCTCTGGGAAAGTAGAAATGATCCACAGTGTCCATGAAAGCTTAACATAGGAGCTGATATTTAAGCTGAGCTTGAAAAGTGAGCGTAGTTGGGCAAGGTGGAAAACATAGAGGCTTGTGTGTCAAAAGGGTCTTCCCAGCAGTGTTGGGCCTAAGAACGTGGCATCATGTATTCATCACCCAACAGGAGTGTCCCAGGGAGGTGGAGAGGATACAGAAGTAAAACCTCCAAGGGTGCCTTCATTTACTCAGAGATTGTTTTTAGGAATCTTCTGTCCGAAGCACTGGACTACACAATAAATCTTATGATGATGTGGTTAGGGTATTGAAACCACTTTTCTTTATTTCCTCTCTCCTTTTCTTGTGTTTTCTTTCCCCTATGAAAGTGACATTATTAAAGGAGCTCACTTTATAAGCATACACCTGTCCAAACCTCTAACTTTGTAGTAGTAACAAAGTTCTTGTATCCTATCACAGTTGGCCATGCCCTCAAGTTTATTTTTATAATACCACTGCTGTGAACTGCCTTGGGTTGTGGGTGAAGGGCAGAGGAGGAGGAGAAAAAGAAAGAAATAGAGATGGATGGGAAGATTTGCACTAGAAAGCCAAGGTCTATGAATACCATTACCTGTAGGGAATGAAGAAACATGGTAAATACTTAATTTGGGAGGGCAACATAACAATGTCTAAGTTTTAGAAAAAGAATACTGTTAGTAGATGACTAGAGAATGGCCAGAAATAGAAAGAAAAGGGATTAGTTAGGAGGATAAGGTATGAAGTATGATGTGCTGAGAAACAGCTACACCAGTGGTTGTGAAAATAAACAAGAGGGGTCAGATTGGAGAAATATTCACTGAGGACTCATTCACTGTGGGAGGTGATGATGTGGAAGTAAGATATCAAGACTGATGTTGATGCTTCTCTCTTAAGCAAAGTTGTGAATGTTGTGTTATTTCTGACATAGAAAATCCCAAAAGAGGGATAGATTTGGGGAATCGCATGGACGCAGTTCTTTTTTTTTTTTTTTTTTTTTTTTTTTTGAGACGGAGTCTTGCTCTGTCACCCAGGCTGAAGTGCAGTGGTATGATCTCGGCTCACTGCAAGCTTTGCCTCCTGGGTTCCCACCATTCTTCTGCCTCAGCCTTCCCAGTAGCTGGGACCACAGGCACACGCCGCCATGCCTGGCTAATTTTTTGTATTTTTAGTAGAGACGGGGTTTCACCGTATTAGCCAGAAGGGTCTCGGTCTCCTGACCTCGTGATCCACCCGCCTTAGCCTCCCAAAGTGTTGGGATTATGGGTATGAGCCACCACACCCAGCTGGATGCAGTTCTTGACATGATGAATGTGAGGTGTCTGTGAGGTGTTCAGGAGAATTGTAAAAATGTTTTCAGAGACAAATGCTTAACACTTAAGGAACCACTAGATTTAAAGAGAAGGGAGGGAAAAGGTAAGGGAAGAAAAGTCATTGAGTAAAAGCCAAAATGGTCAGAAAGGTAGGAGAAACTAAAGGAAGGGAAAGTATATTTACCTAGTATTTATTTTAAATCAAATGCTACAAAGAACTTAACCCGGGTTATGCCATTTAATCCCCACAGTAAGCTTAAAAATGATTTTATTCCACTTTATACATGTGATTGGAAGATTTCAAAATATTAACTGACATTTTCCTGCAATTTCTTTGTACCCACAGGCCTTTTCCCATGTGGCATCCATTGGCTCATAGAACAGATGTTACAAGAGAAAGTAGGAGAAACGGACTTTTGATTTAAAAAGCCTAGACTTTTAATGTTCAAAAATAAATAGCTCTAGGAAATTTGAAAGGAGGGAGATTTGTGTCTCTGGTTCTCAGTGCTCTGGGAAACAGAAAGGCCTGGGACCATGGTGTGTCCCAGGCTGATTGATGCGTCACAGGCAGCCTCACAGGATTCCTCATGTCCCAGCAAGGTAAAAGAGGAGAAGGATTCAAGGCAAGAGTGGCATGGGAGTGAGGAAGATCTTTAAAAACCCGCTGAGCTTCTTACTGCCCTATAAAGCAATGTAGCAGTGGACTGCTTCTTATACACTCAAGAAAGGCATGAGCTAGCTCAGACAGGGGTAAGCCTGAGGAGGCCTTGGGTTCAGGAATGAGAGATGGCTCCAAAGCAACCTTCATGGACTCACAACAAAAGACCAGATGGGAATAGGCATCTCAGCAGATGTCAGTGTGGGAGGATCCTGACTAACCCAAGATGAGAAATCCTCAACCCAAACCTGAACTCTCTGAGTCCCTGAGAACAAAGAAGAGCCTTGTGGGGTGGTGGGGAAGCCCTGAAAAGATTAAGGTTGTCTATTTGCCTGCCAATAGAATGGGAGCTTAAAATATTGAAAAAAAAAAAAAAGGAAATTCTATTTTTTGCACTGTTAAATTTCCATTCAAAGATTTGTGTTGCAATCATCAGTAAAACTGCATCTAGGGGAGGCAGTTAAGTGGATTTCCAAAGGCCATGCAGCTGAGCAATGATGGAGCTTGTACATAAACTTAGGTCTTCCTGGGTCAAGAATCTTTGCTCATGTTGCTATTCCATTTGGATTGCACATTCCTGTTTTCTAGAGTCAAGGGGAAAGTGGTCAGCTGTGTCAGGCTTTTGGGTCTGGCCAGGAGGGTGTTCCTAATCTTCCCTGCTTCTGTTTTTCTGCAGTGCTAAGGGCAGATGACAGAGCAAATCAGGTGAAGATCTGACCCAAGTCTTCCTCTAGAAACTCCACATTGCTCCCATCTGGCTGTGGTTTGGATGTGTGTTGCCTCCAAATCTCATGTTGAAATGTGATCTTCAATGTTGGAGATGGGGTCTAGTGGGAGGTATTGAATCATAGGCGTGGATCCCTCATGAATGGTTTAGTGCCATCCCCTTGTTGATGAGTGAGTTCTTGCTCAGCTCATTCATGTGAGATCTGTTTGTTTGAAAGAGTTTGGGACCTCTCCTTTCTCTCTCTTGCTTCCTCTCTTGCTGTGTGATATATTGAGCCTCCCTTCACCTTCTGCCATGACTGTAAGTTTCCTAAGACCTCACCAGAAGCTGAGCAGATGCTGGTGCCATGTCTGTACATCTTGCAGAACCATCAGCCAAATAAACCCTGATTTTAAAGAAATTACCCAGGCTCAAGTGTTTCTTTATAGCAAAGCGGAACAAAATAACACACATCTATTCTTTTAAGAAGTAGCAATCCAGTCACTACTTCTTCTGGCATATAAAGTGAAAATTTAGGGATGGATAAAAACATAAGTTGAAGAAGGAAAGAAAGTACATTTTAAAAGTTTATATTTTAAAGCATTTTTTGTCATTGCCAAGTAAAAGAGGTCTGTTGAAATGGGGAAAGGAAAGGATTGAGGTCTTTTAAAAATAATTATTTAATAAAAATTTACTATATGCCAGGAGCTTAACATTAGTGCTACTGAAAGTGTGGCCCATGGACCAATGTGGTTAATATCACTTGGAAACTTGTTAGAAATTCTTGTCTATGAATTCTCAGGCTCCATTCCAGACCTACAGAATCAGAATCTCTTGAAATGGGGCCCAGAAATATGTGTTTTAATAAGCTCCTCAATTGGCTATTATGCACGTTAAACTTGCTGAAGCGATGCTATAGAGATATGAAAAGCAATTGACCAGAGATGAGGAAATGGATTACAGAGAATTATGGGTCCAGGTGAAGTTGGAAATTATAAGCACGCAAAGTAGCTCATCATCATGGCCACAGGATTCTCAATGTGAGCTCTTGGTAACAAGCTTGGGGATGGATGCTAAGAGAAGTGAGGGGTGTGTTAATCTAAGATTCATGAAATCAGCAGGACACGTGAGCAAAAGGTCAAGAAGAAGATGAAACTGAGGAGTTTGAGAAGAAACTGCTAAGAGAGTGTCCTTGATTTGATTAAACCACATTAACCACTTGGGCATAGGATGGCAATGATCCCAGGATGGAGGGAGGTGATGAGGAGCCTTATCCAAGGCTAAGAGACTTAAGGATACAATGATATCTAAGTGTCAATTTCCTGCAGTGAATAACAGGAGAGGTGGAGGTTGAGAGGATCAGGTAAAGATGTGATGGTACAAGTCATTATCTGAAGTGGGATGAAGGCGAGAAACTGTAGAAGTCTCTTGCATTCTTAATCACAATTGAATTCATATTTTTTTCTGATTTCATAAAGAGACCTGGTCACTCCCAATATGGGAATGAATTACTAGAAAACCAGAAAGAGAATTCCATTTCTGTAATCTCTTTTTTTTTTTTTATTTTTATGTTTTTTTTTTAATTATACTCTAAGTTTTAGGGTACATGTGCACATTGTGCAGGTTAGTTACATATGTATACATGTGCCATGCTGGTGCGCTGCACCCACTAACGTGTCATCTAGCATTAGGTATATCTCCCAATGCTATCCCTCCCCCCTCCCCCGACCCCACCACAGTCCCCAGAGTGTGATATTCCCCTTCCTGTGTCCATGTGATCTCATTGTTCAATTCCCACCTATGAGTGAGAATATGCGGTGTTTGGTTTTTTGTTCTTGCGATAGTTTACTGAGAATGATGGTTTCCAATTTCATCCATGTCCCTACAAAGGACATGAACTCATCATTTTTTATGGCTGCATAGTATTCCATGGTGTATATGTGCCACATTTTCTTAATCCAGTCTATCATTGTTGGACATTTGGGTTGCTTCCAAGTCTTTGCTATTGTGAATAGTGCCGCAATAAACATACATGTGCATGTGTCTTTATAGCAGCATGATTTATAGTCCTTTGGGTATATACCCAGTAATGGGATGACTGGGTCAAATGGTATTTCTAGTTCTAGATCCCTGAGGAATCGCCACACTGACTTCCACAATGGTTGAACTAGTTTACAGTCCCACCAACAGTGTAAAAGTGTTCCTATTTCTCCACATCCTCTCCAGCACCTGTTGTTTCCTGACTTTTTAATGATCGCCATTCTAACTGGCGTGAGATGGTATCTCATAGTGGTTTTGATTTGCCTTTCTCTGATGGCCAGTGACGGTGAGCATTTATTGGCATTATACTTCTGTGTCCCACCTCCTGTGCCCCTGCCCATCTCAGATTCTACTGTTTCCTGAAGGTGACTAAACCTACAATCCACTTCCCTCTCCCAACTTGCGAATTAAAGTGGAGTGTCAGGATCTGCACACAAACCTCACTTCTCCATGAGTCGTGTGTGGTGTGTGTGTGTGTGTTTAATTTTGCCTATCTAGAGAAATCACTTGACTTCTGTGTGTTGCATTAGGCCACTGCTGTTAACAACAGTGGTGTCATTCTGATGTGCTCCGTGAGGCAGTGGGAACTTTGAAGTTGAAAGATAGAACAGACACGGATAAGTAGTACCCCGAGCAGGCTGCTATTGCACCATTATTGCCAGCAATTATTTCACCAAGTGACACATCAGATAAAAAGTCAGCCACCTTCCTCCAGGAAGCATCTTGGTAGCTACAACCAGATTTCTGTCTGATTTCTTTTTCTTAAATGGACAGAAGCTTGTTATCTCTCTCACTGGAGCCTTCTGCCTCCCTCTCCATTGTCTCCATTGCTGTAAGTAGAGTTGAGGTTTTAGATGCTGGCTTTATGGGACCTTGCTCAGGTTTGATGCTGACTCTTCCCTGGGATGAGCTATGTAGTAGCCTTTTCATTCGTCCTTTCCAGGTTTCCTTTTTGCTCAATTCCCCCCTCAGCCTGTCATTATCCTTGACAGTTTTCCTTTTCTGGTTTTGGGAATGCAGATTAGAAACTGAACAGCCATGTCTCAAGAAGACAGCGTTGGATGGGCTCTTATTTTGATCAACACACACAGCAGTATGTACAAGGCATTGTCTTAAGCATAGCAACCACTATTAACTCACCCAATCTTCATAATAATGATGGTAGGTGCCATTATTATCAGCCCCATTTTTTTCAAGCAGGGAAACTGAGGAACAGGGGTGAAACAGAGGCTGCACAGCTAATGTTTAACACAACAGTATTCAAACAGGCAATTTGGCTGCAGAGATTACCTGGCTGCCTTCCTGGCTGTGTGTGCTTGTGGGAGGGATGTGGTCAGGCATCAGCAGTGGGAGTCAGAAGTGGGATAACTAGTTTCTGGTTAGAAAATCGCAACAAGGGAGAGGCTACATGTACCCACTGATAAAGGGTTAGTTCCAGTGCCAGGGATGGAGTAAGGGCCCACATCTAAACCAGCCAATTCACTGAGAGATGCTAGTGGATGTGAGGGATATGGAGTGAGGGTCAGGGTGGCATAGAGTGGGTTTGGGACCCAAGACAGAAGCTGGCAAGAGAGAGTTATTGGCACATATTCTTAGGGGTTGGCTGTCTAATTGTTGATTCTGTAGCCACAACTTGAATGTAGCTCAGCAAAAGGAGAACATTTTCTGAAATCCTTACCTCTCTGTCTCCAAATATAATGTCAGAGGAACTACTTGTCTGGGTAGTCCATATATGTGTGCATTTTTCTTTTTTTCCCCCATAAAACATTATTTAGGTAAACTTTCAGCTTTAAGCAGACTATCGGGGCCTGAAAGTTCTGTCCATGCTTGATTTCCTGGAGTGACTTAAGGAGGGTGTGGTTTAATCAGATGGGGTGGCAATTACTAAGGCTGAGAACTTCACTCTCCTATTCAGACCGGGACTGAGAAAGTGTGTCTTAGATGGCTTTTCGCCATACATGTGGCAGAATATTGTTACCTCTTCACCTCCTTTTCTCCTTTCCTCATTCCTACTGTTAGGAATTGGGCTTTGGTAAAACTGACTAAAGAGGTAGATTATCACCTAAAACATTTTAATTGTGTTGAAAATATAGTAAAGCAAAGGTTTGCCTTGTAGGTATTCCCAAATGTTGGTTAATTGTTGGATTTATACATGTGCCATAATTCCCACTAGTCCCTTTTTTTCTTTTTTCTTTTTTTTTTTAGTTTTAACTTTTAAGCTTTTAAAAGTGAAGTCAACCAGAAGTTTAGGGTATATGGGAAAAAATTTTCGAACAATTCTCATGTAAACTTAAATTTTAAATCCTTCTTTGGAGTAAAATGGGTTCAGGCTTTTCACTGTTTTCAAGGTTATTTCTGAGTTGCAAAAGATCTCTCTCTGTTTTTCCCTGTATTCCTATATTCCTCCTGTATTCCTCATTCAATCATGGCAGCAGCAGTCCCATGAAAGCAAGAAGATACTCTTTTCTTGCATCTGTAGTGGAAACCATAGCAGCAGGCAGTAACTGTTTCATGTGTCAAATAGAGGCATTCCCATTAATTTATAATGTGGACTACAGAATTTAATTTTCACAAGCATTATTGAGAAACCAAAGCAAAAAACAAAAAATCATTAAGTTACAAGGATGTGGCAAATGTAAATTAAAGCTACATACTGAAGGCCAGATGTGGTGGCTCACGCCTGTAATCCCAGCACTTTGGGAGGCCAAGGCGGGTGGATCATGAGGTCAGGAGATGGAGACCATCCTGGGTAACACGGTGAAACCCCATCTCTACTAAAAATACAAAAAAATAGCCAGGCATGGTGGCGGGGGCCTGTAGTCCCAGCTACTCGGGAGGCTGAGGCAGGAGAATGGTGTCAACCCGGGAGGTGGAGCTTGCAGTGAGCCGAGATCACGCCACTGCACTCCAGCCTGGGCAACAGAGTGAGACTCCATCTCAAAAAAAATAAATAAATAAAGCTACATACTGAAATCAAAGCAGACAAATCCATACATTGGTCCACCAAAAAGTGAGCAGCCTAGGACTATAGAAAACTTTATATTACCCAAAGAGTTGGGGAAAGTCAGTTTATCATCAGTTTTGGCAGGGGTGGGAGTAGAGGGGAAATAACTTTCCAGTAAACAAAAAACATTGTCTGCACAGAGTTTAAAGGGAACGTGTGAAGGTTTCTGCCTACCCTATATCTACTCTTTCTTCTTATGGAACAGTCCTGTCATTTTCCTCTAGAAAATTGCCTCCTATATTTTCTGGCTATGTGTTCAAGGAGGTATAATACCCACCCCCAGATCCAGGGATGGGCACTTAATCCAAGCCAGGATAAGGAATATATACCCTTGGAAATTTCCTGGACTAATAATTAATAGGATGTTATAAGCCTGGAGCTGCCATTGCTAAGGGCTAAAGCTGGGAGGTAAGTCAGTCACATTGAGCCAGGCGAGCGCTGTGGGCTGAGCAGGGGCTGCAGGGCAGTGGGAGTGCAGACTGAAAAAATGCAGACCGGGGCACTACTCATTTCTCCAGCTCTGATGTGCTGTTGTACCAGGGGTCTAATCAGGCCTGTGTCTGCCTCCTTCTTGAATAGCCCAGAGAATTCATCTAAACAGCCCTCCTATAGCAGCTCCCCACTGCAGGTGGCCAGACAGGAGTTTTAGACCAGTGTTGTCTCACGGAACATTGACACAGCAGCCAAGTTGATTGGTGCTGGGGCAGCCACAGTAAGTGTGGCTGGTTCAGGGGTTGGCATTGGAACAGTGTTTGGTAGCTTGATCATTGGCTATGCCAGAAACCCGTCTCTCAAGCAGCAGTTCTTCTCCTGTGTCATTCTGGGCTTTGCCTGGGGACTTGGGGCTCTTCGGTTTGATGGCTGCCTTCCTCATCCTCTTTGCCCTCCCTGATGGTCACCTGCGTGTCCCTGCTGCTGCAACTCCACATCATTCCTGGTGCTGGGGTGTGCTAAGCTTTACCATTAAACACAATGTTTCTCAAAAAAACAAACAAACAAACAAAAACCAGGAGAGCTTGCTTGAGAATGAAGTCAGTGCAGAAGAAAGCAGGCTCTAGAAACAAAACCATCTGATCTTTGACAAACCTGACAAAAACAATAAACGGGGAAAGGATTCCCTATTTAATAAATGGTGCTGGGAAAACTGGCTAGCCATAGGTAGAAAACTGAAACTGGCTCCCTTCCCTACACCTTATACAAAAATTAATTCAAGATGGATTAAAGACTTAAATGTTAGACCTAAACCATAAAAACCCTAGAAGAAAACCTAGGCAATACCATTCAGGACATAGGCATGGGCAAGGACTTCATGATTAAAACACCAAAAGCAATGGCAACAAAAGCCAAAATAGATAGATGGGATCTCATTAAACTAAAGAGCTTCTGCACAGCAAAAGAAACTACCATCAGAGTGAACAGGCAACCTACAGAATGCGAGAAAATTTTTGCAATCTACCCATCTGACAAAGGGCTAATATCCAGAATCTACAAAGAAGTTAAACAAATTTACAAGAAAAAAACAACCCCATCAAAAAGTGGGCAAAGAATATGAACAGGCACTTCTTAAAAGAAGACATTTATGCAGCCAAAAGACACATGACAAAATGCTCATCATCACTGGTCATCAGAGAAATGCAAATCAAAACCACAATGAGATACCATCTCACACCAGTTAGAATGGAGATCATTAAAATGTCAGGAAACAACAGATGCTGGAGAGGATGTGGAGAAATAGGAACGTTTTTACACTGTTGGGAGTGTAAAGTAGTTCAACCATTGTGGAAGACGGTGTGGCAATTCCTCAAGGATCTAGAACTAGAAATACCATTTGACCCAGTATCCCATTACTGGGTATATACCCAAAGGATTATAAATCATGCTGCTATAAAGACACATGCACATGTATGTTTATTGTGGCACTATTCACAATAGTAAAGACTTGGAACCAACCCAAATGTCCATCAATGATAGACTGGATTAAGAAAATGTGGCTCATATACACCATGGAATACTATGCAGCCATAAAAAAGGATGAGTTCATGTCCTTTGTAGGGACATGGATGAAGCTGGAAAACATCATTCTCAGCAAACTATCACAAGGACAGAAGGACAGAAAACCAAACATCGCATGTTCTCACTCATAGGTGGGAAGTGAACAATGAGAACATTTGGACACAGGGAGGGAAACATCACACCCCAGGGCCTGTCATGGGGAGGGGGGCAGGGGGAGGGATAACATTAGGAGAAATACCTAATGTAAATGACAAGTTAATGGGTGCAGCAAACCAACATGGCACATGTATACATATGTAACAAACCTGCATGTTGTACACATGTACCCTAGAACTTAAAGTATGATTAAAAAAAAAAAAGAAACAAAGAAAAACAGTCGACTGGCTGGGCACAGTGCCTCATGCCTGTAATCTCAACACTTTGGGAGGCCAAGGCAGGCGGATCACAAGGTCAGGAGATCAAGACCATGCTGGGTAACATGGTGCAACCCCGTTCTCTACTAAAAAAAATACAAAAAATTAGCCAGGCGTGGTGGTGGGCGCCTGTAGTCCCAGCTACTTGGGAGGCTAAGGCAGGAGAATGGCGTCAACCCGGGAGGTGGAGCTTGCAGAGAGCTGAGATTGCACCACTGCACTCCAGCCTGGGTGACAGAGTGAGACTCTGCCTCAAAAAAAAAAAAAAAAAAGGAAAACAGTCGACCTTTGTATATTAACGTTTTATCCTGCAAGCTTGCTATACTCATTTATTTGTTACAGAAAGGTTTAAAAAATTATTTGGTATTTTCTACATAGACAATCACATTGTCTACAGACAATTTGGTTTCTTTCTTCCCCAACTACATGCCTTTTATTTTAGCTTTTTATTCTATTACACTAGGGACTTCAAGTATGGTGTAAATAAGAGCAGGGAGAAGGGCCATTCTTGCTTTGTTCTTGGTCTTATGGAGAAAGCACCCATTTTTCCCCACTAAGGATGATGTTATCTGGAGGTTTGTTTGTTTTGTAGATGTTCTTTATCTAACTGAGGAAGTGCCCCCAGTTATATTTTGCTGAAGATTTTTATCAGCAATTGATATAACCATATAATTTTTCTTCTTTCATCTATAGATGTGGTGGATTATATTGATTGAATTTAGAATATTGAACCAGACTTGCATACCTTGAATAAATCCTATTTGACCATTGTGTGTAATGCATACAAGGTTGAATTTTATTAGCTAATTTTTTGGGGAATATTTTTTGCTAATATTTTGTTGAAGACACTGGAGGATACTGGTCTGTATTGTACTTGTTGTAATGCCTTTATCTTGCTTTTGGTATTAAAGTAATATTGGCCTCAAAAAAAAAAAAAAAACAGGAGAGCTTGCTTGAGAATGAAGTCAGTGCAGAAGAAAGCAGACTCTAGAAACAAAAAAAGACAACACGTGATGTAATTGAGCACAATGAGCTCGCCATGCTGGCCTAAAGCCATGATGCTGGACTTTTAGACACATAAGCAAATAATACACCCTTTTTGTTTAAGGCAGTTTTAATTATATTTCCAACCTTTGCCACTGACTAATATAAAACTGCACTTACTCCCTTAAGCTCATAAGACGTTTTATAACTGAGGGTATTTTTGTGTTTCTATATCAGCACCAGGAATATACATACAGAAGTACTGGGAAACAAATATTTAAAGCTCTAGGGCTGGGCAAACTTTTTCTTAAAGTGCCAAATAGTAAAATTTTAGGCTTTGTGGACCAAGAGGCAAAACTCAGGATACTATGTAGATACTTAAATAGCCATCTGCAATAGTTTGAATGATAGTGTCCCCTCCAAAATTCATGTTGAAATTTATTCCTAATGCAACAGTATTAAGAGATGTTGCACTTAGGGAGTGATTAAGTCCTGAATATTCTGGCCTCAGGAATGGAATTAACACCCTTATGAAACAGCTCAAGGCTGAAGGGAGAGCTCTCTTGTCCTTCCATACTTTCCATCATGCAAAAACACAACCTTCCTCCCCTCTGGAAATTTCAGCAAAAAGGCGCCATCTTGGAAGCAGAGAGCAGCCCTCACCAGATGCCAATCCTGCCGGTGCCTTGACCTTGGACTTCTCAACTTCCAGAAATGTGAGAAATAAATGTGTATTGTTTATAAATTACCCAATCTCATGTATGTTGTTAAAGTAGCACAGACGAACATAACACACTATTTTAAATGCAACAATTTTAAAAGGTAAAAACCATTCTTAACTCCCTTGCTATTAAAAAAAATCAGCCTCATGTATTTGACCTGCAGGCCCTGCAAAAAAAATGGCTTATCTTACTTTGAACATTCTTTCTTTTTCTGTCTCTTAGAAGAAAGTATTTGCTCATTTCATTGTTATCCTTCAAGAATCAGCACAAATATCTCCTTACAATGGCCGTTCCTGGGATTGCATATGTTGGGTCCTATGTTCTCTCTTCCATGCTTTACTTTTCTAGACTCATAACCTTTACTCAGTTCCTTCACTCATTTTGACATTTTAAAATTGTGAAACTTCAGGCATATAAAATGCTATAAAATACTAAACACTTGTGTATTATGTGTACAACTGAGCATAACAGTTAATACATGACCCATACATTTCAATTCTATTTTGTACCTTTCCTGAAACACATTTTTCTCTCTGTTAGACAGTTACTCTCCACCCGTGATTTGGTACCTATCCGTCTTTTCATATCATTATAATTGTATAGCATCTCCAGTTATTCCCATATGTGTGAGTGTAACGTTGTTATATGTTTAAAGCTTTATAAAAACATGTGAATTTTTCTAAAATTTACTTTTTTTTTTGCTTTTTCTTTTTTTCATCTTAGCATTGTATCTGTGAGAGTCATCAAAGTTGATTTATGTAGCTACAATTCATTAACTTTTACTGCTCTATTGAAACGCATTTGATGAATACACCACACTCTGTCTATTCTGTTGACGAACATCAAGGCTGCTTCCAATTTTTGGCACACACAAATATGTGCTGCTCTGAAAGTATTTTGCCTGCCACCTTGTGCACATCTGGGAGAACTCCTCCGTAGTCATCACATATGCAGGGGCAGAATTGCTTGGTCGTAGGTGATGTACATCTTTCTTTTTTTTTTTTTTTTTTTTTTTTTTGTATTTTTTAGTAGAGACGAGGTTTCACCACGTTAGCCAGGATGATCTCCATCTCCTGACCTCGTGATCCTCCCGCCTCGGCCTTCCAAGCCTGGGATTACAGGCTTGAGCCACCGCGCCCGACCGCCGATGTACATCTTAAAGTATGCTATAGATTACTTTACTTCCGCCCCATAAGTGAACCCATTCCCCTTCTTCTCTGCAGTCTGTAAGAGTACTCATTGCTCCAAATCGTTACTAAAATATGGTATTGTTTAAAACTTTTAAGCTTTTAAGATTTTCAAGCATAAAAAAATAGAGAAACAACGTAATGGATCCTAAGTATCCATTACCCAGTTTCAAGAATTATCATCTCGTAGTCAGTATTGTTTCATGTGTGCTGATATCCACTTCCCTTATCACATGTCATTTTTTAGCAAACCACAGGCATAAAAATCATTATCGGCTGGGCACGGTAGCTCATGCCTGTAATACCAGCATTTTGGGAGGCCAAGGCAGGCGGATCACCTGAGGTCTGGAGTTCAAGACCAGCCTGACCAACATGGAGAAACCCCGTCTCTACTAAAAATACAAAATTAGCTGGGTGTGGTGGCACATGCCTGTAATCCCAGCTACTCAGGGGACTGAGGCAGGAGAATCACTTGAACCCAGGAAGGGGAGGTTGCAGTTAGCTGAGATCGCGCCATTGCACTCCAGCCTGCACAACAAGAGCGAAACTCCGTTTCAAAAAAAAAAAATCATTATCATTTAATTTGTAAATATTGTATGGTATTACAGCTTTAAGACTTTTTTATTTAAAAAATGACCACAGTGCCAGTACCACACCTCAAAAAAAAATTTCTTACCAGCAAATATCCAGTAGTGTCAGTATCATCATGAACATTTTTAATAGTTTTAATCAGTATCAAATAAAATTCACATATTGGAAATGATTAATGTCTCATGTATTCTTTTGGTCTGCAGATTCCTTTTCCTATTTTCTGTTTCCCCACTTCCTTTACTTGTTAAAGAAATTAAATGTTTTATCCTGTAGAATTTTCCACAGACTGGATTTTGCTGATTGCATCTCCATGATGCTGTTTGATATGACCAGTAAGTTGCTAGTTAGGACTATAGGCTACAGGGTTGGTATCGTATTTTTCCATTGTAATGCCTGGTTATCTGATTCCTTGTGATTTTAGCAGTTGGTACTCAATCTCTACATTCGTAATTTGTTTCATGCTGCAAAATGTTTAATTCTAATTTTCTCACCCCTTCTCAACTAAATAGCTGGAATACTTCTATGAAGAGAAACTTTCCCTTCTACTGTTGAGTTACTTAGTAGTAGAGTTCATACAGTAAAGATGAAACAAAAATGATTTGTTTTATAATGTTTATCTGTTCTTGGAAAAAATGAGATGGTTTACAACCACTCTTCAATGATGACTAATAAATTTATTTTTTGTATTATTTAGAATTCAAAATAATAACGTATAAAAGCTCATGAATTTAAATATAATTGATGGGGTTCAATCCATCTCAGTTCTTGTTCTTTCTGATACTCAGATTTTTCTTCTTTGTCTGATGGAGCCTCCTTGAGTTGGACCTTGAGTCACTTT
The DNA here is from genome assembly GCF_000001405.40 of Homo sapiens. Classification (NCBI taxonomy): domain Eukaryota; kingdom Metazoa; phylum Chordata; class Mammalia; order Primates; family Hominidae; genus Homo; species Homo sapiens. Next base: position 76,842,725 of record NC_000010.11, read on the forward strand.
GACAGTTTTGATACCCTTCTTGTTATTTTCTGTGATAGGCTATTGCACGCTCATCTTATATTTATCCTGGCCCAGGTCTGAAATTATCCACTTCTCCAGGGATCCTTGGTGTGTGTGTGTGTGTGTGTGTGTGTGTGTGCGTGTGTGTGTGTGCGTGTGTGTGTTTCAGTGGGAATGGCATTTGGCATTTATACTCTGGGCACTGCAAGTTGTTGATGAAATAATTTAATGCTTGTTAATCTGATAGGTATGTAATAGTAGCTCACCGTGGTTTTGATTTACATTGCTTAGATAATTACTTAGGTTGAGTGTTTGTAGGAATATTCTGATCATGTCAGTTTCTGTTCCAAGTTGTCAATTCACATCTATCATTAATTTTATTCCATTGGATTGTTGTCTTTTTTATTGAGTGTTGAGGGTTCTTTAGATATTTTATATATCTGTTCTTTATTGGCTATATTTGTTTCAAAAAATTGCTCCCAACCTGTGCCTTTTTTTACTGCTGCTATACTATCTTTTAATGAGAGAATTTCTTAATCTGAATGCAGTTAAGTGTACTTTTATTTTGTGGGTTGTGCTTTTCCCTATCTTGCAAAATAATTTCCCAAAGAAGACAACATCATGAATGGTATCAGGAGGAGCCATGCAAATCCTCTCTTGAGTGAAATAAGTATAATTGGTAAAAATTATAAAATGAACAGCCATTTAAAGTCTCTGGGAATATCTAACAAAATCTATTAAAGCTGGGTAAGAACAGTGAGTGCCTGTGGCACTTGAGCTATGACCTAATCCCTCTCTCCCCTTTTTCAGCTCAGTGTGGTGGAAGTGCCTTTCTGACTGAGCTTGGTCAATAAGATGGGTCTCTCCATCCAGTTCCCATGTAGGTGCTACTGTATCTCTCTCGCTGAGGCAGGCTACCAGCATTTCTTATACTTGTTAACTTCCATGTAGCAGAGGCTAAATTCCAGGTGAATATGGGTAAGAGGTCAGGCGTTCCCTCCCTTTACCCACCTGCTTCTTGTAAAGGCTCTAGCTCAGGTGTAGAAGGCTAAGAATACTGGATTCCTGATTACCCTCACCTGAGCATGTTGGTAAGGTGGTTTTCATGCCTGGGGAGGCAAGAAAAGACAAGAGGCTACTGCCTCCACCCAGCACTTTGCCCATAAATCAAGGATGTCACTCAAGAGTAGCATGCCACTGTCCCCACCTCACCTCTGGAGAAGTCGCCTAAAATTTTTGCTCAGGAGAAAAATCAGCCCATAAGAACAGAAAGATCCAATGCTCTCCCCAGGGGAACTGACTTCATTTGGAACAGACTGTAGAAAAGTTCAAGCCTAAGTGCACTGTCAAAAACAATGGAGATTTCAGATGTAAGCAATTGAAAGGATGTTGGTAGATCCATGAAACCATCAGTTAAACTCTAGGCCAACTAGTTACTAGGAAAATAAAAAAACAACAACAAGAAAAAAGACAGCCAAGAAGAGCCCTCCTGGAGTCAAAACAAATTTCAGTGACTTGCTTCAAAAACTACCCTTATGAGGGGCTCTTACATTATTAGATGAGACTGTGAAGCTATTTATGCACCATGTCGTTGTCAAAAACAATAGAACAATCAGCCTACAATTTAGTGTACCCCAACAGCTGGGTGTGATACCAAGAGAGGCAAGCAGTTTAACTTAGAAACCCATAAAGAGACTGCCAGAAAGCTCCACTAAAAGCACTGTAAATCCCAGGGTGACTATCTCCATCCCTAGGCTGTACCCTCTCAGGAGCAACATCAAAGGTGTCACGCTGCAGGGAGAAATATAATTTATTATATGAGTTCAAGGAAGTGAGTAAACAAATCAACAAGCAAACCAACAATGAAAAAGTACCTAAGAAACTATACTAATACAGTTAATATTTTTTAAACTCCATAATGTATAGCTGTTCTCCTTTCTTCTCTTGGCTTCTTCATAAGACATAAAGTTATATAAAGTAATAATTACAACAAAGTATAATTGGGAAGAAAAATCAGTATCCAGAGTTGCCACAGTATAGAATTTTAAATATCCAGTTTTTTACAAAAAATATGAGACATGCAAAGGAAGGGGAAAGAGTAAACTGCACACAAGATCATTAGATGGCAACAGGAACAACTTAAAGAGGACCGAGATGTAGGACTTAGCAGACAAAGCTTTCAAAACAGTTATTATAAATAAGTTCTAAGATCTAAAAAATACCATGCTTAAAGAAGTTAAGGAAGGTATGATGACAATGTCATAGCAAATACAGAATGTCAATAAGTATAAAGAAGTTTTATTTTTTTAAAGAAGAACAAAATGGAAATGTTTAGTGAAATAGCACAATACAGAAATAAAAATTGCACTAGAAGGACTCAGTAGTAGATTTCAATAGTCAGAAGAAACAGCTAACTTGAAGACAGATTGATAAAGAATATGCACGATGGTGCGTGCCTGTAGTCCCAGCTACTTGGGAGGCACCTTAGGTACCAGCTTGGCCCACAGAGATTTAGAGCACCAGGCAGGCTCTTAGGGTCCCCGATTCTGGGCATTGGCATTTGGATTGCATTTCTGAACCTGCTCTGAGCCAGACAGTAGCCTACCACCCTGAAGGGTGACTCCCAGGCCTAGCAACTTTCACCACAAGCTGACGTAAGAGCCCTTGGGCTTTAAGTGAACATTGGTGGAAGCCTGACAGTACTCCTTGTGCGACTGTGGTTGTGGTGGCCATGTGGTGAGGCTCCTCTGCCTGTGGAAAAGGGAGGCAAGAGTAAGAAAGACTTTGTTTCATTGTTTGAGAGCCAGCTCAGCATCAGTACAGTTGAACGCTGTAGGTTTTTAACTCCCATCCCTGGTTTCTGTATGGCATCTCTGGACCCACCCTGGGCCTGGGGAACTTGACACCCTGAAGGAAAAAACACAAGCCTGTCTGAATTCACCATCTGCTGATTATCTAGTCCTAGGGTCTTGAGCAAACATAGACAGTAGATAGATAGAGGTTACAGCAAGCCTTGGGCAAGACCCAGTGGTCTGCTGGTTTCAGGTCTGACCCAGTGCAGTCGCAGTGGTGGTGGTCATAGAGGTGCTTGTGTCACCCCACTCAAGCTCCAAGTGGCTCAGCACAGAAAGATAGACTCTGTTAATTTGGAGAAAATAAGGGAAGAGAATGAGCATCTCTACTTGGTATTCCAGAGAATTCTTCTGGATCTTATCCAAGACCACTAAGGTGGTACCTCCATGAATCTGCAAGAACCACAGCATTACTGGGCCATGGGTCCCCCCGAATGCAGATACAGCTTAGATCATAACACTCAAGTTCTTTGAATTCCTGGAAATCCTTCCCAAGCAGGGTGGGTACAAATAAGCCCAGACTGCAAAAACTGCAATAAATACCTAACTCTTCAATACCCAAACACCAATGAGTATCTACAAGCATCAACACTGTCTGGGAAAACATGACCTTATCAAAGTGAATAAAGCGGATGGAGCCAAGATGGCCAAACAGGAACAGCTCCGGTGTACACCTCCCAGCGTGAGTGACGGAGAAGACGGGTGATTTCTGCATTTCCATCTGAGGTACCAGGTTCATCTCACTAGGGAGTGCCAGACAGTGGGTGCAGGACAGTGGGGGCAGCGCACTGTGCATGAGCCAAAGAAGGGCGACGCATTGCCTCACTCAGGAAGTGCAAGGGGTCAGGGAGTTCCCTTTCCTAGTCAAAGAAAGGGGTGACAGATGGCACCTGGAAAATCGGGTCACTCCCACCCTAATACTGCACTTTTCTAACAGGCTTAAAAAACGGCACACCAGGAGATTATATCCCGCACATGGCTCAGAGGGTCCTATGCCCACGGAGTCTCGCTAATTGCTAGCACAGCAGTCTGAGATCAAACTGCAAGGTGGCAGTGAGACTGGGAGAGGGGCGCCTGCCATTGCCCAGGCTTGATTAGGTAAACAAAGCAGCCGGGAAGCTCGAACTGAGTGGAGCCCACCACAGCTCAAGGAGGCCTGCCTGCCTCTGTAGGCTGCACCTCTGGGGGGCAGGGCACAGACGAACAAAAAGACAGCAGTAACCTCTGCAGACTTAAATGTCCCTGTCTGACAGCTTTGAAGAGAGTAGCGGTTCTCCCAGCATGCAGCTTGACATCTGGGAATGGGCAGACTGCCTCCTCAAGTGGGTCCCTGACAACCGAGCAGCCTAACTGGGAGGCACCCCCCAGTAGGGGCAGACTGACACCTCACACAGCCGGGTACTCCTCTGAGACCAAAATTCCAGAGGAACGATCAGGGAGCAGCATTTGTAGGTCACCAATATCTGCTGTTCTACAGCCACTGCTGTTCTGCAGCCACCGCTGCTGATACCCAGGCAAACAGGGTCTGGAGTGGACCTCTAGCAAACTCCAACAGACCTGCAGCTGAGGGTCCTGTCTGTTAGAAGGAAAACTAACAAACAGAAAGGATATCCACACCAAAAACCCATCTCTACATCACCATCATGAAAGACCAAAAGTAGATACAACCACAAAGATGGGGAAAAAACAGAGCAGAAAAACTGGAAACTCTAAAAATCAGAGCGTCTCTCCTCCTCCCAAGGAACACAGCTCCTCACCAGCAATGGAACACAGCTGGACAGAGAATGACTTTGATGAGTTGAGAGAAGAAGGCTTCAGAAGATCAAACTACTCTGAGCTACAGGAGGAAATTCAAACCAATGGCAAAGAAGTTAAAAACTTTGAAAAAAAATTAGACAAATGGATAACTAGAATAACCAATGCAGAGAAGTCCTTAAAGGAGCTGATGGAGCTGGAAGCCAAGGCTCGAGAACTATGTGAAGAATGCAGAAGCCTCAGGAGCCGATGCGATCAACTGGAAGAAAGGGTATCAGTGATGGAAGACGAAATGAATGAAATGAAGCGAGAAGGGAAGTTTAGAGAAAAAAGAATAAAAAGAAATGAACAAAGCCTCCAAGAAATATGGGACTATGTGAAAAGACCAAATCTACGTCTGATTGGTGTACCTGAAAGTGACGGGGAGAATGGAACCAAGTTGGAAAACACTCTGCAGGATATTAACCAGGAGAACTTCCCCAATCTAGCAAGGCGGGCCAACATTCAAATTCAGGAAATACAGAGAACGCCACAAAGATACTCCTCGAGAAGGGCAACTCCAAGACACATAACTGTCAGATTCACCAAAGTTGAAATGAGGAAAAAATGTTAAGGGCAGCCAGAGAGAAAGGTCGGGTTACCCACAAAGGGAAGCCCATCAGACTAACAGTGGATCTCTTGGCAGAAACTCTACAAGCCAGTAGAGAGTGGGGACCAATATTCAACATTATTAAAGAAAAGAATTTTTAACCCAGAATCTCATATCCAGCCAAACTTAGCTTCATAAGTGAAGGAGAAATAAAATACTTTACAGACAAGCAAATGCTGAGAGATTTTGTCACCACCAGGCCTGCCCTAAAAGAGCTCCTGAAGGAAACGCTAAACATGGAAAGGAACAACCGGTACCAGCCACTGCAAAAACATGCCAAAATGTAAAGACCATCAAGGCTAGGAAGAAACTGCATCAACTAACAAGCAAAATAACCAGCTAATATCATAATGACAGGACCAAATTCACAAATAACAATATTAACTTTAAATGTAAATGGGCTAAATGCTCCAATTAAAAGACACAGACTAGCAAATTGGATAAAGAGTCAAGATCCGTGAGTGTACTGTATTCAGGAAACCCATCTCATGTGCAGAGACACACATAGGCTCAAAATAAAGGGATGGAGGAAGATCTACCAAGCAAATGGAAAACAAAAAAAGGCAGGGGTTGCAATCTTAGTCTCAGATAAAACAGACTTTAAACCAACAAAGATCAAAAGAGACAAAGAAGGCCATTACATAATGGTAAAGGGATCAATTCAACAAGAAGAGCTAACTATCCTAAATATATATGCACCCAATACAGGAGCACCCTGATTCATAAAGCAAGTCCTTACAGACCTACAAAGAGACTTAGACTCCCACACAATAATAATGGGAGACTTTAACACCCCACTGTCAACATTAGACAGATCAGCGAGACAGAAAGTCAACAAGGATACCCAGGAATTGAACTCAGCTCTGCACCAAGCGGACCTAATAGACATCTACAGAACTCTCCACCCCAAATCAACAGAATATACATTTTTTTCAGCACCACACCACACCTATTCCAAAATTGACCACATAGTTGGAAGTAAAGCACTCCTCAGCAAATGTAAAAGAACAGAAATTATAACTAACTGTCTCTCAGACCACAGTGCAATCAAACTAGAACTCAGGATTAAGAAACTCACTCAAAACCGCTCAACTACATGGAAACTGAACAACTTGCTCCTGAGTGACTACTGGGTACATAACGAAATGAAGGCAGAAATAAAGATGTCCTTTGAAACCAACGAGAACAAAGACAAAACATACCAGAATCTCTGGGACACATTCAAAGCAGTGTGTAGAGGGAAATTTATAGCACTAAATGCCCACAAGAGAAAGCAGGAAAGATCTAAAATTGACACCCTAACATCACAATTAAAAGAACTAGAAAAGCAAGACCAAACACATGCAAAAGCTAGCAGAACGCAAGAAATAACTAAAATCAGAGCAGAACTGAAGGAACTAGAGACAAAAAAAAAAAACCCTTCAAAAATCAATGAATCCAGGAGCTGGTTTTTTGAGAAGATCAACAAAATTGATAGACCGCTAGCAAGACTAATAAAGAAGAAAAGAGAGAAGAATCAAATAGATGCAATAAAAAATGATAAAGGGGATATCACCACTGATCCCACAGAAATACAAACTACCATCAGAGAATACCACAAACACCTCTATGCAAATAAACTAGAAAATCTAGAAGAAATGGATAAATTCCTTGACACATACACCCTCCCAAGACTAAACCAGGAAGAAGTTGAATCTCTGAATAGACCAATAACAGGCTCTGAAATTGTGGCAATAATCAATAGCTTACCAAGCAGAAAAAGTCCAGGACCAGATGGATTCACAGCCGAATTCTACCAGAGGTACAAGGAGGAGCTGGCACCATTCCTTCTGAAATTATTCCAATCAATAGAAAAAGAGGGAATCTTCCCTAACTCATTTTATGAGGCCAGCATCATCCTGATACCAAAGCCTGGCAGAGACACAAACAAAAAAGAGAATTTTAGACCAATATCCTTGATGAACATTGATGCAAAAATCCTCAATAAAATACTGGCAAACCGAATCCAGCAGCACATCAAAAAGCTTATCCACCATGATCAAGTGTGCTTCATCCCTGGGATGCAAGGCTGGTTCAACATAAGCAAATCAATAAATGTAATCCAGCATATAAACAGAGCCAAAGACAAAAACCACATGATTATCTCAATAGATGCAGAAAAGGCCTTTGACAAAATTCAACAACCCTTCATGCTAAAAACTCTCAATAAATTAGGTATTGATGGGACGTATCTCAAAATAATAAGAGCTATCTATGACAAACCCACAGCCAATGTCATACTGAATGGGCAAAAACTGGAAACATTCCCTTTGAAAATGGGCACAAGACAGGGATGCCCTCTCTTACCACTCCTATTCAACATAGTGTTGGAAGTTCTGGCCAGGACAATTAGGCAGGAGAAGGAAATAAAGGGTATTCAATTAGGAAAAGAGGAAGTCAAATTGTCCCTGTTTGCAGACGGCATGATTGTATATCTAGAAAACCCCATTTTCTCAGCCCAAAATCTCCTTAAGCTGATAAGCAACTTCAGCAAAGTCTCAGGATACAAAATCAATGTACAAAAATCACAAGCATTCTTATACACCAATAAGAATGCTTATACAGACAAACAAAGAGCCAAATCATGAGTGAACTCCCATTCACAATTTCTTCAAAGAGAATAAAATACCTAGGAATCCAACTTACAAGGGATGTGAAGGACCTCTTCAAGGAGAACTACAAACCACTGCTCAATGAAATAAAAGAGGATACAAAGAAATGGAAGAACATTCCATGCTCATGGGTAGGAAGAATCAATATCGTGAAAATGGCCATACTGCCCAAGGTAATTTATAGATTCAATGCCATCCCATCAAGCTACCAATGACTTTCTTCACAGAATTGGAAAAAAATACTTTAAAGTTCATATGGAACCAAAAAAGAGCCCGCATCACCAAGTCAGTCCTAAGCCAAAAGAATAAAGCTGGAGACATCACGCTACCTGACTTCAAACTATACCACAAGGCTACAGTAACCAAAACAGCATGGTACTGGTACCAAAACAGACATATAGACCAATGGAACAGAACAGAGCCCTTAGAAATAATGCCGCATATCTACAACCATCTAATCTTTGACAAACCTGAGAAAAACAAGCAATGGGGAAAGGATTCCCTATTTAATAAATGGTGCTGGGAAAACTGGCTAGCCATATGTAGAAAGCTGAAACTGGATCCCTTCCTTACACCTTATACAAAAATTAATTCAAGATGGATTAAAGACTTAAATGTTAGACCTAAAACCATAAAAACCCTAGAAGAAATCCTAGGCAATACCATTCAGGACATAGGCATGGGCAAGGACTTCATGTCTAAAACACCAAAAGCAATGGCAACAAAAGCCAAAATTGACAAATGGGATCTCATTAAACTAAAGAGCTTCTGCACAGCAAAAGAAACTACCATCAGAGTGAATAGGCAACCTACAAACTGGGAGAAAATTTTTGCAACCTCCTCATCTGACAAAGGGCTAATATCCAGAATCTACAATGAACTCCAACAAATTTACAAGAAAAAAAACAAACAACCCCATCAAAAAGTGGGCAAAGGATATGAACAGACACTTCTCAAAAGAAGACATTTATGCAGCCAAAAAACACATGAAAAAATGCTCATCATCACTGGCCATCAGAGAAATGCAAATCAAAACCACAATGAGATACCATCTCACACCAGTTAGAATGGCGATCATTAAAAAGTCAGGAAACAACAGGCGCTGGAGAGGATGTGGAGAAATAGGAACACTTTTACACTGTTGGTGGGGAACTAGAAATACCATTTCACCCAGCCATCCCATTACTGGGTATATACCCAAAGGATTATAAATCATGCTGCTATAAAGACACATGCACATGTATGTTTATTGCGGCACTATTCACAATAGCAAAGACTTGGAACCAACCCAAATGTCCAACAATGATAGACTGGATTAAGAAAATGTGGCACATATACACCATGGAATACTATGCAGCCATAAAAAATGATGAGTTCATGTCCTTTGCAGGGACATGGATGAAACTGGAAACCATCATTCTCAGCAAACTATCGCAAGGACAAAAAACCAGACACTGCATGTTCTCACTCATAGGTGGGAACTGAACAATGAGAACACATGGACACAGGAAGGGGAACATCATACTCTAGGTACTATTGTGGGGTGGGGGTAGTGGGGAGGGATAGCATTAGGAGATATACGTAATGCTAAATGACGAGTTAACGGGTGCAGCACACCAACATGGTACATGTATACATATGTAACAAACCTGCACATTGTGCACATGTACCCTAAAACTTAAAGTATAATAATAATAAAATAAAAAAAAAAAAAAGTGAATAAAGCACCAGGGCCCAATTCTGGAGAGACAAAGATAGGTGACCTTTCAGGCAGAGAATTCAAAACAACCACTTTGAGGAAACTCAAAGAAATTCAGGATAACACAAAGAAGGAATTCAGAATTCTATCAGATAAATTTAACAAAGAGATTGAAAAAATTTAAAAGAATCAAGCAGCAATTCTGGAGTTGAAAAATCCAACTGGCATACTTAAGAATGCATCAGAGTCTTTCAATACCAGAATTAATCATGGAGAAGAAAGAATTAGTGAGCTTGAAGCAGGTTTTTTTGAAAATACACAGAGGAGGAAAAAGAAAAAAGAATTGAAAATCACAGAGCTCACCTGCAAGATCTACAAAATAGCCTCAAAAGGGCAAATATACATTACTAGCCTTAAAGAGGAGGTAGAGAAAGAGGTAGGGGTAGAAAGTTTATTCAAAGAGAATATTCCAAACCTAGAGAAAGATATCAATATCTAAGTACAAGAAAGTTATAGAACACCAAGCAGATTTCACCTAAAGAAGACTACCTCAAGGCCTTTAATAACCTAACTCCCAAAAGTCAAGGATAAAGAAAGGATTCTAAAAGCAGCAAGAGAAAAGAAAAAAAGAATATACAACAGAACTCCCATATGTCTGGCAATAGACATATAAGCTTTTCAGTGGAAACCTTATATGTGCTGAAGGGAAAAAAAAAAACTTTTACCCTAGAATAGTATACCCAGTGAAAATATCCTTCAAACATGAAGGAGAAATAAAGACTTTTCCAGACAAACAAAACTGAAAAACATCATCAACACCAGACCTATCCTACAAAAAATGATAAAGGGAATATTTTAATCAGAAAGAAAAGGACATTAATGAGCAATAAGAAATCATCTGAAGGTACAAAACTCACGGGTAATAGTAGGTAAATAGAAAAACACAGAATATTATAACATCATAACTGGTATGGACTTACAAAAGACCCAGAATAGCCAAAGCTGTTCTAAACAGAAACAACAAAACTGGAGGAATCACATTACCCGACTTCAAATTATGCTATAGATTTATAGTAACCAAAACAGCATGGTACTCTCCTAAAAAATATCAGACATATAGACCAGTGGGGGAGAATAGAGAAATATTTCAATGCATCTACAGTGAACTCATTGTTTACAAAGGTTCCAAGAATGTACATTGAGGAAAGGAAAGTCTCTTCAATAAATGGTGCTGGGAAAACTAGATATTCATATGCAGGAGAATGAAACTAGATCCCTATATCTCACCATATACAAAATCAAATCACCACGGATTTAAGACTTAAATCTAAGACCTCAAGCAATGAAACTACTAGAAGAAAATATTGGGGAAACTCTCCAAGACATTGTACTGGGCAAAGACTTCTTGAGTAATACCCCACAAGCACAGGCAACCAAAGCAAAAATGGACAAATGGAATCACATGAAGTTAAAAAAATTTCTGCACAGCAAAGGAAACAATCAACGAAATGAAGATACAACCCACAGAATGGGGGAAAATATTTGCAAACTACCCACCTGACAAAGGATTAATAACCAGAATATATAAGGGACTCAACTCTATAGGAAAAAAATCCAATAATCCCATTAAAAATGGGCAGATAATTTGAATAGATATTTTTCAAAAGAAGACATACAAATGGCAGATATATTAAAAGGTGCTTAACATAATTGATCATCAGGAAAATACAAATTAAAACTACAATGAGATATCATTCGACCCCAGTTAAAATGACTTTTATTCAACAGGCAAGCAAAACAAATGCTGGCAAGGATGTAGAGAAAAGGGGACTCTTGTACACTTTTTGTTGATATGTGAATTAGCACAGCTACTGTGGAGAACAGTTTGGAGGTTCCTCAAAAAACTAAAAGTACAGCTATCATATGATCCAGCAACCCCACTTGTAAGCATATACGCAAAAGAAAATAAATCAGCATATTGAAAAGATATCTGCACTCCCATGTTTATTGCAGCACTATTCACAATAGCCAAGACGTGGAAGCAGCCTAAGCATCTATCAACAGATGAATGGATACAGAAAATGTCATACATATACACAGTGGAGTACTATTCAGCCACAAAAAAGAAGGAGACCCTGTCATTTGCAACATGGATGGAGCTGGAGATCATCATGCTAAGTGAAATAAACTAGACACAAAAAGATGAACATTGCATTTTCTTGCCTATCTGTGGGAGCTAAAAATTAAAATAATTGAACTCACGGAAATAGAGAGTGAAAGAATGGTTACCAGAGGCTAGGAAGCGTAGTGGATGGATAGGGGGAAGTAGGGATCGTTAATGGGTACAAAAAAATAGTTAGAATGTATAAGACCTAGTATTTGCTAGCACAACAGGGTGACTATAGTAAAAAAATAATTTAATTGTACATTTTAAAACAATTAAAATAATATAATCAGATTGTTTGAAACAGAAAGGATGAATGCTTGAGGTGATGGATATCCCATTTATCCTGATGTGATTATTATACCTTGCATGCCTGTACCAAGATATCTCATGTAACCCATAAATATATCTACCTACTATGTATCAAAGACAGTTAAAAAAATTTTTAACTAAGAAATTAACTTCATTTTTATTTATAAATGTATTAGCATAAATGGTTTATATTCTTCTTATTATTATTCTTAGATATATCTCTACCTATGCCCATTTTTCATATCTAATATAATTTATTTGTTTCCTCTTTGTCATTATTATTTTCCTTTTTACTAATCTTTGACTTTTCAAAGAAACAACTCTTGGCTTTAAAGCTTATGCATTCTATTAGATCTTCATTTTCATAAATTTCTATGGTTATCTTTAATTATTTCCTTCCTTTTATTTTCTTAATGTTAATTCGTTTGGGTTTCTCTTTTTTTAGTTTTCAAGAGAAATACTGAACTCATCAATTGGAGCCATTCTTCATTTCTAATTTAGGTATATATGGCTTTAAATTTCCCTTTAAGTACCAGTTTATCTTCACGTCAAAAATTTTCATGTGTAGAATATTCATTAATGTTCAGGTACAAAGATTTTCTAATTTCCCAAATGATTTGTTCTTTTATTTAAAACTACTTCTTTAAAGTTTATTGAGGTTTGCTTGACTGATTAGTTACATGGTTGTTTTTTCCTATTTCCTGTGTACTTAAGAATAATGAGTTCTTGAAATGTTGGACGCAGTATTCTATACATGCCAGTTCACTAAACTTCTTAGTTTTTAAATACATACTGATTTGAAACTGTCTCTAAGTTTATCTAATTTTTTGTCTTATGATTTATCTTACATTGAAATAGAATATTTCATTCATTATGGTGGTGTTTAATATTTCCTAGTTGTAAGAGTTACTGTTTTAAAACATATTTTGAGGTCAGATGTCAAGTTATTGGGTGCCTATGAGTTTAGAATTGTATATACTTTGGGCAAATTATCCACATCCACATTCAACATGTCTATTGTAAAGCTGTTTTTTGTCATTCTCATATTTTGTCTCATATTAGTCTAGTTATTTTATTTATTTGTTTATTTATTTATTTATTTATTTATTTATTTATTGAGATGGAGTCTCACTCTGTCCCCCAGGCTGGAGTTCAGTGGCACAATCACAGCTCACTGCAAGCTCTGCCTCCCAAGTTCAAGCGATTCTCCTGTCTCAGCCTCCTGAGTAGCTGGGGACTACAGGCACATGCCACCATGCCTGGCTAAGTTTTGTGGTTTTTGGTGGAGACAGGGTTTCACCATGTTACCCAGGCTGGTTTCCTGACCTCAAGTGATCCACCCACCTTGGCATCCCAGACTGCTGGGATTACAGGCATGAACCACTGTGTTATTATTATTGTTTACATTTCAGACTCCTTCAGGGTCCATAAGTATTTGCTTTTAGTACTCAGATGAGACGTTTTAGAAATCAGTATCAATTCAGTAATCTCTAACCAGTCAGAAAGTAGCTATAGTTGCCCAACTTCCCCTTGGCTGTCTCTGGAAGTTCCACACTTGATCTTAGCCATGAGGCCAAGAAGCGATGGAAGTTCCATAAACAATGTTTTAACTAATTTTTAATTAAAGTATTTGCTTCACTTATGTTCATTTATATATCTGTTTATATTTACTTCTACCACCTTAATTGCACTGCTTGTTTGATGCTTCTTTTTAACATTTTTGTGGTTTATTTTGGGTAGATTTTTTGGTTGCATTTTCTCCTGTACTGATTTGGAAGTTATAAACCCTATTTCTTCCTTTCGATTGTTTTTTGTTTTTTGTTTTTGTTTTTGTTTTTTTGACGGAGTCTTGCTCTGTCACCAGGCTGCAGTGCAATGGCACGAACTTGGCTCACTGCAACCTCTGCCTCTGGGGTTCAAGTGATTATCCTGCCTCAGCCTCCCGAGTAGCTGGGACTACAGGCATGCGCCACCACGCCCTGCTAATTTTTGTATTTTTAGTAAAGATGAGGTTTCACCATGTTGGCCAGGATAGTCTCGATCTTTTGACCTCATGATCTGCCCACCTCTGCCTCCCGAAGTGCTGGGATTACAGGATTGAGCCACCACCCCCAGCCGATGGTTACTGTTAAATTTTAACATCGCACACTAAACTTAATGATATTTAAAAAAAACAGTGGCTGGGCACGGTGGCTCACACCTGTAATCCCAGCACTTCGGGAGGCCAAGGCAGGTGGATCCCCTGAGGTCAGGAGTTCAAGACCAGCCTGGCCAACATGGAGAAACCCCGTCTCCACTAGGAATACAAAAATTAGCCAGGCATGGTGGCAGGTGCCTATAATCCCAGCTACTGGGGAGGCTGAGACAGGATCATCGCTTGAACCCAGGAAGCAGAGGTTGCAGTGAGCTGAGATTCCGCCACTGCACTCCAGCCTGGGTGACAGAGCAAGACTCTGTCTTTAAAAAAAAAAAAAAAAAAAAAAAATCTCTGATCTTCTGAGCAAGTCATAGAATGTAAAATGTTTAACTCTGATCATCACTCTATATCTACTCCTCTTCTATTGTTAAACTATTTTTCCTTAGCTCGTATTTATTGCTTTTCATTTTAAAGTCATTGTTTTCTTATTTACCCATAGGTTTACTAATTTATTTGCTCACTCTTCATTCTGGATTTCACACTTTACTTCTAGAATCATTTTCCTTATTTCATTCTAAAAGTTGATTCTCTGAAAAACTAATAAACTAATAAGGTTAATTTTTTTAAAAAAGGAAAAAGAAAGTCACAAATTACCAATAACAAGAATAATAAAGAGGACATATCTATAGATGCTCCCAATATAGATGATGTTATGAACAACTTTATTCTAAAAGTTTTGAAAATTTACATGAAATAGACAACTTCTATTCAATGAAGCCACAAAACAGCAAAGATCAAGACAGTAACTTGTATGTAGCCAGAAAGAAGAGAGAACACTCAAAAGGAAAGATTATTAGATTGACACTGCCTAAACTAAACTAGAATTATATTTTCTTACTAAATTATCATTTAAGAGGAGATTAAAAAACAAAGATATTTCCAGACAAGCAAAAAAACTAAGAGAGTTCATCACAAATATACTCTGCCTAAAGGAAATTGAAAGGAGATTTACATCAGAAAAATGAAAGGTACAAATTACCAATAACATAAAAAAGGACAGATGTTTCCAATATTACAAAGATAATAAAAAGATTTTATAAACAGTATTATACTAAAATTTTTGAAAATTTACATGAAATAGACAAATCCTAAACCAACACAATTCACAAAAACCAACAGAAAAGGAGAAAGAAAATCTAAATAGTTCTACATCTATTAAGTATACTGAATCTGTAATGAAAATACTTCTCACAAAGTAATTTCCAAGTACAGACAGCTTCATCAGTGATTTTTTTCCAAAGACTGTGGGCAAAAAATAGCACTAATTTTATATAAACTCTCTCAGGGAATTGAAAAAGTGGAAACGCTTTTTAGCTCATTATATCAGGCCAGTATAATCTTGATGCCAATGTTTGACGATGAACGAAAAAGCTTTCCATACACTGAAAAATAACAAGATCCTTTCTAGGACATAGATAGAAAAATTCTCTCAAAACTTAGCAAATCAAATCAAGAGCTATACATATTTTATTAATTTGTATGAATACTTTTTAAATGATTTAGTTGTTTACAACAATGTTCCAGTTTTTGGCTTTTGAATATTTCATCATTTTTATAATACCTTTCCCAATCTGAGATTTTCTTTTCATGTCTAGCATGTTTTCTTTCATTGCTTTTTCTTTTTAATCTTTTCAGTTACTTATTTTTTGCAAAAGGAGTTATATAGGCCTTATATTAATTTCCTAGGGCCATAACAAAGTACTACAACTGGTCTGAAGGACTTAAAACAGCATAAATGTATTCTCTCACAGTTCTGAAGGTGAGTTCTAAATCTAGTTAGCAGCAGGGCCATGCTGTCTCTGAGACCCTAGGACAAATCCTTCTTGCCTCTTCCTGGCTTCTGGTGGTGGCCAGCAATCCTTGGTGTTCTTTTGCTTATAAATGTATCACTCCAATCTCTGCCTCTATCATCACATAGCCAACTTCAATCTCTGTCTGTGTCTTCTCATAAGGACACCAGTCATATTGCATTATGGGCCCACTGAGTAAAGTGTGACCTTATCTTTACTAATTACATCTGCAATGACACTATTCCCAAATAAGGCCATATTCTGAGGTAGTGTGAGTTAAAACTTCAACATATCTTTTTGGGTGACAGAATTTAACCCGTAACAGGCATAAAGCTGTATCTTTTATACATGACTACTCTATCTTGATATCATTTGAATTACCCACCTCTCCTTCACTAGTAAGTAATGCCATCTTTCTCATATGCTAAATGATTCGATATATGGGAAGAATTTCTTGTCTGTCTATTCTATCTCTCTAATCTGTCAAGTCAAGCATCAGTACTACACAATTTTGATTATTGTCATTTTATAATTTGTCTTTGTTTTCTTCAGTCAACTATATTGAGGTATAGTTTACGTACAATGAAATACGCTGATTTTAACTGTGCATTTCATTAATTATGACAAATTTATACAGCCATATAACAACCACCACAATAAAGATATAGAAAATTTCTATGACCCCCAAATTTCAATCATATCATATCCTAATCAATCTTCTCCTTTCTTGCCTTTCCCCAAGCAATCACATGTCTACTTTCTATCACTATAGAGGTTTTTCTAGAGTTTCATATAAATGAAATCATACAGTATGTATCTTTTTTGTTTTGATTATTTGGTCAACATAATATTTTTGAAATTTATTCGTATTCTTATATGCATCAGTCGTTCATTTCTTTTCTTTGTTGTATAGTAGTTCATAGCATAAATACATAATTTGTTTATACATTCACCTGTCAATAAGCTTTGAATTGTTTACAGTTTAGGGTTATTATGAATAAAGCTGCTGTGAATATCTGGTTTTATACTATGAGTGGAATTGTCTCTTTTTAATAAAAAGTACATCTGTAACTTTACTGGCACTACTAAACTGTTTTCCAAAGTGGCATTACCATGAGCAATGTATGGAAGGTTTAGTTGCTACACATCCTCACTGCCCTTGGTATTGTCAGTCTTTTAAAATAGCCATCGTAGTGTACATGAAGTTGTTTCTCATTGTAGTTTTAATTTACATTTCCATGATGACTAATAATATTGAGTATTTTTTCATTGAATATTTATTTTAAGCTAATTAATATTTTATTTTTAATTGTTTCATATAATTTTTTACTTCTTAATAGTTTCACATTTTTATATTTCATAATTGTACTTAGGGAGACTATTCTCTTTTGTAGTTCAGTTTTTTTTTACCCAATCAACTTATTTGATTCTTTTATAATTCATTAGTGTTTTCCAGTTGATTTTCTTGGATTTTTCATAGATATAATCATAATGTGCAAATAATAAAAGTTTGCCTCCATTCCAATTTTTAAAGACATCTCACTTTTTAAATTGTCTAATAGCATAAGCTAGACATAATAAACAAAGCTGAGTTTCTTAAACTTTCTTTCTGGAATCATTATTGGAATGGGAAGAGTTCTGTAGTTCCTTCATTACGTCTAATGCTGATTTTTAAAATACATATTGTTTATAATGTTAAGAAAATTACCTACTTTATTGTGATTTTTGATCAAGGTGTTTTTATCAAATCTCTTTCACCATATATAGAAATTACAATATGATTTTTACCTCAGACATGTTAGTGTGGAGAATTACACTGTAATAATTCCTAATATTGAAATATGTATTTTGTACATATGTTGCAAGTTTTATTTTCATATTTGCTATATTTGAATTAATATTTGTAAGTGAAATTGGTCTCTAATTTTTTTGCTGTAATTGTCAGGTTTTGTAAACAATGTTTTGAACATTTCATAAAAGAATTGAAAGCATTATTTTTCTATGCTCTGGAATAGCATTGAAAATACCTGTTTTTAAATTTTGGGTGAAACTCACCCACAAAATTACTAGGCCTAACACATTTTTTATTAAGGGTGAGTATGCTTCAACAATGGTCTCCATTTTTCCCAGGGCAATAGGTTAATTTCGCTTATCTCTTTTCTAAGCACCAGTTTATATTTTCCTAAGATTTTCATTTCATCAAAATTTTCAAATGTACTTTTACAGAGTTAAACACACTTCAGATTCATATTATTTGTTTTTATAGTTATTTACCATTTATATTTTTGTGAACTTGTACTTTCTTCTTTATTTCATTGTTTTTTGTTCTCATAGAATTGCTCTTGTATATGCATTAGTTCTATAACTTTTTGTTGTCTAGTTCATTAATGCCTGCTTTAATATTTTTTAGTTTATTTTCTTGTCTAAAGTTGATTTCATTCACTTTCTTTCTGACTTCTTGTGTTGTATGCTGAACTTATTTTATTATTTCTTGCTTAAATATATGTATTTAAATACATGAATTTTCCTTTTCACAGTGTTTTATCAGCATTCCATAGATTATAATATCAAGTATTTTATTATTGTGATTTTCTGAATAATCTCCAATTTTGGCTTTGATTTTTGCTTTGAGATAGTTAATTTCCAGCTAGTAAGTTTATTTTTCTTTCTGATTTTTTTGTTAGCTACCAATTTTCTTGCACTAAATAATGTGTATTGGTATTTTGCAGAATAGTATGTGGTAGAGTTTTAAGAATGCTTCATGAGAAGGGAACATATTCTGTTTTCATTATATATATAATTATACATGTATATATAAACACACACATATATACACACATATATGTCCATATAACATATATACATACACACACATGTCCATATAACATATATACATACCCAAGTATAAAACTTACATATATAATCTATCTTATTAACAATGCTGAATTTTTCATAGTCTTGCTTATTTTTATTCACTCAATCTTTCATGGAATAAGAGAGATTAATATCTCCTACTATTAATTGCTTCTAAGTATTTCTCCCCACATTTCATATATGAGCAGTCTTGAAAAAGTTTATGAAAATGCATACTATGAAAAAACTATGCATGGATTTCAAAACATTTTTGGCACAAAAAAACTAGTACTAACTTCTTATAATATGTCTGGACAGGATCTAAGAAGGGTAAGACATCAATTTGAAAAGAGCCCTTATCAGAGCAACATGAATTCTGCTAAAATTGAAGCAAGAACAAACAGCAAATTTATGGTGAAGCTTGGGTGGAAGAAAGGTGAAATCACTGAAGCTTTACCAAAAGTTTATGGGGAGAATGCCCCATGGAAATCAGCAGTTTAAAATGGATAACTTGTTTTAAGAAGGGATGAGATGATGTTGCAGTTGAAGCCCACAGTGGCAGACCAGCTACATCAATTTGCAAGGAAAAAATTAATACTGCTTGTGCAATAATTGAAGAGGACCAACGATTAACAGCAGAAACAATAGTCAACACCACATCTCAATTGATTCAGCTTACACAATTTTGACTGAAAAATTAAAGCTGAGCAAACTTTCCATTTGATGGGTGCCAAAACTATTGCTCCCAGATTGGCTGCAGACAAGAAAAGAGCTTTCAATGGAAATTTTAAACAAGCAGGATCAAGATCCTGAAGCGTTTTCCAGAAGAGTTGCAACAGGAGATGAAGTGTGGCTTTTCCAGTATGATCCTGAAGTCAAAGCACAATCAAAGCAATGGCTACTAAGAGGTCATAGTGGTCCAGACAAAGCAAAAGTGGACTGGTCGAGAGCAAAGTTCATGGCAACAGATTTTTGGGATGCTCAAGGCATTTTGCTTGTTAACTCTCTGGAGGGCCAAAGAACAACGACATCTGCTCATTATGAAAGTATTTTGAGAAAGGTAGTCAAGCTTTAGCAGAAAAATGTCCAGGAAAACTTCACCAGAGAGTTCTTCTCCAGCAGGACAGTGCTCCTATTCCTCTCATAAAAAAGGTCAATTTTGTAAGGGTTTCAATGGGAAATCATTAGGCATCACTTTACAGTCCTGATTTGGCTCCTTTTGACTTCTTTTTGTTTCCTAATCTTAAAAAGTCTGTATAGGCCACCCATTTTGCTTCTGTTAATAATGTAAAATAGACCACATTAATATGGTTAAATTCCCAGGACCCTCAGTTCTTTAGGGATGGACTAAGAGCTGGTATCACTTACAAAGTATCTTGACCTTGATGGAGTTCATGTTGATAAATAAGATATATGATTTTAATTTTTATTTTTTATTTCAGTTTTTCCATGAATATTTTGAAGTTCCCTCCTATTTTTGCTTTACAGAATTTGATGGTGTGATAATTTGAGTCTGGTATCTGTGGTTGTTACAGCTTGTGTGATTATACTGTACTTTTATCATAAAAAATACCATGCTTTTTCTTGTTCAATAATTTTTGTCTTGATGTTAACATTATCTGATACTATGAATTTGCTATTCTGTGCTTAAACCAAAAATTCTATTGATCCAAATGCCTTTGCATATGCTTTTACTTTCAACTGTTCTAAGTTCCTTTTCTTAATTTTTAATTTTTATTTTAAGCTCTGAGGTACATGTGCAGGTTTGTCACATAGGCTAACAAGTGTGCCATGGTGGTTTACTGCACCTATCAACCCATCACCTAGGTATTAAGCCCAGCATGCATTAGCTATTTTTCTTAATGCTCTCCCTCCCCCTACTACACCCCCCCTCCAACAGGCCCCAGTGTGTATTGTTTCCCTCCCCATGTCCATGTGTTCTCATTGTTCAGTTCTCACTTATAGTGAGAACATGTGGTGTTTGGTTTTCTGTGCCTGAGTTGGCTGAGGATAATGGCTTCCAGTTCCATCCATGTCCCCACAAAGGACATGATCTCATTCCTTTTTATGGCTGCATAGTATTCCATGATGTATATGTACCACATTTTCTCTATTCAGTCTATCATTGATGGGCATTTGGGTTGATTCCATGTCTTTGCTATTGTGAATAGTGCTGCAATAAAGTTTATTTTTTGATAACATTTTTATGCAGCATAATTTTTGGGTTTACTTTTTCACCATAGGTCTTTAAAAAAAAGCCCATTTTTATTTACTTATATAATATGTTTGTCTCAGATTTGCCATCATATTTTCTATCTTTTCTATTTTTTGTTGCCCCTTTTGATGGTTCATCTATAATTTAGTAAACTACATACCTATGTTTGCTTTATGTAGGTGTGATAGTTCTGAAACTTCAGAAATTTCCTCTGTATTTCATTTTTAATGCCCCTAGCACCACTCTTTTAACAGCAGTTTTTTCTCTGATGTATTCAAGAGTTAATTGACTTTGGCGGGGCAGGGAGACTCTGACCTACAGATGACAATCCTTAAAACTTTTAGCCTTGGTCTCATCCTAGATTCCACTCACCTGCTCATTTATGTCTCTTCAGGGAAGCAGTGGCCCTGTCTATTAGAGAGAAAGGAACTCTAGAGGGTGGAAAAGAATAGGAAACACCTGAATGTCATAAAAGGTGGGTGGACTTTTAACTTAGATCTATACATCAATTAGAATATTAATTTTCTATAGCTTTTTATTCTTAAAATTTAATTTTGTTATTTTACTACTTTCAATAGATAAGTTAATTAAAGGATACACTAATTAAAAAGATGTTAATTATATCTATTAATCTGGAGGGAATATAATTCTGTATTTTTAATTAAGAAAAGCAAGTTGCAAAATCTTATTTGTAGTATGAGCTTTTCATTTGCCAAAAAATTATTAAACATTTCCCCACCTATTTTACATATTTGCATTGGTTTCGCAATGGAGGGGTGGAAAATATAAAGGAGGTTTTAGGAGATTACTTTAAATATAAATATCTTTTCATTATTTATGGTGAGCATATGCTAGTTTTGAAATTTTAAAAAGAAATTTAATTAAGAAATTTAAAAACTGGATAACTTTAAATTAAATCACATAGGAAGTTCAGTTAGAGAAATATAAATGGAAAAATTGGCAACAAAATGTCAAAAGATGTTTAACTTTGCTCATAATTTAAACATTTATATGTAGTTGAAATTAAAATTTACCTTCAAATCTCACATTGGCCACTATTTGGTGGTCTGGTCTATGACCACTCCTCCTTCTTTTTTGTTTGCTGGATTCCCCACTCAAGAAGTAGAAGAGGTGATCTCACTCCCAAACTAACATGGGCGGCTCAAAGTCTAAGTCAAACATATAATTATTATGCCCTTTTCATATCAAGTCTTTTATTATTGTGAGTGTGGTCATGTGACCTCATTCTGGCCAATGGGATCCAAAAGAAAGTGTACTAGGTGACTCTAGAAAATGTTTTTTCTTCAATTAAAAAAAAAAGTCCCATGAGAAAAACTAGCCTCTTCTTTTTTTATAGAACATTATTTTCTTTGTATGTGACCACTACAATAGTTGTAACTGTCCTTTGGCAATGAGCACAGCCATTGTCAGTGTGCTGAAGACAACAGAACACAAAAATGGAAAGCTCCCAGGTTCTTGGTAACAAGGTTCAGCTGCTGAATCAACCAACTCTATAACTAACACACCTGTGGACTTTTCATTTCCATAACTAATTTTTAGTTGGACATTCTATTACTTACAGTGAAAAGCATGCTGGTTAATATAATAACCCATGTTGAAGACGGTGTGGAAAGCCAGCATGCAGGGGTAGAGGGTAGAATTATGATTTAAAACATCTTTGGGGGATAGTTTGGCAAATCAACTACAACTGCACTTAAAACTTTTTTTTTAATGACAGGGCAATTCCACTTCTGGGAATTTAACCTACTGCTATGCTTACATTTGTGCACAAAGATATATGCACAGAGTGTTCATTGAAATTGTGGGTGAAATAGCAAAAGAATAAACACAACCTAATAATCATCAATAGGGGAAAGGTTAAATAGATGATTTTTATATGGAATACTATGCAGCCCTTAGGAAAATTGATGGATGGACAAAAAATCTACACATTATATTGTTTTAAAAAGATATATAGAGTGCATTTAAAGTGTTATAAAGTATATAGCATGCTATTTTTGGATTATGATTGTATATGCAAAGACTTTCTGGAAGGATAAAGAAGAAACTATTAACCATGGTTGTCTTAGGGAGGGGAGCTGGACGTCTAAGACAGAAATGGGAGGGGTATTTATTTTCACTGTTTATTCTGTATCTTTAAAATGTGTGCCAATAGCATGCATAATCTATTATGCTTAATTAATTTTGTTTTAATTAATTAATAGATAAAAGATTATTGGAGGGCATATCCTTTCTTGGGAAGATGCCTCGATATAAAAAGGACTCCACAAAATAGAATGACGTCAGGACCCAGTGCAGTGCTGTCGAGTTGAACCCTGAGGGTGAATGTAAGCAGAGCCTTGGAGTTAAGTAGCTCAGGCCTGCAACCTCCTTCTGCAGGTGGGTAGAGTTCTCCTGCTGCTGCATTGGTGCTGGGGATGCAATTACAGGAAGAACAGTTTGTTGGGGAATGAGACTCCTGCTTGCTAGCCTGGCAGGTCCAGTGCTCAAAAGCTGTGGCAAAGCAGCAAACTCAGAGTACTGGATAAACTGTCACTATGTCTCACACTTTCCTGCTTTATACAGGCCACTTGGAAACTGGCAGCTACGAGATGCAGAGCTCCGGAATGGTCTTTGGAGTCAGCAGAACTGCGTTCCCATCCTGGCAATGCCACTTACACCCAGGGTAACCATAGGCTTTTATTTATTATAAATGTATTTTGTTAGCTAATTAAACTTATTTATTAATTTTCCTAAAAGAATTATCTTTAACATTTTTCCAGTAGTAACAATTGTGCATGTTGGATCTACATAAATCTAAATAAAACAGAAATGTATAAAGTGAAAAGCAAAACTCCTTTCTGTCTCTTAATATTTCCCCTTTGCTTCCTACTACTCTGATAATTGCTGCTTATGACTTGACCTTATTTCCTTCCCAATTTTAATGAATGAATAAATAAACCTAATTGTTTAACATGAATGGGATTCTACTATACATTTTATTTTCTCCCTATATGCAATATAGACCAAGAGTCAGCACAATTTTTTTGTGAAAAGTAAGATGGTAAATATTTAGGCTTTATGAACCTTATCCTTTGTCTCAGATACTGAACTCTGCTGTTGTATCAGAAACTCAGCTATAGATGATATGTAAATGAATGGGCATAGCTGTGTTTCAATAAAACTTTATTTAGAAAACAAGCAAGTGGCAGGCTGCATTTTCCTTCAAGACGTAGTTCACCAACCCCTAATATATAACAATTAAGTCTACCTCATCTTTTTTACTGGCACTCCATGGAATGGGTGAAGAAATTCACTTTCATAGTCACCCATATATAGATATTAAAAGTCATTTCCCTTAGAAGCTCTCTTAAATAAGCACCAGTTATCCACTAGCTGGATTAGCTGATGTCTGTCTCCTTTCTCCTGTGAACAAGTTAACGGCTTTCCGTGGTATACTGAAATTGTGTGTCTTGCACAGAACTCCTTACTTCACCTGTGTCCTTGGGAGTTCACCAGCTGAGCTGACCAGCAGTCTGAGCTTGTTTAAACACCTGTACTTGTTATCGTAGTATGCAATTGAATTAAACAGTATGTTAACCAGAGAAATAGAAGTGAAGGAAAGAGATTGTTGACTCCAGAAAAATGAAGTTGATTATTTTTGGAAACACCTAATTTAAATGCTTTTTCAAAAAAAAAAACTGTTGAATTAGGTATAGGTTGAGTTAATTACAATAGACTAAAAACCAGCGAGCATGTGGTAGACTTTGGGGTGAAGGACCCATAGCATCAGCTCCTTGGGAGAGGAGGCCAAGCGGCCAGGCTGAGTATGGGTTCAGGTTCAGCCCAGGTCCCTCTTTGATTTTCAGAAGGTTGACTGGTCTGGGGAATCTGCCTTCTGCCCGATGAAGCCCAGGCTCTCACCTTGTCTGATCATCTTTCCTGGGTCTTGGGGGACCTCATGTCTCTGACTACATTTAGCCTACGTTTTTATACTCTCTGAATGTGAGAGGTTATTAAGCATGAGATTCTGTTTCTCCTCTCAAAGGCTGGTCCAGTAACATTTAAAATAGCGTTAAGTCTGTATTTACATTTTGATGTCACTCTTGCTTTATTTCCTTA
The DNA here is from genome assembly GCF_000001405.40 of Homo sapiens. NCBI lineage: Eukaryota > Metazoa > Chordata > Mammalia > Primates > Hominidae > Homo > Homo sapiens. Next base: position 76,867,984 of record NC_000010.11, read on the forward strand.
GCAGACTCTCTATTCTGTTCCACCCATGTTTTTCTCCCAAGCAGAATCTATCTTATCTGACATTGCAAAGCAGTTAACATTGATTCTGGTGAATGGTCTACTTTGATTTTTGCTACAGGGAGATTTTAGTACAAATTCACATATATTGTTTTCTCAACAAATGGAAAATTATGTTCCACATTCATTGTGCTGGGTTTGCCGAGCCTGCTCTTTTGAAACTCACTGTCTCATCTCTTATATTTGCCTTCTCTGTCACTGTCGATGTTTTCCTAATACTTCATCCTTTACGCAGACTCCTTCCTTGGAGCTGAATTTGGCAGTGGAGTTTGCCTAACTAATGGGGACCATATGCTCTGCAATTACATTCCCCAACAACATTCAGATTTGTTAGCAAATATTGGAGAAGGCAAGTTGAGAAACTGGAGTGCAAAGGACAGTCAGGAACTGGCACATTCTGACAGGTAAACCTGCATTTGCTGACCACTGGAAATAAGTTCCAGTTAGGGCTTATACTGACTTAGGTAGAAGGGGGATTTGTTTTTTTAAAATATCTATCAGTTGGTATACTTCTCTTCAAATAGCTAAGTGCGCCTCTGATGTGTTCCCAATGGCAAACTGTGCTTTCCCCTGCAGATCAATTTTTAATACATGACTATCACCTGTTTATTTGTTGATCCCAACCCTCCCCCAGACTGGAGAACTGGAATCATAGAATTCCTCACTGTTGTTTTCCCAGCTCCCAGCAGAGGACTGTTAACATAATAGCTATTCAGTAAATATTTGGCTAATGAGCAAATGAGACAATCTCTAGAATACATTAAATCTCAATACATTCTGCACATTACATCTGTATGCCTTGGATGGCTTTTTCCCATTCTCCAGATCCTTCCCTTTCTCTAGGCTGGACCAGCTTTACTCTTGGGAGTCCAGGCCCCTGAAAAGAGTGCAAACTCTGAAGGTTCTGAAGAAGGTTTAGAGCATGGCCCAACATGGCAACATTCATTTTTAAGGGCTTTTTTTTTTTTTTTTTTGGCTTTTAAAAGTTCCATCTGTTGCCCTGTTGGGGATGAGCGTGGAGCAGGATGAGTTAAACCTTTAACACATTGTCCTGGGTTTTGATAAGCTAAATGCAGGGGAAAGAACACCATTTGTCTGTGCAAATGGCAGGAAATGGTAACTAGCTTGAGAGTGGGTGGCTGAGGGGAGAAATGCTTTAGCTTTTCAAGGACCTACTGAATGCTGTGCATTTCTTTAGTGGCCGGCTTGCTGGAGCCTTCTGCAGGAGCACCTGTCCCATTGGCCCCAGTGTGGCTGCGTAGGGCTCTCAGGCACCACGTTGAATGACAGCAGCTCTTCCTCTCTGCCGTGCCTATTGCAGTCTTGGGCAGCACCCACTGACTGGCTCCTTGAAGACCATGGAGGTGGGGAGGTCTATTTGCACTCGAAGCTGCAAAGGGAAGCTCATGGTTTCAATCAATCCACAACTTTGCCTTCATGGAGGAGCATGAAGGGAGGAGACAAAAGCTGCCTGATTAGAACTCAGGGACCTCACCATCCCCAGCTCACCTCTCACCCCCATGGCATGTAACTGCTACAAAGACACAAGAAACACTCCTTGTTTTAGAACACAAATACATAAATTTTTAATCTGCGAAAAATACAAAATGAAACCATGTACAAGTTATGTACAAACCCTTTTTACAAGACAAGAGAGTTATCACTGGTTGTTACAGATGACAGAGTTGGGTAGATCATTTCAGAGCACCAGCATATAGTCTCTTCTTCAATTCCTGTCAGGTCAGAGTAATTAATCATAATCATAATCATAATGCCAACAATCAAAAGATTGAAAGATGAATAAGCCACGCTCTTTTTCCTCAATGAACATGTAGGCTGAACTCTGCATGTGTGTACTTTTTTTTTCTTTGTCCCCTAAAGAAACCTTGAAGTGCAGGTTTTGGTGTTAAGCAGAGAAAGGTTTCTTTTCAACATCTGGGTGGTGGGATGTGGGCCAGAAGTTTTAGGCAGGATGTGATTGTGCCACCTGGGAATGCAACGTTTTTAATTAGGATTTCCCAACAGATCTGGGTTTGTGTTTGAAATGTTGCAGTTCTGGTCAAAGGCGTGTCAGGCTGCATTGAGCGGAAGGAAGGGGAGGAGAGCGAGCGCTCTGGGGCAGATGGGACTCTGGTTTTGTGTGGAAGTGAGGCTCAGTCCACCTTGCGGGCGGGGCTCCTGTCCCTGCCAGCTGCCTTCCCACGCTGACCCTGAGTCCCATGGGAGGGAAGCACTGGGTCACTCCCGCAGGCGTGTGTCAATGCCTTGTGTACATTTCCATCTAAGATTCTAAACAGTGGGGCCCGGTAGTGCTTCCCAAGGCAGGCATGGCCGAGAGCATTGGTGTCACTTCTGCCCCTGTTCTGTTAACTAGCAAGATGGAGGAGAAGCAGCAGCACAGAAGTCCTCAAGGGATAAGCAAAGGAAACCTTTCTAAACTGAAAAACCTACCTAAAAATAAAGTCCACTTTCACCTGGCCAGAACATCTCTTCTCACAATGCCTGTTCAGAAAAGCCACCAAAGCAAGGTGGTCGTAGCATTTGTTTTCAGACCCCTGAAACTAAGGATGCAGTGTGTGTGCTGTTCAGGGAGGGAAGAAGAACAGTGCAGTGACATGCACAGGAAGGTGAAAGGAGATGCCCACCCTGAGACCCCTCCCTGGTGAGTCCTCCAGAAAGACTGCCGATCACCACAGGTTCTGTCCAGCCTCCATCCACCATGGCAGCCACAGTGATACATAGTGGCCGAGTGACTGCCCACGTGGGCCAGACCTCATGACAAACTCTGGGAATATGGACAAATAAGCAGAGTTCCTGCCCTTCGAGTGAGTCTTTTGACTTGTGCCTCACCATCTCCAACACCTTTCATCTCCAACCTCATAGATGATCTTCCCTCTCTTTCTTAAAATTCCCCTCTTGTTTCTCATTTCCCTGGTTCTGGAGTACCCTAGATCTCCTGTCCCAAGAAGTTCTACTTATTTTGCTCCTTCTTAGTCCTGAAAAACTTGGCTGTAGCCCACAAACACATCTGCCAGCTGATCTAAACCTACACTTTCTCCCTAAAATAATTCATCCAGGATCCTCACTTTCTAAGTGCCTCTGTGGGTCTGGCTTCCACATCTGCAGGGCCTGTTGTAGCCCACTCCTTTACTCCCCTGTCCCACTCCTCTTGCCTGTGTGGCCTTCCCTCACGGACAGCTCTCAGCTTTTCTTGCTCTGGATGAACCCAATGTAACATTTCTTAGCTGCTGTACTCACTGCCTCCGCTTCTTGCCTGCTTCTCTTGTTTTCCTATTCCTCCACATGGTTCTGTCCTTGAGGACAGATTAGGTGTGTGTCCACTGCACAATGAATATACTCTAGACCCACAGCCATTGCCCCACATCCAGTCCCTACAATCCCAACCAATCTTCTACAACTATTACGATCTATAACATTTATTTGCTATTCAGTGTTCACATTTATTCAAAAATTATTTATTGAACACCTGTTTTGTGCAACATGATCTTTCCAATATATGTGTGCCTTGTGTTCCCAGTTAGGCAGGTGGGCTGTCTTCCTCTAATAGTCTTACCATCGTGAGGACACAGCAGCTGCTCAGTAAATATCAATTAGCAGTTACTGATTAACATCATTCACCCTGCCACATGCCAGATAATCCTGCCTTCATACCTAGAATGCTGATCCTCTACTTATCTAACTCCTAAACCCCCCTTTCTCTAGAAATCCTACCTTGTTGAACCACTTCAAACCACAGCATTTCTCCCTTGTTTCAACTCCTACCATATTGAATGTGAAACTATGTCATTAGGGCTCACCCTTTCTCTAATGGTGCTTTGAGCATGTTTTCTTTCTTTAGTTGTATTATAAGCTGATTGATGGCAGAACCCATATTGTGCTCATTTCTCCCCCACTCACTCCTTGTACAAATATTTTATGAGTGCTAATTGGTTTCTAAACAAGGGCTACCTGATTAGCTGCAAGGGTGTTTTCATAAGGGGAATTCCTATTTGGCAGTTCTGGACTATTAATTATTCTCTACTATTTGTGGATGTCCTGCCTCATGTTCTTATTATATTACTGTCTAGAAAACAGTATGATTGGCAGGTTTTTAAAAATTTATGTATCTATTCCTACCCTCTAATCTACTTTGTGAGTTTGTTGCTGACATTCTAGTAATTCAGGAGAGTCAGGACGTTCTACGTCTGATGGTCCTGTGACAGAAAGCAAAGCAAAATGTGTGAGGAAGGTGCTGCACACGGTGAGTTGTTGACTTGGAGTGTGCACCCTTTAGCACTCCTTGCTGCTGAGAAAATGTTCAGTTTTGTGTGCATTCTCATGATATCTTCCAGGAAGAACTGACATCTCACTACTTTCAACCTGAAAAATGCACAGCCATTGCTGCCCCATCACTCTTTGCTTAAAACTCTGAGTGGCTTTTCATGACTTTCTAAATCAAGTTTCAAACTTTATCTAGGCCTTTAGACTGTACTTTGTAGCCCCTTCCATGAAGTCTCATCTCAGTTTTCCTCAGTTCCCCTACACAAACTTATCACAGTAGACAAAATAGTCAATCTATTGAAATCACATTCCTACAAATACATCATGGCCCATTAAGTCCCATCTCCCTGGAAAACCCTCATATTCCACATCTTTCCAGTCCTGTCACCCATTTACTATTGAAATGCCTCCAAAGCCCATCAAACATTGTATACCTCTGCATTCTTGCCAGCCTACGCAGTTCAATGCAAACTCTTCTTTCTTTCAACCCAAAGAACTACTCTTTGTACCATATGCATGCCCATAACTCATGGTATTTTAAAATACTGCTTATTATATCTTTTTCTTTTTTTTCTTTCTTCCCAGATTCTTAATGTATACCCCAAGTTTGGCTTATCTTTAGATAGGGAGTCTCAGGTCCTTTTTGTGATTAAAAAAATATGCCAAAAGAGGAAGGTCTGCTACAGGTGGTCTAAGTCAGAATTCTTTCTCCAATCTATCCATGTGGGGCTGTGATATCATGGAGCTTCCAACTGTTGTAGGGCTAAAGGTGCCTCTGCCTTTGAGCATGTAGGCTTCTTTTTATACATGTTTTAAGCAAGCTTACCATAAAAATTGAAAATTAGGCTCTGTGGTCTCTTAAGAAATAAAATTAAAAATGTTTTCCAAGTTTTCTTATTTTTATGGAAATCTTGAAATTATTAACAACTGATACTTTATTGGAAACAAACAATCAGAAGAGACTCCACTTAAACAACCAATATGACCAAACTAGTACAAACTGCCTAGGAATCATTTATAATTACTACTGTCTCATAAATAAATCCAAATAGCGTCATCACCTCCTCAAATGACCTGGGATTTATATGCTAAATCATCTCTGCTGGATTAAAAAAATTGCCTTTTGGGAATAAGGAGAGGATCAGAAAGGTAATTTACCAGAAGATTGTAAGTAAATTCTGTTTCTTTTGCTTTTTAAAGAGGGTGAGTCAAGTCCTCATTAGTGAAGGTCCTTTCAAGGCTCATGGTGACTGGTGGCTTTACCACCATTCCAAAAGCAGCAAGTAAGAACAAAACAGAAAATGGACAGATTCTGCCCTGGAACTCAGTGTTCAAGCTGAATGGATCTACTTAGTCTCCTAGGAGTCAAGCCGGCTCACATCTCAGTCAATTGGTTGGATAGTCTTTGTTTCTCTCCCTTCCTACCTTTATTCCTCAATTTCTTCCTTCCTTCCTTCAATGAGATTCTCTTTCACAATGAAACACAATAGATTAAAATTACATTTGTGAATGTAAGTAGCTAAGAGATGGTTAGTTTATTAATGAAAGAAAATAACCAAATAAACAGAGGACAGGAAATGAAGTGAGAAGGAAGACTGGTTACTTCCTGAAGATTCACATGGGGAAACATAAATGGGGAAAATGGCAGGAATTTGGGGTCTCTTGAACCTCTAGTTACATACTAGGAATTGGAGACATGGCATAGAGATGAAGGGATTAACTGAAGCTGGGCCTTGAACCAAAAAAAAAACAACAAAAAAGGGAAGGCAGGGATGAAACTGAGAAGAAAACCCTAGAAACAGGCAGCAAAATTTGACCAACGTGATGCAGGTGTGTCCAAATTGAGAAATCTGCATCTTGAACCTAAAGAGAATCTAAAGTGAAAAGACCAGGAATGAACCTACCTATTCTATGTCCAGAGCAGAAAATGTTCACCACTCCTGAGTAAGGCTGGGAGTGTTGCCTGGGTGATGCAGCAAAAAGGACCTTTATTCCAGTCCTGGACACAATAGTCTGCATGGGCTTAGCCAAGGAGAAGCAGCCACTCCCATGTTCCCACTCCTAACTTAGATCACGTCCCCTGGGACCTGAAAGAGACCTTAGAGTCATCTAGATGAATCACTCTCATTTACAAATGAAGTCACTGAGACTCAGAGAGTTTTAAAAACATTTTTAAAGATCAAGTTTGTTGTTTGTAAATGTGGCTCTTGCACCCTCATATTAAATGGTAACTAGGGAACTTGTGCTTTTTCTCCTTTCAACATGAAAAAGTCCCAAATTTCTTATGCTTTTTCACTTTTCCTTTATCTAACCCTAACACTTCTAATTTCCTGTTTATTTAAAATCTTCAATCAATTTTTTTACAAAGTACATCATAAGGTGCCAGAACCCTTGGGAGGAAAGATTGGAATGTTCTCCAACGTGCCTTAGTCACAATCACTTTTATTTAAGGTGTTTTATAATGGTTCAAGATGATATTCTAAAATATAAAATTGCTTAGACAAAAATAAAAGTTTTCTCAAGGAGAAAGGTTATGATGGTGATGATATTTTCTGCTTTGTAAACAGCCTGTTGGTGACCCACAGCACCCAAGAATCATTAGTTTGGGAGAATGGCTTTTCTGGAGCCCTAAACTGGGATAGGAAATCAGAGCCTCATAATGTGGACTGTACCAAAGACCCTCCTTGGTCTCAGGCGGATGTAGGCAGAAAGACAGACTGTTGCAGTGGAGATGGATGGGACTCAGGGCCAAAGAGCTCAACAAGTAGGAACAAGCCAGGGAGAAGCTCTGGCATTTGCTTGAGCCCTCCAGTGATTTCACAAATGTTATTTCTGTTTCCATTTCGTTTCTACTTACCAGGCACCAGCTTTTGCCAAAGGGCCCAACAATCAGTCATTTTCCTACCCCCTTAACAAAATGCCTCATTTTGTTTTCTAGTCCAGAACAATTCATTATTACAACGGCAACACAGTATGAACTTATTGCTCTATTTAAAAGAAAATGAATTTTTACCAATTTGGTTTTTTTGGGGGGGAGGTGCTTATGAATCAAGGAGCCCTTTGCTATAGGAAACTATCCTAACTATTATGATTTTTTTTAAAAAAAGTTTAGATTAAAATTTCTAGCCACAAATGCATCGGTGGATGTGTGGTGGGGCTGGAGTTTGCATTTCTGCTTCCAGATTGCCTTGTTAGGGGAGACACAGGGAAGAGAGGGTCATGGGAATGGAGCTTTGTGTCCTGTGTCCCTCTAATGGAAGATCCTTTATGTGGCCACCACAGCCTGCCAGAGGAGACCAAATCACTCTAACAAATTTGGAGGTGGTTATTACGAGCAGGAGTGAAGAGCCCACTATGGTTCACGAAGGAAAGAAGAGCGTGGATTGACGTGAATATACTAAGGTGACCCCAATGCAAAATCATTATGTAAAAAAGGCCTAGCTTTCAGGAAAGTTGTCAAAATCCTAGCAAAACGTTCTCCCCACAAACACATTTGACTTCTGTTGGAAACCAAGAAATGTTTATAAGCCTGAATATAGACTGTTGACATCATTTTAGTCTGCTGAGTAGGCTAGTGATTAATTATAAGTAGTTTTTAAACAATCCAATTGGACATACATTGTATTCACAATACTTTTATAGAACTAATTCTACAAAATGTGACGACAGAGTAACCACAGTCCGACAAATCACTGCAGGACAATGCCTACGAGGTGGAAGCACGACTATATTGGCTCTGCAGGGAGTGGACAGAGGTGGAAGCTCATTTTGCCTACGCTGGTAATTGGAGTACTTAGTGGACATATGTCTTCATGATGATCTCATTGCTTTGCTCTGATCTGATTTGCACTACCATAACTAGGTACCACAGGTCATGGCCCAAAGAGTTAATGGACTAGATATCATGAAACTTCGGGGAGATACTTTGGTTAGCTTGGTTCCATTAAGTGTCCACAGTTTACATTTTTTAAGAAAATAGAAATCACTATTACATCCATGCTTCTCCAGAGACCTTGATGATCATATCAAAGATTGATAATTTTAAAGTTGAAAGACTTGCTAAGTTGATTGGAACAAAACAGTTGCCGGGAGACTGTACACCGAGCATGCAAGCGATAGCAGAGCTCTGAGACATCGTAATTGCATCTGATGGCTAGAAAAATCTTTTGACCGCAGTTTAAAGTGGCTAATTTATTTGATTTCACTGCTGGTAATTTTCAAAGGCCTTTTCTAACAGTCTATATGAAGTGCATTCGTTGCTTTCCTTTTGTTATTATTATTTTTAAATTGTTGTAACAAGTTCATGTGTTTGGCCCCAGCAACTAAATAAAGGAGAGCATGCAAATTAAAATCTGTCTCCATGATTGTAGAAATTTCCTGGTTTTTAAACAAAAACTCAGTGAGAAGAATGACTGCCCTCTCACATCCTATGGTAAAGTAAAACTACTAATCAGTTTTACAAACTTCCAGGCTAAAAGCTCTGAGACTTGGGGAGTGGGGAGAAAGTCCACCAGACCCTCCCGAAGTTGACATTACTCGCTCAGGTGGTTTGGAAATATAAAATGAGAAGCATAACAGCACGTAGGAGTCTCCACCACTAGAACAGCAAACAGAGCAATGCCTTGTGTGCATCTGGTCCTCAGCTTCCACATCCCAGGTGTGCCCACAACCCTCCTGGTGTCCTTAGTTGGCCAGACAAACCTGATCTGCCAATTGTAGAAAAGCAGCAGAAGGTCTTCCCTTTAAAAATATGAACAAAGGGGTGAGAACTACAGAATGAAAACTAGAACTACAAAAATATGACTTTCAACTGTGAAAATAAATAAGTTTCCATTTATTAAGAGCTGGTGTCAATGCAGATCAAAATACACACCCATCCAGGCGAGGAGCAGGTATTCACCTGTCCCCTTAGTCTTCTTTTCTGGATTTACTAAAATACATGTATACATCATTGGCCATTTTAAAATTGTTTTAATAATTCATTTCCCTTAATTACAATTAATTGTGGTGGTGACCATCATTCTCCTCAAAGAAAAAGAGAGAAAGAAGAGAAAAACACATTAAGGAGTCTGACCACTTATTCATTTAGATTTTGCATTGTTTAGATATAGGGAAGATATTTGACAATGAAAAGAAAAAATATATTTTCTTTCTAATAAATAAAAATAATTTAAAATGCTAGAGGCTATACATGACTATTTTAGTATGTTCATTTATAAATGAAATCATTTTCTTTTCCAAAATACATGGAAGCAATATTCAAGGCAGACAAAGAGAAAGATCTGTCTACTTTATTTTCTGGCAATTCTTGCTTATCCTAACGTTTCCACCAGTGATTCAGCATGTAAGAAGAAAAGTCACATCACCATTTATGAAGTTTGTCAGGCTTTAAAAAAATAGTTCTGGTCTCCTGGGAGTCAACATTCATCTTCAACTTCTCTGATTGGTGGAATCAAGCTGCTTGTGGATTTATATTGGTTGATCTGGTTAGCCATGTGGGTACTCATGGGCTTGATTTGAATGTTTCTGGGATAGGCATTATCCGGTTCATCTGTAAACCATTTCTTTTCTGCTAAAGGGCAAAATGGATAGAGAACAAGAAGGAGAAATGAGAAGTTTAATTAGTCCTAGGGTAAAGCCTTTGGAAAGTTCATTGAAAAACGCAAAAAGGTAATCGATAGAAGCCGACAGTGAGTAATTGCTAAGAGAGACAGTGCAGTGTAGGGAGGACCCCAGAACCTGAAATATACCTCTGCTTCCTGTAGCAAGTGATGAACAAAATGTGCCACTGGGACTCATAGGCACCATGGGCGGACCTCAGAGGCTAAGGAGGGATTGGAGAATGGACTCTGGCAATGTCCCTTGGAGTTAATTTCATGGCCAGAAAAGGTTTGGTGGGGAGGGGATGTTGCATATATCAGCCATTGGGTACAGACATTGTGCCTGAGGAGAGATGTGTGCATCCATTGATTTGAGTGGAACGGAAGGGCACCATCACCCTTGCTGCAGAGCGAGTGATCCAGAATCTTACACAGAATCACCACCTCCCAGCCTTTTCTTGGCTTTGCTTATAATACACACACTTAAAGCCATGTCTCAACTATACCACTCTCCTGTTTCATTTGTAGCCACTTTGGGGGGTCTAAACTAAACCCATAGATTTTGCTGGCCAAAAATCTATGAAAATCAGAATAGCGACCAATGTTTTAAAGAGGATTTTGAGGTGGCTTTTATTTCAAGAAAGAAAACTCTGTGTTGGTATAAAGTTATGAATAGAGTTCCAAGTGGCAATATCTTAACTGACTATAATAACCCAAGCTGTCGACAAGGGAGCTCAATGAAGTCTTGGCATTTCATTTCCACCCTAAATACAGAAATGGCTGAGAGAGAATGCTGAGTCAGGGCGTTTGGGGGCTGGGGTGAGAATGAAAATGGTCTAGCATCCTCTTAGCAGTGCAAAGCTATTTTACAAGACTCAACCCTCATCCCCACCTCTTTCTAGGATTGAAATTTTCTGGGAAATTGGCCATGTGTATAGATAGGAAAGGACTGGGCAAATAGGACATTCTAACTTGGGAATCATATGCCTCACTTTAGTGGCTTAGGGAAAGAAAAGAAAAAGAAAAAGGGTAAAAGCTATCAAGCACGTCCACTGCTATAGAGACAATGGCCTCTGTAGCTGCTTTTTCTGCTTACCAGAACAATTTGTAACTGCCTTGTCAGTGGTCCTGAATGGACACATTAGTGAAAACTGCTCACCTGGTTTGATAGGGGGCGTTGGGGGTGGGGTATGTGCATGTTTGGCTAATGATTTATAAATTATCTATGATCAGTTCATGACCACTCTGCTTGTTTCTCCTCAGTTCCTACTTCTGCTGTTTCAAGTGCCCTGAGCTGTCAATGTCGAGGAGGGCTGTCACTGGAGCTGGGATATGCCTGAGTCAAAGCCTCGCCCCAGTTTAATGCGGCAGCTCAGTTTACCCCACAGGAAACTTGCTGCCTCTTGCCTCGTTCTCCCCACCCCCTCTCCTGCTCTGGCTCACTCACCTATTATAATTAAGTTCACTTTGATTTGAACAGATTGGACGATAGGAATTCATAATGCTACATCCTCACAGTGAAGCTAACTGATTAAGTGCTTTAAATTATTCCCCCTGACAGAATGATAAAGTTACAATCTGTTCTGAGATGATCTACAGCTTGCCAGACTCCTACAGCTTCTTTCTACATTCATTTATCTTTTTGTCAAGCAGAGTTTTTTTTTTTTCCCTAAGCTTCAATTCCATAGATCTTTTAAAGTCATCAGCACATCTGAATTATTAATGAGGCTTTAGAGGCAAGGTTCCTGATGGGCTGGTTAAAAAAGGTTGTATAGAAATCCGGGACTGTGTACACATCAAAATAATTTCAGCTCCATTTAAAAAACCATTTAGTTCAAGTGTGACATAGATGAACCATTATGCATTTGTGGAAACCAATTTTTTGTGATCTACGATTAAACTAACCTTTCAGAGAGGAGTAAAGTGTGATGGTTATCATGTTTTAAAAGCTTTGCCAGGCCGCTGAAACAATTTCACACTACGACTTTTTCCAGGGGTTTATGTGTAAAGATGATTTTCAGAGAGGTTGAGCCTGGTGTTTGTGCTCAGGTTGCCTGAGCTGCCCTCGGTTTTGGCCATGCTGTTATGCAGACTGACTTTGCAAAGGGATTTAGTGCTAGGTTGGACATGCCAGGTTGGAAGAGTGAACTCAGCTGATGGAAATGAGTAGGTCTTTTGGGTGAAAGACCTAAGACAGCTGCAATTTGCTGAAATTTTTACAACTGCTGAAGAGAATAATTGTTCGGAATTTAGTCTTTACAGTTCAATTCAAAGTTGGCATTTTGACCTTTCGCGGCAGAGAGAATATCAATTTCCTTCTGCTGTCTGTAAGAAAGAGAGCATTATTTCCTCATTTAAACTTCTCTCTTTCCTTTTACATTTCTTGCCATTAAAAAAAAAAATCTAAGCAGAGTAGCCCATGTTTTGGCCATGCTGCCTCAACACAAGGAGTGAGTTGTGTTAACACACATTGTGGTGAGGAGTTGAGGTCTTCCTTATGCCTGAGAAACAGCTGTTTAATTTGGGTGCCTCCTAAGATATAAATGTGTGTGTTTTTGGAGACTTGGTTATGTAGGATGTTCAGGAAACGGAACTGTATGAATGCTCTGGGCGTTTTACTAAAATGTCTGGTGCAAAGGTATTTTACGAACAGATTCTCCCAACATGCTTCCAAGGAACACACATTTCAATGATCGCCAGCCATTCAGCATCCATGGAGAGTGCTGCAAGTAGGACAATGATAATTTGATGTATTGAATCTTGCCTTCTGAAGAAGAAACAATGCCAATGGGTGGCTACAAAATTGACCACGAGGAAGAGGACTCAGGGAAGCAGCTCTAATGAATGCTGCCATGACAAGGATAAATCCAAATCCCTGACTTTATCTCCACTCCCTGTTTCATCTCACATACCAGAAAGATTTCCAGGGGCTTTATTTTCATCTCTAAGATGAGAAGGGCAATTGATCGGGGTGGGAGGGCTTCCTCGCTGCCAGAGAAAAATAGCCTTATTTCTTAATAAGCTTCTTAAGGATGAGATGCCTGTTGTCAGTGCTCTGAGTACAATGTGTGACATGTCAGGAGTTCGTGGAGTTAGGAAAGAAGAGTCATTTCAGTCTGTGGCTGGGAGGGGGCTAGTGGGACAAGATAAAACTCTGGAAAACAACTGCAGAGAGATGCTGGTAGAGCAATTGCCACTGCCATTGGCAGATGTCACCTATCAAGACCAGCTATGCTATGAGCTGTCCACCATGAAGAAGCAAGGAGATGCGGGCTAAGGAGACAGCGCAGGGCAGGAGGTGAAAGTTAAGCAGATCTAGCTCACGTACTAGTTGCATGGCTCTGAACAAGTTATTAGCAAATTTATCTTAGCTTCATTCCTTTTCTGTAAAATAGGGCTGATGATACAAACTTCCTAATAGTGTTGTTTAGATAAATGAAGCCAGTACCCTTGAAGCACTTACACAGGTCCAGATACATGGTAAGTAAATGTGAGTTGTTAAGGTTATGAGTATTTGGAATAATATCAGCGGGCATTATATCACAGTGGCTAACTTCACAGACTCTAGTGTCTCTCAGATTCTGTGTCTTTCAAATGGAGACACAGCATCTCCATCTGAAGCTGTTGTGAGGATTGAGTTTGTATAGGTAACTAAAGAGTGCTCATGAGAATGCCTGGCCCAAGGCAATTGCTGAAGCGTTAGCTTTTAGAGTAAGTTTAGTACTAGCCTGAGTACTATCAGTACTAAAGGATGATGTAAGCATGGGTCGTACCTCTTGAATGTGATGACAAATGATGCCCTTCAGCAGAGATTCTGGGGGTAGAGAACAGGGGTGTGTATATCGGGGTGTATCCTGAAGAACATGGATTGTGGCAGCAGAGGTGACAGAGGGGGATTTGGTTGGTCATCTTCATTTGGAAGGTAAAGGAGAGGAAGAGGTAACCTGGTGTTATTTCTGGGGAGCTTAGGGTTTTTCCCCTCCCAGGGTGACTCTGTGCCTCTGAAATACTGGCTTTGACTCACCAGGCATCCTATCCCATCTGAGAGCCATCTGTTTCTTGCATTTCTAGTTTCATCACTGAGATCACAGGGTTTAAAATAAGGGTCAAAACCTCCTCCAGCCACAGGGCTGCAGGTCACCCTGGAGGAATGGGCTCTTGCAGGGAAGGGCCCCAGAGCTGGGCTGACTGAGCTGCCACCAGCAGAGGAAGAAACAGGCTGCACTGTGATAATTGAGCTTCTCTGTTGGCTCTGTGGGTTGTCAGTGCCATGGGATTTAGCCTTTTCACAGTACTCCCTTGAGAAGATCGCAGAAAAGGGGAGACAATGATACAGCAAAAGCATTTGGAATAATTGGCCCTCTTCTCACTACACCACAAGCTGAGGTTGAGAGAGAAAAGGCTCAAAAAGAAAAGATGCTGTTTGGAGAGAGACAACCGTGGAGAACAGTAAGGGCTAACAAGGAGCTTCGACCTTCAAGGGTAATGCTGTGTGGTTTCCTGTCCCGCGCTTGTGATAGGCAGCCTGGCACACTTCCTCTGCCCAGCAAACCCTGATGCCTCCTCCGTCCCCACCCACACATACTACCTCCTCTCCTCTCTGTGAGCAAAGTATGCTTATTTCATAGAGATACAAATTATTTGTACCAGAACAAAAGCAATTACCGTTTATGAAAAACCTTCTCACTTCTTTGCAATTGGCTACCATGACTCTGTCTCTTTTAACTGAAAGTCTGATGCTGCCATTCTTTGAGCAAACTGCTCTCCCAGCCCTCCTCTGTGGCCCTTGGTCCAGCCAACACCCTGAGGACAGATTCTTCACTAATCCCTTTCGGATAATCCCTCTCACCTCCAATGGTTGCAATGGGCATGCAATCTTGCATGGGAGACAGTCAGCCAGTGTAGTGACAGGTGCCCACAGCTACTTCTTTATCATATTGTGACAAAGCAGGGATGGGCTGAAAGAAGCTGATTGAGAAATTGATTTTTACCCTGTCTTGACTTCCACAGGCCCTGGAGTTTCTGTACTCTCCTCTTTCTCCTTCAAGGAGCCTGTTGCTATAGGAACCTGGCAGGTTGATTTAATTGTCTCTATTGGGATGCAGACACCTTTAGGCTTTTCCCATGCTGCAGAAGAGCCAGACAAAAGCTTTTTCTGGTCATCTGGGATCTTGATGATGCTGCCAAGAGGCATACTCAGTGTCTCTACTCATTGAGCTTACAGGGCTATTCCCCTTTCTCAGAAGCCATGTGACCAGCTTGAGAAAGTGCCACCAACACAGCAGCATCATAAGGCATGTAGAGGCACTCATATTTTTTTAAAAAAATCAAACCAAGAGGACAAGGGTAATATAGAAAATGGTTAAAGGTATAAAAATGTGTAAAGTCAATTTATATCAAATATTTATTGAGCACCGATGGTAAGGTTCTGGGTCATAATCTTTAATATTCAGAACAGAATTTGAAACCTCTCCCAATTGTGGCAGAAGTTTAACTGTGTGTATAAGAGTCCAGCTTTCTCCATCCATTTGAACTGGCTTTGGGAAGAACCTGGGTAGCAGACTTTAGGGACACTGATGATGCCACGATCACCCAAGTGTTGAGACTGAGAAGGCTTCACCGTGCCTTCTGGTTTACCAGCCTACTTATTGTTCACCCCTTTCAAAGCCCAAAGCAAGTTGGACTAAATGGCTTACAAATTTCTTCTCTTCTAGAATGGTGCAGATAACAGAGTTCCTAACTTTTTAAATGTATATACTTTATTTTCAAAGAACTCTCACTTTCTACCCTTACTTCCTTGTTTTTTTTTTTTTTTTTTTTGCGGGAGGCAGTGAACAGGAAGAGATATAATAATAAGAAACTTGTATGCCTACTTCCTAAGTAAGCAGATGTTCTACTGAAAGAGGAAGGGGAAGTTTGGAGTCAAATAGAAAACAATGGAGGGGACTCTTCACTCTATTAAGGAAAGTATAATATAGTAATTTTGGCAAATAAAATTGAAGTAGTAATGATCCTTCTCCATCATCAAATTTATCATTAGTCAAATATGGTGAATTCTCAATTATCTACCACTGGGGCATGACTGTGTGCCCAAAGTCCAGGAAAACCTCAAAATTCCATCTCTTATCATAGTCTGTTCCCATTCCATTCCCATCACAATATCATCTCATTGGAGTTGCTAACAGACTGTATATAAAACGCACTTCGGATTTACTTCTCTCTATCTGCCCGGTCTCTGGTTGGGATTTAACAAATGTCTGAAAGGCAGCTGGCAGGAAAGATTTGGGTAATACAGTGACTGAACCATCAGCTCCCAGATAACTGGGTGTGGGCTACTGAGTTGATATACACAGCAGAACACTTTTAATTTGAGTCATACTGATCAAGCATAAAGAAGACCAATGCTTTTGCCATTAATAACCCTCCTGGTTTAAAGGAGGATGAAATATTGACAGAGAAGCAAGTTTGCCAAATGGAATAGCTGTAAATGTTTTCCAGGGAAGTTTATCAACTGGCATCATCACTTGATTGAGTAGGTCTTGCCAAGATGAACACAGAGATGTGAACAGACCGATGGGGGGACTGGGATTGGGGGGTGGCAATGGGGGAAGTGAAGGAAGCTGGGTTTCTTGATAGGAAAATGCTTTCGGACTTGGAGCAAGGTACCAGGGTGGGCAGGGAGGCCACGTGCAGATTAAAAGGCAAGCCAGATGGAGAGAAGTTCCCCCCAAATTACCCAACCCCACACCCAAGAACACCAAAACAAACTCTAAGGAATCTAGCGATAGCAGCAGCACAGCCTCATTGCGCTGAGCAATTTAGAAAGTGGAAGAAGGAAGGAAGAGAAGAAGGAAGGGAAAAGGAGAGGGAAAGGGGAGGGGGGGAAAAGCAAAACAAAATAAATAAAACCACAAACAGAACAATATAAATAAAAATAAACAAACCAATAACAGAATAAAATTTGTAACTCCTTTTTTTTTAATTTCACAAAAGTTTTCACAAGGACAACGTTATAGAAGAAAACCCCCAGCAGTGGCTAGGTCATGCAGAACCATTAATTGTCATACCTTGGCCCATTCTATTCATCCTTGTTGCACTTTAGAGAGAGAAGTAAGCTATGTGAGTTTTACAATGCTTTTAAACTGTCATATTTCCTGTTGAGCACTTTAACTGGCACATTCTTATAGTTATAAATGTTCTGAGGGCGTAACTTTATAACCTCCTTTGCAAAGAATGCATGAAGAGCTCTTCATGATCCAATACTAGGGGATACATATATATAGTTATATATATAGTTATATATATATAATTATATAGTTATATATATATAATTATATATAGTTTATATAAAGAGATAGTTATACATAATATAAATCAATATATAGAGGGACAAAAATAATTTGAAAAAATTCTTCCACTCATAGGGCTTGATAATTTACATGTATACAATTATTCCCCACCACAATACTGGTTTGAATACTACGCTGCCCCTGTCTTTGGTGTGGGGGAGGGTGGAGGTTCTGACTGAGCCTCACCATTTGTCAGTAAAAGTGCTTGTCAATTCACACAGCAAGCAAATATCCAAAACTATCATGCTTGAGGGGACGGGGGATCCAAAATCTAAATCCAAAACATTCACCATAAAAACACCTTTTTAGAGATGGTACAGCTGTGACATGTTTTCCTCCTCCCTTTTACCCCTATTCTATTCGATGGAATTCTTTGAAGTAAAACTTTTCAAATATGTATATACCAGCCTAGTCCATCCATAAGGGAAATTGGTTATGGTGAATTGGCCAGTTTTTAAGAAATACCGCACTGCCTAAAGCATGATTTGCATGCACAAAGCATCTGACAACTATATGTTGAAAAAAGGGTATTTTTCTACCTCTCCTCTCATGCTTACTAAGTGTTAAAAAAGAAAGAAAACAAAAGAAGAAAAAAATAACTATACCAAAATGTGTTTGGCTCACTGTTGCACTCTTCTTATCCCACGTCTCATAATGACAAGGAGCAGCTCTCTATTGCCGTCATTACCCTGCCTAAATTGGCTACATTAAAGAAAGTGATGATGAGGAATTCCTTCCCACCAGCTTTCTGCATTGGGACAGCCAGCACCGCACAGCTGTGCCAACAGTTGAAGGTGGTGGCTGGCTTTTGTCTTTGTTGAGTCAACTGTGGCTGATCCTCCTACATTCTAATTTATTTAGCATGTCGGCTCCTAGAAAAGCATGATCTGCAGCTGGGTTTGTCTTCCTCTCACTCTACCATTGCCCCAGCCCTTCCTCCTACCTGGCATTGGGGCCCTAACTAATCAAACAAAGGGGAGTAAAAAGATCCCCTGAGAATGCATGGAAAAATACTTGCTCTTTCCTGAGCATTATTTATTCTGTACATAAGGTAAGTAATTCACCTTTTAAAAGATGTAAAAGTCCCAGGAAGGCAGTTTTTAATGACTTACATCTGATATTTATGATACATATGGCTTTTCATCCCAAATGTCAAAAGTGAAAGAAAAAAAATAGCTATTCATATGGCAACATAAGGAGACAGAATAACAATTTAATATGCAATCAAACCTCTTTTCACTTAAACTAAATGACTAGAATTTGATACATCCATGATTGGAATACTATTCTCTCCTCCATATTAAGGTGAGAAATGTTCATAAGAACTCCCAGAGGGAACTGGCTCTGGGACAAAAGGCCTTGGTGAGTAACTAAAAAAATCACTGATGTTCTCTTGCAACAAGCAGGTCCTTCATAATCATCTACACAAATCGTGAAAGCTTTTCAAATGCTTCGCAATACTTCGGCCCAGAGACTGGAAACAATCAATATGTTTTCATTGCTGTTTGGTTGCTTGTTTCAAATAAACATGTGCTAACTTATTGTGTGTATAAAAAAAGAAAGAAAGGAAAACAACAACAACAACAAAATCAAAACCCAAAGCACCCTGATAATCCTGATAAATCAGAATCAACTTTTCTTTTACATTAAATAAACTTGCTCTGCCTAACTGACGTTGATCACAAGTGCTCCCTTCTAATCTGTGAACTCGTTCCTGCAGTGAGCTATTTATGTCTGGAGCATGCCTTTGGGTTATTTTTCCCCCAGAATCATAAATAACTTTTGGTCCGTCTGCTTATTTGCTGTTGTGCTCAAGGGTTTTATGGTGGTGAAATAAAAATGACAACCACATGCACACTATCATACATATGCAAATATGTGTAAAAAAAAAGGGGGGGACTACAGGGGAAAACAGGGAAAGTTACTTTGTTGGAAACACCAACTGGGGAAATGAGTGGCAGATACAGTTTCACACAGTGGCGGTGGATACACATATCAAAGCCGCTCTTCCTGCACGTACTTCTGTTTGTCCCGGGACTCCCTGGACTTGGGCCGGTTCTGTCGGTTTGCTGTGGATGGGATGGAGTGAACAGAGGAGCTCTTCTTGCTGGAGGACTGCGACGAGTGGGAGGAATGGGACAGGCTGGCCCGGGACTGGCCGGCATTGTGGTCAAACTGCATTAAGCAGAAGATCAGGTCCGTCGGCACGAGCTCAAACTCATAGGGCGGGTTGGTGATGACATACCTGGACAGGGAAAGCAGAGATGTCACCTCCTGAGAGTAACTGAGTAAAGAATTCAACTCTCTCTGAACCAAAAGCAATGGCCTGGTTACTCAGGACTTTCAGAGGATCTGGAAGATGCACTCCTAGCTGGTCTGAGGCCTTAAACATTCTTTTTCTTGTTAAATGGAAACTTCCTCTGTTTAACTCAATAAAGGAGGCCAGCCAGGAGCCCAGGCAGAGATGTGGAATTAGAGCCAGTAATGGAAGAACCAAACTTCGCTTCTCGTGGTCTACATGTACCTTTCTATACAAGGTCAAAGTCACTTTCAAGTAGCCCAACCGCAAGAGGTTTCATGAAGTGTGATGCAACTTTCATTTCATAATTTTCGGACAATCCCAGATATACATCACAAGATCTTTGTTTACCATGACAGAGTGTCTCCTTAGACTATTCTCGCTCTTTACCTTTTAAAATCTACTTTGGTGAGAGAATTTGGAATTTGGAATTCACCACATGGAAGAATCTAAGAAACCTGCCTACTTATCAGCACTACTTTGTTGTTCTTCACAATTAGTTGGAGCTTTCTTTGGTCAACAGCAGATGTGACTAAGAAAATCACGCTGTTTCACTTAGAGCAGTGGTCACCAAGTGTGGTCCTTAGGCCACACAGGTCAGCATCACCTAGGAACTAGGAAATGCAAGTTCTTAAGCAATCCCACCCAGACCTACTGAATTGGAAGTGCTGAGGATGGGGTCCAGCAATCTGTGGTTGAACAAGCTCTGCAGGTGAGTCTCATGATGGCTAAATTTTGAGAACCCACTGGTCTATAGCAATTGTTCTCAATTCTGGCTATACACTATAATCCCTGGTTATTATATATAAAATGTTTACATAATTTAAAATATATATATGATGTTTTCTTCCTTCCAGACCAGTTAAGTTAGAGTAATCAGAATATTTTTTAAAAGCTCCCCAGGTGATTCTACTATGCAAGCAGGGATGAGAAACGCTTGTCTCTGCAGCACTGTTGCCTAGGGTATATTATGCAAACTCACTGATCTTGGTAATTCTAGGATGTACTTTTAATTTTTGCCTGCTATGAATTTATTTTAATGCATATGAGAAAAATATAATTGGCACATCTAAACTGTTATTTCTCTGCTTAAGGTGATAATATATAATTGTCTCAAAAATAAATATATAAAAGTTAAAAAGCGAGTCAATTTAAAATATGTGAAGTAAAAATATGGGATTCTGAGATATGGCAGAAGAACCACTTATCTTAGGGCGGGGTGTGGTGGCTCACACCTGTAAGCCCAGCACTTTGGGAGGCCGAGGTGGGTGGATCACTTGAGGTCAGGAGTTCGAGACCAGCCTGGCCAACAAGCCTTCTCTCTACTAAAAACACAAAAATTGGCTGGGTGTGGTGGTGTGTGCCTATAATCCCAGCTACTCAGGAGGCTAAGGCAAGAGAATCACTGGAACCCAGGAGGCAGAGGTTGCAGTGAGCCAAGATTGTGCCACTGCACTCCAGCCTGGGCAACAGAGCAACACTCCATCTCAAAAAACAAACAAACAAAAAACAAAAAAACAAAAAAACTTATCTTAAACACTAGCAATGTAAAATATCTCTATATTAGGTACCAACAGATGTTATCCTAGTAGCTAGAGTTTGGGAGAGATGTTTGTGTATTCAGACTTTTGTAATTAGGTGATGGAATTATTCTATTAATACAAAACTTGAATTCTTACCAAAATGTCTTTACATCTACTATTAGTAATTATAGAAAAATGCTTCCCATCACCTCCAAACTCAGTGTTGGATTTAATATGGGCAGAGTAATTTGCATGTTGAGGAGATGTATACAGACCTTTGCCTTTACAGTAGGGGACAGGAAAGGATATTAATATTTCTGTGATTAGGTGGGAGGGCAGAGTTGAAACCAATACTCACCTCTTTGTGCACTGACTGGGGGTGCTGAGGTGAGCATCTCTCAGCCGGTAAATTCCAAAACAAAGCATATTATATGTTTTCAGAGCTTTGCAGAACAGATCACCATAACAACCACCATCCTGGGAGACAGCAAAAGAACAGAGAGAAACATCCTTTTTATTTGCCTGAAAATCAAGGGACAGCAGGGAAACGGGTCTTTTCATCAAAGCTTGTTTTGGTGTCTCCCAAGTTGGAGGGTCCATGTGCCAAGGGACGGCAGTGGAAGAAGTCAACATGTTTAACAGACTACACCCAATATGTGTGATTTTTAGGGATCAGGTAACAATGGGGTTTTCCTCTGGTGTCTCTCCAGTTTTCCACCTGTCGCAGTGGGGTTTGAAAGCTCTAAGGAGATTATGCTTCTCCCTCACTTTAAGTCAAAGTGTAAAGCTTGATGGTCTCAGATGTATGCTCAGCTGAGGAGATGAACCCTTCTCTGCAAAATGGTGATTATGTTCAGTCCCAGCTCAGCTGTAACCGCTGTGATAGGCTCGTGTTGTCAAAACTGTCTGAGTGATAATGAAAACCACCGCAAGGAGGAGGACCCCACCAGGTCCTATGGTGACAGACTCTTTCAGGAGGTAAGGACCCTGTGAAAAGCACAATTTACAGACCTCAGAGATGGCAAGGGTGCAAGAGAATGTGTTTCCCTAGGAGCCAGGGGTCTGCAGGCTGAATAACTAGGATTCGCAGTTCTGATCAGTTCACAGCCACCTTCCCGGGGTCTGGGGCCTGATGCAGAAAGTGAAAGCAAATGCATCCACTTGGAAATGCTGGCTTCAGCGGCCAGGTGGCTTCAGGTAGATGTTACCTGTATTATATGAA
Source organism: Homo sapiens (assembly GCF_000001405.40). Taxonomy (NCBI): domain Eukaryota; kingdom Metazoa; phylum Chordata; class Mammalia; order Primates; family Hominidae; genus Homo; species Homo sapiens. The sequence goes on from NC_000010.11 coordinate 76,890,315, forward strand.
GGGCACTGGGCACTGCGGGATGGCTTCACTGGGTATAAAATGACTGTCTTTGTCCTTCCAATCATTGGAATTCTCATATTGGTCTCATACCAAAGAACACTGATGGGACCAAATCTTACCATTATCTAAAGTCTTTATCCTAATCAAGTGCATCAATAAGTAAATGATAGGTATAAAGAGCCACTAGCTATGAAAATTCCCTTTCAAAAAAAGCCTAGTCTAACATAGGTCCCAGTCCATGATCAAACTAAAATATGGGGAAAGTATGCAGCACTGTTTCAGAAAAAACAGAGACAGACCCTTTCCTTGGCTCCTTTTCCACTATTTAGTCTTTCTGGGCGACACCATTGTTTGTGTAACAGGTTTATCAGTTTCTGTGACTTATGGCTGCATCTCTTAAATGCATCTGTGGGGTTGGGCTGGGAATAAGGGCAAAGACAGCACACTTCTGTCACAGTGCCTACACTAGGCAGATACATGGAATCAGAAGGGAGACGCTGGCCACTTCCGTCACAGGGAGGACATGAGGGAACGTGACTGGGTCCACTCTCAGAAATTACAAGGTCTAGGTTTTGATTTACAGGCATTAAAGGATCCACATAAGATTCGGTTTGTTTGGCCGGTGGTTCTGGATACATCTGACTACTGACTACCCTGGTGCTTTGAAAACCACCAGTGCCTGGGTCCTATTCACATATAAAAACTAAGAAACCTGCAGGCTGAGGCTGGCCACCTCCATGTGCTATTAATGTATAGTTGGGTTGAGTATCCCTAAGCTACGCTAAGAGCCTGTGGAAATATTTCCCAACCTTGGCTGCATGCTGGCATCACCTGCTGCTTCTCACCTTGTGCAGAGGATACGTGAAGAGAACACCAAGGAGGGAGAAAGCCCACTGGCTCTGAAGCCAGGATGCCTTGGTGCAAATTCCCAATAGGTCTAGTGCTCATTCTCTCTGGGCCTCAGTTGACTTAGAAGGTGTGATACTAGAACTTATATCAAAGGGTTGCTATGAAGATTAAAATGAATGACTATGCATAGAGCAAAGTGTCTGATCCAGAGTAAACTATAAATAAATATCACCTCTTACAGTTATCTACAATAGGAAGGAGAAAAGCCAGATGCCTAGCTTGTCACATCTGATACCACGTTCTTCAGGATCAAGCTTTTCCCAAACAGCAAGCTCAGGTGACCTCGGTGCTGTGGACTCACCCCTAAGTCCGCAAATGGCCCATCGAGCAGAGCTAACTGGGCCACGCGGCAGCGGTCCCTATTGGCCAGTGTCTGCGGGGTGCTGTAGCCACCTCTAAGGGCGTTTTCCTCAGCAATCAGAGCCTCCAGCTCCGGCGTGGCTCCTCCGGTCACCAGGGTCCGTATCAGGGTGAGGATATTGTCATTGAAGTACGTCTGGGGAAGGAGAGAAAGTGAGGGAAAAGTCCTTTAAGCAAACACCCTAAAGTCATGACAGCCGACATCCAAATTACAACTTTTCTTGGTATCTCCTGTTTAAAGTTCTGGCCTGTCTCTTCAAATAATTTCATGTGGGGAGTGAAAAGACAGCAGCCTCCAATTATTCCGTTATTTTCTCTCTTGCTTGGCTCTGCTACGACAGCCTGACTTAAAAAACCCAGTTCAGGGGATTTTTTAGTAAAGGGCTCAAATCTGAATAATTAGTGTTTGCCATAATTGGTTTTAGTAGGGATACAAATATTGCCTCCCCCTCCTAAAGTCTACGTGACTACTATGAGATTCTGGACACGTGTAATAAAATGCAGCCTGCCCCAGCTACTAACCCAAGCAGCATTGTCTCTGAGGCCCTGTCATCCATGTGCCAGGAAGCTTCCTCCCCACGACAACGGCAAAACCTTTCATTAATGCCACACGCTTAACGATTTACCACATGCGTTGATAACTGTCTAACTCAGAAATCTCGATCAATTAAATATGCCGGATAAATTTATGAAAAGGTGAATGTCCTGGTAAGTGTACTTTGGCTTTTGTTTTCTAAAATAACCTCAGTAGTCTGAGGCAAATATCACTTATTAAAGAAGTTTCCCTCTAAGTGTACATTTGTGTCACATCTGAAACATAACAGATCTGTCAGGAACAAAAGAATGGGAGTTTAAAAAAAATTAATAGGATGTCAAATAAAGGAGCTTTAAAAGGTATTTGTCACCAGCCTAATTTGAGAAATTCTCAGGTAAGGGTGTGCATTCCATTTTCCTATGTAAGTAGAAATCAAGCAGGCTAAAAAACTCAAATCAAAGTTTGCCTGTGGCTTTTGAGGATGCACTTTGGAAAGAGGTAAGGAAAGATGCAATTGCACCTCAGCAGCTTCTTAGAGAGTTTAGCTGGCAAGGCATAGTAGGGAACAAACCAAGTAAGGGTGAGCTCAAGTTCCCATCCCAGGTTTGCTAACTAGTTCTATGTCTTGGAGGTTGCCTAGTCATTCTGGACTTTGATTTTTCTCGTCTGTAAAATAACAGTGGTCATTAAAACCAAATTTATATTCACATAATTCCATGAGGACTTCTGAATTAAGATGATAGTTACTAGCGGGGCTGGATTCACAATCCTCATTGAAATACTTACAAAAACACCCATTGTGATACAAAATTCCAACTGCAAAAGAATTTAGGAATGTTATCCATAGCCTGCCAGACCCTAAAGGAAATTTATGCTCAGAGTTAAGATATGCCCTTAGGCACAGAAGCAGAAAAAGGATACTTAAAGTAGGATATGTTTCTGGAGAGGTTATGGGATCCAGGGATCCAGAGCTGGGCTGAGGGGTTTAATGCTGACTTCACCTCTCAGAAGCTGTGTGACCTTGGAAAGTTATTTAACATTTTTGTGCCTCCGTTTCATGATCTGTAAAATGTAATAATAGAAGGCTGTGGGGCTCTATGACCTACCCATGAAGCACTTAGAAACATGCTTGGTGCACAGGAAGCACTGATAAACATTTTGGCCTCATATCAGAGACATGAGGCCTTTGCCAAGTAGAGGAACAGTCAGCTCCATTCTCAACTTTCCTTTGAATTTTTAATCTTCTTTGTTTTCTTGGAGGCGTGGGGAACTCAGGGCTTTAAAAACCAAGCAAGGGATTTTAAACTCGATGTGGTAGAAAATGGGAGGTCAGCCAAGCATGGTGCACACCTGTAATCCCAGAACTTTGGTAGGCCAAGGTGGGAGGATCATTTGAGGTCAGGAGTGAGGTCAGGAGTTGGGACCAGGCTGGCCAACGTGGTGAATCCTAGTCTCTACTAAAAATAAAAAAATTAGCTAGGCATGGTGGCGGGCACCTGTAATCCCAGATCCTCGGGAGGCTGAGGCCAGAGAATTACTTGAACCCGGGCGGCAGATGTTGCAGTAATCTGAGATCATGCCACTGCACCCCAGCCTGGGTGACAGAGTGAGATTCTGTCTCAGAAAAATAATGAATAAAATACTTAGAAATAAATATATTGAAGGAGGAACAAGACTGGTATACTGCAAACTACAAAATATTACTGAAAGAAATTAAAGAAGACCTAAATAAATGGACAGACATCCCATGTTCCTGGATTAGAAGACTTGATTTATTAAGATGGAATACTACCTTAATTTCCAGATTTTATGTAATACCTATCAAAATCACAAAGTCCATTTTTTTGTAAAAATGGAAAAATTGACTCTAAAACTGCAACAGACCCAAAATAGCCAAAGCAATCTTATAGCCTTATAAAAGAAAGACGAAGTTGGAAGTTTCATACTTCCCAGTTTCAAAACATACTACAAGACTATAGTAATCAAGATAGTAATGGCATAGGATAGACCTATAGACCAATGGAAAATAATTGAAAATCCAGAAATAAACTCATTCAGTTATGATCTATTAATTTTCAGTGAGTGTGCCAAGACCATTCAATGGAGAAGTTAATATAGTCTTTTAAACAAATGGCATAGCAACAACTGGGTATCCACAGGCAGAAGAATAAAGTGGGACCTATACCTCACACTATATGCAAAAATTAACACAAAAGGGGTCAAAGATCTAAATGTAAAAGCTAAAACTGCAAAATGCTTAGAAGAAAATATAGGAGTAAGTCTTTATGACCTTTGATTTGGCAATAGTTTCTTGGACATGACACAAAAAGCATAAACTACAAGAAGAACAGATTAAATTGGACTTCATAAAAATTTAAAAAATATTTGTTCTTTGAAGGACACTATCCAAAAAGTGAAAAAAACAACCTACAAAATGAGAGAGCATGTTTGCAAATCATATGTCTGATAAGGGTCTAATATTCAGTATTAAAAAGCCTTTTATAACTCAACCAAAAAAGACAACCCAATTTTTTAAACGGGCAGAAGACTTAAACATTTCTCCAAAAAGATATAAAAGTGGTTAATAAACTTATGCAAAGAGGCTCAACAGCTCTAGTCATCAGAGAAATGCAAATCAAAACCACAATGAGATATTTTACACCTACTAGAATAGCTGTAATAAAAAAGACTGATGATAATAACAAGAATTGGTAAGAATAAGGAGAAACTGGAACTCTCACACACTGCTGGTGGGAATGTAAAGTGGTGCAGTTAAGGGAGGAGACCACCCCTCACATTGTGTTATGCCCAATTTCTGCCTCCAAAGAAAGAAAAAGTAAACATTAAAAGGCAGAAATGAAACCCACAAGCAGATAGCCCGGTGCCACACCCTGGGCCTGGTAGTTAAAGACTGACCCGCACTTAATCGGTTATGTTATCTATAGATTACAGACATTGTATAGAAAAGCACTGTGAAAATCCCTATCCTTTTTTGTTCCAATCTAATTACCGGTGCATGCCGCCCCTAGTCACGTACCCCCTGCTTGCTCAATCGATCACAACCCTCTCACACGCACCCCCTTAGAGTTGTGAGCCCTTAAAAGGGACAGGAATTGCTCACTTGGGATACTCGGCTCTTGAGACAGGAGTCTTGCCAATGCCGCTGGCCGAATAAACCTCTTCCTTCTTTAACTCGGTGTCTGAGGAGTTTTGTCTGCAGCTCGTCCTGCTACACAGTCACTTTGGAAAACAGCTAGGCAGTTCCTCATATGTTTGAACATTGTGTTGCTATATGACCCAGAAATTCCACTCTTACAGTATATACCCAAGATAAATAAAAATATATGTCCATATGAAAACGTGTACACAGATGTTTATAGCAGCATTATTGGTAATACCCAAAAGGTGAAAATAACCCAAATTTCCATTAGCTAATGAATGCATGCACAAAATGTATTATATCCGTGCAATGAGTATTATTTGGCCGTAAAAAAGAGTGATGCAATGATACATGCTACAACATGGATGAACCTTGAACACATTGTACTGAGAGTCTATCAGACAAACCACCTCTGATAATTCAATGTACATTCGTTTCTATTTCCTTAAGTGTCGGCCAGTCTGAGAAATAAAGGGAAAGAGTACAAAAGGGAGAAATTTTAAAGCTGGGTGTCTGGGGGAGACATCACATGTCGGCGGGTTCCATGATGCCCCCTGAGCCGCAAAACCAGCAAGTTTTTATTAGCAATTTTCAAAGGGGAGGGAGTGTATGAATAGGGTGTGGGTCACAGAGATCACATGCTTCAAGGGCAACAAAAGGTCACAAGGCAAAAGGTCAGGGCGAGATCACAAGGTCAGGGCAAAACTAGAATTATTAAGGAACTTCCATGTCCTGCTGTGCAGGCGTTGTCATTGATAATCATCTTAACAGGGTTCAAGAGCAGAGAACCGGTCTGACTAGAATTTGCCGGGCTGGAATTTCCTAATCCTAGCAAGCCTGGGGGCGCTGCAGGAGGCCAGGGAGTGTTTCATCCCTTATCTGCAACTCCATAAGGCAGACACCCCCAGAGCAGCCATTTTAGAGGCTCCTCCTGGGAATGCATTCTTTTCCCAGGGTTGTTAATTATTAATATTCCTTACTGGGGAAAGAATTCAGCAATATTTCTCTTACCTGTTTTCAGTAATAAGAGAAACATGGCTCTGTTCCACCCAGCCCACAGGCAGCCAGACTTTAAGGTTATCTCCCTTGTTCCCTGAAAATTGCTGTTATCCTGTTCTTAAGGTGCCCAGATTTCATATTGTTCAAACACACATGCTTTAGAAAAAATTTGTGCAGTTAACGGAATCATCACAGGGTCCTGAGGCGACATACATCCTCAGCTTACAAAGATGATGGGATTAAGAGATTAAAGACAGACATAGGAAATTATTAAGAGTACTGATTGGGGAAGTGATAAATGTCCATGAAATCTTCATAATTTATGTTCTTCTGCCAAGGCTTCAGCCAGTCCCTCCGTTTGGGGTCTCTGACTTCCTGCAACAAGAGTCTATTTATATAAAATATCCAGAAAAGGCATGTCTACAGAAATAATGAGTAGATCAGTGGTGGCTTAGGGTTGGTGGGTTGATGGGTGGAGTTGTAGGGGAGGGTAGGATAACTAAAATACAAAGTTTCTTTTTGATGCCATGAACATGTTCTAAAATTGACTGTAGTGATGGCTGTACATGTCTGTGAATATGCTAAAAAAAAAACCACTGAATCGTACACTTTAAATGGATGAGTTGTATAGTATGTTGTGTCTCATTTTTTTAAAATAAATAGTTAAAAGACAACTAAATTTGCACTGGCCAACTTTTTAATCTAAGGAGCCATGAGTATTAGAGGTGAAAATTACACACACACACACACACACACACACACACACACACAATTAGTGATACGGAAGTAAAACCAGGAAGTTCTAAGCTAAATAGAGAAAGATATAGGGATTTTTGTTTGTTTGTTTAATAAGAGTGCTGGTTGATATTGAGAAAAAGACAACAAAGGTCAAGTGATAAACAGTAAGTATTTACAAATCAAAGTTGTAAACAAAATGCAAGCGTGTAAAACAAGCAAACAAACAAATAAAAATAACCTGTCCTGAGCTGGGAAATGAATCTAGGATGCAGATCAAAAGCATTCAGCAAGTTAATGTGGCCAACTCCTAGACCTGTACTCGGTGAATATTTGAATTCAAAATATTAAATGGAGAATAAAAATGACCTAAAACAATGCTGTAAGAAATACAAGTATAAAATAAGGCTAGGCTGAAGCTTCTCTAGAAAATGTAAGAGGAATGTCAAAGGAATTTTGACAGGACACATTTGTTCCAAAAATTCTACATATAGTTAAATTGCCAATAATTTGTGAAGGCAACTGAAATATTTTTTGACTCTTTGCGTACATAAGCATTTATTGATTTAATTTTTTTAAATACTTAGAAACAAAAATTAGCTTCTTTAAAGATAATTTTAAACCCTTAGTAACTAAAATATGAGCAAATTTGGTTTACTGTTAAAATATATTTAAAACAGAATTGTAAAAGATTATTGTATATATTATTACAAAATGGAATGCAAATGTCAAAACTAATTATTAAAAAAATGACAAAACTAGCTATTAATATAGTATTGCTAAAATTATGTTTTAAAGTTAGAAAAATGAGATGAGATAGAGATGATGATGGAAATAAAGGCATGAAAATTGCCTGATCTTATACAAGGAGGAATCAAGAACTACTAAATTTTTCTAGACAATAATACTTAGAAAATACATCTATAGAATGGCTGGTAACAACTAACTAGAGTTAAAAATAGAATGGAAAGTTTACACTACAGAAAATAAGCATACAAAATATAGTCCACATACCAAAAGATGGATCATAAAACATATAATTATGATAGAAGCATGTAAAAAACATAATGCAAGACTATAGCATCTTATGTTATATAACTAAACATAAATGAGCTAAATGATCCTATAAAATGGCAAAGATTTTCAGACTTGTTCAAATGCCAAAATCAAACTCTGATATCTTTAAAAGAGAAAAAGGGAAGAAAAAAAGTATAGCTTCAAAGAAAAATTTTAAACTATTATGTTAGATAAGTTAATTTTATATTCATAGTTGACACAATAAAGCTATAATTTTTTATGGACAAATATTATAACTGAAATATAGAAAGCAAAACTAATTAGAATTACACTAGAATAAATCTGGACTAAGGGTAATACGTGAAATATTCCCACTATCACTGTTTTTAGCTTTTACAGGCCAAATAGATCAAAAGATAAGAAAATTGAGGATATAATCAGGTTGATTTAGTGTATTTTTACTAAACTTTGTAACAACGATTACAAAAAAAAAAATCAATGGCCAAAACCATCAAATCTCAATACATATAACAAAGTATAAGCTGTATAACCTACATTTTAAAAATTAAATACAATGTAATAGAGGCAAAAGTAAATATTCCAGAACATCAAAAAAATTTTGTTAAGTATCCTATAACTACTAGGTCAAGATGGAAATCAAACTTAGAATATGAAATATTTTAAAATTAAAGAATATTTGAGAATGACATATAAAAATATCATGTCTTGAGGCCAATGCTATAGAGACAAATTCAGAGCCTTTAATGCTATTATTAAATACAACAGAATTATAATAAGTAAAATTAAGTATTAAAAGAATTCTTTTTTTAAAAAAAAGCAGGATGAAAAGTGTCAGTTAATGAATTAGCAAGAGGATATTTAGTGAATTGTTAAATTCAAGAAATAATTCCTTGAAAAAATAAACTTATGACAATATAACTGAAAAAACACAAATAAAATTAGAAATAAGGAGAATAAAATGTCAGATACATAGGAGAATTAACAGTATTATTCCAGATACTCTCTTTAATACCAATCACTGGACGTGAATAAGAATCGCTACTGTTTTTAGGCAAAAAGCAAAGTAGTAATCATCTATGAAGAGACAGAGGAGAGTATTAGGAAAAAAGGAAAATTCCATGTTCCTTAACATGTAAATAGGCCATTTAATGTCATTTTTTCCAGTAAAATTGTTGTTTGACATATGTGTAATTGCAGATTTGAATTGGACTTTTTAAAACTTGATAAAATTATGCTAAATTTCCCCTGGAAAGAGTTGTACAAAATTGTCCTCTCATGTAGTATAGTAAATTTTAAAGGTTTCCTAACCAAATATTGTAGACAATGTGAAAAATTAGAAGATCAACCAGAATGGATTTATGAGAACCATAGCTTAGTAGTTATAAGACCTTAATACAAAAGTTGGCAAATCTGGCTCTTGGGCCAAATCTTGCTCTGCCATCCATTACTTTTTTAAAATAAGGTTTTGTTGGGACCCAGCCATGTCCATTTGTTTATGTATTGTCTGGGGCTGCTTTGGTGCTAACAAACTCAGAGTTAAGTAGTTGTGACAGAGACTATGTGGCCCTCAAAGGCTGAAAATATTTACCATCTGGCTCTTTACAAGACAGTTTGCTGATCCATTCCTTAGTATAACAAGGAAAGCATTGCATACCACAGGGAAGGGATTTTACTCAATGAATGATTTGGGGGAAACTGGCTCTCTGATAAAAATTTTTCAACAATATGGTAATGATTAAACAATGGTTCTTTGACATGACTCATATTGTACAGACATGAATATTGTGCTTTCAGATAATATTTAATGGCATGGTAATAATTATATAATACTAAAATGTTTTTTAAAAGTAGGATCCCCAAAACACCATGAATCACAATTCATGTTAAAAATGCATACCTGCAAAACTATTGGCTAGGGAAATTAACTTTTTCTGTATTTAAAATTTAATTTTAAGAGTACCCACTTTTAAATATTGAATCTTTATGGTACTGGGTTTTAAGTTTTAATATTACTTTTAATTGGCTTTTTCATACTAATGATTCCTTTTAATGTTTTCAATTATCATATGTTTATAAAATGTAGAGATCATTTTTATTATTAAACTTTATAATGTACACTGTTTCATAATATAACAAATCATGCACTTATTACTTTTTGAATTATTTTTTAAATATAAATCTTCAATGTTTAATGGAAAGTTATCAGAAAATGATATCCTGTTTATTATTATGGTCACTCATTTATTTCTACCATAAAGTATTACAAAAAGTACATAATGCTCTGATTTGGGGACTTCCAGAGGGAAAAATAATGCATACCTGAACTGATAGACGTATTTATGTGAAAGTAACTGTAAGTAGTACACAAAATTTCTACTTAGTAGTTAATTCTTGGTTTTAGAATTTGGGGTTTTTTTCCTATAATTTTATTTTATATATTTTCTGCTGTGAAAATACATTTATTTTAAATTTCTGTAAAAAAGAAAGTAAATGTTACTAAATAGTTAAAGGCAAAAAATGTAGCCACAAACAACTTCACAAAAATATAGCAAACTGTTTAATCTCAAGATGCTTGATAGTTCTCATGTTCAGCATGCACTTTTTATGCATAAAAACTGAATTCACTATATAAAATATGTATTTACATCATTATATACAGATTAAAAACTGATATGCTTCAAAACTATCATAAACACAATTAAAGGGCCTCCTAGGAAAAATGACAATCGGCATTTGCCATAATGTATGAGATGGCTCAGTATGACGAGAGTGTGGATTGGTAAAATTGTTTCTTGGAGATATCATGACAATATGTATCAAGAAATTTTAAAATGTCCCTATTTGTTAAAAAAAAAAAAAACCCAGTACATTTGCCTCAATATAATAAGTTGCTACTTGTTCAAAGATTTATGTACAATAATTTTTATTACAGGATTAATCATTGCTATAACAAAAATTTTTTAAAGCTAAATAGCCAAAAATTTAGTGATAAATCGATTCTGGAACATCCACAGACTGGAGTCTCATAAAGTCCTATGGAGGCTCTGCAAATCATGACACCTAAGGAAATAATAAAATACTCTGGATAAAATATTAACTGAAAAGGGAAAAAATAACCAACCTATAAAATGAGATAATTCTGTATTTATCCATCCATTTAGAAGGAAAGACACCAAAATATTAACCATGCTTATCCTTGGTGTTGGAAACATAGGCCATTTATATTTTCTTCTTTATATGTTTTCTTTTTATTTTTATATGTTTCTTCTTTATATGTCTTCTTTTATATGTTTCTGTGCTTTCCAAATTTTCATCAAGAAGTATGAATAACTGTTCTAATAAAAACACAGTCAATTTTTTTTAAACAAAGGGCACTATAGGTTATCCATTGCAATGATAAATCTAGAAGGTCAGGCTGGGAGGTTATTGTTTTGTCAAATCTTTGGGATTTGACCCTAACATGTTCCCACTTCTGTGTTGAAATCAGTTATACCCAAATCTTTTTGATCAGTCACTGACATTTATTGAGCACCTACTAATCGTTGGGCCTTGGTTTAGCCTGAAATTGTGTGAAAGTCAAAGAGTGCATGACTTTTAGAATTGCTCATCAACAGGTACAATTTCATAGTCAGTCCCAGGGTTTCACAGGTGTCTGAACAACTCTGGGACCACTCATATCTCTGAGCATAATTGTCTGCTCTCTGAGCTGGCACTGCATCCCAGATGATGGCTCTCCTTGATTTTTCCATGCAGGCATCCAGGAGCAGAGCTGTGGGGCAGCAGAATCTGTGATGACAGAGAATGATGATGTATTTTTGCCAGCAGATGCTTTTGCTCCTGTTTTGATACCCCAATATTCGGATGCAGAAAAGGACTCTGAGCATTGCTGACGGGTGTGCTCTGCACACCTATCTCTTCAGGATCTGAATAATTTGGTGGAAAGACAATGCCTTTTCTGGAAAAGGGTGTCAGGTCAGTCATATTGGAGGATGCAAATTTCCTTATGTGATGGGAGTGAGGGTTGGGGTAGGGCACTTCACGGAGCATTCAGCAGTCTGCAATTAAGCATCACTCCAAGGCTTTCTGCATAGGTGATGGCTGTTTCTGCATCATGGGGCAAACCAGGTGCTAGAACTTCAAATGCCAATTACCAAAGGCGCTTCCTGCGGAGGAAACCTCTCTACAACTCACCTGACCCAGAAGGCACACATTTTTTTCTGGGTTAACATAAATGCTAAAATTGAAGAAATGAAACATTCTAAAGGCAGGATCATGTAGGTGAGATCCTTTGCCTCCTAAGCTTTTGTCCTGCCAGTCTTTTCTGTGCCTTACCATGATACCTGTGCTAGAAGTCTTCTGGGAAGCTCTTGTATAGAACCTCCAACTCTGGCAGGGTTAGTCTTCAGGGATGCTTCAGGCAGAGACCTTCTCAATATCTATCCTTGCGTCACATGGGCATTGAGTATAAGACAGCTGAGTTAGGGTCCTGTTCAGAGCCTGGGATCAGGGAACCCGCATAGTCTAAGGAATACAGGAGTCCCTCTTCCCACTGCCAAGGACAAGTTTGCAAACCTGACTAGCGAAGCCCTTCTTCTGATTAAGGCAACGTGGCCCCCTGGTTATGAGTACAGATTTCCAAATCCAATTAGTGTGGCTTTTAATACCTGCTTTGCTATCCAATAGGCACAACAATGAAAAAGTTGCCTAACTTTTCTCTGCCTTGAATTCCTCATCCATATAACAGAGATGAAAAAACAAAACAAAACAAAAATTTATAGATTAGAGTTAAATGAGAGGATTTGTGAAACTTCTGATAGACAAAGCATACTCAAAAAATGGGAGTTTATAAAAAGAACCATCAACTAGCAATGCAACCAATTTAGACAATTCCCTCTCCGGGTGTCTCGGCGTTCTGATTCTAATCTCTGAGAGCTGGCTCAGAACACAAGGGTGGCCCGCTTGGCCTCTAAAGTTTGATGATTCTCAGGTCCTGTAAAAGGACACTGAGGAAACCATGAAATGCCAGGGGAGGGACCAAGGCACTGTAACAGGGAAACCTGAGCCCACAGCGCCATCTAGCCCGCTTGGCCCACGCCCCGCTGTGCCTGCAAGTGTAACCCGCCCAAGCATCCTCCTCTTTTTATTTTTTTAAAGTATAATTACCGGAGCTTATGTTTCACAGTTAATGCTGTCAAGCCTTTTAAACTAATTGGTCTTTTATAGAAAATTTAACTGAAAATTAACACATCTTTTAATAACATTGCCTTAACTTTAATGGCTCTCTGCCTTTCGTTTATAATTGCTCTAAAATTGTCATTTTCCATGTCATAGCTGCCATTTTTTATATTTGCTAGTTTTCATGGTGTAGATTTTTATTTTTAGTATTTTTCTTTCGTGAGGGATGAAAATGATTGGATTTTTTTTTCCCTACCCCAGGCCTGCCTGGCCTGATGTGACAGCAGTGGTCTGTCCTGAGTCTAGCAGGACATACCTCCATGTACCCGACTGACACCACTGCTAGCTCCTCTGCCTCGGGACGGCCATGTGCCCTCTGTCTCCGTGTGAGCAGTTGAAATGGAGGCTCTTGAGTGGAGTGTAAGAAATAGGGTTATGGAGCAATAAATTGTTTATGTAACTAAAATCACATGGCATTAGGTTAGCTTGGACTGATAGAGAACTCAGGCCTCTCCATAACACCAGGTTCAAGGGTTTGGCCCTTAATGAAAGTACAGGAAAGACAGTAAATCATGTGAACCCACATTCCAGACGGTCACACCCTCCAGTCTTACTGATATAACTTCGTTTCTGGCAAACAGGCCAGCTCTCTGATATTAAAGATGAGAACATGGAATCATATCTTCTGGGTACCCCAACTCATCTACCCACTAAGCTCCCAAATATTATCTAAGATGTGTGTTCATGAAAGAGAGAAAGAGAGAGGATAAGTGCACACAAACACATAAATATATATACATATATGTACATGCATATATACCAAAAAAATCTGCTTCTTTGTAATTACATGTGATCTTAAGAAATACGTATCTGCTCTGTGAAAGATTTTTATATGCCTTTGCCATTCTCCAATTAGCAGAAAGTCATAAGGAGTAACATCATTCCCATTTAACAGTAGAAAAAATGTGCAAGGGCTGCCGGTGAGCCAGGACCAGAAGCTACAAGTCCTAATTCATGGCCCAGTTTCCCTCCTCCAAGTCACTGCCTTTGTTCTGAAAATATGAATGCACTGGACATGCAAACTCCTGCCCTGGGCATTGTGGTGCAGTGGGCAGAGCAAAGACACACCTGCCTTAACTGGCTCACATTGAAATTTCTCTCTAGCTCCTGGGGGATCCTGCGCATGGGTCTCTCCATAGGCTGGCATTCACGCTTCTCAGATGTATCGTACACTAGCAAAAGGGGCCTCTGCTTTTCTCTGCTCTTTCTCTTAACACTGTTATAATATGCTTTTTCTTTATTTTTCCAGATTAGGTAGGCCCTGCAAACCTAAAGCTTCATTAAATCTTGTTTTCTAAAAAAAAAACGACAACACTCCCAACTTGTGTGCATTGGAACTCATTAGCTCTTGTAGTAGGGTTCCCCTTTTTCTCCTCAGAAGGAGGTGGCTCCTCACTGCTCCTTCAATAACGATGGTTCAGTGTGATTGGTATCTGTTTAGGAAAGGTCCAAGGCTCAAGGAAAATGGACATCATGTGCACAACCTCCTAACTCAGAGGACAAGCAAGTGACCGGAAGGCCAAGGATGCTGTCTGACCACAGACATTGCAATGCAGACACATAAGATTAGAAGCAAAACGCAGGAGGCTGGTAAGGCCAGGACAGTGGGATGAACCAAGCAGGGAAGGGACATGAATGAAGCAGGCCTGGTGGGATACAATAGAGAGTAGTGTGGACTGTGGCTAAAGGGAGCAGCTGCTCAGCTCAAGCCAATAGCTGCTTTACGGGAATCTGGGACTCTGCCTTCTGACTCTAATTTAAAGAAGGCAGGAACCCCGATTTTATATAAAATCTTATTTTAAAATATTGGCAACAAATTCAATTTAAAAATAAAAACTTGATAAATGCAGAAGTTGTCTGTGGGGTAGATGTAGACTGCAATGTGACATTTCGAGACTTCTATTACAGATCTTTTATTAGAAACAAGATATCAAGCCAAGTACTATGCCAATATATTGTGCTATTTCTTCTTCTAAAATGAGTGCATGAGGATGGGGTGTTGGACAAAAAAATAATCAAGGGTTGCGCTTCAGGAATCAACTCAGTGATGAGCTCACTGTCCTAGCCAGCGTATCCAGAAACAGTGGCATTAGGAGGAAGCTGGTGGCTTTCAGAAGAAGGAGGATCCTCTCGCCAAGTCTGAAGTGTCTCATTCCAGACTTAGAACTTGGCCAGATGTGGTCTATTGTACTCGGAATACTCAGTGTGGCCAGCGGCCTTGCCTTCTTGATTGCCTTCCTGTCTACCACATTCCAACCATAATGGCCTCCAACTGCTTCCTCCAACAAACCAAACCCAGCTTGTCACCACTGTGCAGCTTTGGCCTTTATAGTGTTCTCTCCCTCTGTTTTTTTCAGTGTCAGCTTCAATGTTACCTCCTAGGATAATTTTACTCTGACCACTGAGGGTAAAACAGGTCTCCACACCCATTCAAGCTATTTCATGTTCTTCAAATCAATTATCCTTATGTGACACTATTCATTTATTCACTTACCTATTTACTCTTAACCCACTAGAATGAAAGTTTAAATAACATGAAGGCAAGGTCTTCATCCTTCTTTTTTACAACTGAATCCGCAGCATGGGGAATCATGCCTGGTGTCCAGTAAGTGCCCAATAAATGTATTGATTAAAAACACTAGCAACAATAAATACATACAGAGCTTGTCAAGTGCTAAGCACCGCTCTAATCGCTTTACAACCTTTACCCATTTACTCATCTCTGCAACCCTGTGACATAGGTACTATTACTATCTTCATTTTAAAGATGAGAAAACTGAGGCACAGGGAGGTTAAGGTTACCCAGCCAGTAAACAGCAGTTCTGGAATCCAGATCTAAGCCATCTGGCGCTTGAGTCCATGTCCAG
The DNA here is from genome assembly GCF_000001405.40 of Homo sapiens. Classification (NCBI taxonomy): domain Eukaryota; kingdom Metazoa; phylum Chordata; class Mammalia; order Primates; family Hominidae; genus Homo; species Homo sapiens. The sequence continues at coordinate 76,906,153 of NC_000010.11, forward strand.
TATTCACTTTTCAGGGTCCAAGTGGAGCTTAAGTTGGGGCTGGGGTTGGGAGAAAGTGATAGCTGGATGAAAAAGAAATCTGAATACTCATATGTGAGTCTCATCCCTAAAAACAGAGAGGATTCCTTTCACCTGGTGCGACTGTGTGCATCAAGATGGTATCATTCTGAAAAATACATTTCTAAGTTGTGATCTTCTTAGAGACATATATCCAAAAACCTAATTATTCCCTCTCATCCTGTGTTTCTGCTGTTGATTTGTGAGATAAAGCCACAGGGCCATGTCTGTAACATCCTGATCTGTTCCAGGAATGCCTGTGATGAATCAAAATATTATTCTTTTAACAAATGAAGCAGTAAGCAGCAGGAGTTGGGTTATGAAGGACAATATTCAGAGAATGTTTAGACACATGATTAAATGACAATTTGGGGAGGAGCGCTAGAATAAGGAGACTGTCAACAGCTGAAGAGATTTGTGTGTGGATGTTGTGATGTTGCTTATGAGTGAATGCCTGCAATGAAAGTTTACCTCTGTCTCCTGCTGTTTGGAGGAGTCTCACTTTCTCAATTTATATTCATGACAGCCCTTTTTGTTCCTTCTAGTTACTGCCTTGGCACTTGACTAATCTGTTTTTTCATACATTAAGGTTGGGGTAGAATGCAAAGAAATCACAGGTAACATTTTACCAAAACGTCTGGATCCAACTAGATTTGTGGACTCAGACCCTACTCAAGACCTCATTATGAAGCTTGTTCATCCTAGACAATGAAAACAAGACCTGGAATAATTTGATAGGCATTTTGATTAATGATTTGAAAAGTTACCATCAATGACTTACTTAAATATGTCTTGCTTCAACACTTAAACCAAGAGTATTCACATTATTGTCCAAAAGATTCGATAGTGTAGCTAAAGTGCCTCGCACAGTTCTGGGCCCTTAGTAAATGATGCTCCTGATGATAAATACAATGACAGTTACCAGATTCCTGATACCCTTTTATCCTAGGCTAGAATGCAGAAGACATGCTGCTCCCATACTATTGCATCCAAACATGCCTTAGTCACACTATCCCAAACATTTTTGTGTGCATTTCAAAGGAGATGAGAGATGGCTTGTTTAAAAATTTCAAATCAATTCACTTTGAATTCTCATTTGAATTTCCAAGAACTGACTACCTACTGATGATATAGATGCTTGTGCAACTCAAATCCAGATGGGCCCCCACCTCCACCCTGTGGCTACCATATGCCCCTTTGGCTGTGTTGAAAAGAAGTTCTCCAGTGCTCAAACCGATTTTATTCCTTGGAACCAGGGCTGGTTTCATGGGTGTTCAGCCTATGTGGTTGCACAGGGCTGTACTCAGACACATCTCTGTTGTTTTATTTTATTTTATTTTATTTTTTGAGACAGGGTCTCATTCTGTCACCCAGGCTGGAGTGCAGTGGCGCTATATCATCTCACAGCAACCTCCACCTCCCAGGCTCAAGCGATTCTCAGGCCTCAGCCTCCCAAGTAGCTGGGATTACAGGTGCACACCACCACACCCAGCTAATTTTTTTATATTTTTAGTAGAGACAGGGTTTTGCCATGTTGCCCAGGCTGGTCTCAAACTCCTGGGCTCAAGTGATCTGCCCACCTCGGCCTTCTAAAGTGCTGGGTTACAAGCGGTAGCCACCGCACCCAGCCCCAAGTCTCTTTTGTTTTAATACTCTGCTGTCACCATTTTGAAATTCTTAATAATTCATGAAAAGTGACCTTGCAAATTATGTAGCCAGTCCTGCTAGAAACATACTAAATATCTGATATGTAGAAACATAAACAATTTTATAAATTTGGAATTTTAAAAATGTTATCAGAGTATTTTGTAGTTCTGAAAAAAAAATTCTACTGTAAATAGTTTAACCAGCTCTTAGAACAGTCTTCTGAGATCTCTGTAATTAGGATCAGAACTAAAATAAAAATTTCTAATGAGATGAATTACCAAAATCCATTTGAAACTGGATTTGCAGAATATGAGGCCTATGACTGAGAATATGGTCTTCTTAGGAACACATCTTGAGGCTTCTATCATTCCTTCTGGCTTGCTCAAGGAGTTTGCCCAAACTGAGCCCAACATCACTAGCAGGTAGAAAGGTTAGCCTTGGTATCATCAGGCCATAAGAAAGATCATGAGCCCCAGGAAACCAAGGGAGCCCTTTTCCAAGGACCATTTTATCTCCTTGTTGGCTTGGAAAGCCATGGCATGGCATGAAGCCCAGTTAACCTTAATTCAGACGAATGTCATTTCACAGTCATTTTTAAATCCAAAATTCTGATTTTTAAATAAGATATGCTTGCAGTTGGACAATGTTCAGGCATACAGAATAACCCAAATTAGTCTTAAAAAGCTTTATGTTTTTTCTTTCCTCAAATAGAGGTCCTTCTGGGATTAGCATTATTTAATGAATAGATGAGACCAGTACATAATTAGCATATCAGTTGTTTAGCACATTCAGGAGAATAACTTTCAGCACTTTAAGAAATATACGTGTGTAAAAACTCTGAGTTCTGTTTATGGTTTTAATGTGTTCAGAAAAGCTCTTTATCATGGATTCTCCAAAGGTCAAGTTTTTGTTCAGCCTATGTCTGCATTTTCACAAATTGAGAATTTGAGAACTCCAAAATGAAGAAGATTTTCTACATAATAAATAAAGATGCTCAGTGGGAAGACTTCATAATACCCAGGTTATGACTCATTCTAAATGCCTACTTTTGCCTTTTGCAGTGAAAGATGGCTCCATAATGTTGGGACCCATTTTTTAATCGTTATTTGTTTTTCGGTTGCAAAAGTGAAAAAACAAATGCCTGATTGCTAGATGCACATCAAGTTATAAAAGAAACCAAAGCTGTGTTTGATCCCTGGGCCAGCCCACTGTCCTCTCTCTGCCACTAACTCCTCCCTCCTTCCAGCCAGGCCTTGCCTCCATGCCTGGTTCTCTCCCAAGGACTTCAGTCTCAGTGACAGGCCTGGCAGTCATCTTTGACCCACTGTCCTCTCCACCTTCTGCTCATGCTCAATCTTTTCCCAAGTCCTATTAATTGTACTGCCCAATACCACTGAGCTCCATCCACCTCCCTCGATCCCAACACCAGCTCTATCCTAGTCCAAGCCATGACAGCCTCTTACTCAGACCTCCTGCCGCCATCTTGTACCTCTGAATCATCCTCCCTACAACAGCCAAGGCAATCCCCTTAAAGCATGAACCTGATTATGTCACTCTCCAACTAAAATCCTTCAGTGCCTCTTCATTATTCTTAAGAAAAAGTCCAAAACCATGAAAATGTGTTTCAAGGTTCTGCAGGTCTAACCTTGGCCATCCTCCTGCACCCTTGTCTCCCCATGGTCCAGCCTCACAGGGTTTCTTTGCCTTCTTTGAGAGCCTCAGGTCCCCCCCAACACCAGGTTTTGCATTTGCTTTCTTTCTTCTTCAGAGAATGCTCTTCCCCCAAGATCTCCCCTCTTTATGGCTCAAATTTTAGCATAAAATGTACAACTCCCTTGGGGAATTTTTCTGGGATCCCCAAAACCAGGTCAAGCCCTCACCTATATTTCCTTCTAGCCTGCCTTGCCTTCCTTGCACTTGAGGAATTTATAATCAAACATTTACTTGTGTGATGGTTTTATAATGTGGGTCTCCCCTTCTAAGGTGTGAGCTTCTAGGAGTCTTGCTCTCCACTGTGGCCCCAGTGCAGCCCAGGGCCTCAAAGGTTGGAGGTGCTCTATTGGCACATCCTCCACCCTTGAGTGAGGAGGAGGGAACAGGATAACTCACCGCGCTCATGAGTGAGTCCAGGACACTGACGGCAAATGCTGTCCCACAGGCAAAGGGCTGCGTGAGGTACAGTTCTGTATCAGGGTCATCATCATCGTCTTGGTCCAAAAACTGAACATTAGTATCGTTCACTAGAAAAAGCATAAAATAAGAATTAGCTCTGAAGACCACACACAGGCATTGAAGCCAGAGGGAGACCAGGCTACTGGTTTAGAAATACTGAAGTCATTGAGAAGGAAACAAAAGCATGGAATAAGCTGTAGATGGATCTTTGGGTAAGGGGGGCAGTGGGACTCAATGGACTGTTCCTGTGTCACTGTTTAAGTGTCTGAGACCTGGAGAGCAATAAGTTCAAGCAGGCTTGCTCCACGGCAGGCCACTGGAGGACCAATAGACTGTGCTGGCCAGTCCTTTGGCATAGCTTTAGGATCATGACCTAAAAACACTTTCCAGTGTTTTTTGGTAACCAAGTCCTTTGAGAGATGGACATATTTCAATGATGAGCAGCCATGCTGGGATAGTCATTTTAGCCACAATGAAAAGAAAGCAGCTTATTGGGAGTAAAGAGCGCTGGAAGGGGAGCACAGCAAAGGCAGATAGCAAGGAATTCAGCCACAGGCATAACCCGCAGCCTACCCACTGGGATTGGCCTGGGTAGTTCCCGGGGTCCCAGGCCCTAAATCTAGGTCCACACCCAATAGGCCCTGTTTAATACACAGGAAACCCCAGGTGGGATGGATGCCTGGCTGTCTCCTGCTGCTTGCTGACAAGGACTTGCTCTGAATTTTGAGTTGCATGGGGACGCCCACGTTCTCCCTTTCCCATCCTAAACAGCTCAATCTTTTATATGCTTGCATTCAAGCAGATGCAGCATTGGATGCTGTATTTCATTTCCATCTGAGGATTCCTCAAGGACTCCTCCCGCATGTACGTGCAGGCTGATTAGTTGTGTCACTCAGATGTCTTTAACTTATTAAAAATTAAATGACAAATTAATTTCCATTCCCATCTTGGCTTTGGAAATTATCAGTTTTGCAGAGCAAGTAATAGGGGAAAAGTCGGTGGGGGGATGGGAGAAGGGGGCACTCAAAATTTCTGAAATAATTATTGTGATTTTAGGAAGAGAACAGATGAGGTTTCCTTTCCCTGATTCCTTTCTAAATGTATCAACAGCTAATTCTTTTTTCTAGAGTGATTGTTTTAATTTTTAAGCAACTTTCTTGATAACTCTTCTTTTTTAAAAAAAAAAAACTTTTGTTTACTGTATGAAGCAGAATAAATGATACTAGCATGAAAGGCTAGGCATGGAATTAGTATTTTAAAATGACATCATCTTGTTTCCCCAGAGAAAAATTCTAATGGGGAAAATCTTTGCTCTGTTCTTCCAAAATTGGTCACATTTGGGTCCCCATTGTTTAAGCAGCAATTGAATTGCAGGCTAGTGGTGAAAGTCCAAAATCCAGGCTCTGACAACTGGGCTTCAGTCCAGCCTGTGCTGCCAACTTCCTTGGGCAAAGCATTTCATCATTCTATACCTTAGTTTGTTTCTGTAAAATGGGGGAGTTACAGCAGCTCTCTCATGAGGCTGTCAGGAGGCTCATACGAATGGGATGGTGCCCAGTAAGCCTGGCCCAGCATCTGGATCATGCCATGACTTGATAAATACCAGCTGCTGTCATGATCTCCCTTCTGACATTAAATACCTGTCCACCCATTATAGCATGAAAATACCCAGCTTCCCTCTGCCTCTCTTGGAAACACTGAAGGTCTTGCTCAGGGGTCTTTCAAGAGGTAGCTTTTCCTCACCTCCCTTCACTTGTCCAAAGGGATGTTGTAGGCCACTGTTTAGTCTTTCTGTTTTGTGAATCAGAAAATGTAAACTGGAGACCACATATGGAAGAATGCAGTTTTAGTTACTTGTAATAGCCACCAATGGTGTGTGTGGCAATGCTCCGAAAAGCACAGCATCTGTTACCTCTTATCAGGAAGATGGGGAAGGGTTGGTACCAGATATGGAGGTGAAGTGACTCCAAGTAGGGGGAGGGGACTCCCGATTGCCAGTGAGCTAGACATCTGGGGTCATAGGAAAAGCGCTCCAAGAGACCAGCCAGGGTCCAGTGAATACCTTGTATACCGTTCTGAAATACCCAGTCTCAGAAGGAGAGCAAGCAATGCTACTCAAGGCCTATTTCACAGAACAGTAATTATGTGGGTGCTAAGAGGTACCCACGTAATCACCCCAAAGCATATGTGGTCAAATACAATTGGAATAGTCAGGTGAAACAGCTGTAACACAGTCCTTTCTTGTGAGACTCTGAGGAGCCTTTGCCATGCTAACATCAATTGAGAGTCTCCAAGTAGATGAAAAGTGGAATGTGCTACACAGCTTTGAAAGCTTGTGTGGCCTTGGTGCCCTCTGTGTCTCTTAAAATTCATTATACTGGCCTGGCATAATGCAGAACACATCTCAGAACATGTAGATAAATAAGAAGTATTTGTGGGGGATGTGGGAGGTGAAATGGTCTGAGGAGGGTGGTATAGTGGCTAGAGAAATAGGTTTCAAGGCAGAAGACAAGGGTGGTGTGAGCACCTGAAAGATTCTCTGAACACAAGGAAGAAATCTGGTGTGGGACAAAGGCTTCAGGAGAGTCAATGATGCTAATCAAATACCAGAATTGTTGCCTTAGGTTTGGGGCACCAAGCTTTTCCTTTTCTCGTCTACTAATGACAAATTAAGATATCCTAGTTAGTCAGCGGCACGTGAATTCCAAATAGAAAATGAAATTCCCGGCAGTGAGGATTCTGAAATGCTGCTGTAGGTTTGTGAGATGGAGATGTTTGGATTAATTTTCCAACCAGAGGCGTGGACCACATGAGCCCTGGGTCTCTTATTGCCCTCCAGTTCTGAGGAGAGCAATCCAGAAACCTAGGGCTTTTAAACAACTACACTAAACATGAAAAAGATACCCCTCCTATGGTTGGAAACAGAAAATAGTGTGATACTCCCTGACCTGAGTGAATTTGTCCTGATAAATAGCTATACCTACAATAATGCACTGCTGAGTGGTGGACAATTTATTCCTTGGTTTCTAGACATCTCGCAAGCAAGATTACTGTGTTGAAAGCCTGCTCCCTTATTTTGAAATATATTTTTGGGCCAAGAAAATGGGGTGTTCATTTCATTTGTGAGTCATGTGAAGGCAGGTGCTCCCACCTCTCTATCCACCCCTCTGCTGAGCAGCACTTTTGCTGTCTCTATTTAGAAGATCAATCCCCAGTTCTGAGACTTGCTGCTGATGGGTGCCCTTCATGGAGTTATTAACCAAGTCACGGGGAAGTGGGGAAGAACCTAACAAATGCAGTCACGACTGGAGGCCTTTATCGTCCACCTGAGTCCATTGTGAATCTCCCAGAGAGGATTCTGGGCTGGGATTGGGGGCCAGAGTGCAGGGCTGCACGTGGGTGGCTGCTAACCTTATCCTCCGCACCCTTCTTGAAATCTGCCTTTAGTAAAAAAAGTTCTCCTAGGGACCAGGTGTTTTTATGGCTTCAGAACCAGAGCTTCTGAGAAATGCCCTAGTAGGGGGGAAAAAAAAAAAAGGCAAATAAAGTCAGAATAAAGAAAAATAAACAGCTGGAGGGAAAGTGCCATCTTAGGTTTCTTATCTTAAAATTTTGATATTCTCCTTTGACTTCCTCTAAGAGCTGTGAAGACATGTCATTCAAACTGACAGTATGTTGGAAGAGGAGTAGAAGGGAGAAGGCGGGAGAGCGGGGTGACAAAAAAAAGTGGGGAAAAAAGGCTCAGGCCAGAGAAAATGAATTAGAGCAAATATGCTTTGGAAACAACTGCCAGGTCAGATGGGTGTGATCAAAGGTTTACTGATGCTGTGTGGGGAAAAAATCATTAAGAAAGGCCAGAACAAGACAGTCGATTCCAACCAGAGCCACAAATAAAACACATTCAAAGCAGTGCCATGGGGTAGCCTTTCTGTTACAGCCGGTGAAATAAAAACAAGCTGATGATAGTTGGAAACACCAACAACAGAACAAAAGGAGATACTGATGTGAAGGAAAACAGTGCTTCTTACCCAGTTCAGTTATCATTAGAATGTGCGTCCCACTGTTTTTTTCCTGATTGACTGATACCAAAGGCAACTTGCCCGGTTTAGCTAATTGGATACAGCATTTAAGGGTTGGGGAAAGGGAGTGGAGGAAAGTACAGAAAAAGAAGAGAGTGAGGGAATAACAGAGGAAACATTCTCAAGTAAAGGGACCCCGGACCACAGGTAGTTTGCATTTGTCTTGGGGGAAGAGGCCACTCTACAGTTTTGCACACTCACTAATGGTAACAGGGAGTGCCATGGCCAGGTTAGAAGTTAGATTCTATTGTCCAACCAACATGGCCCTCAAAACCCCATCATTTTGGGGGCCAGAATGGCATTTGCTGAAAATGGCTTTTGGCTGAGATATTCAACTACGATACGTTAAATGTCAAGTTATTACACATTAGCCCAGGGCTTCTACCTTGTTCCCAAAATGGGTTTGGCTTAGATCCGAGGCTTTGTATATCAGTGGAGGACTCAGATTGTAGGAGCTGTCCAGACAGAATGCTCAAAAGAGGTTCTTACAGTAAAAATCACCAGAAAGAATCCGTGAACTAAGCCTTTCCTCCTTTCCTCTCCATTCCCAATTGAATGCCCCAATCGCAAATCCATCATCTCATGCTCCTTTGAAAACAGTGACCAGCATGAAGGAAACTGTCTATTCATCTCAGAAGAAAGATAGATCAGTTTTCCCTTCCGGTAATCTGCCATATTTCTCCCCATACCTTCCTCCCAGCCCCCTCAAAACAAACCCCATAGCAGCTACAAAGTTGAAAGGGCTAAGAAATAAACCAACCTCCTCATATCCTGTATGGTTTGAAAGACAGAACAAAAACTCCCCCCAAAGCTGACATTGACCCCTACCTAGTTCAGTGATGATGGGGATGTTGACCCCAGTTGTGATGGATGGTTGACGTAACATCCCGTGCACTGGGCTGTTATCTGGAGAGGATCTATCCATTCCTGGAGGTGTGAACCCTAGTGGGAAGGAAACAGAGGAGGAAGAAAAATCAGAGAAGTAGAAAATTTGGAAATAATCAGAGTACACTATATACATACAACCCCAAAAATGTAGCTTATGCATTATTCACAGGTCAACAATTAGTATTCCCGGGATAAACTCTGATGATTAATTCTTTAGAAGGACAGGGTAGGAAACCATTATAAATAATCGTAACTCACTTCATAGTTCCCTAAAAAATCCAGACTTCATACCAATTATTTATTCTGCTCATAGATCTTGGCTCCCATCTCTTTCCAGGGACACAGGAGAATTATCCCCTGTGCCCCCTTGAAGTTAGGTATGGCCATGTGACACATGAAATGCTCTGGCCCATGAAAAGTGAGCAGAGCAGTGCATATCACTGCTGGTTCAGGTATTGGACAGCCATCTCTCTCTTCCCAGGCCATGGCAACTGTGAGAATACAGGTTACTATGGAGATGAAGGCTAGACAACAGCCCTGGACAGTTACCCAGACCCACAAAGCATACTGAGTGAGTCAAGAATAAAGCTGTGTTGCTTTAAGCCGCTGAGATTTGTTTGTTTGTTTGTTTGTTGTTGTTGTTACCACAACATAACCTAACCTGGCCTGACTGTTACCGTAAACCAATCAATTGCTTATCCTCTTGCTGGTGAGTGACTTAGGCCTCAGTTTTCACAGAGTTCTGGCCAATGGGAGGTGTCAGGAAATCTTCCTGGGGCTTTCAGGAAGTGTTTCCTTGCTCTTAAAAAGAAACACATAGGAAGAGATTCTCTTTTAATTTACTGAGCACGGTTTTATGTGCCTGTAGTGCCAGGAACTGAGGCACCAGCTGAGGGCATAACTAACTTAGTGATATTGGCTCAAGTGAATGACAGGAAGAGCTGTCCTGGAGTTCCTGGGGCAAGCAGCCTGGAGCCATCCCACCTCAGGATTTCTCCCTATGTGAGATTTTATACACATAAACACACACACACACACACACACACACACATACACAAATGTATTTATACATATACATACACACAATATAATAAGATGTTCACATTTTTTTCTTTCTGTTTAAGCTAAATGGAGAAGGAGTTTACTTGCATCTAAATCCTCCTGACTAATGTATATGCCACCTGCTTATGGCTGATCCCTTGAACTTCCCAGTGTGCCAAACACAGACCACATAAGGTATATGTGGACACAGGAAAATTGGAAAGCAGCCTGCTTGGTCTCTGATTTTGCAGTTTGGGCTTCTTTGGGTCCCAGGTCCAAGCCAAGTACATACCTGGATGAGGTTGGAACAACTGTAACTTTCAGTTTAGTGAGAGTGAGAAATATCCCGGCTAGGCAGAATGTCTGCCTCGTTAAGGTTTTGCATGGACACATATCAATATTAGAAACCTATTTACTTCCTACATTCATCTGGTAAAAATTAATTTTTCTAACGAAGCATACGGCAGCTCCACGCAAGTGGCAAGACCCAGTGCAATTACATTTAGATGATAGGCAAGCATTCACACTCACTTCGGTTTCTCCTTTTTTCCTTCAGCGGAATGCTACATGGGCTTACCAATGAATTAGGGACTTTTAGGAACAAAGTCACTTGCTAAATTTCCAAGGATAAAACTCCAAATAGATTATTATGTGACCAGATATCTGACTCACTTTCCAGCAATGTGACAAGATTGTGTTGAGTCTGGCATTTTGGCTAGGTGTGAGTCAGGAATGAAATACGGGAGCTCAATAATTGCCTGTTGTTTTGGAGGTGCATAATGCATAAAATGCCAGAGAAATATAAAAGGGTTTTCTTACTTTCTGCTCTCCCGTGTATACATTTCTTATCACTGAGTGCCATACTTTCAAAAAGAAAGACAAAGTTTTACTTAATATCCATTCCCTGACTGCACTTAAATTGATTCTTTACATTAATACACTATGAAAAGGGTAAGTCATTTTGATTGACATTGTAGTGTCCATCTTTTCAAACTTTCGAATATATGTTTTTCAGCCAACCACATAACCAAAAACACGCATTTTTAAATGCTAGCTGTTTTCTTCTTCTAGGATGGTGAAGGGGAAAACTAAACTGTTTTCATTAGAAGTTTCATTCAAAAACATGAAAAACTGGAAGTGACAGCTGTGCAGATTCAGTGGATGTGACGTTTTTGAATTTCTTCAACTTGACAAGTAAACACCTTAAATCGGTAATGCTATATGCATAATACATGGCCTGTATTTTGACATCCATCATCAAATGCTGACTTGAGAAAATACGGGTTTGTACGTCAAGGAATAGCACCCATAAAGCAGGGAGAAATGCAGGTCACACGGTATTAGGAAAACTGTATTTCATTACAGAACTCGCAACAAGCCACGGCATCCTTTTATTTTATCTTATTTAAAGATTCCATTTTCAGCTGTGAAAAGACTCAATTCCTTTGCATGAAACCTTCATTTGGAAATGACATGCTTGCTTCATAGGCTTCTTTCATTTTGCTTTCATATTCCATTTTCCCCTTCAGTCACCAGGCCTGGTTCCATTAGCATCTGCAACTGACAAACTATGGTAGGTGTCCAAAGACATCTCTCTGTTGAAGGCCCAACTCTCCCCTATGCATGACTCCCCAAAAAAGTGTGCTTTTATTGCTAAGAAAACTTCATGCCTCTTTTTGTTTCCCTACTTTTCTAGTCACACATTTTTAAAAGCAAAAGGCAACAATAACAGCAAAGTTGGCTTCTTCTTTTTCCCTGGTGTAGAGTTATGTTAAAGGTGAACATAATTTATTAGCATTGTTTCTTTCTTAGGGGTACTGATATGGGAAAATTATGGTCAGAAACGGCAGGATTGCCCCAGATTCCTTAAATGGCTTTGGAGAGAAGAGAAATTCAAGCACCTTCCATAAAGGAATGAGGCAATCCGGCCTTTGATGCCATAGGATGGTGTCCACCGCATTCCTCATAGCTGCATTTGATAAAGGGGCAGGTCTAAATTGTGGCCCAATCTCTGACCATCTTGCTCTCCTTCCCATTATTGCTTGCAGCCATGACTATATCATGGGTAGCACCTGAAGTCTCTCTACATTAAACAACGCCCTAGTTCTGCATGTGAACACACTGGCACATGGAATATACTCCAGAGATCTACAGCTAGAGAACAGTGAAACTGGGAAACACTCCCTTCATTAGTTAAACTAACACTTGGGAAGTTAATTTTAGAAACAACCACTTATTTTGCCAGAAAAGATGACTAAGAATATCACCATTAGAGACATGGAATGAGAAGTCCTCAATCAGGAAAAGACTGAAGTTTAAATCATCCACAGCCAAAGCTATCACCAGATGGGCTCCTGATTCTTTAGCCATGTACCCATAGCACTTTGTTGATCATGGCCATGGGAGGCAAGTTTTGTGCTAAAAATGACTTCCATATGTTTGTTGGCCATTTGTATATAACATCACTAAGTATCAGGAAAATGCAAATCAAAACACAATGTGATACCACCTTATTCCTGCAAGAACGGCCATAATCAAAATATCAAGAAACAGTAGATGTTGGCATGGATGCGGTGAACAGAGAACACCTCTACACTGCTGGCGGCAATGTAAACTACTACAGCCACTATGGAAAACAGTGTGGAGATTCCTCAAAGAACTAAAAGTAGATCTACCATTTTATCCAGCAATCCCACCACTGGTTATCTACCCAGAGGAAAAGAAGTCATTATTCGAAAAAGATACTTGCACACGAATGTTTATAGCAGCACAATTCACAATTGCAAAACCATGGAACTAACCCAAATGCCCATTAATCAATGAGAGGATAAAGAAACTGTGAGATATATATATATATACACACACACATATATATATCACATCACACACACACACACACACACACACACACATATATATGTGAGTGAATACTACACAGCCATACAAAGGAATTAATTAACAGCATTTGCAGTGACCTGGATGAGACTGGAGACTATTATTCTAAGTGATGTAACTCAGGAATGGAAAACCAAACATCATATGTTCTCACTGGTATGTGGGAGCTATGCTATGGAGATGCAAAGGCATAAGAATGATACAACAGACTTCAGGGACTTAGGGGTTAAGAGTGGGAGGGAGACGAGGGATAAAAGACTACAAATATGGGGCAGTGTATACTGCTTGGGTGAAGGATGCACCAAAATCTCACAGATCACCACTAAAGAACTTACTCATGCAACCAAACACCACCTGTACCCCAATACCCCAATAACTTCTGGAAACAATAAAAATAAAATAAATAACTTCCAAAGACCACCTGAACTCCTTACACTGTAAGTTTTCTCCCCACTCCAATCTTCAGTGGCTGGTGTGGCAGGTTTTTGTTACCTATTTTATTCATTCAGCATGAGACATAAGTGCTTGACCAACTTTATCCTATGACAGATATTCTCATTCTATATACTGTATAAGAACTTTAGGTCAGAGACTGGATTTTCATTTCTTTGAACTTCCCAGATTATCTACAAAATGCCCAGCACATAGAAAAGAAATAGAATGAAATTGTTAACAGCATGGGCTGTAAAGTCAGGTGTCCTGGATTCAAATTCTGGCACCTCCACCTATAAGCCATGGCACTATAAGCATTGTGCAGACTCTCTCCTAGTCTGCTTCTTCATCGATAAACCACAAATACCTCCCACATAGGACAATTGTAAGGATAAAATAAAATAATGTATTTAAAACATTTAGTACAATATCTGGTATGAGGCAAGTGCTAAAAAATGCTGGCTACCAATATTAATATTTTATTAGGTATACAATAAGTATTCGTGGATCACTTCCCCTTCCCTATGGATAAAGAACTGAAGAAGTATTTAGTAGATTCTTAAAAAAGATTTTTCACACACAGAAAATCCTAGAATACTAATGAGAAGGCAATGAGCATTGTGTGTGTGTGTGTGTGTGTGTGTGTGTGTGTGTGTGTATATATATATATATATATATATATATATATACACACAATATTCCTTATGTGATCATAAGGAAAGAAGGACTATGGCTCAGACAAGATATACACAAGTAATGGCTGGAAAAGGGTTCCAGGACACTGTAAACCCAAGTGCATTGGAAAATGAGAAAGGCTCAATGGCATTGTTTTTATGAGACTCAAAGCAAAGGCAAGAATACTCTAGACCTAAACTGGTTAATAATTGAGAATGAAGAAGAGAGGGGGAAGGCTGAACTAGAACCCAAAGAAAAAAAATAGCCAACACTTACTGAGTGCTTACTATGTACTGAATTTTGCTCACGTAATAACTTCGGTTCTCAGAACCATCCTATGTATATACTACTATTTTTCAGAGGAGGAAACTGAAGCACAGAGAAGGTAAGCAACTTGCCCCAGGACATACATCTAGGAATTAGCAGATCTCAGAGTGGAACCCAGATAAACAAGTCCCAGTGTCTCCTCTAAGCCACCACGCCATATTGCTTCTTATGTGCCAGGCTGGGCTAAGGGTTTTTTCATGGGCCACCTTGTTTATTCCTCATAACAGTCCCTGTGTGTTTAGGGACTGTTGATATTTGCATTTTGTAGAAGAGGAAAATAAGATTCAGAGCAGTGGCATAACTGGCTCAAGCATACCCAATTGGTAAGTGTCCCTGGGAGCCGCAGCCAGGCAGTCTGACCTCAGACTCCTGACACCTGCAGGCTGTGCCGCATCCCTGACTTGGGTGCTGGCCTTCTCCTTCTAGGTACTGTCCCTGGCAGGCAAGTCTGAGGCCTGAGCCAGTCTTACTTTTTATTGTTTTCACTTTTAAACAATAGCAGATAACAACTGGGACCCATTGTAGTTATGCTTAACTTGCTTTGGTATGGCAGCATGCACAACTCAGTACATATAATAAATGCTTTATTACAGTACTTTTCCATGGGGGAAACACAAAGTACTTTCTAAATCTTCCCTAGTTAAATCCCTGAGCCTTTCCAGGGAGAGAGGGAGATGGAAATTCTTATCAATCATCTCCCCTAGAATAGATGGAGAAATGAAGGTAAGTGCTTCTCCCACCCCGATAGACTTAACATAAAGGAATTGGTTCAAATGGTGGGCCAAATTATCTTTTATTGTGTGCATATAAATGATGGTTAGAAATCCATATGCTACGTTAAACTAGGGAAATAAATTAGGCCGAGTCATCTAGGTTTGCTGAGACAGGTATTCAATATGAAGTTGTAAAAGGGAAAGATCACCTTTAAAAATGATCTATAAAGACATGTTAAAATCAAGAGAAACATCTCATATTACATCATCTATGAGATGAATTAAATTTCCTGTTAATGCCAGGGAAAAAAACCTCAAAGGCAAATGTCAGATGAAGTGCAGATCAATAAAAATATTTTGATAAGTAAATGCAACAATGCTATTTAACACATGATTGGCAACTGCTGAAACATAAATTATCCAAATTTCCCATTGCTGCTTATGGGAAAATTATGCAGATTAGAACTTGATTAGGCTTATATCATGAGACTCAATTTGGACTTTTAATCTATTAAGCTCCAATAAATGAGGCATCTGAATAGCTCCCCTGAGCAACTACGGTAATAGCCACAGCAGTCATTTTTGCAGTATGTATTCCAACGAATGCTTCAGCAGCTGAAGTAAAGAAAATTCCATGTATAGAAGCACAATTGCTTTCTAACTTGTAGGGGAAGAAAATCCACACACACCAGGTTGATTTGGGAAACAGGTTTTTGGAAATGACTGCAAGAAAAATCCAGCCAAAGGAAAAACCTCAGTTTAACCTTGTAATATTTTTTCACAGTAGTTTTCAGTGGCTTCCTATGAAGCTAGAATCCAGAGTCAGGAAGGCCAGGCAGCTGACCATGTTTACTCAATAAAAAAAAGATTATTTACCAAGGCAGCAGCTTCTCCTGAAACTCCCCAAAGGCCACCCCAACAGGGTAGAGGTAGCCCCCAACAAGGTGCTGGAGGTCAGTGTCAAGGAGGGAAGCGGGGAAATGCCCCTGCCAATTTGTGACTCCCCCGCACAAAGCCTAATGACAGTGCTTGGAAACTGTATAAACAGATAATTCTGTGACTCCTGAGCCAAACCATAAGGTGTCTTTTGCCTCTTCAGCAATCATTCTATGCTAGAAACACGAGAGTTTTCAAAATCCTCTAATCAATTCCTCCATTCTTCAAATGAAGAAACTGAGGCTTAGAATGGAGAAGTTATTATATCCAAGGTCACAGAACCAGTTAGCAGCAGAACCAGGATAGTTGATATCTGCTGTTTTCTGTTCCTTTTTAACTCCTTCTATGCATAAGAAACCCATTCCACAGTGTTTGTTGGGGGTGCAGGGAAGAAACTCCGCCCCCACCCTGGAAACAGAAGTGGCAACATGAAGCCAGGCATCCTGACTTCACAGGGCCGCTGATGGTCCTGCATAATCCTGGCCACATCATCAGTTTAGAGATGAGTCTGTCCTCCTCAATCTAGGGCCTGTCCGTATTCTCCCCAGGACATTATGTAAAAGATGGTAAAGGTTCTGTGGTTGCAAAGTCAGGAGTCTGCAGGTGTGGGGCTACTGGCAAGCAGTTAGCCCACCATGGGGTGAATGAAAACAGGGCAAATGAACCAAGAGGTGGAGAGAATGAGATAGAGCTCTGTCATTGTTCAAGTTCCTGCACACAAATGTGCCTAAAACCAGAGACATTCCAGTTATATGTCTCTGTTTTTACTTAAGCCTTTTTGCATTGGATTTCACTTGTGCCAAAATGTCCCAACTAGTACAACAACTGAGAAAAATCTCCATTCTCTTCGCGGTGAAATGATTCATGCTGGCCTGATTTTCTACTGAAACAAATGACTGCATCTTCATTTAAGGTTTCCTGCTTGTCTCCAGTGACCAGGGACAAGACCTGGCTTAATACTCTCCTTGTTTCTTTCTATTTACAGTAACTAACAGTGACATTTTTAGCGGTACATTTTTTTAGAGACTGTCTTTGATTAGCACCTTTGCAAGTTGACTCCACCCACTGAATAAAGTGCCCCATCCTTTTTAGAGTTTACATTTTGGGTCCAACCCAAACCAAAGCAAATTAAACCAACCAAACAAACAAAACTTCTCTATAGTTATTTGCCCATTAAGATTCGTAAAATATATTCAGCTCTTAGACAAGTCTCACACACATGAAACAAATATATTTACAGGACTTGTCTCTCCAAGCAGACAGTCTCTTTCCTTAGAATTAACTTAAAGATGTAGTCCCAGCTATTCGGGAGGCTGAGGCAGGAAAATGGCCTGAACCCGGGAGGCAGAGCTTGCAGTGAGCTGAGATTGCACCACTGCACTCCAGCCTGGGCAACAAAGCGAGACTCCGTCTCAAAAAAAAAAAAAAAAAGAAAAAAAGAATTCGCTTAAAGAGCTTACTGTGTAAGATGTTTCTCAGAAGGGTTGGTTAAGGGGAGGAAGGAAGAAAAAGACAAAGCTAGTAACAACTCAAACACACCTAAAACTACAGATTTGGAGAGAAACCTAATATTCACCCGGTCTAATGTCTCCGTTTACCCAAGAGCTCATGGTATCATTGCTTTCTCCACAACATCTCAACTTCTCAGTTTTACCTTATCTTAATTCATCTTACAATTTAAAGATAAGGCCAGATGCAGTGGCTCATGCCTGTAATCCCAGTACTTTGGAGGCCAATGTGAGTGGATTGCTTGAGCTCAGGAGTTCAAGACAAGCCTGAGCAACATGGTGAAACCTCGTCTCTACTAAAAACAAACAAACAAACAAACAAACACAAAAAAATTAGCTGGGCATGGTAGGGTGTGCCTGTATTCCCAGCTACTTGGGAGGCTGACGTGGGAGGATTGCTTGAGCCAGGGAGGCAGAGGTTGCAGTGAGCCAAGATTGTGCCATTGTACTCCAGCCTGGGTGAAAAGGTGAGACCCTGTCTCAAAAAATAAAATATAATGAGACATACTTGCTTGGCCAGTGTGGATCAAATTACTTATAATTTTACCTCCACTTTGGCCTAAGCAATTGTACTTCTAAAAATATGTGTACAGCCATAATTTCCTTACATTAAAAATTTGGCTGCCAGGGTCTTCATTCATAGGTATTAAGTAACAACATTCCACTGAAAACAACATGAATGTCCAATTTTAGGGAAATTGGTTAAGTATGCATCCACTAAAAATAATGCAGAAAAACATTTCACGACAGAAAAATGGTCATGATAAAATGTTTGTGAAAAACCACAGGTAACATACTGACATGTATGATCCATTTTTTTGAGGGTAAAAGTATTTATATCTATGGAAATAAGACAAATATGTCAACTTTCTTATGTCTGAGCAGTAAAATTACAGGGAATGTGCATTTTCTTTTTGGTTTCTATAATTGCTAAATTTTCTAAAATAAACACATTTTATTTATGTAATGAAAAAAATTTTTTAAATTATAAATTGATGTTAAAGACCCTGAAATCTCGAAACCTCATGTGATCTCTATGGGTTGAGAGCAGCTGATGAACATGATGGATGGACACAGCTGGTTCATCTGTAAGGGTCTGACAGGTCTTTGAACATCCACTTGATTTGGCAGTTAAGGAGACTGAAGTTCTGAGATGGAAGTGATCAGGCCAAGGTTACAAAGCAAAGGGGCTTTAAAAGAACAGGGCCCAGAGAGAGTTTTCAGGCTTCCTAGTTCTCTGTTATTTCAGCCTCCCACCATCTTGTAAGAGCTACTCAATCTCAGAGCAGAGGCCATTTACATAAAGCACACATGGGCAGTGAAGAGCCCAAGAAACCCACAATGCCCCATGCACATAGGGGAAGGGAGGAGCAGTCAGAGCTGGTTTCCAACACAGAGGGAAAGTGGCACCTGCTGATGCCCATCCCTGCTCCCACCAGCCTTACCCACTTCAGAAACGCTGTTCCCCCTCTTCCCTCCCAACCCAGCTCCTGTCGTTTCTTTACCTCTTCCAGGACGTCTGCCTTGAATAACTTCTCACATTTAGTTACTTTATGAAGATGTTTTCCTCTGCCTTTTTTTCCATCCCCTTTATTCGTTATTTTAAAATGTATGAATTATTACTAAATATATACAAATTACTACATATTAATGTTTAAATGTTGTTAAGCATCTTTAATTCTTCTGTTTTATCTTCATATACCCACTGGACTTCCCAATTTCAATATGGCACAGCTTATGCTAACCTTTCTTTATTGTTTTTATTTATTCTTAATTCCTGTTCTGGGACCCTCCCTCTTTGCTGCCACCACAAGAGGACAAAGGCTGTTTTGCCACTAACATGGGATCTCCTCTTTCATGATGGATCACATTTCCAGTAAACTAGAGGCTTACTATGCCAGGGAAAAGGCAGATATATACATTACAAGACAATGATATCAAGGGGATACTAATAAAACACACAGACATCCCCCCTCATGCTGCCAAGACTATATACCATTTTGTTTCCATTACATCAATTTTTTTCTCCCCTTTTGCAAGCATTAATCAAAGAAACGTGAAGAGCTCATTAAAGTGATAGATTGACTGAAAATGTAACCACTTTTTCATTATAAACAGTTTCTTTATGTTCTTGGTGCTATGGGCTTTGTTTTTCAGCATTTGTCATGTAGTTCAAATGTCCTTTTACATTTAAAATACCAAATGCCAAATGGGCCCCAGTTGTTTGGTTTAGTATGAATTGATGGCCAGCACAGCAGAAACCAGAACTCCAAAATCACGAGCAAAGTATAACATCCATATCTTAAGCACACAGAAAATTAAGTAGCTGTAAAAGATGGGTTTGCCAAGTGATCCAAGGCCTTGCCATGAAATTCAGGAAAGCAGAATCGCATCAACAACTTTCAGCCAGCTATCTCTGAATGGTTCTAGAGACAAGACGCCTGGCCCAAGATAGCACCAAGGTTCCAAACAGTTGATGGTTCTTTAAAAGAAAGAATCTTTTTTTCTTAAGTGTTGAAGTGTTTCCTGTACATACGTTTATGCTGGCAGATGAATAGGAAACTGGGATCTTGGATCTTGGGGTCAGGCATTCCCACATACATACACACACGAATCTTCACTAGATGAGGGTTTGATGCTGGTTTGACTCTGAGCATCTCTCTGTACAGCGTGGTCAATAACTTTTGACCACTACCTGAAATAAGCCATACCATTTGTGGTCTAGAACTTGAACACTGTGGCTAGACTGAATGAGTTTGGGTCCTGCCTCTTTCTGTTTCTAATTTGTGATCTGGGGCAATTTATTTAAATTTTGTGTCTCAGTTTCCTCATCTGCAAATTGGAAGAGGAAGATGTCATGAAGATTGAATGAGTTAATAATAATAATACAGGGAAACTGCTTACAACAGCACCTGGCACAGAGCATGTACTTCATCAGTACTAACTTACTATTATTTATCAACAACAGGGTTGTAAGCTGACAGAGAAAACAAAACACATGGGTTTTAGTCCCAGGTCAACTCCTACCTCTCTGTGAGAATGTAGAAGGATTCAATGTCTTATCCAAACTCAGTTCTCCCATCCATAAAATGAGGTTGTAGCAATGTCCCAAATCCCTTTAGATTACCGTGCATCATACATAATATTGAAACCACGATAATTCTGTGTTCAGCTACTCAATATTCAGGAATGTCTGTGGAGTCATTCATGGGGTTGTTCTTTTAAGGAAGTGGAACACAGGAGCCCTCTCTTCCAGAATCCTATCACATTGTCGGTATCAACAAACATATCAACATTTCATACAAGAGATGCGCACCAAATACATTAAACCACAACAACCATGTAGCTTGCACATCACAACTCCAGGTACACATCATATCCTCTCTCAGGAGTAGCCCCTAAGGCATGATCCTCCCTCCAGGAGCCCTGCATCCTTTCCATTTGCTAACAGTCAAATCATTCATTTGCTGCTATGCGATCACAGTCGTGGCAATGGCTGTGGCCCTTGGTGTCTTCATCTGTAAAATAGGAATGACTCTAAGGCCCTCTCAGCTTTGAGATTTATGTCTCTTTCATGACCCCAAATTTTAAACGTGATCTCCAACAAAATAAGCTAGCAAAGGGAATCCAGAGGATCTCCTTACAGACTCCTTCACAAGCTCTAGTGTACATCCAGATTTTTTTGATTCAGTTTTATACCTTTGCCCAGAGGATAAAACTTCACTTCTCAAACCAAGGAGAAGGAAGTACTTTCTCCAAAGTTGCTCTAATGGCTGAGAAGGCCATAAATAACCATTTATTAAACAAACACTATGGGCTAAAGGAAGAGAAACCACCGCAATTAGGCCCCTGAGGCCTGCAGGCACAGTACATAACGATGGGACTCTCATAATCCAGGCAATATATAACCAGTTGTTCCATTTTCTTGAAGTTATCTTCATAATCAAGATGCTATCTCGGGCATTGTGGGCTTTAAAACTATTTTTAATTTTAATTTAAAGAGTAATTAAAGAAAGACAATGGATATGCAGGATAATAAAGTAAGCGATTAGCAGCATGCAAATGACATAGGCTTAATGATAATATGGTTCTAGTCTCCAAACAGCTTGTCGAGAGAAAGCCCTTTCTACATGTGGTTGTTCAGCTAATGTGTCTCAACCCACAATTACAACATTGCTGACACCATTAACCAGTGAAACAACACCACTTCGCGAAATCCTTGTTGTCTCATTAAAAAGGAAAGGGTCAGGTAATTTACCAACGTTGTATGTCTAGTTTTGTTGTTGGTAATTAGCAAACATTACCCAGCATAGACTCCCACTGGGAACTGGAGGAACTTTGTGAAATATTAAAGAAGAAAGCCTTTATATTTCACTGGAAAATTGAAAAGAGGTGCAGTAATATTCTCCCTGTCATCTTTTTGCATTTAGGAAAAGGAAAATGCAACTTGGAACTCTTTAATTTCAGGAGAAATATTCAAAATGCATTGGGAAGTCACTACCCACATTAAGACCCTGGATCACCATTGTATACTGGCAAATAGAATCTGCATCCCTGTTTACAAAAGGGAGTTGGAGATGGGAGGACGGGAAAATTGCAAACTTTATCTTTATTGCTCTTACTTATGTTATTTGAATTAATCTCCTTGAAACAGAAGAAAGGAGATATAAAATTTTCTTTTTGAAATGCTACGGGACTTAAATAAGCACCAGAATTATTTATTCAGAAAAATACACACACACACACACACACACGAACACGCGCGCGCACACACACACACACACACACGCACATACACACACATATTTAGACCTAAAGAGAGAAGAAATATATTCCAGGGAAGAGACTTCCTGCCTCCATGCTTCCTAATAGAATCTTCCCCACATTGGAACTCAGACCCCGCCCCCAACACTGGCCAATGCTTGGTGTGTTGTCAGGGAGTAGAATGGTATCTTATTCTTTAAATGGAACTTTTGGAACATAAAACACATTCCAATAAATGTGAGCAGAAAATTATGAATTCATTAAACTACTTTGGTATCTTGTGCTATATATAATATTTATATTCCGACTACTGTAAAATATGCTTTAATATCTTTAGGCAACTATAAGGACTTAAATATTTATAAAATGGCTAAAGATAAAGTATGGCCCTCTTATTCCTACATACAGATGATGTAAGGCATGCAATCAAAGACAATAACACTCTCTGCCCATTTGTCATCTTAAAGGAGCCGATCAACGCGCCATCCCTCGTGTGCCATCTACATAAGAGTTGTTGCCGACACAGGCAACTCCAGAGGAGTTTGCGCCTTAAAAACTACCTAGAGTGCTATACTTCATAGAAAACAGGGCTTTCTGAAAATGGAGACAAAACAATAAATTTGCAGGCAAAACAGCTCCAAGAGGGGCTTCAAAGTACTGCTGTATTTATCTCTGGGACATGAGGGAACAGGAAGCATTTTGATTTAATATTTCATAAGATAGAGACAATTGCTTCCTTGCATGGTATATACTTAATGCTCACAGAAATGAGTTTTTTTTAAAAAAGTTTCAATATCTTAAATGCAAATAAATAAATAAATAAGGAGACACACCTGCATAATAGGAAGGGCTTCCTTTGGAAATATGGAATAGACCCATATAATCCCAATAAAGAGAAAGCCACCACGAATTTATAATCACCTAGGGGCCTGTTAAAAGTAGTTTTATAGATTAAGTGTGAAACCTCAACCCTGATGTTATTATTATTTACCTTCCTTGCTTGCCTTTAGGCCCATGGCCTGATTGATTTTCAAAATTCTTCCATTTCCTATGCTGATTAGGTATTCAAAGAATTGTTTGTGCCCACCTGCCTTGACCTCTCAAATGGACACCCCCTGGTTTATTTTCCCAGCTCCCACTAGCTCCCTGCTGGGAACCATGTGGAAGTTTGTGAATTTCTCATGTATCTTGCATTTTCACAATGCCCATTATATGCTTTCCAAATCTCCTAGCAATCATGCCTAGGAGAATGATTTATTCTATAAATAAATTTCCAAGATAAATTTCTATGGAAATGTAAGCTTTAGTAAATCAGCTGCCTGATACAAGGATCAGAGATGGTTTCCTTGAGTAAGTAAGGGGCTAGGCTGGTGTTTCTCAACTTGGGCTGCACGTTGGAATCACCAATGCATGCCTGCATCAATGTCTAATTTAATTGCTCTGGAGTATGGCCTGAGCATTTCAAGAATGTTAAAAGTTCCCCAGGTGAGTGCAATGTGCAGCTAAGGTTGAAAAACAGTGGGCTAGTTCAGAATTAAATCCACCCATTTAAGGGCAACTAATCTTTGACAAGGATGTCAAGAACACACAATAGGTAAAGGACAGTCTATTCAATGAATAATGATGTTCAGAAAACAATATTTACATGCAAAAGAATAAATCTGAACACTTCTCTTACAGCATATACAAAAATCAAATGGATTAAAGACTTGAATGTAAAATCTGAAACCGTAAAACTCCTAGGAGAAAAAATAGGGGAAAAGCTCTTTGACATTGGTCTGGGCGATGATTTCTTGGATATGACACCAAAAGCACAGGCAACAAAAGCAAAAATTAAAAAGCGGGACTACATCAAACTAAAAATCTGCACAGCAAAGAAAACAATCAACAAAGTGAGAAGCCAATCTACTGAACGGGAGAAAATATTTTAAAACCACCTAGCCAATAAAGGGTTAATATCCCATCTATATAAAGAACTCATATACTCAGTAGCAAGAAAATAAATAACCTGATTAAGAAATGGGCAAAGGAACCTAATAGACATCTTTATAAAGAAGATATACAAATGGCCAACAAGTAGATATGAAAAGGTGCTCAATATCACTAATCATCAGAAAAATGCAAATCACAATAAGATATCACCTCATACCTGTTAAGATTGCTATTATTGAAAAGACAAGTGATAACAAGTGTTGGTGAGGTTGGAGAGAAAAGTGAACCCTTGTACACTGCTGGTGGGAATGTAAATTGGTACAGCCCTATAGAAGACAGTATGAAGTTTCTATAAAAAATTAAAAATAGAACCACCACATGATTTAGCAATCCCACTTCTGGGTATATATCCAACAGAAATGAAATCAGTATCTCAAAGAGACATCTGCACCTCCATGTTTATTGGAGCACTATTCACAATAGCCAAGATATAGAAACCACTGGTGTCCATTGACAGATGAGTAGATAAAGAAAATATGGTCTGTGTTGTGTATGTACCTGCACATATATATAATGGAATATTATTCAGCCATAAAAAAGAAAGAAATTCTGTCATTCAACAACATAGATGAACTGGAGAACATCATGCTAAGTGAAATAAGCCAGTTATAGAAGGACAAATACTGTATGATCTCACTTATACATGGAATCTAAAAAGTTGAACTCATAGAAGCAGAAAGTAGAACAGTGGTGGCCAGGGACTGTGGTGAGGGTCAGGGGGAATGGGGAGATGTTGGTCAAAGGATACAAACTTGCCATTATAGGATGAATAAATTCTGGGGCTGTAATGTAAAGTGTGGTGACTATAGTTGATAGTGCTGTGTAGTACACTTGAAGTTTGCAAAAAGAATAGATCTTAAGTGTCCTCATGACACACACCCGGGCACACACACACACAATAGTAACTATGGGAGATGATGGATGTGTTTATTAACTTGATTTTGGTAATAATTTCACAATGTATATGTATATCAAATCATCATGTTGTAAACCTTGAATATATACAACTTTTACTTGTCAGTTGTATTTCAATAAACCTGGAGGGGAAGAAAATCATTAGGGTAGACAAAACTCTTAAATTTGTATATAAATATTTATGTGTCTATGAAGAGGTAGGAGGAGGGTCACAGAGAAGATTCATTATTAGCTATTTAAAGGGGTAGGTACAAGACCCCTTTCCCAGTTGAGAACTAATATGCTATAGGTTTTCTGGCTGAGACCCAAAATTACTGTTTTAAGAAAAAAAAAAAAAAGAGGCAAAGGAGGGAGGCCAAGTGCCATCTGTTGACTAGGTGGAGTAGCATGGGTCCTGCTCTGGAAGGGTGTCACTTCACCAACATCAGGGCTCCTACCACAACCAAACCCCAGAGGTTGGAAGTGTATGAGGTTTTCTGTCAGCGAGCTGTCCCAATCTCTGCTTCAGAGAGCAGCTGCGTTGCATGGCGCCATGCTAGCCTGTCTATGGAGGGGAAGCGCCCCATGCTCACTGTTCATCTGCCCTAGTCCTTCCTCAACTCCTCTGTAGGCTTTTGTTAGTCTACCTTACCTGGTCTGCTCACCTTCCAAAGGTGTGTTGGTTTCTATCATCATCTATTTTCTATGCATATTTACAGACAAACAGATCAACAGTAATTCTGGCTGCTAGGTACAAGTGGATAATCCTAACTTATGATTTGTTAATCTGGGAGTAGGAGGGGATGAAATAAAATAGTAAAATTGTAATAATAATAACAAAAATAGCTAACATTGCTTGATTTCTCCCATCCTAGGTAGGAAGTGCTTTAACAGCCATTCATTCAGGGTTGCCATGTATGGTTGTGAAGGTTGGGCACTACACAGTAGCTAATCTAAGTGGGTACCACTCATATCAATAGGCATTGTATATTTGCATATTTATGACAATATTTTTTCCCAGCAGATGACAGAAAAGTGTATTGTTCAAACATATTAGTAGATTATCACCATTTTTTTCAGCAGATGAAAATAAGGTGTCTTGAGAAAAGAGTGACTTTTTCTGGCTTACTTAAAGGTACTGTATGGACAATAGAAAGTCCTGTATCTCATTGAATTCTCATAGTCATTTGATAAGCCAGGTGCATTTAGTATTCTTAGTGAGAAAATTGAGATAAAAAGAGGTAAAGTAATTTTCCCAGGCCTAGTAAGTGGCAGATCTGGGCTTCAAACCCAAGCTGTCATTCCAGACCCATGTGTGCCATGACTGAACTTGACTGCAAAGTGCTATTTCTACAGCCTTTGATGTTTAATAACCTTTCTGCAGCCATTATGTCTTTGTATTCATACACTGATCCCTCGGTGTTTTGGGGTGGGGTCATTTAATATATAGATATATAGATGAGGAAATGAAATCTGGAATCTTTATTATGTCAAATTGCTCATGATGGACAGAACCAGGATTTAAAAGCTGTTCCTTAACCCTCCATGACTGCATCATTACTCTGACAGCCATGTTTGTGATTCACTATCATGAACTAGAGCAACAAAACACATCTTCCAAGTTCCTCCTGCTCCAGTCTACCGCTGAGAGGAATGTTCATTTCTACATGGCCAGGGAAGCTCTCAGGAAGCATTCACAGCTCCCTGGAGCAGAAAGCAGAGATATTTTCTGCCCTTTGTTGAACTTTGGAGGTCTCAGTCCTACAGCCTTGGGCCCTGGGTTGGTACTGTGTAATAGTACATTCAGCGAGGCCAGTCAAAGGTTGAGGGCCAGGAGCTATTAGTAAAGGTTAAGGGAATAGTACAGTTTATATTAGAGACAACCTGGCCATCTGATAAAGGCTCCTCCAGACAAGTGCAACATCTTTGATCTCTGTAACCCTTGTCCAGTGCCCAGTTGTCAAATGAAGGGAGACTAAATCCTGGAGGGAAAGTGTAGGTTTTTAATACAGGTATTTGGCTGCTTTATCTCATTTGAGGGCACGTTAAGAGAGAACAGGCTGCAAACAACAGATAGCAGGATTAAATCATGTATTCATGTATCCATCCCCTCCACAAACCTCTACTGAGTGTCTACTAGGTGTGAGGTACTGTGCTAAGCATTTAGAAAGATTTCTGGCAGTTGGCGAGCATGAAGAGGTCAGCAAAACAATAGAACAGGCTCTTCTTTGGAGGATCTACTCAGGTTAACAGTGCACCCACCTACAAGCATTTCCTTTGACATAGTGAGCCCTTTAAGTACCTTGGTTATACCATTAGTACACAAATAGCCAGGTGACCCTCTGTGAAAAACACTCGGCCTTTCCTGTTTCTGTGCCTTCTGTTACTCAGCTTCAGCCCTTTCCACATGCCTGTCGGAACCTTTATTTATATTAATCACACTTATTTTCAAATTCTGGTCCCTTTACTCTGGAGTCTTTCCTGACTACCACAGCCCAAAGCCACCTCTGCCTTCTCATAACACATTGTGTGGCAGCATGCATGGGACACTGAAAACATCTGGTAGAACATCTCTCCTGGAGATCTGTAACAAGATGCTCAAGGACTATCCTGCTTTTCTGGAATTCAGAAAATAATTTTCCTCCAGACCATTCCATGAAGTATAATTGAAGCATTTAAGGACTAGCCATATCCTTAAATGTTCAATAAATCCAGAACTAAAGTCATTTATAAATCAGTTGGCTTCTTTGCAGTGCCACTTTTTCTTTCTTTCTTTCTTTCTTTTTCTTTTTGCTTGTTTGTTTTTGGTTTTGTTTTTGAGATGGGATCTCACTCTGTTACCCAGGCTGGAGGGCAATGGCGCAATCTCGGCTCACTGCAACCTCCACCTCCTGGGTTCATGTGATTCTCCTGCCTCAGCTTCTGGAGTAGCTGGGTCTACAGATGTGAGCCACCACACCAGGCTTATTTTTGTACTTTAATAGAGATGGGGTTTCACCATGTTAGCCAGGCTGGTCTCAAACTCCCAACCTCAGGTGATCCACCTGCTTCGGCCCCCCAGTGTGCTGGGATTACAGGCATGAGCCACTGCATCTGGCCTCAGGGCCATTTATTTCTTTATTTTTTTCTTGAGATGGAATTTCGCTCTTGTTGCTTTTAAGAAAAGAAGTAAAGTTTTTAAGACTGCACATGAGCTATTGCCTATAGAGAATAGGTGAAGACAAAAATGCACTGAATAGCTGGCTAGATTTATCTGCCAGCTTGAGGCATGTGTGCTATCTTCACAGCAGGTGTATTGAATGAAATGGCTCACACTCTGCACAAGGAATACACTGAAATGTTCCAAGCCCTGTATCCTTAAGTATGTGTGTCAAAGTCATTCCATACAACTTATTTTATGTTTCTGTCCCTTTTGCCTGTAGACCCCATTACTTCTATGACAGCATAGACTATGGAGACAACAGGGGCACTAACCTCATGCATAGGATGCAAACCAAACTGACATGCAGGATAAGGTAGTTGACCTATCCTTATCCAGAATTTCATGAGGTGTCTTAGAGGGTCCATGGGATTACAAGACTTCCTTTACTTCTCTCTGATTCTACAGCTGTGGTTTCCCCACTATAAGACAATTTCTCTGGACCATTTTCTGAGCCTAGGCTTTGGGCGCTACAGTGGTCTCTTCATTCTCATCTGCTGTCACGGAAACTTCCGCTTGAGCATGGAAGGAGTAAATAAAACCTGAAAATGTTATTTAAGTGTCTTCACAAAGAAAGTAACAGCTAGGTCTCAAATATTCCACTCTCTTCCTTACAGCTCCGAAGTCCCATCTATATTCACAAGAAAAACAGAAAAGAAAGACTCCAACAGTCATACTGTTCACAGAGACAGGCTAAGCACAGTGCTTCACATTGCCCCCAGATTTACTCATTTGTCCAGTGGTAGTAGCAAGAAAGACTGAAGCCAACAGAATCCTAGTATCTCTCATTGTTGGAACAGCTAGGGTCAAGGGGCTCAAAAAATGGGGATTCACAGAGACAAGAACCGTTGAAAACAAACTTCAGCCCCTTAGGTGCAAGGACCAGTTTAGAAGTGAGGCTGGCACACCTTGAGCACTTTCATCCCCTTGAGTGTTTGTCCTGGGGGTGCCCCCATGACCCTTGAAAGTACATGTATAGCTTCAGGCCCATTCTCATCAGGATAACACTTGCCTTTTAAGAGACAGGCTGATGTGCCGAGAAAAGCATAGACTTTGAAATCAGATGTTTGGAGATCAACTCCATGTGCCCTTGACTAGCTATAAGGCTATGGGAAAGGTACCTAATTCCCCTGAATCTCTGCTTTCTCAACTGTAAAATGAAGGTGGTAACTCTCCCTCAGCAGGTTGTCAGGGAGATTAAATAAGATATTACATAGGAATGTGTCTGGTGTATGGCTCACCTGAAAAAAAAATTACATTTTCTTAAAAAAGGCATTAACCAGGCACACAAATTTTGAGGAGTAAACTGGCATGTGAGAGCCAGATGCTAAAACCATAAGTTCAGTCCAACCCCAAGACCACCCAAAATCTGCTTTCTGTCTCTGAAGCTAAGATTTCCCTTCACGACAGTTGTCACAAGCCGGGCACAGCCTGAGTGGGGACATGAATCTGCTCTGCATCCATTTGGAAGGAAAAGATGATTCTGTCTGTTTTTACTTTTTCTTCTGCACATCCACTCTCCAAGAAAGTCTTTCATGCATGGAGGGCATAAAACCCTCCATGAGTTCAAAAAGTAGTCCAAGTTTCTCAGTCTCTTATTATAGCTGCTGCTGTTGTTTTTCCTTGTTTCTCTTGCTAGGAATACATTACTAGAATAGTAAATGGCAGGGTTAAAGAGGATCTCTCATGTGATGAAATATGCTATATAGGAAAAATTCTCTTAAGTTGAAGTCATTTAGAAAACAGCTGCAATTGCTGCTTTGCTGAAATACATCTGCACCTGAGATTCTTGTGATGAGATTCATCTTGGGATGTCCACGGAAGAAATGTAACAGGGCAGGCCCCTTTCTGTACTTGAGATCTGCTCAGAGCCCTAAGCCAGATTTTCTTTATTGTTTAGTAAGCTCTTTTAATGAAATGTACTACTCTTATTATAGAGGACTCAAGATAAGATCTAAATCACAAACCAATAAAAGAAAATTATTGGGGTAGATATCTAAAGTTACTACCTAGAGGCTACTCCAGTGTGGTATTTATAAATCTCTAAACAGTTAAGTATAATTGTCTTTCTGGTTTTTGGGACGGAAGCCAACAGCAGTTTCAGTTACAATGGAAGAAAAATATTTTAGCGCTGAGCTTTGTTCGTTTAGTGGGTATAAAGAGAAATGGCTTCTCCCCTATCACCATTTCAGAATTGAGAGAGAATATTGTGGTAATGAAATGTTATATGGGAGCAGCTGAAAAAATTCTTCTCTGACTTCAAGGAGGGGAAATGTGTGTGAGGATACATGTATAGGTGCGTCTGCAAGAAACAGTGAGCAGCCTGGGGGTCAGGAAAGCCAGGCTTGTAGAAGTGGGAGAAGGCAGAGCCCTGGGAAAAAGGCAGGTGTGGAAGGGTGGTGTGGAAGTTGAAGATGGGGTGGTCTGTCCAATTAATGGAAAAGCCAGATCTGCAGCTGCTCACCCCAATGCCGTCCGCTCCCCATCTTTGAACACAAAGACAGTGCCGTTCAGGAAGGACATGAATGCTTCCACTAAAAGACTCATGACCCCAATCCTGACAAACACCATAGCTCTCCCTCTGGAGTTACAATGCAAATCATATAAAACACAGATCCCTATGTAATAAAAATCAAGAACATGCTGGATATCCTTAGTTATAAAGGACCACAGAACTCATCTCTCTACCAATCTCCCTCCCATCACAAAGAGCGTGTCAGTAACTCTCCTTTAGCAAAGAGACAGTCAGGGATAGGAGGCTCGCTGCATTTGCAGGCTGTCCATGCTGTTCTGGAAATATCTTCCTTATGTTGGGCTAAAATCCTGTTCTCCTTAATTATTAACCATTGGCCCTGGTTTTTGTCCAATGGAGCAGAAGATTAAATGGCCCTTTAAGCCTGCTGGCTTTGTTCTCTTAACCACTTGGCAAGTGACATGTTGTCCAGGCACTGCCCCATTCTGGCCGTCCTCTTTACAACATTTTTCTGTTTGTTTGTCAAATTTCTGCTTCAAATCTTCACAGCTCTTGACACATTCCCTCCTATCCCAACAAAGATGAAACAGTCACTGCTCAAAAGAAATGATGCTTTTATCACCAAGGTTTATCTAGCCTGTCTTTACTGATCATTTGAAAATTAACATGCAGAGGTCCTCAATGCATTCTGTCCTGTGGATTTCATCCCAGAGTTCCACTTTAGGAAGGCCCTTTTCGTTCTGCTTTTTGTCATCCAGTAATTTAGAGATCCTAATCCACACTGTCTCACACAAAGATAAAAGAGAAATCACATTTTCTTCTTTGGAACAGTAAAAGACATCTCAGACTTTAGGATAGGGAAGGTGTACCCTATGCCCCCAATTAATGCTATCTCTCCAAGGACTGCTGCCATACTTCCAAAGAAAAATGTCATTCCCTACTTGAGGCTCTTAACCTTTGTTGAAATGTGGAGAAAGGAGGGTGTCCGCTTATATGTGGATGTTCATTTAGTGTAACTATAGCTTCAGGTCAAAGAGGGCGGGAGGAAAGCTGTGTGTGTGTGTGCGTATGTGTGTGTGTGTTTGTGTGTGTGTGTGTGTCTGTGTGTCTATAAAGCATAAAATATGGAAAAAAGGCAGTGGACATATGTCTTGGGTTTGAGATCTTGGCTCCTCCCTCCCCTGGGACATTCGGGACAGGCTCAGCTTTTGGTTCTCCGGCTTCTACCAAAGTTTTCCTCTACCCTCTCTTTCTGAGATGGTATACTTCTGTCCTGCAATTCTCTTGCCTCTCTCCCTCTCTCTGAGGCTCTCCTTTGCTCCTAGAGCATGAGCAATGGGCCAGATTGCTAGAAGCAAACTTTTCCTGGATTAAGGACTTCATTTCCACCCTTCAGCTTTTCATGCCCATCTGGATTTTCCACTAAGTCCCCGTGGAAATAAACCATGACTAAAACCCAATCCTCCCAACACTGCTTTCTCCTGCAGCCTGTCCCTCCACTCTGCCATCCTCTGACCCCCAGAAGGAAACACACATCCATGCAGACTGTTTTGCATGTACAGTGACTCCTTCTAGAACCTCCCATTCTTTTTCCAGTCCAAGGTTTCAGGCTTCCATCTGGATAGCCACAGTTCCTAACCAGAGTCCTTGCATCTTCTTCCTTTCCACTCCAAACAATGCTTCACAGGGCTGCCAGATCCATCTCCCTAAAGCTCAGGTCCAATCCCATCACTCTCTTGCTTTGAAACCTTCTGTAGCTCCCCAGTGCCTAGTGAATTATTTACAGCTTCCTAACTCATAAACACATAAAAAATTATTTACAGCTTCCTAACTCAAGAAAGAAAAGAAATTCCTCAATGCCCAACCCACATTTCAACTTCATCTCTCCCTGCTGCCTTATATGTACCCTGTATTGGGGCCAAATTGTACTTGTCCCTGTCCCTCTAACACATCCCCAGGAATCTTTGCCGTCACTTCCATTCGCTCCGTCTCAAGCCAGCTCACTTTGCCTCCACCTGTTATCTTTTTCAAGCATGGAATTAATTACTCTTTTCCTATAAATCTTTGATGACTCCCCCAAATCCAAACCCTTAGCAA
Source organism: Homo sapiens (assembly GCF_000001405.40). Taxonomy (NCBI): domain Eukaryota; kingdom Metazoa; phylum Chordata; class Mammalia; order Primates; family Hominidae; genus Homo; species Homo sapiens. The sequence goes on from NC_000010.11 coordinate 76,938,942, forward strand.
GACAAGTCTACACTCTAGGACTGCACCATCCAATATGGTAGCCACTGGCTATGGATCACTTTAAATTTTTATATTTGTTAAAATTAAATTAAAAGGAAAAATTTAATTCCTAAATTTCAAGTGCTCCATAGCCACATGCATTCAAGTCATCCACAGATGCCACCTCTTCTTTTTTTTTTTTTTTTTTTTTTTTTTTTGAGATGGAGTCTTGCTCTGTCGCCCAGGCTGGAGTGCAGTGGCATGATTTTGGCTCAATGCAAGCTCCGCCTCCTGGGTTCAAATGATTCTCCTGCCTTAGCCTCCCAAGTAGCTGGGACTACAGGGGCGTGCCACCAGGCCTTGCTAATTTTTTGTATTTTTAGTACAGACGGGGTTTCACTGTGTTAGCCAGGATGGTCTCGATCTCCTGACCTTGTGATCCACCTGCCTTGGCCTCCCAGAGTGCTGGGATTACAGGCGTAAGCCACCGTGCCTGGCCGATGCCACCTCTTCTTGAAAGCCTTCTCAATTCCTCAAAATACCTAAACCAAGGATCCCTTTGTGTTCCTCTATTTCTAGCCTCGTCCTTGTTTCCTTGGACTGTCATTGTTTATGGGGATACCTCCTCCACTCACCTGAATCCTGCAAGCATAGTGAGTGGCTGAATCCAAGCAACCTTTGGTCACCTTTGTGTTCTGGGCCTTTAGAGTGCCTGATGCATGGAGAACAGCCATTTATTCCTTTTTCTTTTCCTTAGGAGTTACCTTTCATGGAAGGGTAAGCAGGAAGCAACTACAAGATCATCATTTCAAAACAATATGAAAGCAGAATGGGAAATGCCATGGCATGCTCCCTCTTTTCAGGTATGAACTGAAGCAGCTCAGAGAGCGGACATTGCCTCCCTCTGCTCACCCTTTCTTCCAAGATCAGACTCAGTTCTCATCTTTTTGAACCACAGGGAAACAGTCTGGCAAGAGCCACTGTTGTACCAGCTGATTTAAATTGAAATGTTTTCCCCAGATAAATGCGTGCTAAATAATACACCAGCTCTCCAGCCAAAGGGAAGTGACAGGCACTCTGTAAATAAAGGCACTTAGTTGCTGGTAAAGAGCTGTAAAGTGGTTCTGAGCTGATGTTTGCTGACCAGCAAGAAGCAGCTTCATCTGCTTTATATAATTGTCACTGCAGTTTTGCCTGCTGTATATTAAAACTGCATCTCATAGACCCAACTGTCACATCGGATATACCATCTGGCTTGGGATATGCCACCTTTTCTGTAATTGTTTTTGACAACAAGCCATCACATCTTGGGTCTTTTCAGAAAGTGTCTGGTCCAGAATCCCTAGGCTGGGTCAGTTCTGACACCATGTGGGCTAGAAAAGTGACATCAAAAGGGAGTGTGAAAAGAGAACAGAAGAGAAAAAAGAGGCTTTGTTAGTCTAGGAGCCCTAATAACATGCAGTGGCAGCTGTCCAATGAAGGCTCTACTTTCTCAATGTGAATGCACATTTTTCATGCTAAATTATATCATCTTAGGACAGCTTTCCATAGGGTTGCATGCATATTCTGGCCCAAGAGCATGACATTTGTCCTGAGTCCACATTTCTACCCAGTGAGGTTCTAGAGACATGGAGACAGTTCTTCAGACAATGCAGAGCATGAGGTTCCATAAAGGACCATAGAATACATAAGAGGGAAAGCAAGGTGTCAGTGGCCAGAAATCTGTGTAGTTATCACTCAGAGGAAGTTAGATTTGTTTTCCAAAATGATAAGAGTAACATGAAATCCCCAGCACTTTGGGAGGCCAAGGTGAGTGGATCACCTGAGGCCAGGAGTTTGAGACCAGCCTGGCCAACATAGTGAAACTCTGTCTCTACTAAAAATACAAAAATTAGCCGGGTGTGGCAGCACGCACCTGTAATCCCAGCTACTTGGGAGGCTGAGGCAGGAGAATCACTTGAACCCAGGAGGTGGAGGTTGCAGTGAGCTGATATCACACCATTGCATTCCAGCCTGGGCAACAGAGAGAGACTCTACCTCGAAAGAAAGAAAGAAAGAAAGAGAGAAAGAGAGAAAGAAAGGAAGGAAGGAAGGAAGGAAGAAAGAAAGAAAGAAAGAAAGAAAGAAAGAAAGAGAAAGAAAGAAAGAAAAAGAAAGAAAGAAAGAGAAAGAAAGAAAGAAGGGAGGGAGGGAGGGAGGGAAGGGAAGGGAAGGGAAGGGAAGGGAAGGGAAGGGAGGGAAGGGAAGGAAGGAAGGAAGGAAGGGAGGGAGGGAGGGAAGGAGGGAAAGAAAAGAAAAGAAAAAAAATGGAGAGTAACATGAAATCCTTTTTGTTCCCCATAATCCCTATTCCCTTGGAGCTTGATCATGCCAAATGCCCAGATGAAGGATGACAAAAGTATCTCAGGCCAGTGGGCACTCCAGTTAGTCAAAAGGGTCTCAGATATAGAAAAGCAGGGAAACTCAGCTCACAGAGTCAGCTCACAGGCTGGGAGGAGCCCAAGGAGTGGAGTGCTGGGTCTGCAGCCAGAGGTGAGCTCTGGGGAAGGAGCGATTTCTCTGTGTTGATGGCTCCCACTGGACCACTGCCTTTACAAGGTTAGAGTATCACCAGAGAACAGTATTCAAAAACAAGAGAGGAGCAGACAGACAGACAAGAAAACAATGGGACATAAAGTCTTGGTGGGCCTAGAGCTTTGACACTCTCTCTTAGGGAGCAGAACAGACTGCTGGCTAGTGAGAGACAGATGCTCCTCTCCACTGCTGACCAGGGGTCTACGAGAATCACTGCTGAGCATAGAAACACATCCTTTGCCTTCTTCTGTCATTTGTGCGGTCTTAGTCCATTTGGGCTCCTGTAACAAACACCATAATCTGGGTGGCTGATAGACAACAGATATTTATTTCCCACAGTTCTGGAGAACGGAAAGTTCAAGGTCAAGGCGCTGGCATGTTCAGTCTCTGGTGAGGACTTTCTCGCAGTGTCCTCACATGACAGAAGGGACGAGGGGTCTCTCTCAGGCTTCTTTTACTTTATTTATTTGTTTGTTGGTTTATTTTATTTTGTTTTAGACAGAGTCTTGCTCTGTCACCCAGGCTGGAATGCAATGGTGCCATCTCGGCTCACTGTAACCTCCACCTCCCGGGTTCAAGTGATTCTCCTGCCTCAGCCTCCCGAGTAGCTGGGATTATAGGCACCCGCCACCATGCCTGGCTAACTTTTTTGTATTTTTAGTAGAGATTGGGTTTCGCCATGTTGGCCAAGTGGTCTCAAACTCCTGACCTCAGGTGATCCACCCGCCTTAGCCTCCCAAGGCGTGAGCCACCATGCCTGGCCTCAGGCTTCTTTTATAAGGACACCAGTCCCATTCATGAGGGCTCCACCCTCATGACCTAAACACCTCTCAAAGGCCCCACCACCTAATACCATCGCCTTGAGGGTTAGGATTTCAATGTATGTATTTGGCAGGGAGTAGGTGGAGGGTACAAAAACATTCAGACCATAACTGTGTGCATGTGTGTATACAAAAGAAAGAGTGCCCTTTTTTTCTTTGGAGGAAAAATAAGCTCCCTTTCTCTTTCCTCCATATCTCCTGTCAAAACCTATTTTTCTTGCTTATCCTGTGCTATAAAAGAATAAAGAAGGCTTTTGGGCACCGGGGAGTGGAAGAATTGTTACCAGTTTGGCCTTTATATAGGATCTAAGAGGCTGGGATGAGGTTTAAGAGAACTGGAAGGAACAACTATATCAGATGTGTATGTAACTAAATTATACACTGACATTCTAATCTGTGGCCCTGGAAAATCATGATCGAGTTTGGAGGAAACAGGCATGTTGGGGAAAGGGAGTGTTTTCCTGCCTCCTCCTGCTGGCTTCTGTCTGTACTTAAAGGGAGAATCATTGCTTTCACTGTTTTCCTTTCCCCTTGATGGTTCACTCCTCCCCAGGAGAGGAGGAGCATCTACCAAGGGTTGGTCACATCCTGTTCATGTGAAGGTTTACTGTGCTTTAAAAGGGCACATTTGAGTTGCCTGGGGATCTTGTTGGAATGCAGATTCTGACCCAGCAGGTCTGGGATGGCCCATGAGGTTCTGTAACTCTAACAGCCTCCCCCAACAGACACCCATACTGGGGCAGGGCAGAGAGGACACATATTGAAAGTCAAGGGCTTAAAGGCAGGAACCAAATGCCGGCTTGCCTCTTTCAACTCCTAGAAGGTCAGCTTACTGTCTTCTCACATCCTTTCTCGCCTGTGCTACCCGGGCAGGCCGCACAGGATGCGGGCTCTACCTCTTCAGGATGCAGCTGGGAGTAAGCTCAGAGCCTCTCCTAGGCCTTCACATGTTGTGCTGTCCTGCGGGCACAGCTGAGCAGGTGGATACCAAGATTTAGATTTGGGTGTGGCAGGGAGGACGGTGGCATGGAGAGGTCAAAATTAGGCTTCAGGCTGTATCAGGGTGATGTCAGAAGGACAGAAGCCATTTCACATGCACCACCAAAGGGGAAGGTTCTCTTAAGCTTGACCAGAAGCTGCTGTGAATCTCAAGATCCTCAGAGAAGCCCCAGCCCCTCTCTCAGTCTGTAGCAGTGAAGACACTGGCTCCCAGAAAGCTCATCTGATAGAAGATTTGAACCTGGGTCTGCCAGGGTCTGGCTGCAGTTGCCTCCAAAGAATCAAAGCCTATCTTTCTCCTCCACTTTCCAAATCTCACCCCAGTGCCCATCTCCCACCAGCTGACTCTAGCCCAGAGCCATGCAGGGAAGAGGATTCCAGGAACTATTGTTCCTGGCTTTTCTGCAATGCTAAGCAAATGTTAGAAGGCAGTGGTGGTGATGTCAAGTTGACAAAAAATAATGTAGCTCACAGGTCCAGGATGCATGATTCAGCTGAGCTTCTAGAAAGCCTGGCATGATGGGGAGGAGGTCAGACACTTGCCAAGCTATCAATAAGGTGATGCTTCATATCCCAGTAGCCATAGCTCTCATGGGCTGTGCTCCTACACCCTTCCATCCTGGACTGATGGGATTCTGGTCCCCATCAGGCAGCCAATGCCACCCTCTGGCAGCTCGTCTGTAACAACTATCCTCCAATTCATGGCTAGCCTACACGGAGGTGTCACTCAATGGAAAATGCTTTGCATCCTATCCTGCCAGATCCTGATTACAGAGGTCATTTTTTATGAAGGTTTTGCTGTGTTGCCTTTCTGAGACCCCTAGACATCTTTACTTGTAACCACCTGCCCAGGGTCCCAAAGCAAATGACAGGAAAGACTAGGGGCAGAGTAGGAAGGCAGACGTGTGTCACTTAAGGCTGCTTTGCCTCCTATAGGAAAATGTGTGGTCTGACAAGTGTCACCATTTGCTAAATGACTTTTAGTGTCCATAGAGTTGCCACTCTCCAGAGATTACCATCCCTTGGTCAGCAGAGTCCTAGAGGCGGCTCTAACAATAGCAAAGCTTCATTCCCATCCCAGCTCAATGGCAAAAACATATACTGGAAGGAAACGGTCAGAATTGTGCAGCCAGCTTCTTTTCAGTGCTCTGACATTTAGCTGATGACACTGGTCATGAAGCCACTCCTTGGGAAAGCTGAGGGGGTGGCTATTTAAAGGCTTGTTTATCCTCTGGAAAGGCAACCTAGTCTGTGTGTGGGTGACCAGGTCTCAAGCCTGCATTCTGGAATGGAAAGAAGAGGCAGCAGATGCCCCTTTGAAAGCCATCATGGTGACCGCAGGTTTCACTGCCAGGCAGGCTGATGTGAGCCTCTTTGAATTACTGAGTGAAGGATATCCCTCTTGCCAGCCCCTGTCCCCTGCAGGCACAGCAAAGAAGTATTACAGGCTGTCCTTACCTTGGGAATTAGCCTGCAAGACTCCGATGCTGTCATCAAACTGCATAGATTTGATGTTGAGTGACGCCAAGATGCATTCCTTGTCCTGCAGCGAAGTATCATCAATATTATTCTGATTGGCTGACAGGATAACGCACATGTCACAGAGGTTGATGTTGACAGCCCTTAAATCAGCCCGACTTAATGGCGTACCCTTTGGCATAGAGGAAAGAAAAAAAAACAGAGATGGGGGGAGAAAGAGACAGAGAGAGAGAGAGAGGAGCAAAAGTGAGAGGAGAGGGAAAGAGGAAAACAAATTAAAGATTGAGTCGGAGCTTTGGGAAATTATTTAACAAGTATCTTTTTTATGCCTTGACATTAAGCTGGCCTAACTACATTCAAGGGAATAGGAGCTGTGTGCTAATCTAAAGGGTAGTCGGTGCTGATGGCAGCATTTTAAGCTTGTTCTCAATACTCAATCAAGCTATTACTAACAAACGCGGGAGAGGAATAATGCCAGGGTTCTACATCTTCTTCCTGCCTGGAAATTGTCTTGATTTAAGTAACTGTCCTGTGGCAACCTCTGGCTTTCAGAATGTAACAAGGGGGTGGGTTTCAAATGCCTGTTTATTTAATAGCGGGTCACTTCTGTCTCAGGCAAAAGACAGCAGTTCCAATGCAGCCAAGGAGAAATGGCCAGTGAGCACAGAGTGATGAGGTGGGCCTGGATGTGCGGCTCAATTTGGAGGCTATGGATGGAGTGGAATTAATGTGTGCAATGCAAAAGAGATATGGAAAGGAGTTAAGCTTCAGATCATATAATTTTATTGCATATTTTCAGCAAGAAAAAAATACACAGGGAAATGACCTAATTGTCCAACAACATAGGAATGGAGAAATATACTTTTGGACATGCACACAGTGAAAATGTATGCAGGAGGTAAAGAGGCAGAGCTGGCTCTCCATGCAGGCATTGGTTTAGAAGCCTAAGATAGAGGGGGAAGTGAAAAAAAAAGTTCTACAGCAGTTAAAAAAAAGTATAGTTTCATTTATGTAAAAAAAAAAACCCACAAAATAAAATTACATATATATAAATGTATGTAAATTTGGAAGGAAAGCACAGGAAAAATAGCCATTACACTAATAATGGTAATTCCCTCTGGGAAGGGAAATAGGATTCGTGGGGGTGAGGGGAAAGTTTGCTTTTCACTTTATATACTTCTATATTGCTTGAATATTTTATAACAAGAACATATTTGTATATTACAGGTACATTTAAAAAATAAATAAGCCAGTAAACAGATTTTTTAACATAAAAAATAACAACAAAAGACAGTGGAAAAATCCCAGATCCAGGAAGTAACAACAGAGTCCGGGAATGCAAGCATAGGGAAAATAGAAGGGTTAGGTTAGGACAGGGCCATGGCCTCCACATGCTCTGTGTCTTCAGGTGAAGCCACAGCAAAATCATCAGGCCACCCCATGCCATAGCTCCCCAGTGGCCACGCGGCATCATTTTGGGGCTCCTGTCTGGCCACCAGCTTCATTGGTCCTCTAGCTTGAATCTAGCTTCCTCTTTGCCTGTGTGGTGACCTGAGTTACCTTCAACTCACTGATTGTGTAGACCAAGGGTTTGCCAACTGTCACATATCTGGGAATGTCCTCCTCTAATCTCCCTTTCTGGAGAACTGGCTTTGGAAAGAGACTTGGCTGCAGAGATGGAGCCTATCTACCCTCTTTTATGAGTCACTGGTAGTCATGATTCTATTCTCAGGCCCTAAAATATTGTGCAACTATGGAGGAAGGGGCATTTAGCACTGTGGTTGCTGCTGAGACACAACTAGTTCCAAGCTCTGGAGCAGCGTCTTTTTGAGAGAAGGAGAATGCCCTCTTCTCCTGTGATCTCTTGGTACAAAACAAGTCCAACCAACTTCCTGAATCATTTTGCCAGTGCATAAGCTTCAATTGCCTGCATCCATATTCTTTTAATTTTCATCTTGTAGGGAAGCCAGCCGTAATTGTGATATAAGATGATCCCTGTGCAGTTGTACACACGTGATTTCAAACTACAAGAAATACAAATGACATACATAGAAATCGCTTATGTTTCTCTGGGCTGGCCCTATAGGCAGGGTACTGTTTAACCAATAAACTCTGTGAAGACATAGGTGAAGGCCCATTTTGTGAAAATCTATTGTGCTTGAGTATGTTAAATTTTGGAGGGTTTGAAATGACCTGCAAAGATGACAGCTCATTCATATACATGAAGAAAGATGAGTGAACGTGTACAAGGGCACACAGAGCCGGGCGCGGTGGCTGATGCCTGTAATCCCAGCACTTTGGGAGGCCGAGGTGGGTGGATCACCTGAGGTCAGGAGTTTGCAACCATCCTGGCCAACATGGTGAAACCCTGTCTCTACTGAAAATACAAAAAAAGTAGCCAGGCATGGTGGTGCATGCCTGTAAACCCAGCTACTCAGGAGACTGAGGCAGGAGAATCGCTTGAACCCAGGAGGTGAAGGTTGCAGTGAGCCGAGATCGTGCCATTGCACTCCAGCCTGGGCAGCAAGAGTGAAACTTGGACTCAAAACAAACAAACAAACAAAAACAAACAAACAAAAAAGGTCACACAGGAGGAAACATACACAAACACACAAAACACACACACAAATACCAAATATCACACATATACCCATCTCTCTCCACACACATACACACACAGACTCATGTATCCTGGTAAAATAATAAACCCTTTACAAAGACACTTTCAGAGGTCAGGGGACTATGTGGAGGAGCACATGACAGAAAGATAACCATGGAATCATATAATCAAATCGACCATATTTCTGGAATGAGCAAAGCATATATATGCTTATGCTCTCCTCTGTGTATGACTGTTTGTCTATAGGTGACTATTTTCAACTGCCTGTGCTCACTAAGGCAGTGGGTTTTTGGCCCAGCATCCAAAAGATAACTGTCCGATCTTTTTCTCACTCCTTTAAATATTTATTGAGTCCCTATTGTGTCAGGCATTATGTAAAGGCACATGGTGGCATCTAATGAGTAACATGTACTGCTTGTGGATAGATTCTTGTGTGTTCTTTAATGAATTATATTACTTGGCTCTTTTTCCCCCCATTTCTGAGGTTTTGGAAGCTGATAACAGAAATAATACATTTTAGCTTTGTAAGTGGGGGAAAACCCAGACTTCTTAACATGTAGAGAAATCCATGTTCCTCAGTTGTTTCTTGTTTTGTTTTTGTTTTTGTTTGAGGCAGGCTCTTGTTCTGTTGCCCAGGCTGGAGTGCAGTGGTGCTTTCACAGCCCACTGCAGCCTCCACCTCTCAGGCTCAAGTGATCCTCCCAACTCAGCCTCTCAAGTAGCTGGAACTACAAGCACACGCCACCACATCAGGCTAATTTTTTTAACTTTTTGTAGAGAAGAGGTCTCACCATGTTGCCCAGGCTGCTCATGAACTCCTGAGCTTAAGTGGTCCTCCCGCCTCAGCATCCCAAAATGCAGGGATTACAGGGATTAGCCACTGCACCTGGCCCCTGTTTCTCAGTTTCAGGGATGTGAACTTACAAGAAAAATATTTGGAGGATAAGTGAGATTTGCATGAATTTGTGATGTGGAGAATTACATCAAATGTTGAAATGCATAATTCTCTACAATGTTTTGAGAGTTTGTGGACTATGCATTCATTATGATTAGGAAGTAGTTAATTACATGACTCCTAAATCCCATATCCTCACACTAAATTGTGGAGTCCCAGACTGTTTTTTCAGACTGAAGTCCTAATGTTTTGCAGTCAAGAATATCATGCACACATGCACACACGGACACACACACAAACACAACCATGAACACGTTGCTGGACTTCTAAATGAACAGGGGTTGGGGCTGAGCTGCAGAAGGAGTTGGCCTTCTGTACAGCAGAAATAAAGAACTCTGTTATTTGCATTTATTTAGTTAAAAACAGAAGGTGGCACAGATCAATGTTTCTTCAAGCATTAAAAATGCCATAAGTATAATGCTATAAATAGTTCTGTAAGCAAATCCTTACTATAAACATCATAATATAACAATGCTCTAGGTTTTGTATAGGCAGGAGTGAGAGTGTTTAGACGCTGATATGGTTAATATACTTGATACAAGCTAAACTTCATCCCTGATGAGGGACTGAACTTGGCTGCAAATTCCTTTTAATAAGGTCTCCCAGGGTTTGGATTTTCCTTGACAGAGCATAGGGGAAGTGCTGAGTCCTCAGGCCCATACCCAGATGAAGAAGCACAGGCATGATCAAAGCTACAACTATTATATCCATCCGGGATTTTCTTTTGTGAATGAAAAGAAGAAAAGGCATCAATAATGTGACCTTGGACTTACAGGCAATATGGACACTTTGGGGAAGTTATGAAGCGTCTCCCATTCCCGCTTGAGGTACTCAATAGAGCCCACAAACACAATGTGCTTGAGCTCATGGTAATGAAAGTTGCTGGCACGGAGCGGCATCACCAGGTTCCGGAGGCCGATCAGGGCTGAGCTGACGTCGCCAAAGATGCAGACCACGACATGGCCACTCAGGACGGTCATGGCAGCTTCACTTCGAGTCTACAACAGGGAGAAGTGGGTAAGAGTCAGAGAGAAGACTGCATAGGGCTGTTGTAAGGAGTGAAATAAATCATTTGTGCAAAGAATCAAGCAAATATTTGCTGAGAGCTTACTATGTGCTATTATTTTTATTTCATCAATGTTATATACATGCCATATAGAGCTATAATTTGAGCACGTGTATATGTATTATATTTTTGTAATAAATCTGTCCAAATGTATAGCCATACACATTGCTACCTTCTTTGACAAAAGATTTAAGAAAGGTATGCCATAAATATGTGTGAGCAGACCTTCATAATAATTTTCAGGAGGTAAAATAAAAAGGAAAAGGAATATTTATGCTATTTGGAAAGAGAAGTCTTAGTTTCCATGAAATTGTTGATTAAATGAGCTGCCTTTTCTGGCTTGCTTGCTGAGATGATGATAAAATGGTCAGATGCCTGCACTGGGCTCAGTGGGAGAAATTTGACTTTAGAATTCTAGACTTATCAGTGAGATGTCCGTGCATCAGCAGGTGGAACATGCTACCTAAAGCCAGGAGTGGAAAACTACGACCCACAGGCCAAATCTGGCCCACTACATTCTTTTGTATGTTCAGTGAGCTAAAAATTGTTTTTGTGCTTCAAAATGGTTGAAAAAAAATCAAAAGAAGACAATGTCATAATCTGTGAAAATTACATAAAGTTCAAATTCCCATAAAGTTGTATTGGAATGCAGCCATGCTCATACGTTTAGGTATTGCCTATGGGTGCTTTTATGCTACAACAGCAGAGCTAATCAGTAGCAACAGAGATCTTATACCCTGAAAAACCTAAATTTTTCATTATATGACTTATTACAGAAAAAGTTTGCTGACCCCTGTCCAATGCTGCCTTGGACTTTCCAGGGACATTTCTGGAGGGGCCTGTTTTGCTTAAATCATTCAGAGAAAAGATCTCCCCAAATAATCATTACAAGGGGCTAGAGAGAGATTAGTAAGAGCAACAGGCCAGTGTCTTCCTCCAACTCCAAACCTCTATCTACAAAGGAGACAAATGAAAGAACACAGTCACTCTATTAGAGGAGAACCCCAACTTCCCAGGAAATACAAATGTTTAGTCACTGCTGGCCCTTTGATTCACTGAGCTAGTGAAGCCAGGAGGCCAGCCGTGGACCTTTCTCTGCCTCTCCTTCTGGTTCAATGCCTCCCATTCCTGTCCACCCACTGCATGCCTGGATGGCCCCATGTGGCTTACAATGCTTTGGGGGAGGCATATTAATGTCCACTGTACATATCAAACTCTGCTTGATTTAATCTCTAGAATTGACCACTGCATTGATTGTATAAATGCCAATGTTGCAATTCACAACAATGTCAGGGTTATTACAGTAACCCCCAAGGAGAGGAAGAAACTAGCTTTCACTCTCTGATCATTAGAATAAAGCAGGGGCTGTCACCATTATTGGTTTCCCTCTGCAATAGTCCAGGGAAACCGGAGACATAAGCTGTAAGAAATGCCTTAGAAACTGTGACCAAGGAAGACCCACTGGGGAGCTCACATCACATATCCCCACTTCCTGCAGAAGACCTGGAGTTAGTTATCTGGGCCGCACGGAAGTGCAAGTGCCTGGGTGCCACCAGGAGACAGCCAACCAGTCTATAAAGCACTGTTATGTGATGGGGCTCCTAATTATTTGTAATTGGCCAGGTCACCTGGGAGGCTAGCTCCCTTCAACAAGCCAGAGGAATATAAACTGGGCCCAGGGTGGAAGTGAATTCTAGAATAGGGAGGTGGGGAAGGCACAGTTAGTTGAGTGGCCGAGGCACAGATGCTGACCCCAGGAACTTCGATCTGGGATCAAAACACCCATCCTCAGACTGGCCACAGCTACATCACCCAGAGAACCTTATGAATATCCTAATTCTAGAGCCTCAGCCCCGGTGTGTCTGATTTTGCCGGGTTTAAAGCACACTAGAGAGAGAAACTGATCATTTCTCTATGTATCTGGAATTCCCATGCATCCTTCCAGGCCCAACCCAAGCACAACCTATGTGTGTATGACGGGACTTGCCTGGTCACTTAAACACACCCTAGTCCTTCTCCCCTACATTTCAATAGCATTTTGCACCTCTTACCACTTAGCTTTAAATACACTGTTTCATGGGTTACATTTTATATCTTCTCTCTAATTAATCCAGGAAATTACAATTGGGACTATCTCTTATATCTTCAAATCCCCAAAGTAGTTAGTTTCCCGTGCCCAGTGGGTACACAACCTCAAAGCATCCTCATGTAGCTGGCCCTACCTGTCATTCTTATCTCTAGCCGTGTTACTTTAGAGAGGGCTTCTTGGATCATACTTTCCAGACAGCACCTCCCAGTCTCTTTCTAGCCTACAATGCTGCTTTACTTTTTTCAAAGCATCCTATAAATATCTGAAATGTTATTAAGTACTCATTTGTCTACCTAGAGATAACTCCTCTTCCCCCAGCCCCACCCTGCTAGAACACAAAGAGATAACTCCTCTTCCCCCAGCCCCACCCTGCTAGAACACAAGCTCTGTGAGAGCAGTCGTTGTCAGGGATTGCATCTCCAGTAACTAGAATGGTGTGTGGCACATAGTAGGCCTCCTGGAGATGTTTTGTTAAATGATGTTATTTTTCATAGGATAGAAGTAGTAACTCACCTCCTTAAACTTTTTTATGCTGGCAGGAGATGTTGATTGAATATCAGTTGGCATGCATACTACACCAATATCCAGGCAAGTCATTAAAACCCTAGGTCCCAGATACGGCATCCAGCCTGTGACCTGCCACAAGTGGTAACATCAGGCTAAATTTAGGCCACCAGGGCAAAAGTGCCATGAATACATCAGAATGTACATATATGGCTGGGTGCAGTGACTCACGCCTGTAATCCCAGCACTTTGGGAGGCCAAGGTTGGCGGATCATGAGCTCAAGAAATCGAGACCATCCTGGCCAATATGGTGAAACCCTGTCTCTACTAAAAATACAAAAAAATAACTGGGTATGGTGGCGCGAACCTATAGTCCCAGCTACTCGGGAGGCTGAGGCAGGAGAATCGCTTGAATCTGGGAGGCAGATGTTTCAGTGAGCTGATAGGGCTCTGCACTCCAGCCTGGCGACAGAGCGAGACTCTGTCTCAAAAAAACAAAACAAAACAAAAAGAATGTACATACGTGAAGCAGCTTTGCGAGTAGAACAATTTGCACTCCTGGTCAGTTGGACAACAGCTGTTTGCTAAGAATTCTGACTTTCTGTGCTCTTGCCTGCAACTTTCCCACCTCTGAGACAGCCTCCAGCTTGATACTGTATTGGCTGTTAATGCTCATTTATAATTAAGCTGAGAACACACATACACATAGATAAAGCATAGGGGAAAGTCCAGTGTGTTAGCATACAAAGCCATTCCGAGGACCCAGAACAGTCCTTGTTTAGGAAGGGTGGTCCTGACATCAGAAATGATAGGATTTTCCTGGCTGACAAAAAGGAACAGACCCATACCAATCTGGGGATTAGAGGCCCAAGGGAGAAAGAACCCTTCCATCTGACTTTCCTGATTATTAATCCATTTCTCATGGATTAGCAAGACAATAAACTGTAGGAAAGCCAGTGTAGGCATTAAGACCCAAAGCTGTTAATAGAACAAGGGCAGAGAGTAGAATGGATTGTTACCTATGCTGACATTCCTGGGAGAGACTGGGTGAGCCCACTGCTGCTATGAAGATGTTCACAAGCCTTCCACGAAATAGGGCTCTGAGCCCCAGCCTCCCCAAGGGGACTGTAGTTCATTATTGTCATCATTATGTCATGCATCATCATGCATTTCCCTGTCTACAACATGCACTAAGAAAGCTCACAGATGCACAAGGCTATTATCTATAAGAATACAAAACATTGCTATAAACCAATAACAATACAGGCAGCATTCAGCTTTCCTCACAGCATTTAATAATAGTAAGAATAAGAGGTAACTTTACTGAGTCATCTGTTGGATTTTAATCTTCACTACAGCCCTATGAGTTAGGGTCATTCTCATCTCATCTTTTTACAGATAAGAAAACCGAAGTGCAAAAAGTCAAATGAATTACCCAAGCCATGCAGCTAATAATTGGTACAGGCAGGCTCTGACACCAGCGCCATGGCCACAGGAATTATGTTCATACCACCTCCCACCATGGCTTTCCCACAGCAAGTGCTCACCTACTCTTATGAGGAGCCAATATATTCAGAGATTGAAAAATCTGAATATTGCTTATGTTCTGATCAGAGGTCTAGCTGCTTCAATCTATGCTCAGAATTTCACTCATCAAAAATAATTAGGACCAGGGACAGTATTATCCCACTGTCCAACTAGGGAAACCCCATTCCTAGCAAATGTGGTTTGGGGCAGAAGCGGGCAACATCAGATGCACAGTCCCTCACTCACCAGGATGACTTTCTCTATCTCCTTGGGTGCACACCAGTGAAACATCCCAGTAGAGTCGTACTTCTTCACATTGGAGTCCATGTTGTCAATCTGATCATTGCCAGGAATTAACAAGGGGTCATGCCTGGGAAGAAAAGGACAGGAAAACCTAAGTGGAAAATGTGATAAATTATAAATGGAAAGTGCCCCCTGAATTACATCTCAGAGGATGTGAAAGATGCAGAGGAAGTGGTTGTCACTGAAGGCCATTCTTCTGCTTACAGAATCCATCCTTTGAGAGACAACTGCCCCAAACCACCACCCCACTTCTGGAAGTGCAGGTGACCTTTGTCAGGGAGCATTTCTGCCTTTCCCCCGCTCCTCTTTTCCTAAATGGTCTTCCTAACATTTTGTGGATTCAGCCTCCCTTTTTAAGGCTACCTCACTCCTCTTCCTCTCATTTTACCAGCTATTCGATCTCCCCAGCGTGCACACACACACACACACACACACATACACACACACAGACAGACACACCAAAGGGTTGCTATGAGCCTCGGCAATGAAGAGGAAGGAATAGGAATAGAGCCTCATGCTGACTGACTGGCATGAGGATGGAAAGCCAATTACTCGCTCCTTCTGACTACAACTTCTGACGTGATGCTCTTCGCAGTAAAAGCTTTAACAGGCTGCACTTTAAATATTTTAGCAATTTGCCCAATCAGATTTTGCTCTCCCTGGCTGAAGCCTTTAAAGATTCAGCAGCATGTCACTTCAGAGCAGACTGACTACCAAATGCCCACATCTGGAATACATGATTTCAATACTAAACAACACCCTCTCTCCTTGCCTTGACAACTGTATATGCACTAACCATCCAATGATGCTCCCCACCACCTTCACCTCCCAACTGCTGCATATCTTAGATGAGAGCCTCAAGCTCAGATGCATCTTAATAAACTTGTTTCAAATTCTCAGGGCAACATTCGCCCTCTATTGCCTTGTCTATTGGTGGAAAAGGAAGATGCTTCCATAAAGGCCTCCCGTCTAGTGGGTTGGCAGAGCCTCACTGACAACCTTAAGAACTGCAATGGAATCAGGCAGTTCTAACAAGCTTATAGCACAATAAATAAGCTCCTGCACCTTGAATCATAGTCAATGTCCATGCTTTTATCTCTGATAGTGATTCAGCACCTCGGGTTTGGGAAGTCATTGTTCCTTCCTGCAAAACTGGCCATATAATTAGGACATTGTCCCAGCTATACTTAACCACTCTTGAAATGGAGCTATCTTTTCTGAGTAATATTGTCAACACAAGACAGAAAATATACATCGGGTCACATTCCATAAATTGTAAAGTGATTTTACCTTTTGAAATTCTATATTTCAACATCAGAGGGTGACTTTTTTCTTTTTTCTTTTTTTTTTTTTTTAGACAGAGTCTCGCTCTGCAGAGGCTGACTTTTATTTACTTTTTACTATTTGTCCTTCTGAAATGTCTCCGATACTTCCCACTTATATGTCAAGAGTACAGAGTGGGACAGCAATCTCTTCCATGGCCCAAAAACCTAGGATTAAGCTTTTGAATAACTACCACGACCCTCCAATATGCTCCCCACTCCCACATAAGGTGAGAAAACTTTCTCACTGCCTTTATTTATGCCTGAGAATTTGCTTTTAGACTACACCAAATGACAAATACTATGTGAAGCCAACTTGCAAAGTTATCTTCAACGAACATGCTAGACTACTATAGGAATATCTGTCATATCTGATCTTAAAAGAAGAACAATCCCACTCCGAGTAGCATCTCAGTGTCTGGATTGTTGAGAGGTCTTGAGGTATGTAAACCACCAGGCCATCTTCCAAATACTGAACTTAGTCAAAGATGTTAAGATAAAAAGGCTGATAAGAACTATTTACAGATCAGGGTGAGAGCACATTTTGAGGGATGTTTTTGTCCTTGAAGAGTCTTTAACAGTTGCATAGATATCTATTAATATTATCTGGAATAGGTAGGTAGACAAAAGCCATCATGGAGAAGAGGTTTGAGAAAATGAACAAAATTAACTCTTTCCAGCCCATGAAGAACATATTTCAGTTGCAAGAGGATATTAGCAGACTTGCCCTGAAGATATAGAGCCAGGTTCAAATTCTCTTGCCCTGTTTACTGGTTGGAGAGAAAGTATTACCTCAGGATGACCTGAGACCTGCCCCTAGTGCATTTAGGATTTAAAAGATACTCAGAACTATGTTCCCATAATATCAGCAAGCAAGCAAATGAAACAGCAAGCTGACAAAAAACACTTTTAGAAAATGTGTGCCTTGGGGAAGAGGAGATACATTTTGGTTTGGTATACTTGATTCTTTCTGGGAAGGAGTCAGACGTTGTTAACAGTGGCCTACAACTTTCATCCAGAAAAGCAAATAAGCAAGCCTGATGATCGATCGCCCTTCAATAAAAAGAAAAAAGACAGCTAATGTCAAGCTTCATTAACTGGGGTAGTGGTTTCCAGAAACCAGGCATAATTTCACACTGGAGCTCAAGCCATGGTTTGCAATGGAACATCCAGAGGCATCCAGGAAGTCTTAGAGGTATGCCACACTACACTCTACTCCCCACACATCTCTCATCCTGGCCTGGACCATTTAAATATAAACAATCCAGGATTTCCCCCAAGAGACTGACCTGAGGAACATCAAAAACCTCCCGGAACAAAGACATTACCCTCTCTGACCAGCATGGTACCTGGAATTCTAACTTTGGTTTATTGAATCAGTAAAGCAACCAATTGAATCAGTAAAGCAATCAATAAGAATCCCCTATTCTGAGCATGGAATGGAGGCTACAGTAATGATTAAGATAAAGTCCCTAGTCAAAGAGAGGTCCACAAGATAGCAGGAAAAAAATATATATACACCAATAGTTCAATAGTTACAGTACCTTGTGGCAAGTGTTACAGCAAAGTACAAGGTGATACAAGAATACCAAGAAAAAAGCTGTTCATATCCTGGTATTTGGGTAGCATTAAGGAAGGTTTTGCAAAGAAAGTAGCATTTGGGCCGGGCGTGGTGGCTCAGGCCTGTAATCCCAGCACTTTGGGAGGCCAAGGTGGGCGGATCATGAGGTCAGGAGATCGTGTCCATCCTGGCTAACACGGTGAAACCCCATCTCTATTAAAAATACAAAAAAATTAGCCAGGCATGGTGGTGGGTGCCTGTAGTCCCAGCTACTCTACTCGGGAGGCTGAGGCAGGAGAATGGGGTGAACCCAGGAGGTGGAGCTTGCAGTGAGCCGAGATCACGCCACTACATTCCAGCCTGGGCAACAGAGCGAGACTCTGTCTCAAAAAAAAAAAAAAAAAAAAAAAAATTAGCATTTGATCTGAACCATGAGAAATGAAGAGGAATCTCAGCATGTTGCAGTGTTGATCCACTAATAGCCAGTAGGACCCACCCAGAGAATTGAGGCCCAAATGAAAAGGGCCAAATAATGGCACCTAAAACCATGGCTGAAGATGCCCCATACCATACCACCTAACCTAAGGTACAGAAGACTCAGACCAGGCCTTCCAGCTGTCTCCAGATGTGCAATGACAGTCAAGTTGAAGATGGATTAAACTGATTGAGTATGACTGATTGACAGCAGACTAAGAATGATCCATGAGATTAAGAGAGAACAAAAATCATGGTTCCAAAACAGGAAGATTGTTATAAAAATTGAAAGTAATTCAAAAATGAAATGAGTTGTTGCCCAAGACAGTGGGTTTTCTATCATTGAGCCATTCCACAAGAGCAAGGGATACAGTGAGCATATGCATATAAAGGTTGGGCGAGCCTAGAAGATCCTGAAGGTTTGAAGCACTGTGCTGTCACTGGAGAAAGACACAGCTAGAAGAATTTTGAAAGTACTGGACCATTGTTGGATATCAGAAGGCTGGAGAGCCCTGAGTAGGTAAAGAAAGGTTGCTAGAGTGAAGATGAGAGGTAAGCAGCGTGGGAGAGGGATTAATTTATGGCTCCAGTAAGGGCCAGCACTGTTACACACTCACTGGATTTCACAGTCTGGGAGTAAGCTGGGAACACAATTCGTTCCAGCAACAATAGAGTCTGTAACTGTTTCTGGCCAGACAGTATAAATTTCTTTACTATGGCTGTTGCTGTAGTAATTTCAAGTGCCTTAGGCTGGCCTGTGCTGCAGAGAGATCTCTGGAACAGGTGGAGAGTGTACAGTCAGTTGTCCACAGGGACTAAATCAAAGTTTCTAAAGCTTCTATTGCTAGAAGAAAGTCCAAGCATTTGCCATTGAGCACACCAATCAACACTGCTGTGATCCAGGGAGACCCAGAGGAATTGGGCCGTTTGTTGTATGGAAAGGAGGATCATGAGAAATCTCCCTGAACAAGGGATCCCAACATCTTCAGTTTGCAAGGTGATAGAGACCCACTTCCAAAGCCTCTCCCACAACTCCTCAAAGACCAGTTAGTTGAAATCAAGGACCAGGATTAGATATTGTCTTTCACATCATAATGACATTACCTAAGTCTTCCACTCACAAAGTAATTTTCAATTTCCCTAAAAGGCACCATAATTAATTCAAGGCTCACTTGTCACTTGCGACTTAGCCAATGTACATGCCCTATTTTAGGGTAATAGAAACTCTATGATGTGAGATATATCTGCTGTTTCATTTTTATGGGCTGAACTGTGTTCTCCCCCAAATTTTTATGTGAAGTCTTAACCGCCGGTACCTCAGAATGTGACTGTATTTTGAAATATGGTCTTTAAAGAAGTAATTAAGTTAAAATTAGGTCATTGGGGTGAGTTCTGATCCAATAGGACTGGTGTCCTTACAAGAAGAGGAAATTTGGGCCAACTTTTCCACAGGAGGGAAAATCATGTGAAGACAGAGGGAAAAGACAGAGATCTGCAAGCCAAGAAGAGAGGCCTGAAACAGATCCTTCCCTCAGTACCCTTGGGAGGAACCAACCCTCCCAGACTTTCATCTCAGACTTCTAGCCACCAGAACTGTGAGAAGCTCTGTTGTTTAAGACACTGGGTCTGTGATACTTGATTACAGCATTCCTAGAAAATTAACACAATAGCCCACCTTGAAGAAAAACAGGCACAATATATCAGATATCCCTTAGCTGAAGGCCCCCGGCTGCCCTTCTTGAATCTTAAGTTTTTCTTGTCCATTTAAGGGGGGGAAAAAAGCATCCCGCCATTATTTCAGGAATACATAGACATATATATGTAATACCCAGTATCTCCTCTAAAGGTTTTCGGCCAATATCCTTCCCCTCTCCAACCACCTTCTCTACCCCACCACCAACATACAGGCATGTTAGATCTGCTCTGCCAGAGTGGTAACTTCTCTCCGTCTTTAACTTAGACATGCATTTGAGGATCAATGCCAATGAAAGCCCAGCTTAAAGCAAAGAGGAAGCCTGAACACTAGCCAGCTAATTTGAGCAGTCTGACTTATAGAGTCCATCTCCAAATGGAGTGTTCAGGGGTTGATACCACTAAGGGCAGGAAACCACCTATTTCCTTAGTGACAGTATACCATAGTGGTTAAGCGCCCTGGCTCCAGAGCCAAAATGTCTGTCTTCAAGGCTTGGCTCACCTATTACTTGCTAAGTTGTACATTGCCTTAGTTTCTTCATCTGTAAAATGGGAATGTTAATCATTAGCATTATTCAATGGATTCCATTTGAGGATTACATGAGTAAAGATATTTCATGCCCTGAATACAGCATCTGACCTAGAGCATGTCCTCAAGAAGTGTTAACTAGTCTTATGGTTATCATCCTTTATACTTTGCTTAGGACCCACTCATGTATTACTAGCTCTGATTATGGTGAAAGGAGGCAGGAAAGGGAGAGCAGTTCAATAATAAAGATATAGAGCTACTGCTATTATTTCTACTACTGCTACTATTAATACTACTACTATTGCTGCTACTAGTGCTATTACCATTGTTGTTACTATGATGAATAGCTGCCATGAGTCCAACACTTCCAAATGTTGGTGCACTAAAACTTTTACCTACATTTTATGATTTGCTACTCACAAGAACACCTGTAGGTAATTTCTGTTATTATCGGGCTCTGTGTATACATGGGAAACAAAATAGATAAGTAACATGCTCAGGTGGCACAGCCAGTGAGAGGAGAGGCAAAGCCTTAACAAAAAGGTCTACTTGGCTGAAGGCCAGTGCTGCAGGGTGCCCACCTCATACCCTCCCACTTTAAGGAGGCAGCCATATCTTGTTCATTCTCCATCAAAACACCCCAAGTTGCAGTGTTCTAAGCAGCCAAGAAAGGGAAACCAGCATCGCAGGCATTTACAAAATGCACCACTTATGTGAATGATTAGCAGAAATTCACCCCATAACCCTTGCATCTCAGCTCACCCTCCAGTGTCCACAGCTAGAAATTCAGTGTGCCTAAAGTCTAATAAGGAACACAGGCATGGCCAAGTATGGTGGCTCATGCCTGTAATCTCAGCATTTTGGAGGGCTGAGGTGGGCAGATCACCTGAGCTCAGGAGTTTGAGACCGGCCTAGGCAACATGGTAAAACCCCATCTCTACAAAAAATATAAAAATTAGCCAGGCAGATGGTGCACGCCTGCAGTCCCAGGTACTCAGGAGGCTGAGGCACGAGAATTACTTGAACCCAGGAGGTTGAGGCTGCCAGTGAGCCGAGATCACACTACTGCACTCCAGCCCAGCAACAGGGCCAGACCCTGTCTAAAAAAAAAAGAAGAAGAACATAGGCATACCTCATGTTATTCAACTTTGCTGTATTGCACTTTGCAGATATTATGGTTTTGTTTTTTTTTTTTTTTTTTTTTTTTTTTTACAAATTGAAGGTTTATTTTTCCATTGCTAGAGCACAGGCAGAGTAGATTTCACATAATTCTTAATGCCTATGGGATTTTCAGAATGTTAAATGAGCTTTGACTTCAACTTAAAGTCACCAGCTGCATTAGTTCCAACAAGAATCAGCCTGTCCTTTGAAGCTTTGAAGTCAGGCATTTACATCTGTTTACAGCATGATCTACTGAATATTTTAATCCTGCTGTTGAGACCTACTGCTCAGAGAAAAAGATTTCTTTCAAGATGTTACTGCTCACTGATAACGCACCCAATTATTCAAGAGCTCTGATGGAGATGTATAAGATGAATGTTGTTTCCATACCTGCTAGAACAACTACCATTCTGTAGCCCATGGATCAAGGGGTAATTTTGACTTTCAAGACTTATTACTTAAGAAATATATTTAATAAGCTATCACTGCCATAGTGATTCCTTTGATGAATCTGGGCAAAATAAATTGAAAAACTTCTGAAAAAGAATCGCCATTCTAGATGCTAATAAGAACATTCGTGATTCATGGGAGGAGGTGAAAATATCAACAGGAGTTTGGAAGAAGTGAATTCCAACCCTCATGGATGACTTTGAGGGCTTTAAGACTTCAGTGGAGGAAGTAACAGCAGATGTGGTGGAAAAAGTAAGAGAAATAGAATTAGAAGTGGAGCCTGAACATGTGACTGAATTGCTGCAAACTCATGATCAAACTTGAACATATGAGGAGTTGCTTCTTACGGGTTAGCAAAGAAAGTGGTCTCTTGAGATGGAAGCTACTCCTAGTGAAGATTCTGTGAGCATTGTTGAAATGACAACAAAGGATTTAGAATAGTACATAAACTTAGTTGATGAAGCAGCAGCAGAGTATGAAAGGATTGACTCCAATTTTGAAAGAAGTTCTACTCTGGGTAAAATGCTATCCAACAGCATCACATGCTACAGAGAAATCTTTTGTCAAAGGAAGAGTCAGTCGATGCAGCAATCTTCATTGTTGTCTTATTTTAAGAAATTGTCGCAGCCACCACAATCTTCAGCTACCACCCCCCGATCAGACAGCAGCCACCAACACTGAGGCAAGACCCTCTACCAGAAAGAAGATTAAAACTCACTGATGACTCAGATGATTACTAGCATTTTTAGGAGTAAATTATTTTAATGAAGGTATGTACACACTTAATAGACTACAGAAGAGTGTAAACCTAACTTTTATATGCACTAGAAAAAAAATGTGTGTTACTTGCTTTATTGCGATATTCACTTTGTTGTGGTGGTCTGGAACTGAGCCTGCAATATCTCTGAGGTGTGCCTGCAAAAGATCTTTGTTTTGAGGATTCGCAGAGCAAGAAATGCCACTTGGCATCAATTAATCTCAGGAAGTGAACTAAATGCCCTGCTACAACAGGAACAGAAAAAGCTCGCCTTGAAGACAACAGCCTAAAGCAAAACCACAAATCCCTTTTCTAGCAAACCTGCTGTGAGGAAGCTGATATCATATTTTAAAGTGCACAATTTCCCTTACAGGCAAAGACAGCAAATCCCAGTTCCTTCGGTGGCACTGGGTTCAACGCTGGACTTCAGAAATTTACATGAAAGTACAAAAAACCAGCCAAACACACAAAAATGTTATGAAAAAGGAAAGTTACAAAATGGCTAGAAAATTGCATTCTTTTCTCTGCTTGATTTTCGAGACCTCATGTCTTATCACACGATAAGGCCTTTTCTGTCATTATGAGCATCCCATCCAAATTAAGGGCATCCTACAGTGGTCTCCCTGGGAGATGAGAGGCTTGATTAAAAGGAGGTGAATTTCTCATCCCTCCACAGACCTTTTATCCGAGCTGCAAATACTGACTTTATTGAGCATCTATTATGTAAGGCACCATGATGGGGCTAACAAGACATTTCTCAGACTTCACAGTTTGGCTCAAGTGTTCCTCATAAAGCCATCATCCTGAACAGCCAGAGAGACTGAAGTTATTTTCCCTTCCTGGGAACTTCTAGAGATGCTCCTTCGGCAATAATAATTTCCATGTCTGTTTTATCCATTAGATGGTGAACTATTTAGGGGCAGGGATCTATTTTGCTCTTCCATGTATTTCCAGAATCCAGCAGAGGATGCAATCAAACTAACTAAAGGAACTGATGAATCATCTCTAGTCCCCAAACACTCTTCAAGCAGTCAACAGAGACTCAGCAAACCTTTCGTGGAGATCCAAAACGTGTGCAGTGAGAACCCATTTACCTCTGATATCTTGCAACAATTTGTTTTTGAACAATCAGGGTTCTTGCATCATTTTTCATTTACAGGGACTGCGTATGAATTAGGACACAGAGCATTTGCTATAAAAAGGGCATTGTGATGTGAAGGACAACCCTAAATTATGTCTCTAACCAGTCAAGGCTGCCTGAAGTTCGCCTGGAGCCAGCTGCTGTAACTAATCAGCAGGGAGGACTCATGTCAGTGGTCAGACAGATGTTCTTAATTAAGCAACTATTTGGTTCTCCAGTGCAAAGTCTGAACACTTCTTAGAGATGGGCCCCCATCACTTCAAGCTCCTCTCACTGTTCTGATTCTTCAAAAGAGTGGTTCTCAAACTGTGGCCCAGACCAGCCGCATCAGCATCACCTGGAAGTTTAACAGAAATGCAAATTTCCAATCCCCAGGCCAGATCTGCTGAATTAGACTGTGTAGGGCTGTGGACCAGCAAGCTATATCTTAACAAAGCCCTCCAGGTGATTCCGACACCTGCTAAAGTATAAGAACCACCACTATAAAGTTTTGCCCAGATGGAGAATCTATATGGCTTCAGTAAATCCTACCCAAGTTAGCAATTGTCAACAACACACAGATTATAAGGCTGTAGTTCTATTCAGCAAAGCCAGGACTACAGCTAGACAAGAGGGTGCCTAGGGTGCAAAATTGAAGGAGGCGCCTCACATTCTGGGTGCCTACTCTGATTCTCTGTGACTCTGTGGAACTCGAGGCATTGTGTCAACACTTGATTCTTGATGGGGATTTACTGACTAGATGCTGCACTAATGACTCTCTCTTGCTGACTTCTCTTCCCATGAGCTAATCAGCAAATAAATTTAAACAAGCAAATTAAATACTAGTCCTCGCAAAGTGCAATACTTACAATTCAGTGTTCTACCCTTCTTTAACAACATGGTATCTAGTCACTAAGACCTTGAGCACAATGTTCAAGAATATCAGGCCACACGGGTCTGTCTGAGCCTGTATCAGACACAGAAGGCTGGATTAGGCCTTAGGTGGTCTCCTCAAAAGGAATCATAGTTGGGTGTTCAGCACCATAAATGGTTCCAACTGGATCTGCCTCATTCTTGGGTGCCTTGGCTCCTGGGTGATTACTATTTCCTGATACTTCCTGAGGCTTTGCAGAGCAAATCCTGGCTCCTGCCTTAACACATCCTTCAACAGGGCTTCCACTCTTCTGATAATGATCATCACCCCCGAGACACCACTGCCCACCACCCTCTCCCCATCTCCCACTTGACGGCCATCCCTGGAGCCACACTGACAAAACTCTCAGGCCAGGCTGTAGCCACCCTGGCAGAACTAGGGTCCTTTTCAATTTCTCTGCATCTATCTACTTGCATTATTTTCCCTGCTGCCACCTAAGATGTTATCTAGTGTTAGGCAGCCAGCATTCTCAGAAGAAGGAAATGGTTGCCTTTATGTTTGGGAGACAGCCTGGGAGAACCAACACGTTCATCAGTCCTACAGGAGGTTGTACAAGATGCTCTTGACACAAGAGGGCAAGGTCATGACCATCTGCTGAGCATGAACTTGTCCAGGGACCTGTGTGGTCCACCCAAGCCTCAGTACCATGACACCAACTACTTTTTTCTTCTCCAGTCCTGGGGGAGGCCTGTCATATGCTATCAGTTTGTGCATTAAGAGATGAATTTACTTAGCTAAGCTGTCCCTGCCTTCCTTCTTTCTTTTGCCCAGTGGAAGGAATTGTGAGGGTGACTTGGCTCAGTCCATTTTGCCATTTTCTATTACTAAAATCTTTCATGCTAGCAGGCTCTGATGTGAGAAGTCCTAACAAAATGACCCCACGAAAGGTTTGAGTCAAAAGAGAGGTGATGAGACTTAACAAGTAGATGAGTTTATTTCACTTAATGACCAGGAGATGCCCAAGAGGATAATCTGTTTTCCTCAAATCATATTTTGCCTCCCATTCAGGAAACTAATGTCTAATATTTTCTGGGTCTCCTGACATGAAACTCTCCTCAAAATGTTCAATTTCTTTTTTCTGGGTGTTGTCAATTATCCTTGCCAGCCCAGCTGGGTGCTATCTGTGTAAACTGTCCACCTGATACATCCTATGTAAATCCTAACTTTCACTGAAGTTTTCATTGAAAGTTTATAGGGTTGGTAAGGCCCCCAAATTAAGAACTCTTGACCTAGCTATTTAGAGACAAAGTCTGTGCTCCCCAGGACTTTACAAATGAGGAAAGATGTAGCTATCCTTACAAGGCACCACCCCACTAAGTAGGGAGAATTGGGCCACGGGTGCTTGATGATTTTAGAGGAAAACTAGGATGATTTTAGAGGAAAACTCTAGGTCTCAGGACTGATGTCAGGAATTACGTGTGTCCTTGGGAAAACTATGTATCCCAGTCCTGGTCTACTATTCTACAGCAGACCCTGAATGGCTTAGCACACAAACGGCCTTGGCAGAGGCTGGGGTTGAGTGGGCCTTCTATTTCACACCTCTGTGCTTATGTAGTGTGTGTCTCAGAAATCTCCTGATGGAGGACTCCCAACCCTTCTCTCTGCTGCCACCAGTGATTCCCCCAAAACACAAGTTAGGTTACCGCCTCCTCGAAAACCTTCAGGGGTTCCCTAATGCCTATGACAAGCAAAACCTTCATGACTGGGTGCCAGAATACTCTTACATTCTCCACTCCATCTAGGCCACTCCAAAGACCCCTGGCTATAGCCACACCCAGGCATTTACTGTGGTCTGAGCACTGTCCCTATGTCTTCCATCATCCTAATTAGGGAAAACTTACCTAGATTTACCAGACTTTACATTTCTGTACCTCAACATACTCACCTGTAAAATGGGGGCAAGAGTAATAACTACTTATAGAGTTGTAGTTAGGACTCAGTGAGTTACAGGCATCCAGTCTCGGTAAACCTAGACAAGTAATATTATTAGTTGAGCATTCTCCTCATGGTATGGAACTAGGTTCAATAAGACCTCCTCCTAAACCAGGCTCAGCCTCCCAAACCAGAGGTAATGACAGCTCTTTCTATTCTCACAGCCCATGCTAGTGGAACCCCCAGCTTGTTCTTACCCAATTCTGTGTTTTTATGTGCTTGTCTTCTCCTCTGCTAAACTATAAGCATTTTGAAGGCAGGGATCTAATCTAATCTATTAGACTGTGTGGAAGTTCTTTAAGGGATCTAAAGTCATTTGGGTGCTAGACTTTAGATTCCTTAAAGAACTTCCATGACAACTTGCACACAGTAGGCTCTCGCTAAATATTTGCTGGATGGGAGCTAATCTGAGAAAAAGATTAAAAGCAGGCAGCCGAAGTGCACAGACTTTTTGGATTCCATGTGAGGATTCAGTGTGAGAACCCAGGTGTTTACTCCATACCACCTACCCATTGGAGAAATCTCATCAACCAAAAAGCATTTGTACGTGCAACTATGTGGAGGTGGCTCTGGAATAAACTGAATGTGATTGTAACCAGGGATCCTGAATGGAGATTTCAGGAATCCATTAACCTGCTTCAACTGTGGTAAAAGGGGATCAAGTGTACTTTTTATTTTTTCCTAGAAAGACTTCCTAGAGAGTTTTCATTGAAGGTTCATAGGGTTGGTAAGGCCCCCAAATTAAGAACTCTTGACTTAGCTATTTAGAGACAAACTTTGTGCCCCCCTAGGACTTTACAAATGAGGAAAGACGTGGCTATCCTTACAAGGCACCACCCCACTAAGTAGGGAGAATTGGGCAACGGGTGCTTGGTAATTTTAGAGGAAAACTACGGGAGGCTCCTTCAATAATTCCACAGTAAGAGACCGGGAAGGAAGGGAAATAACAGGCAGAGAGAGCCGGGGACTTGGAAGCCTCCATGGCTCACACCTCCTCTGCGGGTGTGGAGCCAAATTTATCCATCATTACACGTGTGTCCTCAGCCTGGGGCCCAGACACTCGCCATTCAGCTCTATCTGGACATGAGGGTTGTTTTCTGTTGAGGTGACTCAAAAACATACTACCTCAGGATCCAGATATACAAAACAAGGCTGTTCACCTAATGATCGTGCAGAGTTAAGTGACACTTAAACACTAGGGTAAGCCTGATACAAGAACAAAGGGAAGGAAAAGACCATTAGTGCAGAGTCCCCGTTGCATCTCCTGCTGGCAGATGATTTGGAAGGAGCCTTCACGCAGGAGTCTGTTTTATTTGCAGAAGCCACAGTGGTAAATTACAGCCCATCCTAGCCCATTCTGGGTTCTCCAGTTCCTCTTGGAGCTATTCCTGTCACTGCCCATAGGCCACTAAAACCTGCCCGCATTCAGAATGATTGATTCTGCTCAAACTGCAAGTCACAAACTCATGTCGAAAAATCCACTTCAAATAAGTCATTAGCTTCCTTTATGGATTTTTCAGGTCATGAGGAATAGGACCTGAAAGTCCCATTTACTGGAGAGTAGAAAGCAGGTGTCGGAAGAGGCGGGGGCAACTGGAAAAGCCACAGGGAGCTGGGAGAGCCCTTGTTTTCTGCCAATCAACAAAGGGGGTTTAGCAAAAATGGACCCATGACTTCATTGCCAGTGCCAGATATTCAAATGTAAAACAAAGGGCCCTGAGGTCTTTCTGTAAACTGGAAGTCAAGGGATATGGAGAGAGGGCTCAGGAGGGGTCCATCTTTGCTCCCAGGTCAGATGGAGAATGTGGAGCACCTGGGACATAGAAAGACGTGGTAAGGGAGGAGTGTCTAAGACTTTCTCACTTGTCATGGGATGGCCCATTCCAGCTGGGCTGCGAAGGGAGACCATGGTGGGCTGGTGGGATAAGACATCCCAGCGACAGGAACTGAGGCCTTAGCAGCAGCCCAAAGGCAACCAACATGAGAAGCCCGAGTTCTGTAGCTTGGCAAGTTTCCACTCACCACCTGACCCACGTTTAGCAATTTTGATGTACCATGAAACAGACAGCTCCAGCCCAGGATGACTGCCTCCCTCAGCCCCTCTCCAGCAACGAATGAAAGCAAGATCCACTTTGAAAATTCTCCCCCATCATGCAAACTGACACAGGCATGCTTTTCAAAAACCCACAGCCAATCTGTTGATCATTACTTATTTACAAAGGCCTTCGGGCAGAAAGTCCTGTAAAAACCATACTTGATACGATATACACTAGCTTTTTCTGCTTGTGGAAAAAAAGTCCCCCCAAGGCTACCTCAAACCATCACTTTCTATTGCACATAAAATGTAGCGTGTAACACTAAAGTATTTAATATATATGGTATAATATATCTACAGGAAAGGCATTTGTGTAGAAGTATGTTACCCTGGATTTGGTAATTTGATGTTTTGCTGAAGGCTACGACTTAAAAAAGCCTCCACCTCATACAGAAGACCTGTCATCTTGGTACCCAAGAGCCAACAGAATAAAGAAGTACCCTTAAGCAGCAAAACTTTGACACAGCTTTGAAGCATATGAAAACAGTATAACTCCTCAGAATTATTATTACTCAAGATCAAAGAAATGAGCCATACTTTACATAGCAAACAGGGACAGGGAATTTGGCTCCAAAGGTTTCAGATTTTTCAGACTTCTCTTTATTTATTTATTTGCTTCTCTAAATTTAGGTGAAGGAAAGTGGCTGGGCTTTTCTCTACTTTAAATGGGAATAACTATTAGAATTAGATAAGGTGATTACCTAAAGGTGAGTAAATAGGAAATGAATGCTAGCATGACACTGGCATCATAAAAACGAAAAGCTTGGCAGTTGGCACATTTTATTCCTCCTCATAAACTGTAAACAAGCATGCAAATCAGCCAAACCCAAGGAAGGCTGGGTGAAGTGGAAGGCAGAGAACTTTTAAGGAAACATTTAACAGGAATAGATGGTGATATGGAAAAGGAGTTGGGCAGGGTGAGTCTTCCACGGAAAACCTGTGTCCTCAACCACATGAAGAAAGACTGCCCTTGCCTATTTTCCAGAAAGGTGGATGTGGAGGGCCAGGAACATGCAAATGTTATTGAATATGGGGAGTGGAAATCACCACTATTCTATTTCAAAAATCAAAGCCGGTGGCCATGAAAAGACAAAACTAATGTCAAGATGGCAGGCATTTCCAGAGCAGAAACCACATAGGGTGAGCAGTGCAAATCTGAAATCACTCCTGTTTCATTTGGGTGGTAGAGAGTCAGGATGTCGGAGGAAAAAAATGCTGGGATTGGCAGATGAATTGAAGACAAAAAGGGGAGATAAAAGACAGATAGGCCAAGAAGAAGAAACTGCAGAACGCTGTTGAAATTTGACTTCACTTGCTATTTACCAGAGGAAGCCATAGTCAAGAAAGAAGTGAGGGAGAAAGAGAGAGAAGGAGGAAGGGAGGGAGGGAGGGGGAAGAAGGGAAGGAAGGAAGGAGGGAAGGAAGGAAGGAAGGAAGGAAGGAAGGGAGGAAAGGAGGGAACATGTACATGCATGCTGTATTTCATAATTAATATTGCTTTTAGCCTGAGCAGAACTGGATTACTTTTGAACTTTGCTTTGGCAAGTCCACAGATTATTAGACTTTTTCTTATCAGTCAAAATCAATTAACAGAAATTTGATTTCAATCGACAGGATAAAAGGAAGGTAATCTTCAGGTTCATTTTTGATTGTGATGATACATCTCACATATGGCCTTAAGTACAGAAAACAGTCCTCGGAGGGACTCCAGCAGAAAGAGACTGCCGCAGGCAAACTAACCACACGAGTTTCTCTGATTGGTTACCGCCATCATTAGTGCCACTGCTGTTTAGGAACTACACACAGACAGGACATGGTGACAGCTAAGACTTTAAAGCCTATGTATTTTTCAAACAGCTTTTCAAACTGTTTTTCATGACAGAATTTTTTCAGCTCTATCATTAACTGCTGACAAGCTGACAGAATAAATACTCCAGCCTTTAAGAAGCCATCTAACGATCTCGCTCCCCTCCCCCACCCCGGGCTTGCTGGGGAGGGGAGACTCTGGGCCTGGCAGGGTGAGGAGAGGGCGAGGGGAGGAAGAGAAGGGCTAAGAGGGAAACCGTGGGCAACCAGCCCCTCTCCTTACCTCATCAGCTTAGGCGAGGTGTTGGGTGAGTTCCGCATGCCTCCATTCCGTTGCTTTTTTTTTGGTGATAGTGTTGACGGCTGCTCATCTTCAACTGGAAATACAGGCAGCTCATGAGATTATGAACAGTTTGAGGGCAGACTGTGCAATACAGGCAAAATATCAAAGGACACACACTCAAGGCTCAGTCACTCACTAGGAATTCATGGCTGTCTTTTAGGACCCAATGACAAAGACCAAATGTGTTAGTCAAAGAGGCCGGCTTAGAGAAGGTGAAGGCAACACCTCTTTACACTCCAGCCTTTGAACATACACTTTAAACAGACTAAAACAGTTTGTAAACACCCTGCCATAAGAAAAAAAAAAAAAAAAAAGAAATCATGATTTATCTGTATACCAAAAAAAATACTTATCATTATTCTTAGAGTTAATTTTGGTTACTTTGCTTTGCCCAGTAATAGACTGCGTTTTGTTGTAACCAAAATCAGAAATAAAGTTGTATTTGAAATGTCAGCATAACTGCCAGCCTGCTGCTTCTCCAGATGAACCAACTTAGCTGGTTCCTAACCCCTGCATACCAGAGAAAGAGCGTTGAAAAGAGGCAAGGATTCAAGGCCTTGACAGCCAATGTTTCAATCAGATCGGGGCACATTGGTGCATGCTGGCTCAATAATCCCCAGCCCAACTCAGCTCTTATCCCTCCAACTGCCAGGAGGGAGGGCTTGTGGGGCTGTGCCAACGGGGTCCTTTTTCAACCCATGAAGACAGGAGCACCGGGGCTGGTGAGGTTGGAGGAGAGCCCCGGAATGAAGGAGGAGGTTGCCATTGAATGAAATCTCTGATGATGCAGCAGCGGGGCAGGGATGGAGGGCAGCACAGGGGATTGGAAACCAAAAGCTGTTTTCCAAATGTCTAAACCACACAGATTGCTAAGCAATGTGAAGCTTCACTTAGAAACACCACAGCACACTCTACTGCTCTTGCCCAAAGACACCCACTAATAAGCTTTGCAGATGTATTAGCCTGCATCATGCTTCTTTTTAAGAGAACTGCTTGATAATTAGCAGATGCAAACCCAGCCTGTCACCCAGGGGCATCAGCGGCAAAATTCTAGTCCTCCTCTCCCCACCCCCACAATTCAGGCTAAAGCTGTAATATCAAGAAGGAAAAATAAGATCTTTGGATTCTTATAGTTGACTGCAACACAGACTAGGAGGAAAGCACCCTGAAACTCAGAATGCACAGCAGTTACCTTAAAGCTAAGAAGAGAAATATTAGCAGTGATGACATCAAAAGAGACTTGATATATGTTAATGGTGTAGGAGTCTTAGATGGGGGAGAAAGTGCCATGTCAGCTACTTGGTATTATCCAGGAAGACCCATATTAGAGCATGCATTATATGGTACTTCCCTGAAAACGCTAAATAAATTTAGTAGGTTATGATACATGCTTCCAAAGCTATTTTAATAATCCAACTACCCTCCAAACCTGCTTCAAAGTATTACACATTTTACACTCTCCTATTCTGCTGTCAGTTTGGGCTTGTCTAAACCCTGGCTGATGCAGGAAAAGGGAATGACTGTGGTGTAAGGTGAGAGTGAGACCAGAAGAGATGAAGGCAAGAAAGCACCTGCAAACACCCACAGCCGACCCCCTGTACCACCTGCTTCCTCTGACACCCACCAGGGCCCAAGCTCAGGCCGAGACTGTATCAGTCATTTAGAGCTCCAGGCAGAGACTATGTGGCTGGGATGATATCGCATCTTATCAGAAATGAGTATCCAAAGCAAATCACACAGAGACTAAACAGCACTTAAAAGATTAAAGGAAATAAATACAAGCCACATAAATGGTATTGAAAAAATCACTTAGAGTTGATATGCATCTCTCGGCAAGCAAACAGGCACTCTGAGCTTGACCTGAATTCATCTTCCTTTCACAGGATAGGGGACCAGGCATCTGAGGCAATAATGGGGTAGAAAGGCAGCGAGGGTGTGTGGGTGTGTGTGTGTGTGTGTGTGTGTAGGTATGCTTTCGCACTTTCCCCATCTTAGAATGAAGTAGAAAGTCTTGCACTAACTAGACGTATAAGACAAGGTCATCTTTTAATATGGGCCACTTGCAATTGGTGTATTGTGTTCAGGGTGACCTAGACTGGTTGTGTAGCATGCTGGAGCAAATAACACGTGTGTGTTTGTGTGAGTGCATGTGAGTCACTCTAGTCGGGGTGCAAGTTCTGTTTTTCTCATCTTAAGGTTATAATTCAGTTAGACTTCTTAAGGTTATAATCCCACATCCAAAGGTTTTTATCTAACCTAGTCTACCACGGCTAGCATTTTTCAAGGTCACCAGATGCTACCATGGTTGTGTCCAGTTACACAATGAATCTAGATGAGTTAAGACCTGAACAGAAGTCATCCTCCCTAGCATGCCTGTGGGATTATTTTGCTGAGCATTGGCTTCCCTTTTTGCATTGGGCCTATAACAAATAATCCTCTTTGGTTAAGTGGCCATTATCTTTACACCTTGTTGCTACACTGATCTTCAGATGGGAGAGTTGCAAGTTAATACCTGTTAGCCAGCTCAAGGGAGACACCTCATTCTGGTAGTAAAGTTATGCCTCTTCTATGCAAAGAAACTATTTATTTTCATTGCAACTCAGAAAGATCATCCATCGTAATCATACTGCATTTAAAGTGGGATTTGTTCTCCAAAATGAAACTTGTGTTTAAAGGTTTCCTCCTGCACTCACAGCCTAAAAATGCAGATCTGTTCCCTGAAGAGATGGGGGAAAATGTCTCCAGCTTAAATATATGAACGCTGTGTAATGGAGACCATTACATATGGCTTAGGTCCCTCAAGAGAAGCAGTGATAACTTCTTTCTCATAAGTAGGATATAAACCATATTTAATTATCAGCCTTTATATGGATCCTATCAATTTCTGCATAAAGAAAGCAGATCTAGGAAAACTTTTAGTTAAGCTATAAAATATAATTTTCATTTCATGGCTTCTGTGACTACATGAGAGGAATAAAAATGGAATTAAAAGGGAGACTTAAATTTACTCACTTTCATGAAAGACAAACGTGTTGAAGTAGTGGGCCACTACCTCATGACGATGCAAATTTACAAGCTCTTATTTAACCTACATTTTGGCTAATTACAATACACCTCCATCTATGGCATTTTCACTTGCCTTCATGCTGCGGAAGCCACATGAAGATATGATCCTTTAAAGAAACCTGACTTCTTTAGAACACAAACAAGTTCAGGAATCTAACGTGGAATTTTATAGGAGCTGAACTCCATCCAGTCTCCAAGTACTCATAAAATTCAAGGGCTTGTTTTTGCACATCCCTAAGTATAACACTTAATGTGCTGTTGTAACTTCCCAGCGCTCCCTTGTCTAATAGGCACTGAATCTAACAGTTTTACAGTTTGGGAAGACTCAGTGCTAGAAAAATGTCAGGCAAGTCTAATGAGGCTTCAGATCCCCTGGTTTGCGCTAGAGTTTAATTTAAAGTTACAATGATGTTTTAACATGTTTGCTTATACTTGACTAAAGAGGATTCGTTATTTCAATGACATAACCTCCAGACAATGTTCTGAGAATTGATTTAAGATGTGGTGGTAATTCCAACAGCCTTAATGCAGAGTTGAACATCTGTAACAACATTTTACTCGACTTTTCATCAGCATTCTGTTTTCAAGCAAAAGCAACGTCTTCCAGAAACACTGGCCAGAACTCTGGGCTTACTTCAAAATGATTACATATTTCACTAGATTTTTAAAAAAAGAAATATCTTCCTTTATCAGCCGCGCCAGACTGCAAACACTGTGTCAGGGTTTACCAAGCCTCTTTATGGTCCTTGGAGTGAAATGGGGCAATGATTGCAACTCCCAGCCTTCCCTAATTCAGTCTAATGCCTGCATTAGATGGACCTGATGCTCAGCTCTAGCCTGGGGCACATTCCCTCTGCCCTGTTTCCCCAGTGAGATTTAAGGGGATGATGCCCTTTAAGATTTAAAGGTGAGTTTATTGGCTGGAGTTAAAAAACAGTTCAAAGCAAATAAACTCAGAAACGTAATAAAAGGCAAACAACTCATAAACATGAGTCAACCGCTATCTCCATTATGTTATTAATCACCACATCTGGAGAAACCCACATCTGTACACACTTAGCAGGTCATTAGTAATGTCATATTCACACTGGAGTCACTCAGAATAAGAGTCATGCAAAGTGGTTTGAACACAAAGGCATCTAGCTAACAGGGCTTCCGACTGAAGTCTTGCACAAGCTGCCAGTTTGGGGGTGAGGTCGTTTTAATTATTATTAATCGTTTTTTACGGTTTTCCCTTTTGGTATTTTGCTGCCCAACAAGCTAAGTGCAAGCTGAAATCCACAGTAGTGCATCGCTCTTCTTCAACTGAGCTCAGCATGGTAAAGTAGAATGTTGAGGGCTGCAGGGTAGTTATTAAAAATGGGAATGGGTCCCAGTCTTCCTTCACCTGGCTCGGTCACAAGCCGAGAATTGGGAGTCTCCTTCTTGAACTCAAATGGATCTTTGGAATAGCGTGATCTAGCTGCAACCTTGACTGCCAAACAATAAGGAGAAAAGAAAATGGAAATTAATCCATAGTGAAATTTCTTTTAGAAAAGTTCCAAACAATTTTAACATTGAATAGCTTTGAATCAAACTGGAAGTTTCTCCCTCACAGCTGAATTGCCATTTTTTTCCCTTTCTTTTACCCTGATGACTTCCTGCAATTCTTTTTGCCGTCTTATTGTCATCTGTATCAGTAGGGATAATACTTCTGGAAATTCAGAAGACAATCTTCTTGGTATAATTTCCAAAAATATACTGAGTTCCCCGTCACCCCACAACATGTACAGACACCGAAAACTCAGTTTAGCAGCAGGATCAGACCCATTCTTTCCTGAAGTCTGCTAAAACAAATTCTACTGAATAATCATTATATTCCGAGTCATCAATCCTTGGTGATAAACTTTTGCTGTCTGTCTCGAACTGCCGGCTTGGTCAGCCCCCTTAGTTGTGGTATCAGTGCCTAACATTAAATGCCGTGAGTTTGCCACTCCTCAGAAAGACAGATCCACGGCATTTCCTTCGGCCGTCAGCGACACCAGTGAAAAGTGGGTGTTTCAAATGTTGTTTTACTAAAATGAAGGGTATGGAGTGATGGTAAAATTCCTGGAATTTTACAACAGTCGTGTTGCAAAATGTAATTCACCATGAACAAAACTCCCAAGCTGACCTAAGCTCTCTCTGATATGACTGTTTAAGACTTTCACCAGAAAGTTTGTGCAAGTTAACTCTCAAAGTCTTACGGCATGGCCACAAGAGCGCAGTCTCTGGATTGGAGGATGGAATGGTGCCTGGCTGTTTCTCACACGAACCAGACGGGTAAGAGGGTGTGGTTGTTTCCTTAAGCGATGATGGGAAAACAACCACAAAAATAATAATACATGCCAGCTGAACAACCCATACTGTGAATTTGGTAGTATGATTCCTGTAAAGGAGCACTTGACTGCTGTTTCGGGATGGATCCCGTGGTGGGGAATGCCATGTGTCCATCGACGAGGCTGAGCTATTAAGCACAGCTAGGATCAGGCAAGCCAGGCAATGGAGCCAAGTTCTACGCCCAGAGAGTAGTGGGCAGTATCAGGGTGCAGGGGAGTTAAAGTGGGTGATGTCCTTGGAATGAGAGTTTCTTGCCTGACAACCTTGAATAGCACATATCACTAAGAAGTTTGATAAGCACTGCAGTATTCTTCATAAAAATCAACTATAAATCTATTTTTTGAAAGATCGTGGCTAATATTTTCTTTTTCTGAGACAAGGGGTCTTTGTTGCCCAGGCTGGTGTGCAGTGGTGTTATCTTAGTTCACTGCAACCTCTGACATCACGGCTAACATTAATCCACAGATTAGGAAAAGAAGAAAGATGCTGCCCCTTAAAAGCAACCCCAACGATCATAATATCTCAAACATATACACCTCTCTAAAATCAAACAACCACATTATCATATACATTATTCTGGCAGGATAATTTCACAACTTCTAGCTAGGAAATAGGAAACACATTTACTTGGAAAACCTAATGGGTATCAGTTTTTAAAAAATCTATCGTTATGCAGAATAAGAATTTCAAAAAATGTCTAAGTGACCTGTACTGCCCTAGGACAGGCATAGGGAGTGCCCACCCCATGGTAGGCTGCCAGGGCAGGGAAGGGAGGCTTGTTGGAGCTTTTGCATTTCTGGCTTTTGTGGAGCTAATAGGAAAATGGGGAGGGAGACTTTAAGGAACAATAGGTTATGTAGAAGTTAATCACAGGGTGTATTTCTGGCTCTATTCACTGCCTAGGAAACCTGAATTGTGTAAGTTTGAGTCCATCAACACAGAGTAATGAAAGAATTCAGCTCCTCCATAGGAGAGAGAAAAAAAATACTATATAAATATATGAACAGAATCCACATGACATGGAATGCAGTGTTCTCTACAAAATACTGCGGGCCTAATGGATCCTCTAGAATCCAATTGGGTAAATTAGATGTGCCCATGCTACCCATGCCATAGGCCCTCAACCCCAATCTCAAACTATGTTCTGTATGCATCCTGAGAGGAACTCAGCATGTACCAAAGCCCCCCATATCTAGAATCGCAGCTCATATATCTTCGCTGTAGACTTGACCTGTTAGAATCATTGCCCAACACTCCGCCCTGTTCAGTATTCAGTAGAAAATCCTTTTGGAATTTTCTGGTTGCCTTTAGCCCTTTTCTTTTTCCCTGGAATAGACTCTCTATTACCTCAAGGGCAAAGAAAAGTCTCAAGCAAAGATCACTAGGTATTAGTTTCTTAGAGATGAGACACAGAGATGAACGATGGAATTCTAAGAGGAAATGCACAATTGAAAAGAAAAATTCGAGAACTTCCCTGAATTTTTGCTATGGGGTTTGGAGAATGGGAAGGTACTAGGAGATGGGAGATAATTTTTACTTTACATCCAACTGGGAGGGCTGGGGAATGTATAGAAGTCCAATACAAACAGCCCCTCCCAACTTTCCTTTCCTTCTCTCCCTACTCCCTACTCCTGACACCAAAAGCCAACTTTCGGCTTTGTGGCAAAAGTTAAACCTGACTCCTTTAGGTTGCCCTAGCACTTGCAGTCCGCGTTTGTGAGGGACAACTTTTAGAGTAGGGATGAAACCTGCCACATCCTGGGCACCAACAGCTGCTTCTTTCTCATCTTTCTCAAGTTCAGGGGTCAGCAAACTGTAGCCTGCCACCTGTTTTTGTACATCACATGAGCTAAGAGTGTGTTTACATTTTTAAGTCATTGGGGAAACAAAATCTAAGAATAATAATATTTGGTAACCCACTAAAAAGATATGAAATTTGGTGGCTATAAATAAAATTTTATCAGACCATAGCCACAGTTGTTGGTTTACCAGCCATCCCTGGCTGCTTCCATCTCTAACGACAAAGTTGAGGACTTGCCATAGAGACCATATGGGTTGCAAAGACTAAGATATTAACTCGCTGACCTTTGACAGAGAAAGTTTGCTGACCCCTGCAGTAGTTTAATCTTCTCACATTTCCCTTGCTTTCCAGTCTCCACAAAGAACAATGTTCTTCCCAACCTGCCAAGACAGCCAAATAACAAAAGAAATACCCGTGGAGCCCACCTGAAGTGCACAGATCTGGGGACATTGGGAGGAACAGAGGTAGCTTAGTGACTCTACTGTCCCTACCACCCAACCTGCTATTAGCCCTGCTGGTCCGCTCGTGTTTGAGGTCATGAGTCAGGTGAGTTTCACATTTTCCAACTCAAGCTAAGTTAGATTCATCCACCCAGTACTTTGGAAAGCAAGGC
Organism: Homo sapiens; assembly: GCF_000001405.40. NCBI lineage: Eukaryota > Metazoa > Chordata > Mammalia > Primates > Hominidae > Homo > Homo sapiens. Next base: position 76,977,872 of record NC_000010.11, read on the forward strand.
GAACCACATCTACCGTGAGCAATTCCTCGAAGCTGTCAGCGTGTGCTGCCAGTCCACCCTGCGAGAGCCCCGTACAAGACAACAGATTAACCATTAGACTAGATATGTTGAAAATATACAGCTTCAACCTTTCCCCAGCTAGCTCAGAGCGATATATAGATGATTATTTCAACCGTCAGCTGCCGCATAGATTTAAACCTCTGCACAATAACTCCTGGATTCATCTGCCCCTTGTCAAACTTGCACAGCTTTAGTTGGAGGATACATGGTGTGGCAGTTTCACTGTGAATCCAGAATGATCCAGACGGCTGCTGTCTCTTTGTTAACAGGAAGCCAAACTGATGAGTTTGTAATGCATTTCTTATCAAAGGTAGTTTCAGAAAAGAAAATGTGCCCCATCAGTTTGGCTAGAATTTCACATACACAAGATTATAGGCTTAATCAGAATATCTCTGTTATTTTCTTGAGGAAATAGATAATTCCACATCCATTCCATTAAATCATTTTATGCCAATGAATTATGTATTTATGAATTTATAATTATCCTTGATTTTTCTTCCCCTTTTGCAGTCTACTTAATAAAATCATCAGCTGGAGCTTACAAAGCAATAGTGCTTAATAGATACAAGCATGCTAATATATTTTTTAAGTGAATGCTGATCTTTCTGAGCTGTGTGTCTAAAATCATCATTGTGAATAAAAGAATTGTAATTTCCAACCCATACATTTAACAAAGACAAAGTGGACTGTAATGGAATTTATGGAGCCTGTAAAGGAACTCTTTTTCTAAGACGGTTTATAATCAAATAGATTTGGATTTACTGTAGGTCAAATCAGGTCCCCCGATGTGTATCAAGAAAAAAATGCCTGTAAGATACCAAACACTGCTCCTGGCACCCTGGAAGGGCTCACACCCATGGCTACAGCTGCTAGTTTCCTGGTGTCCTCATTGTTTCCACCCCTAGTGAATTCAGTACTTAAATGTCAGCTTTGAAATCAATATTTATACTGTCTTCACTTAAAATTATGACATTCTGTTCATCCTGGATTTTTTAAATTTTGATTATTTTGAAAATATTTTATTTTGATAGTTTGAAAATATTGCATGAAACTATCATTTATCTTGATTCCTGAGGTTTTGGGTCTCCTCTTAAATTTGGTGCCCAGGGCAAAAGCTTCTCTCACCTCGCCCAATTTCCAGCCCTGAACACCATTTCTCAAAGGTGTTTGAGGTACTGGTTCTGCCACCCCACAGAACTGGACAAGGCAAATCTAACACAAGACTTATTTCTTTTGATCACTTCATGCTGTTTGCATGAGATTGTTAAGGAAGGCCCTTGCAACAAACACTTCCTCGTGGATTTACAAATTGTCAGGCATCCCAAGGAGTGGAGAAAAGATCATGCTGCCTCAGGAATCTGAGATTTGCCACCTGCCCAGAGTGAGAAACAGAAAAGAGAGCTGGGGTCAGGTCTCTCGTGGACTTTATTTCACATCCCACATCAAATCCTCCTGGTTAACACAATGTTGATTTACATTTCCACTTTGGGGTGAAAGTTTTTATTTGCTTACATATTTTGACACCAATGTTACTTTCTTTTTCTTTCCCCCCACCCCCAAACAGGTTCAAATAGCCATGACTGGCAGAAGATGTCAATCACATTTCATTTCCATTTTCACTTTGCTGTTTACATTCTTTAAATTAATGCTTGCCCCAATGATTGTGATATTTAAAGACCAGCCTAGAATCTAATTGTGTATATGTGAAACTGTTTTCTAAACCATAAGATGTTATATAAATACAAACCACTATTATTATTAACATTATTACTATTGGCTCATCCGGAAATACCATATCTTCCATTGAGCCAATGGTGTCAAGAGCCCCCTAGAATTCTAATATATATTCCAGATGGGTGCACTGATAATTTCTTTCAAACTCAGATAAAGGTAAAATGCATGGGTTTTTAGTGCAAGCCAGGTGCCCGACGAAGAATATTCTGCCAGAACACTTTAGAAATACAGTATGCTTTTAACCTTGGGAGGTAAGGACCAGTGTGGATTATGACTTTACACTAAACACAGCATTTAGTATATTTCTTAAGGGCATAATCACCTTCTATAGATGTTCTTGAACTATAAAATCTTTATCTGTATGCTATCATAATTTATCCTCGGACACATCCTGTGCAATATTTTATAATGCTAGTGTATGGTGGGCCTTTCTGGTCAATGCATTGGAGAACAAGGTGTGGAGTGCAACAGAAGGGCTGGAAGCGGCTTGGGGATGCTCTGGCCTCACCCTCTTTTGCGTCATAGCTGCACTCATACGCAGACCCTGACCCAGGACCCAGGTCGGCTGACTTCTAATTCAGATCATTTGCTGCCAGAATTCTGCCTGTGAGTGAGAACAGCATGAGGATATGAGCTTCTTGAGTCAGTCCACCTGCCCAAGTCCCAGCTCTGACCCTCTTTAGAGCTCTGATCTCAGACCAGTTACTCCATACCTCAATGTCCTACGATCTACTGTGATCCCTACTGGACCAAGGACACCAAATTTCGGAGATGCTTTGGGATTATGTGACATAACCAGGGGGCTGCAGGCTGACAGCCTGAGGACCAACTACTGTCCCCAGTGTGCTGAGCTTGGCACCACCCTGCTGATACACAGGATTTCACATGTGGGACAATCTTTAAGTCTGAAGATTGTCCATACAAATATGGATTTCTAACTTCTAATTAAAAATCTTGTAGAGGACTGAGTCTTCATTCCAAAAGGGTGCCATTCTCCTGGGGCAGGAGCTTATCAGCTGCTCAAATGCCCCACTGCTGCCTACTGTACCCCCATATATAGGGCAGACACCCCATGTTTGCATTTCTGGCCCTGGAACCAGTGACACTCAAGTGTACCATCCCCGAAATAAAGATTTTAAGGCATGGGATATCCCTCCACAAATGCCTACTCACATTGAGTGGGTAGAGAGGTTAAGAGTTAACCACACAGGTCTTAAAGCCACATTGTTGGGTCTGAACCTAGGTATTTGGCAAATTATCTAACTTCAGTTTTCTCACCAATAAAATGAGAATTAGAGTACCTATCTAATAGGTTGTTGTGAGAATTGACTGAAAATGTGAAAAGCACTTAAAAGAATTCCTGGTGAGCTCTTTCTAAATGCTACCCATGATTATTGCCTTGGCTTTGAAGAGTCAGAGCAATGAGAGTTCTCTGCTGCTGGGTCCTTCTCCACACCAGTCTGCCACATTTGGACATGGTGTAATTCACATGGGTCCATACTCTCTCTCCTTCCCCAAGCAATTGAGCCGCTAACCAACACTTAGAATGGGGTGAGCATTCCCACCCCCACCTGACCCCTAGCCTTGCATCTCATTCAACTGTCACCTTTGTCCCTTGTTTCATATGGCCCCAATGAAGTGCTCAAGTCAAATAATTAGGTTTTGCCAAATGTCATAAAAACAAGAAAAGCCAGAAAACGTTTAAACGGACCTCAATTGGAGAAGGCTGGAACCATTCAGGGCAAGAACAAATGAAAGACAGATGGGGACAGAGGAACCCCACTGTTTCCTCTAAATTACAGGAAATTCACGCCGTCTGATTGTGAGGGCCTCTTTTCTTTCCCTTGAATTTCTGCTGGGAGGTCATGGGATTGATCGGCGTGTGCAGACACATGGGAGACAGAAGAAGGGGCAGAGGCATGGCGGGGTAGAGAGGCAGTGACTCCTTCACCAGGCTCTCCCACCATGTCTTCCTTTCACCTGACTACTTGACCACCCTTGAAGGGACAGCCTAGGCTGCCTCCTCCAGGGGGCCTTCCCAGATGATTATGACAAGATCAATTCTCTCCTTTCTTTAAAAAATCCCCTGGCACTTCTGATCTCATGCCTTGCATTATTATAATTTGTGTTCAATTCTAATGTGTTCTACTCCCCCAGCTAGGCTTATAAGCTCCTCTGTTGGAGTTCACATATCACTGAGTCTCTCACAATGCTGGGCCCTGAAAAGTTCCCAATAAATAGCTCCGAGCAGCTACAGAGGCGATGTTGCAAAGGGGAGAAGCACAGCTTAGTGATCAGGAGCCCCGGGGTTCTAGGCCTGCCTTGGATCAACTGTGTGGCCTTGGCAAGACACTTCCCTTTCCTGGGGGGATGAGCATTAGTTAAGTATGAGACCCTTCTGGCTCTGATTTGTAATGACTCTGAGTTTAATGTCGGGCATACCTTTTTCTTGTTCTTTTCTTTAAAATCTTTTTAAAGATGCACAATAAGAGAGAACCACAAGCCTAGCCAGAGAAATTAGATAATTGCATTAAATACGAATATACGAACTCATAAGTTACATAAATGCAACAGTACAAAAGATGTTGCATGAGAATGTCAAGGGAGGGCTACATGAAATGTCTTAGACAATAAGTTAAGTCCTAGAGAGAGAATTGTTCAGGAAAAAAAAAAAAAAAGAAAGGAAGAAAAAGAAGACGACTTGAAACAAGAATAGGATGAATAGAGAGGTCCCGTATATCCCCAGATGGAGCACAGGGCCTGGCACTCAGGGGGCACTTGACCCATGATGCTGAACAGACTAAGGAGTGGCAGTAGAGGGTGGGAAGGGCATGCCAGGTGGAGGACACAGTTTGAACCAAGGCAAGGTGGTTGGAAAATACTAAACTGTATAAACTGTAAGAAAGTCAATTTGGCTAGAGCAGGAAAATGTGTTTGAGGGCACAGTTGGAGGTATAAAGGGCAGAGAGTGTAAGCGTTTACATTCCAAATGATAGAATTTGCACAATATTTAGTAATAATCTGAAGCCTCTGGGAAAGCTATTTTTCTTCTGATTTAAATACTGAAGTTCAAAGAGGATAGTGGGTGGGCTTTGCATCTTGCAAAAGTCTATCAGAAACTGCCTAGCTCGCTCAGCCCACTTTCCTTTCCAAGGTAAGAAACACACATTCATGCATGGAAATAAAGCAGGGAGGCCCTTGGCAACTGTCCAGTTCCATTGAAGTTCTCATTTTTCTTTTTTTTCTGGAGAGCTTATTCAACAGGAAAATAAAGTTATCTAATGCCTCAGAAAGGGGTCCCGTGAAACTCACAAGGCCTATTCCTCACAGCCCAGCCAGGTAAATTTACCCTGATTTCAGGATGGCTATTTCTTGTCTTCAACTACTCCAGCTGATCCCATCCCCTCTACAGAGAACTGGAAGGAAACCCGTCAGGGTTTGACTTTTACATGAAAACTGACTGCAATCCATATTTTCAAAAAATCATTTTCAACAAAACCAGTGCTTTAAAATAGATTCACTGAGAAGAAAATGTTTCCCCAATCCTCTCCTCCTTGATTTTGTTGAATCAATAACATTTCAAGATGTTCTCTGTGAAAATCACATGGGTGAGTTAAATAAGAACATACATTACATTATCTAGATCCTCAACTTGCAGCCCTTAGCGCAGTATGCCTGAGAAAAGTTTAAAAACTCAAAAGAGAGAAATCCTATTCAAAGAGTAAAATACTGCCTATGCTTCCAAAGTTCTTTACGGCCTGATAGGTAGAAATTTAATAATGAAGGGCTGGGAATGGTGGCTCACATTTGTAATCCCAGCACTTTGGGAGGCTGAGGCAGGTGGATATCTTGAGGTCAGTTCAAGATCAGCCTGGCCAATATGGCAAAACCCCGTCTCTAAAAATACAAAAATTAGCTGGGCATGGTGGCATATGCCTGTAGTCCCAGCTACTTGGTAGGCTGAGGCAGGAGAATCACTTGAACCTGGGAGGCAGAGGTTGCAGTGAGCTAAGATCGCACAACTGCACTCCAGCCTGGATGACACAGTGAGACACTGTTTAAAAAAAAAAAAAAAGGAAGAAAATTTAATAATGAAAAACATAAACAAATAAGTGAGTCATCCTGAGACATATTTCAATTCTCCCCTTCTGTAACCTCAATAAATTCATTTTCTCCCACATAAGCTAATGTTTGCACTAAATATTCTGTACAAAGGAATACCGCAGACCATAAAAAAAACAGTAAAAAGATATAGCTGTGTCTTTTTTAAAAAACGGTTGAAAAATTGGGTATGTGTGGACAAAATAATTTTTAAAAATAGTTTTGCTTGCACATTTGATTTCTCTCTTCATTTATGATGCCCTAGTTGATGAGCTGATCAACTTTTCTGTGAAAAGTCTTCCTAAAAAACAGAACAAAACTTAACAGAAACTCTGATCCTGTTTGTCAAAATGTAGTTCTGGCCCCGAGAGAAAGGCAATATTCTTTGGATGACTTGGATTCTAAAGCAACTCTTTTATTAGTATTATTATTTACTTTTTTTTTTTGAGACGGAGTCTCGCTCTGTCACCCAGGCTCCCAGGCTGGAATGCAGTGGTGCAATCTTGGCTCACTGCAACCTCTACCTCCCAGTTCAAGCAACTCTAGTGTCTCAGCCTCCAAAGTAGCTGAGATTATAGGCACCTGACTAATGTTTGTATTTTTAGTAGAGACGGGGTTTCACCGTGTTGGCCAGGCTGGTCTCAAACTCCTAACCTCAAGTGATCTGCCCGCCTCAGCCTCCCAAAGTTCTGGGGTTACAGACGTGAGCCACTGCACCCAGCCTGGATTCTAGAGTAACTCTTGATGAAAGAACATCATACTAAGGTGATTTTTATATAAAACATTAATTCAGTATATCAATCAGTCACTTTAATAAAAATGCCCCTCATTATCCTGAGGTGAATAGAAGCCTATGGGATTAATTTGTGTAAATAGATATTAGATTAAAATGGGAACTTGCCACATAACAATAATCAGATAGCATAGGCAATCCAATCTCAGTGCTGAATCCAGTATTGTGTGTGTAGTTACCTTTTAAAAACAGTAACATGTATTTAACTTGGACTTGCTTCAAGTAAGCACTGCATCAGGCAAGTTGGATTTCAAATAAACCTTAGCAATTGAGGGGCATTGTCGTACTGGAAGTATATCTCTTCAAACAACAGCAACAACAGTTTTAGATATTTATTTTAGAGAAATAAAGGAGACAATCTGCAAGAGAAAAGGCAGAAAGTGAGGAGGAGGAGAGTACCTAGAATCCAGGTAGAGGGTTTATTTCTAGAAAAGCAGCGCCACCTGCTGGTGGACCTGCATGTCAGGCCCTTCTGCGGCTTGCAGGCCATCTGTCTTGCAATCTATGCATAAATACACAGCAGTATTTCTCAGCTGCTGTTATACGTAAGAATTGTATTACCAGTAGGCAGATTTCTAACACACTGGTTGTAGTTTAATAATCCTATATTACCTGAAGTATGGGTTATATAAAAACCTAGAATGTTAATTGTTGACAAACCAATTCTAATATGTAAAGCACTGTAAGTCACCCAGTAAATACACAAGTAAATCAAAAGGGATAGCTCTTTTTGCTCTAACAACGTGTTATTAAAAGCCACAACTTAATCACTTACATAAAAATAATGTTCATGAATTTCGATGTACTAAGAAATCAGGAAAATGCATTATAATCTTACTAACAGAGCTTTTCCTTCACTTACAATTTAGAGGAAACTATTTTGCAGAAAATATTTTTCCCTTTCTTTAAAAAATGTACCTAAACCAACATGCCATTTAGGAAATTTGCTCCTATAACAAAACCTAGTTACAAACAACTAAGATTACATCTATAAAATGTTATATTTTTAAAATAGCAATAGAGAAGTTGTGGAAAATATGTCACTGATACAGTGAGCAGAGAAACACTACCTGTCATTTTTCAGGAAAAGATCACACAAACGCGATAGCAAAGGAACACAATAAAAAGCAGAAACAGGAATGTGATAGGTGACTCTGATTGCATCTGCAAAGGAAACTGTGAAATAAATTAACACCCAAGTACCCAAGAAAGGCACATTGTGGCTTCACTGGAAGTGATCATTATGCAACAGAGAAGGTTGGTGATTTTGTAAGAACAGAAATAAAGTGTAGCCTGTGAAATCTAGTGGTGATAACTAATGACCATACTACTTACAACTCTGATTTGATCTCTAACATAAAAAAATAAAATAAAAAAGTACTCTAAAGAATAGATGTATGCAATAGGGATTGTGTTTCTCACTTGAAACAAATAAACCTCAAATGGGATCAAAGGGCCCCGGTAAATGAAAAATGACAGTTCCTATGTTGCCCTGATTTGATCTCAAGCAAAACTACCATGCTGATAACATAGCAGGGGATGTGAGGAAGGCAGTGGAGTTCTTGGATTGCTATGAAAAGGAGGCGAGTGTGTAGCCCATTCAGCTGATGGGAAGCCCATTCTAATTCCAAAAAGTTATTGAGATTTAATCTCTAACAACAACAACAACAACAAAATAACTCATGCGGCAACCAAAAGGGTATCCTTTAAAAACACACATACACAATTTTGTTATTTCCAATACATTCTGTAGAATCTCTTTACATTCAATTCTTCCATCTGTCTAAGCTGGGTAAGGCACATGTGTGAAGAGAACCAAATGTCACAATGCTTGCTTTGAGAACGAAGTGTCTCCAGTTATCCAGACAGGGAGCTTGACTAGGAGGGTCTCAGGCATAGGCCATGGGCATCCCATCTCCCATCTCAGCTGGCTACCACTCACTCTGGAGAGACAGGGTTTCCAGGAGCAATTCTGGACAGATGCAAAGGGTGAAGGGGAATCTGGTGGGGTTCAGGGCTGTCAAGATTCGAGTTGGGGGCTTACCCTGCCTAGATATAACTCCTAGTGTTAGCTTGTGTATTAGTCCAGTGAGATAAGGTCTAGGCCATTGGCTAGGGTCTGAACAATTAAAGGTGCACACCCTGCCTTAAATATCCAAATTTATTTGGGATAAATTCAAATCAATAAGGAAACATAGGTGGATGAACAGAAGCAATGGGTTTGCCATGGCTTCCTACCCCGACTCAAATACCCAATGACATATGGAAGGAGAAAACATCAGCACCCCCAGATCCACTACAGAGCCCACCATGTGCTGTCAGCAGAAACAACGGAACAAATGTGTTACCTTCAGAAGAAGCAGTGATCAATTTGAGATCAATCTATTCAAGAGTTGTCCAGCAGTCAAAGGAATTGGCTGTTGGCTGTTCAGAAACAAAGGTTCTGTTCAAGAAGGTATAAAGGAACAAGAAGGAAGAAAGGAAGATCTCTAGCCTTGAGACTTTTTTTTTTTTTTTTGCCTCTGGTTCAGCTTCTCATGAAAGACCTTTTTCCTTGAGATACATGCTTAATAAACTATGGAAACATATTGTCAACAGAGTTTACATGTTAATCAGCCATTTATTGAATTCACACTGTGTGTCTTGGTTACTGTGTGCAATATGCTAAGAATTCAAAGACCAATTTTGACTTCTACAAAAACCTCAACATAAAAACTGTCTAATGGGGTTTACATGAAATGTTACAGGCTTACAGAAAAGAGATTCACTTTTTCTAATTTGGTTTCCGGGTGGGCTAGTTAAGAAGGCTTCACAGAGATGGCAGTACTTGAGCTGTACCTTCACAGCAGAGGTTGGCCAACTTTTTCCCTAAAAGGCCAGATAGTAAATATTTTGAGCTTTCTGGGCCATACCCTTTTTGTTACAATTACTCAGCTTTGCAGTTGTAGCCTGAAAGCAGCCATGGACACTGAGCAAATGAATGGGAGTGACTATGTTACAAGGAAACTTTACTTACTACAATGGATGGCAGGCCAGACTGGGCCCATGGGACAGTGTGCTGACCCCTGCTCTGAAGGATGGGTAAGTTTTAATCTGCTAGAAGCAGAGAGGAAAAGAATCACAGTCTCAGGAAAAGGTTCCAGAAATGTGTAAAGTAATGAGAATAAGACGCTTCTAGAGAATTGTTAGATGATGGATGCTTATGTGGAGAACGGAACTAGGGAAACTGGTTGAGGCCAAACTGCAAAGGCTTTGAATGCCATTTTAATAGCAGAAAGTTGGAAATTATCCTCTTAAAAAACAAGGAACCATCAAAAGGTCTCTCTCTTTAAAATGGGATAACATGACAAAGTCTGTGCTTTAGAATACTAAAGTTGGTGGTGGTTTGGTGGCAAGAGGAACTAATTGAAAGGTTGAAGGGCAACAATGGCAGACTAGCTGAAGAAGAAATGAGCATGTGAGCTTGGCAGTGCCACTGGCAATGGTGAGAAAAGGTTCGAAATGTAATCTGGAGGCCAAATCAGAGGACTTGGCCATCGGTAGGAGGAAAGAGAGAGTGTTACAGGGTAAAACTCAGAATTTCAAATGTGCATATTGATACTCATTCCACTCATCCCTAGACCTATCCACACATCAGGTCTGCTGAAAGAAAGGGATAGTGGTAAGGCATGGGTGAAAAACTTGGGCCCAGTCTTGGCCTTGCTCCAAGCACTCATCTAATTAATTACAAAATCAACAAGAAACAGAGCCCAGCTACTCATAAAGCAAGGTAGGAAAGGTGATGATGTGAAGTCTCAACACCAACTGGACCTCAAAGATATGGCCAGACATGGTGGTGCACGCCTGTAGTCTTGGCTACTTGGGAGGCTGAGGTGAGAGGATTGCTTGAACCTAAAAGTTCAAGGCTGCAGTGAACTATGATCACACCACTGCACTCCAGCCTGGGTGACAGAAGGAGGTCCCATCTCAAAAAACAACAATAACAACAGAAAAAGATGAGTTGAGATCAAGACCATCATCAAAAAAGAAATTTTGATGGAATTTGAAAGGACAGGAATGTCTTCTTTCCCCATCTGTTCTCCTCTTTTTGTGTTCCAACTTTCCCTCCCTCTCCCAAAAACACATTGAATTTGCTGACGATCTCCAGACCTATTTTAGGGATGGACAAGCCATAAAGAAGGGGTTTCAGGGGGATGAGGAATGATGAGACCTGAAGTCACAGTTTTCTAATGATCCCAGGACCTAAGGATTCTAACAGCTGGGCTAAAATCTAAGACACACATTTATTTTCATCCATCAAATCTGTACTATTCCAACTAGGAAGCCTCTTTTGCCTGGAGATGGTGTCCCCGTTTGGCCCTATATGCTTCCTGCTACACGATTTCATTCCTGGAGACCTGGCAATAACAAAACAAGGTGTAACAAATATGATGAGGAGGCTCTTTGGGGAGGTCAACAGTTAGCATTCATTGTGGGAGGGCAGGGCCATTTGTAGAGACACTGCATATGAACTGGTCTGGGATAGCTTCAGTAGCTGACAATGTTCTGATTACTAATAACCCCCAAATCACTGGAGCATAGATAATACCAGGACCCCGGGTTAGGGAGAGGGCCTTTTTCTGTGCTTTCCTTGAGGAAAATAAAAGACACCTTGGAAGAAAACAAGCTGACAATAAAGTAGAAACCTGTAAGAATCTTCTGGGCTCTTTCGGTGTGTCCCTGTGCGCCCAGTTCCTGCCCTAGAAGCTGCGAACTCACAGACAGAAGACTAACACTGATATACTACGAGGTTTCTACACACATAATTGTTCCTCACAGGACCTACCACGATGTTGGGTAATAGACATCAGCATTTTAGAAGGATTTATAACAGTAAGGATTGAAGCAAAAAGGACTTTTAGCCTTTCTCAATCAGAAGAAGGAAGATAATCAGAGTCTCAGAGTTTAAAGGAAACTTAGAAATATGACCTTCCAATTTCCTCATTTTACACACAAATTTTGCAAGGCCTACTGGATAGTCAAGATGGAAATCAATGTTCTGGGGAGATATAGCTGTCTCTTGGTATTTTTGTTGGCTTATTTCTGTTGGGACAATTATTCCATGACCTAGAAATTAAACAAATTGACTCCATTTAACTTTTATAGTCTGTTATACTAAGCTGTTCAACTCTCAGCCACTATCTGTGGGCTTCTCTGCCTGTAGCTGATATGACCTCTTATAAGGCTAGCTTGATGACAGTCAGTCATTTGAAAAAAAAAAAAGCACTAGTTATGGTTAAAGTGGCTTATCATTATTATTTCCATCAATACTATGGGAGATGGCAAGCTTCTGATCTAGCAGTCCACTCATCCGCTATGTGATCTTGGTCAAGTTCATCTCTGTTTCTTTGTTAATTTCATATGTTAATGAAGGATGATAAAAATAATAATTCAACATATACCAGGCAATCTTTATATATATTCACTCACTGAATTCGTGCAACCACTCTGTGAGATAGGTCCTTATTATCTCCAGTTTATAGATGAGGAAGCTAAAAAATAGTGAAGTTCTGGAACTTACTCAAAGTCACATGGTAGTAGGACATGATGTCTATGCTGGGGATGCCTAGATGAAATGAGATGATGTTGGTGCCTTGAGAAGCACAAAGACTCAAACACACATAAGACATTACTCTTATTATAGCCATGAGCATCTACTTGGTGAACATGTCAAAGCATGACTTCACCAGGACTTACTTCCAAAGTTTCCAGAAAATTCACAGATCTCACCCTTGTATCTGCCTGCTCTGACGTTTCCTAGAATTTCAGGCTGTAATTGCCAACAAGATCTCTCAGTTCACTGCACAGTGAGGGGAATGGCATCAGAATCCCCTAACATAGAGAGGAGGAAATACAGGAGATGTCTGCCTGTTTCCCATCTTCATCTTAATAGAAGATGTTTGTGAAGGAGCAGTGTTTCCAGCAACCAGCCCCTTGCAAATTTCACATTCATGCCCTAACTTCCAGACCCTGTGACATGACCTGAGCCCCTTCCTCCCTGTCTTCATTCCTAGCATAGTTGCAGCTTTTATTTTCACCTAGCATCTCTCTTCTCTGCAGGTCATTGTGCATCCCTTCTCAGTAACATCTGTTTAGGGCTTTGGTTTTGAAGCATCCCTGCTGGATATGTTCTCTCAGTTGGATACGTTACAGGCCATATGTGGAAATTTACTCATCTGCACTGAAGAAATGGCCAGATCAGCCTTGACAAAATGCAGAGAGCATTTCAGAACCATTCAAAGGTAAGGGAATGCTTGGTGCAGCCTGAGAGAGCTTTGAGAACAATCAGGAAAACTCTTCCTTGGCTTGAGCAGAACAAACAGAATAATGGCTCCTAATAGGTAATAGCTATGAGACATTCAGCTTTTGGATACCTCCACGCGGGAGGAATCATTTGGGTGCTGCTGTTGCATTCAAGCTGCCTACCTCGAGTCAGAGTCAAATTACCCTGACCGCCATAAAAGGCCTCGAATGTTGCTCTACATTTGGGCAGGTTGATGTGCCCACCTGCAGATGCTGACACCTCTCTAGCTACAACAGACTCCTTTCCTCACATGAGCCCTGCCCAATGCATTGGTTTTATGCTGCCCTGACTCACACCAAAATAATCAGGTTTGCTGAAATTAATAAAACTGAATGTGAATGTCACAAGTCCTTGATTTTCCAGAGCAAATGCTCTATATGTGGTAGTAACCCTGCCACTCCTCATTGGAAGCATTGGTGGATTTTTGCCTATGTGGTTTTTTCTGGTACTTTGTTTCCAGATCTTCTTTCCCATAATTTATCCTTCACAAAGAATATCAATTGCACCTGCCATTTGATCATTTTCTAGTTCCTTCAGTCATGTCCTTGTTCTTTCTTACTACATTTTTCCCTCTTACTCTTCTTGTACATCCCAGTTTTTTATGTTTACATATATATACTATATAGTAAGTTGCTGCTTAGAAAGTTTTGGGAAGCTTCATGGATCTAGGGCGATCTGGCTTCTAGCACATCACCAATTCCTTTAAGGGTTGGGAAGCCCTTCATTTATTCATTCTTTTACTCATGAAATATTTACTGAACTGGAATCCTTCAGGCCATTTCCTATTCAAGTACTCTTGCCAATATAGGAAGCCCAGCCAAGGATGTCAGCATGCTACATTTTTGACCTTGGAGGGAGGGAAGGCAGCCCCTGGGTCCTTTCTTGACTGAGTGTGATCCAACAGGCTCCAGCCCAGAAAGCTGACATTGGCCAAAATGAAGATCATTTTAATGCAAGCAGTCAGCTCCCTTCCCAGAAGATAGCCCATGCTCTATGGTGTGCAGATGCCCATCTATGCACTGTCGATACAGCTGGTGCAGTGCCAGCTCTAGGGCTGGAGTCTTTCTCACTTCATTTATAAGTCTCTCAGTGCAGTCGATCATCCCTAATGCAGATCTGCCTCAAAAGATTCCATTTTCTATTTGCATAGGGTTTTCTCTGCAGCTCTAGGAACATTTGGTGGGACTCATCTTGCGGTATTGAAGGGGCTAGAATGAAAACTTTCAGATTTACTAGAAAAGGCTGGGGGAGTTTTTTCTTGCTGTTTCCCTTGAATATGAGAGATTAGCTCCCCCTGAGGATGACCAAATGAGATGGTCTGAGAAGAAAGGCCACTTTTGTTAGTCCTGCTCATCTGAGCTGGACATCAAAAGAATGTCTCCTCAGAATAAAAATCTGTGGGCATGTGTAGCAATCTCCCTCCAAAGCAGGCACTATCTAGCTATTTACAGAAAGGCCTTTGCAATTCCCTCTGAGATTTCAAATGCAAGGGTCTGACAATGCTGGATTTAGCTCTGTCCATTTAGATTCCCTTTGGGAAAAAGGTCAGCTGGGGAAGCAGAACCCCTGTAAGCAGATGTGGCGATGGAGGGTCCCCTGACTATCCAGGTAATTCAACAAGCTGGTTTGGGAGAAAGCCCCAGAGAGAGAAGGACAACACACAGCTGGTTGGCTTGGTGCATTTTGCCACATTGCACTTCCAGAAGTTGGCATTCTCAGCATGCACAGCCTACCACCATGAGGGAACCCAGGACTCAAGTGCTTTTCCATGCAGTTTTAATGACCCCCTGAGGTCAATGGTGTACACAAATGCCACAATCACGGATGCTGACATAAGTAAGGACACAGACAAAGGTCTTATGCACAAAGCAGTAAAACCGAAAAGAAAATTGTGCATGATACTTAGAAATGCCACATGACTTCTTTAGGACTCTGTGTGGCAGTACTTCACAGGAAATGTGTTTTGTATTTCCACTCGAGAAGGTTAAGTGTTTGAAAACTACAGTGGATTTTCAGTGAATGGGATGTGAAGCACTTTATTATTTTCCCCCCATCGATGTAAGGAGACATGCTGACTTCCTGAGAAAGGAGGAGAAAAGTCTCCTTGCCATATACAGGGATTTAAAGAATAATTCCCATGAGCTCTAACTGAAGCTACCACCTGCAGCTGGAAGCAAGAGCCTCAGCGCTGGCCAGCTGTCCCCACTGGTGGCTCCCACTTGCTTTGTGTCTGCTGCTCAGCCTGAGCCAATACTTCACACCAGCAGGTGAGAGCTGCCTGCCTGTCACCTTCAACACACTCAAGATGTAAGATATATTTGAACTGGGGAAGATGATGAGGAATAAGGAAGAAATAATGGTTAGGAAAAGGAAACAGAAGCAGTAGATCCCCAAGGCCAGTGGTAGTGGATGCAGCCGAGTGGGTCTCCTAGTCCTGGGTCAGGGGTCAGGAAATCTTCCTCCAATAAGAAGGAAACTCTAGCAAACCCAGCTAGGAATCACAATGGCTGCCAGGTCAGCTGGGGAGAATTAGGCTCATGGAATTCAGCTGCTCCAGAGCCACTAATTAAACTGTCTTTTAAAGACTGTAACTTCTTGGATTTGCATCTGGGCAATGTGCTTCACCTGCAGGGTCCTGCAGACTATAGATCAAGTCTTCCTTCTGAAGGCTTCTCAGAACAGCTGGGGCCCGCCCACAACAGGCTCCCCTCTGTTTGTCTCCTCCCCGAGAGGGGGGCTTCCAGCTCCCCTCTAGTCAGTCCCTTCCTCCCCTGCAGCCACAGCAGCCCTCCCAAAACAAAGCCTCTGTTAGGTCACTTCCCTGATCAAACACCAATATGATAGTGTCGCACTGTCTAAAGACTTTCTATCATATTACAGACTAAGAACAAAACCCTTGGCCTGGCCCCTGCCAGGAATGGGGCCCCATTTTACCCTTCAGGGGGGTCAATTCCCTGCATGCTAAGTAAGTCTTAAACTCTAGCCAAATTGGGTGGCCAGCTGCTGTGCAGGAGGCCCCCCCAGGACTCTCTACATTATCTCGAGGTTTCATTACCAGAATCCTCACTTTTTTCTCCTCCCTTGGAGATTAAGTGACTTATCCATCATATTCAACTGCAAGAGTAACTGAGCAACTCAACCGACTCCACACTCTGTGGAGCCACACGGCCTGTGTTGAAATCCCAGCTCCACCAGTCACTGGCTATGAGACCCTTGGCAAGTCATGAGACTGTGACATGAGGCTATGAGACCCTTGGCCAGACTCACTGGCTATGAGACCCTTGTGCCTTAGTTGCCTTATCTGTAAATGGGGCACATTGCAGATGTCTCAGGTTATAGTTGCCTCAACTGCAAACAGCAGTTACCACATAATAAGGGTTAAATTAATTAATATTTGTGGTAATAGGGGGAGTAGTGCCTGTAATGCAGCAAATGCTATATAAGTGTTAAATTTAACAACAGCAACAACACATACACACATCCTCCCTGTGTACTCAGAGTTGCTTGCACACAGTAAGAGTAGAGACTACACTAATTCTAGTCGTAACATGAATCCAAGTTAACCAACTAGCCATTTCTTAGTAATGCTGTGTCAACAAGTCTCACTCCCTTGGTGATGCAGTATACACAGAATATAGATCTCTTTGGGGAGTGACCCCATGCTCAGATAAGACTAAAACATGATGCTAGCCTCAAAAGAGAAACATAATTTTTCAGCAAATGTTGGTAGTATGCCTCCCTCTGTCTCTCCTCACCAATGAGCATGACCTGCTTATGATTACTAGGTCCACTCCATTCTGGTTTCCATTTTTGGCTGCTCTGTGCTTGCAGCTTCTAGGCTTCACTGGGAGTCAAAGATCCCAAATGTTAAGATCGTTTTGAAGAGCATGCTGGCAAATGTCCTAAATGTGCTGGGCCAGATGACAAGCATCCATCTCCGATGAAGGAAGTATCCAACTGAAATGATGGGCACCATATGAGAAGGAGAATCCCAAGGCATGATGGAAACCACAGGTGCTGCAGACCCACTGTCCGTTTCTGTCTGGATGGGGAAGGAAGGCAGGATGCAGTGAAGCCTGTGCCACTGCCCCACAAGCCTCTCTCGAGTGACTTCACACCATTATTGGTCTGATACTAATTTGAGACAATACCCAATCACATCACAACAAATTAGCCACAGACACGTGATAGCAATCAACTCAGGGGGCGATCCTGAATGCGGGCTGGGGGATTCTCCAGCTCCGTGAGCCGCACGCTCCCACAGATGTTTCTAAAAGCGTCTTCCCAGAGGCCCATTTAGAGAGAAATTAAATGCAACTTCGACTTAATTAACGTTTTAAATGATAATGAATACAATGTAGATTCATAGGAGGCATTTACATTGTGTTGTAAAATTGATAAAAATTTAATAACTCTTTGTTAATAAGTTATGTCTCCCCAGACCCATAAAGCCTAAGGCGCTGCAAACTCCACACTGGGTCTAATCGAGGCTCCTGGTGCAGGTGGAGGAAAGAGGCAGAGACGGACTTGACATTTGCTCCAAGCCTGCTCTAATTCAAACCTCTGCTTGTTCATCAGTACTTTATTTCATACAGTAAAGGTCAGGATTTGGGCTCAAGGCAGAGCCTTGACAAGAAAGCTCAAGTGGAAGGCGGGCTGGCCCTGGCATCTGTCGCCTGAGATAGTGGAGGAGGATGGAAGATGAGGAGCTAACTGGCCACATCTGCCCTCCACCATGGAGGTAAGAGGAAGCATTCACTGCCTGGTGGTAGAAGCTGTCAGGATGAGTATCCTGAGAACCGGCCACTGTCCTGAAATAAAAAAGCAAACATAATTTCTATGTCACCTTGCATAAGGGCCTCTTCTGGGCTTACATGAGGCATGCCAACATCTTTTCTAGTTTGTCCTTAAAGAGCCGAGTCATTTATTACAGCATGGTGTCCCTGGGAAGAAAGGTGTCCCATGATGGGGTATACACAAAGGACCCTGTCAGCTTCCCTCATTCTGACCTTTCTCCTTCTTGTTTCCCAATCCTGTTTCAAAGAATTTCTTTTGAGAAGTTGGCTGCCTTTTGCCTACTGTTCCCGTCTCCTTTCATCTACCTGCAGTACATCTTCATAGTGTATTCATCTTCAGGAATTCAACCATACTCTTTTTTTGGAAGGTGGTGAAAGCACAACAAGGTCCCCAAATACAAGCCAGTGACTTTACCTGACACTCAACTGAAACAACCAGCTATTTATTCTGGAGAAGAACCCAGTGTGTTGGGAGCTCTTGACAGATGAGCGATGTAAAGGATCCTTCTCAAAGGCAATTTTGCCCAAGCATGATTTCTGCCTTACAATGCTGATTTAAGAAGCTGCCCACTGCACAGAGTGAGCTAAGGCCCACAGTAAGGCATATTTCCAGTCAACCTATGGCTCAGCGTGGCTATCACAAAATCAAGCAAGAGGCAGTGGCTTCTGTAGCCTCACCTGCTACCAATAAGAGTGTCTTAAGAAGCCCCTTCCAGGCCCATCACTAGGTCTTAGTCACAGGGGATGACCCAGTGGCTGCCTAGGCCGATCTGCCACTCTGTTTTTACTTCCTGCAATGAAGTACAAAGGGTCAAATCAAGACGCATGGGCCAGGGTAACTAAAGAGCCAGGGGACAACCCAAAGGCTCTGGTAGTGTTTGGTGTGCACATGTGTGATGGATATTGACACAGAGAGAGAGAGAGAGCGCACTCACATCAGCACGGCAAGCATGGGAAGATGGGAGAAAATGGAGACTCAGACGAACAGGCTTTAAAACTAATACATGAAAAACTATGATCACATCGATTCGTGCTTATTATCCTTGGCTCTCCTTTTTCTGTCTTTTTCTCACTGGTAGTGGTGGTGGAAAGAGGGGAGTAATTGATTTTAGGGCCCAGAAGTAAAATAAGCAAATAGAATTTAGGTTTGGGGAATTTGAGGAAGTCACCTAAAACTGCACATAAAAGGAATGAGATAATTATAGGCTGTTGATTTTTAAATGTAGCTTATTAAATTAACTCTCCTTTAACAGGCGTTGGAGACTGTCAGGATAGGGTGTGTCCTATTATAGACATTTTCCTAGAGCTGTTTCCACCCCCTGCCCTTGTATCTGATTTTATGTACTTCAAAATGCCATTAGTTCACTTAAGTGACTTTAGTTCTATTGACAATGTTAATTCTCTGTCTGCACAAACCAAAGGCTACTCAGGATAAGCTGATTTTTGTTTATTATCTGACAAGACTCGATATTACACTAAACTGATTTTGGTACGTCTCCCTTCAACCTAATCATATTGGACTTCTCTCAGCTTAACCATCGGAGTTGAATGCCTTCTTGTATTATATTTATACCCAAAATAAAAGTCATGTGTAATTTAAAATTAGCTACAGTAGTTTGCAAAAGGCTGCATGTAATTGTGCAGGTTTAAACAATTAGTAAATTGAAAGGTTGGTGTGAGCAATCACACATGTACTTTAGCTAAAGCTGGTTCCAAGTGCAAGTCTAAAGGTCTGCTTCTCTTCTACCACAGGATTAATTTGTTTGTGCCAGAGTTACTGATGCTTTGTGACTAGAATCATGTCAGGCAGGTCTCAGCAGGTCTGAATCAGTATGGCCCTACGTTGCCACTGCATCATAATTTTAATTGTCCCTTTCTATTACATTTAGCAATCAGATAGCAGGCAAGACTGAAATAACAAGAATAAACTTCTAAAGAGAGAGAAAGGTCCATTTTACAAAATTATAGTGGGAAGAAATCGTACTGATTGGAATCTACTTCTATATTTATGTGCATGTGTATGTTGCTAGACATTCATTTTTTACATTTAATAGTACTAGAACACAGCTACTTGTGAAAAAGCCGAGGCCCATACCATCCTGATGTCTTTTGAGAGAGCTGGGACTCTTGCCCAGGACCATCTGAAGTGGAAACAAAACCAAGATGATCATAAAATGACACTCTATGCACTGATTCTAGCCTACCATATTGAACATTTCAGTCTTGCCAGAAATAAAATCCTTTTGTGATGAATCCTTATCGGTCACAATTTGCCTTACTTTTCTGACACCTTTTATTTTGATTTTTGTCTTTCCTAAACTAGTCCTTCCCCTCTGAAGTTCTTTTGGTCAACACAGTCTGGCCTTCCATCTCCTCCTGAGTTCAACAGAAGACAACTATCATAATAGCACATGACTCAACCGATCCACAGTAATGGGCCACACCTCCATAGAGGGGTGCACCGAGCAGGCAGCCCCTGTTGTTAGAAGGCAGGTTTTCAGAACTGTGTGAGCACTTTTAATATATTACCATTCCTCTGGGAACCAGCTACTTCTCTTCCCACTTCACAAAACACATAATGGGACTTTGTGTTTCAATTTAACATCCCTTGAAAACGGAAATTTTTCCCCTTATAAGAAAAAAAATAGAGTAAAGAGGGAAACGAAAGGAAAGAGAGAAATGAATTAGGCAGTCTCCAAAGCACACTGGCTCAACTGGGAAACTGCGACCAAAGCAAGCTCCATAATAGTATAATGACCTTTAATGAGTGTCTTGGGAAACAATACAGCCCTAGCATAAAAGACAAAGGGCAAAACTCATCATGGCTCTGCTGACACTAATTCAAAATGATTTTCAGAACAACTAAAGAATGTAAGAGAAGTAATCTGATCCGCCCATCTGACCTCACTTTGATTCAAGGGCCCTTCTCCTGCCATTTCTAATTGTCAAACCCTCTACATTTCACATCTGTTCATATTTAATGAAAAGCCCACTCTCACCACTGCTCTTGAGTCAACTTGCTCTGTCAAATGGGCACCACCCAACTCCACCACCAGCGAGGGATGCCTGGGGATTGCTATTGGAGCACTGCCAGTGGAATTTCACATAGAGACAGACATTTTTATAATTGGAGAAGAAGGGCTTATGCAGGCCCAAAAAGGGGCTCAAATTGGAATGGATTTTTCTAACTTATTATTAATGGTCAAAGGTGAGTGGTCTCACACAGGGATGGATGAAATCTGCTTTTGTTTGATGGAGTGATGACGGCAGGACGACTGATGAAACGGAGAAGGCAAATCGCCCCCTGAGCTGTCAATACCAGTTAAGGCTTCAACACGCAGCCCAAAGCTCCACGTGTTCCCTGGTGGGGGCTGATTTTGGAGGCAAGGGAGGGACAACATGCCACTCACAGAATGTTTCTTAGAGAATGGGACAATCCCACCCCAAGGTTTTCTTCTCCCTGGTCTCCATCAATGGTTGGATTAAATTGCACAGCTGAGAAATCCCTCTAATTAAGATTTCTCTTGGATATAATGGAAATTACACACACTGGGCACCATGGGGTCTACATGGGGGACACAGAGTGTGCTGTGATTGGTATTGTTGGCCAGTGCCAAGACATGACCAAGGGGCCCTAGCTCAGAGCCAGAGTGGCTCCTTTCTTTTCTCCACTGAGTCTAGGCTAAGGTTTTAGAGCCTCATGATTATTTGAGAACAGAAGTTGTGCATTAGGCAGAAGAGTAACCCGGGGGCTTGTGGTTACTTTCACCACCATCAGTCAAAGAGATGTGACCAATTCATGCCACCTCAGGCCCTCCTCTGCTCTTCCTCCCCAGCACCTATCTTTGAACTTGGTGTCTTGCTGCACATCGTAGACAGACAAGTTCTCTGTGCAGCTGTGCCCTAGCTTATCTCTGTAATGGCATGCAAACTACAGATAACTCTTCAGGGGAAAATAAAGTGATAAGGATTCATATGGTAGCATCTAAGGATTGTAACAGAAATCTTTCCAAGATTTTAGGCCCATATGGCAGTCCACACTCCCTCTCAATGCAACCTCCATTAGGTATTACTTTGAAGTGAATCCTGTCCCTTGGCACTGCTCTGGAGCAGCAGGAAATCGTGAATCAGAGAGAATGACTCTCTGGTCCTAGATCAAAGTTTTCCAAATGCCTCTAATATGGCTCGATGCACAAATCATGCTTTGCACTTGAACTTTGGGCCCAAACATAAGCACCTGGCATGGCACACAGTGAAGTCCCGGTTCCCTGAGCCCTAGAGGCCTCATGGATCCCGGCTACACAGCCGCACTCTGCTGGGACCAGCCTCAACACCAGCACAGGGGAGTCAAGCCAGTTCATTTTCCATGGGAATAAATGCTTAAGAGCTCAGTGATCTTCTTCCTCCTGTCGTCAGTGTACACCTACCCCTGCTAGGAAAGTGTAGCTCAACCAGCTCTGAGCACTTGGAAGGTGAGAGGACAGGGAGCAAGAGGTTAGCAATATATGTGTTGGCTGCTTTAAAGAGGAAGGGAGGAAGTGCAGAAACGAGAACCATCTCCTACCTTCTATGCTACCAAAACATGAAAACAAAGTTATAGTTATACTTCAAGTAAAGTCCTCCAGTGGAACCACAGCCTTTTCTGCACTTGGACCAAGACCCACAGTCCCAGGGTCTCAAACTGGAGCTTTCAGGAACTTCACTTATGAACCGTATCAGGAAAACAGCAAAGTCCATGGGGAAGCAAGGATAAGGGAGGTCTCAGGAAACTGGCACATCTCAGCCTTGCCAGCTACCAGCTGCATAGCCTTGACAGGTTCTTTAACATCTCTGAGCTTGTGGATGACAAAGAAGACTGACATCAGAGGCCTGTGCTATGGACTCAGGGATATCACAGAGGTTTCTGACTTAAATTTTTTGTTGGCATTTGGAATCACAATTGCTGCAAGATACCTTAGTTAAACAGGGGCTATACTATTGGAAAAATAAAAGATATTAATGGAACAGTCCTTCAAAATAGTCATCATTCTGAGAAAAAGCTCTGTAATCCACTAGCCCAGTGCAGGCTGACAGACATAGAAAACTCGTTTCCAGAACAAAAGACAAAATCTGGCACTGGAGGAATGAGGCACAGGTTAGAGAGACATAGTAAAAAGAAAATATATATATATATATATATATATATATATATATATATATATATCCATCTGCATCAAAACTCTGTTGTATTTTGGAAACTATCTAAGAAACTATCTAAGCTCACTAAAAGCAATTCAATGCTAGAGCTGGCTTGTTCTCGCTACACCCTTTCCTTCCTCCCTTTGATACAATTCAATTTACAGCCATTTCAAAAATATTAACATGTACACTTCTGCATATCTCTGTATTAATACAGTAGGTGATATGCTGTCACTTTAATTTCCATTTATATTTATTTAAAGGAGAGAGAGGAAAGATATCACCAGACTGTAATATCACAGTCCTGCATGCTGTTACGAGAAGCGTAAGTTAAGAAAATCAGAAGGGAGGCCTTCCTAGGCACGTACACAGAGACATAGGCAGCTGGGGCAACATGTCAGCACACAGGAGTTCACACTGGGAAGAAGACATCAGCCCGACTGACTCAGAACCACAGGGCACAGCACAAGACAGGGATGATACCACAGACAGCACAAACATGGAACTACGTGTGTTGAGGTTAAACTTACAGGCACGGAAACTGGTGGAGCAATCATTAACAGAGACAGAAGAAAGTGGGAAGGCTCTCTCAAGGGTGTCCACGTTACCACGCACACGGCCTGACATGCATGAGCAGTCACGCTCAGAACGTCCGCAATCAAAACAACATGCCCGTCTCATTCTCTTGTAGATGGACATCTTGGCTATAACCGTGTGGTTGGATGGGAGGAGAGGAAGAGCGGCAATTAATGGCAAGGTCACACACAGCAAGGCAGCTGGAAGGGAGCTGAAGGGATTTAACACAGGTCTTAGTTCACTTTAACAGTCTTGACCCAGAAAAAAATGCAGAGTGATTGTTGGTAACAGTTTGGTTGTACATCAAAAAAGCAGCGAAAATATAAATTGCCTTTATCGTCTCCCAAGGCTGTTGCACATGATTTTTCTCCCCTAGGTAAAGCGGTGACCACAGGAAAAGGGCATGGCTGAATACACTCGGGTTCTCAAATGGGAAGAAGAGCAAATTATCGACAGCAAAAAACGTAACCAACACTTTTCCCCTGATATGATTAATACAGGAGGACAAAATATACACACTGCCAATCAATGAAATTAGCTGCTTATTTGGTATAATAAATGGTTTTTGCAAGATGCAAAAATATCTAATATGTAGGCTTTCTAATTTCCATCCATTTCTGGGCATTAGGCAGAGGCTGGGACAAGCTTTCATCAAATTAGATGTGAAACGATTACGTGTTAATACAGTATCTAAGGATGCCTTTGCTGAACTTCCCGAGAGTGAGTTTATATGATGGCTACAGGAATTTAAATTTACTCTTGACAGAACAAATATCCAAATCTGTCCATATAAGAAATGCAGCTACTCAAGACTAACGCTGCAGATTTGACATTAAAGGCAGTTCACAAATAAGAAATCACCAAAAGCATATGAGATGTTGCTCTATTGGAATGCATTTAGCTACTCATGGGTGTATTTTCTGCTTAAAGCTGAGAGGATCTGAAAATCGCATCTGCCTTTCTCTCCCCACCAAATAGAAATTCAGGAAGCAATCAGGCTATTGGTTAATCATATTATTTCTTTTTTCCTTATACAGAAAATATTCGCCAAAATCGATTAAAACTGACAAAACATGAAATAGAAGAATAGGTTCCACGTGAAATATCTTAATGCAATTTGCATGCAGCATTGATAGCTCTTCTAAAGCTGGTATGGTAGGTTCTGCACTGCCTGGGGATCCAAACTGAGTGGTAACCTATAAAAGTTGTTGGAAGTCAGCATCGTAGTTTCCAATGCCCTTCACCTTTGCCTTTCAAGCCAATTTATATTTCAGTACAAGAGAAGGTTTTTGTACCTCATTTTGATGCTACAACAGGCAAACATGTTTGCTTATCACTTATCATGAACTGGCCTGCTTCTCTCACGAGGTGGGAGAAGAATTCACATTTATTCTAAGCATTACTGCCAAATGGTAAACCTAAACTGAGGAGGTGTTATTCCCTGCACCCACACCTTCCATTTTGAAAGTCATTTCCCCCACTCTTTCTTTTTCTTTGTAGAGAATGGTTGCACTCTTATTTTAAAATATGGCTTGTGGTTTTGCCCTCTTTGAATGTTACAGTCACCAGGAAGAGGGGTTTAAATCTCTCAAATGGGTCAAGTCCTGTTCTAAGACCTTTATGACTTGCCATACAGTATATTTGTCAAGCAAGGGTAACGTTATGATTGTGAAGAACAGGCACTGGGGGAGATGAATGAGAGATCTCTTCAGCAGCAACTCCATTCTTGTAAACTTGGCTCACATTTTTAGTGACGTGTTCTTTTAGTGTCCTAGCTAGTCTGTTGTTCAGATCATCATGCAGCCCCAGCCCTGTTCAATGGTGGTATATCATTCCTTTGAGCTTTAGCTTTTACCAAAAAAAAATAAAAAATAAAAAAGTTCCACTATAGCATTTGAATCAGAGGAATTTAGAAGGCATGGTGTGAATGCCCAGACATCCCAAACAAACAGCAACGGCTGAAGTCAAGAAAGGGAAAAAAGTCTTCAATTAAAGACATGAACATAAATTTATCTTAAATGCATCCGGATCTGGCATACAATCTGCAGACATTCCCTTGTTTTCTCTTTCTTATTTCTTTTACTGGAAATATTGATTTGTTATTTACACAGAAGAGGGAAACAAGGATGATTTTTTTGCTTCACCGTAGATAAATCATTTTGAAAAACAATTTTTTTAATCAAATGCTGTAGCAGAAGAGAAGCCCATCAAACTCTGGAATGCTATGCTTCTCATTAGCAACGGTCCCTGGTTTTCATTTCCATACTGCCATTTTGGGTTTATGTACAATAATAGAATCTGACACATTTGTGGAGAAAGAAAGTTCTTATAAATATACCGTCTTTAAGGATAAGGGGAGGGATGATGGGGATGAAATAACTTTTGAAACTATTTGTTCAGAGGCAAACAGATCAGAATGGGTGATGTAAACCTCCTCCTTGATATGAGTTCAGGAGGAAACACAGTGACAAACCAGTGGCTCTCAGGGACTGTTTGCAACTGTTATTGTTAGCCGTTCTGGCGACCATGCATTGTTCTAAAATTTCTTATTGTTAGCATGCAGGAACAGGCTGAAACTGGTAATCGAAGCAGCAAAAAACCATGTGCTATAAGAAGATTAACTGTTAATTATAAGCAGTCACATTCCAAAGCAGCATATGCATAAAAAAGAAAACATGCTATTACTTGTCATTCCTTCCCAATCATTTTTACACTCACACCAAATGCAAAATAGAAATCTCAAAAGACAAACAAGTGCCACCACACACACACACACACACACACACACACACACACACACAAAATCAGCAAGAACGATCAATGAGAGGCTCAAAGACAAGACAGAAACAGTTAAAAACTATTGAGCCCCACATGTTGACAAACCTTCATGAATCAGAATGTCTAGATCAAGGTGCCACCAACTGGGAAGGTGGCTCTTTTTCGCTACTGCTGGCATAGTCCATTTCCATTGACTCCCTGTCAGGTATCTTCACCTAGAGACTTCTGGGTCCACTTTCTTAAAAGGTAAGACCTCCCATCTGGTGGAGCGATTCATCAGGCTTGAAGGATATGAGTACTGGCCAGGAAGAGCTCTCCTCTGGGCCATTATACAAATCATGAACAAACTCTTTAACTAAAAGCTGATGAGGAGTTGTCTCCCTGGTGGTAGATGTTCCAGAAGAATTGAACACTCTCTGTGTAAAATTATACTCTTAAGTTGTAAAATTAAATTATATCAAAGTTAAGTCATGGACCTCCTAATTTGGAAATTACCACCCCTCATCTCTCTCAACTCTCTCTGGCTTCCTAACCCTTCAATTTTGTTACAGTGAATCATGGATATTCAGAACCACTGGTGTTTTGTTTCCATTTCTCAGTGACTGTTTCCTTTTCTAGAGCTGATTTAGGTTAGAAGGTTAATTTTAGATATGAAGAGTTCCACTTTAAATTCCCAAGGTTAGGTCTCAAAGTGCAACTTTGAAAATTTCAGGATTTATTTCAAACAGAAGTAAGTTTCTTATCTACTCCCTGGCCACACAAAGCATCCTCTCTCCTTTGGTGTTTGCTAATTTTCTTTCTTACGTAGTCACCCATTGTTCCCTTCCCAAATCCCAATTCTCAGACAAGGTTTTCCCCAGGATGTCAATGGTAATACAAAGTAGATCTATGAGGACATCTAGTGGATCAATGTGGAAGAGCAGCTAGTTCATGGGCAGTTGGAACTAGCCTTTCTCCAAAAGGAGCAGAAAGAGGACCCTGCTGTCTCTGAGAATTGAAATATATGCAGTGTCATTTCAATTCAATGGCTTCTCATGATCCACAGCAGATGATTAGGGGTAGGGGCAGTGAAAGGGTGAGAGGTCCTAGGAGATGAGCCTAGGGTCTGCAGCCACAGCTGGCACAGGAGGACTATTTCAGTGGCAGCTGACTGCGTCTCCTTTTTAAAGCCCTGCTGCAGCTTCCTGAGACTGGGAGCAGACAAGAGTGTGTCTCTGGCAAGTGTGAACACCAAAGCTACTTGTCATTCCATCTTAGGGCTCTTGAAACTTCATGCTCAATTAACTGCCCCGATAGGCCAACTTAACTCTAGGAAAGCAGAAATACAAGGCTCTAGGGACTCAGTTTACCCTCTGGTTCACATCATAAGGTTCTTGTTATTGGACCAGGGCCATGGATTCTATGAGGTTATGTGGTTGCTAAGAATTTGACCCTGAGTCTCACCTTCCTCCGAAGACCTAGGTCCTGGCAGTTTCACAATTTGAGAAAAAGCTTTTATGTGCTTTTCTTCACCACAGTGAAGTGGATATTCAACCAACATTTCCATCATAACTTCATAGTACTATTTACAGAGACAAAATAGAAGTATTTCCCTAATGGACATCATCAAAACTATTTGTTTACTCTTGAGTGTTTAAAACAAAAAGGCTTCTCAGAAGTGTTCTTGGACAACTTTTCCTCTATTCTCAAAGGCCATGATCATGAGACCAGAAACCTGTTGGAAAGTGGCTGGTGAAGATGCAGCTCAGTTACTGCTCTTTCCTTGAGTCAAATGGATAATCAGCTGTCAAACTCAGGTTCTCTGCTGGCTGGCCTTTCTGAGCCAAGCCTGGAATGGAAGGAAGAATTGGATTCCATCCTATCCTCAGCACCATCTGCCACCTGCATCAGCAACCAAATTGTCAGCCAATTTCCAATGCAGAATCTTAATTTCCAGGGTGGATTGGAAGAGGCAGGAAAAAGCAGTACTGGACTGAGGGGCCCAGGTGGAGTTTTCCAACTGCTGGGGAAAATGTTTTAGATTTCAAATGGAGCAAATTCAAGGGAAGACTGGGATGGAAGAAAAAAAACATCTGCCATTCAATCAATAGATACTTTTCAGGTCACAGCCTCACTTTTAAAATCAGTCAAATGAAGGAGGGATTATTTCCAAGCAAGAAACATGGAGCTACTCTTCATGGGCTCTGCAGCAACTAACGTTACTAATAAAAATATCCACGGAAGAAAAAGTCCACCAGGATTTAAGGTGAGGCCTTTGATGTGGCACTGGGAATCAGAGAATATTCTTTCAAGTCCTATAAATGAGAAATGATGTCTTCACTTAGCAAAATTCCTCCCATTACCTTCTGGAGTAAGAAGAAAGGTCTTCCAGGTGGTTTTCCAAAAACAGAGGAGAAAGAAAAAGCTAGTTAATGTCAGCAGCACAGAGCACACTGAGCTAGTTGATTCTGCCCCTAATGACTGTATTGTGGCTGAGGAAGGCAGAAGTATTTGGCACTAGAGTTGTTGGTTGATTGACACCACATTTTCTCTCCAATTCTGAAGGACCATTCAATTTAGTATGCAGCTCTGCAGGTATGAAAGTGGGCCATGCCCTCAAGCCATGTTTAAAGGGTTCTGTCGATGAAGAAAGCCACAGAGTCGATTTTGGCAAGACTGTGCATTGAATTGAAGAAGGTCATCATTGTGTTTTGTTTTTAAAGTGAGCAATCTATACCCTCCAAACACTGATGACTAACCAAAATCAGATGATCAACTTGCCTCTTTTGCTGCAAAGGAATGAGGGGACTGAATTTGAAACATCTTCTCCAAATTCCAGAGCCATTGGACTGAACTGTTCCACAGATTGGGTCTCCTTTTCAGTAGAGCCTTACAAACATGAATAAAGACCCAAAGCTCAATGCTGGCCTTAAAAGCTCCTCCTCAATGGCCACATCTTGTTGAGTAAAAGGGCATCCTATTCCTTGAGTAAGTTAGAGGTTCAGACACTTGTATTGACTTGTTCAGACTTATACATTGCTCATTGCTGAAATGGAATGTTCTCCTCCAGTCAGCTTTTCTGCCTTAAACAGGTAAAGGGATCTTCCAAGATGTCTGACTAACATTCATAAAGCAACTGGGTGTGTCCTACTGAGTACTGACTAAAAGAAAAACTTTGTTGTAAAGCAAGGGAACTTCATAGACTGCAGATAATAATTACCACTGTGCAAATACTTGTCTCCAGTAAGACAATTGAGATACTTACAGTCCCAAAGTTGAGTAACCAATTAATTATCTAGCAAGCACTTCTCATACAGAGAAGCATGTACTGCAATAAATACATCACTCTATGGAATATCTCTACTCTTATATGTAAAAATATGAATTTTTACATATAAGAATGTACATATACTCTGATACATCATGGTACATATTGTGTGTGTGTATATATATATATATATATATATGTATCACAACATGGGAATATATATGTGGCATATGTGTTTCCTTTAGGAGAGGAATCCAAGCTCAATAACAAAGGAGACCAAGTATAATTTATCAAAGGCAAGCATGACAATTACCCCAGCTGATGAAGCATCTGGAGTTATAGTGGTAATTACTTCAGCCTAATCAGTGTCCCTTAAAAGTCCTGAGACAAGGCCTTCAAGAGAAACACACTGTTGTCAAGGTCTTATTTTCAAATAGAAAAATAAGACAGTGCCCGAAGCTGGCCAGAGCCCGGGGACTGGGGTGGATGGATGGAGAGCAGGCTCCCTGGGGACTCTCTGGCTCCAGGCTACTCTGTAGACTGCATTGGGGGATGAAGGAGTTGGGGCATGATGTCACTGCTA
Organism: Homo sapiens; assembly: GCF_000001405.40. NCBI lineage: Eukaryota > Metazoa > Chordata > Mammalia > Primates > Hominidae > Homo > Homo sapiens. The sequence goes on from NC_000010.11 coordinate 77,008,061, forward strand.
CATGCAACATAAATACCAAAAGTAAAAGGGAAACTAAAACTGTACAGAAAATTAAAAGAGTATCTCTTCTAGAGAAAGACAGGGGGAACTGGACTCCGGGCTGCTGGGAACCCGTTTTACTCACAATATATCACTACCAGTGTGCAGTTAAAATAGAGTAGGGGCCGTATTCCAAGGCAGCAAAGAGAAAAAAAATAAATCAAAGATATGTCAATGATTTGAAGTCAAAGAAAATTCCTTCAAACACATCAAACTAGACATTACTTGTCCACTAGGAGTCCACACTTTGGCAAACTTTTAGAGTCTGGGGGAAGAAATGTAAATCATTAGACAAGGTTTGTTATATAGAAAAAGAAAATGAGTAAATAGTAGACCCTGAGAACTTGCTCCTCGGCCAGACAGCTGAATTTGACTCTTTTCCTTGATAGAGAGCTATGAAGAAATGGAAAGAAATGCAAACGTTAAACTATACTATCACAGGATTTCCAGAAATGGAATGTCCGCACCTGATATTTCTCCGGATGAGATGACGTGAAATGTTGAAGGTTACTGAATGAAAGTGAATGAGGAGCTAGGGGTGGAAGTGAAAGGGGAAGGCTGGGTTGGGGAAGGAGGGTTAGGAAGCTATGGGTAAGGGCCAGTGACTGTCATGAGCTCTGCCCTCATGGGATCTACCATTCCAGGGTGAATTATTAATACCTGGACTAACACGTTTGGACAGATGAGTATGTGGGTCAGCTGTCTTCTCCAACTTAGAGAGGGAACCAAGCAATGTCTGTTCGAAGGCATGGGGGTCCCCCCAGTGTGTTACTAATAATCCTAGTTTCTTCTAATTAAAGTTTCTTTGCAACTAAAACATCTTCTCCAATTTCCTCACTTGCCTGACCTACATGGGGAGGTTTATTTTTAATAATTCATTTTATTCTAACCACCCCCTCACCTCACACACACATCTGCATCCTGCCCTCTGTTCTATGGCCTTTTAATTAGTAGGAGCAATATTCAGACAATTCTGATTGTTACATAGCCAAAGGCCTTTGTGAGATGAAGAAGCTGAGGTTGGGGGAGGAGGCACAGGGATGTACAGAGAAGGAAGCGAGGCCCTTGTTACACTGGCTTGGCTTTGTAGAGGCAGGCCTTTTGCAGCAATTGGTGCAGTGCATAATGGGAGATTATATACCTCACTAGCTCCACCAACTTTAAAGGAAATGAAGAGAAGAAAATTATTTCAAACAATTATGGGCCTCTCTCTCCAGGATGAAGCTAAAGCCTGCTGCTGTTTACCTGTCTGGAACCAAGGTGGAAAAATACCCTAGAGGCCAAATCCTTATTTCTTATTTCTAGGGACAATTTAGTCTGCTGTGTTCCACTATGGCGTCCTATGAGGGACATTCCAATGTCAGAGCAAGAGTCAGAGAAGTTCTCACTTCATCCTTCCACTTCCACTCCTTCCTCCCGAGAATGCTCTCCATCCAGACACCAGGGACATCTTTTAAACTAAGAACTAATGATGACATTTCCTCACTTAAAATCTTCCAAAGGCTTCCTAATATAGGACTAAAACCCACACTTCTTACCACGTCCCCTGTCTCCGTCTCTAATCTCATCTCATACTACCCTTTCCCCAGTGCCACTGGCCTTTCTTCCATCCTTCAAACACCACAAACTTATTCCTGCCTCCTGACCTTGACCTTTGCTCGTCTCCCTATCTGGATTGGGTCTTGGCCTCAACATCACCCCTGACTGAGGCCTTCCTGACCTTCCAAGCTATAAAGTAGCACCACTGCAGGATTCCTCAACCCTCAGGCAGTCTCTTCTCTCTTCTTAGCACTGGCTATCTCTGAATTTATTTATTTACATCATCATGGTTTGTCTCCATTCACCAGAGTAAAGGATTCAGGAGGGCAGGGACTTTACCTTGTTGACCACTCCATCCCTGAAACCAAAAATAGCAGCTCATCCAAAGAAGATACTCAAAAATATGTGAACGGCTAATCAATATGTGAATCACAGTCTTGCTATTTCCTTGATACTCTGTGGGATGAGGGTCTGGCAAATATCCTGTCAGGGGTTATTGGCCTCACCTTTCCTCCCTTTCCCAACCCCTCACTACAAGCGTTTCTTTACAGAAGTGTTCACCTCTTGTATTTGTTGTTCTCTCTTATTTCCCTCAACCCTCAGACTGCTGTGCTCCTTCTGATTGAAATGATTCAGGAGATGTCTGGTCAACTCATCCGTGCTGCTGTGTCCACAACCAACTAAGCATGGCTGGGATGGACTGCCTGGTGAAGAAGGTCTTTGGATTCATGGGGTCTGTGGGGGTTGAATGGGGAGTGAGGTTCATTCTAGGCCTTGTTCTCTCTTAGATGCTCTTCTCGGTAGGTTGTCAGAATCGGGGAATTCTTGTCCCAAGAAATTAGAGGCTCTTGTTTTGAGATATCAATAAATACTCATCTCGATAAGAGTCTGGGGGAAGGGGACCAGCTGTATTAAGTCAGTGGAAACAGGGGGAGGAAACCCATGGTCCTAAGCTGCCCCACCCTGAGGGGATTTCTGCAGAAACTTCTCTAGACCAAGAGTGCACCCCAAGGGAATTTTCCCCATGGGTTGAGGAACTTCTTTACCCTCCAGCAGAGTGATATTTATAGATGACTGGTTCTACATTTTCTGTACCCCACTCTAGGAGTACAATGAAAAAGGTCCTTCCTTCAGTGGCATACTTTAGGAATGGTGCTCTTCTGTCTGGCTTCTGCTTGTGAACAAGGATTTTATGGGGTACTCTTTCATAATTGTTCTTACTCATCAGACCCAAGACTGCCCACATTGCCTTTCCCTTCTGCAAAAAAATGTTAGAGCACCCAGAGAATCAATAGAGGCCTTCAGGTGTGCCCAAATCCCTGTATGTTGGCTGTGTGACTGTCAGCAATCTCATCCTCTCAAACTTGGAAGCTTAGTTTCCTCTTTTTGTAAAATGGGATTAATAACACCCCTGCCAATTACATGGGGTTAGGGTGAGAATCAAAGCAATGATTATAAGGAGCTTTTAAAAGACTAACTCACCATAGGAAGGATGGCATCATTTTTTGTTTGTTTTTCAAGGGTTGAGAACAATTTCTATTAGGCAATACAGCATAATTACTGCAAAAGGCACAACCTTCTCAAAGCAAAGACCACTTAAGTCATGGTATCTCAGGAGCTCACAATTCCACGTTCTGGACTCACTATATCTTTCTCAAGAGGCCCCAGTGGCAAACTGCTTTAGAAGGGACTTGAGACAGAATATGCCAGAAACAACTGAGCCCAGTCTAGTCTACCCCAAAGAGCGATGATGCTTGAGGTCGACCTTTGGACGATGGCAACTGAAGCCCTTTGGCAGTGGAAAGTTCTTTTCTTGGGGGCAGTCTGAAGGTATCACAGTTGCCAACTCTGGCCTGTGGTATTAAAACTAGCAGGAATTCCAAATGGAAAGAGTCAACTCCCATTTTGGAGACCAAGTCCTCAGATTTAGTTTCTCTCTCAACCCTATATACTCAGGGACCCCCAATCCACTGGAAATCACGATACAAAAACACTTTGTGCTCTGTGGCTTTAGTTCTCCTCCTTATTATACATCATACTTGTCTCTGTTAGACTGGACACATCTACTGAGGCACCTCTAGAGTAAAGAAGCAGGGACTAGGCACAGGTTTCATTCCTAGGTGTTGATGGTGGTGATTTTTCATCCTCTGCTCTAACAAAGCAAGGACAGGTATTTATTTCATATTTCTTTAAACTGCTGGGTGAAACATAAACATACTCAAGAAAACTCTCGATGTTTAGTGTTTCTCTAATAAGAAAAGGGAAGGAAAAGGAATTTGGGGAATAGGAATGAGAAAGGGAGGGGACAGGGAGAGAAACACTACTTACGCCGTTTGCAGCCACATTTTTTTATTCTTTTGGGATCTGTGATGTCATCATGACAGGCCTTGCAGTAAAAAAATGCCCTGGAGAAAGAGAATGGAAAAACTGACACGTTTCATAATCCACCCAAATGAAATGAGTACCACATTTCCTCCACGGTGGTGCCAAATTAATGAAACACGCCAGCATTAATTTCCTTTAATCTTTTGAAAGGTTTAGACATTTGCAGACGGAAATGTTTGTTGCAAGACCATTTATTTCAAACACAGGATTCTGTGATTTGAGTTAGTGCTCCTTTTCATAAACTTCCATTTACAAAGAAACTGGGAAAAAAGTTGCTGATGTGACACACTGTGTCTGCTCATTCGTCTTTCATTTTTGAGAACAGCCTTTGATGCTACTCGTGGGGACATGTGGGCAATGAGCCCTGGGCCCTTGGTGGGGAAGTTAAATACAACACCAAAATTCCCACAGTCTGGTCAAATATATATTTGAGGGGGCAGAAGTATGTCGTTTCTCAGTCAAATAAAAATATCAAGCTTGTCACTCTGAAAGCACCTTTTCTGGGCAGCCAAAGGGAGACAGAGTTGAGGAGGTCTGCAGAGAGGGAAAAACGAAAGCCACGAGTCAGTGGGTTCCTCTGTCAAACCCCCTCTGGAGTTTCACAGCTTATTTTACTCCAAAGCTGACTGGACCAATTCCCATGCTATCCAGCCCTGAGAACATGCACTAAATGATGGTTTTCTTCTCACTATGGAGCAAAGCTCAGCTGACCACTGGAAGGGGGTGAGTAGAGCTTATTGAAGCAATAGGTAGGTAGAAGGAGAATGAGATGAAGCACTCAAAAAGAAAATCCCCTAATCTGACTTGAATGTCCATAGGTGATTCCACAGTGCATTAGCTGTGTCAAAGATATTCTGGATAAGAAAAATAAGATCATTCAAGCACTATTTGAAATCACAGTGCCTAGAACAGCACAAGAGGCCTGTGCCCTTTCAGTACTGGGGAGGTGATAAAATTCACTGGAACAACCCTACAACCTTCTGGATCCAAGAACTAACAAAATCCCTGGCTTGTTGCCTTTACCACTCCCAACAGGAAACTGAATGCCAGCTATGAACATGGCCTTTTCTTGACCAGGGCTGCAGAAATAAACACAATTCTTGACCATTTGATTCTTAGGTTCCTTTTTATGTTTTCACAGGACTTGATTTATAATTGGCACTCATTGGAAACCAATGTTAAGACTTTTGGATCCACACGAGGTCTTGGAGATCCTGCAGCCTAAATCTCTGGGACTCAGTGTCCTCATCTGTAAACTGAGGAGGTTGTCGTGGACTGCCCAGTCATTCCATGCTGGGATTCAGCCAGCCCCAGGACTTCTGAATCCAAGTCCAATGCTTGCTCTATCCTAGCAAATTCTCCACTCTTTCTTTAAATGCCAGCTGTCATCTATGTCTCAAAAAAATTAAAAAAAAAATAAAAAGAAATCCTAGCTGACTGTTGACCCTGAGTGGCAATGTGGCTAAGAACCCAATCAATCTGCCTTGGCACAGGAAGAACAGGAAAGTAGAAAGCATCCAAGTTGGGGAAAGTAACTCTGCGTCCACTTCCTTTGGCCATTTTCCCTCCCCCTTTGTTGCTCTTAACACATAATGATAATAACGGTAACAATCATATAGCTAACATCTATAGAGAACAGACTACATGTCAGGTGTGGTTCTAAGTATTTTATAAGCATTAAACATATTTGATCCTCAAACAACCCTTTGAAGGAGGTATGATTATTATTTCTATTTTACAGATAAGGAAACTGAAGCACAGAGAAGTTAAGTGACCTGCCCAAGGCCACACAGCTAAAAGTACCAAAGCTGAGATTGAATTCACATAGCCTGGCACCAGAGCCCAAGGTCTATACTAAAGAGATGATGACATGATAATAAGCCTGAATAGACTTGTGAAAAGATAAAGTTTGATTACTTCATGAACTAAAGTTGGATTCTTTTTTAATTTAATTTTTATTTTTAATTGACAAATAATAATTGTATTATATGTGTGGTATGCAACACATTGAAATACATATACAATGTGGAATAGTTGAATCAAGCTAATTAACATATACATTATACAGATAAAGAAACTGAAGCACACCTTTTGTGGTACGAACACTTAAAATCTACTGTCTTGGCTGGGTGTGGCGGCTGACGCCTGTAATCCAACACTTTGGGAGGCTGATGTGGATAGATCACGAGGCCAGGAGTTTGAGACCAGCCTGGCCAACATGGTGAAACCCTGTCTCTACTAAAAATAAAAAAATTAGCCAGTCATGGTGGCATGCACCTGTAATCCCAGCTCCTTGGGAGGCTGAGGCAGGAGAATCGCTTGAATCCAGGAGGTGGAGGTTGCAGTGAGCCGAGATTGTGCCACTGCACTCCAGCCTGGGAGCCTGGGCAATAGAGCAAGACATTGTCTCAAAAAAAAAAAAAAAAAAATCTGTCTTTGCAATTTTCTGGTATATAATTCATTTTTAACTATAGTCACCACATTGAACAATAGATTTCTTGAACTTATTCCACCTGTCTAACTGAAATTTCATGTTTTAGATGGACATCTCCCCAATCCCTCCCAACCCCAGCCCCTGTTAACCACCATTCCACTTTCTGCTTCTATGAGTTTAACTTTTGTAGGTTCCACATGTAAATAAGAACATGCGATGTTTGCCTGGCTTATTTCACTAAGCATAATGTCCTCCAAGGCTAGGCAATTAAGGTTAATAAGTGAAATGAGGCAAGGGTCGGGGGTGTCCATGGTGATCTGGAGCAGGCAGAGTATCTAAGCTCAGCTGACCTCTGCCAAGTGGCATTTCTTTGCAAGAATCATTCTCTTCCCCACCCATCTTTGCCTCTGTCATGCTCACCTCGCAAAGCCCCTCCCTTACTGCACACCTGCACCTGAGCAACGGAGTTTCGCTGGGAAAGAAAACATGCTGACCTCACTTTAAACCCACAACCATGGATTTCAGGGGCCTTTTCCACTCTTTGGGATCTACCCCATTCTCCTGTTGCTTGCTTTCTCACACTCCAAAACAGCTCTCTCTCCTCTCCTCTCCACTTGCTCCAGCTCACCGTACCCCTCCCACAAGCAGCCTTCAGCTGGTGATCTTGCTTCACCCATCATCAGACCAGCTTTGTGTCCTGCAAGGCTGGCCTGTATGGTCTCCTTGTCCTCTGGTTTCCTGGCCTGCGTGTCCAGTGGAAGGAGTCAGCAGGAGACTAGGGTGAGGGGGGATGAGGTCACCACCTTGACCCCCCGGGTGCCCTCCTGTACAGGTCTATGAAATGGCACACGACAGCCTCTCTCTCCAGCTCCTGATAGCCCTCCTTCCCCTTGACCCCACAGATCTAGGGTGAAGGTGGCTTCCCCTTTCTTGCTAGCTCTGCAGTGCTTGGCCATCCCTTGTTGGTTTTCCTTTACTATTTGCCCATAACTTTACAGTCTCTTCATAAAACTCTCCTCCTTTTTCCCATTTAAGTTTGTCATCTGTTTCTTGCCAGGACAAGAAACAGCACCCACATTTACATATTCATCTCCAATTCACACTTATCCCCAGAACTCCAGACTCTAAGATCCAACCGCCTTATGATATCACTGTGTGTATGTTTAGTACACATCTCCTACCTAACATAGCCCAGATAGAATGCTTAACTTCCTACTACCCAAAACTTGCTCCTTCTCTAGTATCCCTCATCTTGGTTAAGATCAACACAATCTAAGCCCTGACTCTAGCCTTCATCCTTCATTCCTCTTTTTTCCTCACTTCTGCCCAATTCATTGGGGGGTTCTGCACACTCTCCCAAATACAGTCTGAATGGGAACCCACCTCTCTCCACCTCCACTCAGGGGTCAGTCCAAGCTGCCATCATCTCTCACCTAAACTATGCAATAGGCGCTGAGTCTCTCACCTCTTCTCCTGCCCCATTCCTCTCATTCTCTACAATGCAGGAAGAATGACCTTTTCAAAATATACATCAGATCAGCTTAAAGCCATCAATGACTTCCATTTTATAACAGATCCAACCTTTCTATAAAGTGCTTTAGGAGCCAGCCTCTGCCTCTCTCTAACCTCATCTCATACCACTCTCCCCAAATCTATTCCCTAGCCGCACTTTCCTTCTTGGGGTCCCTATCCACAATGAACTTCTTCCCAGCCCATCTCTTCTTCCTATCTGATCCCTGCCTGATGGATTATTTCCCTTCATCTCAATCTCTGCTCAAATACCAACCCCTCTGAGAAGCTTTCACTTATACCCAACCCAAATCAGTGACCCAGTTGCATTAATTCTTTTACCACTAATTATTTTTTAAAAAACTGTAATTCTTTCCTGCCTAGAATATGAGCCCCACGAGAGTTGGGACTTCTCCCCATTGTTCATTTTTCACCACTGTTTCCCTGGTGCCTTGTATAGAGCCTTCTAAATGTAAACGACTTATACACATTTGATGGGCGAATGAATGAGTGAGTTTGAGACTGCTTCCCGGTATTGTTGGGTCTGCCAATTTTTCAGGAGAAATGAGTAATAAGGATTTTTATATAAAAGCTCGTAACTTTTTTCACCTTGGCAACTCATTTGTATTTTAAAATTGTGACTCAAAAGGATCATATGTGCAAGCCAAACTGAGTCACTGAGCCACCGTTTTGTGACTCCTATATTAAAGTCTATGTTCCAACGTTATTTTAAAAGGAAAATATTTGGTGGCAAGGAGGAAAGAGCAAGTACCCAAATGCCCATCCTCAAGTGACCTTCTTAAGACTGCAGTGGGATGGTTTCACTCCTCATTTACTAAAACACTGCATCTGAAGGTTTCTACAAGCTAGAATTCATTAACTTCTTTTGTTGCTTTTTTGCAGTGGAGGGTGCAAACTCGATACGAGATCATCATAATCTACTTTTCCATTTTTACAAAGCTTGTTTAGTTTCATTCAAATCTCCAATGTCCTTTCTGTGGTTTTTTGCAGTCTTCATCTATTTGAGATCCCCTAACTGACAGCATTTGCTTTGACACATCACATGCCATGGAAAATTACAGCCTGGTGTTGTAGCTGATTGTGTCAGCATGTATTTGTGAATACCATAAAGCACTGAAATGAGACATATTGCACTCCCTAATATAGGAGGTAATTTGTTTTTTGGACGGCCTGATATTTGTGACATTCATTAGTGAGAGATGCAATAGGAAATAGAATTACACAAATGGGAGTTTCATGTTATATTTGCTATCTGGGAGGTATACGTGATATATGGTTCTCCTGTGCTCCCCAGCCTCCTGTACTTGGTGCTGAGATGCTGTTTCAAGCTTTTGTGTCTCACAGTCTGGACAAGGGCACAAGCTTCTTCTCCAGGAGACCTGATTGGAGCACAGGGAGAGGGAAGGTTCAGTCCCATTAATCCTAATTTCCCTTCTCAGGTGTACCCAGTTCTCAGGATACTCTTGAACAACCGGGAGATTCTGTGAACTGAGTAGGGAGGTATTTTTCCCCCACAACTCAATCATGGCAATCTTTCCCCAATTTGCAGAAATAAATTTAAGTTATTAGAGCACTCAGTTTAAGAATTCTTTTTCCTTCCAACAGCCCATGTTTTCTTTTTCCCAAAAGCTTCTGTAGCCAGTATGGCTTAGTTTGCTAGAGTGGATGGGGAGGAAGAGGACCCTAAGTATCCACGGTCACATGTCATCGTTCTGTGCTCAGCGTATCAGGCTTAACCTAGGCAAATAATTAAGAGTGCAAGCTCCAACTTCCTGGCTTTATTCCTCACTAGCAGTATGGCTTTGGGCAAGTTAGTTAGCCAAGTTGTGCCTCAGTTTCCTCATATGTAAAGTGGGAAAGAGTAATGCTACCTATCTCATGGGGTTGCGTGAGAGTTTAACAAGTTTTAGATACAGAGAACCTAGTACCTAGAATAGTGCTGGGGTGTAATAAACCCTCCTCTGTAAGAATGTGGTAGTATTATTAAATTTGGTAGAAAGAGAGTGGATTTTAGAAAAGGAAAGACCAGTTCCACTCTGGGCTCCACCACTTACTTATGTGCCTCATGGCCTTGGACAAATCACTTATCTCGATTTTACAGATGAGGAAACCAAAGCTCTGAGTGTTTGAGAAGACTTACCTTCCAGGGTTATTTTGAAGAGCAGCAATAAAGAATGTAGCACACCTAGAACAGGCCTGGCTTTGACTAGGAACTCATTCAATGAAGACAATAGGCTTATATAACTAATGATAGACCTTCACAATTAATAATGTACTTAAAATATTTTATGCAATATTACTGTTGAGCTGAATGACCTGTCTGAACATTTGCATCACATTTTCTGCTAGTAAATTTCTCCAAGTTCATAAGATAGAATCAAATACAATAATATTCCATGTTGTGCTGCAAAGGGCCCTGTGAATTCCTAGGCTGCTTAAACAGGTTTAAGGATACGAATAAAAATGTCATGAAACATGTAGGCCAGTGAAATCCTGTGCTGCACTTACAGTGGCTTAACAATTGAAGCTGACAACTTCAGCCACTTACCTAGGAGGCCACAAATAGAAATAGAGCCAGTTTCATATTCCATCTGAAATTAATCCCAACCTTTTGAAATTCTATTTGGCAGGGAGAGTAGTAGAAAACTGATAATTCTCAAGTAAATTTCCCAGATAATATTAAGTAAAGAGCACTAGATAAGGAGCCAGTTGTCTTGTTATGTTGTTCTGAATCATCAGGAATCAGGATGACCTCGAGCAGTCATTCAGCTCTCTGAGCCCCCATTTTCTCCCTCACAAAATAAATGAGCAGGTAACTAGGCTTCCTAGTTCTAAAATTTTATTATTCTCATTCAAAGATGTGGAATTCACTACATGAACTGGAGTCCGTGGAAGTTTTTCTTACACCAGTTGATGGCCATAGACATGTTAAGGAGTTTTGGGGTTATGGAAGCCTGCCTACTTCCGTGGGTCAAGGTGTCTACAGCCGGGCCAGAAAGAAAGCCAGTTGAAAATAAACTCTTACCTTTTAACTTCTTTGGCATCACTTGCGATGAAAAATCCTAAAGTACCTTCTTGGATCTTAAGATGGTTTCCAGGATTAATTAATATACTGCTCAGTGAACAAAAACAAACAGAGAAGATACATTTGTGAGGTCATGTTCTGAATAAAACCTTGAAGGCTACACCATACTGTTGTGTTTATAGGGGGCCCACTAGTCTAAAGCTTTCCCCAAAGATTTTGTCCAGAGTCCAATGTCCACTGCCCCATACATTTAGTTGGATAATGCCATCATTAAGCACTACTGCTTACTTCCCAGGCTGGCATGCTCCCAGTTGAGGAAATCAAAGCAAATCAAGGTATTAGGGCCTGGGTTTATATAATGGAGCAGTCTAGCTGCCATCATGGGCACATGATTTGAAGCAAAGTCCATCAGAATAAATTCCTTTTGAAACTGCTATTGGTGGTCAACACGGAAGCATTATTGGCCTGATGAAGCTATTGCTACAACAATTTTCCATTAAATGACAGAGCATTAATGGGACCCCTATAGATATACATAAACATCATGTACACACACCACATATTACCGCAGGGAATGGTACAAGACACCCGTAACCAATGCGGAAGCAAGCTGAACGTCTTCATGACATTGATAAGGACATGGAAATTGATTCCATGTACAGCCTTTATAGGAAGAATTGGATTTACCCAAACAGTTTTTTTTTTTAAGTCAGCAGTTGGATATACTTAACAATTCCAGTCTGCTGTTTATAAAAACGTACAGGGTGTTTGAATAAGATGTGTGTCTAGCATGTCCTAATTGAGGCAAATTGAGAAAACAAATGCAAACCTCCCCTTAAAAAAACTTGCCCTGCAGAGAAGTGGGAACCTAAATATACATTGTCCTATTTCAAAGTGGCATAAATAGATTAGCGGACCAAGTTGTGTTTGGACTGACAGAAGAGATAAATGTATCCTAATCTAATAAATGGATGAAACAAACAAGTTTAATTTTCTGCAGATCAAAAGCAGAATACAAGATTGTCTGATGCAGAGACTGAGAAAAGACTTCAGGCTTAATGGATACTGAATTCAGGGATTCTGAATAAAACAACAGATACAACAGAGGTATTCCTTGTTCTGAAAAGATGTTGCTTAATAAGGTAATAGATATTTGGAATCAGTCTAAAGGAAGTTCTCAGCTGCCCCAAACAATCAAAATATAGAGGATGGTAATTAACACATAATCTTTTTTCCTACTGATAAACCATTCCAGAGAAGTGTTGTGGTCATGAAGTGATACGTCTGTAGTCATACAGGAAGGACCCAGGTGAACCTTTGTTCACCTGGTTGGGAGACCTCCGAGCAGATCATTATTGCAAAATAATTTTTTGTGGTCACAAGAACATCTACCATTACTTATAACAATACCTGACAGGAGGAAACTGTACTTGTGTCATGACTATTATTAACACTCAATAATACCAAAAGGCTATGAAGATTTAACTGTTCTGCCCTACAACCACAGGCAGCAGTGAGATTCCTCCCAAATCAGACAGCAGCAGTCCACACTAATAGCACGGCCTGCACTGAGCAGCGGCTCTCCATAAGCACCTCCTAATGACCCCTCCGCCAACTCTTCACATGGGTATAACAAGCCCTCTGACTTCATGCAATCACGAGGGTGAAGTGTTAGAGCTCATACAGTTTAGATGAATTTATCTTTCAAAGCCAATTCAGTATGATGTTTTAGAAAGGCAGGATTATAAATTTTGCACATTTTTTTAACCTCCTTTCCTGCAAGGCAGTTTTTACATGCCCTGGCTCTGCAATCAGAATTTGGGTCCAAATTCCAACACTACCACTTAATAGCTGTTTGACTTTGGGCCAGTTACTAAATATCCCTAGAACTCAACTTTCTTACCTACAAGAGGTGGATAATGGTAACAATAATCTTTAGAGAATTAAGAGAGATGATGTATAGAAGGCTCAATGCATGTGGGTTATTGTTCCTTTTTTTAATTCTTGCAAAAAAAAATCCAAAGTGTATTTCATTTTCAACAAAGTTATCACAGATTTTCTCTAGCTGACCCCATGGAATATAATACAGTCTTCTTATCAAAATACCTTGCCCATTAATGAGATGAAATTATAGGGTAAAGAACTGTACGCTACAGAATAATGTATAAGGACATACACAAAAAATTCCATGCACTGGCTTTGCAAATGCAGGTAAGCCTCACACTTCTCATCTGTAAAATGGGTCCTGGCTTTGCAAATGCAGGTAAGCCTCACACTTCTCATCTGTAAAATGGGTGAATAATCGCTAGCTTACAATGCCTCTAAGAGAGTTAAAGTATGTACTATGTGCTACATGACTGACACATAGAAGGTCTTAAATTCTTAGTTGCTACTCTCAGTGAGCTAGGTGATTATAAAACTGAGAGGTAAAAAAATCCTCACAGCACCATCACCCTCCACTTTGTCCCTGCTGCTAATAAATGACCCAGGAGGTGCCCTATTGGCATTGAAAGACTTTTCCACTGACTGCAAGGAAATCCAAAGCATTTTATCCCTGCACAATATCTGGTGATGGGCTAATTTAGACTGACTTTTGTCTGCACAGTGAAGTATCCTGTGTTCCTTAAATCTATGGCTGATTGTGTAAGGAATCGAAAGCATCTCTAATTACCTCACAGATCATGTGGATTCCAGGATGCCCTCTTATTCCCTGTGAACAGGGGTGAGGGGGTTTAAATCATCCCCATGTGAGGTGTAAGGCAGAACCATTTGCAGATACTAAGCTAAGGCTAAGGCAGCCTTCTGGGTGGGAATCTAAAGAATGGATCCAGTCCTTGAAATAATGAAAGAAAGAAATCTAGATACATAAAGATGCTCTTGGCGCTGAAGCACCAGAAACTACATTACTGGTTTTTGTTTTTGTTTTTAATATTTTCGACATTAAGTCTTCTATACACATTCCAAATCTAGAAAGTTTAAATAAAATGCTAATCCCCGTCTTCTTCAAAATATAAAAAGACAAGGATTCTGGATAGTGATAACCTTCTCCCCCTTTTGCCTACTATCTTTAGAATTCGTTATTGACCTTCTAATAGGAACACATAAATTTTTCCAAGGATCTCTGATCTCTTTAGGAGAGTATCCAATGTTAAGTTTGTTTTGTTCTACTGACTGCCAAAAGTCTCTCTCTCTGTGCGCCACTCTGAATCAGTTCTCTAGCTCCAACTTTATATAATTCACTAGTTTATCAGAGATAAACTTCAACATGTGTCATGTGAAGAATCAGGAAAATCTCTAAGAGAAAAAGCCCATATATCCATTAACAGAATTCCAACAAGGACATGTTGGCAGAGGTGGACTTTCCCTCATTTCAAGGAACATATAAATTATCCTTTCTTCTTTGACCTTACTGGTTTCAACAGAAAACATCCAGTGACAGCTGGAAGCACGGGGCTGGTGTGGTCCCTTGCTGTCTCTGTTTCTTTTGCTCTCAGACTAGTTTTAAGTCTCGACTTATTCTTTGTTTACTCACCTCCTACATGGAGCAAATACGTATTTTCTGTAAGGAACCCACAGTTGAGTAGAGGGGTACAAAACATGATCACATTCTATTTACCTTTGAGTTTCCTGGAGTAGCAGGCTTAGAGCCTTGCACGCAACAGGCACATTTCAACTATTTGTTGAATGAATAAAAAAAATAAGTTTTTAAAGCCTCAGTTCCATAAGTTTTCCTTTTTTTCACAAATAAGTGGAAAGGAGGTCACAGTTTTCTTTCAAAGAACAAGCTACAATTCTCATCAGTCAGGCCGATTAAAGGAGTGACCACACCTCTGCTAGGGCTAGGGGATTGGCCAATGATCTAGCAATCTCTCAGATGTGTTAAGTATGAATATGTAAATATCCCAATATGTAAACAGCCTGCCACTTGCAAAGTTGGGGCAATTGATTTCAACATTGAAAGCAAAACTTCAAAGAGAAATATGGGTTCCTAGACATAAAACACATCTACGTGCAATTGGCTAGCGGGGCTCAGTCCCGCAGGGAAATGCCTCTATCAGGTCCCTCCATGAGAGGAGCACCGCGTCTCAAGTTGTATCACATTTCATTGGGTATCTCTCGCTAAACACTGGTCAGGTTGGAAGACTGCAGCTTGATGGAGGAAAGTAATGCATTCCTTTCTCCACCACTTGTGCATAACTGGGGGACATCTAGTTTTGTCTTCAATCATTGTAAACTTTACTTGTTTCCTGTTTCTGAAGACAACCTATGATTCGTAATTCAAGTGAAACAGATATTGTTTAAGGAAACTTCTATCCATTATGGGTAAATATGATACATATATATTTCTCTCCTCTCCCTTTCATTTTTGGTAGGTGTAATGTACCATTCCTCAGGCAATTTTTAAAAAATAGCATGACTTATATGAGAACATACTTTGTGCTTGATAACGTAGTAATTATATTTGTGTCTAGCAAGCTAATGGGACTTCATTAACTAAAGCAAGCAAATAAGAACCATTTAGGGTTTCCATTCATGCTATGCCCAGATGAATCATGCCATTGAGAAGAGGCTTCTTTGATCACACAAGTTCATATACAATGACTCTCAGTTGGAACTTTGTTTGAACCAATCCGTGTCCCCTCTCAGAGAGTATGACTGCATTTGTAGTTTACAGGCTATGTGCAGGCACAGTTCAGAGAAACCCCACATCTCAAATCTTATCACCTTTCTGGAACTTTTCATTTTTTCTGGGCTTTCAAATACATGCTGCTGCTGGAGTCCCACACAACTAGACACACACACTTTTACTTTAGGATACCATTGGAGACACAGTTGTGTATTTCATATGTCAATATACTTAAGCCCAGTTCACTTACACACAGACAGCATGATAAAGATTGCTCCCAGTTGGTCAGACTCAAATGACTGCCACTGTGGTCCACCAGAGATACTGGTGAGGACTTACTCAGCCTGCATCCATCTCAGTAACTTTAGAAATGGCATTTTCAAATATATTTCGTACATACAAAAAAATATTAGCCATATGGGATGGGGAACAGAGAGGTGATCTAGAAAGGATAATGCTGGATATTTGGTTCTGGGAGCAAGCCAAATCATTTTCTGGTATACTTAGGACAAGTCATGCCTACATCACAACATGCCTTCACCACAAGATAAAAGGACTCAAAGGCCAAAAGCCAACAGCAGAGGTGCAACCACTGTGGACCTTTAAGATGCAAAGTGTTGCAGTAACTTCTTGCAGTTGGATCATATCAATAATACCAAACTGACAGGAAGCCACCTCTATTTATACACATGTACTCAAAAAAACAACAGAAGAATCAGATTTTGGAAAAAGATACAGACAAATACACACGCACAGACACACACACACACACAATTACAAACACAAACACATGACAGTGATTACAATCACAGAGAAAAGTAACTTGAAAAGATGAACAAGTAGGCATCTCAACAGTATGTTTTCAACAATATTGTCTTAGATAACACATTATTGAAAAGCTATCCTGGAACTATTAACCCAAAAGTTTTTTTTTAAATGCCATTGATGATGATTTAGTCATGCTTCATGCAATGTAAAACAGCAGCAAAACAGGGTGAAATCACATGGTGAAAATTGAGAAACTTCATATTAAGAAATATGCCCAAACACACTAGGAAAAAAAAGCCATGAGTCTGTCTCAATAAACAGTACTAACTCTGTAAATCAAGTGTGATAATCTGGCAATTTAATAGCAGTGTTCTAAGACTATACTGAGCACTGCCCAAGAAATAAAATATTCAAAATGTTATCACCAAAATAAATGTAAGGAAAAATAGAAGTGTAAGGGCTTGGTCTCTGTTTTGTGGATAAAAGGACAGGAATTCTGCTCTATAGACAAGAAACTCGACACAGGGAGGAGGAGGTCACTGGGAATGTGGAAGTGGTATGTAGACAAAATGGCACTAGAGTGCAATGGACATCAAGACACGTCAGGACAATACAGAAACAGACACAAAGGGCTGGAGAGAAGCATCCTCCTGTTCAACTTTAATAGTATTTGTTCCCATTATTGGTGCCATGACTGAAAACAGGAGTGTGCCTTTCCTTTCTTAGGTTTCCTGCAAAGAAGTTAGTGCGTCATCCAAAAGAACCAACAAATCAAACAGGAACAGAAATAGGCTACTTCCAATTTATGTACTCTAGTTGGAGAGGGGTGTGTGTGTATATATATATATATATATATATATATATATATATATATACACACACACATATATAATATAGATACACCAGACAAGGGAATGAGATTATATATACATATATATAATCTCTCTCTTCTTGAATTCTTGGCAAATGGTTAGTCCTGTGGTTAGGAGTGAAGATAGAGGGTGGAGGTTGGAAGAAAAGTTAACGAAGAGTGCATACCGCTTTCGGCTTCTGCAAAACGACAAGAAAAGAATTTAAAATCAAACAATTTGATAATAAATCGACTGACACCAGAAGGAAAGAAGGAATAAAACCTTTGTTTCAAATCACTTGAAGGATGCATGTGAAAACAAGGTTTTTTGGCAAAGCATGAAAACAGTATCATGGGGTGAAACCAACAACAAAGGCAGTTAAACACAGGTTAAAGAAGGTGGGAAGGAGAAACAGGTCCTTTGAATTTTCACACCCAGTCAGTTAGAAAATGTGAGAGGGAAAGAAGTGGGACATGTTTAAATAAAGAAAAACATTAAAATTATTATCTCAGGGAAGATTTTAAAAAATGTGTGTTTTCACGTGGATATTGTGTTTGATAAGTCCTGTGTTTTCTCAGAGGCATGATCCACATTCCCTCAAACACACCTTTTTCCACAAGAACCAATGTGCTTCCACACTGAGACCAAGCCACATTTGAGAATTAAAGCTGGCAACTGCACAAAGAAAGCCCAAACAAAGCCAAACAAGTCCTTTTTGCCCTTTTCTGAAGAAAAAAAAAATATATATATATATATATATACTAAAAACTATATCTACAAATATGGCTTTGTTGAAAACATCTCAGAATTGTGACTCAATTGAAGGGCCTATCCAAGAAAAGTTTCATCTTCAGGGAGTGCTCTGAGTTAGTTTTCTTAGAATAGTGACATTGAGTTCACAATGAACCATTAACAGCCTTTCGCTCTTTTTCTCTCCTTGGAACCAAAAGGCAACAAGTGAAAGACAACTGCTCAAGGTTCAGGGTGCAATCTCCTGCAGTCAGATTATTCCAGAATGGTCGAAAAACACTATGCAGCATCAGCATCACCCACATCATGACATTTTTTTTTGAAAGATGCACAAAAGTAAATAGAGAACACTGAGTTACACAAAGATTTGCGATTTCGCAACACGGGGAATATCATTTGCAAAAATCCAGGATACATACAGTTCCCCTACACAGGTACAAGTGAGTATTGGCAAAAACATGGGTAAACAGTAACCCCAGAAAATTCCACCTCATCTGCTGAACAACTAATAATCAGGACTGTCAGTTTTTGCAAACAATATTCTTCACTTTGCCAACATGAAAAAGAAAATATTTATCTATCTACATATTTGTTAACTGCTACAGCCATGTTCTACATATGGCCACCAAATCTACCATTTTTTTCTTCCTTTTGGTTGATTTGGGTTTTCAAAATAGCTTAACATTTGATCAGATTGACTTTGTGAGCAATCTGATCTGGTAGTTAAGGTAACAGAAAACATTGGATTGATCTGTTTACAATCCAGTGTTTTCTTTTCTTTTGTTTTGTCTTGTCATAGACACAGACTATACACTTGAAAGTCTGGCTGTATTGGGTTATTCACCCAGATAAGGAAAACTCCTTAAATGATGATAAAAGGAAACGTCTAGTCTTCCCCTGTACTCTGCTCAGTTATTAAGGTGTTTGTTGGAGGGGATCTGCACTCTACATTTGGGCATCTGCAGGATCAAAAATATGAACTATAGAGGAATAGACTGTGGGTGTCATTTCAGAGAACAAAAGCTTGAGCATTTCTCAATGAGCTCTCTTTCTTCCAAAACTATTGACAAGAACTGGGGAGCAAAAAAATCATCTCTATTTTATCTGTAAGGTGTACAGTACTCCATCAGCAAAATTTCTTGTTAGCACGATGCTTCCCACCTCCAGTGTGAACTCACATATTGACTGGGATGTTATCTATTTCAACCAGACCCAGTCCCTCATCAGTCTGATTTGCACATAATTAAGTGTAAAATAAATAAATAAAGAGAGCTCCTGCCTCTGAGCTCCACTCTCCTGGCTCATTTACATGAAGCTGATATTCTGCCACCTGGATTTTGGTTGCACCGGGAGAAGCACATATGGTACACAATAGGCTGCTTGTAATTTGGCTATCAAGAGAGTTGGTGTCTCCCCTCACAGCTCTACCCCAAGGCTGCTGTAAAGGAGGCCAGAGTCCACCTGCTTTTTTGCTCACAGCAGTAAAAAGGGGTTTTAAGTTCTGGTTTAATACTTAGAAGGTGAAAAGTCCAGGTCGGCATGATCAGGTGGAGATATTTTGAGGACTCATCCCTCTTCCCTGGAGAAACACTCTCTGAATGCCCAGCAGGGCTTTGGGTGCCAGGCTGGTCTGGCATAGAAGCTGCAGTGTCTGATGGGGCATGCCTCGAAATGTGCTCTAGGGTCAGAGAGGTTTTACATCTGGTTCCATGCAGATAAATAATGCACAAGAAAGCAGAAGTGAACCGACCGTTCTCAGAACGCACTCTCACCATCAAAAGTGTCAGCTGGCTGCTGGGTCACCGCAAACTTACCGGCTCTCTCGGTTGGCAGACTTGTACTCAATGGCTATCATTAGGAGCTTGAGCTTCACAAAACACAGCCTGCAATGAGATGGAGAAGCCTCCCAATCAGTTCTTCTGAATGACCAGAGCCACATAACACACACTATTACGATCTTTCGGTCTCCTAATGCAGTCATTACCGAGGGGATCCTCATTCCACCGGCACTGTGCCAAAGGGAGGGGGTGGAAGCAACACCTCCCCATCTTCCCTATTAAACCTGATTTCTTGCAAGTGATAAGGTGCTGGATGCTCAAAGTGCAAATTGCACTCAGGTCTGGCTGTCTAGACACAGAGCCCAAGCAGGAATTTGTGCCTGGGGATTTACTCTGGGCCAGATTCATTAGTTACTCGGTCGGGTAGTAAAATGTTAACTACAGGGGGAGGGAAAGATTTGGACCAGCTGGACCTGTTATTTGGATTCCGTTTCGGTCTTTTGTACAAATGGCTCATATTGTTGTTCCGAGCAGACCCCTGTGTGCTTGCAATGATGGTAATAATACTTGGCCTCTGTGTAAGTGCCCAGCACATGACGATGGCATTGTCACTCCTGGCTCCATCCAAGCTGTCTCACCTCATCTGCTTGGTGCTCTCGACTGCAGAGCAGACTGCTTTGAGGCTGGCTTGTTCCTGTTTCCATCCCTTCCCTTGTGCGTTCCCCACTCTCGATCCCTTCTTCTCTCTTCCCAACCCATCCTCACAGGCCACGTCAACTCTAATCTTGCAAGCAGTGGGTCTTCTCCAGCTACTGCTACCCTGTGATTTTCTATTCTCAAAACTCTCCCAGCACCTTGTCTGTAACCAAATCACTGAGCCTTTAGTCAATTTTACACTGGCTGTGGTCGCTCCCTATTGTTTCATGTGTCTGAACTTTGTCTCCTTAACCAGAGCAACTTCCTTAAGAGTCCTGGACTTGTTTGGAATTCTCCATAGTGCATAGTGAATAGACCCACCGATACAGAGAAGCTAAACAAACAAATGGTTTCCACTTACTGGGTTTCAAGTCTAAGAAAATAACAAAAGGTGCAGTAAAATGTTTATGCTTAAAGATTTTCAGAGTAAGTGTTATTTATATGGAGTAGAAAAATAGAAAACAACCTAAATGTCCAATAATAAGGCCATAAAGTACAGTGCAATATGGTACTAGCATTCTAAATGGCTTTTCAAAGAATATTTCAAGATATAAGATCAATAAATAATATCATATAAAAAGACATGAACATGTAAATAGAACAAATATATAAAAATACATGAATATGTAAATGGCACAATACAGTTAGATGAACCTATACACTTACATACTTACAGAATAAAAGCTCACATAAACAAAATAATTACATACATGATGTATGACAAGTGTCTACAATTAGCATTACCATTTTGAATAATAGAATATTGATTAACTGATAGACTGAACAATGAGTTGATGCTTATTTATTTAGCTCCAGCATTGTAAGGGGGATAAGATACTGGGTCACAGTGTGGGGAAGGCTTCCTTGTGGGTCAATTTAATCCCCTCAATATCCCTAAGAGGAAGCTATTACCCCAATTATTCAGACTTCTATTGATAGCTCCATTTTACACGTGATGAAACCAAGGATCAGAAAGTCCATGTAACATGCCTAAGGTCTCTAGCTAATACCTGGCAGGATACCCTACATCTTGATCTCCAGTGAAGCCTATTTTGTATTGGGAGAGACAGACAATAAGAAAATATACAAGTGAATAAACAATAAATTCCTAGATGATGACAAGTTCTATGTTGAAAATAAAACAACCTAAGAATATAAAGAGTAACTCAGAAGGGGTATATCATCTGTGATGGTTCAGGAGGACCATTCTGAGGATGCAGGGAGCACAACAGCATGATGAGAAGATATGGGGAAAGAGCTTTCTAGGAAGTAGAAACAGCAAGCACAGAGGCCCTGAGGCAGGGAAGAGCTCTGAGTGTTTGAGGATCAGCAATAAATTCAGTAAGACTGCAGCTGAGTGAGCAAAGTCAAGCGTGACAGTGATTAGGTCAGGAAATGAGGGGGGAGCAAGATCATGAGGTCTTTGCTTTCCAGAGCAAGGAGTCTACAGCTTATTATAAGTGGAATTGGGGGATTTTAGTTGGTTTAAAAGAGAAAAGTGACATAATCAGATGTGCTGGATAGGGGGATGTGTTGCTTTCAAGGAAAGTGCTGCTGAAGGCCTCATGCTCTCCAGGGAGTGAAACCAATTGCTCATTCCTACATGTGAGGTTGTGGTCCACAGCACTGCCTTCAGCAGACAGTCAGATGTCAAAGGACCACTTCTATCCAGGCATATCTGGGATCTCCTGGTGATTTGCAGGTTTTCTGATTCCTGCCAGCAGAATCTAATGACCTGGGCTTTGTGCTGATTATGCAGCTTGCTGAAACACCAACACACATATCCAACTACAGCTGGAAAATGCCATCCTTAATTTATGTCCCAAAGAGCACTGCTAACATGCACCCTTTATGGGACTGTTACTTCTGGAGCTTAAATTGTTTTTTTAAAAAATAAGATAGCTTATGCAATGTTTATTGAACCAAATTACCAAATTAAGTAACCACTTTCTAATGTAAATAGTAGCTAAATACAAAAACATCAGGGAGAAGGCTGATCTTAAACTTAGTATGGATCGTGCAAAGGTTAATTTGCTAATATCCTATGAGCAATGACCAGTCCACTTTGGGACTCTGGTAGTTCATGGGATCAAAGATCTTCATTGCTTTTATAAACCTAATCCCGCTGGTAAGAAGGGAAGTAACAGTTCGTAGTAATGGTGAATTATGTCTTCCTAGCTACTACAGTACCATCTACCAACTGGATATAAAAAGAAAAGAGTTTCCTCTACAAGAAAGTCCTAAGGTCTATGTGGCCTTGTATTCATTCCTTAACCTTATAGGGGATGGACCCGCAGATCTGAGTCCTCTTCCAGTTTTAAATCCATAACTTCAAAACATTCAAATCCATACCCAAGCTGATTCTACAATGCCTTATAGAAGCCCCTTTTAAAAAGTCCTTTGACCCAAAACAAGCTGTGGCCCACTGGCCAAAGGAAAGGAGAGGGATAGAATGATGTGAACAGAGAGAACATAGGCAAGCCGTGCCACAACACAGATTTTCAGACTCAAGCCCTTCAAGATTGGCTGATCTTGCCCTTCCTATGCAGATAACAAACTGAGCCCAAACAGAGGAGAGCAACTAGGTCAAGGTCAATTGACTTTTATGTAAAAAGCCAAAAGTGGAAATCGAGTCTTTGACGCAATGTGCTGCACAGATGCTTCTCATCAGAAGAGAGGAAATGAAGTGGCAGTCACAAGCCCAACAGGCAGACACATTCTGTTTGGTAAGTACAGTGTTTTTTAAAAAACTGTAAATAGATGCCAACAAGTGAATTCACATAGAAACTGGCTTTTCAGCTTTCCTTGCAAAATCAGATAGGGCCACATTGGCACCACATTCCACATGCTAAAAGGGAGTGCAGCTGTGAAGCACTTATCCCTCTGGATGGGATGTTTGTTCTCCAATGTGCCACAGTTCCCACCACTCTCTATTGTCTCAGATGGCCTCACTCTTCATTCTTTCTTGCTAACTGCCTGAACCCTATAGGTATCTAAGTTTTTAATCCCTACTATAATAGGTATCCTCTAGATATTGCAAAATACAAATCAAGTATAATACACCATGATTTACACTGGAAGCAAGAGCTATGGCTCCCTCTGTGAGTGTTCAAATCACACGTTTCTGTTAGATCCTGCCACAGAGAGTTGGCCAATGTCACAATCCTGGGCTTAAGGACTGCATCCTGTTGCAGAGATGCAGCCTCTGTTGGAGGTGTCCATTGGGGAAGAGCAGAGCAAGGTGAATGAACAGGGGAGCTGGTGTGGTAATCACTTGTTTGCTTATCTCTCCCCTCTAGACTGAGTTTTTCCTGTACAGGATGCATGCTTTGCCTCACTGGCATTTTGCAAAGTTCAAAGAGTAAGCCTTCAGTAAAGTCTGGATAAATAAATGCATGTATGAATGGGGAGTAGAATCTCATGACTGGCTGGAGGGATGGAGAAAAGATAAAGTGGCAAACTAGGAAAGTCTATGCAGAGAAAGCTTGGAAGTGAGTATAGAATCATGAAACAAGCTGCTTCTTAGCTTGTCTTATTTGTTAGAAGCAGACAGATGGGAAAGGAAGGATACAGAAGGAAATAAAAGTAGTGATATGCTCTGGGAATCTAATTTTTGCCTTCAATCCACAATGCCAAGATGCAAGTCCAATTCTAAGATACAACAATTTGTCCTTGGGACCTTCTAGAGACCCTCTTATACCCTTATGTACCCCTTACACTCCCAAGAATATATATACTTTCAGTATACCCAGAACTGATGTTCTCTGGTTAAACATTTACTTGCATCACTCAACACCATTTTTTGGTAAAGAAGAATGAGCATTAGCCATCTAATCCTTATTCTAATTCTGCCTTTACTCAACTTACAGTGTTTCAACATATACAGAATTGGTGTGAAATCAGGAAGCAGGGTGAGGTGAGGTAAGGGGAAAAAAGGAAGTAAGAAAGCCTTCACAATGTGATAAATGGGATAAAATCAGCCATAAGCTAGCAATAATTTAATTATTGGTTTCTAAAATAAAATGCCCCAGTATGTCCAACGCAGGAAGTTGTTGCTGGTTGCAAAAATAATTACAGGGGAATAGAAATGACTTCTTTTTTCAAGAAAAAAAATGCCACTTGTCACAAAAAGGTCTTAAGCCAGCAATCTGCAATAAAACTGTTATAATAACAAGTTAGATTGCTTTCTTGATAATTATTAGGTAAAGGTCTACCAAATTTGACAACGACATTATACAAAGCCCAACCCCCCTTTTTTTTTTTTACTGCCAACATCATCTGTTAACTACAGTAGTTTCAACCCAGATGTTCCTGAACAAAGGCTCTTAAGAATTAGAGTCCAACTGTTTCTGCCTACCCAGAGGGAAATACATTGTTCCTGCCATTAAATCAGCCCCCTTTACTGGAAACATTACTTGCTGGTGTTAATTAAACATGGAAACCTGTCATAGAGTTTGCACCTTCAGGAAGAAAATACAAAGAGGAGGTTTGGGGCTGTTGAAGAGGACTCACCCCACAAGTCAGGTGAGGGAGGATGAAAGAAGCAACTGTCATCATTCCCCCTGAACCCAACCCCACCCAAAGCACCAGCCCCTCTTCAGCTATCCAGAGGGCCCCTGGGAATGTCAGGTTGGCACATGCAATTGAAGTAGATACGGATACAAACACTGCACATTGGGAAACAAGGTCTTCTGGATCGAGGGGCTGGAATGGAAAAGATTCACATTCAGGAGCTTTAATTTAAAATGACAGCCGCTAGAAATCGAAATATCCAGGTAAAGAAACTTTGAAACATCCGGATTTCCAAGACTCAGCACCAAGAAAAGAGAAGTGATTTAAAATGTTCATGGAAATGTTAAGACTCTTTTTCTCTATGAAGCTTTGATAGGAGTGGAGTGGGAAGGTTTCAGAATATCCCCACCCTCTCTCCCACTCTCTTATTCTCTCCTTCTCTCTCTCTCTTTCACACACACACACAAACACACTCACACACACACAATCTCCACTAGCACACCTAAGACACTAGAATTTATAAATACATTACTTGATACAGACAATTAACTTTTGCCTAAAGTGTGAACAACTGCATTTTTAGAGAGCCTTGCTATTATTATTAATGAGAAACATAATATGAAAGAAAAAACCATGTGTTTGCTACAAGAACCCAGTGTTGAGTCAAAGCCCAAGCGTCCACCCCATTTCCAACAGGACTCCTTCCCTGACCCTTCTGTAGAGAATTCTGGACCCACCACTGCCTCAGTAGCCTGTTATTGAGGATTTCAATAGACTTTAGGGTCAACGGTTTATTCACTAGCTCATAGAAGGTCACCTCTTGGGTCTCTGTAGTAGAAATAACCACCAATACTGTATTCACATCTCTATTCATATATGTTCAACCCTAATTACAATACTCCCCAATCAAGTGGATGAATAGAGCCAGTTCTGTGAGGGGAAAATATTTTTTAAAAAATGAGATCTGCCAGGTGCGGTGGCTCACGCCTGTAATCCCAGCACTTTGGGAGGCCAAGGTGGGTGGATCGCCTGAGCTCAGGAGTTCAAGACCACCCAGGGCAACATGGTGAAACCCCGTATCTACTAAAAATACAAAAAAATTAACCGGTTGTGGTGGCACACGTCTCTAGTCCCAGCTACTTGGGAGGCTGAGGCAGGAGAATCTCTTGAGCCCCAGAGGACAAGGTTGCCGTGAGCTAAGATCACACCACTGCACTCGAGCTTGGGCTACAGAGTGAGACTCCATCTCAAAAAAAAAAAAAAAAAAAGAGAGAGATCTGAGCCTCTCCATAAATTCACTTAAAATGCTCATTTTTGCAGCCAGGCTAAAGAAATCTATCATATAACAATTGGGTCTGCCTGGTTTCTGCTCCATGTTCAAATTTGGATGTCTTTCTCCAAAAACTAATGATTTCACAGAACTGAAGTTAAACTAGCTACAGTTTTCACTGGGCAAGAGGCCCAGCTTTCGCCGGGCGGTCTTAAATTTTAAATTTCCCCAAGCGGCTTCTTTTTAAAGATCTGTCTGTGCAAAATAACACAGGTTGAGAGCATGATTTTCTGAATTTAGGAGGGGAGCACTGAATGCAGGGAGGTAGAGGAGGGAAAAGAGAATCCCCCTGCACTCTTAAACCAGCACAGTAGCATCCATACTTGCCCCTGGGCTTGGGGACAGAACTCCTGCCCTTCAGCACAGCTGAGGAAGATCTGATTGGAGTTCCCCAAGTTCCCCAGGCATTAAATACTCCACATCAAACCTGAATTTTAACTGCTCCATCAGCTGCAGAGGGACAGAGAGAGACACATACCATATTTTAAATACATCTTTTGTCCTAATCCCCTCTGAGCTGTAAAACCTGATACAATTAAGCTTTTATATTTTGCAAATGATGAATGACTGACTAATAGGTTCCCGGTGAGATTCAGAACCTAGAACACAGTGTTCTTGAGGCAGCCCAACTGCTGAACCCATGGTTTCCTGCAGCTCCTCCTTGTCCAGCCCCTCCCCTCCCCTCTGCCCTCCCTGGGGGTAGGGGAGTGCACCCTCGCTTTCGCAAGTGCTCACCAAAAACACTGTTATCAGTTTCCCCCAAAAAAATCACAAGTCAAAATAAATCTGATGCATCTCTTTGTCTCATCTAAAGAGGAAAGCAATTTGCTGTAACTGGAAAATCTCGGAGACCTAGGTGTTGAGAGAGCTCCCTATGGTACCAGGTGGCGCAGCCTCCAGATTCCCTACCACTTAGAATGTCCTCTTCCTTCTTTATCCCCCATCTGAATCAAAACTCCCGACAAGACACAGCTCAAATGTCATCTCTTCCAGGAAGAACCCCCATGTCCCCCCAGCCTACAGGGAGATGTCCCTATAACTCTCAGCATCTCTATTCCAGCTGTGTGCATCTACCACAGCACTTATCAGTGGGTGTCTAGATCTCTCTGACGATGGGTACTATTTCCCTTAGCCAGACAGTAAACTCTGGAGGCAGCCACCCTAGGGAAACTGAATATTTTACTTGGCATTTGTTGGCATTTGTAAGTATTGCTATTAATCTTTTCATGCACATATATTTGATCAAATCTAGTAGCAGTTTCCTCTAGAAGTGGCACCAAGCTTGGCACAATGGTGCACATATCCCAATTCATTAAATATCTGATTAATCGGTGATTAACCGATAAGAGAATTTCCTAAAGGTTAAAAGTAAATATAACTTGGATACACATATAGCTCGCAATGTGTTTCTTTCTTTCTAAGTGCTTCTATTATATTCAATGAGAAAGATAAAGGTAGAAGGAAAAGGAGAGGAGGGAGAGGGGAAAAGACATTAACCCGTACTGACAGATAAGTCATAGCACTCCTATTTCAGAGAAGGAGATTGGAGTAAGCATCTGTGATGGTTAATATTGAGTGTCAACTTGATTGGACTGAAGGATACAAAGTATTGTTCCTGGGTGTATCTGTGAGGGTGTTACCAAAGGAGATTAACATTTGAGTCTGTGGACTGGGAGAAGTAGATCCACCCTCACTCTGGATGGGCACAATCTAATCAGCGGCCAGCATGGCTAGGATAATGCAGGCAGAAGAAAGTGGAAGGACTAGACTTGTGAAGTCTTCCAGCCTTCATCTTTCTCCTGCGCTGGATGCTTCCTGCCCTTGAACATCACACTCCAAGTTCCTCAGCTTTTGGACTCTTGGACTTACACCAGTGATTTGCCAGGGGCTCTTGGGCCTTTGGCCACAGACTGAAGGCTACACTGAGAATCTCTTGGCTTGAAATTGATAGAGATAGCTTTCGGGGTGGCAGGACCTTCTGCCCCCACTGCCTCTTTTGCTCTCCTTCCTGTTCTCTTGGGAAACAATCTCAAATTTCACCCCTACATCCTGCTCCCATATCTTTTCATAGAATGACTCCCCTAGCTTCTGAGAAAACTCCAAGCTCTCCCAATCCCACCCTGCAAGGGAGCATTTTGCCAGCCTAGAGAAAAAGCACATTTATTTCTTTCCATGCTTTAAGATGTTATTGGCTGCATATTGTTTTAGCGCAGCGCATAATTACAGAAACTGCTCTGAAAATCTGTATATTTTATCTGTGCTTTATGATACCCAGAATATTCCCCAATTCTTTTTCTTCTTCGTGAACCAGCTTAAAATATATTTTGGCATCCTTTATGTCATTTTGAAATTGAATAGCCAATTCTTACTGTAATGAAAATACTTATGTGCCAGCCCAGTGATATACAACACTACACTCTAATTACGGCTGTGCTTTAATTAACCTGAATTGAAGAGTGTTATCATTAAACTGCTGGTAACTTTGAGTTATGGCTTTTCTTTAATTTAAAGTAGAAAACACAGATAATTAAGCCTCCAGATAATCAAATGCTTGAGGAGAGCTTCAATGTTTTGGGATGTTCCTAAATCTCATTAAATGTCCTTCTTTTATTGATCATTTCTACCTCTGCTGTATCATTGTATTAAACGAATAATAGCACTAAGTTGTACACATTCTCACTCACATCAGAAGTGGAATATATATATATTCCAGAAACTTTACTGAGCAAATACTAAATTATCTGACAACAATTTGTCTCCTTCTTGGGACATGTTCTAAATACAAAAATCAATCAAAGGGAATATTCACAGAGCCACTAGTGCCAGCTCTTGAGCTGGCTGAAGGCCAGTGAAGTTCCACACCACCCAGTGGGTCAGGGTTGGCAAACTCACACAACCACAGGGCCAGGCCTGGGATTTATGTGCAAATCTGGCCTGGTTTAAGATATCAGGGAGGAGTAACTACATGACTATACTAACCCCTTTGCTACATCAAACTGGAGCCAGTTAGCATTCTGAGGAAATGCAGGTCTTGCATTGTCACATTAGATTTTCTAAAGAATCCAGAAATCTAGTTTTTACGTGACATACTACTATTTGGAAATATCAGCAACTAGTTGATATCTACGTGAGTCAAACATACCTAGTGACTATCCCAGTTAGAGCCTGTAGGGGGAGCAGTCCTGACCCTTCAAGTTACCCATAAGAGGAACGGACTCAGTTCCCAAGAGCAGAGTAAGAGAAGGGTGGAAAAGCAAGAAGGGCCTGGGGGTTGGGGAGGGAGCACTCTTGTTAGATACAAACACCAGTTAGGCCAGGGAAACCCTACAGCCAAGGAAGGGGGCTTGACGGAGCCCCTGCTGACACCCTCACCAACATAAGACTCCCGCAGGCGCTGGCAGCTCTGCTATGTGCTCAGACCACCACCACATTAGACAGCCAAGGCTTCAATTGCCTTTTTATAAAACTAGCTTCTGTTAAAAAGCCTGCTTTCCCCCGGGGCTTTGTATCCTAGGCAGACCAAGCTCCAGGGAGGGGGAGATCCCCTGGGACAGCCTCAGTGTTCCAGGACCCAATGCCTCTGAATGCTTAACTCCTCTCAGTGGCAGGAAGAGAAATAGCTCTCAAAGAAAGGCACACATGGGAGTCACAATAGGGCATCCATTTTCAGAAAATAACTCCTTCCGAATCAATTACCTATTCACTTTTCCAGTCCATTTAGCATTAAAACTTTCGCTTAGAGACAGGGTGAGAAATTTCAGTAAACAGCCAAACCATTTTGGATTGCTTAGGGTCTGGGCCCAGGGACTGACAGAGTGCACCTGCTGTGTTCAGTGACAGGAGGCTCCAGGTAAACACGAAGCCACCAAGCGCTCCGCCTCCCTCCCTCCTGCATACAGAAAGAAAACCGTGATACAGAGGAGGCCAAGGGCACCCAGGACTGTCCCCTCCTTTGTGGTAAAGCCTGATCAGTTTTGTTTCGATGTCTTCAGACCTCTCTTTTGGTTTGTATGTAGGCAGGAAGTGCAAGCAAATGGCTTTTCTTCCTCAGCCCAGTGAGCTCCCAGATACCCCTGTTTCTTCCCAGTGAGAAGAATCCTTGTCAAATCCTTTGCTAAGGTGTCAGGAGAATAGGCTTAATGTTTCACCAACCTCAGGGAGTTTGTGTTTTCAGAGGGCACAAAGACCCCGTTCATCTTAAACTCAACATCTGAGATTTTTTATTATTATTATTTTAGAGATACAATCACTGCTATCCAGGCTGGAATGCAGTTGCGTAATCAACCTCCTGGGCAGCCTCAACCTCCTGGGCTCAAGCAATCCTTCTACCCCAGCCTCTAGAGTAGCTAGGACCATACGTGTGTGCCACCACACTCGGCTAATTTTCCTTATTTTTTGTAGAGATAAAGTCTCACTGTGTTGCCCAGGCTAGTCTTGAATGCCTAGCCTCAAGTGATCCTCTCACCTCAGCTTCTAAAAGTGGTGGGATTGCAAACATGAGGATTCTAAGTGAGGAATCTGAGGCACTGTCATGCCTCACGGCAGACACCTGGAGCTCTTGAGGTCATCCCCCATAGGTGACCATCTATTCTACCTGCAGTGGCCATGGCGGGTGGCTTTGATCCATCCTGCTGAGCCAGTGGAAAGAGAAGCTAAGACTTGTTATTATTATAACATGGCAGTTGTCTATGTGGGGGCTCAAGGCCTCCTTCTGTATATTTGGTTCCACATTTCCTCAGCAAAGGGTGAAAACACTTTGAATGGCTTTATTTCAGTAGCTTCTCTGTTGTCTCTATGATCAGACTTGATGGGAAGACAGATTAAAATTCCTTTCATTGAGGGGCTGGCAAGATTTGTTTTGCCCTCTTAGAATCAGACAGGCAGGGGTTTATGCCACTCTTCATAAATGTGTCTACATCACAGAAGGCATGCAGGATAACTGTAGTTCATAAGTTAGCATAAATGATGAATTCAAGTCCAAGACTCTCAGGCCTGTCAAGAAAAGTGGGGCCAGTGGAAATTCCCCAGGCAGAGGCCATGTAATGACCCACCCTCCTATTCATCACATGGGGCCGAGCACACGGGATACCCTCGGCAATTGTCAAGTGCTCCAACTGTACCCAGCAGAGGTGGGAGGCTTCCTTGCAAGGGGCACATTCAATATCCCTGAAAGCCAAAGAGCATCCAGTTAAAGGTCACTTACTCACAAACAGTAGGGAAGGACAGACCCACGAAGGCACTGGAGAGATATTCTGTGTACATTTCATTTGAGACTCCTTCCAAGTAGTATTTCTGCCATGTGTCTTCCTCAATCTAAAGGAAAGGAACACATGCGGAGAGTTTAAAATATGACGGTGGGCTGTAAAAGGGAAACCTGAGTTACACTCTTAGGCAAACAAATGAATGCACTGGTTAGATAATGGTGACCTTTTCAGCAATCAGGAACACGGCCTCTGCACCCATATAAAGCCTTCAATAACCCTAAACTCATAAAGTGTGTGCCCTCTAAAACACTTTTTTAACCTGTGTGATTTCTTTCCTTTTTCTTTTTTCTTTTTCTTTTTTTTTTTTTTTTTTTTTTTGAGACAGGGTCTTACTGTTGCCTGGGCTGGAGTGCAGTGGGTCATAGCTCACTGAAGCCTTGGACACCTGCACTGAAGCAATCCTCCTGCCTCAGCCTCTGGAGTAGCTGGGACTATAGGTGTGCATCACCACACCTGGCAATTTTTTTTTTTTTAAGAGACAGAGTCTTGCTATGTTGCCCAGGCTTGTCTTGAACTCCCGGCCTCAAGTGATCCTCCTGCTGCTGCCTCTCAAAGTCCTGGGATTACAGGTGTGAGCCACCGTGCACAGTCTTTAATCTGTATGACTTCTAATGGTGCGGAGACATGGGCACTCACCCACATTAGTGGGCAAGGAAATTGATACAACTGTTTTGAAGAGCAATTTTGCAATTATTATCAAAATTTGTAAAAGTACACAGTCTTTTACACTACAATTCCATTTGAAGTATTCATAGCAAAGAAACAGGAAAACAGAGGTAAAAAAATATACAAGAACATCCTTTCTATTCATGAAAAATGGGAAATAACCGTAAATGGCACACATACAATGGAATACTAAGAAGCAATTAAAAATTATAATGAAAATGTATACCTGTTCATACAGAAATTCTGTAAAAAGGCACATTATAAAATAGTGTACATAATCTGATCCTATTTTTTTAGATGGCCTATAGTTATCTGAATGTTTGTAAAGCCATAAAAAGAATTTAGGAAGCTTTATATCAAAACACTAACAGTTGTTACCTCTGAGTGGTAGAATGATACTTTTTTTCCTCTATAGATTCCTGTATTGTCTGAAGGCTTTTATAATAAGCATGTATATATTATAATGAAACAGTATATTTCTACTTTGCACAAAATGACAGATTTTTCTGACCCCCCAAGGAATATCACAAAAGGTAAAATGTTAGTTTCAGAGATGTCTTGCTCCAAATTTCAAAAGGAGTATCACAAAAGTAAAATGTAGTTTCAGAGAGGTCTTGCTCCAAATTTCATTAAAATATGCATTTTTTCTAAGTAGTCAAGTTTAGCTGGTTTTCCCAGCAACCCTCTTCATGCTAGGCATCTCTGAAAGGATTTCACAATGTAGTGAATCTTCTTTTTTGTTTTTTTGAGACAGTCTTGCTCTGTCACCCAGGCTGGAGTACAGTGGTGGGATCTCAGCTCACTGCAATCTCTGCCCCCTGGGTTCAAGAGATTCTATTGCCTCAGCCTCCTGAGTAGCTGGAATTGCAGGTGTGCACCACCATGCCTGGCTAATTCTTTTTTTTTTTTTTTTTTTTTTTTTTTTTTTGAGACGGAGTCTCGCTCTGTCGCCCAGGCTGGAGTGCAGTGGCGCGATCTCGGCTCACTGCAAGCTCCGCCTCCCAGGTTCACGCCATTCTCCTGCCTCAGCCTCCCGAGTAGCTGGGACTACAGGCGCCCGCTACCACGCCCGGCTAATTTTTTGTATTTTTAGTAGAGACGGGGTTTCACCGTGTTAGCCAGGATGGTCTCGATCTCCTGACCTCGTGATCCGCCCGCCTCGGCCTCCCAAAGTGCTGGGATTACAGGCGTGAGCCACCGCGCCCGGCCCTAATTCTTGTATTTTTGGTAGAGACAGGGTTTCACCATGTTGGCCAGACTGATCTCAAACTCCTGACCTCAAGTGATCTGCCTGCCTCGGCCTCCCAAAATGCTCCCAAAATACAGGCATGAGCCACTGCTACCGGCTTACAATGGAGTCAGTCTTTAGAAACTGGTGAATTACAAGGAGAACGTTGAGCCGCTATGGGAGCTTAGGGATCTCACAGGCCTCCCTGAGGGAAGGAGGGCAAGCTGTGTGTCTTTGGCTGCAGCCTCTCAGGCTTCCCTTCCAGTGGGGGCATGGGTAAGAGGAAGATGAGAGGAAGCCACCCCGCCAACAGGAAGTGGCTCTTTAGAACGGCTTGTGCTTATCTTGTATTAAAAGGCATCTTGCTGGCAGCCAGTCAGTCAGTTCACTGGGAGAAATGCAACATGTGGACCAGAAGGAGAGCTAGGAACAGTGGGCAAGGGCACACCTACCATCTACTTGGTGACACTCCAGCATACAAAAGCCAGAAAAAATTTAGAAATAAACTGAAGGCTCCCTGGCTCTGTGCTCTTTGTCTGCTTTTAGCTCAGTCTGGGCAATTAGATTATGTAGGTTAACCTCATTAGTTTGAGCTGCTTCCAGCCTACTCCCACAGGTTAGACATTAGCTAGGCAGTGCTGCTGGGTATGAGCAGTTTATCTACAAATTGGCCTTCCCCAGAGTGGGGTCTTTAAAAAAAAAAGTCACTCAACCAATTCTATTGCTAAATGGTATGATTTTAAAAATTAACTGCAATGTGTTTAGCTAAGCCTGAACTTTTTAATTTCTCCAAACCATAAGATCTCAATAATTTTTTTCGAATAAAAGATATGCTTGACTTATAAGCAAAGGTCACTAACTCTAACTAATTTGAAGAAAGCCTAATCTGCCTTAGTAAAAAAATGTTGGAATATAGAATATTTGGGAAACAGTATTAACATAATTTGTTTTATTAATGAATAGGATACTATATGAGGTATCACTAATTACAAATCCCCATACTAGAGCCTTATGGGCAAATAGTATTCCTGAAGTAAAATAATTCAGCCTATTCTTTTCATATGTGTTCTTTTATAATGTGTTGTTTATGGTCTAATTTAAATACAACAACTGATTATCAAAAATAATGAAAATACAAACCTTTATTATTGATCATTGGTGGTATTCCTCAATTAATATGGTTTTAACAAGGTTCTTTTAGTTTTGGTCAGAATTTTCATGCCTTTATGTCCTAATGAAGCTATTCTTTATACCAAATTTTATTGTAGGTGAATCACTAAACTTTTTAAATAAGAAGGAACACATTTTTTGTAGGATAACAATATTATTCATGTTTGTTTTGAATTTAGCAAAAATTGTTTTATTGAGTCATTCATTCAGCAAATATTGACTGCATATATTTTTAATCTTAGGATCTGTTCTAGCTTCTGATTAAATCAAAACTGGTATTTACTTCCCCATATTTTTCTCTTTGCTAGAGAAAGCACCAGATGTATCTGACTATGATATACCTGACCACATATATCTGACTTTTACTGATTTTTCCATATCTTTTTTCCTGCAAGTTTGCCTCTGTGGCTAATCAAAATGCTTGAGGACTGAAAGTCGTATAACTGGAAAAAAGTACAGAATGTTCTAGAAAACAAAATGCCTCTTCCACATCCTTGTGTAGACCTGCGGATAGTCTCTACACACTAGACCTAGTAGCATCGAATCAACTGAATAAATGCTGGAGCATTTAAATCCGTTGCCATTGCCATCTGTTTAAGATTTCCACATCTTTAACACTATTTCCATATGGATAGTCAATATGTTTTTGAGGTTTCTGGTAAAGGAATTTCACTTTAAAAAGAGTCTAAAATTGCTAATTGAATTACACTGTCATATTCTCAAGCAATGTATGTAGTTGGTGGGAATGTAAAGTGGCACAGCCACTGTGGAAAACAGTATGGTGGTTCCTCAAAAAATTAAACATAGAATTACCATTGGATTCATAATTCCACTTCTAGGCATATATCCAAAGGAACTGGAAGAAGGATCTCAAAGAGATATTTGTACACTCATGCTCACAGCAGCATTAGTCATAATATCTAAGAGGTGGAAGCACCCCAAGTGTCCATGGACAGATGACTAGATAAACAAAGTGTGGTAATTTACAATGGAATATTATTCAGTCTTAAAAAAGAAGAAAACTCTGACACATGCTACAACATGGATGACCCTTGAAGGCATTACGCTAATTGAAATAACCCAATCAAAAAAGGACAACCGTGTTATGATTCCACTTATATGAGGTACCTAGAGTCCTCAAATGCATAGAAACAGAAAGTAGGAAGGTGGCTGCCAGGGGTTGCAGGGAGAGGGAATGAGGAGTCATCGTTTAACTGAGACAGTGTCCGTTTTGCAAGATAAAAAGAGTTCCGGAAGTGGATGGTAGTGATGGTCACACAGTCATGTGAATGTTCCACTGAACTACATGCTTAAAAATGATTAAGATAGTAAATTTTGTATGTGTATTTTATCACAATTAAAAAGATTTTTAAAACCCTTATGTATAACATAAGAGCAGGAGAATCAGTAATTATAATTAATACTGAGACCATTTAATCCTTAAGTCATGCCAGAACAAGGACACGAATAGGCCAATCACATCAGACAAGTCAGGAGTGAGAACCCAGAGTCATTACATCATAGTGCATCACAAACTCAGCAACAGAACTTCAGTCTTTATACCTACCCAAGGGCTGAAATTATCACCTTCTATCAAGGTAACTTTTCTAAGTCTCGAGTGTGGTATCTTTGACTTACTTTGGAAAAGCAAAAACAAAAGTGTACATTTCTCATACAATGCATTCTTAGGACAGAAAAAAAAAACAGTGTAAAATACATTGAATTTAAATCCTTAGCCACACCTGTATCCCAGCACTTTGGAAGCTGAGGCAGGAAGTTTGAGGCTAGATATTTGAGACCAGCCTGGGCAACACAGCAAGACCCTGTCTCTACAAAAAATTAAAAAATTTGCCAAGTGTGGTAGCACACCCCTGTAGTGCCAGCTACTCAGGAGGCTGAGGCAGGAGGATAGCTTGAGCACAGGAGTTCAAGGCTGCAGTGAGCTATGACTGCGCCACTGCACTCCAGCATGGGCAACAGAGAGAGATCCTGTCTCTAAAATAAATAAATAAAACCTTGTGTTTAATACTAAGAAAATGAAAGTGAACAAAGAAATCTGGACCAGGTAAAGGGAGTTATTGTCATTATGAATTCCCCTTTTATAGATGATAAAACTGAGGCACAGAGAGGTTAAGAAACCTGCTGACAGTCACAAAGTGAATCCGTGGTACAAACAGGATTCAGAGTTCACACTCTTAACCACCCACCACAAAGATAGAGGTGTAGGGAGGTTGTGGTGTTAGGATTTCGGGGAATGGGGAGGATTTGCTGTGTACAAGTACCAAAGAGGGAAATATCAAAACCGAAGCCCATCAAGGACTCAAAAGCCCAAACTCTGTAGCCTATGACTTTACGAGACGTCTAGCAAGGAGTAATAATCCATTTTGGCTCTAGCTGAAAGGGCGGTTCAAGCCTCCTCTCAGAGCATAAAAGTATGGTTTCTATTATACAAAATGGAAACTTCCTAGCCTACAACTTCTTTCCTAAAATAGTACATGCTGTTCCCCACATTTGTGTTGTCAATGTATTTTTAACTGTAATGTGAAGACACACTTCTCAGCAGAAAAAAATGAAGGAATGGGACCAAAATGACTTAGGGAAAGGTGCCAGAATTAATTTGCCAGCCATTCAGCAATCAGTCAAAGGCAGAGCATTTCCTGAGGCAGCAATTTATCCTTTGGCTGTCACATCAAACCCCAGCTGTTTTAGAAGAGCGCCTAGCAAAGATGAGCAGATGATGCTCTGTGGGTCCTTATTCATCAAATACACACGGGATCATCAGTGAGAACAGGGGACTGAGCCAATGAACTAGCTTGCCTACACCTCTCATTTACTGTCTTATTTATCTACTCTTCATTATCTAATTTTTCATCCAGTCTAGTTGAACCTCCCAAGCAAATGGTTTCACACCAATCCACGGGCAGACAGCTCCCCCATCAAATGTACCTTCCAACTGGAAACCTCAGCCTTGGCTCCACGGGAAGTCACACCTTCCTGATCCCAGGTTCTGTGTGTGTCACTAATGGTGGGTTGGTAATGATGCCTTTTATTTTTTATGCTTCCTCTGATTAGAGTGAAACTGTGTTTCTCTAATGCTAACAGCCCAGTGAATGTGAAAAATTCAACTCTCCTGGCTGGGAGTATGTTACAGCCATCATGATTTCTGTTCCCAGTAAAAAGTCTGAATAACTGTGTTGATTACAGCCAAATAATCTTGCAAAAGTCCACCTCTACCCGTGAAGTCATGTAAATAATTCCAAAGATTGTCATATACTAGTCCTTATTTAATTGAAAACAGGCAAATTCTTTTAATCCAAATATACATTATATTATGCACATCAAAAATAAAGCACTAAAAGGAAATTATAAAAACCAATGACCATTATGTTAATAGCTGCAATAAGAAGAGATGAGTCGTAACATATACACACTAACACTGCCCAAAACAGGTAGTAGAAGGTTAGTGTATTCACAAGAACTTACTACATTTACTATTTTTAAAAAGTCTATCTGAATTTTCAGTAAATATTCTTCCTATAAAGGATCCACAGTTTTAAATCTTAGAAGTGCTTAATAAGAATTAGAGACATTTGAATGAATATTTATATATATCAATTATGCAATACATTGTCACTGTCCTTTATAATAAGATTGTCTGAAACAGAATGCAGTCATATGAACTGACTGGCATATCTTAGATGCCATTAAAACGTATTTATCATGACCCCACACCCCCCAAGAAAACCCCACAAAATGTGTCAAGTCCTTGCCTACAATACTAAACATGAAATCAGAATTGATGGGCTCTAAGTTGATGAATGTTTGGGCTGGTTACTAAAATGGATGGGGGGTCATTTGTATCCATTCCTCAACAGCATGCTCTGTCAAGGGGAAAAGTTTAATTGAATCTTGCGTTTTCTCATTTCTTGCTGAAAAGTACGATGTTAAGGCCAGCAAGGTATTAAGAAGACTTCATCATGGGACTTGTCAGATTCTCTCCTCCTCTATTTCCCTCTATGTTCCAATGTCAACAAACTTGCCCCAGTTTTTATCAAAGGGCATGTGGTTATCTCCTTCTCTACCCCTTCTTAGCCTCTTCGTTCTTCAGTATAATTGCAAATCCTAAAAGCAATTCATAGAATAAACAAAATGAAATGTTTGAGTCTTGTTAGCTGAGGTCCAAATGGTGCCAGCACAGAGAATGCCTCACTGCACAGCTTTCTGGGGTGGAGTTAACTAGTGATCAAGTTGAAGCCAAAGGAAGAAAGCAGAAGAGAATAGTGATTTGCACCTTTTCAGAATGTATTTCTTCTCTGTGCCAAACTGCATCTCAGCGCTGAACTTCTTGGATGTGGACTCAGTTCAGCTGCCTTTCTGAAAGTTGCTTGGATTTCAGGGACTCCATAACAATTTGGCATTCCACAATTATGGCCTCTTTCAGAGAGCATTTTCCAGAATGTGTGACTAGGACAAAAAGATCTCAGATTTTTCCAAAGGCTTCAGGACAATGTCAATTAAAACAATTTTGGGGGGATTTGATGGAATGCCAGAAAACTGGTTGCTTCAGCCATGAACAAATAAATAAACAACTCCAAATATTAATTTCGGAATGGACTTGAGCCAAATCTCTTACTCCCAGACCAGTGGGCTGCAGACTATCAAATGAGATTTCTTCCATCAGGCATTATGAAAAAGAATCAACCCACACGAGGTGTTCAGAGGGCGATTAAAAGACTACACCACATGTAAAAGTACCAGAATACATGGTATTTTCCCTCACTCCATTATCCCAACCAGGTTTATTTCTGGAAAGACAGAGTGCCAGAGGAACTGAAGGTAAAGGAAGGGTAAACAGCAAGAGTGATATGAGAACTTTTTAAAATAATAATTGAGAAATTATTTTTTAAAGTGTTACATATGTGGCAGGAAACTGGTCTTTTTTTTTTTTTTTTTAACACATAGAAGGTTTTGCCACCCTATCCTCAATTTTCTCTCCAATATAGAAAAGGTGTTTACACTTAAGAGCCTTTTTTAAAGATTGGCCTATTCACTCTCTGTTCAGAGAGGAATTTGGTTTTGCAACCTTGCTAATAGTAAAGAACATATTTACATGTCCTTCAAATAATAAGGATTCTTAAAAATACCACTGAAAATAATTCTTATTTGGGTAAATTGAGCAGGAAGTAAATGTTTTCAGTCAGACGTCTGCCAAACCAACCCCAGAATAGTTCAGCTTCGTATGCAGGGTTTTCAGGACAGCCCTTCTTACCCCATCTGAGGTGAGGGACCAGGGTTTAGCTTTTATTTCTAATATCCATTCTTTTGCAAAATCTAATAAAAATGAATTACAGGCCAGGCACTGGCTCACGCCTGTAATCCCAGCAATTTGAGAGGCCAAGGCAGGAGGATCGTTTGAGCCCAGGAGTACTAGACCTGTCTGGACAACATGATGAGACAATAAATAAATAAATAAATAAATAAGAATTACAAAAAAATGAAAAGACAAATCCAATGCAAGGTACAAATCCAAAATTTTTATCATAGATTCACAATCCATATAAAATTAATCCATCCAATTGCTTTGAAAGTTTCTAAGCACTTACTCTCATCTTCTGTACTTAACTCGTCACGGATGAGTATCAAACAGCTCACAGTCCCCATCTATGGACCATGGACCACACTTGGAATTGTGCTGGTCCACAACATGGCACCACTCTGTCTTAAAAATCTGACTTCCCATAATTTCCCCTGCTTCAGAAAAGCAGAATTGTTCTCAACTAATACTTCACAGAAAGAACTTGACAAAACTTAATAGCAGGTGTTATCTGAAACAAAGGAGAATGGGGAGGGGATTCTGTGGTGGCCCCTACTAGAATGTGGGAAATGTTGAAGGCACAGATTTTTACCTGAATCTCCACTGCCTGGAACTGTGCGTGGTACATAGTCATAGCTCAATAATAGTTTCTGAATGAATGAAATAAACTTGGGAAGCACAGAATTTAACAAAGCCAACTTGTTTTATTTAATTTTATTATTTTACTTTCAGCACAATACTCCTTAGAGTATTTAACATGTTAAGAGGAATTGTAAATCT
Organism: Homo sapiens; assembly: GCF_000001405.40. NCBI lineage: Eukaryota > Metazoa > Chordata > Mammalia > Primates > Hominidae > Homo > Homo sapiens. The sequence goes on from NC_000010.11 coordinate 77,048,747, forward strand.
CCAAGAGGAGAACATGACTTTTTTGTTTTTTTGAGATGGAGTCTCGCTCTGTCACCCAGGCTGGAGTGCAGTGGTGCAATCTTGGCTCACTGCAAGCTCCCCCTCGCGGGTTCATGCCATTCTCCCACCTCAGCCTCCTGACTAGCTGGGACTACAAGCGCCTGCCACCACGCCCGGTTAATTTTGTTTTTGTATTTTTAGTAGAGATGGGGTTTCACTGTGTTAGCCAAGATGGTCTCGATCTCCTGACCTGGAGATCCACCCGCCTCGGCCTCCCAAAGTGCTGAGATTACAGACGTGAGCCACCGCGCCCGGCCAGAACGTGATATTTAGTCACAGAATCCTTTATTTCAAGGAGCAGCTTAAGAAGATGGGAAATGCTAATCTAAAAACTTCCTCTCCTGACTTCCCACCCTGAAATCTCTGTTTCCCTTGACGCTTCTATCACAAATATGTCTCTCTATGACCTTTTTCAGTTGTCAAAATCCAGTGCTTCCTGTAACTTTCAAGTCATAAACTACCTCCTCTCTGAGGCCTTTCCTCATTTCACCAATGTGCTGTGCTGTCCCTGCCTTAATGGGAATAGTAACTGCACACATCTCTCAGGAGGCCATGTGGGCTGAATGAGATGATCAGTACAGAATGTCTAGAACAGTACCTGGTACTTAGTAAGTGCTCCATGTGTGGTGATTAGCATTAAGTACCATCACAGCATTTGACTTCTCTGACATCTGAAGAGAACTACAATGAGGTGGAATTCCATTTCCGTATCGACTGTAAGCTCCTTAAAGGAAGAGCTGTCTTACTCAGCTCTGTATCTTCTAGAAGGAGCAGCACAGTACTTTGCAAATAAGAGGTGCTGGGTTAATATCTGCTGAGTTGAACTAAGCAAGATAAAACTGGAGAGAGAGGCCTAAAGAAACAAGAACAATTTTTCTAGGCATCTGATCATAAGTAAGCATGAATAACTTCAATAACTTCATAGCGTTTAGTGTTGGGGCATGAAATAAATCAATTCTGCTTCTGAGCATGGAAAAAATTTCTGCACTGTTAGGATCTACCAGGGAGTATGTATAACTGGGTCATTTTTACACTTCCCAAAAAACTTCTTACTATGAGCAATATTTTCTGGGAAATTTTTCATTACAGAACATCTTGGGCTTCTTAGCAACTGACTTACGGTTTTCTAAATTCTAAATCCGATAACTTGGAGGCTTGAATTTGAAAGACAAAACTCTCAAGAACTGATATATTGCCACCAATCTAACTGGAGTTATTCCTACTAGCTAGAAGTCCTGCCTGCATTCCTCTGGGAGAGGAAGCCCCGTCCCTCCCCATCTCATGCCTATTCTATCTTCCCCATGTGACTCAGCCCTCCTTGTCTTCTCCTTGTCTTCATTTTTTGGATTCCAAAGTAAAGTCAAACAACAATTCAACAGGAAGTAGACTGAGCCCAGGGAAGGTGATATTTGGCAAGTTCATTATTCCTAAATTCTAAAATTGAGGCCAAAACAACTTGATCTTTTCTAAAAAAAAAAAATAAAAAAACAAAAAAACAAAAAAAAAACTGGGAGAAGAGGAAGGGAGTTAGAAAGAACATTTGAATCCACATAGGAATGGGGAGCTTGCTTTTGATAACACAAAAAACTAGAGAGTTGCCTGTGCCTTTGAAGGATCTTTACTATTTTAGACAGTTTGGTGAGAATCCCACCAGCCACTGCTGTTAGCAAATGACAAGGTCTCACCAGTGGATGTGTCTGAGGGCTTACTTAGTAAAAGTCCTTTGAAATATGGAGTCCAGTGCTATCTATACTTTGATATGCACGTATGTCACCCAAGTGTCTTGGCAAAATCCAGTTTCTCATGCCTTAGTCCTGAGGTGGGGTCAAGTCTATGAGTCTGCATTTCTAACAAGCTCGCAGATGACACTGATGCTTCCCCTATAGGGCCCACATTTTGAGTAGCAAGGAGCTGTTCCCAAAGACGGTGAAGAATAAGGGGCAAGTATTCTCCATGATGCCTTGAGGACAAGAGATTCAGAAGAATCGATTACAGCCTAAAGGATTTGAACCAGAGATGAAAAAGAATGCTTTCCATGAAGTATTGCTAGATATTGGAGCCAGTTACAGAGAAAGCTTTTAGACAATTAAGCACAAGATGGGTATCCAAGTGTTTGGGCTGTTGTGATAATTAGCCTAAACAATATTTCAGGGGTCCAGATTTATCTACTTAGTCTCTCTCCATTGATTCAGTGACCCCAGTAATAGCTGAATCTCCATTGGAATGTGGGTTGTGTAGATACAGAAGCAATATCATGACTATATTGAATTCAATTAAAAATAAAGTTTCAGAAAATGGCCCTGATTTGCATCCCTAATTTCTATTCAACTTTCCCATTTTAGGACACAGTATTGAGTGTGAGGACGAAAACGCTCGCCAACCCAGTCCTGTTTTAGTGACAGCAGATTCTGGGTACTTATGTCTCCTATCGCCATACAATATGGCCTAATAAAGTCGCGCCAAAGAGACTAGATTTCATTTCAGAGCAAAGGGTTCAGTCGTAAACTTTAGCTTTCTGGCTGAACAGAGCCATTCCAGCCGCAAGCATAAATTCTGCTAGTTTTAGGTATCAGAGTGATTGGGAAGCCAAATGGGTTATTTGTGAGCCTGGTAGCAAAGGCAGAAGCGCCAGCTTTATTGTGTATTCATTGTTATCTGGACAATCTCTTGTCAGTTAGAGAATATTTTCACAGGAAGTTAGAAGCGATTTCAGAAATTCCCCTCTGCAGTTTCTCAGAGTGGATGTTAGGCCTCATCAAAAAGACATTTGGTTCAGAGATTGAAAGTGGGCAGCCTATAAATTGCTGAGGTATTTAGCTGGGCTTAGCAGTTTTCCTTTGAGGAGGAAACCATGATCCTGAGTGCTCACTGAGTACAGCAGGGAAGTGCCTAAGTTCACGCAGCCTCTGGCTTCAAAAAATCCCAGCCTTATCATGTGCTCCTGAGCCAAGGAGCATAACCTCTCCAAGCCTTAATTCCCTTCACCTGCAAAATGAGAGCAACACTAGTACCTACCTCCTAGGGAGGCAGCTGAAATGAGGTGGTGCATGTAAAGTGCTTAGCAGGGTGCCTGGCAAATAGCTAACATTTGTGGAGTACTTTCTATGCAACAGATGAGCATGTGTTCTAACCATACTAAGAGATGGCATTTATTGAGTTTGTACCTTGTAGACAGTCTATACATGTCAGCTGTCATTATAAGTAATGAGTGATAGTGATAGTGATGATGCTGATGATGCTGATGATAGACAAGATAGCTCTACTGCTCAGACAAAGGAACTATGCCAATTAGATGTGGGGCCTGTGATTCATGGCTTCCTATTGCTTAGCTGCTGCTAGAAAAGGCTGGAACATCAGTGATCATACAGTGGTTCTCTGAATTGAAGAGAAACATTAAGCAGCCTGAGTTTGTCCCCAAAAGACAGCAATATTCTCTGGAGGTCCTCTCTGCCACCCATGGACTTTCCTAACGGCCAGTAAGTTAACTCTGGGTAGATATGATGATAAGGGAGAAGTTGATATTTTGAGGGGACATGATGGTCTCCCAAAATAGAAAATGGATCATGTGTGGGTAGCACCATTAACATGATGCAGGATCACCCAGCCTGGCTTTCTGAAAGGAGCCCTGGGCAAACAGGACCCTGATGACCAGAATGACACTTGCCCACATCTCTCAGTTAGTACTCCCCACACACTATTCGTACCTGTCGTTCTCCTTCCTATCAAATGGCTTTGCTACTCACTTCCAGCCTTGCCTCCACGACTGATTTTGAATGGATACCTAGCATATCCTTGGTCCACAGGATGAGTGTGCAAAAAAAAAAAAAGGGTACTTATTCAAAATATTCTTTTTAAAAATACTTGTCCAGCTTGTATTTGGAGGACAGACAGAGCAGTAGATGGGGTGATAGAGAGAGGAATGATCCCTGGTCAGAGTCTTCAGCTACTGACCCTAGTAATTCAATCTTGAGCCCAATTTTGCATACTCAGCAAAAGAAAAGTTTTGCAGTCAAGCAGACCCATGCTTTTTAGAAAGCAAGTTATAAAATATCTGTCATTACTTGAACATGCCATTTGGGAGGAGGAGACTCATCCCTCCTAGCCGAAAAACCGTATCAAAGTATTCCCCCAAATACCTTATTAAAGTATTCAAAGTAATCTCAAACTTTCTGCCTCCTGAGAAGAGTTCTGGGAAGCACACTTTTCTATTTCTTGTTGCATTTCTAGAATGTTTTACCACTCATTGTAGTTCAGCATCCCCAGAAAACTGACAGGCAGGCCATCACCCTGCAGTTGGTATAAGATGGAAAGAGGGAGAGGACTTGCTATGATCCTGTTTGGGCAAAGAGACCCCTCCCTGTCCCCATGCTCACCTGTCCCATGAGCAAGTTCAAGTCAATAATACATGTCTATCCACTGAGGTAACTCATTGCAGCACACAGCTGTTCTCCTTGCAGTCAACACCAGTGCAGAGCTCTCCCTGGGCAAAGCTGCACTTGCTGGATGGGTTTTCATTAACATATGGGAAAGAATAGTCAGCAAATCTTCACTGTTGCAGAGGACTGGGAAAAACCAGACAGATGCACCTAGTTCTCACCTATCCATGCAGACAAAATCATCTAGCCTTAGGGAGTGGAGGGTGAATTGCCAGAGACGCTGAAGGGGTTGGGAAAACCAGTGTCATTTAGGTTGATGAACAATGCTGCTGCCCTAAAAAATGTATTCAGTCAGAAAATTCTGCTGACTCCGTATCTCACCACAAAGAGCTCCAGGGACCTTCCCCGACATCAGTCATTTACAAAAGTGTTGGCAACACAAAATTGTAAGCACTGTAGGTAGGGATGCCTTTATGCCACCTTAGAGGGTGGTTTTATATCAGGATTATTCCTCTATCTTCTCCCATCAGTGATCCAGTTCTGACCCAGTCTCAAATCTCATCACAAATAGAAAGCCAAACAGCACCTACCTCCATCTCTTAAGAAAGTTGAAGGAGAGAATTTATAGACTGAGGGGTAGGTGCTTTCATATACGGATAATCTTTCAAAAATACCATAAGCTCTTCCATTTTTTTTACAGCAGGTAAATAGGGAGCTAAGAGAGGTTCAGTAGCCTTCCCCAGGTCTTACAGCAAATCGCGTCCTAATCAGAGTCTTATAATCCTTGCCCTGTCCCATCCTGCTGCCCACTGCACAGCCGCACAACCCCCCTCACACTTCACAAACCAGGGATAACAGGAAGGGTGAGGGCTGTGGTAGCAATTTTGGATAATATAGTGGTCCATGGGTACTTATAGCAGGGAAATACTATCTGAGATCTTCAGATGATCAAAATTGAATCCTAGTTAGACTGGAATACCCAATCCCATTCTGAAGGGGAATCAAATATTCCTCTTTCAGTTGTTCTTGCCTCTCTAGCCTATTTAAGGAGAAAGAGAAAAAAAATACTCAACCACAGATAGAAATGTCCTTCTCATTGCCAAATTTTAGCCAAAACAAGAAATCAACAGAAGCTTCTTAAGAAACTATACCTATTTGTCCCAGTCTAGAAAAAGGAGAAAGGATAGAATCCATCACCCTAAAAAGCAATGCCACAGGTATGGGGGCCAGGAATAAACAGACTTCCACAGCCAGACTGACAACAAAGAGCTTCTGCACACCAGCATCAGTGGGCACAGAGATATATGTTACTTCTCAGTGGGCAGAGATACCCTATCTACTTACAGGGTATGGAAAAAAGAGAGGAAGTGATGACTCTTATTCATAGATATTAATTAGTTACATCCACTTCCCATCCTCCAGTGTATACAGAGTACAGCCATCAAGACAGGACCCCTGTATTTCTCCGAACATGAAACCCTAATCACTGGGACTGCATCACTCGTTACCATGAAATACATGTGGCAGTTAATGATAAAAACCACAAAAATTACACTCAGTTCAAACGTTTTATTGCATGCCATTCTTCAAGATGGCAGATGGCTGCCTAAATTGATCTCAGTGTCATGTTACAGGTGCCCCTAAGTTTCTCTAAATCAGCCAAATGAGTTTGAAGTTGAAACGGCCACCTCACATTGTTCTACCAGGAGACGCACAGGATGCCACTGTAATGCAGTTTGCTGAATTATAGTATTCATAGGCTCTGATTAAAAAAAAAATAGGTGAACTACCTGAAACTTGCCCCACAGAGAATGATTATTGAATATGCTAAAAAGCCATGATGCTGATGACCCTGACTTAAAGGCAATATTCTCCCCATTCTGGCTGTACAGGGCAAACATAGCATATGGCGGCTAAAGAGATATCTGAGTTACTGGTTCTGGGTAAGATGGAGTTATCACAGTTCATCCTGTCTTTCCCACTGAATGATGTTCTAAGACCTGGACAGAATGCATGGAGCAGCTATTTGAAGACATTGAGAATAAACAATGGCAGGTAGATTGAAGAAGACCCGAATTAGAAATACCACCAAATCAGCAGTGAATTTACCATTGTTCTCTTCTGGTATCCTCTAGCCTGACCTCGAGGCAGCCAGAACCTGGAAGGGATCATCAAGATGTGGACAAAAAACCTCCAGGAGAAGCCTCATAGTAGAACTAACTAATGCGAGGTAACTCTTAGAAAAAATGGAGGAAATCACTGTTTTTCCCTCCCTCCCTCCCTCCATCCATTCCTTCCTCCCTCTCTTCCTTCCTCTCTTTCTTCTTTCCTTTCTTCCTTTCTTTTTCTCTCCTCCTGTGCCCCAACACCAAGCCATCTAGTAGTGGCAGTAGCAGTGGTGACAATGCAAGCCAGAAAAAGATTAAAGGAGATAGGAGAATTTTCCTCTCTGCCCAAAAAACCTATGGTCCTGAGAGAATGAAAACCAAACCCTATTGCTTTTTGTCTCTCTCTGCCCTTCTACCAGTTGGCCCCAGATGTGAACACAATCACAGAAAGTATACAGAAAGCCAGATAACTAAAGCCTCAGCAGCCCTTCCATCAAAAGATCAAAAAGGAAGACCCCAGGGAACCTGAAAATATTGCAGAGATCACATAGAAAGAGGACATGGGGAAGTAGTCACTAAATTGTTTATAAACTCTGGGGCTCACGCTAAGCTGTGCATGGATGAAACTGACCCTACACAGCACATTTAGATTCTAAGAACTAAACTACAATATAGACCACCACCCAGTCTGAGGGCAATATTGGACAGATCCAAATAGCACTGCCAACGCTTTGAAAACTCAACTAACATTGAAGTCACAACCCATAGAAGCCCCATAAGAACCTGTAGCCTAAAATCAAGCCGATCAGGCCGGGCGCAGTGCCTCGTGTCTGTAATTCCAGTATTTGGGAAGCCAAGGCGAGTGGATCACCTGAAGCCAAGAGTTCAAGACCAGCCTGGCCAACATGGCAAAACCCTGTTTCTACTAAAAATACAAAAATTAGCCAGGCGTGGTGGTGGGCACCTGTAATCCCAGCTACTTGGGAGGCTGAGGCAGGAAAATTGCTTGAACCCAGAAGGCAGAAGTTGTAGTGAGCTGAGATTGCACCACTGCACTCCAGCTTGGGTGACAGAGTGAGACTCCATCTCAAATAATAATAATAATAACAATAATAATAATAAAGTAAAATAAAATAAAGCAGGTCATTACCTTCCAAAATAAAATTATCAACATTCTTACAAAATTTAAACAAGAATCAGAGTTTCATAATAAAAAAATTAAAATATCCAAGACACAATAAAAAATTACTTGCCATAAGAGTAACCAGGAAAATCTCAACTTGCATGGAAAAAGACAATCAGCAGATGCCAATGCCTAGATGACACAGATGTTGGAATAATCTGACAAAAACCTTAAAGCAACTACTATTTCCCGATAACTAAGAAAGAACACATTTGTAAAGAAGTAAAAGACGGGATGCATAATTTAAAAATCAAAATTTTAAAAATCAAATGGAAATACTACAATTAAAAAATACAATAACTAAAACATTCACTGAATGGGCTCAACAGCAGAGCAAAGATGATGGAGGGAAGAGTCAATGAACTTGAAGCTAGGTCAATATAAATTGTGCAATTTGAACAACAGAGAGAAAAAAGTATTGAAAAGTTTCACACAGAGCCTCAGGGTCCTCTGATACATCAGAAAAAGATTTAGCATTTGCATCATAGGAATCCTAGAAGGAAAGCAGAAATAATATGGTGCAGGAAAAAAAAATTTTTTTGAGGAAACAATAAGTGAAAACTTCTTTAACTTCCCCAGAGACAAACCTAGCAGTTGAAGAATCTCAATGAACTCCAACAGGATAAACCCAAAAGAATAATGCCTAGACACATTGTAAGCAAACAACAGAAAACTAAAGACAAAGAGAAAATCTAGAAGGCAATCGGAGAAAAATGACTCATTACTTATAGGTAACCACAATTCAAATGACTATGGATTTCTCATCAGAAACAATGGAGGCAAGAAGAAAGTAGAACAACACTTTTAAAATGTTGAACCCTGAATTCTATATCCACCAAAATGTCCCTAAGTAATGAAAGTGAAATAAAGATATTTTCAGATGACAGAAAACAGTGTTTGTTGCCAGAGCATGGCTCTGAAGGAACTGCTAACATAAGTTGGACAAACAGAACAGGAATGATACTAAAAGGAAGGAAACAAAGAGAAAACAACAACATTAATAAATATTAGAATAATATAATAGACTATACTTCTCTTGAATTCTTTAAAATAGATAAAAGCAAAAATTATAACATTGTCTGATATAGTTTGCAACAGCTGTAATACATAATACAACTATAACATAAAATGGGGAGGGTAAAGAAACCTATAGTTTGGTAAGGGTTCTACATTTCACTTAAAGAGGCAAATCATGGAATCCAAGTAGACTTAAAAAGTTAAGTATGTACATTACAAACCCATGAGCAATCAATTTTTTAAAAACTATATAAAGAAGTATAAGAAATACCACAGACCAAAAAAAATTCTGAAAATGTTCAAAATGATTCAAAAGAAGAAAGAAGAGAGTTCAAAGTTTTTGAAAAATTAGTCTAATTTTCAAAACTGAAACAGGAAACAAACAGAAAGCAAATAAAATATTAGGCCTAAATCCAAACATATAAATAATAATATTATAGATAAATTGTCTAATGCAACCAATTAAGAAAGAGAGATTCAAAGAATCGATTTTTAAAAAATCACCCGACTATAAACTGTCTATAAGAAGATCACTTAAGTTTTAAAGATAGGTTTGGTTCAAACAAAAAAGAGGAGAAAAGATATACTTTTTTCCATGAAAACACCAATCAAAAAAGAAAGCTTGAGTGGCTATATTAATATCAGATAAAGTAGACTTCAGAACAAAGAAAATTACAAGGATATAGGGATAATATATAATGATAAAAAGGTCAATTCACCAAGAAAACGTAACAATCTAAAGTATATGCACTTAACAGACTTTCAAACACACACAAAGCAAAACCTGACGGAACTAAAGTAGACAAATCCACAGTTATAATTGGAGACTTCAGCATCCTTCTCGTAGTAAGATGCAGAACTAGCAGACAGGAAATCAGCAAGGGTATAGAAGAAATGAACAACACCATTAGCCGACTAGTAATAATTGACATTTATAGAACACTCTGCCCAACAATAGCAGAATATACATTCTTTTTAAGCTCACCTGGAACATTCACCAAGACAGATTACATTCTGGGCCATAAAATGCACCTTAACAAATTTAAAAGAATTGAAATCATGCCAAGTAGGTTCTTAACCATAATGGAATCAGACTACAAATCAATAATAGAAAGATAAGAGGAATATCTTCAAATACTTGGAAATTAGGCAACACACTTCTAAATAATTCATGGATCAAAGAAGTTTCATGTGAAATTAGAAAATATTGTTAACTGAACAAAAATGAAAACACAACATATCAAAATTTGTGGAATGCAGCTAAAGCAGGGACCAGGAAGAAATATATAGCACAAAATGTTTACACCAAAAAAGAAGAGTCTCAAATCCAAAATCTAAGCTTCATCTTAAGAAGAAACTAGAGAAGAGGAGCAAAGTAAATCTAAAGCAAGCAGAAAGGAAACAAACAAACAAAAAATACAGGAAATAATAAAACCAAAGCCGATTATTTAACAAAGATCAGCAAACTTTATATCTAGTAAGAGTGACAAATAAGAGAGAAGACACAAATAACAAAATCAAGAATGAAAGAGTGGTTATCACTGCCCACATTAAAAGGACAATAATGGGATACTATGAATAACTCTACATACATAAATTGAAAAACTCAGATAAATTAGACCAATTTTTCAAAAACTTTGAATTGTCACAACTCACCCAAGATTAACTATTTAACCTGAATAGTCCTATAACCATTGAAGACATTGAATTTGTATTTAAAAACTTTCAGAAAAGAAAAAAATCTAGGCCCAAACCTAGTAGTATTTCACTGCCAAATACTACTAAATATTTAAAGAAAAAAAAATCACCAATTCTACACAATTTCTCCCAGAAAACAGAAGGAAGGGAAAGATTTCCAACTCATTTTATAAAGCCAACATTACCTGACACTAAAATCAAAGACAGTCTAAGAAACGTACAAACTAATATACACCAAAAAACAAACACACACAAATTCTTCATAAAAATATTAACAAACCAAATCCACCAACATGTATAAGAAATAATCACACTAACTAGGGTCTCTCCCAGGAATGTATGGTGGCTGGTTCAATATTGTATAATCATTCAATGTAATTTACCATATTAACAGTCTAAAGAAGAAAAACTACATGATCCTATACATTGATGCAGGAAAGCATTTAGCAAAATTCAACCTCCATTCATGATTGAAAAAAATAAAACTCTCACCAAAATAGAAATGGGAAGGAACTCCCTCAACCTCAAAAGAAAGGTATCTACAAAACATCTATAGTTCATATCATACTTAATGGTGAAAGAAATGAATGTTTTCCCTTGAAGACAGGTGACAAAGAAAAGATGTCTACTCCCACTCCCTCTATTCAATATTCTGCAAGAAGTGCTAGCCGGTACAATATGATTGCCAGGTACAAGGTCAATACAGAAACATAATGTATATTTCTACATACCACCAATGAACAATTGGAACCCAATTTTTTTAAGATGTCATTTATAATAGCTCCAAAAATGTAAAACTTACATATAAATCTAACAAAACATGTACAGAATCTTGATGCTGAAAACTATAAAACACTGGGTAAAACAAGTTAAAGATGACCTAAATAAATGAAGAGACCAAATTGATGGACTGGAAGATACGACATAGTAAAGATGTCAGTGCTCCCCCAAATTGGTCTATAGGTTTAATACAATTCCAATCAAAACACAGGAGGAATTTTTTTTAGGTATAGGCAAGCTGATTTTAAAGTATATATGGAAAGACAAGGACACTAGAATAGCCAAAGCAATTTTGAAAAAGAATACATTTGGAGGACTCAAACTTTGTAATGCCCATTTTAAGCAACAGAAGATTGTTCCTAGACCTTGAAGCTCAATGGAGTTTGCCATATTGGAATCTGAAGTTGTTTGGTTCCGGTACCTCCTTTCATCCTTCCATATTCTCCCTTTTGGAATGGCACTGTCTATAGCCATTATCCTATGGCTGTCCTGCCATTGCATTTGGGGTGCAGAGTACTTGTTTTCTAGTTTCACAGATCCAAAAATGGAGAAGAATTTTGTCCCAGGATTGATCACACCCAAAGTCTCACCCATAACTGATTAGATGATGACATTGGGACATGTGAGTTGCTGATCTTCAGCTCTGATTTTGGACTTGAATTGTTTTGCAGGGTTGAGACTTTTGGGGATGGGGGAATGAGGTGAATGTATTTTGCATGTGGGATGAATGTAGATTTTTGCAGAAGTGATTAACGATCTTGTGATAGGAAGGTTATCTAAGTGGGCTCTAAATGTAATCTCTATTGTCTTTTTAGAGGAGGTTTGGCTAAAGAAGAAGAAATAGGAGATGTGACAATGGAAGCACAATGTTGGAGTGATGCGATGACAGGGACAAGAGCCAAGGAATGTGGTCAGCCTCCAGAAGCTAGAAAATGCAAGGAAACAGATTCTCCTCTAGAGCCCCCAGAAGGAACCAGCCCCGCCACCATGTTGACTCTAACTCCACTGAAACTCAGTTTCCAAGTTTTGGCCTCCAGAAAAGGAAGGAAAAAAACTTGTGATATTTACAGCAACTAGGTTTGTAGTAATTTATTGCAGTAGCCATAGGAAACTAATACATAGAGTTTCATTTATCTTGGGTAGATATCTAGGAGTGGTATTTCTGAGTCATATGGTAACTCAATGTTTAACCTTTTAAGAAAAACTCCAAATATTTCAACTTAAAAACTTCTTTCCAGGAAAGAAAGTTTAAGTTAAGAAAATGAAAACACAAGCTACAGATTAGGGGCAAATATTTACAAATTGTATATCCAACGAGATCCAAAATATATAAAGAATTCTTAAACAGTAAAAAACAAATTCAAAGAAACAACTCAATTAAAATGGACCCAGCACTTCACCAAAAAGCATATACAGATGACAAATAACCACTGGGAAGGTGTTCAACATCAGTAGGGAAATACACGTGAAAACCACAATGAGATACCACACTGCCCACCTACTAGACTGTTTAAAATAAAAAGTATTGACAATGCCAAGTGATGATAAGGATGCGGAGCTACAGAAACTCCTGCATTGCTTGCTGATGGGAATGATAAATGGTACAGTCCTTCTGGAAAACACTTTGGCAGTTTCTTTTAAAGTTAAATATAAACTTACCCTATAATCCAGCAATCCTAATTCGAGATACTTACCCTAGAGAAATTAAAACTTATATCCACACAAACTTCCATGTAAATGTTTATATCGACTGTATTCATGATCGCCCCAACTGGAGGAAAACTAAATGGTGTCCAATGGATGAATGGATAAACAAACTGGTACCTGCATATAAGATGTCATACTATTCATCAACAGAAAGGATGGAATACTGATACATGCAACAACCTGGATGGATGTCAAGGGAACTATGCTAAATGAAAAAAGCCAATCTCAAAAGGTTACATGCTCCATGATGCCTTTACATGACAGACTTGAAAAGACAAAACTGTAATGACAGAGAATAGATCAGTGGTTGCCAGGGCCTAGGAGTGACAGGAGGGTGTGACTGTACAGCATGAGGGAATTTGGGGGTATGGAAACTATCCTGTATCCTGATTGTGGTGGTGGTTGCATGACTACACATACACAAAATCAACTTTACTGTATGTTAATTTAAAAAATAAAATGAAAAACACTTCTGGAAAACTATAATCATTTCCAAATCTTACTGGAATCATGTACCTTCAGCATTTTCCTATAATGCAAATGGATTACTCTGCTAATAACCTTGAGGACTTATCAATCCAAAGCCCCAACACCTCCACTCGAATTGCTTGAGTTACTTGAATATTTTTGTTATGATCAGAAGGTGTCTGTAAACATTAGGATTAACTATATTTTTTTCTCCAAGATACTTTTCTTTCTTCATCTTATTAGCACTACCTAACCCGTCCGGATCTCACTCCCCTTTACAGACACATTTCACACATGGGAAGTCTATCATACTGCACTGTAACCTACTGCTTCCTTCTTTCAAATGGTTGAGACTAAACTTTATAGCTTTCTTACATGTCCCTCAACAAACCAGTCATCATCTCCCTTCTGTACTCAGTTGCGTCCCTTGGCTTGAGCAATACATCCTCCCACTACAAGGCATTATGGTCTAGACAAGACAGCACTTGCCTGGGTCTTTTCCAGACTAAGCTACCACCAAGGGAATGGGGCAGACATATGTATCTCCTACCTTGGAAAAGAGCTTAATTTTTATAGTTTTTCATGGTTGAGGGGAAACCTAGGATAAGCTCATTTTACAAATGTTGCAAAGTGGTTTCTATTCTTAGAAGCTATTGATTTGAATATAAAACAAAGCAGTGTTTACATTCAAGACATTTCTCTTGGAGAAGCAATGTGTAACAGTGGGGAAAGCGCTGAGCTGAGAAGCCAATGATGTTGTAGCGTTCTGGCCCTAGCTCTACCATTCCCCAACCAGCCATGCAACCAGAAGTCATCTTCCGATTTCCTCCTCCCAAAGAGCTATGGTGATGGGTCCTGTGGCTTACTATTCTACAACTGAAGAAAGGTCAGAGACATTAGGTTCTTTGCATTTGGCATGTTTTCCATATGTATCTGGTTTCCTTGTGTATCTGGTCAAATAAAGAATTTAAGTGAAAATGTATATCTCAGCCAGGCACGGTGGCTCATGCTGTAATCCCAGCACTTTGGGAGGCTGAGGTGGGCACATCACTTGAGGTCAGGAGTTTGAGACCAGCCTGGGCAACATGGTGAAACCCCGTCTCTACTAAAAATACAAAAATTAGCCGGGTGTGGTGGCTCGTGCCTGCAGTCCCAGCTACTTGGGAGACTGAGGCAGCAGAATCACTTGAACCTGGGGGCTGCAGCGGCTGGGTTGCTGGGGGAGAGGTGGGCGGAGGTTGCAGTGAGCCGAGACTGCACCACCGCACTCCAGCCTGGGTGAGACAGCGAAATCTCCGTCTCAAAAAAAAAAGGTATATCACGTAAACTGAAAAGTGCTGTGCAAACGTAAAGTATTACTATAATTCCAAAGTTCTTAACAGAATACCCACGGTATCAAATCAATGGTGCTTCCTTGTTTTGCACCCCTAGATGTGTAGAATAGTTGCCTCAAAGTTCCAAATTCCTCATCATTGTTCTGGACACAGATTCACACTTAAAATCACCTTAGGGCAACGACAACCAATAGACTTAAGGAAATCTGATATTTTATTCCTTATGGCTTACATAGGACTTTGCGATTTTCATGTAACAATCACTAACAGTGGATGGCACTCAAAAAACCAAAGTCAAAAATTTGGAAGAGTGGGGAGGCAGAGTAGACCCAGTCTGTGGATACCCAGGTGGACTCAGGAATGCATGCAATTAATTAAAGGCCAATTATCTCTGAAAGAGCTCAGACTGATGCTTGGCCAGAGGCTTGTTCAATAAGATGGCTCTTATTTCACATCAGTGACTATATCCTGCCAGCCGAGAAGGGCCAGGGTGAGTGTCAGCTTCTACTGGATTTTCGCATTAAGTCCTGACCATTGCCGCTTCTCGGGCCCCATCCTCGCTGGGCACCGGACTCTGTGTATATGTTATGTAATCTTTCTGTGCTGCCTTTCTCTTTGTTCAGTCCATGCCAAGACCCATATAAAAGAATCCATATGTGATTACAGCTATAAAACCAAGAGGAAAATATTAGATGAAAATATAACATTTTGGGGTTTCTAAGTTTGCTTTACCTTTAATGCTAGGCAGACAGTTTACACAAATCATTTTGCTGCAAAGTAAAGAATAATGAGTTAAATGTGTTCCCTGTCACCATCAATCATGTACATTTGCTTTTGATTCACCAAACATATAAGACACATGAAATGACTTTCTAATCATGTTGGGGGAAGGAGGGAGAAGGGAAGAAGATGGGGAAAGGAGTTTCAACTTCTTTTATTTTATTCAGAAGATCCGTTGACATTTTCTGGCAATCTATCTTCTAACATGCTGTATGGGCTTCTTTTTGCTAATAATGTTTGCCTTGAGAATTTGTAAAGGTCTGAGAACGCTTTAATTCAATGTTCTAGAAATTACCAGGGCCATAGGGGAAATGAATCCCTGTTAATAGCTCATGGATTACTTCTCTCTTTATTAGAAATAGTTTTCACAGAAGTTACTCTACTTTCAGGTGGGCATTAGTGGGCTTGGTCAGACTGAGTGGCACTGCGGGAGGCAGCATCCTGCATGGAAGCCTCTGATCTAATGGGATCTAAGTAGGGTGAAAAGCGGGTACACAGTGACGTTGACCCAAATAGGATACTGGGGTTTAGCAAATTCATTTCAATTCATGGGTGTTTATTTTGATTTGTGAACTTAAACAACACACTGACTGGATTTTCTGGCAGTTGAAGAGCTTTATAACCAAATCTAACCAGCCTCTGCACAATCCTTGTCAAGGATTAAAGAGCTTTGCATTTCATGTTTCTACATTGAATCAAAGCTCTTTAATTTGGCAAGGGAATCATATACAGTAGCAAAGAAAGAAGTTTTCTGCACCAAAATCACACCAAATTACAAGTCCCCGCTGGTCCTGGTCCCACCCAGCTGTCTGTAATACAGGCTGGTCAGGCTAGGCTGAGGCCAACCGATGCATTCATTTACTCCACAAACACGTATTGAGTAGCTATTATGAGTCAGGCGCTGTTCTAGGCACTGAGGATTCAGCAAGTAGCCCCATCTTCACAGTGCTCACCTTGTCCCAGGGAAAAGAGGCAATAAACACCAAAGAGTGCCACGGGAAAAAACAAAGCCAAGAGAGTAAATAAGGATGTGGATGTATGGTGTGTGGAGGGGGAGGGGGTGCAGATTCCTAAAATGCAATTCTGTTTTTTCCACATGGAAACTTCATCCCCCAATGAAGCTGAGAAGAACAGCTGTATACTTCCTAGAGAATATGAAGTGGGACATCTACTCTCTCTAGAGACCCTCACAAGCCCCAGAGAACTTGTATGAGCTTAGTTACTTTCTTCCTGATTTTCCTGTATTTGCCAGGGAAGTTGTTGAATCATAAAGTATCCCTTTATAAGAAATATACCATATTCATAGATTGGAGAACTCAGTATTGTGGAGATGTCAATTCTCCCAAGAGAATCCAGAAACAGACCCGATCATGTAGTATCACCTGACTTATTTAAAAAAAAACAGGGGGTTCTGGGATATTTGTAATGTACTCTTTGTTAATCTAGGTCCTGGTTACATGAGCACTGAGGGTATAAGTATTTAACAGGTTGTACATTTATTACATGCACACTTTTATTATATTTCAATAAAAAATTCATTTTTAATCCCTTTTAAAAATGCAGTTCTAATGCCTTAGAGGAAAGACTCAACTGAGAAATTAATATTAAGCAAAGACAACAAGAGTTGGACAGAGGGGAGCCAAGCAGCTGCTCAGGGAAGGAATATCCAGCCAGAGGGAACAAGAAGTAAAAATCCCTAGACCAGCCCAAGGGAGTGTGGCTAACATAAGAAGCAGGAGAACACTCAGGACTTAAGCCAATGAGGTTCCAGGGACCTGACTGCTTAGGACCTGCAGGCCATTGTAGGGACTTTATTCAGATGAGATGGGACCCCATGGAGAGACTTATGCAGAAGAGTGACAGGATCTGATTCATGCTTGAGAAGGTTGTTCTGGATGCTTTGTTGAAGATAGATTGGAGGTGGGGTGGTAAGGGCAGAGCAGACAGACCAGTTAGGAGGCTGGTGTAATATTCTAGGAGAGACATGATGGTGGTTTGGAGCTAGTAGTAGGAGTGCAGGTGGTGAGAAGTGCTCCGATTCTGGGAATATTTTGAAACTTGAACCAAGAGGATTTCCTGCTGTATTGAATGTGGTGTTTGAGGGCAAATAAATAAATTTTTAAAAATGAGTCAAGGGTGACTCCAGAGTTTTTAGTTTCAGCCATGGGAAGGATGGCATTGCCAATAGTAAAATGAGCAAAGAACAGGTTTGTGGACAAAGAAAAGGAATTCGATTGTGGAATGGTAAGTCTGAGAGGAGATGGGGTATTCAAATGTAGGTGTTGAGCAGCAGTTGAATCGGTGACGCCGGGTTCAGGGGAGAGGTTCTTCATGGAAATATAAATATGGAAGTCATCTATGTATCTAAAAGCAATGAGAATAATTGAGATTATCAAGGAAGTGAGTATAATTGTATTGGGAGCTGCTCTCCACTGGTGAGGAATATGTGCAGAAGTCTGCTGTCATAATGCCATCTGTGGTTAGGGTGACATTGTCCATGGGTAATAGAGTAAGCAACATCTTGCATCTCCCTATCTAATTTCCACCATGTGGGTTTACTTTGCCAGACAAACTCTCTACTCTGGTACCACTAGTTGTTCTTTCCTAAGTAGAGAGCCACCTCAATCCCAGCCTTATCAGTTGCAGCCCTGGCCCCATTTCAGAGCTCTTGTCAACTCCAACCCTGCCACGCAAGGTTGAGTTCTGCTTCTGGTATGCCTCCTTCAACCTGGTTAGCAGAGCTTACACCCACCAGACAATAAGAATTGCTTGCTGTGATGATTAATGTTAACTTGACTGGGTCACAGTGTACCCAGATATTTGGCTAAACATTATTCTGGGTGTGTCTTTGAGGGTGGAGGGTGTTTCTGCATGAGATTAACATTTGAATTTGTGGAGTGAGTAAAGCAGATTGCTCCCCCAACAACCCTCAACCCAACCCATGTGGGTGGGCTTCATCTAACCCACTGAAGGCCTGAATAGAATAAAAAGGAGGAGTAAGGGAGAATTTCCTCCCTCTGCCTGATGGTCAGTCTTAAGCTGGGACATCAGTCTCCTCCTGCCTTCAGATCTAGACTTATACCATTGACTTTGCTGGTTCTCAGATTTTCAGACTCAGACAGAGACTATACCATCTTCTTTCCTGGGTCTCCAGTTTATAGAGCTTGGGATTTCCCAGCCACTATAACCCTGTGGGCCAATTCTTTATAATCAACATCTCTCTCTCTCTCTCTCACGCATGTGTGTGCACACACACACACAGAGACACCATTGCTCTGTTTCTGTAGAGAACCCTAATATACTTACTTTGTCCCAGAAGCACCTACCTAAGTCATCCCCAGCCCTTCAGCTCCACTTGGTTTAGACTCCAATTAGTTTCACCTCCTCAAAACAGCAGTGTGTGTCAATCCCTTCTTGGGAGCCTAGTTCATTCCTTACCCTGACTCAGCCCAGCCTAGGGTAACTGTTATGATGCAGTGGCCTCTGCTTTTGCAGAGCTGGGCAGACAGAAAGGTAAAGAAGATGCACAGAATGGAGCTATGCAAACATGTGCCCATACATCCAAGTCAGAACAGAAGCTTTCTGAAGCTTACCAGAGCTTCCTAGACCTAAGGATGCTGATGGGATTAGCGCACTGTCTGGAACATGGTAGGTCCCCAGGGCATCTCTATTGCATCAATAGTTCACATAGAATGAACTATAGAAAGCTAAGATTTGTGCTAAGATGATGGCACTAGCTAAAGTTTTCCCTTATCGTTTCTCACATTTCCTTTCAGTATACTCAAGGGCAAACCTGGAACCAGTTTGCTTGGGTTTGAACACCTGAGTTTGTGAATTCCAAATCACACATCCGCATGCAGGTTGTTGAAATTCTCTTAACCCATAGTGCCTGCCACTGTAAAAGGAGGATAATAATAGTGACAAGTTTGGGTATGGTCATTGTGAGAATTAAATGTGATATTGCAGCTAAAGCACTTAATACGGGATTTAGCACATGGGAATCAGTATTTTTTAGCTATTATTAAAAGTCCTTGATTTACATTTTTAGCTGCTAAACCAGACTAATTCTATACATACATATGTACAAGCACACATATACACATAAACATAACCCAGACTAAAAATATTTAAATGATTCCCTTGGCTATGGTTAGTGCTAGGACAAAAACTTTGTGTGTCCAGCCATATCCACTTCAGCCAAGATACAATCTGAATAGCATGCTTCTGATTTCTCTAGTGCATTCTCATTCAGAAACAGAAAACATGACAGAGAAGCGTGTATTGTTATCGATATTAAGTAACATTTCACCCGCAAATTCCAAATCTTGCGGCATAGGGAAAAAAAAACAACACTAGAAATACATAACATATTTTCTTCATTCTCAAAACTGATTTATTCAACAAAGAAATAATCATGGAGAGCATACTGTGTTCCAGGTTTTGTGTGTGTGTGTGTGTGTGTGTGTGTGTGTGTGTATAAAATGATAGATTAACAGACTTCAAATAGTTGGCAATTCTGAGAACTATTTAAATGTGCTACATTGGAAGTCCCAATGTACATTGAAAAACAATTTTAAGAGTTAATCACCCTCTAAACACACACACACACACACACACACACACACACACACACACACACACACAATTTGTCATGTGCAAAGACAGCTAATCCTAGTAAGAATGATAGCACAATTCATGAAGATGGCAGGCCATGCCCCAACTTGAAACCTCATACGCTGAAGAGAAGCTAAGTATGCATAGTAAGACTCAAAAACAAAAACAAAAACAAATCAATGGATCTTAAATTACATCCAAGTGAGGAAGCCAAGTAGAGAGTAAGTGTGGCCACTTATTCAGGGCTGAGGCAATAGCAGATAGGCTAAGTAAGTTCATTGCCTGGGTCTTTACAGAAGACAGCAGGGAGAGTCTCACTAGAACCTGACAGGCTAGGAGTAGGAGATCAGACAGTGGCAAATGAACAGCATGTTCCAGGGCTGGCTGATGATGTGAATGCAGATAAGTCACAGGCACCAGGATGTTCGTGCGAACTCCTTAAAGGAACTCAAGGGTTCAAATAAGATCCTATTGCACAAAATGCTTAACCTGTCCTTAACAGCAGCTGCTGAGCTGGAGGATCCCTGGATTGCCAGCTTGAGTCTCTTTCCTAAAGGTATTAGATATAAAATTAGCATAAGATTTGTTAAATCCTAGCACTGCAGAAGCTGTAGAGGGCATGCCTTGAAGTTTAAATGGAGTAAATTAAGGACAAATAGCCAGAAAAAAAATATTTAGCAGTAGTTAGCAAAGTTAAGAAATTCATTACCCCCAAAGATATGGGGGTATATAAAATATAAAAAAGATTCCTAAAAAGTTTAGATCAATTCAGAGATATATCCACATAGGAGTGAGGTTTTCAGGGACAAAGACTTAGGGTCCTAAGGTTGGTATCTTTGAGAGTGGCATTGATGGAGAGATAAAGAAGCATTGCTCCATATTTCTTGGTACCTCCAGGCTGGGCCTCTTTTGTAATTCCTGTATGCCAGTAGTCCCTCTTTCTTTTTCTTTCTTTTTTGGAGACGGGGTCTTCTTTCTCTGTTGCCCAGGCTGGAGTGCAATGGCATGATCTTGGCTCACTGCGACCTCCGCCTCCTGGGTTCAAGCAATTCCCCGGCTTCAGCTTCTTGAGTAGCTGGGACTACAGGCATGCGCCACCAGGCCCAGCTAATTTTTGTATTTTTAGTAGAAAAGGGATTTCACCATGTTGGCCAGGCTGGTCTCGAACTCCTGACCTCAGGTGATCCACCTGCCTTGGCCTCCCAAAGTGCTTATATTACAGGTGTGGGCCAACACACCTGGCCAGTAATCCCTCTTTCTTTTATTAAACATATCACCCCCACTTTCAGTCTTGGCATTTTGGTCTCATGCATGATAAAATGCCCAGTGGAAGTGGCTCACACCTATATAATCCCAGCACTTTGGGAGGCTGAGGCAGGAGGATTGCTTGAACCCAGGAGTTTGAGACCAACCTAGACAACACAGGGAGACTGGTCTCTACAAAAAATTAAAATAAAATTAAAAAGCCCAGTGGATAGTCACTGTGCTTCTGCCTGTGCCACATCTTTGCTGTTACAGTCTTGTTTCTCTTATTTTAACAGGGGTTCTGCCGCACCAAAAAACAGACACGACCGGCCTAGGGGAAGGGAGAGGGTGAGCTAACACTTTACCTTGGCTTCCAGAAATGCTAATTGTTCCCAAAGGATCAAGTGCTGCCAAAGCCTCACCCCTTCTTTGTCCATCCTAATAGGCCTGCTTGTCCCCATGGAAATATTGATGAATTCTCCGTCATAGGATACGGAGGTCATTGGAGAAGGAAGCAATTTCTGTAAACAATAATCCATTTGTAGGTTTACTTTTCCACCTACCCCCCACCCCCAACAAAAGTAAGTGAGGGCTTTGTGATCCCTGGAATGGGAGATAATACATAAAACATGCCAAGGAGGGTGCCATTATGGTGTTCACCATGACCTAAAGGAGACGAAGATCTGGGATTTGGAGGTAAGTACACAAAGATAGCAATGTAGAATGGGGAGCATGTGAATAAGGCATCTCTATTTTAGCTGAGAAAAATATATGAGGGGAAGGCTTGTGATTTCCAGGTCATGTACCTTAGCCAATTCCAACACAAAGACCATCTCAGTGTCAAAAGGTCATATTCAGAGAGCTACTTCCAAACAGGCGGGAATTGGCCTTATACAGAAATAATGTGGTAACATAACCCCCAGAGGAAAATGTGTTTTCAGTTACACCAGGGCCAGGCCCAGCCTTTCCCACAAGCTCTTCCTAAATAGGAACTTGGCAATGGGATTAGCTGAGCTGGAGCGGACATCCTTGGCTTTAGAGGTGAGGCCCATCAGGGTCTGGAGGAAGGTTGGGCAGAGGTTTTCCCTGCTGCTAATAGCACTGAAGAATCAGCATCACATCCATTTTATTAATTTCCTTGACAGACAGCTCTAGTTACCATGCAGGCACCACAAAATCAAAACATACGCATGTCAAGGGGCCCCATCTGTGGTGGGGCCCTGCCAAAGCCCATGTTACATCAACACGAGGAAGCAGAGCACAGCTCCACACACCATGTGCTTGGTCCCATGGGCCATGCCCTGGAAGAAAACCACCAGAGCTTGATTGAAAGAGCCAGAGAAGTTCTCGTGGTGACAGTCCTTTATCCTGAGTCTGGGCTTTTCATGTTGAACATAAGATCCCTGGGAGACACGTGGCTACATCTGGCTTCAGGGTCTCGTCTCTAAACACAGCTACACAGACCTCCCTGCCACCTCCATTCAGTTCCACCCATGCAGGATGAGAGCAGCCTGGATTAAAGAAGATACCTAAAGGAATGCAACATCTTTATTTGTAAGCTGGATCTGAGCTCAGAGTTCTGCTGAGCTGAGACCTTTGGCTGCATAATGAGCATAGGAGGATTTTTTAAATCAAGGTATCCCTTGCTATCAGTGTTGCTAAAGTGATTGAAGGAGCTCCAAAGCAATTTGTTCCTTTATGTGGAGCAATGTTAACTATCAGTTGGCTACATAATGCCGATTTGGCAGGTACGAAGGATAAGGACTTAGAAAAACTCCTGCTCTAAATAATATCACTCATAGGTGCCCAAGGTGAGCACCAATGCATCTGTATCCTCATGCTTCCCACCCATCCCTCTTATTGCAACCTAGGCCATTTCCTCAAAACCATCAAGGAACTTGGCAGTCAATTAGGTAGCCACATGACAGCAAAAGGCAGGAGGTCTCATACCTTTGATTGCAGAGCTTCCAGCCTCCTTTATGGACCTCGTGCTGACTCATGAACTTTCTAAGGATGTAATTTCCCACCTTGCCAGCTATTAATTCTGCTCCTTACATAGTAAGAGGCAAGATGTAAGCCCAGATCCAGAGCTAACTGCCTCCCATGCCATAACAGAAAGGCTCAAGCTAGACCCGTTTTACACACGGGTTTGTCACCTTGACTGCCTAATCTAAGAACAGTCTAAGGATGAGGACTGGAGTGACTGTTATCCCAGGCTCCAGAAGCCCCCTTGCTAGTGGCTGGGCGATCAATGCAAGGCTCTGGAAACACAATCCTAACCTGGCCCACCCTGGGAGGACAGAGTCGGTTTTTTTTCTCTCCTTGCCTGCACTGGTGCAGCAGGTATGGCCACCTTGGGGACTCTGGAGTGTCTGTCCAGCCAGCTCTGACAAGGACATGAACACATCCAGACCGCCTGTCTCTCGGTGCAAAGGGCACTGCTGCCGAGGACTCAGTACATTGTTTCGCTCTCCATTCAAACAACCGCGGCATGTCAGTCCTGCTGGCCTCCTTGATTGTGCAGAAATAAATAAATGAATTATGCTGTTGGGGTTTGGGCTTCAGCACAAACACATGGTCTGCATTTATCCACACAGTGAGAGGTCCACCAGCCACTTGATATAAAAGAGCAAAATGATAATTCTTTTCTTTAGGCGCTCTGTTGCCATATGGAATGTATATAAATCATATTTTTGTTTTAACAGCGGAGGCTTTGTTGATAGATAAACATGTGGTTTATCTAAAAAAAGAGGGGATTGTGCTTTGAACAATCATTTAATGGCCGTGGATGTGCCAAATAAAAATAAAAACATAATTTTGAAAGAAGTTGGCTTCATGCCCAAATCCGTAACAAGGAATTTCTCCTTAACCCAAGTGGTTAGAGCCCGTCGATCTGTTTTGAGTTTAAGCTGTGCTCTCTACTCAACCCCACGACAAATGGAATCCCGAGCTAATGTGCTCTAATAAGACGAGACGTTACCTTTATGAATGACCTCATGGAGAAGAGGTTGGCAAGCATGGTGGAGAGGCCTTGAGCCAGGCAGCTCTGGGCTATGAAGCCCAACTTCAACTCTGCGAGGCAGATTGCGTCATCACCTTCTTTCCAATTCCAGCTCGGGATGTTTAGCAGATGGGCCTGGGGAAAGAAAAGCAGGTATGAGACCTTGCTCTGTTAAATGTTCAATTGTTTAACATTTCTTCTGGGAAATGCAGCATTGCCCAACCACTCAGGGCCATCCAGTCTTGCCCTTCTTTTCCCTTGCTGCGGTCTGATGTTTGCTGTTTTATGCAACTCTTCTGCTCATCACACTTCAGTCTCTCTGGACTGTTGCTTCTGCACCCACCAAGCCCAAGTCCTCCCCTGGGTTTGTCATTTAGCCAAATAGAGCCCAGAGGGAATTTCCTCTTGTGACAGACCCAACAGCCTGGGTTACTAGGATGTCTAGCTAAATCATTAAGTTGAGTCCTCTAATAGACCGTAGGAGTGCCAAATGCCTGTATATTTTCAGTTTCTTTTTTACCTGCCTTTCCAATACTCCAGATCAGTGACTCCCAGGCATCAGGAGCGGGCATCAGAATCACCTGTACAGTTTCTGAAAACACAGATTGCTGGCCCCCCACCAGCATTTCTGATTCAGTAGATCTGGGGTAAGGCTGGAGAATTTGGCATTTCTCACAAGTTGGAGGTGACGCTGACGCTGTTGATCTAGGGGCCACACTTTGAGAACCACTGGCCTAAAACATCAGGTAAATCACAGTGTCGACGTTTCCAATCTCTTGCAAATGGACTGGTCCTATTCAACCCTTATGTCAGGCCCTGAGACAAGAACCCAGAGGCATGCTCATCCAATTATTTTTAAGTGGCATGAAGCAGAGAGTCATAGAAAATACATTGGATGAAAGAATCAAAGTTCAAAAGGTTCTCCAGAGTTGGAAAAATCGGCAAAAGACCAAACTAAAAAGATTTACAAGGCTTTCATGTCAAGTACAGCATTTAGGCTAAAAAAAATCAACTATATAAATTCAAAATGAGAAGACCTAGCTTGGCAGCAGGCAGGAGAGAAATAAAAGAAAACAAAACACACAAAGCTAAATTTAAGTGTGTGGGTAACTAAAACCTCAAATTTTAGGCTAGCCATGTGACATTACAGAGAAAGCCAGTGTTTACTTTTTAGAAGTGCTCCCCAGATCAAGGGAAATGAACATTTCATTCTGTTGTGAATTGGTCAGACTAGTTCCAGAGTACTTGATCCAGTTTTCAGTCAGATTTAAAGAGGGAAAATGATCAACTGAATAACTTCCAGAGAAAAGTGACAAAGACAAGAGGAGGTAGCGTCTGGAAAAGATCTTTTGAGGAACAGTTAAGACAGCCAGTAATATTTGGCCTGAAGAAGGCTCTCGTCCTCACAGAGACAGGATGGTTACATCTG
Organism: Homo sapiens; assembly: GCF_000001405.40. Lineage (NCBI taxonomy): Eukaryota > Metazoa > Chordata > Mammalia > Primates > Hominidae > Homo > Homo sapiens. The sequence goes on from NC_000010.11 coordinate 77,074,547, forward strand.
AATACTTCAGGTGCTGCTGTGTACAAGATTAGGTTTGTCCTGCTTTGTTCTAGAAGCCAGAATTAAGACTGACTGGTATATATTCCAAGAAAGCAGATTTTTGTCTTGTTTTATAAATGAACTTCCTAAGGATGTAATTTGTCTACCAAACGGAGAAGGTTACCTTAAAAAATGAAAGGTCTTTGTCCCTAAGACTCAGTAAGTATTTCTCCAAGTTACTATGGAAAGAACTTTTGCTCTGCACTAGGAGGTTGAATCAGAGAGCCCTTCTAAGTCTCTGCTAGTGCCAAGATTCTATGGCTTTGAAGTTATTATTTCTCTGCACATCTCAGCAAACACAAGGAGCACCAAGGGAGCATTCCCTTCACTTTCAGAACAATATACAATAGTTGAACTAGAAGGATGGAAGACTCCATTGTGAAAACAAAGAGCAAGTCCAAGGGTTCCACACTCTGCTTTCAAAAATACTATTCTTATGAAATTCCTTCTTGCAAAATCCGCTTCTGTGACAATCTTGTGCATCCTAAGCCAAAAGTGGGTACTCCAGGGAGAGATGACAGTGCCCTCCCTGATGAGAGCATGGTTAAATAGTCTCATGGAGGGGCCACAGCAAGTGGTAATTGCTGTCAAACTATCAAAGGACCTTCCCCACACTGCAGACTCAATTCCAACAACTAGCCCTACCCTTTATTCCTTCCTCTCCCTACTCTCCAGTGGCTTCAGATGGCCACTTTCCCTTTTACTTCCTGGGCATCGTAGAGAACACATTGGTATAACTGGAGAAATACTCACTTGCAGTAATATCATCTGAGAACCTGAGAGGAATGAGGAGAAATTCAGTTTAAGTAATGAACAAGTCAAGCATTGTGTGTGAAAGGAGATTTTTTTGGTCCAAGCCCTAAAGAGACAGCTCTGAACCTTCATGGCACCTTCAAACAAACAAGCAAAACCTTTCAGAGAAAGTCTCTCCTATCCGCATGTGCTATCTAAGGTATAAGGCTGAGGCATTTCATCCTTGGGTCCCCCATGGCCCTGTCTGGTTTGAGTTCTGTAGGCATATTTTGAGCTTTCTTTCTCACTGTCCACCTTGACACTTGGCCATGTGATTATATAGAAAAGTTGAGTTTGTTCCTTATCTCAGGGTTCTGTGCCCTCTTTTTTTGGATATTATATTTTCTCCAACGCAGGGAAGGAGTGAGGGTGACCTGCTGAATGCTTGGAGGGAAATCTCTGTGCATGAAACAAAGAGAAGAGACTGACCCAGGAACATAAATCCTTTGTTTCTGGAAACTTCGTCCTTTTCCATTTGAAGTAAATTGAGTCTGATGAAAAATGCCAGTGTTAGTGCCCAGAAGTCTGGAGGCAAATCCTCTCTCCCTAACTTGGAGAATATAAAGAGCAGGTCTGGCAGACCTGGCTGCCCTTCATTTCTGCTACTTCACCACCCCTCCCTCCTCTCATGGAGAAGGAACTGGAAATACGCTGTCCTGGAAAACCAGGAGAGATGGATTTCAGTCCTAGTTCCATCTCTCACTACATACAATTTTGGGAAGCCACTATGAGGAACAAAGAAGGCCATGAAAGAGGAAACGATTTAATACAATTGCCCAAGTGTCAGGGTGGACAGTGGAAAAAAAAAGCTCAAAGAACTTGCCTCTATCTGCACTGGGCTCATGGGACTTGGCTTCCAGAGATAAAGGCCTCTTTCACTAGAGTCTTTGGGAAAAATAAAAAATCCACTGAGAGGTAAATCATCAGGAGTGATACTTTTCCAAGAAGTTATAAACCAATCTTTCCTTGAAGAGCTTTGAGCCATTTACACTCAAATCAGAAGATGCAGGGCCAGCATTTAAAAGATGGCCAGCATGAAAGCGTTTCTCTCCAAGAATTCTAGTGATATTAAAAGATACACTTTGGAGAGCATCAGCCCTTCTATAATGCCTACTCTCGGGAACCACAGTTTGGTTCAATGGGCTGTGGCTCCATTTAAAGAGTCGGTGGCAGTAAGCTCTTCTGTCTCCCCGCTCGCTGGCTGCAGAGTGGTGGCCATGATTTGTGCCCAGCAGAGCTGCGCTGTCTATACAGAGCTTAGATGCCCTGCTCTGAAGTTACCCTGGGATGCTAAAATGCACAGATGGTCCAACGAGTACTAAAGAAGATAATGGATGTCAAAGCTCTTTTAAAACCATAAAATATGACACACATGTCTACAATTATGATGATGACAAACTCAGGGCCAGTTTTACATGGAGAGAAAGTAGGCAGCTTCCCTACATCCCTCTAGGCCCTAGAATATTACTATTACTGGATCATAGGGGATTGAAATGCTTCATATTTCAAGCCCGTTGTCCAATTATGAAATCAGCTATCTCTTGGAATATGTTCATAGTGACATGACTTTACAGGCACATACCAGGTCCTTTCCTGAAAGCAAATTGTAATGCATGGAGATCTCTAAGCATCTAGGATGAGTGCAGCAAAAAGTGCCAAGAAAGGCAGAAAAAAAATGTTGAAAGGGAAGAGGAAGAAAATGTATTGAAAGAGTAGGAAACATCTCAGGAAACACAGCAAAACTGTGAAGCAAGGTGAAGAATGTCCATTTGCAATTCTACAAGGAATGAAAGACAAACAATGATGAGTGGACGTTTTCTTCTTTCTCTAGAAGAGAGATATGAAAGAACAACAACAACAAAATGCCCTGTGTCAAAGTCACTCTATTCCCTGTGTCCTGACTAATCATCCAAGGATCTGTAAGTGATTCTGCCCAACCCCAAAACTCGAATAGTTTGGGATGGTTCTAAACAAAATGTGTTTTAAGCAAATAATCATGAATTGGTTGATATCTTCCTCACTGTTTCTGAATAATTACAACACAGAGGTTTGCCAAACACATTCAGGTTGCTATGATCATGTGATTACTGACCAGGGACTGTCTGGATCCCAGGCCGGCTGAGCTGCTTTGAGTTGGACAATAACCACAGCTAAAATCCTCCTTAATTTCTTGAAGATGCTGCATCAGCACTCATTGGAAAGAGAAAAAAAAGGAACTGACAACCCCTTCTAAACATACAACATTAATTTTCCTATTCAATCTAAATTCAGCCAAAAATCTAAACAACAGCTTAAAGCACTCCCACACTAAATGAAATTTCAGATCACAAATGAAAGAAGGAGAGCTCGTTGCTGCAGGAGCTGTCACTAGTCACAGCCTTGCTAATAAAATTCACCTCCACCTACAAGGGCTGCCATCAAAAACTTCTCCAGCTTGACACCCGTACATTACCAATATCCTCACTTTATCTCTTCAGTGTCCTTGGGTTTTCCAGAGACAAACAGGCGAATGTGACCTTGGGTGCCCACCACCAAATCCGTTGGCTGGAGAACAACACGTTCTGCAAGGGAGCCACCTGCCGAGGGCTGGGCAGTGGCTGGCAGCAGTCAGCCGTTCTGGATGGTGGGCCAGTCACTGACAGCAGGCTCCACTCAGTGACAGCCTCTGATGGGCCTCCACACAGCAAAATGGGCCAGCACTTGCCAGCAATTAAGAAATAACGGCATGGCACTGGTGCATTTGGCAGAATGGGGTTTTTCTCTGCATCACCTGACTGCCTATTTCATAGGGAATATGGCCCATAAGAGGGGGTACGCTGTTACTCATAACCCAGCAGCGAGTTATTCTGTACAGACAGGACACCTGGCTCCAGGTACTGGGCAGCCTCCGGTTTCTAGGTTTCATTAAGGACATAACTGGTACTGCATCAAATGGAGAAAGGTGCCACCTTCCCTCCCCTAAAGCTGTTTTTTTGGAAGTTTATTGACTGGCTGAGAGAAGGAGCACTGCCTTTGAATGAGACACTGGACTCTGGTTTACTGAGAAGTAATCACAGGGAAACAGCATAGACTCTGACTTTTGTCTTCTTTCTAATCAATCCCCCACTGTAAGCTATAACACAAGGAAAATTCCTTTCTCTTTAATCTCTGGATAGCTTACTATTTTCCTGATTCAACTCTGCAAATTCTCATCTCGACTCTGGGAATGTGTCCCACATTACACTCTTACAGAGCGCATTATGCACTCACTAGTTCACCTGGTCTCAGATAGAGAAATCCTATCACTCACTTGCCTGGAGCATTCTACACCTTAACTGCTAAATCCCCGAGGACACAAAATAGGGCTTCTCCTTCACTGATATTCCTGTGGGTGTCAGGGAGAGTGCTAATCACACAGTATGTATTCAATAAATATTTACTGAATAAGTAAATGACTGCAGCACATACAAATAAAAGTTGTTGTAACTTAAGTATGGATGGGATCCAAGAGTAAATCAATAGTTCTGAACCTCGGGTTCCAATAGACACTTCCCGAATGAATGAATCAGTACATGAAGGAGCATCCTTCCAGTGACCAAATGCAAACACGTTGTTTGGACTAAAGAAATGGGCCAGAGGCGTGGTGGCTCATGCCTGTAATCCCAGCACTTTGGGAGGCCGAGGCGGGCAGATCACCTGAGGTTGGGAGTTCGAGACCATCCTGACCAACATGCAGAAACCCCATCTCTACTAAAAGTACAAAATCAGCCTGGCATGGTGGCGCATGCCTGTAATCCCAGCTACTCAAGAGGCAGAGGCAGGAGAATTGCTTGAACTTGGGAGGTGGAGGTTGTGGGGAGTCAAGATCATGCCATTGCACTCCAGCCTGGGCAACAAGAGCAAGACTCCATCCCAAAAAAAAAGAAAGAAAGAAAGAAATGTCCCAGGAAGATTTTTAACAATCACACCTCTTTACCCAGGTCTTTGAGTTGCGCACATGTGGGCATGTGAGAGTGTGTGTGTGTGTGTGTGTGTGTGTGTGTGTGTGAGCCTGTATAATGAGGAAGAAGAGGCTGGACCTGTGGATGGGTCTTCAGACCTGGAGCGGGCTCTCGCACTCCTACCTTGTTGTGATACTGCAGCATTTGAGTGATGATTCTTATCTTCGGATGGTAGTTCTTTATGGAGATTACTCTGAAAAAGAAAGAACCAATGCTGAGACAGGTCTGCCTTATGCATGGTGTCTGACAAAAAGATCAATTTTACTGTCTCCAAATGGGGTACCCATGGGACTGAGGTAGGAGGCAGGACTTGATTCCAGAGGCAGGGCTCAGATACCAGACAAAATTGAAGACTAGCTGAAACAGGGATGGGGCAGAAGCAACTTTTCACTGGACAAGCCCAGCAGTGTGCCCTGTCAGTTTACCATTGCCATGGCAACACCCAGGAGGTTCCCTATAACCTCTAGGCCCTAGAACATTACTATTACTAGATCATAGGGGATTGAAATGCTTCATATTTCAAGCCCGTTGTCCAATTATGAAATCAACTATCTCTTGGAATATGTTCATAGTGACATAACTTTACAGGCACATACCAGGTCCTTTCCTGAAAGCAAGTTGTAATGCATGGATGAATTCCAGTCCCAGTTCCATCTCTCACTACATACAATTTGGGGAAGCCACCATGAGGAACAAAGAAGGCCATGAAAGAGGAAACCCTTTAATATGATTGCCTAAGTGTCTGGGTGGACAGTGAGAAAGAAAGCTCAAAGAACTTGCTTCTATCTGCACTGGGCTCATGGGACTTGCCTTTCTATGGCAATGACCCGGTGACCCAGAAGTTACTACCCCTTCCCTAGAAATTTTTGCATAAGCTGCCCCTTAATCTGCATGCAATTAAAAGTAGGTATAAATACGACAGCCTGCCCAGAGCTGCTACTCTATGGTGTAGCCCCGCTGTGCAGGAGCAGTCACAGAGCTGTAATACTACTGCTTCAATAAAGCTGTTTCCTTCTGCCCTACCATCAGCTTGCCTTTGAATTCTTTTCTGGGGGAAGCTAAAAACCTTCATGGGCTAAGCCCCATTTTGGGGCTCACCTATCCTGCATCAGGACCAGCAGCCAGGGCTATCCTGAGGGGTTGCAGACACTGGGCCAGGTTAAACAGTATTCCCACCACCATATCTCTTGCTAGTGTGAAAACAAAATCACAAAACAGCCACAGTCTGTGTCCTGGGCATGAAAAATTTGAGGGCCCCTTGGAATGCATTGGAGATGGGATGTATGCATGTGCGTACTGGGGAGTAGGGGGCCTGGAGCAGGGGCTGCCAGCTTATTGCCTACGTAGACATCGAAAGCGAGCCCAAATCATGGGGCCTCCAGAGGTTTGCAATCTCCCACACCCTAGGGACTAGCCCAGAAACAATCTGCTGAGTCCAATTCTCCAAGTTAACAACTTGAGACAACAATGACAAATCAAACAAGCAGGATGACAAATGGTTCTAATTGTGACACATGCTTGGCCACTATCACAAAAAATGATTTCTAAGCAGGGCTTTTAGGATGAGATCAAGGACTCAGCCTTCCATAGCTAATAGAGAAAATGATGACTTAAACGCTGGTTAAAAATAAGTGCCAAGGCATTGCGGGGGTCATGATCTGGTGGAAAATTGTCTCCTACCTGCCCTCAGTCCAAACTCAATGTTAAGCATGGCCTGCACCCACCCCAGGCCTCACGTGTCCTCCCCACATCAATTATGGTGCTAAAGGGAGGGGCAGAGCGCAGATGAATGGAAACACGTGGGTTCCAGTCACAGCTATTGTACTAATGAACTGCGCGACCTTTAGGAAAACCCTGGGCTCTCTGTTCCTGTTTCCTCATCTGGACACTGGGAGCAACAGTACCTGCTTTATTTACTTCACAGGCTTGGTATGAGCAGCAAATGGGAGACCAGATGTGAAAATGCTTTGAAATCATTAAAAGTTCTCTCCACGTGTAAGTTATGGTTTTTGTCATTACCAAGTCTGTCAGAAGTGACATTGTACATTTCCTTCTGTGACAAGGAAGGCTAAAGAATGGAATTCCACAGAAAGGCCCACCTCCTAAGCCTAATCAGAAATGCAAGTGCATTTATTATGACCACCCCCACAAACTTCCCACCCAGCAGCGCTCCCCACTTCACCCCTTTTAGTGCAGAAATGGAGAGAAGGCAGCCAGGGAGCAGCTTTATCTGAAAAGCTGCAACGTACGAATTTAGGAAATGGATCACGCTAAAGCCTCTCCCAGCACAAATTCACCCTGCGTTTTTGCACTTGAAGGATTTCATTTTATTTTTGAAAAAGTGTTGCGTTGGCCCACGCTTATAACTCAAGGACTTTGAGCCTCTGTCAGCCCTGCCTTGCAGTTCACAGCTTCAGCCAGTTTTCTGCATTAGCTCATTTCAAATGGATCTTTGACATTTTAATTTCAAAGGAGGCAGATTGGTCTCATTAAACTGAGGAGGAAGGAGGATTATACAAATAAGAGAAAGACAAAGCCCATTTTTAACCCTGAACTTCCCACTTCTTTTTGCAGCCAAGGCCTCAGTTCTGGCTCTACTTAATTACATTTCTGATACTACCTTTGACCAGTAATTTCTTTTTTTCTTTTCTTTTTTTTTTTTTTTTTTTTTTTTTTTTTTTTTTTAAGACGGAGCCTCGCTGGCTCTGTTGCCCAGGCTGTAGTGCAGTGGCGCGATCTTGGCTCACTGCAACCTCCGCCTCCTGGGTTCAAGCGATTCCCCTGCCTCAACCTCCTGAGTAACTGGGATTACAGGCACACACCACCACACCCAGCTAAGTTTTGTATTTTTAGTAGATACGGGGTTTCACCATGTTGGTCAGGCTGGTCTTGAACTCCTGACCTCGTGATCTGCCCACCTTGGCCTCCCAAAGTTCTGGGATTACAGGTGTAAGCCACTGAGCCCCGCCCTTGACCAGTAATTTCTATGCCTCCTTGTCCTGCCAGTCACCCTAGTACCTATGTGTCTTCATATTAACCCTACCACAGTTAGGGTTTAAATAAAATACTACAATTAAGAGAAACACCCATTTCAAAACTATTACTCAGGTAGCCCCAAACATCTCTGTGGAGTCAAAACATTAAGCTTCATCTTCTTTTGGTTTTCCATTTGGAATTTTGAAGACAGTGAAGCCAGGTTCCTTAAAGGGTTACATTTTTTTTTTTAAATCATTTCCAATGACAGAAAAAGGTGTCAAAAGTTGAAAATCCTTCCTACTTCAAAGAAAGGAACAAGTGACACACCCAACCCTGATCCTGGTGTAGCCACTGTGCAGCTGTAACTGATTCGGGAATGAGCCCAGGTGTGAAGCCAGAATCTGTTCCACCCTCTCTCTGCAGCCTGGCAAGCCCAAAGCTTAGAAGAGTTCACGCATCCACTTCCTTAAAATGACCTCACTAAGCATATTGCCAAAGAAAACTGAGTGGCAAGAGAAGATGGTGCCAGATGTTGCCTGCCAGACACAAGGACCAGATGCTTAAGGGAGGACTGGCTCCTCTGAAATGCACTGGAGGAATTCCCCCACCTCACTGATGGGGAAGCTCCGGTCACTTGGGGCCACTGATGGAAAGCAAAGACAAAGGCAATGCAAACATTGTCAGGATGTAAAGGTAACTTCTTGACCTTCAACCTCAGGTAAGTTCCCAGGAGGCAGTAAACCAAGCCACCGGTAGAGGGGGAACCTTCGGCCCGAAAGATGGCTGTTCACAGTTAGGTAAAAGTTCCTGGGAATGCAGTGGGACGGAAATCCCACTGAATTTAGCTCAACTCTCCAGAAGCTTCCCTTTATCATTTCCTCTCAGCCCTCTTAACTCTTCTGCAATTTATGCTACAGAAAAGACAAATTCCAAAGGGCCTCTAACTACCTGGAGCAAAATACCTTGACTTTTTAGTCATTTCATTGTCACACAATGTGACTACTGGGTTTATGCAAGGAACAAAAACTGAACAATTGCTTTTTTTCTGAATTAAGAAAAGAATAAGGTGCTGGTGTTGGGGCCAATATTAGCAGTTGACAGGCCTAACCCTTGTGCACAAAAAGCACTGCACAGTGTTTCCCAGTATGACCTCCCCTAGATGTTCTGTAAAAAAAAAAAAAAAAAAAAAAGGGAGGGCAGGGCAGGGCAGGGCAGGGCCACAGCGGCACACTCCTGTAATCCAGAGTTTTGGGATGCCCAGGTGGGAGGATCACTTGAGGTTAGGAGTTCGTTGAGATCAGCCTGGGCAACATAGCAAGACCCTGTCCCTACTAAAAAAAAAAATCTAAAAATTGGCCATGTGTGGTGGCACATTCCTATAGCCTCGGCTACTTGGGAGGCTGAGGTGAGAGGATCGTTTGGGCTCAGGAGTTCAAGGTTATAGTGAGCTATGATTGAGTCCCTGCACTCCAGCCTGGGCGATAGTGCGAGACTCTGTCTCTATGAAAAAAAACGGGGGGGGGTTGGGGGAGGTGGGAGAGGAGCAGAGGCTTATAGTCAAATAGGTTTGGAAAGTGTTCTATAGTACGTTATCTCAGAGATGCATATTAGTATTAAAAGCACTGAAAAGCCTTTCAAGAAAGAACATTAATTTTGGGAAACTGGATGAAACAGCCTAACTGGTCACTAAATTCCCCTTTGGGGTGATAGGAATCAATATGCCGTAGACACACTTGGAAAGCCCTAGTAAGGGTTTTCTCAGCCTCGACACCATTAACATTCTGGGCCAGACAATTCTCTGTTTTGGGGGCTGACCTGTGCATTGCAGGGTCGTTCGCAGTGTCCCTGGGCTCTACCTATCAGATGCCAGCAGCACGGTCCCCTAGTTGTGACAACCAAAAACATCTCCAGACATTGCAAAATGTCCCCTGGGGGCATCTGCCTTTAGTTAAGATATCTCAGGCCCATTTCCTTTAGGGAACATGGTACTTTAATTCAGGCCAGCACCCATCTCAATCTATTTCCTAGTTCTGTCTCAAGGAATCTCAAACCCAAGGCCAGCTGTAAGCCCTAGAGCTGCCACCTGCTGAGGGTGAGCTTCCGGTTGGTGACACCCTGTGTGCCACTGCCCCAACCCACACAGACAGCCTCGGCTCCCCCAGGCCTATGCAGCTGGTGAGTTGTACAGTGGCTTGTGGGGCAAAAAGGCCTCATAGAGATAGTCCTCTGCAGAAGATCCAAAAGGGCCGTGAACAGCCACAGACTGCCAAGCCCAGGGCCTTCCGCAGCGCCCCAAGAGTTACCTCATGATATTCGAGGCATCCTCCGCATCCGGGTCAGCGCAGTACTTGTTGGCAAGGATCAGGCATGCATCTGCTGACTCTATCTAAGACACCGAAAGGAAAATTCACAGAACACAAACATATAAATAGCCATGCTCGAGTGTAGTCTCTCTCTGTTGACAGCTTCTTGGGGAAGCTTTGCAAAGAAAAAAAAAAAACAATCCTGAGAGCCTGAGAGATTATAGTTTTTGTCAAAAGTGTAGGTTCCAAGTTCTTGTTATGGTATAAACATTTCATCTTGTTGCTGTTGGAGGGTACAACATGTACCTTGGTAATTATACTTTTCATTTGGCATCGTTGCTTACTTGTAGGATTTCCAGATTTCTTTAAATAACAATTAATTAAGCCTTTCAGTCTCCTCCCCACCTCCTTTCTCAACCATCTGCACCATCATCCTAATTCTTCCTATCAGGAGTTGGAGGTGGGTGGGTTAAATCCCTTCTCTCCAGTTAGCAAGGTAACTGAGTATTGGGGATTCAGAAATGTACACTCTGAAGTCCTTCATCTGACCTTTTTCACATCTTCATTTTCTATAGGCTGGGAAGAGATCAGAGCTCTAAATCAGATAACATCACCATATTGCTTAGTATCCGATTAGTATTCAGATATTCAGAAGACAACAAATCTATGTATGAAATAATGTGTTACAGTTGAACTCAAAATATACCTACTGACTTATCCAAACACGAGCCCACAGGGGTTTATTCCTTAGAGGGGACCATGAGTTTGATGTGCTAATGATTGCTTGCATTTAAATTAGGTCCACGAACAATAACAATTGTCCCTACGTTCTCATAAGATTTTACATAAGCAATAACTTGAGTTATGTCTGGATAATATCAAGATTAACTGGACTCTATGAGCATAAGAATTCTTATGCTGGCTCAGGTCTGCAATCTGTCCTACTTGGTATGTTATACTTAATAGATCATTCCTGGATTTTGAGGGAGGCCATAATATCCTCCGTGGTATGTCACAAATCATCTCTGATTTCTTTAATAATATAAAGAAAGAATTTATCCAAATCCTTTTGGATTATTCATCTTGGCCAATTATATTATTTACAAAATTATGCGGTGACCACAGTTAGCATTTAGACTTCAGTGAATTCATTATATTAATGTACACCCCCTGGCATGCAAATATTGAACATGCTTACAAAATCTATATTACATAGGTAAAGTAGCAGATGCCATTTTGCCTTGTACCTTTCCCTTCTAAGCCTCAGGTGTGCTTTATGAGAAGATTCTAAATTACCAGTTTCTGGAAAAAAAGATTCGCCCATTATCAATGATATCAGATAACTGCATGTTTAGTTTTACACCCTGCGTCTTAGATGGGGAAAAAAGAAAGCTCAAATGTTTTATCGCTTAGTAAAATTTTATTTTATATTTTAGCCTAATGTTTCTTTCAGATGTAAATAATAGAAGTCAGAGCTATATTGAGTCCAACTTAAGTGTTCAATATAGGAATTACTTGATTATTATGTTGTATAAAGCTACTGGGTCCATATAACTGGTCTACTTCCTTGATGAGTAGCTGATTTTGAGGAATCCAGCAAAGCAAGTTTCATGTTATGACCAGTCCAAGTGTGGGATGGTTATAGGTAGTGTTGCATATGCCAGCAGAAGGAGGTCCTGGGACCAGTGGAAGGGTGACCTCAAGGTTGCTGGTATGTGATTGATCTCATTAGGTGTTTAGGAGATGACTCGTGGCCAACCTAGGAGGTGTGTCCCCTCAGCACAGAGTCAGGACTCCCCCCAGACCCACACCAAGATGGAATAAAAGCAGAAGTCACCTCTTCCTCCTTACCTTGACTCTTGCAAGATCATGTGGATTGAGGACGGAACCCTGATAAAATTCCACCTGAGTAAAATGTCGTTTGAACAGAGCTTCAAGCTCCAGGTTGGGGGAGATGCTACACAGGGAGAGAAGAAATCGCTATTAATTTAATGGACTCGGGGGTTTCAGCCTCCATGGGCTCCTTCCTCTCTAATTTCCACAGGGAGCCCTGGGGAGAGGCTGTGACCTACAGTCACCCTTTTGCTTGCCATAAATAAAAGACTCACACTCAAGAGAAGTAAAACCCCAGCCCAACTGAAAACCAAACCAGTACCATGGTAAAAGAAAGAGGTTCATGGGCTTTAGGAAGGCCAAGACCTCAGGACAAATGTCTTCTCTTCGGTATGAATGGAATTCCTATCTTATAAATATGGAAGCTGGGCTGCGCCACTAGTGGGATGGTTCATTTTATGCGGACTGTGCCAGAGGGTGCCCAGATCCAGTGTGATTTCTGGGTGTGTCTGGGAGAGTCTCTGGATGAGAATGGCATTTGAATCAGTGAATTCAGTAGACTACCCTCCTTTGTGGGAGTGGGCATCATCCAGTCCTTTGAGGGTCTGAAGAGAACAATAAAACAGAGGACAGAGGCGTTTGTCCCTTTTGCTTCTTTCCTGCCGGCTTGAACTGGGCATCTCTTGTCATTCTCCTATCCTTGGACTGGGGTTGACATTGGCTCTATGACTCTCTGGCCCTCAGACTCAAACACCACCAGCTTTCCTGGGTCTCCAGCTTGCTGGTGGCAGGCAGTGGGACTTCCCAGCCTCTGTAATCAAATGAGCCAATTCTTCCTAATAAATCTCTCTAGAGATAGATAGATAGATAGATGTATCAATATATAGATACCGATATATATCTGTATTAGATATATTGATATATATATTTCCTATTGACTCTGTTTCACTGGAGAGCCCTGACTAATACAATCAAGGATTAGCCGAAGGTTCCCCTGGGAGAGGCATCCTGCTGTTCCCTCCATCATGAACCTTATCTCTGCTTCTGTGTCTCATGGACTTCTCATCCCCCAAGGCCTGGATCAAAAAGTATCACTCTGAGGAGCCACAGACAGACTTAATTTACTCTCATTATTGTTCTTGATTCACACACATGTATGCGACTCATCACATTTCTTGGTGCTGATCTGTACTGACATCTTTCTCTTTGGAGGACAAGGATTAAACAAGTGACCTATTTATTCATTTGTTAATTCTGCAGAGATGAAAAAGACTGTCGATAAGGTACCGTGCTAGGCACTGGGAGATGATATTTAGTTAGAACCTACTATACGCCAGGTACCGTGATAAGTCAACACTTGCCTAACATTTGTGAAGTCCATAATGACAATAATAATAATAGTTCATGTTTTGTAACATTTACTATATGGCAGATAACATTTTAAATAAATAATAGTAAAATAGTATTATAAATAAATAAGTAAAATAAATAATATTTATTTATTTTATTTTATTTTACTTAGAGTTTATCTCTGTCACACAGACTGCAGTGCAGTGGCAGGATCTCTGCTCACTGCAACTTCCCAGGTTCAAGTGATTTTTGTGCCTCAGCCTTCAGAGTAGCTGGGATTATAGGCATGTGCCACCATGCCCGGCTAATTTTTGTGTTTTCAGTAGACACAGGGTTTTGCCACATTGGCCAGGCTGGTCTTGAACTCCTGGCCTCAAGTGAGCCACCCACCTTGCCCTCCCAAAGTGCTGGGATTACAGGCATGAGCCACCATGCCTGGCCATGATGAGCATTAATTCATTTAAATCTCAAAACAACCCTATAGGCAGGTATGTTATTAACCCAGAGCTTCAAGAGGTTAATTAACTGGGCCATCTACTATAAGTATGACATTGATGGATGTTAGGGATACAAAGGTGAATCCTAGCAATGGAAGCATGAGCAGCCAGTTTTTGTTTTGTTTTGTTTTGTTTTGTTTTGTTTTTTGGAGACAGGGACTGGAGTGCAGTGGTGCCATCTTGACTCACTGCAACCTCTGCCTCTCAGGATCAAGTCATCCTCCCACCACAGCCTCCAGAGTAGCGAGGGCTACAGGCACGTGCCCCTATGCCTGGCTAATCTTTCTATTTTTGTATAGATGGGGTCTCACTGTGTTGCCCAAGCTGGTCTTGAACTCCTGAGCTCAAGTGATCTTCCCACCTTGGCCTCCCAAAGTGCTGGGATTACAAGCATGAGCAACCACACCTTACCAGCTTGTTTATTCAAACTAAAGCAGTGGATGAGAGAAAAGTGGCTGCCTCTGTGAATCTGACCAGTCTTTCAGACCCATGACAAGTCATACCTCATTCAGAAGCCTGCCCGGGTAATACCATAGACTGATGCTCCTTGAAAGAGATGTCCCCAGTCACTTCTGCCACCTGATCAAAATGACTTCAGCATCCCTTGGATAACACAGGGTTGATGTTGTCTCTAATGGTTGCATGTGTGTTCATCTTGAAATGCCCAACTCATGTGGGGGCACAGCCTACACACTATACCTCTAGAGAACTTTCCAAAACGCTCAGTAGAGGATGGGCCACACAGCAGGTAATCAGTGGCTAAGCACTGAATGGAACCTGTGGGTACCTGCTCCTGTGCTAACATAGCCTGGTCTGTTTTTTCAAAGTTTGGAGAAATCAGTGCAGAAAAGAGAAATGTTGGTGCCCCAACATGGTGACAAGTCAGAAGTCTAGCATTCTGTGAGCAAATGCCAGAGGACGACGATCCACCAAACAGGGAGTTTGTAGGGAAGCCGACCTCAGTGGAACCTCAGAGTAGGACCGCGTGCTGGGTAGTCAACAGCACGTCAAGCCAGCACAAACATGTTAGCTTTGTCCTGGACTTTGCGATGTGGTGCCAGGACTGGCCCCATGACAGCCCCATCTCCATAAAAGAAGATGACCATGGTACCACACATGTCACCATAATGGAGCCCCCTAATTCTCTCCATTCCTGGGGCAGACTACCTTTTATCTAAAAAGAGGATTAGTCAAAGTTGAAAACCTCAACATTGGGTAGAAGGGAGATACCTTGCTTTCCTCCCCTGTAAAACATACAAGATAAGACCTACCTCCTAAGTGGATTATACAACCAAATATATGTTATTTTTCAGGCTGATAGCTAACACTTATTGAAGACTTACTGCACGCCTGACTCTGCTCTGCACACTTCATATGGATTAATTCATTTCATTCTCATCACAGCCCAACTAGGTAGGAACTACTATCATCTCCATGATTTATGGATGAGGAAGCTGAGGCACAGGGAGCTTAAGTAACTTGCTCAGCCAGTAGTTGGTTGAGTCAGGATTCAGATCAGGGAATCTGAGTCCAGAATATGTATTTTTACTCTGTTTGTGGAGTAAATGGGAGCCTGCATGCACAGTGACGGGCTAGGGTCCCATGCTGGGGGTTCCTAGGAACGGCAGTTGTTATTACTATTACCTTCTGTCCTGCTTCCTCTTAAGTTGGTGTCTTGCTTGGTCACCAACTGACTCCAGAACTCCTAACGTATCCACACCATACAGCTAATCATCCCACAGCAGATAATGTGGACACGCCAGATTGCTAAGGGGACAATGATGATGACTTGGACCCACAATGAGCTCCACTATTATTTCTTCCAGAGATAAACTCGGATGTGGTCCCAGAATCGCCTCCACAGAGGCAGACTCTGCTCTCATCATTGAACCAGTGTGTTGCTTCCCTTTCCATTGGTTCTGCAATATCTTCTCCAACGAGGCCAAAAGGGATCATGGCTTACCCAACTCTGGCCCCATCCCCAGTGCCATTCCCCAAGACCTCCACTCTTACAGACATTCAGGGAGTCCCTCGCAGGGTGTGTGGTTGGGCAGAGGGTCTGACAGCAGTAGGAAGCTCTTACTTGTGAAGAAAAACGATCTCCACATTGACGTCATCCCGGTCCTTGTGCAGAAAGTCCTTCAGGAAGTTGGAAACACTCTCCAGAGTGATGTGTCCGCAGACCACAATGTGCCTGAACAGGAGAGGCCAGTTAGATCAGGCCAGGCACCACGACAGGACCCTGCATCCCACCCCCTGGCAAGACAGCAGAAGCCAGGCAGCTGCAGGGGAAGCATTCATCTCCTCCCTCCGCCTCCATAAAAGCCCAGCTCCCATCCCCAGAGGGCAGTGAGGCAAAGCAGCGGTGCTAGCAGGTGCTGAGACTCCTAGACAGAAAAGCCATATGGCTTCTCACCTGATGCTGCACAAAATCCTATTAAAAGCCCAACTGTTTGGCCAAGTGGTTTTATGCATTTAACAATAAGTGACATTATGCTTGTGCTTAAATGCTGCATTATCAAGTCCCTTGCAGATTCATATCTCTCCCTTTCTGCCCACAAAGCGTCCTCCGGGGAGATTTACTGTATGAGTCTTGGTTTATGACATAGAGCTTATCAGGTAATGAGATAACAAATCTTGCTGAAACGATGATTTTGTGTGTAAGAAAGCAGACTTTTATCAGGGTGGCTAATGTGCGGCCTGACACGTTATAGGTTCTGCTGGCCATAAGCAGTAAAAAGGAAATTTTGCATTTTTCCACTATAACTCCTCCGACAATGGGGGCATGTAACACTTTACAGTAAGTGAGCATTACTCAGGGCTAAATGGGGCTGGGATGCCTATGGAATGGAAGATCATGCCAGCTGGCTGTGCGTCCCCAGAGGGCTGCTTCCTTAGGGTGCCCGGGATTTCCAGGAGAGCTAAAGGAATTTACCTCAAGATGGGGAGATGCTGGGAAGGGATGAGGCTGGAATTGCTCGCCTTGTTTGAGGGTGGTTTGGACTTCTGTTTCTGGAAGTAGTGGCTCACCCGGAAGAGATGAGCCCCACAACTGTTGAGACTGACAGTCCCTCCAACCGCTCGGGGCTCCTGGCCAATCTGACTTTGGCACCAGGCAATGTCATGGCCACTTATATGTGCCACATAATGCCCAGTCAGGAGTGAGCATTTGATGCAAGAGTCAGCCACAAGACAAAAAGCCAGGGACTGACTGTGGAGATAAAACCACTGGCTTCTAGTGAAGAGACTGTATGTAGCAAGAGGCTCGACTCCTGTCCCTGTGCCCCCCAGGCTCATAGTGACAGCATCTGAGTCTCTAGCTGCGCTCTGAGACTTGGGCAGGTGGTGAACATGCAGCATGGTAATTTCCTGGGTAAAATTTAGAATGGCCATGTCCCTTGCACTTCATAATTGCTCTGTGCACATTCCACTAAGGCAGAAAGCTCATTGGCTGGAGGTGGCTCATAATAGGAGGCAGTGATGATGGCTTATGCAATGTTCCATTAGATGCCATTATAAGAGCCTGCCCTTTCGTTGTAATTTGGTGCTTGACTAAGTATGTGAGAATAATGCAGTAAACTCATTGGTGAAAGGATAATGATGCAGAACAAAGAGTAAATCAATAATATGCACGATGCAGTTAATAATATCACCATTATAGACTGTTATTGTTACGGTGGTGCACTTAGCAATCAGGCACGCAGCGGCCACCAAGGTGAGGGAAGAGTGTCAATGAGCTACTTCAGAAGAGATGTCTTAACATGATCACTTTGCTCTCCTGCTAGGTTGATGAAGGTCCCTTAGCCACCCACCCAAATTTTATGCCCAAAGCCCATATGACTAACCCCCTCATTAGTATATGGTGAGTAGTATGAGGCTAAGACAGTGTGACACACAGTGTATCAGAATACACAATATAGATTGAACATTTGGATGATATGCATTTTATCATATATTTTAAAATGTTTCTTGTGGCACATGTACATTTACATGGACAAAATACTTCAAATAAATTTGCACGTTCTGAATAAGATTTCAGACTTTGAATTTGCCAAATATGTTTGAAGTGAATGAGAAACAGAATTCCCCTACTGACCTAACTTCCTTGCAACTGACAATAGGGCTACTTTGCCATTCTAACATCCTCTGCACATAGACTTCCAAGATTAGGAGCAAAGCCAACATGAATCCAATGCGTGGGTATCTCCACAGGACAGATACGTGGCTGAGGCTGTTCTCATCACTTAGATGTGAAAGTAAGCCAGATGTGATTCCCTGCTCTGCGACCAAGGGTGTGGGCAAAGTATTTATTCCCATTCAGTGCAGGAGGAAGCTGAGAGGTTAATACCACCCAGCCGGCCTCCTGTGCCAGGCATTGTAAAGTTCGAAGTTCTATACCAGCATAAGCCTGGTTATTACTCAAAGCTAGGCTCAAATCAATGATAGGTCTGGGGAAATGCCTGAACATTCGTTCTTCCTACCCAGCATGCAAAGAACTGAATGAACATCAGCCAGCATCTCCTCCTCCTCTCTGAAATCATTCATCCCTAGGAAAGATGTGTGAGAAGTGCAAGGGGAAAAGATGAGTTCCCCCCTCTCACCCTTGAATCAAAAGCTCAGCTGGCTGATTTATTCAGCCTTAGAAAAAGTCAGGGTTCTCTTCCTTGAAAATGTACTGGGTACATATAAAATATATTCCAATGCAATCAATATTATCCCTTAAGCCTTTAATTAACTTTCACTTCTCTTAAGAAGTAGACAAATGCTGGCAAGAGTGAGGAGAAAAAAAGGATTGACTTTTTTCATTTGGTGCTAGCTATCCAATACCATTCTAGACAATTGAAAATATATATCTTTTAGCCACAGCATGATTTCTGGGGTGGAGAGCTGTCTTTATCAAAAAAGGAAGAAAAAAAACCTTCCTTCAACGTAATTGGTATTTTTGCTCAGAAAAAAAGCGAGATTGATTGAAAGCAGATTGCCTTTTTGCCCAAGGAGAGTTATTAGGTACATTATCATGGCAACCTTGGAGAACCCATATTGTTCCAATCTGTCCTATATCTGATTTGAAGATTTATGGCCTCCCCCTTTTGTGCCAATAATCATTTCCCTCCATTTTGTTTTCCATACAGTGAAAGTTATCAAGGAGCCCACATATTGAAAATGTTTGAATGCAGTTAGAATTGATGGATGGGGAGAAGCTGCCTCTAACTCAGCAATCGGTATTAGGAGATCTGCTTCCGCCAGCCTGTGTCTGAGGAGGGCCCTGCAAGAGCATGAGGGATGGATGGTGAATGGGGAACATTTATTTACCAGAAATATTTTCAAGACTTTTGAAGATTCTAGGGCCATAGTTTGGGGAAGGATATTATTGCAGGAAGAAGAGAACTAGAATTTATTGCATCCTCAATTATTAGAGATATCAACACAAATATGTTAAGATAGACAGCAGGGTGTGACCTCATTGGAGGCAGAGTAATGGTTGTTCACAGGGCATGATTTGAAGAATGCCAAAAAAGATCCCCATCCAAAGTTATCTCTGTTGGGTTCCATGATGCCTACATATCTACCATGTGAGATTCATACTCTGATAGCCCTGTGTTAACTCAGCTCAGACACTAAATAACTAAATAGTCTTGGACAATGTACCAATTTTGCATTTTACAATTAAAAAGCCAGAGCCTTTGAGGGGCCAGAGCTGGTGCCTGATTCATGAAGTTATCCTGATATCTAAGGAGATGATACATGGAAGGGCCAAGTAATCTGCTCCATGGTAAGCACTATGAAATGGTAAGTGCCATATGGTATCTGTAAATTAGGATGTAACCAATATAAAGTATTCTGTGGCCTATGCAATCCCACCTAATCCTTCAACAACCCTGTGTTCTCACTGCCTGAGTCTTTTCAGGTAACCTCTCTGAAACTCTTTCCTTAAGTCATATATGCCTGGCATCCCACAGCAAGTAAAAGTGACTTGCCCAGGATGCAATCTGGGTCTCCCACTTCAGTTCCCACTAAGATGAAGGTGGTGGTGGAAAGGAAAGAGGCTTGTATATCTCAGCTTCTGCTCCTTCAGGGCAAGCAGAAATGGACCCACAGAGGTCCTCCTGGATACATGGTGGAGGGGGTGTTGGAGGGGTCCTCCACTGGCCAAGGGAGAGGTTTAGTCTGGGAACTGGAGTGGATAAACCATCACAGTTTTGCAAGATCACTAGAGTCTGGCTGGATAGGCAGTATCATGATAGTCTTAGCAAAGTCTGATTACAGGCAGAAATCATAAGTTCCACCGGTCAGGAACTCTAAGCCAAACTTAACTGAAGCCATATGATTGGAGCAAGCTAAGGGGCTGCAAAGTGATGCAAATGTCCATTTTATTTTATATTATATTTTATTTATTTTTTAGAGACAGGGTATTGCTCTGTTGCCCAGGCTGGAGTACAGTGGCTCAATCAGAGGTAATTGCAGCCTTGAACTCCCAGGCTGAAGCGATCCTCCTGTCTTAACTTCCTGGGTAGCTGGGACTATAGGCATGCCACCACAGCTGGCTAATTTTCTTTTGGTTTTTGTAGAGATAGGTTCTTGCTATGTTGCCCAGGCTGGTCATGAACTCCCAACCTCAAGTGATCTGCTCACCTTGGCCCCCAAAGTGCTGAGATTACAGGCATGAGCCACCGCGCCCTACCCCAAATGTCTATTTTAGACATGTCATGTACAGCTCAGGACTTCCTCACCAGCCTGGAATCTAGAAGATAATAAGAATCTTAATGATCCATTTACAATGGGGAATATTTAGGAAAGTTCAGCTATGAGAGTAGCTAAATCTCTCCCCATCTGTGGATGTGGATCTGAACTTTCTTAGACCATCAGCGATTGTCCTGACCAATTTCTATAGGGCCTGACCACTCAATTTGTGAAGATGACCAATAGTCCTCAATCAATAACCATTTCTGATCTGATGAAGTTTTTGGTTTTAAATGCTAGGTCTGGATCTGTAAACAAATATTTCTTGGGCAAAGGTAACATAAAATAGATATAAGCTGACAGGTCATGGCTTAGAATAAAAGATCCACCTCAGAAACACAAGGAAGCATCTTCAATGCCAAAATAGTATCCAACGGCACTTTCTGGAGAGGAATTATTCATCCAGTGTGAGCAAGTAGTGCCTGGTGCTGGGTCAGGGCTCCATAAATATGGGCTGGTTTAACTGAAAAGGGCAGTGCGGTGGGTCACGGCATTGGAGGGGTAAGAATGACTTCATGAGAAGAAGTTTGATGATTATGAACACTATTGAGGGTCACCATAAATTCGCCAGTTGCTTATTTCATGTGCATATCTTCACTAAATATACATGGGTGTGCTTCTCCTGCCATTTAAGCATCGCTGCCTCCAGAATGAAATCCCACAAATTCTTCTCAATCCTTCTACTCTCTTCTCAGTGATGGGCCAGGAAAGCCTGCATGCCCAAGTTGAGCCAGAACTTCAGTTTCAGAGCTCAATTCCACAGGTACACAGGACAACCTAGGGGAAGTGACTTAAGGCAGAAGGCAGAAGAGGACAGGAGGGCAGTGACTGAGGCATCAAGAGAGCCACTGAAGATGACTTTTAGGTCTATGACAAGGAAAATCTACATACTTTTCCCAAGCCTCAGATACTGGTTGTTAGAGCCAGTAGCCTTTGAAAAGGGAAACTGTGACCATGGAATAGTCACCATTGGGCCCCCTCCCACGTTCTTAAGTTTATCTCAGCATCTGAATGAATAGCCCTTGGCAATTGTTTAATCTAGCACCTTTCTTCTCTTTGATGTGGAAACAGGTTGCAAGATGAGTGCCAGATCCAGAGCACAACACCTCCCTCAGTTTCATGCCTTCTGATGAAAGAAAGCAGCTGGTGCCAGGGAGGATAACCTAAGCTGGGAATTGGGAGACTGGGGGGCGAGTTCTCAGTGACCTGGGGCCAGTCACTAAAATGAAGAGGCCCAGGCTGACTGGGCTGCACCCACCAGACACTGATGAATCCTCACACAGGGCTCCAGTTCTCTGTCCGACCTTAGTTCACACCTCCATCATACCTTATCTAGACATCTGCAATCGCTTCCTAACTGATTTCCCTATTTACTGTCCCCACTGCCCCCAACCATTCCCACACTCCCTCAAAAAAGCCAAAGAGAAGGGATGGCAGCAAATCCTACTGCGATCAGGTTCTGCGAGGGCGGGGAGGCCTTAGATCTTTCTTTAGCAGAGCCTCGCTCTAGGAAGACAATGTAAAATGCACAGCTCTGGGCTGTTTATTTTTAAAGATACTATATCCATTTTTACTGGAACGAGTATAAAGAACTTAAAAAACCCAGAGCTATCTTGTCACAATAAATCAGACAGAGTAAATTGAAAATCCTATACAGCTTTGCCTGAATACATTGTGCTCACTTTGTCAAAGAGGTAGATGAAATGTGGCACATATTGATCTAGATGTCTCTGTAAAACTATAATATTTATATCAAATACATATGCTAGACTCTCTGTCTTTCTGCTGAGCCTTCTAATTGTGTTTTCCTCGTCCTGCTCCTCCCAAAATGCATCTCACCATTGGTAGCCCCTGACATGATGGGAATGAATTTTAAGAAGTACTTCTCAAGAGAACCAGCAGCACTGTATCATACAGGAAGCAGGGCGTGGGGGGTTAGAGACCCAACGACCTAAACCACACAGTGGTCAGCACCAAAGCTTCACGTTTGCCCCCCTAGGTTGACCTTGAACCCTTGGTGTCTGCATCACCACCTCTCCATGACACTCCTGCAAGCTGGCCTTTCCTTTCCTTCTCACCTGGTAGTGCTTTTCTTGGCTACTTAGTCTTAATGCAGGTTTCCCTGATTTGGGGCATGTCCTTCAGGGTTACTGTTTCCCAGCGCTTCCCTTGAGGCTCAATCCCCCACTGCCAAAAAATAAGACTAATCCAACTCCCACCTTCCCACTTCCTCCTTTACTGAATGTCTCAAAGAGACTGACTTCAGTAAAGATAGGGGAGACATCATGGGCAAATGAAGCCTAACTCCAGGCTGTGCTGCCTCATCCCTCCACCCTACCCCAGGACCTGGCTTGGAACCCCCAAAACTTGCTGGGCTTTCAGGAACTATTTGTTAACTGATGGATTGGTTGACAAAGTATGCATCTTGGAGACTCTATCCCATGGTAAGTGCAGAAAAAAGTTAACAGGTAGTTCACTGCAAGCCTTTTAGACCATAGGCTTATTCCACCACCCTGAATCTACTAGCATATTTCAAGTTTGTAAGGGATCTGTACACATAAAGAAAAATAAAAACAAAGCAAATGAGAGTGTGTATCAGTCCCACAACCCCAAACCCTGACTATCACCATTTCCTGTTAAAATAATTTTTTTAAAAAAAAGGAGGTTCAGCAATAAGATAATTTCCTATCCATGGACACATCTAGTACTTTGCTAATCACAAAGGAAGGAAATGCATTCTCCCTCCTAGTGAGGAAGTGAATAAAGTAATCTTCTTCTCCAGCTGTCAATGGAGCTGTTCTGGATGTGGCAGGCTGTGCTGCTGTTTCCCTAAATGGGGCAGAAGTCTGAGCAAATAGATCCCAACAGTGCAGCAAAGGCACCTCTAAAGCAGAGCCCCAAGGTCAGAGGACAGACAACTGGCAGCCCCAGTGGGGAATACCGGGATGTCCCACCTGGGCCAAAACTTTGCATCTTATCGCATGCAGACAGTCAGAACCTCAGCTACCCTAGAGGGATCTGTGTCTACACCTCCACCATCCCAAATCACAGTTAGACCTCCATAATTAGACCGTGGTGAGAAATGATCACACATATTTTGTAGCTTGTAGCCTACATGGAGCCTCAGTCCAAGTCTTTAAATTCTGAGAAACTCAGTGCCGGGGACATTGGTAGATTTTGCCTGTCCTGCATACACCCTCTCTTCTGTGGACAGCACCTCATTTTAATTTGGGGAATTGCTCCTCCCCAAATTAAATACAGTCTCCCAATTATATACAGTCTTGGGACCTTTAGTGAAGGTTTTCTGCCCAAGTGAGGCCAATGGGTACTCTTAAATCTTGGATGGGCTGATGCTAATCACAGTGGGAGTTGATTCAACCTGATGACAAAACCCTGTAATGACTACTCCCGAGTTTCCACTTCCTCAGTGTCAGAGCTGCATCTCTGGTTCTTTTCTGTCCTTTCTGGGATCTTGCTCTTCAGTTTTTCATTGGAATCTCTAAGGTACCCTAACCTTTAAAAAAAAAAAACAAAAAACTTTTCTTCTTAAGTCAGCAAAAAAATAAGTTTCTGTTGCCTGCAACCAGAGAATCCTAACTGGTAGACTTGTTTACCTTTACTTTGGTTTCTCACCTAATTCTCACTGTTACCTAGTATGCAAGTATTACCACCATTTAGGTTTCTTTCTCTCTCCTTTCCTTTCTTTCCTTCCTTCCTCTCTGGAAGGGGAATTCTGCAGCTTTCTTCAGTAAGCAATTCCACAGTTGCTGAACCCTCACAAACTGCACTGATTCCTCCTATGCCTCCCTCCCCAACACCCTCACCCCTCTGCATCTTATTCATCCCATTACTTTGGGCTTGGTGGCCTTTGGCCATTTTAAAATAAGCAAGTCTTCCCTTGACCTGAATCTCCCAATGCTAGATGGTTCTCTGCTCTTACAGAGAAATCAGGGAGCTGAATGGCACTTTCCTTTTTTCAGATCAAAGCAGATTTGCCCGATTTCATTTTTAATGCTGCTTCTGTACAAGCAGAGACTGAGAGAAGACTAAGGCAGGCAAAGGTCAGCCTCACTCTTCAGGGATGAAGGTGGAATAGAGGGAGAATGAGTCCAAGCAAAGAAATGGCTCTGAATTTTGCCCAGGAGAGGGTTTTGATTTACAAAGCGAGCCCCACCTCCCTCCCTAACACCCCTGGTGAATCATGTATCATGGTCCTTGAGCACATACTGTTGGGACTGACCCTCCCATAATGACAACCAACTTGACATATCTTTGCCTTGTTCTCCAGCCACACCCAACGGTGTTGCCACAGCTAGCATAAGCTGCTAGCCATTCACTCTGTAGACTCAACATACTTGCATAGGCCCCAGCAGACCTCCAGCATCTGTTAGTCACACAGGGACTGGAAGGAGCTACAGGTTAGAAGGCTGGCGGATCACCTGCGGTCAGGAGTTCGAGACCAGCCTGACCAACATAGAGAAACCCCGTCTCTACTAAAAATACAAAATTAGCTGGGCATGGTGGCGTACGCCTGTAATCCCAGCTACTCGAGGGGCTGAGGCAGGAGAATTGCTTGAATCTGGGAGGTGGAGGTTGTGGTGAGCCAAGATTGCGCCATTGCACTCCAGCCTGGGCAACAAGAGCAAAACTCCATCTCAAAAAAAAAAAAAAAGAAAAGGAAAAAAGTAAAAAGAAGGCATGATACGAGGCATGACAGGCCACAGCAGGACCTTTGTGGGGTCTGGAAAGGAGTGGACCTCAGGATCACATCAGCGGATTCCCAACCCTCCCAAATCTTTCTGCACCCCTCTTTTACTGGGTCTGTAAGCTTTTAGGTGAACAAGGCAATCTGCTATTACCTATGCTCTCCACTGTTCAATGGGTATGTTCAACAACGTGAATTATCAAATGCTTTTGGGAGGCTTCCCTCTAATGTCTCTTGCTTTCATGATTATTGTACACTTCCATGATTTCAATGAATAAAATTCCTGAAAAAAGAGCATTTCACTGGGAAGACGCTCCTGCATACTCAAGCTTCTGTTTCACTGCCACTGTTTCCTTGGGTGGTACTGATTGGTCAGAATCTCAGATAAGCTCCAGGAGAGCAAGAACCACATTTTACCCACAGCACATGGTGGGGATTCAAATTATTGTTTGTTGAGCCAATATGTTAGAATGGGAGTTTTCCTAAGGCTGTTCTATACACTAGCTGACATTTGCCTTTGGAGTCAATGGCTAAGGTCATATAAGCTCCCACTGAGATGGGCACATATCTATCTCTGAACTGCCCCCATGTCCTCTTGTTAGAAAGGTACAAGGAGGGGAGATAGATTACTTTTCCAGCAACTGGTACCCATATTTGGAACAGTCCCTGTGGTTCTGGGGGTGACAGCAGGCCATTGTGATGCAACACCAGTACTGGCTGTGGAGACTGGAACCCTTGGGACAAGAGAATCAGATTTCCACAACTCTCACAATGTATTGACCTCTATAATGTTTTAATAAAAAGAGACACTGGACTTGGCCAGTTAGAAAGTTTCCTGGTTTAGTTTCATAGTATGATGACAGCAGCATGGAAGGAACCCCAAAGCTACCAGGAACCATTTTGCACAGCTCTGGAAAGAAGTCCAGCAGAGTGAATGACATGGTACGAAGACAGAAAACAGGGGGCAACCTAGTCTGGATGGCTGCAATTGTTCCTGAGATTCTGAATCTACCCGGCAAGGATTCACCCAATCAAAGGAGCCATTGATCAGAATCTTCAGCAATTATAATTTGAGAAATCATATTCGAATTATTTTTTAATGGAAGAAAGAATATTTGAGAGTGAAAATCTAGGCTTGAATACGACTTTTTTTTTAAGGTACACAGTTCATCTCCCACCTACATTTCTATTCTTGTTTTCAGAACAATAGCTGGAACATTTTGCTAAGTGTGTGGAAGGGAAGAGTGACAGCAGGAAAGGAGGGGAGCTTCATTCTATCAGTATTATCAGGAAATTGATTTAATATGCTTCCAAGTCTCTTTAAATAGAGCTTCAAGTTTGAAAGGGACTGAAGATATGGCTTAGAGGAATCCAAAACAGATGCCAAGAAAGAAGTGCCCATGTCCCACGCCCACCAAGACCCCTCTCATCAGGAAGGGATACCTAGCACATCACATCAGAAGACATGGCATCTAATGACAAGCGCTTTGGGTATCTACCCCTCAGCACCACGTTTCAGAAGTAGTCAAGAGGTCATTTTTCCAAAGTATTAGGGCAAGCTCATTTTTTGTTTTCCCTGTTCCCAAGAAGTTTAATGCTAATCAAAGCAGAATGCCTAATCAGTCCAAGATGTTCTGTCAACTTGAATTATCTATTTGTCTTCTTATTTACTGTATCTGTCTGTCTACAGTTCTTCATATCTTTATAAAGATCGGTTATTGGGGCCTGTGTTTCCTTCTGACTAGAATCGCTACCAGATGATCCTTCCTGGTGATATGTTGATGATTTGCTAATTTATGGCTTTTAAAATCTAGGAATCCAAAGACATTGCTGAGGGGTTCAGGCTGGGGAAGTCACGTGGCTCATGCAATGAGGGCTGAATGGCTACTTGATGAGGGATCTAAGTCTGTGTAGGATGCAAAGCTTCAGTCACATTTCGACCAGAGCCATGTCTGCAATAGAGAAATCGTAAATGACATTTTATAGGAAACACCCCTCATGAGAGCAGTCCGCCCCTTGCAGGCGAGGAAAAGTGAGAATAGCTGTTGCCCAAGACACAAGTAAACATGGAAAGAAAAGGCCTGTGGATCGGCCCAAGTCAGTATAACATGAAATCATCTCAAATCCGATTCCCAAGTGCTAGAGGCCATGCCTTCCCAGAAAGAGTCGAGAGGGAAATGGTGTTGTAGCAAGACTCTCTCAGAACCAAGAGAAGAGGTTTCAATAAGCCCTGATATTGGACTTCCCAACCACTTAGGTGGCCAAATAGTACGATGTGTAGCTCAGAAAAGCTGTGGTATAGTTGGAGATTTTTATGGATGTGTAGAAATGCATCTGTCCCCAGTGCCTGGTAGCAAGCCCTCAGTAAACACATGTGGAATGGATGGACATGAAGGCATGACTCGTGTTAATTCCTTTAAGGTAGGGTAGGCTATGGGGCCATAGATTAAATGAGTCTTTGTAAATAAATGATCCATGCTCTGGCACACTAGACAATTTAAAATTCCAAATCCTTTAGAAATCAGTCTAGAACCCTGGTGGACAAGACATGAGTGTGGTGGAGGAAATGGAGTGGAATTCCACGTTGATACAAGACAGCCAGGCAGGAGGGAATAGTGTGCGCTCTCAGGAAGGAACAAAGGTTCTGAGTGAGAAGGAGAGTCCAAATTCTGATATAAGGAAAGACACAGAGTTTAAAAATAACCCAATAATCAGGAAGCAGGGAAGATACGCAGGATGCCATCTCCCGATAAGTCAAGCAAGCACTGCTCAGGCAGGTTGGGGTCTGAGCGAGCAATCAGTTTTTAAGACTTCCTCTAGTGGAGGTAGAACTGAAGACCTATGTTTGCAAGTGGGGCTTGCATAACCTGGATTTTAAAAGCAAGAGTGTTAGCTCCCCCAGCTTAGTGGGTAATGCAAGCTGGGTCAAGGTCATTGAACAAGCGTTAGTTAGCATCTCCTCCTCTGAGGTGTCGCTTCCTTGGACTACTTTATCCAGTGTAACTAATCCCTGTTTTTCTCAGTTGCAGAATCTTAGTCTTTTCTGGTTTTGCAGCACACATTAAAAATGTGTAATTGGCATTTGCTTTAGTTGTACCCTTGCTCAGTGCTTGCAACCTCCTTGAGACTGTAAACTCCAGGAGGACAGGTTCCGAGGGTAGTTTGTTCGCCAATGAACCCTGAGCACCCAACAAAACCCAGCATCATGCCTGATGCATAACACAGAGAATGCCTGCCTGCCGAGTGAGTGAATGAACCGATGGAGAGGGGCCACAGGAATGGACAGTGAGGCAGGTCACTAACTGTGCTGGGCTGTTTTTAGTTCTTGAATTTTGTTCTCAACTATTGAATACTCAATTATTTCTTCTAAAGTATGGAATCCTCTTTAAAATATGAGCATTTACAATAAAGAAGATAATTAAGTACTCTAGTTTCATATTTAAATAGAAAAGCATGACAAACTGTCCCCATCTCTCTGAATGTAAGGCTCTTTCCAATGTGGAGACCACATCCGAGGTTGAAGGCAGACAGCCCTAACTCCCTCCAGCGGGATACAGGCTCCTGAGGGTGAATATTCCAAGTCAAAGCTATGAAACAAACACACAGAATGCACCCTGCAGAACTGGTCACGTGGGGCTCTACTGTGCCTTTCACTGATAAGGAAGAAACCACCTCCAGATACTGCTCTGTGCTGTGCGGCAGACTAACTAAGGAGTGAAAGGGAACAGGTGGTTCCATCTGCAAGGGTATAGAAGGCTCTGCAGGTGAGATCTGCCCAGCAGGGAAGTCCAAGTTTAGCAGATCACTACAATTCTCCATGGAACTACCTTTAAAGGATGGAGCCAGGAAGGGGAAGAAAATGTTGAAATCCACAAAAAAGGCACAATTCTCACTTTAGGTGTGGTTCATCTGTCTGTCCTTGAGAGCCTTTCATTGCTAGAAGTGTTCAAGAGGGAATTAGAATTCTAGTCTAACCAAATGGGAAAAATAAAGGAAGGAATGGTTTTGTCCCCTCTCCATCTTTTTCCCCTCAATCCTGGGGCCAGGACCCTTAGGGGTAGTGGGTGGGCAGGAGGGGAGAGGAGACAGCCCCAAAGTGAAGCTCATGCCTTTCTCTTCCTCTCCATCATGAGCACGGTACTCTGGCTCCCCTTATACGGAAAGGTGGAGGAAGATACAAACAATAGGAGATCACTGAGTTTAGAGCAGAATGGAGTCTCAAGAGATGACATGGAGAGGCAGCAGGACGCAGGGAAGCAGGCTGTCCAGGTTCAAACCCCAGCCCAACTCTTTACTAGCTGCGTGATGTCAGGCAAGTTACTTAACCTCCCTGTTCCTCAGTTTCTTCACTCATTCCAAATGGAGATGATGGTAATACCTTTCTCACAGGATCAATGTGAGGATTCTGAAATATGCAAATATTTGTAGGTATTACTATTGCCAGAGAAGGCAGTCCTGGGGCTTTAGGCTGCACTGATTCACATTCTCATTTCAGGAAGTGTGTGGCACTCCTGTCTCTATAGGCAAATGTTCCAAGAGAAGCCACAGCATTTAAGTTTCACAGGCAGCTTTCTTGAATTGGAGCAAGAGACGGGTTAGTCCATGACAACTATTCCCCAAACCAGAATGGCGGCTCAGCAGCTTCATCCTGAGGACCTTCCTTCAAGTTAATTACACTCACTTTCCTCTCCCACCTTGGCTACATCTAGTCTTTCATGACTCATTCCCCTCTCGTGTGCCCTGTCAGCATTTGGCTACCAGGAATCAGTAGAATAATCCAAACCCATCCCATTCTCTCTGTCCCAAACACCTGGGCCTAGGATTGCCTCAAACTTGAGTCACTCAAGTCCCAACATGGGAAACACAAGGTCTGGGTGGCTCCCGGCTGGACTCCCTCTAACAAGGGGGTTACAGCAGATGGATTCCTCTCTGTGACTGATTATTTTCCATGGCCCTTGGCCATGTGACCTTGGACCACGATCTTGTCAGTTCTCATAAACTAACCAGGAGTGGAATGAATCACACTCAGGGAGGAGACCTCTGGGGGAAACTGCAAGGGGCTGTGAGAGGGAGGAGAGAGCTGGGGATCCCAAAGGCCATGGGAGCGTCACCAGCCCTCAGGCCTTCCCTGTCTCTAAGCAGCTTTGACCTTACACAAAGGAAAGGAGGAGGAGGCAGTGGCCTTGGGAGGCAGGCTGGGCTGCAGGAGGGCTCCCTTATGAATAAGATTTAGGGTATCAGCCCAAGAGCCCAGAGAGCTCTAATCCCTCCAACTCAGAGAGATTACCTGCCTCAGCTACTCACTGAACCCTTGGTTGTGGACACCCAAACCCCTATTCTTAGATGCTCCAATCCATCATAACATACATGAAATAGCCAACACACACGCACATGTGCACAATTACCCATACCTACTGCAGGGACTGGGTATCCTTCAGGAGGTGATGAAAATGTTGGGTAAGGCACTCTAGGCCCTTGAAATAGTGTTGATGGTGAAGAGGCTTTGAGAATGCTACTTGAAATGTTTATATTATGCCAAACACATTGATTAAAACTGAAAATGAAATGCCAATGAAATCTTCATATTCTCAAATATCCTGAATTTGGGTGTTGTACAAACAAAACCCTGATCTTCTCTGCCTAAATTTTGTACTTTAAATAATCTTTGAATTTCAAAGTTTTATGTCTCTGTAGCTTTAGATCATGAGTTACCTTGAGTTCTCTGACAAGTTAATATATTGTTAGAGAAATCATTTCTGAATAAAATATGCACAAGTAAACAAATCCCTTAACTATGTATACATTCTAATTTCTTTCTGGGCATTTATTTGATTGGGTCCTGGGGAGCAGAGAACATGTATGTGTGTGTCCATGGGCAGAGCACATGGACTTATGCATACACAAAAACTCAGAGCACAGCACACTGTTTTAAGAGTCTGAACTTTATCTTTCAACAAAGTTTAGCTGCTTTCCTTTTGCAAATGCATTTAATTTTATCTGGAAACTTTTTGACGTTAGAAATAGAACAACTGTAGTTTCTCATTATGTTTGCTGCCAGAATCCATGCTTGGTTGCTCAACTAAAGACCTTATATTGCTAATTACTACCACATGCCCATATCCCAAGCGAAAGAAAACTTATTGATTCTGACAGCCCATTCTCTCAACACTGAATTCCAAATGAAAACTCAAAATTTGGCCAAACATAACATTTCATCAATCTTGTTTTACTGACTGGAAAAACAACATCAAACAAAGGGTGCTAATGGCCCTTTATTACCGTGCCTTTCCCAAGCTTATATTTTCTGATGAAAGATCTAAGTGACCAAAGGCCTTCTTTAAACTACTTAGTAATTAGCTTTTGAACCAGGAAACAATGCATAAAGTAGTGAACAGGCCCGGTGCTGATGACAGGACGGACTCTGTGTCTGCAGGGTCAGGAACAGTGGGGACCCAAAAAGAACATTAAAAGCAAAGTGCATTTTCATAAACGGAGAAGAAAAAAAAGAGAAAGAGAGAGAGAGAGAGAAAACCAGGCTAAAAGCGGTGATAAAAGATTACAGAGCCAGAACAGAGTGGCAGGAAGTCTGTGATCTGAAGTCATCAGCACCTGAAAGTTTGAGTGGAACTGCCAGGGTGAAAGATGACCGGATCGGACTGGGGGCAGTGAGTGAGTGCCGGGCTGAGAGCCCCATCTGGGTCAGCTGGCACCGAAAGCTGCCGGCCTCCAGCCCACCCACCAGCTCACCCACATTTGACTAGGAAAATTATTTCATTAAAAAAAAAAAATCACCTGGAATGAAAGTCAAGAAATATTTTCAACTTAGCCTTCAGGGCAATTGATTTTATTGACTTCTTGGGGCAGTGATTGGGAAATGCTGGCGGAGACGTCAGAAGATAGGGAGGCCATAAAGAGAGCCCCAGGCCCTCAGAATGCCTTCTGCTTTATGGAGACCTGTCCACACCTTCAAGGCAAAATGAATTGAGATGCTGTTTTCCTCTTGGCATGGGATACATGACCACTGGGAATCTTTGGACTTACTTGGCCTTTTGGATCCAACCAATGGCCCAGAAATCAGAACAGCTTGGTTCTAACCTCATCCAGGGCTGTTAAGATAATATTGAGGGGAGGGCTCCATTAGAGGGAAGATGGAGGGATGTGCTGCCTCCCGGAAAAGACGCCAACTGGCCTCCTCTGGCCCACTGTCCTTTGTGCCTTTGAAAGGAAACGGGTGTCCTGTGGGTAGTTCAAGAAAATGAGCCCTTTTGTCCACCTCCTCATTTCCTGTGCAGAGGCCTGGACACCTGAGCTCAGGAAGCACTGGACTCACTGACCAAAGGGGAGGGTCCACTCTGTCCCACACGGCTGACTGTCAAAAAGAGAAGGCAGCAGTGGAGGGAAATACAATGCTCCCAGTCTGATTTTATTTCCTCTTAAAAAAACAAAAGAAGCTCTTTAAGAGTTCATTTGAAACAGAACGAGAAGGGAAAACAAAACAAAACAAAACAGTTCCATGATAGGAACGTCCATGACTGGGAAGAGGCATGAGTGATGAAAGTTTTCTGTGTCCTGATCCGGATGGTAGGATGATAGTGACTGGGTGTGTACATAGGTACAAGTTCCTCACTTTATATGTTAAAGATGTGTACATTTAACTCTATGTAAGTTATACCTCAAAACCAAAAACAAACAAAGGTGACTACTCCAGAAAAAGCTTTAAAAAAATAAATAAAGGATGGCTGCTGCCAGCCCCCTCTCCCCCATGGCATTCTCCTCTTGAGGTTGTAAGGTACTGCCCTCTACTTAGGAAAAAACCTTGGGGTCTCTATTGAACCTGCACATTGATATCGAGAGTGATAAAGTGATCTGAGCACACACTAAAATAGTTCCCGAGAAGAAAGCATTCACATTTGGGAAGCCAAACAAAAGATTTGGCAGGAATAGCATGTAGTACCCTAAACTACCAGAAATATACTATTTCTTGCCCGGAAGGAATTTCAGCTGAGTAATGAGTCCCTTTGAGGATAAGATCGGTGCCTCCTGGATGAAGAGGAGAACTGGGTTCCCAGTGGCCGCAGTGCCTTTGCAGTAGGCCAGATGACCTGGATCTGCCACCCAAGGACTTCTCTGCCAGAGTCTTATCCTGTGTTCTTGCTACACACAAACCACCATAGGAGGGCATCATACTAGTTTGAGGGACCAGAATTTTATCACATAGCCAGATGATGGAAGAATGAACGAGTTTTGTTTACTTGTTAGGGGTCAGAAGAGAAAATATGGGCCCAGTTATAAATGGACTCCTTTCAGGATAAATTCATTACATCTCTTGGAATTTGTGAATGGGAGTTGGTCCAAGCGTGGCAACGTCCTCGGGTCACCTCTGACATCACACCCCATGCAGAAACTGGGCCTTCCCTCACAGAAGCACCCGGTGGGGTTGGGGAGGGGCAGAATTCAGATGGCACCTCCACAGGGACTCCTGAAAGTCACTCAACCACATCTTTTCTGATGCAACTGACTTACTTTCTGCCTCCATGTTTGTTAAAAGTCCCGCCGAATTTATTCCGACTCAGGATGAGAGCAGCAATTTCGGGCACGTAGCGGGCAAACATTGCCTACATGCATGAAACAAAGAAACAAGAGCCAAAAAAAAAAAAAAATGGCATGCAGAGAGGATTCTACCGCAGCAGAGGCAGCAAAACCTCTTGGCATACTTACTTTCTTCCACTAACCGCACTATAGGAGCCCCCGTATTTCTTGCGGTTTCCTATTAACTCTATGATTTCAGGGACGTAGCTGGCAAACATGGCCTGAGAAGATAGGAGACAGAAGAGAGACTAAAAAGACAGGCCAAAGAAAAGGGGGGACCTGTTCAGAGGGTGGGGGCACTAAGATCTGAAAACACAAAAGGATTAGGCCTGCAAAGGTATATATTGATATGTTGGATCATAAAAAACTAAAAGCACGAAGAGAGCAAGCTCCCAGAAATACACAAGACAAACAAACATTGGCCACCTTGACAACTAAAGAACAAAAAAAAATCACAGTCGAGAAAAATACAAAGGCGACAGGAATAAATAAGGTGATATCTAGTTCTTCTTGCTGAAGAAAAATAGGCAAGAGGGGGACATGCTAGTGAAACTAAACACACACAGACACATGTGTGCATGCACAGACACACACAGTTTCGCAAGAGAAGATCTTCCTTTGTCATTAAAATTCAGAGGAGAATCAATGCTTTTATGAGTGACAAAAGAAAATAAACACCAAAAGATTAAAAACTACATTTTTCTATTAAAAAAAAAAAAACACTGAAAAGCTCAAAAGGGAAATTTAGGAAATCACCTGGGAGGAGAAGATAGCAAGGAGAAACACAAATCTGCCATGTTTTGTCCAACAAACATCTGGCCTGTGGCTGGCTGGATGGGTCTTTTTATCTATAGGCACCTCACGGATGCTGTAGAAATGCTTGCGTGAATGTACACATGCATGTGCACATTTATATACATTTTTAAAATGTATAGGCCCTATGCATACAAAACAGAGAGAGGTGTATGCATCACTACATATAAATGTGCGCACGGTGTACATACATGAAAGCTGTGTATGGATTAGGATTTTAATCACTCGCTTCATAAATGGCAAAAAAAAATCTAAACTTAAAATGAGCTACTTTGAAAGACAAAATGCAGCAACTGCCAACGTGTGGCCAGAAATCCCCTCGATTTACATTAGAAGGGGTGGTTTAGTGCAACATAAAGAGCTGCGTAGACTTTTAAAAAGCAAACAGTGAAACTTTCTTAGAAGAAAGGAGCAAAAATACCCCATGTGTCCGCTGCAGAATGGAGTGAGCTGTTTGCAAAACTGCACTCTGCTCACATGGGGATGTCCGCCTGGACAAGACTAAGGTGCTCTCTCTCCTTTGATGTAGGGACCCTTCTCTTTAGGGCAGGCCCCAGCCACAGTGTTTGTTGGAAGTTAGGGGAGGAACATAAAGGGGAAGGGAGAGCTCTTGAAACCGCAAACTGTCTCTACAAAGTATCGACAGCTTCTACCAGAGGCAGGTGACAGCCACTGTCCTTGTAGCATACCAGATGCTGAGTTACATTGCTAAGGGGTAGACACTCTCCCTTATTAACAGCATCACTTTTCTTAAGACAATTAGGTTTGCTCCTGGCTAAATGGCTGTCCCCGACAAGGGCAATGTGCCTGGATCTATGGGACAAGTGTAATACACCAAGAATTATGCAGAAAAGTCACCATCGTGTTTGGATTTACTTAGCCTGATTGTAACGTTAAGGCTTGCTTCTAGTGCAGAATACAGTCTAAAATACAAAGCTTTAAGGAAATGTATCATGGAAAATATTAACAGCCATCAAAATCAACATCATAATAAAGATTTTTTTTTACCAGTCCCCCGAGGATGAAGAAGACCATGAAGAGGCGCCCAAGTGTGGTTTTTGCATAAACATCCCCATAACCAACGGTGGACATTGTGACCATGAGTAAATAGACACATTCCCAGTAGGTGAGAGCCTGGTTGTTTTGGAAATTTTCCCATGGGTCCCCTGAATTCTCCACCTAAAGCAAATGGGACAGGGGAGAAAAAAGAAAAACATGCTATTGAAGTGTATACATGCAATAAACGCGGAAGCTCGGCACTCTCGAAGGCCACTTGCTACTGCACACCACTCTCCACACGAGATGTGTGGTTCCCGGGCTGAGTTCTGTGAGTCAGGATGCAGAGCTCCTGAGCAGGACACAGAGAAAGTGGAGAAGCAGCTGCAGGAGATGTCTTCCTGGCTGATTGAGACAGAGAGGGAAAGCAAGAAGGGAAATATCTCTAGGCCTTTTCTCTTCTTCTGGTAAAATGTGGGAAGCCAGCTAAAATTCAGGGCATTGCCTCTGGCCAGGTTTTAGAGCACTCTCTTCAAGGAAAGAGCCAGAGATTCCGTCCCTGACCTTCCTCAATGGGTTTCTAAGGCCCAGATGGCCTGGATCTGCCTCTCCCACAGAAATTCTAAACACTTCCGTAGGGGGCTGCCTCCTTCCATCAGTTTATCCAAAGAGTATATATGGGCCCTGCTTATTTCTGATTCAAACAGCATCTCTGGAATCTGGCCCTGCTCTCCCTCCTTTGCAAATTGGCAATGGTGGTCCCAGCCTTGAGGCTGCTGGAATCTTCACAGGGGCATGGAAAGTGAGCTCATGAGAACAGCTTGCACTGGCACAGCCCGTTAGATCAAGGGCTGGCAAACTTTTTCAGTTTTGTGGGCGACACAGGTCCTGTTCAACTCTGCAGAGGCAAAACTTCAACAAATGGGTGTGGCTGGATTTGGAGAGCTTTGGCCCGAGACTGCAGTTTCCCCACTTTCCTGTCCTTCCATCATATTTGATCTGCCAACAAGGCTAGTAGGTGGGCAGGAAAGGTACTTTAGATACTCTCAGGAGAGAGGGAGCTGCGGGCCCAATTTTACTCAAATATGCCTGTGATCCACCCACAGGGCCTGTAGACGGTGGCCCCCAGGCCTCCACCTCTGCCTCTGCAAAATGTTTCCAGGGCCTGGCCTCTTTCACACATCAGTTTGTCCTCAATGTGCCATTTTCACAAAAGTTTCCTGGTGAACCTGAAGGGACTTCACTAATACCCGTAGTAAGGTGGGGTCATCATCTTATTAAAGACAACTATCTCCTCCACATATGTGATTTGGGTGCTTCGTGCTTGGTTACAGCAAGAATTAGGGTGATTAAGGTTGATTTTGGCCATGAATCCCATCAGCATTAAGGGCTGGGCAGGAGACTCTAGATCTGGTGACTACGTGAGGCCCCATGCCCCAACCACTGCCATCCCAGGCCTGTCTTCCTTTGGGTGATAATTACCTAAATCCCAAGTGTGGGTAGCTAAGCGCGTCCTTCTATCCCTTATGCAAATAGAGGCTCAGCCACTGGTGGTCAACTTTATCCAAAGTCTCAGAGCTAGACGAGGCTCCTTCCAGTTGTAACAGTCTATGTTTGCATGAAACACACTTCCCACAATGGCTGTGCTCTCTAAAAGCAGGGGGAAAGTCTGCCTTCGGGTGGTGTGAGGGGCTTGACTTAATACAAGGCTTTCAAAGAGTCACTAATGAAAAAGAATGAACATTTTTGAGGTACAAATCAGACAAAATAATCAAAGGTGGCTTTTCGTAAGGCGGAAGTGGAAAGAAATTGAGGGATCTGAATTTGTTGTTTACTAGGAGGTGTGGGTCCAACTTCCAACCTTGTCCCCAGACCTTTTCCAGGTGTTTGCTTAGGAAGCACTGCCATCTTGTGGCTTACTATAGTTATTGCAGACAGAAGGAAAATCTACCAAAGCCCCCATGACAATACCAATGAGCAATGAACTGAAAAATGCAGGTTAATAGTGCAAACATTACTCACCATTTGGAACTAGTTTGGGGTAAAAAGGTTGGAAACCCAGACAATTGTGTGGTTGCTTCCCATCTTCCTGTCTACAACCGAGGTGAAGTTAATTTCCAGCAAGATAAATTTTAGGTAATAAAATGACTCAGAGAGGGTCTTGTTGCAGGCAAGCGAGAGCAGAAGGGTCTTCAAGGTTACTCACCAAATGGATGAACCCGGCTGCAGTCAGCCACGTGCTGATAAATATGGAGAGCAGATTCACCAGCTTGATGGAATTACTGTGCAAGAGACAACAAGCAAAATCCCCACGTTACCAAGGGAAGGCCCTGCTGGGGCTGCCTTACAGGGTAACAGCACCCGCTTAGCAGGAGAGGCTGCCACATCTAACTCCCAACCATTTCTCCATTATAAGGGAATTCTGGAAGGTGGAGGAAGCTGCTGGGATGAAGGTCAGGACAGAGCCTAGAGGAACAAATTTAACTTTGGTAAAAATTAACTTTTATTTAAAAAACTCTTCAAATCTACAGAAAAGTGGAAAGAACAGTATAATGAACACTTGTACGCTCTTCATTTAGACTGACCAATTATTAACATTTTACCACGGGTGCTTTATCTCCCTACATGCTTTTTCTCTTATCCCCCCCGCCCTTTTTTCTTCTCTTCTTCTTGCCATGTACATATATATATATATATATTTGCTAAACCATTTACCAATAAATCAGAGACATCATGGCACAAGCCCTAAATACTTTAGCACCCAACTCCTAAGAAGAAGGGCATTGCACAGCATAATCACAATACCATTGCACGCCTCAGAAAATTAAAACATAAAAATTCAGTAATGCTATTTAATATGCAGACCTTATTTAAATATCTCCAGTTGCCCCAAAATTATGTTTATTGATTTTTTTTTATTTTCCCCCCAGACCCAAGTTTCATGCACTGCATTTGGCTGTTAGGTGGCTTAAATCCAACTGTCAGGAAACAAGGACAGAGAGTAAATATTTTAGGCTTTACAGGCCATATAGACATTGTCACAAATACTCAACTCTGTCACTGTGGCTTCAGAGCAGCTTTTGGACATCATGTACAGGAATAGATATGGCTTTGTTCCAATAAAACTTTATTTACAAAAACAGGCAGCCGGCATGGGCTATAGTTTGCCAATCCCAGCTTCAGTCCCTTCTAATGTATAATTGACACCACTCCTTTGTAATGACATTAAATTTTGTGTGAACCTAGGTTGTCTTCTATAATGTTCTATATTCTGGATCCTGTTTATTTACTTATTTATTTTTATTTTATTTTTTATTTTTTGAGACGAGGTCTGACTCTGTCACCCAGGCTGGAGTGCAGTGGCACGGTCTTGGCTCACTGCAACCTCTGCCTGCCAGGTTCAAGCAATTCTCCTGCCTTAGCCTCCCGAGTAGCTGGGATTACAGGCACCCGCCACCACGCCCAGCTAATTTTTGTATTTTTAGTAGAGATGGAGTTTCACCATGTTGGCCAGGCTGATCTCGAACTCTTGACCTCAGGTGATCTGCCCGCCTTGGCCTCCCAAAGTGCTAGGATTACAGGTGTGATCCACCGCGCCCAGCCCAGTTTATTTTTTAAATAAATGTTATTGTGTATGTTTGAGGTTTACAACATGATATTACCTACCATCTCACATAGTTACGTTTTTGTGTGTGACAAGAGCAGCTAAAATCTACATATTTAACAAAAATCCCAAATACCATACAATTTTATTAGCAATAGTCCTCATGTTGTACATTAGACCTCTAGACTTGATCATCCTACATAGCTCCCTACTTAAGTATTTCTGTTAAGAATCTCTTCGGGGATGGCATCACATCAGGATATCCCAGCCCAATGACTAGCTCCATCCATGTGGCTAAGGCAGAAATGCTAATGTCTCCACTGAGAGGTGCCCATTTCCCTTTGTAATGAATATGCCACCTTGAGTGAGGCCCCGAGACTGCAGGAATATCCTGCTCCCCAAAAACCTTATACCTAATAGCTTTAGCATTCACTGGTGTTCCTTGAGTGGATCAACTGGACCTTATGACATTTTGAGGTCCCTAAGAGCTGAGGCCTTGTCTGTCTGGATTCCAGGAGCCCTGGGTCCCTGGAGCATAGCAGACCCGTGACTCTGCACTGAGTGCACTGGTATCTGCCCCTGCTCTCTTTCTAAACTGCATCCTGTTCAGTCCCACTGGGGTATACCTGAACGCTGCTGTCAGCAGGTCACTTCACTGTCCAAAGGCTTCTTGTTGACTAAAAGATGACATTCAAACTCTCTCCTTCCATTGTCAACACCTTGTGAAGTCCCAGTCTCTCCCACCACCCCTCTTTCACATAAACTCTTGAAACTGCCATGCCAGCTAAACCTATTTACTATAGCTATTGTTTACACTATTTACTCAACTTGAAAGCCCTTCCCATCTAGTCAAATTTCCCCATTCTTCAAAGCCCAGTTCAATCCCTACTGCTTCCTTAAAGTCGTTCCATCCATCTGCAAGACAAAGTGACTTTCCCCGGCTCTCAACTCCAGCCATTCATTGGTAATTGATCCTACTGACTTAAGATGTCTTTTGTAAAGTTTTAGGTTGCTATTTGACTCTTGTGTTCCTTGCTGCATCTTGCAGAAAAGAACTCTCTTTTCTAGCTCTTGCATTTTCCCAGTAGTGGCTTAATGCAGCCTACAGGGTTGCCCAACCCATTAGTTTTGGTCAGTTCATCTCTGTTATGACTGCCCTCTCTTACCTCTCTTTTGGAGAACCAATGATTTAAATTCTAGGCATTTAAGATCACAGTAATAGTTTCAGCTAGCTTGTTTACAGTTCTTTCCCAGTGCTCACCACATGTGCCACCATCCTAAGTGCTTTAGGATCACCTGTGCTTTATGTATACTAAGTCATTTAATGCTCATAACAACAATCTTTCTTCTTCTATGGAAGAGCACAGAGGAATCCATAGTCTTAGTTTTTCCAGAGTTGATTCTGACAGTTCATGGAAAGAATAAACAGATTCAACTTTGTGGGTGAGACTGATATTTCAAAATGTGTGGAACAACTTTCTTCTGGCTCGAAAACTTGGAAAAACAGCCAAAATGTCCATTCTGTCTCTCTTGGTCATTTCTAGAGTTACCAGATTATAATAATTGCCAATATTTATTGAGCCCTTATTATGTGTTAGATGTTGTGTTAAGCAGAATTCTCTCCTGCCTGTACCTTGTAAGTCCTCTAAGGTGTGCTCCCACATTGGAGGGTAAGAAATAGATGAAGAACTGATAGCCGGCGACAAAGGGAGGCCTCTTAGGGAGGTGTGTGTTGTTCATTTTCTCAGGGTATCGTTAAATACCAAGTGGCTTCACTTACATACTCCTGGATTCTTGGGACCTGAACACAGCAGTGTCCCACCAACAACCATGTAGAGTCCTCTTGAGATATTAAACCTATTTAGAGTCTGAGTCTCC
The DNA here is from genome assembly GCF_000001405.40 of Homo sapiens. NCBI lineage: Eukaryota > Metazoa > Chordata > Mammalia > Primates > Hominidae > Homo > Homo sapiens. The sequence goes on from NC_000010.11 coordinate 77,115,643, forward strand.
TTGGTGCTTTGGAAAAATGACCTAAATATGGTGATTACTAAACTCTAAATGATGGTTACAGTGATATTAGTAGTGCGTTAGGGAGCTCTTGCCATATGCAGAACATTTAATCATTGTTGCTAAAACAGTCCATGTTTAGCTCTGAAATCTGATTATTTTTATGACATCAGTATTATCACAGATCCCTAGGTTTAGGAATTTGCTTTCTAAATGAAACTGTATGACCACACATCTGAAAGCTACAAGCAAAAGATGCAAGGTTAACCCCTGGTGGGCATTCTCCACAGTCTGAAATGTGAACCTTGCCAGGTTAAGTAGGGCTCCTTGGGAAGAAAGAGTGAGGCACGCCAGGAGCAGGGCTGTGTGCTCTGCATAGCAAAGGTTATATATCTCTGTGTGGAGATAGTCATAGCCTTCCTGGTCAAGCCCAGGGATCTGGGCCAAACACGAAGCTACCAGCGGTTAGAATGATTTGAACCATTCAGATTCTAGCCTGCTTCCTAAGCTTTGAGGGAGATTATGATCTTATCATCAACACCTGATCCAACTAAAGTCAATCATTCTCATGTTGCCTATACAATTCCTGAGTCTCCATCCCATGAGTTCTAATTCACATCGATGGACACAGTGAATCATGATAGGTCAGGCACAGGATTCTTGTAGATTAGAGACCTCTTCCAAGAAACTGTGGATGCTGCAAGAGAAGGTCTGGCTCCAGAGATTACAGCTGTAAACCCAGAGCTTCTGGGGCCTCCTTTGTCCTCTATATGTTTAACAAGACATGTTTCAGTTAACACAGAAAATGCCATGCACTTTGTACAAAGAAGTGTACGTTTGTCCCTGTTCTGCTTGTCTCTAATTTTTCTCTTTGTTTCTGGTACTGCCAGGTGCTGCTGGCCTTGTTTGTTTTACTGCTCTCTTTGCTGGACAGATGTAAAATACCCACCCCCTAAAAAGTTAACTGGACTGCACCACACTAACATAAATGGTCTGAATGACAACATGAGTGGAACAAAGTGAAATTCTGCCAATTCAATCCCTTAATTATCTCTAGATCCCTTCTTCTTTCTCTGCCCCAATTTGCACTGCCTAAGGCCATGCCCTAATACCTCTTCCCTGGACTACTGCCTCCTAATTGGTCTTATGGTCTATGAGGTCTTTGATGCTTCAACCCCATTCTCTATACAACTGTTGGAATAGTGGATCTTTCTAAAATGTCAGTCTAACCACATTTCCTCTCCTGATTAAAATCCTTCAACAGCTCTCATTTGTTCTCAGTAAAGTCCATGAATCTAAGAACCTGCATGATTTGGCCTCTCCCTGCACATCTCTTGCAGTCTCCATATAGAATACTCTTCTTTACAAACTTTATCTTGGAGCCATTTCTAAGTTCATGTCAGTAGTAATGTTTTAGTTTCAAAAACGCCTCCCAAAACCATATTGGTTAGGTACACGATGACTCATGCATATCATGGAATGCTATGTGAGAAACAAAAGGTGACATAGTAGATGTAATCATTATCTCAAAGTAGTGTGATGTGGAGGCAATTTTACTTTATCCTATGTGATTTTGTGTGTTGTTGCAATGTTTACCATGAACATATTTTCAAAATTAGAGGAAACAGGCTGGGCACAGTGGCTCACACCTGTAATCCCAGCACTTTGGGAGGCCAAAGTGGGCAGATCACCTGAGGTCAAAAGTTCGAGACCAGCGTGGCCAACACGGTGAAACCCTGTCTCTACTAAAAATACAAAAAGTAGCCAGGTGTGGTGGCAGGCACCTGTAATCCCAGCTACTCGGGAGGCTGAGGCAGGAGAATGGCTTGAACCCTGGAGACGGAGGTTGCAGTGAGCTGAGATCACGCCCAGCCTGGACAACAGAGCAAGAGTCTATCTCAAAAAAAAAAAAAAAAAAAAAAAAAAGAAAAGAAAAGAAAAGAAAAATTAGAGGAAACAATAAGGAAATTCCCATTTTGGAAAAAATTGCTGAGTGATCCATGTTTTAGTCATCAATATTTACCACAGTCAATGAGATGTGGAATTACAGCCTTTAAACACAGCTGCTGACTTTCCTCTGACAGTAGAATAAGTGTTCTAGCACCTGTGTGTTAGATCTCCAGTTTGCAGGGCAACTGAGAAACTGCCAAAACCTCAGATAGTGAGAGGGAGTCTCCTTGTCTCCCCTTTAATTGGCCGTTTCAGGCTATGGAGTATTCTAGGCCCCCTATGGGCTTGCAGTTTGGGAAAGGGCCCTGATGCTGGTCACATAATTGTGATTTGCCCATTTCATCCCATGCACTTTAATTTTCCTTCTGCTGCATTCTTAATTCTTTATCAATCTTTCTGCCCACCTTATGCTTCTCTGCCTTATTTCTTTCAGCTCTTGGCCCAGTGAGGCAGCCAAAGTACTGGAAATGAAACAGCAACTCCAAATCATTATTTCAAATTGCATTGCAAAGCCTCCATCCCTGCCTAATGCCACAGATTGGCAGGAATTCACCGCCAAAGAGAGCCAGACAAAATCTCCCTAAAGACGATTACATGGGTCCCCCAACCCACCCTTCTGGAAGGACCGCTATGAAAGCAGCAGAGTATGGAAGAGTCACAGGAGAATCGCTCAAAAGTCCAAAACCCTACAAAAGCCAAGGCTGCACTTTCTCTGGGACAGAACTTTGGGATCCACACTTGGGGATGCCCAAAAGGAAGGAGCCAAGATTAGCCAGGCTGGCACCTGGAGAGAGAATGGCCTCAGAGAGTTGTCCTAAAGCTTCTAGATTTCTTACAATTACATGACGTTTGCTTCTGTGCCTGGTGACCTGGCCTTTCCTACCCTCTTAACCTCATCCTCCTCTTTCCATCACAGAACGCTTAATGTCCAGGAGTGCAGAATTACCCAAAGTTTCCCCAAGTGTTATGCTCTCACACCAGTGTGCTGTTAGCATCTTCCTTGATTAGAAGTCAACCCCCACCCTACCCCTCACATGCCCAGCCCCATGAGGATGACACTTTTTTCTACAAGGCTTACCTAAAAGTAACCTTCTCCTCGAAAAGATCCTTGACTGCCCTGCAACTCAGGCTAAGCCCAGCTTAGTTACTCCCCTCTCAACCCCTGGGCATGCTGACATCAGCATTAACCACACCGTCAGGTGGCCTGGCCCCCTACGCAGCAAGTTCTCTGACAGCAGGACTCCTAGCATGCACCTTGCTGCTGATACCAATGGGTGCTCACTCCAGGCTTGCTGAATTATCTCAACCATCTGGTTATGACCATAAGTGAAAGGAACTCTGAAAACCCAGGTTGTGGGTTTGTGGCAAAAAGCACCCTCTAACAACAAGAGTTTCATATAGTGGGAAGTGGGGTGCTGGAAAAAGGCTGTTTTGGGGCCCGGATGGCAGATGCCCAGACAGCCTTCCACCCCGTGACTCTTCCCTAGGGCCATTCTCTCCCTCGTCCCCTGGCTGGCTGCTTCAGCTTCCCCGCTCTGCACTGAGAGAGGCAGCACTGAGTGCAGTTGGCAGGTGAGCTGACACCAGGGATCCCACAGCCACTTCCCGCATCCAAAGGAAAGAGAGGTGAGTGTCCTAGCAGAAAGTCAGAAAAAGATATTCAGATGGTCCATCATTTTCTCAAGTTCTAAAACGGTCCAGGGAGTAGACAGTATTCCTCAGAGCAATGGAACCTTCTCAAAATGCTGGCATCAGAGAATAAAAATCCCCCTAACATATGATGTAATTGTGAAACAGGGAGAGACAGACACTACCCAATGTTAGAGAGTGTCACAAAACACCATCCCTACCAAAAAAGTAAGTGTCTCTTAAGGACAAGGCTCTATGCTTGGTGCTGGGTACTCACGCGTTCCATCTTTAAAACACAGTCTAGTGGAGTGAATCTGACATACGTAAATATTGGCGAGATGCTAGCTTCATTGATCGTTTACATTTCAAAAGTAATATGATTCTAGCACATAGAAGAATAATTAAAAGGCAGAAATCAAGGTTATTGGCAATCAGAAAAACATGAAGAAATACAATATTCACTGTATGTGAATAATATTACATTATTGCTAATAAACAGAGGACTGATAAATTCTTATCTCAGGATAATGAACAGTAAAAGGCAGGAGGACATACTTTTAAAGACTTCAGTGCCATTGGATTCTCTTTTTCTTTTCAACTTGACTAATAGAAAGTGAATTTGACCTCACAGTCACATAGATGAGCAGTCAGAGAGAGGAAACCAATTTGGAATTAAAGCAAAATAAAATAAACAAGCAAAAAAAACACTAACACCCAAGGAGTAAAGCCAATCATAGGTTGAATTTGTTGGCTGTGTCAGGTTCATTCAGGAAGCTAGGTCCCAGCCTGTGTTACCAGGAAAATGATGCTGAATCTAATCCTCAAAACTACAGATATATTAATTACAAATCACAAAATATGGAGGTGTCCTGTTTTTAATCATTTATCAAATGCATGAAGGGCAACCAAAGAGGAAATGGAACATTAGAAGTTAGCTTCTTAGAGTGTAATTTCCTAGAAGAGAAATTTATGGCCTGTACTTATTCTCCATTAGAGCACGTCTAACCTCTTTTATTAGTTTATTCATCAAGACAGCCTTGGTTTCAGGCCAGCTCTGCAAGCCGGCAGGTCATCAGGAAAGGGATCCTCTGGGGGCTTTTCCTCCTGGTCCAGTTGTGTTTTCCAGATCATAACGCAGTTAACAGAAGTATTCATGGTGCATTCGGCAGGAGGTTTGTAGGTTTTCCCCCAAAAGGCAATTCACAGAGAAAGCCCCAAGGGCTATACGGATATAAAGTGAACATCTAAAATGTGCTTTGAAATGAAATGATTTTCTGTTTGCCGTATGAGGTTTGTGATTGCCTCTCACAGCATTGCTTCTATTGCCTTTACGACTGGGTTCAATTTCTTATTTAGTGATGTAATAAAGGGGCGATTTAGAATCTGGCAGCAAGGACTTCCCAATCAATGAGCAAATCTATCCCTCATTCACTGTGCACCTTTCCCCTTGACACCGTGGCTCTTATCTGGGCAACCCCACTGGGCACACAGATATCAGCTATGTGTCCCTAAAAGTGTCCCTACTTCCCTGCATGCACAGCTATTTCTCTCTTTTCACCACATAGTTCCCTGGCCCTGCAGAAGAGAGCAACTCAAACCCTACTCTGGTTTTCTCTCCCTCTCTGTGTTAGATCACTCTTTCTGTGAATAATATAACTATTAATAATGTCATTGTGATGAAAGCAAGCACACCTGATATTTGCAACTTGGCATAGGGGACTGGAATGAAAAAAATATGACGAAGAACATCTTACCTTGTTTTAAGAATATTCAGAAACTGCAAAATTTCTGAAAACTGTATCAGTCTCAGAGCTCTTAAAAATCTCAAACCTGGAAAAAAGAATGAAATAGAGATGCATTATTTTCAATGTGTGATTTTAATGTTCACAGTCTGCCATTTGATTTACAGTTCCCAAGGGTCGAAGGGATGGGAAGTTCTTGCAGAAGATAAACCAGCTGGTACCTCAGACATATTCCTTCATTCTGATTCTTGACTGGTTTAATCTCGACTGGGAAATGGACTTTCTCTTTATAAAGGTGGCCTGTTTGGAACCTCTTTAGAGGAAGGGCTCATGGGGAGAAGCCAGGTTAATGAGACTTTTCATTTGGTGATCTCTGATTGAAAGCACTGTTTCTAAGTTACCTAGTTATCTGGCAGGATTTTGTCTCTGAAAAATCCTAGGAATTGTGATAGCTCAGGGTAACCCTTGTGCTAAGAGCAGATTGAGAATAAATCGGATAACCTTATGTCTTTGATGGATTTTATTTTTTATCTTTATCTTCAGCCCTGATAAAATGAAGAGTACAGCCCACAGTGTTATCTGTTTTCTACAAACTTCTATATTTTCCTCCCAATAAAAAAAAAAAAAAGATCAGTGAGATATCACACCCCACAACTTCAGGATTCAAAATTTATATAGTTCCCCTTTTATTAAGTGTTAAGATAAATGGTTTGTCCTTTCTAAATCAACAACCTCTCTTGAATGAAAAAGAAGCATCAGTGTTTAGGTGGCAGAAGAGAGATGGAGAAGGAAAACACATCAAGGACATTTTAAAAATGCAAATTATTATGTTTTAATAGCTAAGAGTGAATTATATTTCTGTTCAGGTGAAATTCATGGTCAAAACATTCAGTCAGTCCTGGGCTATAATAATTTGGCTATCATGCAAGGGAATTACTTACAAAATGCTGGTTTGTCACCGCTTTGAGACACATTGAATGTCACACCCACTCCCAAGGGGATTTTCTTTTGCAGACTTTCTAGAAGCATTTTATTAAGCACCGCCACGTGCCAAAGGCAGTGCGAAGCCCTCCAGTGCACTGAGTTGACAGACAACTCCACGCCCGTGGGTGGGGCTTTGTTCTCCCACGCCCGTGAGCCAGTAAAGGGCAGCCTAGGGCACAGTGGTGGGAAGGAATCCTTACTACCTTCTACTTGAATGAGGAGTACACTAACTGCACGCAACGTGGAGCTGTTTAGGTAATAAGGGAAAATTAACTTAAAGTTCATGGGGTGGGGGAAAATCTGTACAAGGAAAGAGGGAGAAAAGGATTGGCTCAAAAAAATAATTTCTCATCTGAAAAGGATTAACCATCATGAACAGAAGACTTTTTTTGAAAACATTCTCCTTCTATGCTAAATAATACTTATATAACTTTTATTAAATAATTGCAGAGATGAGACGGGATGTTGATGAAATAAAAAGGCTCACGGCCAAAAGCACAGTTGTAACTGAGCTGATGAAAGGCTGACTTAGCACCGCTGAAAACCGACCACGGCGCAGAGTACAAAACTAAGAAGTCACCTCAGAAAGCAGAGAAAATATGAGAAAGGGAGAAAAAAAAAAGATGAAACTTCAGAAAATAGAAACACAGTAGAAATCACAGAGATCCAACCCATGGATAAAATGTGTTGGCCAAAGGGAAGTCAAAACATCACATTGATCATAAGCAAAGGCCAGGACATAACAGAAAAGAACTTTTGAGATATGAAAAAATGACTGGAGACTAAAAGGTAAAATGAAGGATCAGTTCTTAGAGACCAATGCCAAGAAGCATCTGGCTTTTCATTTTCACATTTCAAGTATTAAAATCAAGCAATAAAAATAAACCACCAGTGTTGATGGGGTTATTTACCGTTAATGTAACTAAGATCATTATATTTAACAAAAAGTGTTGGCCGGGCACGGTGGCTCATGCCTGTAATCCCAGCACTTTGGGAGGCCGAGGCGGGAGGATCACGAGGTCAGGAGATCGAGACCATCCTGGCTAACACAGTGAAACCCCGTCTCTACTAAAAAACACAAAAAAATTAGCCGGGCGTGGTGGCGGGCGCCTGTAGTCCCAGCTACGCGGGAGGCTGAGGCAGGAGAATGGCGTGTACCCGGGAGGCGGAGCTTGCAGTAAGCCGAGATCGCGCCACTGCACTCCAGCCTGGGCGACAGAGCGAGACTCCGTCTCAAAAAAAAAAAAAAAAAAAAAAAAAAAAAAAAAAAAGTGTTAAACAGCAATTGGGCAATTTTCAGAATTTTTAGACAAACAGAATTTGACCCAAGATTTTTATACCCAGTCAAGTGGTTGTTCAAGAATAAAAGTAACAAAAAAAATTTCAAATTCTAAGGTCTCAAAAAATACATTGTTTGCTCAGTGTGTGCATAAAGTTTCCAAAGAGGTTCACAAGACTTGCTAAATCAGAATGGGAGGGGGCAAGGGCTGGAAATTAAATTTATAACAGACTCTACTGCTGGTCCTAACCTTCCAGCCCAACCTAGACTGTTATCTCATACCAGTATCACTGTCGCATATTGCTGAGCTAAAACGACAAATGTAGAAACGTGGAGTAGAAGGCGACTGGCAGTTAGCACTGAAACTATGAAAGATAACAACACTCTTCCATGTTCCTTGAGGGATACATTCCAAGACCTCCCAGTGGATGCCTGAAACCTCAGATAGTGCCAAATCCTATATGCATTATATACACACACCTACGGTAAAATTTAACTTATAAATTAGCACAGGAAGGGATTAACAATGGCAATAATAAAATAGAACAATTATGACAATATGTACCAGCATCACTATACTTGCGCTTTGGGGCCGTTATTAAGTAAAATAAGGGTTAGTTGAACACAGGTAACATGGGTTACAGCAAGACATCGGTCTGCCCACTGAAGTGCCCTGAGAGACTAATGGCCAGGGAGTGCAGATGGCACGGATGTGCTGGACAAAGGGAGGATTCTTGTCCCAGATGGAACCAAGCAGGACAGCATGCAACTTAAACATTATGAATTGTTTATTTCTAGAATTTCCTATTTAATATTTTCAGACTACGGTTGCCTGGGGATAACTGAAACCTCAGGAAGCAAAACCATAGATAAGAGGCACTCCTGTAGAAATACATGCTAGCAATGTATTAGCCATTTAGTGTTTAATCCTGAACATTCTGTGTGTGCATAGATATGCTTTTATTTATGGAACTAAAAATAGAATACAAACAACCTGAACTTCAAACTGGATTTCTTCTTTTTATCTTTAAACGATGGTGTTTGTATCGTATATCCATTGCTGATTGGCAGCTTGCCACATTTGAGTGAGTTACACAAATATAGTAGAATAAAAGCTTTTCTTTTAATTAAGGTGCATGAAAGTAAGGGCAGGAAAGAAATGAATGCAGAGGCCACAAGGTCCTATACTCTTGCTAGACACAAACTGCAGATCTAGCTCTGAGCACCTTCTTAACAAAAGCAAGCAGGCAGACAGGATAAGATCAATAGTGTATACATATGAGAGAAAAACAAACTGGCTTGCAGGAGAATCATTTATTTTTCCCAACATGGAGACCAGAGGGAAATATCTCCTTGCAAAAGGGACCCAGGGTGATGCAGGAGCAAGACCCCTGTGGGCTGAACAAGGGTGGCCTTTGCTTATTTGACTGCCTCATACTGGGCATTTTTATGGCACTGAGTTTCACTAATGCAAATGAGCCAATGAAGTTCTCCATAGGTTAAAAAAGTCAGTCTACATTTCATCCTCAGATCAAGCCAGACTATCTGGAGAAATGGTTGGTCTTTCAGGAATCATTCACAATAGCTTCCGTATTAGTCCGTTCTCACTCTGCTAATAAAGACATACCCGAGACTGGGTAATTTATAAAGGAAAGAGGTTTAATTGACTCAATTCCACAGGGCTGGAGAAGCCTCAGGAAACTTACAGTCATGGCAGAAGGGGAAGCAAACACATCCTACTTCACATGGTGGCAGGAAGGAGAAGTGTTGAGCATAAGAGGGAAAAGCCCCTTATAAAACCATCAGATTTCGTGAGAACTCACTATCACGAGAACAGCAGCATGGGGGTAACTGCCCCCATGATTCAATTACCTTCCACAGGGCCCCTCCTACAACATAGGGGTATTATGGGAACTACAATTCAAGATGAGATTTGGGTAGGGACACAGCCAAACCATATCAGCTTCCTAACCGCTTTCTGCCCTGGACCCCTTGTGTTCTCTGCTCAGAAGCCTCCAATGCCACCCATTCCACACAGAGTAAAAGTCAAAGTCTTTCAAAGGCCTAAAGCAACACCATCCCACCACCAGCACTATCTCCTTTTGGATCTGATGGCTTCCTACTGTCACTCCTACTACTGTCCGCTGATCTGGCAGATGTCTTCAGTGACACTTGAACACACAGGTATGCTACTGCCCCAGGGCCTCTGCACATGCAGCCTCTCTGCCTGGAATGCTGTTTGCCAGATGCCCACATGGCATACTCCCTCACCTCCTTTGGGTTCTTACTCAATGTCCCTTGATCAGCGTGACTTTCCCTGGCTACCCGACCTAAACATGCAACTCCTCCCACACCACCCGTGCAACTCCCTATCCTCTTTCCTGCTTCACTTTTCTCCTCAGCATGAAGCACTAGCACCTCGGTTATGTGGTTACTTTCTGCCTTCCTCTCTTTAGCATCAGCTCTATGAGGGGAGGAGCTGATGTCTGTTTTGTTCAGGGCTATATTTCCAGCATTGAACATAGTGTCTGGCATAAGGTGAAGGCTCAATAAATCCTTGTTTGAACTGAATGAGTGAATCAAAGTTTTGAGAAATAATTAGACGGCGGAGTTAAAGGTTAGATAATCCACATTCAGAATTCTGAGACTATATGTTGCCTACTAAAGGGAAAAGCCAGAAGCCCTGCGGGGTCCCCTGAGAGAGGTCAGGGCTGCACTCTTGGGAAGTAGAAAGTAGCCTCATCAGGGAAAAGCCTTAACGAATGACCACTCTGGCTATACCCAGAAAGAGCCCAGAAGACTACAGACAGCGACTTCAGGCTAAGAGAGGAGACCAAGATAAGAGAGGTGAGAGGGGGAACTCTTTGGTGACAATTATTCATCTTCTCTATTTTATAATATCTTTTATTATTTTTATTCTATAAAATCTCTGAAATAAATGATTTTCTAAGGTAACACAAAATAGCTATAATAGAGTTGTGAAGAAGAAAATGTGTATATACCAAAAGCCAGGAATTACATGCCCTCCCCAAAAGCTTCCAGGTTCAGAGAGTTTTACAAGTGAGATTTTTACAGTTTCAAAAAATAGTAACTTCTCTATCTATTCTCTATTATATGATCAATTCTTAAAAATGGACTTATCTGTGTTTTTCCATGCTCTGTATTGGTTTAGAAAGTTGGCATTACCTGGACACAAGTTCCCTTGCATTTTTTCTTAAATGGCAAGCTTATCACACTAATGACTAACAACAATAATCCTAAATAAAATACTAGGGTATCATATCCAAGACTGCATTAAATGAATAAAAGACATGAGCTATAGCAGATGCTGTAGGGTACAGCCCAAATCCCCTCTTCAGGGACCTTATTTGTCCTGGGCTCTTGAAGAGTGACCTGCTAAAGGCTCAGAGCTAGTCCCTTCATGAGAACTGCCCTCTGCTACAAGGAGCTGCCTCACCTGGGGCTACATCCCCTGTCAGTGGTGGTGCCCCCCACCCCCCCACCCCCCCCCCACCACCACACACAAATGCTGGCTGATGTAGGGACAAAGGTCAGCTGCCTTGCCTCAATTTGGGATACTTTTTCCTGTGGGATGGGTTGAGGCTTCCCAGGCAGCTGCAGCCAGCCTGAGTTCTCCACCCTTATTCCCTCACAGGCATGGGCATTAAATCCTACCCTGGTGATCTGCATACCAGAAGACCGAGCATTCTAAGAGTCCATGTGGGCATACTGGAGGCACTCAGTAAATGGTAATTTCATCATATGAAGAATTACAATAGCGTAGGAGTGTACACACGCCACAGAAAAGTCATCAAACTGGACTAGAAAGCCCAGAAACACACACACAAACACACACACACACACACACACACACACACACACACACACACACACACAGAGTACATATAGTGTTACTATTATTTTAAATTACTGGTGAAATGATGATGTTGACAATGACATTAATCTATTATTATTGATGATATCTAGTATGTTTATTTACTTACACACACTAAAACTTCTAACTATATCTTTTTTAAAAAATACGTACACAGAAGAAAATAGCTAAGGAGACACAAATGAGACAGTGTATCCAGCATAGTTTGAAAGCAACAGAGCCAAGTTTCACCACAAATGTGACAAACTCCACAAAGCCCAAGCTTCTAGCCACTGCCCTGTACAGACTTCAGCCAGTCATTTCCAATTCAGACATTAGGACTCAAGCACACACTTTCAAGACTTGTGATACATCTTACCAACTTGTCCTCACAATTTGCATTCCCTTCAGTATGCAAATGCTCTTTTGCCTGTATTCCCACTGGATTGAGTACAGTGATAGAGAAAATAGGAAGGAAGGAAGGAAGGAAGGAAAGAAGGCATGAAGGCAAGAAGGGAGAGAAGGAGAGAAGGCAGGAAGGCAGGAAGGCAGGAGGGGAAAGGGAGAGAACGAGGGTAAGAATCCCAATTTGAGGTCGGGCATGGTGGCTCATGCCTGTTATCCCAGCACTTTGGGAGGCTGAGGTGGACTGATCACTTGAGGTCAGGAGTTCGAGACCAGCCTGGCCAACATGGTAAAACCCCGCCTCTACCAAAAATACAAAAAATTAACCAAGTGTGGTGGTATGTGCCTGTAATCCCAGCTACTTGGGAGGCTGAGGCAGGAGAATCACTTGAACCTGGGAGGTGGAAGTTGCAGTGAGCCGAGATCTCGCCACTGCACTCCAGCCTGGGCTACAGAGTGAGAGTCCATCTCAAAAAAATTAAAAATTTAAAAATTAAAAAAAAAATCCTAATTTGATAGACCCCAAATAAGAGCTCATGGCTGTTTTATTTTGCTTTTCTATCTTAACAAATGAAGCTAATTATTTTTTCATATAATTATTAGTCATTTTATTTTCTTCTCTAAAGTGCTTTAGAGTGGCCTTTGCCAGTCTGCCTGTGTATTTATCTTAATTGTAGTAATACAATTATGTTCTCATATAAAGAAGATTTTGTATACCATATATTATCTCCCACCGTTCGTCATTCTTCTCAATTTGGCTTAAAGTATTTTTCCTACTGTCAAATTTTACTTAAGGTGGGTTTCTTTCCCCATGAATTCTAAAATATATCAATCTTTCTACCATGTTCCCTTTTTTTAAAATTTTTTTGGCCATCCCCATCATATAGATAATTTTTTTTTTTTTTTTTTTACTGCATCTATTTTTTTTTCTTTGTACTTTTGGGGCACTGGTTCTGGACTTTGACTGTACATTTAAATCACCTGGGAAACTTTTAGAATTGTTGACACCTGGGTCTCAGCACCCCCTACCTGCATTCTGATTTAATGGGCGTGGGGTACATTCAGGCAGAGGGAGTATTAAGGCTCCAGAGTGATTCTAATGAGCCATCCAGGTTAAGAAGCATTGCAAACTTTTTCTATAAATGAACATATAGTAAATATTAATAAATATTTTAGGCTGTCACAACGACTCAACTTTGCTGTAAATAATAGGAAAACAAATAGGTGTGACCATATTCCAGTAAAATGTTATTCATATAAATAGGCCATGGACACTAATTTTCTACACTTGCTTTGGAGGCATGGGATTCAAATCCATTGTGCACATGAATCACCTGGCATTTGTAAACATCCAGATTCTGACTCAGTGGGTCTCCGATGGGGCCTGATACTGTGCATTTCTAACAAGCTCTAAGCTATCGTCAATGCTGTTGGTCAGAAGACCACACTTTGGGAAAACAAGGCTGCAAGGCAGTGGTCCCCAGATTTCTCTGCCATTGCAATCACCCGAGGATTTTAAAGCAATACTGAGGCCTGCTTCCCACCAGATTCAACGGGTCTGGGATACAAGCTGGGCATCAGAATTTTTATAAATTCTGATTCGAGTGTGCAGCCAAGTTTGGGAACCAGTGGTTCAGAATATATTTTCTTTTCTCTAACCTTTAATTTGTTAATCTGTTTTGATGTATTTATTTATTTTGGTTAACAGTGCACCAAAAGGACCAAGCTTTATTTTTCTAATCAAGAAGATTCTAATGTACAGCCAGATGATGGATGAGGATGAGTCCAGTGTACAGCCAAGTTTGGGAATCACTGCTTTAGAGTATCTTTTATTTTCTTTTTTTAACCTCTAACTTGTTAATCCATCAGGATGTATTTATTTATTTTGGCTAGTAGTATGCCAAAAGGAGAATGCTTTATTTTTTCTCCAAATAGCAAATTTCCGTTAATCCGAGTAATCACTTGAGTAATTTAAAACCAGTAATCTACCCTCTAAGCACACTACCAGTCTATTTAAATCAATTTTAAAGAACATACTGGCTAACTAGAAGTTAAATCAATAATACAATAAAAGATTATTTATAAAACAAAGCATTCAGCTTAAGATTTTGGGGGAAAAGTAGTCTTGACAATAGGAGAAAGCTGATTTTTTAGTTCAGTGTTTATGACTAAATAACCAGAAAACCAATAAATATGAAAAAAAATTTTAAAAATCTGTAGAATTTTATGGGAGCAAACAATGGCAACAAGAAAACAAACAAAATAAAGTTCTGGCTGATCCAATAAAAAAAGAAAAAAATTATCCACAATGATATTCTAATAAATCTGTGAAAAACCTCAGTGAGAGGGATGACTTTCTGAAAAATATAAACTTCGAAACTTGATACACACAAAAAAGAAATCCATTATAGGATAACAATTGAGATATACATTGAAATATATAGTAACAGCTTCCCTTACAGACTCTGCACCCATATATAATTTATGATTAAATTATTGCACATACATTTTATTAAAATTCTAAACTGTTCCATAATACAAAACGAGATCTAAAGCTACTAACTTATATTATAAAATAAACATAAACTGAGGACCAAAAACTGACTCTCAAAGCACAAAAATAAAGTAGAAATGGCCCTCAACTTACAATGGTTCAACTTAATGATTTTCTGACTTTTCAGTGGTGCAAAAGTGATACCTATTCACCTTAAACCATACTCTAAGTATTCACACAACCATTCTGTTTTTCACTTTCAGTACAGTATTCAATACATTACACTAAATTTTCAGCACTTTATTATAAAATATGCTTTGCGTTAGATGATTTTGCCCAACAGTAGGTAATGTAAGTGTTCTGAGCATGTTTAAGATAGGGTAGGCTCAGCTGTGATGTTTGGTAGGTGAGGGGTATTAAATGCATTCTCAAACTTAAAATATTTTCAGTTTATGATGGGTTTGTGAGGATGTAACTCCATGGTTAAATTGAGAAGCATCTGTATTCTAATATCACTAAGATCATAGATGCCAAAATTCTGTATATAATACCAACATAAATTATTCATCAATGAATTAAAATGATAATCCAGAGCATTCTAGTTAAACATAGCAGATGGATCACAATGGTTTATGTCTGCCCCCTCTCAAAACTTCACTAAACTAATACAAATGTTGAGGGGGTAGGAAACAGCAGAATCCCACAAGAACAAAAAGAATGGAAGAGGAGATTACAACACAGAACAGACGAACACAAAATGTGGGTAGATACTCTGTTAGAAACTGACTTGGCATACATATATATGTATTTATTTATATTTATATAAACATATACATATATTTTCCATGTATATATTTCCATAATGAGAAAGAAAGACATATACACACACATATGTCTATCTCCACAATGATAAACAGAATATTAAAAATGTCTTTGGTCAATACATAAAGACTGAGGTTGATGGGGGGGTGGTTGGGATGCAGAGATCACAGTGAAGAAGAAAACAACCATCCAAAAGGTGAAATGAAGTGGCTGACCCTGGGAAGAAGGAGGCTGTGACAATAACACTGATTGACTGGGGTGCCAAACAGGAGTAGTCACTACATGGCAGCAAGTGCATACACTTGAGGTGTTAAAATAGAGCAATATCCTGAGTAAACTGTAACTCTTGGAAGAAACACACTGTCTCTACAGCTGTAAGACCAGTTACCGAATAGAAACACACAGTAGCATATCTCAGTACTCCCCAGACAAACTGCAACACACAAAGACAGCATTCACATATAGGCTAACAGAAGATCTCAAATGCAAAGATAAGCACAAAACAGGCCAAGCACGGTGGCTCATGCCCGTCATCTCAGAACTTTGGGAGGCTGAGCAAGACTCCATCTCCAAACAAAAAAACACTGTCAAGTACATCTACATATAACCACATGGATGAATCACACAGGCGTAACACTGAGAGAACAAGGCCTGACACAGAGTCATTCTATATAACCCAGTTATATGAAGTTCAAAACTGGGCAAAACTGATATATGGTCAGGAGAGTGGTTACCTTTGTGGGGTGTAGTGACTAGAAGGTTGCCAGGAGAAGGGACTAGGGGGTGACAGGCAATAATGACTGTTTCTTGAGCTGAGCGTTGGCTTCTCAAATGCATTCTCTTCGTGAAAATTTATCCAGCTGTTGCCAGGCACGGTGGCTCATGCCTGTAATCCTAGCACTTTGGGAGGCTGAGGCAGGCGGATCACTTGAGGTCAGGAGTTCGAGACCAGCCTGGCCAATATGATGAAACCCCATCTCTACTAAAAATTCAAAAATTAGCTGGGCATGGAGGCAGGCACCTGTAATCCCAGCTACTTGGGAGGCTGAGGCAGGAGAATCGCTTGAACCCGGGAGGCAGGGGTTGCAGTGAGCTGAGATCGCGCCACTGCACTCCAACCTGGGCAACAGAGCAAGACTCGGTCTCAAAAAAAAAAAAAAAAAAGAAAAGAAAAGGGAAGAAAAGAACTAAAGAATTGCCAAACATTTGAGGAAAGGCAACTTTCCTTCAAGAAATGCACATATTACACTTCAGGCCAACTGACCCTTAAGGATACAACATTAACAAAGCATTAAACAAAAAATGCTTTAGAAAAATATTTGAAAAATATAAAGAGTTGTGAAAAACTATCTCAACTCAAAAAATCAACTAAATATCTTAGCAATTAAAATTTTGAACATCAAAATCTTAAAAGGCCAGCTTAATAGAAGAATGGGCATAGCCACACAGCAAAGTAGAGGGCTGAACTATCACACAGCCATCTTCATACAAAGGGGCACAGGAATGAAAAGTGCAAAAGAAAAACTAAGAGACCCAGAAAACAGGAATAAAGTTTTCCACATCCATGTAATTGAGCTGCCAGAAGGAAAAAATGAAGGAAATAGAGAACAGGAAACATTTAAAATAACATTAAAGTGTCCTAGACCGAAAGAATGACCTGTATCCTCAGATTGGAAAGGTCTTTTAAGTGTCCAGCAGGTTAAATTTTTTTTTTTTTTTTTTTTGAGATGGAGTCTGGCACTGTTGCCCAGGCTGGAGTGCAGTGGCGCGATCTCGGCTCACTGCAAGCTCCGCCCCACGGCCAGCAGATTACATTTTCAAAGACCTAAATCCAAGCATATTGTGGATAAATTTTATAACATCAATGTGAAGAAATAAATCCCTTCAAAGCAACAAGAGTCAAATTATTGTCACAATTCTCCTGGCTTCACTGGTTGCAAGAAAACAAAAGAAGGATATCTTTACAATTCTCAGGACAGATTAATTTGAACCAAGTAATATATACTTAGCCAGTTGAAAGAAAAATAAATCCAAAAGAAGCAAGATACAAGAAGCAACATGGAAAAGATAAAAGTAATGGATTCATTTATGTGTTGACTGAGTATGTTTTAAATGAATAAATAATAACAATGATCCAAAATTAAAATCTCTGGAAATAAATGGAAGATGGAGGTGTGAAGGAGAGAGGGCAATGGGAAAAAGAAAGGTGTGCAGAAATTCTTGTCTTGATAGGATACAATCAATCATATATATTAACAGAAAAAAATTAAAGTATGTGTATCAAAACCTTAAGGATATAAATTCCATAGCCTAGAGAAAAAAAAAAGGACAAAGGAATTTAATCAAATGGAGAAAAGAAAAAAAGAACAAAAACTTCAGCCCATCCAATGAAAAGAAAAAAAAAATAAAAGGTATATTAATCAGAAAACATAGTTACAATAGCAAAAGAGTCCAAATATATTTGTAATCATAATAAAATTAAATTAAAATTACTTTCACCTATGGAAAGACAGAGATTCACATGATATGAAAACAACAACAATAATAAATTCCAGGCGCATGCTATTTAAAAGACATACACTGCAAACAAGACATACAGAAAAGTTAGAAATGAAAGAATGGAAATTATGTGCCTGGCAAATGCTGAGAAAAGAGGAACAAATAGAGCAATGACTATATCAAATAAAGTGGCAGCTACTGCAAAAAGTTATATAAAAATTATATATAAACATTATATTAAAAAGAATAAAAAGTAATATCTCATATTGATAAAAGAAACAATCCACAAAGAATGTGTAACAAAAAAAAACTTTATACACCTAAAAGTATTCCTTTGAGATAAATAAAGCAAATATGACAAGAATGCACAAATATAGGACATTTAAGTAGCATTTAATCCCTTGGGATATATTCGTATCTATATGTATCTGAATGGATGGGCAGAAAGACACACACATATATTAGTAAACTAGGAACACACATTCTTTAATAACAGCCATGAGCAGTCTCAAAAACTGACCACATATTAGGCCACAAAGAAATTTCATCAAAATCTAAAATGCAAAAATCATCTAAGTCACATTTACCACAAAGCAATAGAATAAGAAAGTAATAAGAGCATGGCAACAATGACTAAGCAGTAGAGAAATAGACTCTATTTTATCAGAAGAATTTTACAGACAATAAAGAGGTCATCACAAATCAAAAGGAAGACAGGCATCATGCAATGATGGACCTCATACCATAATGGAAATAAGTTTGAGATGAATTAAAAATTAAATATAGATAATAAGGGACAGAAAAATTGAGGAAAATATAGGTATATATTATTAGCCCTCTGAAAAGAAGAATTTCTAATTTCATGTGTAAAAGGAGTCATACAATCTTTGAAATACAGGCTCTGCCACCACCATAAAAACGTCAAAATTCTGCATGTTTAAAATCATAATAAACACAATATCCAATGAAAAAATAATCAAATATGATACAATAAGGATAAATTCTTTGTAATGTCAAAAGCATGTATGTAAAATACTTTATCATTAGTTGATAAGTAGGCAAAAATCAAACAGCTACATCATGAAGTAGATAATATAACTAGTGAATAATCATTAAATAAATTAATTAAATGAAACTATTTTATCTTAACTTGGTTCAAATAAAAAAAATGTGCACCATATACAAAAACCAACTCACAATGAATTAATGACTTAAGATCCAAAACTGTGAAACTACTAGAAGAAAGTATTGAGAAAGAGCCCCATGACAACGGTCAGGGCAATAATTTTTTGGAAATGACCCCTAAAACACAGGCAATAAAAGCAAAAATGGACAAAGAGGATTACATCAAACTAAAAAGCTTGGCCCAACAAAAGAAAGAATCAACCGAGTGAAGAGAGGCGGGGCGCAGTGGCTCACGCCTGTAATCCCAGCACTTTGGGAGGCCAAGGCAGGTGGATCACAAGATCAGGAGATCGAGACCATCCTGGCTAATACGGTGAAACCCCGTCTCTACTAAAAATATAAAAAATTAGCCGGGTGTGGTGGTGGGCACCTGTAGTCCCAGCTACTCGGCAGGCTGAGGCAGGAGAATGGCGTGAACCCGGGAGGTGGAGATTGCAGTGAGCTGAGATCATGCCACCGCACTCCAGCCTGGGAGACAGAGCAAGACTCTGTCTCAAAAAAAAAAAAAAAAAAAAAAAAAAAAAAAGGAAGAAAGAATCAACGGAGTGAAGAGACAACCTACAGAATGGGAGAAAAATATTTGAAAACTATACATCTGATAAGGGCTTAATATTCAAAATATATAGAGAACACATCTCAATAGCAAGAAAGCAAATAGCCCAATTAAGAAATGGGCAAAGGACCTGAATAGACATTTCGCAAAAGAAGAAATGCAAATAGCCAACAGTAAATGTTTAAAATGTTTGACATCACTATTTATCAGGGAAGTGCAAA
Source organism: Homo sapiens (assembly GCF_000001405.40). NCBI lineage: Eukaryota > Metazoa > Chordata > Mammalia > Primates > Hominidae > Homo > Homo sapiens. The sequence goes on from NC_000010.11 coordinate 77,135,277, forward strand.
TTAAAACTACAATGAACTATCACTTCACATCTGTTAGAAGGGTTATTATCGAAAAGACAAAAGGTTAAGTGTTGGTGAGGATGTGGGAAAAAGGAACCCTTGCATACTGTTGATGGGAAGGTAAATTAGTACTATTTTCCATTATGGAAAAAGGTAAAAAGTTTCCACAAAAACCCAAAAATAGAACTACCATACAATCAAGCAACCTCACCACTGGGTATATATTCAGAGGAAATGAAATCAACGTGCTGAAGAGATGTCTGCACTCCCATGTTCTTTGCAGCACTATTCACAATAGCCAAGGTATGAAATCAACCGCAGTGTCCATCAACAGATGAATGAAGAAAATGTGATATATATACACAATGGCATATTATTCAGCCAAGAAAAGAATAAATCCTTTCATTTGCAACAATGTGGATGAACCTAAAGTTTATATTAAGTTAAATAAGCCATGCACAGAATGACAAACATCACGTGATCTCACTCATATAAAACAGCTGATCTCATAGAAAGAGGGGCTGGGGCGGTTGGAGGGAAGGGTGGTTGGGTAGATGTTGGTCAAAGGATACAAAATTTCAGTTAAATAAGAGAAATAAGTTTAAGATATCTACTGTATTACATGGTGACTATAGTTAATAACCATATAGTATTCTTGAAAAATGCTTTAAAAAATTAAAAGAAATGCAAATTAAACAAAAATAAGTAAGCACTGTATTTATTCTACTTAATAGCAACATATTTGAGCTTCACCTAGTGGAGATGACTCTACAATGAAATAGTCTTATAATTCCATTGTGGAATTATAAACTGATAAAACCTTTTCAGAAAGTAATTCAGCATTATTAATCAAAGTAATTCCATTTCTGGGAATATAGCCTAAGAAAATATAACAAAATATGGAAATATGCTACAGAAACAAAGATGCTCATTGCAAAATTGTTCATTAAGCAAGAAAAATAGAAAGCAGCTTAAAATCCAAAAATAGGTCTTACGTCTGATACATCTTCTTTATAGGATATTATATATGCTCAAAGATTGTAACAAGGAAAATTTTTGACATAATGTTAAGTTAAAGAAGTAGAATGTCGAAATTAAAATAGCGATTACCAGGAGCTGAGGGGAGAGGAAAAATTATTTGTTTAATGGGTTTAGAGTTTCAACTTTGCAAGATCAAAAAGTACTGGAGCTCTGTTTTGCAACAATAGGATATACTTAACATTACTGAACTGTACACTAAAAATAATTAAAATGGTAAATTTTATGTTATGTGTTTTTCACCACAATTTTTTAAAAATAGCAAATTGGAAATGCTGAAAAAAAAAAAAAAGAAGTAAAAGATGAAGTGCATGGTCCCTATGATAAAACTATGAAAACTATAGGTATGTGTAAAATGAAAAAGTAGAAGAAAAGCATAAAATGATGACAGTGGCCATGTTACAAAGGCAGACATTTTGGATTTCTTTAATATTCTTGAGTTTTTTAATTTTTTTGTAATATTTATATCAAAATTTCTATTTTTATGCATAATTACTTATTGCTGTAGTCATAAAGTCAGTGGCAAGTCAGGACTGGAATACAGGTTTTCCTGGCTCCGAGCCCTGTACTCACATGCAAGATTCAGTCACATGAGACCATTGGCTCCAGGTGAGGAGGACCCCCTGCCAGAGCTTTCCCTTCGAAACTTGCTGCCCAGGGCCTGAACAACTAGGTGAGGCTCCTCCTGAGAACTATTGCTGTGGAATTTTAGCAATGACCAGACAGATTAAGGGATCTTGAACTCCCTTCTCAGATAAAAGCAGAGTTACTGTACTGACAGAAATTGAGGGATAAACAGGTAAATGATAACTCATTCACTGCTTCAGGGTTCCTGTGATCCCCAGAGAGAAAAGACTCTGGAGATTCATACATGTGAGGTCTCGGGAGAGGACAAGACAGAAAACACAACAGCAAACACATCCAAGCCCATACCAGAAAGCCTGCCAGGGTTTTCCAATTTGCTATTTTCCATTCCCTTTCACTCCTTAATCTTTAAATCCAAAAAGCTGAAAGGTTCCAATAAACGTCTGTCGTTTCCAATCTCTGCAGCCCCACGCAAATCCTGAAGAGCAATTATTTTTGTGGTGTCTGACAAGGTCATTGTTATCTGGCCTTGCAGCTCAGAGGGATCAAACTGAGGGCAGGCATATCAGGGTAAACAGAGGATGCCCAGGAGCATGGGGAGGCTTCTTCAGGGTGGTCCCCTGCACCCTTCTGCCATCACAGGTCCCACCTCCCATCCCCAGCTTGGTCACTGTGAGGACCACCTGCTTCTTAGCCCCAGCACAGAGTGAATCTGAGCCTCTCCTTCCCAGCTGGAGAAAAAGGACTGTCTCGCTTCCTCTCAAATGCCCCTGGGCTTTTGTTCCCACAGTCAGAATGTGTGTTCTATAAACAGTTCTTGCTTGTCTGACCTTTTCACCATCCTTTCCTTTGGTAATTGTTCAGGTTGTTTTGCTCCCTACTTTTTTAAAAAAATTTTTTGAGACAGGGTCTTACTTTGTCACCCATGCTGGAGTGCAGTGGCACGATCACAGCTCACTACAGCCTCGACCTCCTGGGCTCAAGTGATCCTCCCGCCTCAGCCCCCCAAGTAGCCAGCCACCATGCCCAGCTAATTTTTTCTATTTTTTTAGTGACACAGTTTCACCATGTTGCCAATCCTGGCTCCCTACCTTAACCCAGTCCTGGTTCCTGTTCTGATAGATGCTCAACATCAGTTGATATTCAGACTGGGATTGTCGCCCATTCATTCATTCATTCATTCACCCACACACATGCACAGAGTCACTGCTTCCACCACCCCTTGTGGTTCCAGATGCTGCAGCACAGGGGTGAGGCTCCTGCTTCCAGGTCTTCTATTTGAATAGAGGAGCCAGTAAGTAGAGAAACACATTTTTTAAAAGTAAACAAATAGGACTTACTCACTTTACCTCTTTACTTTGTTTTAAAATTATTGAATTTTTTAAGAGACAGTGTCTCATGGTCACCCATCCTGGGGTGCATGATCATAGCTCACTGGAGTCTTGACCTCATGGGCTCAAATGATCCTCTCACCTCAGCCTCCCAACATGCTGGGATTATAGGCATAAGCCATTTTGCCTGGTCTGACTTTACATCTTAAATATATGTGAAATAACTTATCTTTTCCCTCTCCACTGCCAGAACCATGGTTCACACTGCTGTTACCTCCATCTGGACCAAGAGCCCCACACGGGTCTTCCTGCTTCACTTCTCTACCCCAGTCCCCCCAGGCCCCACCAGCATTCTCCAGAAAGCAGCCAGCATGGTCTTTTCAAATATCCATCAGATTACATTGCTCCCTGCCAAAAGCCATTACATGGCATCCATCTCACTAAAATTACTTTCAGATTCCTTATCTCGCTCTGGAAGGCTCTCCATGGTTTCTGCTCATTTCATCACCACTCTCCATGTCCTCACGCCCTGCACACAGTGTCTCTGCTCCAGAAACATTTCCCAGTTCGTCCTCAGCTCTGAGTCTTCCCTTCTGTTTCTTTTCTTGGGAATGTTCTTCCCCCAGATCATTGCAAGGTTGGCTAATGGAGGTCTTCTCTGACCACCCGATCTGGAGCCCAGTCCTTCGCCGCCATTATCCATTCTTCTTTATAGGGTTTACCACAATCTAAAATGATCTCATTTGCTTGTTCAGGTGCCTGCCTCCTGCCCGTTCCTCAGCAGACTATCTGCTCTATTGGGGCAGGTGTCTCACTCACTGGCTCACTACCAAGTGCACCCTCTTCTAGAACAGTGATGACTGGTACATAGTGAGTACTCACTACTGAAAATTAATAAATGCATTAATCCTTTCAAAGGAAAAGTAAGAAGGGTATTGGATACTAAGTTAAACCCATGGTTTTACTCAATTATTCAACGTTTTCTCAGGAAGTAGTGTATGTGCCCTTAGCTTAATAATTCCATCATTTGGTCTCTTCTCTCTAGTGGCTTTAATCCTGATTCTCTCCAAGGCCAGATGTTACAGTACAGAGCAGCTCTTCTCTGTGATGAAGGGAGAGGAAATATAACAATCTGGCCAGCTAATTCTAGGGTTATAGACACAGAAGCATGAATATTTAGATTCCAGGCATTTCAGCTGACAGAAACATTTTATATCAGTTCTAATGAAAAGGATTGACTAGGTTTCACTTATTGCTTGCCAACTGGAATTTTGTTAGGCACAATTACATAATGCAGAAGTATTTGAGCTGTGCCTACCCACATCAGAATCCTAAACTAGGTTTCAAAGGGACTACATTCCATTTTAAAGAAATTCCTAGTACTGCTAACTTTCCTGGAAATAAAAGCTATCCCTCCCTAAGACTGACATTTTTATGGCCAGAAATGTACATTTAATCTATTTGTTTTAAACTGTAATATATTATGGATGCCTAAATAAAGCCAAATGCCTATCAGAAAGCAGTTGAGAAAAGAAAATCTGCCTAGAAAACTATTCTTATGATCTCTGCTGGGTAAGAATAAAAAAGTACCACCCAAGACAGGCAAGACCACGCTCCCATGGTCAAATGTAAGGACAGAAAATGAGCCACAACTCGCACTGTAGCCCCTGAAAAAAAAATTATCGATAGGTCCAAATGCCTCTTCCAAAAATGCTGACTCACTGAAAATTATTGCCATTTAATAAATAGGAAGCAAGCTATTACATCGTTTGCCAAACTTTCTCCCACATTTCTGAAATATATTCTTTAATAGCTCAATAACATTCAGGAGCACTAGAGGCCAGTTAAATTCATCTAAAAAGGAAGGACGAGATTTCTGCCTCACCCAGCACATCTGCGTTGGGTGGGTATGCCAAGAAAACAGGAATCAAGGTGGCTATCACCTCTCCACTAGACAGTTCCCCAAATCCAGCCTAGACGGAAAGCACTTTTTTTCCCAGGCAGCCTCCAGGAATACGGAATACTTTTGGGAGGAGAAGAGCCATGGACGGGTGAGTCCTTACCCCAGGATGCACAAACACCACAGCAAGACACCAATGACTGCCGGAAGTTCGGCGGTTCCTCCTTCTCCGGAGCAGCAGGCCCAGACTTCACCCGGTAGCCATTATGGAACAGGTCCCCCAGGGACTTCTTGCGGCGCCTGCCGGGTCTGTAAAGCTCTGTGCCGGTTCTGCTGGATGGGTGGCGGTACACCAGAATCTTACTGGGGATCATGGTAGAAGGAGGGAGATGGGCTAGGCTTTCGGCTCCCTTCCATTCACTTCTTGCAGGAGTCAATGCTCTGGAAAGACCTGGAGGAGCCTGTGTTCCTCTGACCCGTGCTGCAAACAGGTCCTCCTGTCCAGCGCAGTGTGGGTCACCAGCATCTATGTCCTGGTGGAGCCAATAGACACTCTCTCCTCCCTCACCCTCCAGTCCCTCTTGCAAGAACCCCGGCATGCTCTGGGCACTGGATGCACGCAGCCACATCAGAAAGGCGGTTAAGAGGGGCGGGGGAAGCACTCTGATCCACGATGTCCTGCGAGCTGATCAATCAGCTTCACGCTGGAAATAACCATGTAAGCTCCTTTGGACATGGTTTAGGGGGATAGAAAGAGAAAAGGCTATAATTCCTCAAATCAAGTGGTATAGAATAGAGTGTGAGAGAGGCTGCAGTTTGGGGCCCACTAAGTCGTTTCTTTTATTTTAGTAATCCTGCTTAACAACTGAGGACTCATAAGGAGGATTCCCTTAGAGGATGTGATGCCCAACAAGAAAGAAAAACTGAATTGTCCTACTCCTCCTGTCGTGGCCACCTCCCACCACTAACATAACCCAAATACGCAAATCCTCTGCTAATCCTACATACAGGACTGAGGAAGAAGAGGGATTCTGGGCTATCCAGAGGAAGATGGGAGGAGACACTCATTAGAGCTCCTTGGCCCACCCCCTGCTTCTTTGTCCCATTGTTTTCAGCATCTTCTCTCATTACCAACCCCAGCCCCCTCTTAGTTCTCTGTTACAGGCTACATTATGGACCCCCATCCCTGCCAAAGTCGTAGGTTGAAGCCCAAACCCCAATGTGATGGTATTTGGAGATGAGGTACTTTAGGGAGTGATTAGGTTTAGACAAGATCATGAGGATAGGGCCCTCATGATGAGATTAGTGCCATTATAAGAAGAGAGACCAGAGAGTTTGCTCTTTCTCCCTCTCTGCCATGTCAGGACACAGTGAGAGGGCAGCCGCCTGCAAGCCAGAAAGAGAGCCCTCACCAGAACCTGACCATGCTGGAATGCTGATCTCAGATGTCCAGCTTTCAGAACTGTGAGAAAATAAATCTCTGTTATTTCAGCCACCCAGTTTTTGATATCTTGTTAAGGCAGCCCAGAGTGACTATGAAAGTCTCCCTTCCCAGGGTACTGAGTGTAAACAAAAATATGACACAGACAGAGAGAGGGGAAACATTAAAAATATAAACAGGAAAATATCCACATTCCACAAGTTGTTAGCTGAGGCTCCTCATAATTTAATCCCCACCTATTTTTTCAGACCTCTAGCAAGGCTAAAATTATTGGTAGAATTTTCAAAGCATAACATTTCTTCTCAATGTGGATTAGTTCATTCACCTGACCATGACGTATTGAGCATCTATTATGTGCCAAGCGTTTTGCTGGGTACTGGGTATTTGCTGATTAACAGGAACAATGCACAAGTCCAGCCTTGGTGGCATTTATAGTATAATCAGAGAGTGAAACAATATATCATAACTGTAATTAACAATTTGGTTAAAGTGCTGTAAAGAAAAACCCTAAGTAGGCCGGGCGCAGTGGCTCATGCCTGTAATCCCAGCACTTTGGGAGGCCGAGGCAGGCGGATCACAAGGTCAGGAGATCGAGACCATTCTGGCTAACACGGTGAAACCCTGTCTCTACTAAAAAATACAAAAAAAAATTAGCCGGGCGTGGTGGCAGGTGCCTGTAGTCCCAGCTACTCAGGAGGCTGAGGCAGGAGAATGGCATGAACCTGGGAGGTGGAGCTTGCAGTAAGCCAAGATAGTGCCACTGCACTCCAGCCTGGGTGACAGAGGGAGACTCCATTTAAAAAAAAAAAAAGAAAAGAAAAGAAAAAAAGAAAACAAAAAAGAAAAAGGAAAAACCCCAAGTAGTTATCTGAGTATGTGTATGTGTATGTTACATAAATGTGTATCTGAGTGAATGTGTATGGAAAATGTGACATACATACGCAAAAGGGCTTCACAATAATTCTATATCCTAATGATATAGTAGCAGACAGCCAGGTAAAAAAATTATGGTGATGGCAATTTTTTTAGGCCGAGGGAACAGCATGACGAATATCTTGAAGAGGGAAGTAGATGGCCTGGTCCTGACTTGAAAGAAACTCAATGTGTTTAAAAAGAAATTGGTGAGAAACTAACTCTCCAACACCTAAAGTTGTCTGGAAATGATAGACAGAACTACAGGTCCTACAAACACTAAGAGGATAATTTTAAAGTATTAGGAATAATATTATGTCTCCAAAACTTGACACCCTGATGAAATGAACAAATTCCTTTAAAAATACAATTTTCTCCAACTGACACAAGAAAAAATAGAAAATGTAAACAGCTACATATCTGTTAAATAAATGGAAACTTCAATGAAAAACATTCCCACAAAGAAAATTTCAGGTTCAGGCAGTTTCCACTGCAGAATTCTACCAAATATTTATGGTGGAAATAATACCAATATTACACAAACTCTTTCAGGGACTGGAGGAAAAGAGAACCCAACTTGATTTATAATGCCAGAATAATCATGACATTGAAACCTAATAAGAGTATTATGAAAAGAAAAAAAATTACAGAAAAATATATGTCATCAACATAGACACAACAATCCTTAAATAAATACTAGTCAAATGAATCCAGCAGTATATAAAAAGAATAATACTTTAGAATCGAGTAAATAGAGTTTATCCCATGAGTAAAAGATTGGTTTAAAAAATGAAAATTAATTAATGTAATTCACCACATTGAAAAATTAAAAGACAAATCATATGATCATTTTAATAGGCATCAAAAAATAATGAAACTATGTTGTGTTAAGATAATGTGTCGTGCCCCCCAAAAAGACAAGTTGATTAATGAAACAGAGTCCAGAAATAGACCCATATATATACAATCAATTGATTTACAACAAAAGCACCAATACAACTCAATGAGAAAAATAAAGTCATCGCCACAAATGGAAGGAAAAATGGATATCTACAAAGGGAAAGAAATCAGTCTCAACTCTTACCTAACACAATCTACAAAATTAGTTTGAGATGGATCACTGACTTCAATGTAAAAGCTAAATCTGAAGCCTCTATAAACAAACACAGCAGAGTGTCTTGAGGACACTCGGATAAGCAAAGGCTTCTTAGATAGGACACAAAAGGCACTCACATTTTTAAAAAGACTGATAAATTAAATATCAGTAAAATAAAAAACTTCTCATAAAAAGACAATAAATTAAAAGATAAGCCACAGATTAAGAGGAAACACTTGCAGTACATTTATATGACAAAGAACTTACAGAAATAAAAATTAAAACTACAACAAGATGGCACCACAAATCCATTAGAATGGCTAAAATTTAAAAGTTGACATTATCAAGTGTTGGTGAAGAAACAAAGCAGCTGGCACCCTCACACGTTGCTAGTAGAAGTGTAAAATGGTGTATCTTCCTTTGGAAAACTGGCAGTTTCTTGTAATGTTAAACATGCATCTATCCTATGACCCAGAGACTCAATTTCTAAGTATTTACCCAAGAAAAAAAAATATATGTCCACAAAATCATTTGTACAAGGATGTTCATAACAGCTTTATTCAAAATAAGCCAAAGTTGGAAACAACCTAATGGCCATCAACAGGGTGGTTTGATAAACAAATTGTGGTATATCCCATAATGGAATATTAGCAGCAATAAAATGGAAGAAATTATTAATATATACAACAATATATACAAATATCAAAAACCTTATTTTGAAGGAAAGGAGCTAGTTAGAAAAGTGAATACCCTGCATGATTCCATTCATACAAAAATTGAGAGCAGACAAGACTAATCTATAGTGATTGAAGCCAAGATAGTGATTTTTTTATGTTCAAGGGAGGAGAGAGCAGATATTGACAGAAATGAGCATAAAGAAACATTCCAGGATAGTAAAAATGTTCTCTATGTTGATATGGATGACAGACCATTTTACAGTGGTGCATATCTCTGTCAGAACTCACTGAATGCACCCTCAGGATCTATGCATTTTATTGCATGTATAATATACTTATTAAAAACATTGAGATGGGCTGCCATGTTAGATGGTATCTCCCTGTCAACAGAGATACTCAAACAGAGTCTGCTTGTACCAATTTAGGGAACACTAAAGTTTCACCTGATGCCTAAACAGAGATCATCTGCTGTAACCCTGTAAATTCCCTCCCAACTTCCAGTGGGCAGTATGGCATGAAACCCCTGCAACTCAGAGATGGCTGGTTTAATTGGAGAAGTGAAGGATTTGTATTCAGGCTCTGCCACCAGCAGCTGCACATCTGAGTAAGTTATGTAACTCCTAGCCTCATTTCCTCATCTCCGAAATAGGGATTATGACATCTACTTCACAGACGAACTATCCAGATTAAAGAAAACGATGTTTGCAAAGCTCTGCACAGGGTCTGACACTCAGCAAATTCTCCTCCAAAAATCTGCCAAAGCACTAGGGCCCAGTCAAACTGGTCTATATTCTGCCATCGAATGCCCCATCATCACTGGGCAATCTGGTCTCCTACTGTAAATAAAAACCCCACCTATCTCCATGGGGCACATCTGCCAGCCTCTTCCTAGGACCCTGTAGGTGTGGCAATAAATGTGGTCCCTGGAACCAGCAGCAGGGGATTTGGTTCCTGGCATCTCCACATACGAGCCACATGCTCTTGGAAGTTATTCCAACCCTGCCTCAAGTCTCTGACTTTTAAAATGGGAAACACTTTTCAAGATAAATCTGTTCATCACAAGAAAGGATTTCTTATAAATTTGAAATATTTAAAAGAGAATTCTATGCAAACGTATGCACACATACAAGTGAATGTGGGCCCATTTCTCTGGACATGTGTCTATTCCAAAAAAAACTGTCATAAACTGTATCCTCATTTTGCACTCCTCCCACCAGTGTGTCCCATGGTGCCACCTGGTATTGTCTGCCTGAAAGAATTCTAGGAGGGCTTCATTTGTCTCTGAAGTCATAGATCTTCATCTACCAATACTGGGAAAACTCCCTTGCTCCTCTTCCTCTGCATTAGGCTTGTTTTTCTGAGACAGAAGTGGTCAGAGAAAAAGGACACTGGAATCCATTCATTCATTTAAAAATATTGACCAAGAAATGAACTCAGACGAAATTGACCTCTTCAGTGAAGTCATATCTAATTCCCTCAACCCTGTACAAAGTAATAGTACATTTATTCAACAACATATTTTCATGGAGTACCTATTTAGAAAAGAGACGGAATCTGGGCCCAGTGTTATAGGATTCAAATCCCAGCTCTGCCATTAATTGGGAGTGAGCATTAGCAAGTTCCTTCAACTCAAAGTATCTCAGTTTCCCCAACTATAAAATGGGAACAGTAATAGTAACCTACCTCATGGGGTTATTGTGAGGAATGAATTAATATCTATAACGGTTAAAATTGTCCTTGGCACATAGGAAATGTTCAGTCAGTGCTTGCTATAATTATTACTAGGAGCCAGATACTGGGCTAACCATATTGGGGATACAAATGTGATTTGCTCTAAATCTATCCTCAAAAAATGTACAGTCTTGAGGAGCTGTTTACAATCTACATTTGTATTTAGCTAAGATAGGAAAGATGACTATCTACATAATTTTAGGGGACGATCCACCAGCCCCCAAAAGAAATTAGCCTTCTTCTCTTCCTTGTTTATTGATGCCTAAAATTCCCCCATAAGACAGCAGCATTACCCAGTAAGAAAAAACTGTGCCTTGGGTTCAAATGGATGTAAGTTTTGACCCTGGCTCTGCTCCTGATGCACTGAGAGACCCTGGCTGCTTATATGAAACCTGAATGTCTATGACTGCATGTAAAAAATAAAGATGAGAAGCTGGGCGCGGTGGCTCATGCCTGTAATCCCAGCACTTTGGGAGGCCAAGGCAGGCAGATAGGTTGAGGCCAGGAGTTTGAGACCAGCCTAGTCAACATGGCAAAACTTCGTCTCTTCTAAAAAATACAAAAATTAGCCAGGCGTGGTGGCCTGCACCTGTAGTCCCAGCTACTGGGGAGGCTGAAGCAGGAGAATCACTTGAACCCAGGAGGTGGAGGTTGCAGTGAGCGGAGATGGTGCCACTACACTCCAGCCTGGGTGACAGAGCAAGACTTCATCTCAAAAAAAAAAAAAAAAAAAAAAAAAAAAAGAAAGAAAGAAGGAAAGAAAAAAGATGAGAATTATGCCTCTCAGGGGCTGTGACAATAAATTGATCTACGTGTGTTTTAAAATGCCTTTCACACAGAATATGCTACATAATCACTCATTCCTGGTCTCCTCCAGAAGTCCCTGCACTTGGCCTCTCTCTCTCGGGTGTAATGGATTGGTCCCCATTGAAATACATTTCCTTTTCAGAGTCATTTATCCCTCAGTTAGAAAGAAGTATTGACCATGGGGAAGGGGGACTGTGAAGCCACCTGGGCATGGCAGAGGGGGCCAGGCACAGAGGAGGGAGCACAAAAGAACGAACAATGAAGCACATAGAGAAATAAAACCTAACTCGACTTGCAAGCCAGTGATGGCCCTATTTTTAGCTGACAAGTGAGTAATCTGATGTGTGTGACTTGAAACAGGGAACATAAACATCAAGGCTGAATCTATAACCAGCCACATATAACTTGTACTATAACTTATTCCCAGAATTCTAGACTGTTTGAATTAAGTGTCTGCAGGTCTCTTCTTCACGCACTTACTCTTATTAAGTTTGGGAACTAGAAGCCTGTGTCATTTGCACAGGTCTCAAGTTACAAGGGAAAAAGATGCTTTGCTTGGTCTCTGGTTTGACTATTCCAAAGAATCTTTCCTAATCTCCAATTCGTCTTTGTCTCCCACCCCACCAGCCTCCCTCCCTCCTTCCCTTCCCCCTGAAAGCTAACCATCAGAGGGGTGGAATAGCCTCTAATTCAGCCCATTCTTCCCTCATCCCTTTCCCTTTCATCATCAGCTAGCAGTGAAAGTCACCATCCTCTTGGACCTCCCATTTCTGAGGCATTGTCTGTCCCAGAACCCCATGCAGGACATTGGAGACAAGTGAATCTAACCTCGTCCAATCTCCCTCTTCTTCCCGTAGATAAAAACCTGAACTCAAAGAAGAGAACTGGAATAATCCTCCCTTATCCCACTTCCCATGGTGAGCCCCAGCTGGGACGCTGACACATGGCCCCAACTTTTCCTCCTGCCTGATGTCTGGACCCACAGGGGACAGATGGTGGTCCCTGGTCACTGAAGTACCCACAGGTTTGATTATTGAGACTTTTATCTCTGTTGACTACAGGGAGGACCTGAATCAGTTTACATGGTTAAAATAAAAGCGCCATATACAAGGATAAAGCAGGACAGGGCCCCCACCATCTAAAAGTAGAAGGGATGGGGATTGCCAGGCAGCACCTGCCACCACCAAGAAAAGACTGAGAAAGGGACACTTCAGGCACAACATGTAAGGAGGTGCTCCTTTTGGGACTGACCCTGCCTTTGCATAGCCCTGGGAATGAGCCACCCTCATGTTTGCACCCAGGCCTCTCTCTTGCCTCATCCTGCACCTGCCATGAGTTTACTACTGAGCTCACTTCTGAAATTGGCTCTGCATTGCCTGTCACCTATGGCAAGAGAGAAACAACTAGGTTATGACTATTGTGAACTGAGAAAACCTATAAAGCCAATTCAGAGATCAAATCTATCCTAAAATTAAATTCAAGCAGAATTTTTGTGCCAGCGGCTTTGAATAAAGACTGAAGAACACGGTGAGTTATATCTTCAATTACAGTTTACAAAGAACAGAGGTACTCCTTCCAAAAGGGGACTCTTGATTTAGCTCTCTGTAAGGACAGAAAGCATAACACTGAATCTTGGGTCAGCAAAAACATTTTCACAAGGGCCTCAGGTATCATGAGATTTAGCTCTGTTTAATTCTGATGCTCAACATTAATTTAAGGAAAATGAAGTACTTGTTTTGGGGGGGATTAATTTGCTACCAGGCACACCTCAGCTGTGTTTTATTCTGAAGCTCTAAATTAGCACCAGGATCAACCTGGATAATCTAAATCAGGGGTTGCCAATTTTTTTCTGTAAAGGGCCAGATCATAAATATTTTGGGCTTTGTAAGCTGCACAATCTCTATTGCAAGTGCTCAATGCGGCCATTGGAGTGAGAAAACTAGCCACAGATGATACAAAAATGAATGAGCTTGGCCTCGTTCCAGTAAAACTTTCCTTACAAAAATAGGTGATGGACCAGATGTAGCCTGTAGGCCATAGTTGGTCAACCTCTGATGTAGCTGACATCTTGAAATGAGGAAGGAATGTTTAATTTGAGAACAGGTACTTCTACATTTCACAAGGTAGAAATCTGTAAATAACAACATTTGGAAGTTCCTTCTGTTTCCTGCAACACTCACTTTAGAACCTAATATCATGCTATTTTTATTGCTCTGGCTTAATTCAGTTATATAGAAATCATTTCTATTCAAATAGACGATGAAATCCTTGAGGTCAAGGTCTCTGTCCAACTTCTTTGGGTATAATCCATCGTGCCTAGCACAGCTGGGAACTTTGCACTTGCTTAAAGTGTTTTCTTCCCTTTCTGAAGGACAGTGATTCACATCTCTGCTTTTGACATGCAAGGACTTGACGATCTATTTAACCTAAGGGGAGAAGAGTCTCTTTCAAAGAATGGATTGTCATCCCCTTCTCCCTGCCCCTGCCATGTACATTATGCTTCTAATCAGTCTGGAATAAAGCGATGTCATGGGCATAAACTAATTTCTTCCAATCCAAAACAAGTTAGCAAGTCTCATTTTGTAATTCTAAAGTCTTCAGCTCATGTATTTATTTCAACATTTTTTTCCTATAAATAAATGGCTGTGTGACTTGTCTCCTTCTTTGTGTTCATATCCCAATGTCCAGTGTAGAGTGGCCTTCACTAAATATGTGTAGAAGGAATGAGGAAATGAATGCAAGATGGGCTTAGCTCATAAACCCTTTGTTTTGTTAGAGACTTTTGCCAACTCTTTTAGGCAGTTACAATATTTTGATGGGCAAGACCTGTGCTGTTGGGCTGCCTGGTCAAACCCATGCATAGTGAAATAATCCGTCTCCAATCTCAGCCTGCATCCTAACCCCAATTTGTCCCTGAGTGCAAGGTCACTGATCTGAATTTGAATGGCAGGCTTTGTTGACCTAACAACTCTGTTAGGCTCACCCATTTCTGCATACTACTGGTGAGTGACAGAGGATGGACACTGAAATCTCCATCTTTTCATAGAACCCATGCAAGAGGCACAAAACCATCTGCTTAGTGGTCATGTGGCAGCAGACAGTATCTCAGAAGTCCTCGCAGCATATGACTTCACTGATGAAGATGGATCACACTTGAGCAGGGATTCTTGATCTCTGCAAAACAGCTCATACACAACAGGAACAATCTCACAGATAAGAAAAACTCCAGAAGTTGGTCTCGGGCTATGAAAATTTCTGCCACAATATGATTTATATGAAAATAAATAAAGTGGGTCTACTACTTTATCATTAGCAATAAGTGGATTCTTTCTTCCTGCCACAGACAAACTGAGGATGTAAATGAACACCATACTCGCATTGTTGCTTATGCTGTTGTTCTTCACCCACTGCCTGAGGTGTAGGTTTGCAAATAAAATCAAACCATCATTATTCTGGACTGATTATCCAATTAGAGAATGAAATAGGCCAGCCCTGTCTTCCTTCTTCTTCCATCAAATGCCATTCTTGTAGCCATTTCACTGACAACATGAGGGGCCAACAGAAGAAATAAACAGGCATAAATTTCAAACCCAGGAAATTTATGTGAGCAAAGGGAAAGAATCCAGATATATAAAATGAATTAATCATCAATAAGTCACCACATCCCTATTACATGGTAAGTTCTTTTCTGGGAGCTGTTAGGGCCAGAAAGGGACTGTAAGACACAGTCCCTGCTTTAAAGAAGTACAAACAATCACCAAAAATAAAAGCAAAACTGAAAAACAGCAAATAAATAATCATTTATCAGAACCAACTATGGACTATGGATAGTTTAAAAGTGCTGAGAGCATAGCCCACATGGCAGAAGTGCATAAATAATGCAAAACCTTACATTGGCTGACAATTTAAACTTCCCTTCATGATCATTCTTCTGTCAGAACCGCTGAGAGAGATAAAGAAGATAATAATAACAAAAGAACTTCAAGTTTCTGGTGATTCTAAGTAGGTTCTAGTTTCAGGAGTATTCCAACACACTATGTTACCTTAGACAAGTCATGTTCTCTCTTTGTGATTAGGTTTCTCATCAAAAGGAAGGAAAGAAGGAAGGGAGGAAGAAGGGACTGGGAGTGTTGGTAATAGATAACCCTTAATATCCCATTCAGATCAAATTTCTATAATTATAATGTGGCTCTCTGCCTCTGGAGGTCACTCAGTAACAAAGAAATATAACTTTAAAAATAGCCAAAGTAGGAAAAATAACAATCATTCTCATAAATCTGCAGTTTCTTTCTTTCTTTCTCTCTCTCTCTTTTCTTCTCTCTCTCTTCTCTTCCTTCCTTTCTTTCTTCTTTCTTTCTTTCTTTTCTTTTCTTTCTTTCTTTCCTTTCTTTCTTTCCCTGTCTCTCTCTCTCTCTTTCTTTCTTTCCTTCTTTCTTTCTCTTTCTTCCTTTCTGATGGAGTCTTGCTCTGTCACCAGGTGGGAGTGCAGTGGTGCCAGATCAGCTCACTGCAACCTCCACCTCCTGGGTTCAAGTGATTCCCGGGCCTCAGCCTCCCCAAGTAGCTAGGGACTCAGGTGAGAGTCACCAGGCCCAGCTAATTTTTGTATTTTTAGTAGAGATGGAGTTTCACCATGTTGGTCAGGATGGTCTCGATCTCTTGACCTTGTGATCTGCCCCCCCTTGCCCTTCTGAAGTGCTGGGATTACAGGCATGAGCCACCACACCTGGCCATAAATCTGCAGTTTCTACAGCTACTTTGCAACTATGAACAAATGCTAGTGTACACAGAAAACTCCCTCCCTCCTGTAAGCTTCTTATGCATGCCACAGACTCTGGCCTCCCAGCTGGGCCAGATACATTTGAATGCTGGAGCACTCAGCTGATTAAGATACCTAATTTCTGAATGATCCCACTCACACCAGGAGGACAGTGTTTAGAGCAAGATGTTACATCTCAGTTGACTCACCTTGTGCAATGATTTCTTTTTATAAATGCTAATTGCAACTCACTAATTAAGAGAGATGTTACACTGGGCAGGAAAATCATTGAGTCAGGAAATCTTGCAATTTTCTCTAGCATATTTCATGAATCAAAAGTCTTGATCTGATGCAGTTTTTTCATGGCCTAGAGGGCAGAATAGGAGCTGAATACCACAGCTTCTCTTCATAAGGGTGGTATGGAAATGGACTCCCAGTTTAAAAGAGAGTCAAATGTCCATCCTGGGAGAATTAGCAGAGTATTGTGGTTAAGGGCAGAGGCTTTGAAGACAGGCCTGGACTAATTTATTTTTGCCTATGGTTTAGGACAGAGGGTCCAAGACTGTCTTTTTCATCTTGTCATCTCAGCATTTAGGATAGCAAGGGGTACATAGCAGGTGCTAAATAAATGTGTTGTGAAATTTAAGTCCTGGTTCTACCATGCATAAGCTGTTTCCTAGGGCACCTTCCATAACCTCTTGGAGACTCTTCTGTTTTTTTGCTTTTGTGTGTGTGTGTGTGTGTGTGTGTGTGTGTTGTTGCTGTTGTCATTATTTTGTAAAATGGGATGTCTCAGTTGGGGTTCCTCTGCAGGAGAACCTGAGAAAAGGATTTGATTACAAATAGTTAACTTGGGAAGTGATCTCAGGAAACACCAGTAAGGGAACAGGAAAGTGGGGAGGAGATGGGAAAGCATCCATAAAGAGTTTGTTATCAAGCATTTATCACTGTGGGCAACTAAAGGAAAATCCCACTGGGGTACTCTGGCAGCCAGGATCTACACATGGCTTTATGTGTAAACAGAAGAGCCTTGCGACCAAGGGGTGAGGGGGCTGGGGCATTGATCCAACACCTCCTGTTGGTCACTGGTTGAGGAGGCATTAAGTCCCTAGCACTTACGACCTGTAGACAGGCCCACAAGCAAGCTTCAGTGACTGGAGAAAGTCCTCTGGCAAAGAAATGCAGATGCTGGCAATTCAAAATCTAGCCACCTGCACTACAGGTAAGGGCAAGCGGGTCTGGGTTGCGGTGACAGGCACCAACAGGGCCAGCCTCCCAGGAATAATAAAACCTATGTCTTAGGTTGATGTGAGGCTTAAATGAAGCGGCGGATGGAAAGGACTGATTGCGACCCTGCACACTGTACCTCCATTCACTGAGGGCTTCCTGCTGTCATGAGAACATGGAAAATGTGGCGCTCCCCACTAAGGCCCCTGGAGCCATGCATCAGGTAGAATACAGTCTCAAGGGCATCTTGAGACCTTATAGATCCAGAGAAATGCCACTTCCTAGCCTTGGAAACTGACAATGCACATTAGCATATGGAAGGCTCTGAGGATTCTTATGGTTAAGAAACTCTTTAATTAAATGAGGATTTCCCAAACTTACTGGAGCACAGAGTTCTCTTTCCAAATAATGTATGCCAACTTTCAGTGTAATCCAACACTCCATGAAGCACATTTTGGGAAAAGAAGGCCTGAGACTGGTGAATTTTACCCAGAAAAGCATTCCATAATTTCCAGCTCACCCCCAAAATTCTGCTGACAAATATGTTTCCTTAACTACACCCAAATCTTCTGATTTCATCTTCTTTTTTTCTTTTTCTTTTTGTTTTTTGAGACAAGGTCTGGCCCTATTGCCCAGGCTGGAGTCCAGTGGCACCATCTTGGCTCACTGCAACCTCAGTCTCCAGGGCTCAAAGGATCCTTTCACCTCAGCGTCCTGCATAGCTGGGACTACAGGCATGCACCTCTACATCCAGCTAATTTTTTGTATTTTTTCTAGAGATGGGTTTCACCATGTTGCCCAGGCTGGTCTCAAACTCACAAGCTCAAGCACCTTGGCCTCCCAAAGTGCTGGATTACAGGCATGAGCCACCATGCCCAGCCTCACCTCCTTTTTTAATGAACCCAAACCCACCCTGATGATTTTTTTATTCTGCATTTCTCAGATTCATAATGGTTTTCACGTGTGATTTGAAATCATTTATGGGAGCTGCATGAGCAACTTACATCCTGGAGTTTACAGGTGTTGCACCCTGCCCAAAGTTGCTGAGTGCTCACCAAGTCCTGCTTCTCTCAGAGGCAGCATTACCTAATGGACAGGAGTCTCCGGGCCCAGCTCTGTTGCTTATTAACTTTCCCAACGTCATTTGTAAAATGAGAAAATGTCTGTTGTTCACAGGTGATATAGTTAGGCTCTGTGTCCCCATCCAAAATCTCATCTTGAATTGTAATCCCTATAATCTCCACCTGTCAAGGGTGGGACCAGGTGGAGGTAATTGGATCACGGGGGCGGTTTCCCTCATGCTTTTCTCGTGATAGTGAGTAAGTCTCAAGAAAGCTGATGGTTTTATAAGCATCTGGCATTTCCCCTGCTTGAACTCACTCTGTCCTGCCACCCTGTGAAGAAGGTGCCTTCTTCTCCTTTGCCTTCCACCGTGATTGTAAGTTTCCTGAGGCCTCCCCAGGCATGCGGAACTGTGAGTCAATTCAACCTCTTTCCTTTATAAATTACCCGGTCTGGAGGATTCCTTCATAGTAGTGTAAGAATGGACTAATACCACAGGTTACTATAGAAATTAAATGAATTACAGCACAAAACATCCAGCACTGTGCAGCCACCAACTAATGCTCAATGAATGTCGCTTGCCTTTCAAATTTCTTCCTCTAACCACCCCTAGCCCTGATTCCAATTCTTCATTACTTAGATAATTGTCATATAAAGAGAAAATAGAATGATGAAATGGAAAGACTGTTGCCTGAATAATTCAGGCCACTTAGTGAGTATCTATATCCATATAGACAGCTGTGTAGCTACCTCTCTACAGGTAGGTACCTTAATATGCAATGTCCATCTGTATCTATATAGAGATACAGATATATAGAGGCAGAGATATTTCATGCAATAAATATTTATTAAGCACCTGCTGGTGCCTGGCATTGCTCTGTGTTGGATGAAAATACTGAATAAGACAGACATGATCCCTGCTCACAAGTAGGTTACGGCCTAGTAGTACAGACAAGTCACATCAAGAAACAACTAAACAATGAAGCAAACAAACAACTAATTACAAATTGCTTCAAGCAAATGCTTGTATAAATTGCTATAAAACACACAAATTCCAGTGAGGGACACTTTAGACTGTGTGGCCACAGAGGCCTTTCTAATGAGGTGATAGATCAGTGGAGAACTGAAGGGAGAGAGTGGGCCATCAGGGGACGCAGGGGCAAGTGCCATCCAAAGGAGCGGGTTGCTGCCTGCCATTGCTGAGGCAGGGAGAAGAAGCCTGGGGGGTGCAGGAGAAGGCAGAAGCTCTAAGGCCATGGCAGGCTTTATGGGCCGTAAGGAGGTCTTGGTTTCCATCTAAGAAGAAGGAAAAAGTTTAAAGAGGTGGGCCACAAAAGCAGATTGAAAAAGGGTTGACATTTTAAAAGATCCCTGCAAACAACTAAAGAAAGGAGATGACTGTGAGATTCTCAGAGAATTCTTTCCTGCCTGCTATTGATCTCCAAAAAGTGTGATTCTATAACAAGAGCAAACATTGACAGTGAGTCAGATACCTCTGTAATCATTTTTAAATCACTCATTTTATTCCCACAACACCTTACATGCGGTGGCCATGGTTGTCCCCATTTTACAGATGTGGCAGCAGTTGAGGCACAGAGAGCTTAAACATCTTGCCGAAGCTCACCTAGCAATGAGATGATGGAGCCGCGGTTGAAATTTAGGCAGTGGAACTCCAGATGTGTGCTCACCCTGCCCTGTTCTGCCTCCCTGGAAGCACGCTCAGCCATGGCTCTGGCTGCCTCTCCCATGCTGCCCCCGAGATTTCATTCCCTGTATGCCTGAACGTCAACACAAGTGTCTTTCTTCTCAGTCCCATGGAAACGGTTCCTCCACCATTACGATCTGAACTAAAACAATAAGAAGATGCTATGCAAAAAATGAACCTGGGTGAGTACTGAACACTTTAAAATGCAAGACTTTACTAAGGCTAAATAGAATTGAAAGCTATAGCCTCAGAAGAGAATGTCACAAAACCCTGACACAGTGAAACAATTACATAACTAAGAAGTGAGGGGAAAGGATGGGGGAGAAAATGAAATGTCATTTTCTCTTCTTTCACAGCAGAAAGTTCATCTGTTTTACACCAAATTAAAAAACAAAGTTGGCCGGGCATGGTGGCTCACGCCTGTAATCCCAGCACTTTGGGAGGCCAAGGTGGGTGGATCACGAGGTTAGGAGATCGAGACCATCCTGGCTAACAGGGTGAAACTCCGTCTGTACTAAAAATACAAAAAAATTAGCCAGGCACGGTGGCAGGCACCTGTAGTCCCAGCTACTTGGGAGACTGAGGCAGGAGAATGGCATGAACCTGGGAGGCAGAGTTTGCAGTGAGCCAAGATCACACCACTGCACTCCAGCCTGGGTGACAGAGCGAGACTCCATCTTAAAAAAAAAAAAAAAAAAAAAAAAAAAAGTTAAATGAAAACATGACTCTACCTTCATCTTTTCTCCTAATTGCTTTCTCAT
This sequence comes from Homo sapiens, assembly GCF_000001405.40. Lineage (NCBI taxonomy): Eukaryota > Metazoa > Chordata > Mammalia > Primates > Hominidae > Homo > Homo sapiens. Next base: position 77,156,309 of record NC_000010.11, read on the forward strand.
ATTCATATCAGCATGTCTTAGGAGGTAAAAGTTACAAAGTTTAGCGATTGCTTCATTTTTCTCCAATTTTTCTACATTCAAGTGAAATCACCTTTGCAAAATTATGACAACAAGAGAAATCTGACAGAGCTGACTCCCTCTTGCTTCCAACTTCCAAGCTACCCTTAGTCATTCCTGGGCATAGGCCAAGCTAACTTTGGGAGGAATTTATAGTTTAACCTTTAAGCAAGGACAGTAATAGCCCTTCCCAAAACTAAATTGTCCTTGTAAAACTAACGAAAGGCCATAAGGTTAGGGTTATAAGAGGTGCCTGAATTCTGCTAACACATAAGCGCAGTTAAATGATAACCAGCCATTGTTCTGGAGGTCACAGATTTGTAACTTCCTCAATTACTCTTGTAAATAACATCACTACTGTAGAACTGAAGACTGGCCCTGGGAGATGTTTTTCAGACTTCTGGCATTTCTGGCGAGTGACTGACCCCACCTGGACCCAAGACTCATGACTCAGCCAGTCCTGTGGTCCCCACCCAGAGGACTCAACACGAGTGGACTGTTTTCCATACGCTTGTGGTTTTACCCCCAAGCAATCAACATTCCCTGTTCCCTAGCCCCCTGCCCACCAAACCATCCTGAAAAACTCCTAACCTCCTAGCCTTTGGGGAGACTGATTTGAAGGATAACCCTAGTCCTCCAGGGTGGCCAGACTCACATTAATTAAACTCTTTCTTTACAGCAATACTGCCATCTCACTGAATTACTTTTGTCTGTGCAGCAGACAGGGAAAATCCACTGGGTGACTACACAAATAAGCTTAAACTTAACAGTTTTATTTTTTAAAAAAACATGTAGGCCAGGCACAGTGGCTCATGCCTATAACCCCAGCACTATGGGAGGCTGAGGCAGGCGGGTCCCGAGGTCAGGAATTCAAAACCATCCTGGCCAACATGGTGAAACCCTGTCTCTGCTAAAAAATACAAAAAATTAGCCGGGCATGGTGGCAAGTGCCTGTAATCCCAGCTACTCGGGAGGCTAGTACAAGTTCATTTTATATAAATTTCTGTTTGTCTAACTTATTTACTTATCTACTGTACAGAAAAATATCTAGAATGATCTTTATCCAATGTGATCAAATGTTTTATGATATTTGCTTTGGTTTGTTGGACACATTCTTCTTGGCATTTTCTGTGTTGCTTCCATTTCTCTTAAATGAATATGTTGAGTTTTTTAAATAATAAAATAATTATTTTGAAAATACATAAGGAAGACGTCCAGACTTGCTTTACTTGATCATATGAAATAAACTCCTCTTCACGCTGGAGCAAAATAAGAGCACTCTTATCTTGGGGGTTTTGGAAGTATTTCTGTGGTTTCTGGGATGCAATATCTCAGCCAGAAAAATAAGCCCTTCATCCTGCCTTCAGCGAGGCGAGCCCCACAGCAAGGGCCAAAGTCTAGGAGGCCTGAGCATGAGGCTGCAGTGTCTCCAAGCCCCACTGCCTTTAATGGGAACAGCGTCCTGGCACCCTCTCCAGGATCACAGCAGTGAGCTCTGTCCTCTGGTCACCTGCGCCACCAACACCCTGACAAGGTCCTCCTCCTCCTTAGCGATGGGCTGCCTCCTTTCCCACAGCTTCTGGTGCCCCCATGGGTTGGGGGCAGGGAGGGAAGTAGCAAAGAATTAAGAATCAGATCCAGAGAAGCATGTGGTCATATCAAAGAAGGAGTGTAAATAGCTCCTATACAATGAGGTGATCAGATCTCTAAGAGGCTCAGGGAAAATAATCAGGAATAAGTGGAAAGACAGAAATGAAACTGAACAAAAGAAAACACTTTTAGGGAGAAGGAAGTTTGAGGCAGGTCATCATCCTCAAGAATCTTCTTTGAGGCAAAAGAGCTGTATGCCATGAGGAGAAAATGATACAGGCAGAGCAAGAGAAAAATAATGACCTAGTCATTGGCTCAAGATTAAAAGCTATAATAGACCCTTTGATCCTCACAGTAACTCCTTTAGGTAGTGAAGGCAAGAGCTCATCTCCTTATTATAGGTGAGGGTGATAGGATTCAGAGACTATAGCTTGTTGCTCAAGGTCAAGCAGACTGGTGCAGGTGCAGCCTGGACCACAAGGAGGTCTCTGGACCTGATCACTCGGCCATGGGAGTCTCCTCTCTCTCCCCTTCCCCCTTTTCATGGAAGTGAGAGTTGTGTGAATCTGATATTCCCCATAGTCCCCCCCTCCATGATTCCTAGTTTGCTCCCAGCTCCTCTCCCCTCTCTAGCTCCATAACTGGGGTCAAAGCCAGGCTAACTTGAGAAGCTGAGTGGAAATCTCATTTTTGGCTTGCTAAGAAGTTGTCTTGAGACCCCTTTGTTTCATAGGGAGGAAGGTTTCCCAGCAGAGGTTAAGTTTTGTGCTCAGGTTTAAGGCATGAGTCAAGGTCAAGCTTCGGTAGTTGCCCAGGTTTTATTTCAAGGGAAGAAGGAGTTCAAGGTGATAGCTCTCTTTGAGGGAGGGAGGAAGGGAGGACTGTGTAGTTGTGGATATGGTAGCCTGGCCAGCCAATGCGTAAGTGTAATAAGTAATCCTCATACTCTCACCCCATGCTGCAAGAACTGTGGTAATAACCTTGAGCAACGGCACACCCTTCCTCCTAACAACACAGGTTTAGGCTAAAGACATTATCCATTAAAAATAACCACATTTTATAAACTTTGTGTTGTGTGAGTTTTTTCCCCATTCTTTTTTGAAGCAACTGGCTTGGTACATAAATTACACTGTGTGCTAGAGAATATATGACACGGCTGTGAATTACAAGGTCATAATTTTACCAGCAATTTTAGATGCTGCCATAAACCATCCAATGTCTGAGAGAGCTCTAATACATTTTGATTTTTTTCCTAAGCCCCCAGAATGGCATTCTAGGCCAGCTCTTAAAAGATGCTTCATTTCTTGCTTTTGTTTTAGGAAAACAATAGCCAAGTAACATCATCCGCTCCTTTCTTTCTTTTCTTCCCTATAGTATCGTTGCCTTTTATTTTTTTGTTAAATTACTAGCATCTATCTTAGATAGATGTTCCCTCAGCCTTCTTATGGGAAAGATGGGCTTATGTAGGGCTTTGAGTGAGCAAAGTTCCCAGAGCCACACCATTTTGGCCCAGGGCTTGCCTAAAGACATAACGAAGTGACCTTGGACCAGGTGGTTCTGTTCAGTCTCAGGTGGAAATGTTTTCCCTGGTCTTCTGTCCTTACCTTCTTCTCCACTTCAACTTAAGTTACACCTACATCCTTGCTTTTCCCCTAATTTTCAGGCCTTTGTTCATTTGCAAACACTTGCCCTCAGTTTGACCTGCCTATTCCCCCCTCCTGTAGCTAACAAATTTCTACTTCAGACTCCAGGAACCAGCCAGAACACCACCTCCTTTTGGAAAGTCTTCCCTGGGACACGTCAGGCTGTCTCTTTTCTGCCTGTTCCCCCAGCACTCTCCTGCCATATTCAATGCAACACACTGGAATTCTTTACTTACTTCCTTCTCCCCCATGAATGAGCTCACCAGCCCTTGTCCCTTTTCTTTTGTTCATTCATTCATGTCTAAATTCACAAAACATTCATTGAGGGTTCCTTTTAGTAACTTCAGTAAGACTTGACACAGTGCCTAGAATGTGGTAATGGGAATGTCTGTTGAATGAAACAAAATGAGCTAAAAAGAAATAAGTGGATGGAGGTGGATGAATCCCAACTACTGTGCATCTGCAGGACACGGTCAAAGAGAAGGTCCCTAACAGGGTAACTGGGAAGGCTCTCCTCCTGTTCCCCTGCTCTTCTCCAAGGGTGTCAACGGAGTAAGTCCTGCCCCAGAGTAAATCCACTCCAGTTACTATAACCACGCACTGAGGATCCCTCAGCTGCCTCCCTATATGATCACTCTGAAATATTCACACCAGTCCACTTCCTGGCTCCCCAAAGAAGGATGCAAATTCCTCCCCCTGCTCACCTTTTTCTCTTGTCTGGAATGCTCTTGGCCCTCCACTCCACTTAGTTAAGGCTTTTCCATGTTTTAAGACTCAACTCAAGTCCAGCTCCCCCAGCAAGTCCCTATGGCTACAGGCACATCTGCCTACTTTTAACTTATAGCATATACTACATGTGGTTCCTAATCAGAACATAACTCATCCCATCTGAATACAGGCCTAACTAATTGGCGTGCACTGAGGGAGCAGGGGCAGACCATAGTTCTCACTGCTGAGGGGGAATGTGACTGGTTAAAAGACCTCTAAGTCTAGCCCAGGCTATGCTATTTACTACTTGTGTGACACTGCAGACCTCTTGGAACATCCTTGCCCATATCTGCCAATTCAGAGATAACAATAACATCCATCTCACAGAGTTTATCAAATACAGTAATGCTTACAAAAGGTTTTCACATAGTTGAACAGCTGTGGAAATGTCATGTCTTATAAATGCACCTAAGTAAACTCAGGCAACCCTAATAGGCCCTGGTTTTGTTAGTCATTGAGGCCACTCCTTCCATATGTTATGTTCCCTTGGCACTGAGCTTCCTTTCAAATTAAGAATTGAATTGATTCATGCAGGTGACTCAACAACTCATAATTTAGATCTGCTTTCACTCTCACCATGAAATACACACAGACAGCTGACACCATGCTCTTGACTTACGAGCCTATTTTTCTAAAAGGCCCAGTCCCTCCAAGGCTCTTTCATCCACTCAATATGGTCAGCCACAGGCTTGGTTTGAACTGCCTGTTGATAGAAACATTGTCTGTCGGCTCCATGGTCCTTGACCACATGACAGCCTTCAAGGACAGATGTGGGATAAGGAAATAAATAACAGCTGTTTTACTGACACTTGTACTCATTCATTCAGGCCAAGGTGAGAAGGATGGGTAGGATTCTTCATATGGACTCACTGGTATATCCTAGTGAGTTTTGTTTAAGAGACAGGGTCTCTGTGTTTGTCACCCAGGCTGGGGTACAGCGGCATGATTATGGCTCTGAGCAGCCTCAACCTCTTTGCCTCAAGCGATCCTCCTGCCTCAGCTTCCCAAGTAGTTAGGACTACAGGCATAAGCCACCACGCCCAACTACTTTTTTTTTTTGTAGGGATGGGGTCTCACTATGTTGCCCAAGCTGGTCTTCAACCCCTGGGCTCAAGCAATCTTCCTGCCCTGGCCTCCCAAGCTGCTGAGATTACAGGTGTGAGCCACCATGCCTGATGGAGTTTTAATAGTAGTTACTGCATTGCACCAGCCAGATATTTCATCTGAGAAAAGTCAGGCACACTAGGTTCCATCATTCAATTACTATCCTATTAAGCTGAATTCAGTTATGAGTGTGTTTAGAGATGTGCATGTATCTTGTAGTCAACGCATGGATAACATGTGAATTCTATCCAAAGCAATAAGTGCTCTGCATACATTTAAATGCATGTCTTCTCATGTTTACTCTTCTGTAGTATTATTTAACTATTTATTCATCTTTTGTTATATTGACTTATGAAAGACTTTGAACTCTTGTTGTAGAAAAGGTATTTGGAATTCCCATATCTATAACTAGATTAAGCTACTCTAGGCTGAAATTGTGTCTTACATTTCACAGTATACCATGCACAACAAGCAGAGTGCTATGATCCATATGTATCTATTGAGTGAATCATTTATTAATCTCAAATTACATCCCCAAATCCTGTTCTTTCCTTCCTTTGCCTTTTTTTCCTAGATATCAAGAAGCACACTGATTCTAGTTAAGTAGTTATTACTTTGAGCTCAGTTAAAGATACTAAATATTGGCACTCTTGGTGGCCCCCATTCCAAGCATCCTTTTATGTAAAAGAACTGTAATCCTATGAGCAAAGACCTGTAAAACTGACTGCAGCTAAGGGAATTATGCCCCCATGCAGATAATGCTGTGGACCAAACAGTTCCGATAAGCAAACAAAATCTCTCAGACAATTATGTTCTTGTTTAAGGCCGTTTGCCTTGGAATTCCCAAAAGGATTCTGGAGGATTGCAAATTTGCTGGGGATGAAGAAAGAAAGTACTAGCTAGAGTTTAATAGATTATTGGATTAAGACAGGCCAGAAACAGTCAAACAAGAAAAGTATTATGCAAAACCTTCTAAGGTTCTAATCTCACCTTATTTCTATTTTGATTAATATTTTCCTGGGAAAGAAAAGATGGGGGTTTTTGTTGTTCTCTGACTACAATCCAGAGATAACATCTTTGCCTCCAGTTTTCATCAAGATAAAGACCTGGAAGACCCGAGCCAAAAGGAAGGAGCTGGAATTTTTTTTAAATCTTTCTTTCTGGTCTTTAAGGAAGTTATCTGAAAACCCACTGGTACTCTCCAATGGGTAAAGAATGAGACAGAACTAGCAGAAAGTGTTAAAGCATTAGACAGGCAAATTAACTTAGAGACAGTGGGAGAATGATTCCATCTCCATTGATTTTCCAGTCTGTAAATATGAAATGCTGGAAGGATACTTGTGACATTTGGAAAGTTTTATCTAGAAATCTCCAATTAATTTTAGAGTGCATAGCATACATCAATTAAACAGACTGCGGGGTTCATATTTCCTACACGGTCGTGACTCATCCTCGGAAGATCTGACCCATCAAGGATAATGATTTCATCTTGATATTGGTGACTAATATTTCTGTTTGTATGTCCAGTGTCTGCTACAGAGCCTGACATAGAGTAAGTAAATGCTCAAACATATGGATAAATGAATCAATTAAAAACCTCATAAAATCTTTACCCTATTAATCTTCCTCCTATAGCAGGGGTTGGTAAACTACAGCCTGTGAGACAAATCTGGCCACCACCAGTTCTTGCACAGGACACCAGCTAAAAATGTTTTCCCCCTACATTTTAAAACAGCTAAAAAAATTAGAATATTTTATGGAATATGAAAATTGTATGAAATTCAAATTTCAGTGTCCCGAATACAATTTTATTGGGACACAGCTATGTCCACTCTTTTACCTATTGCCTATGGCTGCTTTCATGCCACAGAGGCAGAGTTGAATGGTGGTGGTGGAGATCATACAGCCCCTGAAGCCAAAAACATTGACTATCAGGCCCTTTATGGAAGAATTTTGCTGACCCTTATTCTATAGAATGGAACTTGGGAACCCTTATCATTTGTCATTCATTCCATTGTTCACTCAGTGGCTATTTACTGAGTATCTCCCATGCGTGCAGTGCTCTGTCCCATTCTGGGGATAAAACAGAGAGCTGAGAAAGATCCCTGCCTTGATGGAACTCACAGTCTGGGTCTGGAGCAGCAGAAAGAGGCTCATCAAGTAACCTTCCAAGCACCTTTGCAATCACAACAGTGAGGAGAGCTAAGAAATGGTACATGGGGTAAGCTTCCATGATGTACTGATGGTTATGCTAATTACTAAAGACTGTCAAATCAGGACCCAAATTGTCTAGTGCCAAGGTGGATGTCTTTGCTCCTTCCTTTTTCTGCCCTGAGACACTCTTCATTCTCAGTTGGGTTTCCCTTTTAGAATGACCTGTGACATGTGTCTTCTCCTCATGTGACACTCTTCCTCTTTCTAACCCCAGCACCTAGAACAAAGCCTGACACACGGGAGACACTCAGGGCATCACTGTTGAACAAATGAAAGAATTAATTCATTAGGAGAAGAAATGTAAGCAAATTCCTGGGCATCCCCAGGCCCCAGTTTTCTCATCAGTAGAATAAGAAGGATATGATGTACTCAAGCCTCCCAGCTCGGCATTCTGCAATTTGTCATGTCCTGAGAGCTGGACTCATCTGGCTTTCTGATTCACTCCTCTCTGTGGACATAAGGCAGACTCCCTCTGACTCAGCAGCCTGATGCATCTTCCTGAGTGACACATGAACTCTGCCCAAGGCAAGGCGGCCAGCCCCAATCCATTCCACGGATCACTGCTGACAGTGAATGGGAGTATACCTGGGGGTTTTAGCCAAGGTCTGCTCAAGGTCTTTGGCATAAAGGGAGGCCAGGTTGAACACACACCAGCAGGAAGAGAGATGACCTTGACTTCATAAATTGGCCATAAATTAGAGCTAAGAATCAGGAAGATTCTCCTTCCATGCACATTTCTAAATGGCAGTTTCAAGGCAGGTGGCTATTTTAAAACACAGACACAAACTCATAATTCACCCTCTTTGTCCCCCACCCTCCTACATGCCATTGATCTTTCTTTTTTTTTTTTGGAATCCTGAAACATGATCTTTAAGAAAAGACAACTGGACTCCAGGATTACTTCCTAGCTCTTCCTCCTCTAGAAGCCACCATTTCTCTTCGCTATCTAGACCCCAGGGAAGTGGCTTTGGCAAAAGCACATTTGCACCCATGGATCATTTGGTTTTCTTGTCCTGTTAACTGCCTGGTTCTGCAGCACCCAGAGCCAGATAATAGAGGTGTTCCTTCACCAGCCACAGCTACTATCAGGATCCCTCTTAGTCCGGAGGTAACAGAAGCAACTGGTTGAACGTGTTTCCTCCTGGGAAATCCTAAATGTTCCATATGGCAATAGGGAATCTAGAGTTGTGTTTCTCCTTGTATTAGGGATATTTTCCCTCTTTCAGTTTCTTCCCATTTTTTCCCATCTAAAATATGTTTTTTCCACTTTGCTGAGATGAAGACCAGCCAGAGAGTCAAAGGAAATGACAGACATGCCATAATAGAAAGAAAAAAATACAGACTTCTGAAGAATGAGTTGATTCATGCCATGAAAACTCACGATAAAAATATTCACTACTTTTTTTTGGCCACTTGTCATAGTGTGCTGCCTCTGCTAGGCAGCTGAAAGTGTCTCATATGAAAAGCTCTATTATCCTCCACAGAAATGACCTTTGGGACCCACCCAACGGTAGTCAATGGTAATATTATACTAACTTGCCCCCCAAGAGGAAAGAATGAAATAATAATACTTAAAATATGAATGCAGAGAAGTCCTCACTTAAACACAGTACTTCTGGTTCATAAATCAGTTCTGACACATTGAAGTACACATATGATGACTAGACGCAAGTTTATTAACACATTTTCTTTCTTTTTAGGTCTGAGAAACATATCTATTCAGAATCCATACATTTGTTCATTTTTTGAAGCTGACAGCTTGATAGGCAAAAAGTAAAGTGACAGATCATTTCAATATTTCTTTTAAATTCAAAACCAATTCAGTCAAAAGACCGAAGGAAAATATTCTACGGAGATAAAATGATAATGCAAACAATTGAAGACAGTCCTTTATTTTAGTGAAAACAGGTAATGTCTGTACTCTGGAGTCGGGCTGACTTCCTCCTCTTAACCTGCCCTGCAAGTCCAATTAGAATGGTTTTCTGCGGGGAGTTGTTTTCCATTTATACTTAGCCCGAACACGTATACCTACTTTTCAAACTCTTAGCTATTCACTTGACATTTGTCTTCTTCAGTCTTCACTAAATAGTCTTTGGACCCTTTGGGAGTCTTATAAGAGTTATTTTCTGAAAGTTAAAAACGTAGGACCTTATTTCGGCAGAGGTTAACTAAACCAGGCTTCAAAGAGGATTCTGAGGGCGACAGCCACTATAATGTCCATTCCTACTTTCCTTCACTAGGTGGCAGCACGTCACAACACATTTTTCAGAACAGTCTGGGGAAAATGCAGTTGAGCTAAAGTGAGGTTGGGGAGTCTCTGCGGGCTATGGGAGGAGGATACACATTAGGGCAGGTCAGTGCATGGAAAAGCTGGCGACACTTGTGTTTCCTATAGGTCCCCTTTGTTCCCAGTGGAGCTGGGGCCCTTCGTCTCTAACAAACCAGAAGTACTTGTACTAATGGAAGGGAGGCTATTTATTTCATAAAATAAATATAAACAAACAAGAAAATTGAAATAAGAAGTCCTCTGACCATGTGCACGTTGCTCCAGACACCAAAACATGAGAAAGCACTTCTGACCCAGTTTGTAAATTCGAGTTATAGTATTTTACGTTTGCTAAAATATTCACCTACCACAGTAAGAATTTTTGTTTATCTGATGCAACCTGTTTGGTGTTATAGGCAGATGCTAAGTTACAGGCTTTGTGGTGGATACTGGGCAACAGATGTGGTAAGAAGGGGAGCAGCCCAAGATGAAATTTCCTCCAAAACACCAGAGGTTCCTGTCTCAAGCAGAGAAATCATAATACTGCAACACATACTAGTTTGCAAAGGGCAAGTCGCTATGGCCAAAAATGATTGATTCAGAGGAAGAGGAAGGGAAGGAAGAAGAAAGAGAGGAAGAGGAGGGGAAGGACATGGAGGAGGGAAAAGAAAAGGAGAAGGAGGGAGAGGGAGAGGAGAAGGAGGAAGAGGATGAAGAGGAAGAAGAAAAGAAGGAGGGGAGGAGGAGTTTTAACTGAATACTGTATTTTTGCCTTAATGTAGGAAAGATGAAGGGGAGAAGGAGGTAACTGCTAGTGGACATTGAGAAGCTGTCAATACAGCAAGACCTTGCCAAAGGTTGATCAATAGCCTCTTTTTAAAATTAATACATAGTAGATGGATGTATTTTCAGTGTCTATGTGATAATTTGATACATCCATATTGTCAAACTAGGGTAACTGGGACATCCATCACCTTAAAATATTTATCTTTTCTACATGCTAGGAACATTGAAATTATTCTTTTGTAGCTATTTTGAAATGTACAATTGATTCATGTTAACTTGTCACCCTAATGTTAACTGGTCACCCTACTGATCTATCAAACACCAAGTCTTATTTCTTCTATCTAAGTGTATATTTATTCCCATTAATCAACCTCTCTTCATCCTCCCCTCCTTCCTACCCTTCCCTGCCTCAGATAACTACCAATCTACTCTCTATCTTCATGAGATCCCCTTTTTTTTAGCTCCCACATGTGAATGAGAACACGCAATATTTGTCTTTCTGTGCTTGGATTATTTCACTTAACACAACGACCTCCAGTTCCATCCACGGTGCCACAAATGACAGGGTTTCATTCTTTTTCATGGAACAGCCTTCCTTTGAAGAGAGACATTCACTCTCCTGCTAGAGACAGCCTCCACCTGGCCTGCTTCACCCATTTGTTATCTTCTTGTCCCTGTAAGCATTTGTGTTTGCAATCTGGGGTTTATAGATTCATCTTTCCTATAGTAGGGCTAAAATATCTTAGTTTAAACTCCAAGCCTAGGACAACAGCTGGCACATTACACTTGTTTTAAGGTTTGTTGAGTGAATGATGATAATAATAAAGATGATGATAATAATGAAACCGGCAATATTTATGAAGTTTCTTAACCAGGGCAGAGACTAGGGTAAGACAGTGATGCATCCAGGGAACAAAATTGAAAGGCACGCTCATTTTCTTTTTCTTTCTTTCTTTTTTTTTTTTAATTTTGAGACAGGGGCTGACTCTGTCCCCAGGCTGGAGTGCAATGGCATGATCTTGTCTCACTGCAGCCTCGACTTCCTCGAGCAATCCTTCCACCTCAGCCCCCAAATAGCAGGAACTTCAAACATGCAGCATCATGTCTGGCTAATTTTTGTATTTTTTGTAGAGATGGGGTCTCACCATGTTGCCCAGGCTGGTCTCAAACTCCAGGACTCAAGCGATCCTCCCACCTCAGCTTCCCAAATTGCTGGGATTACAGGCATGAGCTGCTGCACCCAGCTGAGGCCCTCGCTTTCAGGGTCACTTGCTTCATCTTGCTCCTAGCCTATTTATAACATAGGCCAGTTTTCTTTACATGATTTATCTCATTGGTAGGGCTTTTAAACATTTCTGTCTCTCATCACATGTATGAGTTACTACTAAACCGTGGGTATATAGTAGTAATTAAAAGCTCAGGCGCTGAGATCACAAAGATGTGAGTTCGAATTCTTGCTGTATCACTTGCTGAAGTCATACAGCAAGTAAGACAGGTCACACAGGTCACCTCTCCAAGTTCCAAGTTCCTCTACCTGTGTGTTAGGATTAAATGAGATAGGCCGGTAAAGAGCTTTGTCCAATACCTGCCACAAAATATAGTCATGCATTGCTTAATGACAGGGATGTGTCATTAGGCAATTTTGTCATTGAGCAAACATCATAAAGTACACTTAGACAAACCTAGATTGTATAGCCTCCTACACACCTAGGCTATATGGTATAGCCTATTGCTCCTAAGCTACAAATTTGTACAGCATTACTGTACTGAATACTGCAAGCAACTGTAACACAATGGTAAGTTTTGTGCATCTAAACATATAAAAGATACAGTAAAAATACATATTATAAGCTTATGGGACCACCATTGCATATGGGAATTGTTGCTGACAGAAACATTATGTAGCAGGACTGTACATAGCAGCTATAATAATAATAACAATAACAAGAGCAAAAATAACTTATTTTATTCCTATTACATTTATAAGGATTTCAGAGAAAAATTCATGTTCAGGTCATCAAAATTGATTAGTAGCTATTGTATGCAAAACATAGTGCCAGACATTTAGAGGAATATAAAAGAATATATAACATAGCTGCAAATCTAGACCAGGGATCAGCAAACTTTCTCTAAAAAGAAAGATAATAATTTTTTAAGGCTTTTTTGGGTCCTATCTTCTTCATGTCATTGCCATAAACAATATGTGAACGAATGAACATGGCTATGTTCCAAGAAAACTTTATTTACAAAAACAGGCAGTAGGCCAGAGTGGCTAACTCCTGATCTAGTTGATGAGTCAGGACAGGTACATGTTACTTATAAAAACACAACCACATCAGAAGATCACCCATGATCAAAAGAGTGGCTCAGACTATAGTGGTTTTGGAAGAGGCAAGTAACAGGATAATAACTGGTTGAGTGCAGGTAAGCAGAGAAGACAAGAAAGCAGCTGCTAGACAAGAAACTACCAAAACCATGGCGATGGAACATATCTGAGATTGGGTAGGAGTGGTTGGTAAGTAGGCTGGCTAGAGTGAAAATGGGAGAAATTCACAAAAATGCAAACAGGGCTGGAGAAGAAGGCTAGGTGAGAATATAAAGAAGGAAGACCATGAGACTGAGTTTTTTGTTTGTTTAATTTAATTTAATTTTTTATTTTTATTTTTTTTTTAAGATGGGATTTCACTGTATTGCCCAGGCTGGAGTACAGTAGCACAACCACAGCTCACTGTAGCTTCAACCTCCAAGGCTCAAGCAATCCTCCCACCTCAGCCTCCTGAGTAGCTGGGACCACAGGTATGTGCCACCATGCCGGGCTAATTTTTTAAAAAAATTTTTGTAGAGACAGGGTCTCACTGTGTTGCCTAGGCTGGCCTCAAACGATCCTCTTGCCTTGGGCTCTCAAAGTGCTGGGATTACAGGAGTGAGCCACCACACTCAGCCAAGTTTTTACAAAAAGGAAGTATCTGCTGTGCTCCCAATCTGGCCAGTGAGGTTTGCAATCCACTCAGGAAATAATAAGCTAATTTTACCCTTTATGAGCTGGGTTGCTAAATTCCTACCTGGCCTTAAAGGGGTAAGTCGAATTTAGTGATTGTGATATGGGAGCAAAGTGTCACCACACTAGTGTTTGGCATTTATTTCGAGTGATATAGTGTGTCTTATGAAAAATGGGCCAGGCACAGTGGCTCACACCTGTATCCCAGTACTTTGGGAGACCGAGGTGGGCAGATCACTTGAGGTCAGGTGTTCAAGACCAGCCTGTCCAACATGGTGAAACCCCATCTCTACTAAAAATACAAAAATTAGCTGGGCGTGGTGGTGGGCACCTGTAATCCCAGCTACTTGGGAGGCTGAGGCAGGAGAATCACTTGAACCCAGGAGGCGGAGGTTGCAGTGAGCCAAGATTGTGCCACTGCACTCCAGCCTGGGCAACAATGCAAGACCCAATCTAAAAAATAATAATAAAAATAAATTTAAAAAAAAGAAAAATGGAGCTCTGCTCACCACCTATCATCTGTTCTTACTCTCATGAGCAGGCTTGGGCCCAGGCCTGGGCATCTCAGTGTCTGCAAGTGAGATGACTGGGAAAGAAGATTTGTTCAAATAAGTCACCCTGCTATTGGAGAGAGGCTGGACCCTAAGAGAGCCCTTCCCTCGAGGAGCGGGCTGAGATACTGTATCCCTGGGAGAAGGTTGGAGGTGAGGCTCCATCCCTGGGAGAAGGTCGGAGGTGAGGCTCCATCCCTGGGAGAAGGTCAGAGGTGAGGCTCCATCCCTGGGAGAAGGTCAGAGGTGAGGCTCCATCCCTGGGAGAAGGTCAGAGGTGAGGCTCCATCCCTGGGAGAACATCGGAGGTGAGACTCTAGGGATGAGTTAGAAATTTGGCCTGGGACCTCCCTCCGCCCCTCTCCTTCCCTAATCTCCAACACACCCTGTATCTATTTTCCTGAATGAGTTGACCCTATCCTAATTTCAGAGAGTTTAGGAAGCGATATCAACCAAATTGGCTCTAGACAAAATACTAGTGACTAATAAAGTCAAGCAAAGGTGCTCATTCTTACTAGTAACCAAGGACTTGGAATACCTTAGAAGGGGATTACAAGTGGAAGATCCAAGAGCTATGGGAAAAGGGTTCTGCTGTTCAAGTTGAAATTGTAATATGGAATATCATAGGATGAGTATATCTCAAGATGTAAATGACTCAGATTTTAATCTCAAAAACATATGAAATAAAGGATTACATTAATAAGAATACTGATATTTAGGAGCACAAAATAGCAAGGTTTACTCTAATACCAGAATCCTGGAAACTTGCATAGCAGCTACAACTAGAATTCAAGTTCAGCCTCACCGTGGGCTGGACCAGCAGATCTCAAAGTGTGGCCCCCAGATCAGCAGCAGCAGCATCACTTGGGAATGTGTTAGCCATGCAGATCCTCAGGCCCCATCCCAGGTGTACTGAATCTGAAACTCTGGGGATGGAACACCCCAAATCTGTAATTTAACCAGACCTCTAGGTGACTCTGGTGCACTCAAAGTTTGAGAACCACTGGTCTATCTAGAATACATAGTGTGCTTGTTCCAAAGCAATTGTCCTTACCACGACCCAAAGAGCCTCACAGAATAGATTTCGGAAAGTACGTGTGCGTGTGTGTGTGTGCGTGTGTGTGTGTGTGTGTGTGTGTGTGTGTGTGTGTGTGTGTTGAAGTTTCTCAGGTATTCAGGTATGTTCCTCTGGTTTAAGAACCACCACTGTGCCAGGCCTCTCAACAGTGGCTGCACAAGTGAAATTATTCAGAGAACTTGAAAACATTCTGGTGACTGAGTTCATCCCCAATTCTCATATGCTTGGTTAGAAATACAGTCTGGCCAGGAGGACGTGTCAGAGTTCCTGGGTGATTCTAACATACTGCCAAGATCATTTAGCCCATAGAAGAATCACCAGGAGAATTTGTTAAAACAGATTCCTCAGCCCTACCTTTCAGAGATTCTCCAGGTTTAGGGTTGAACTCCAACATTTTTATTTCTATTAAGCTCCCAGGCCATGTGCTGGCTTGCAGACCGCACCTCGAGTAGTCCTGCTCTAGGAGAAACATGTTTATATTTTAGATACCTGAAATCTTCTTTGGGCTGGGATGGCCAACTTTCCTCCATCTGTTCCTCCTCTAAATTCCTATAAACTTACTGTTCTTTCTAGAGGACACTCCAATTAAGTTATTAACATCTTATAGAGGCAAGATCTATGTTTTCCCCATCTTTGGGTCACTCCTAGCACCTAGGGATTTGCACACAGTAGGTGTTCAGCTGAATAATGCAGTCGAATCCCTGAGCTGGTTTCAGGTGTTCATTTTCTCCCTATCTGATCTGCTAGCCAGGTCAATCCATTATGGCCCTGGTCTCATGGAAAAGAATCAAGGCATCTATTTTTTGAAGATGATGTGAAGGTAAATATACGTCCAGTCCTAGAGATTTAGGTTGCTGAGGAGGCTGTTCCAATAATACCCCAGATGAAGTACAGCCATCTGGAGAGGTTTTGGCATCCATGCAAACCTACTGCTGAATTCGTTCCTTGAAGACATTCATTTTAGGATGGTATTTCCAATTTGGCATATAACAGAGCCATGCAAATCAATGAGGATTTAGAATCTCTACTTACGGAGGGCATCTTATTTAAAGCGTGTCCCTGACAAAGCAATATCAAGGGAACACAATTGGAAATCTCTTGGAGAGGAGTAATTTCTCTAGAAGCAGTTTTAGCTATAGCAGCGACCGGAACAGCAATGAGCTCCCTGAAATACATCCAAATTTTTAGTATTCCACTTGGCTGGGCTGCCTTCTTCAGAGCCCAATCATAGGGACAGAACTTAATAATGAGTTCATTTTTCTTGTCACACTAGAGCAATTCAGTTGCAATGCTATTCATAAGGTGTATGTTGCCATTGAATTCTTTCTCAAAAAAAAACAAAAAAAAAAAAGCTCAAGCCAAGAGTAGAGCCCCATGTCAGTCTATATGCGCTAACAAAATACCTTAGACTGGGTAATTTATAAACAACAGCAATTGATTGCTCACAGTTCTAAAGGCCGGAATGTCCCAGATCAAGGCGACAACAGATTCAGCATCTGGGGAGGGTTTTTTCTCTGCTCCATAGATGGCACTTTCTTGTTTCCCTGCATGGTGGGAGGGACAAACAGCCTCCCAAGGGCTTCTTTCATAAGGGCACCAATACCATTCCTGAGGGCTCCACCCTCATGATCTAATCATCTCCCAGAGGCCCCATCTCCAACACGACGGCATTGGGATTTCATTTCAACACATACATTTGGGGCAGATACAAACATTCAGACCATAGCAGCCCATAACATCTAGCATGATACTATTTCAACATGGACTAATGGTAAAAACATGGATTGTTTTTATTTATTTGGCTACTTGTATAGAATGGGTCAAGAAGCTCAGAAGAGGGGACTGGTGAACATGGGGGAAAAAAGTAGTTTGGAGGCTGGTAAGTTATTAAAAATGTGTTAACTTGTAGCTTGAGAGACAGCATAGTATCATATCAAGTAACATGGACTTTGGAGGTAGATTGCCTGAGATCAAAGCTGAGCTCTACCATTTACTCACTAGGTGACTCTCAGCAATTTATTTAACCTTCTGAAGCCTCAGTTTCCCCATCTGTAATATGGGCCCCCAAATGACACCTATTTCATAGTACTGTTTGGAAGAGCACTTGAGACAATTATATACTGTATGTACATACACATACATACATATATATACACATATATGTAATATGTGTAATATGAACACATCTAACTTTATTCTAGTTATGGAAGCACTTTTCTTTTGGATTTCTCTTTCTCTCAAACCCCCCAACCCCCACTCTCCTAAGGACACCTGGCCCAAAAAGGGAAATCATACTTTTTCTTTTCTTTATTTCACTATTCTTATTCTAAAGAAACCCACAGACTACAGACAGCAGTTTACTTAGAAGGCTCTGGGCTTCAGGGAATCTAGATGTCCAAGTTGAAAGTCAGCTGCCTGGAACATGGAGTGGGTGACCTCTGGGGGCACTCAGGGGCCCTTCCTTCCAGGCTTCGGGCACTGTCACTGAGAAGCAACTCCCTTGGGGGAGGGGTGCTTTTGGTCATAGCGGTTGAGTCAAGTTATCAGATGTCAAATAGCTTATAGGAGTTCAAAGTGAGCCTATCTCCACCACTGCTAACCACGAACTGCCCATCTGAGCATGATGAAATTGGCCCCCTTCCCCTCTCCCCTTGCTACTTAATTGCTCACAAATCCAGCAAATTGCAGGACCAGCCTCTAGGGGGCACCAGAGACCTTTCCTTTCAGAGCCCAAAATGCCATTTCAGTAGCAGCAGAGTAGTGTGTCCTGGAGCTGGAGCATGGTCCAGTGTCTCTTGTGCTTTTTGGCCTACTGAGTCCTTAAGTATATTTAATTTAATTTGGGTAGGGTGGTAGAGGGTTCCTTTTAACAGTGTATTCATGATTTCTCTAGCATTTCTTCAGGAAAGTTATTTATTTCTTTTAGATATAGAATTTTTACCATTGGTCCATTCACTCAAAATCACTTCAAAAAACATTTGCTAAGCTTCCACTATGTGCAAGAGTGTCCTGGGCATACAAAAAGTAAAAAGCCATGGTGTGTGCTGTCACAGACTCATTCTAGAGCAGCGTGGTCCCACAGAACTGTCTATGATGATGGAATGTTCCACATCTGTGCTGTCCAGCTCCGCAGCCAATGAGCCACATGGGGCTCTTGAGTACCTGAAAAACAGCTGGTAGGATGGAGGAACTGAGCTTTTAAATAGGCAAATGTGGCTAGGAGCTACCATACTGGACAGCACAGTGTATTAGTTTGGTGCAAAAGTAATTGTGGTTTTGGCCATTTTTAAGTGGATTGGTAAGCCTGGCTATTTAAAGTGTGGTCCACAGAGCAGGAGAATCACTACACCTGAGAGCTGGTGGAAATGTAGATCTCTGACGTTAGCATAGGCTTCCTAAATCAGAAACTGCATTCTAACAAGATCTCCTGGTGCTTCTCATGCACAGTAAAGTTTAGAAAGTTAGGAGATGCATACAAGTGGTTCTCATCCTGACTGCACTTCAGACACAACTGAGAAACATTAAAAGAAGCTGAGCCTAGGTCACACCCTCCACCCAGAGATTCTTAGGTTAATGGTTTAAAGGCTTGGCCTGAACATGAAGAGTTTTAAAAGCACTCTGGGGGATTCTAATAAAAATTCGAGAACCATCCCAGCATAAGTCAGTACGGTGGCTCCAAAACTGGAGATCACCAGGAGTGCTTGTTAAAACACAGACTGCTGGCTCCAACTCGCGGTTTCTGATCCCTGGGTCTCGGTTGAGCTCTAAGAACCCTCATGTGTAACAAGTCCCCAGTAACGCTGATGCTGCTGATCCAGGAACCACACTTTGAGAACCACTGGTCTAATCATTTTAAAAGATGGGCTCCAGAATTGGACTAACCTGAGTCTTGGACCTGCCACTTACTTAGACCCTGAACCTCAGTTTCCCAAACTGTAAACTTGGGCTATGAATATTTACTCATCGAGTTATTGTGAATATTAACTCAGAGAATGACTGTGAGATGCTGGGCATAGTGCCTACTTTTAATAAGCAATCAATAACTGTTCCTTACTATCATGATCCTAAGAAGACTCACTCATTCATTCATTCAACAAGTATGAACTATGTGTCAGGCACTGTTCCAGGTACTAGGGACATAGCGAAAAACAAGGGGGCCACAGTCCCTGCCACATTGCTATCATGGAAGCTGCAGTCCTACCTGTCAGTACAAAGCAGGCTGCGTATGGTGCTCCTATAGCACGAATCCTAACAGCACAATACAAAGGTCAGAGAGGAATTCATTCCAATGGATGAGAATGGGAAAGCTGCACACAGGAGCTGGAGTCAGAGCTGTGCCTTAATGGGGAGAAGGATTACAACCTGCAGAGTCAGGGCAGGAACTTACTCATGACCAGGCACAGGGCAGAGACAGCAAGAAGATGCAGCTAGCAGCCTAGTGGAGCTGGGGCAGGAAGTACAGGGAAAGGGGAGGCAGGAGGCAGGGCTGTGCATATGGGGATGCCAACCAGGGTCTGCCTCCACTCTCTGGCCAAACCATACTATTTGTGTTTGTTTAAATCCCAAACACTGAAAATTACTGATGTCAGGAAACTGAAACCAGGCCACAGCTTTCATTCTTGATTATTCTTACCAAATGCAGAGGCCAGTCAACAGAAGGTCCAGAGATTCACAGAATCATCCTGACCCTGCCTGAAGGTGGGGCGGGGCTCTTCAGCCAAGCAGGTGGCCTTGGGCCCAGATGCTCCATTGAAGCAGAGGAACAGAGAGATGCTTGAGACTTCAGCTGAGCCCTGGGTGGGGTAACCATTAAAAGGAAGAGTGGTGTGCTGACCCCATCCACCGCTTCCCTTAGGAAAATGGTGGCCTACCACCACAACTCTTTGGTCTCATTTGGGTTTCTCTGTAAACTCCAGAAAGCAATAAAGCATGATTCCTAAAAAAGAGGGCTACTAGGTGGAGGTTATGCAGACCTAATATGTTCCCCTCAGTCACTGCAGCTGCACAGGAAGGGGCACCCAAACCTCAGAGTAAGTTGCGTAAGAACAACAGACAACAGGCAAGTCTGTCTAGTAACTCACCTGTTCCCATGAAAAGAAAAAAAAATGTCACTCCATGCAAATGAGGGGTGTGGGAGGGTGTTGAGCTTCAATAAGGCTCTCCCCAACGGTCTCCTCCCTAACAGGCTGTAAAATAACATGAAGCATGGCCCCAAAGGGCCGTGAATGACCCCTGGAGCAAAGGACTCCAAAAGGCTCTGCAGAGCTTTTGGCACATCTGAACAGGGGCCCGGATCCCAGCGCACCCTCTTCTGGGCTCTGACTTTGGCAAGTTACTCAACCCCTCAGAGCCTCAGATTCCTCTTTGGAAATAATAATGGGAATAATAATATGCCCCTTTTGGTAGGCAGAACGATGACCCTCAAAGATGTCTGTGTTAATCTTGGGACCTGTGAATATGGTCATCTACATGCCAGAAGGAAATGAACGCAGCAGGCAAATTAAGGTTGCTGATAGGCTGACCTGGAGATGGGAAGAGTATCCTGGAGTATCCAGGTGGGCCCAATGTAATCACAAGAGTCCTTAAAAGTAGAAGAAGGAGGCAAAGAAGAGATGGCAGGAAGCAAGATCAGAGTGATGCAAGGTGGGGATGCACCCTTAGTTGCTGGCTGTGAAGGTGGAGAAAGGGGCCATGAGCCAAGGGGTGTAGGTGGCCTCTAGAAGCTGGAAAAGGCAAGGACATGGAATCTTCCCTAGAGCCTCTGGAGAGACCCATGTTGGACTTCTCACCCACAGAACTGCTTGGAAATAGAAAACTTCTACACCATTTTGCAAGGTTGTGAGGCTGATGCTTGGCACTCAGCAAGGCCTCTCTCTTTCTTCCTTCCTTCCTTTCTTCCTTCCTTCTTTCCTTTCTTCCTTCCTTCTTTCCTTCCTTCTTTCTTTTCTTTCCTTCCTTTTATTTTCCTTCCTTCCTTTCTTCCTTCCTTTCCTTCCTTGCTTCCTTTCTTCCTTCCTTCACTTTCTTCCTTCTTTCCTTCCTTCCTTCTTTCCTCTTTCCTTCCTTCCTTCTTTCCTTTTCTTTTCCTTCCTCTTTCTCTGTTTCTCTTTCTCTCTTTCTGACTTTCTTTCTTTTCTTTTCTTTTCTTTTTTCTTTTCTTTAGCAGGGTCTTACTATGTTGCCCAGGTTGGTCTCAAACACCTGAGCTCAGGGGTCCTCCTGCCTCATCCTCCCCAGTAGCAAGGCCACTTTCTTCTCTAGGCTGTTATTAGCTTCTGTGGGTACACACCATGCTCCACACATACTAGGCTTCATTCTCCCTGTCTTAGCCCATCATTGCAGCCTCCACTGAGCCCCAGCCTCTCACAGAAGCCTATCCTCATTCTCCCACCCACATGAGCTCTCACTCCTCTGAACTCCCATGGCCTTTACAGCCTGTACCTTGCAATTACGGGCTTAATTATATAGTGGGTAGTGTTACCTGCTGTCACTGCATGTGTGTTTATTTTGGTTCCAAAATGAGATTGAAACTTTAGTCTCAAACAGGAACAATGTTTTGTCCTTTTGTTGTTGTTGTTTTTAAGCACCTGTGCTTTTTTTATATAATCCTGTTTTTATTGCCTTCTGACACAAAAAAAGGACTATTTTGGGCATATATTTATAAGCAGATACCCTACATCATTGCAACTGCCCTGTGATTGGGCATTAACTCATTTTTCTATTTTCTAGCAGAGTTTACTGAAGGTTTTAAGGTTTAAGGTCTAAGGCCAGTTCTGATACAGACAATAGAATCAAGTTTATAGTTTTCCAATCATGGTTCCAATGACCATGGTCCCTTATCATATGCCGATTTCATCAGTCAAAGAACAGGGGATGGTGTTGGAAATCACAGTACCAGTAGGATACAGGGTGGCCCGGCATGTGTTCCTCTCATCCCAGTGCTGAGCACACAGTAGGTAATAAAAATGGGCTAGAAAACTGGCTGGTGAGTGCATCATTACTTTCCTCCTACTCCCTTCTTTAAATCCTACAAGATCACCCTCAACAAAAACATACACACAGGCAAGGTGCAGTGGCTCACACTTGTAATCCCAGCACTTTGGGAGGCTGAGGCGGGTAGATCACCTGAGGTCAGGAGTTTGAGACCAGCCTGGCCAACATGGCGATCCCGTCTCTACTAAAAATACAAACATTAGCTGGGTGTGGTGGCAAGTGCCTGTAATCTGAGCTATCGGGGAGGCTGAGGCAGGAGAATCGCTTGAACCCAGGAGGCAGAGGTTGCAGCGAGCCAATATCGCACCACTGCACTCCAGCCTGGGCAACAAGGGCGAAACTCCAAAACACAAAAACAAAAACAAAAAAACATACACACAAACAGAGGCAGCACAGCCCATTGACCTACCTTGGGGATACATTCCCAAAAGAGAATGAGACAGACGGACATATGAGTTCTCCTTGGAGCATGTTATTCAAATCTCAAAATAAGATAAAGCTCTCATTTCAAGGTGCATTTATTTTAGTGAGGTTTGGATTTGTAAGGGAAACAAAATGAATAAGTTGGTGGGTGGGGACAGGAATTAAAATAAGCAGCGTCTTGCTGCTTGCCGACATGACTGTCCTCACATCCGCTGCCTTATTTTTTATTCTGTTCTGGTTTGTTTTCTCCTGCGGTGCTTTAAAATATGATGGGTAGGTTAGAAAGAGAGACCGAGGTAATCCTGGCTTCTGTTCATTAAGCTCGTATGAAGTACGTGCTGTGCTACTCACATTACCTCGGTGAATCCCTATGAGGTGGGTGCTGTAATTAGCCCATTGTACAGGTGAGATAACTGAGCCTGAGGCAGATAAAATGCTCATGCTGAGCGACCCATCAGCAAACAGTTTAGCCAAGATGTGGACTGAGTTGGTGGAGCTCAGAGCTGAGCTTTAATCTACTCTGCGCCAATATCCGGGGTGTTCTTAAGCCCCAGTCTCTCTGTCCCAGATGGAGCAGGTCGGATCTCCAAGCTGCTGAGGGGCACTAGGACTCGGGAGACACCAGGCTAGCTCTGCATTCTTCTGGTCCTCCTGGCATTTCTAGAAACTGGAGGTGGGCAAGGAGGAGGGGGAAAGAGGAGCCAGGAGAACACGGAGTCTTAAATAAGATCTCTTCCCTCTCTTCCTGCCTGGAGTGAAGCCCTTTATGAGTAAGCACCGATGGAGGGATGCCAACACAACACAGCAAAACTAGCCCTGTCATTCCCAACCCAGGCCTCACAACTCCAAATCATTCAAGGGGTAAGGACACAGAAAGAAGAGCAGAGGAAGAGTGTGGACATAAAGTCAGACCACATACTGGGGAATGCACCCCTCCCACCACTCCCAGGAGATGTGACCTTGGACAAGATAATCTCTCTTAGCCTCAGTTTCTTCATCTGTAAATGGGGAAATGACAAGTCCTGCCTCATAGGTTTGCTCTGAGGATTAAGTGAGTCCGTGTCTGTGAGGGGCTTTCCAGAGTGCCCATCACACAGTAGGAGCTGACTACATAGTAGTGTCTCTATGAGTACACCGTTACATGCACTAGGATGATCTGCACAATGAATATATTCTGTACTATACAACACGCAATCATATGCCGACAATTGAAAACTAAACACGGTGTGGGGAGCGTTCTGGGACAGGTAAGGGCAGGGACCCTGCATTCACTCTGGTTTTTATCTCCCACAGAGCCAGCTACCGCACAGTCCTGTACCCTCAGCAGGGCCAGGAAAGTTTGTGCAGGAGAATGGGGATAGACTTCGGTTTCCTGCATCTTATCCCAAACCTCAGCCAGAAAAGGCAGCACCCTTCCACTTTCCAGGAGAAGGGCAGCCATGCCTGAAATGCCCCTATTTAATGGGATTATTTCTTCTCCTTTATAAGTCATATCTCATGGGAATGTTCATTTTCTCTCTGGAAGCTCATTGGTACAATGGTTGTTTCACAATGTAATAACCCATGTATTAAGTCAGATGAGAACCTCCTTGAAATATTATTGTACTGAATTCTCTTCCATAACAGGGAGATCAGTTTTAGATTTCACCCAAGGAGATTTCGCTACCAAAGAACCTAAAGCATTTCATTAAAGGTGCTTTCTCCTACAAGAGGAAAGAGGTTTTTTTATTTTTGTTATTATTATTTCATATCCCAAAAGGTTATTGTTCTATGTGTTCAATTTCAATAGTACTTATGCTTCCTAACCATACCGTATCATTTACTTCCTTATTAGGTTCAGTGTTTCCTGCTTTCCCAACACTGCAGTATAGGAGGGTAGGGGGATAGGACTCTATTTCTTCACTGTTGTTTCCCAATCATCTGGAATGGTACCTGACATATAGTAGATGCTCAATAAATATTAATATACAAATGGAAGCACATTTAGAGCACATTTCTTTTGGAAAGCGACCACAGTTGATACAAAGATGTATCTCATTAGAAATTCATTTCCACCTCTTTTATTTCCTATTCAATTTTTTTCACCCCCATTCTGTGTTTGTGCCAATAGATTTTTTATGAGATCACAACATATCTCCAAAAATCAGAATTAAATCATCCACAGGAAGGCTATGGATTTCAAAGCATACCAGAACTCCTGGCCCTAAAATGCTTCAGGGAACGTGTCACTCACCACAAGGAAGCTGGGCTCCACACTTTTACCGGGGGCATGTTCTGCTCACTGCAGAGGAGGATGTCTCCACCACAGTCACCAGGGAGCCCTTCCATCACCCAGGCCCACAGGGGACCAAGAGACAATGGACACTGGCAGAAAGTGCAGATTCATGAAGTGTGAGGACTAGAAGGTAATTTCATTTAAACCCCCATTCTTCAGATGAGAAAACTGAGGATCCAGAAAAGCAAAGTGGTTGTTCGAGTGCACAGGGTAATTAAGCACAGCTCAGTGAAGAAGGCAGATCCCACCTCTCCCCTTCCCCATCGATTTCCCTGTGTGTGCATGGGTATGTGTTTGAACTCTTAGCAACAAGATGTTTTAAAAGGAGTCCCTGTTAACAACTCATCCATAATTTTGACTCAGGGGTGCTGCTGATAGAATTCTACTAGCTTCCCTGTCCACCCCAATGACCTAGATCCCAAATTTCCCATTAATGACCCAAGAACCTTAAAGACTTTCTGAGCTAAAAGATTCTTCGAAGTCATCTAGCCAAATCTTTATCTTACAGATGAAAAACAACAGGCTAGGTAAAGAAAATTGAGCTCCCAGGTCACAAAGCCAGTTAGCAGTGAAGCTACAGCAGCTGGGACTGCTGGCACCCAGGGCCACGTAAGTTACACTGAGGACACTTCTCAGATTTGTGTGTGACTCTACTAGCCTCATCAGGATAAGGAGAAAATAAGGAGGAATCAGGATACGATACGGAGAAAATAAGGAGGAATCAGGATACGATAAGCAAAAAATCCAGTCTAACCAAGCATATCTCAGGTCCAAAACAAAAACTTTTCCTTAGAGCAAGAGAATATAATTCTAATGAGAAAACTGTAGCAAAAGAAATCTTTTTAGGATATGGACACATACATATATATATATATGCATGCACACGTGTATGTGCATATAATATAGAGATTACCACACATACTATATTAAGAAGATGCTTATTTTTTAAAAAAATACTTGACACTAGGTATATAATAAATTCCCAGTGCTAGCAATGGCATCAAAATGGATTGCTAGCGGAAGCCTATCTTGACACAACATTTTTTAAGTTATCCATCAATGTCTGCACAAAAGAAAATACACATATTCTTTGAACCAGCAGTTCCTCTTCCAGGAACCTGGAACTATTGATAGAATTAGAATTATACAAATATATGAATAACAGTGTTTATTAAACCATTGTTTCTAGCAGCAATAAAAGGAAAAGGAAAACATTCAGGTGGTCTATCATTAGGGTTATGGCTGAATATACTGCGATACAAACAAATTATGGAATTTTATGCAACTCTTACAAAATGAGTTATCACAGAGCTGACGGAATGTCCATCATGATTAGTTAGGAAGCCAAATTGTGGTGCAATGTAATTATTTGAAACAATTTCTTATACAAACACCACCATCTCTAAAACACTATCATGTGTGCACATGTGAAGGCCTGGGAACCGTGGGTGTCTAAAGGAGGAGGCAGTGATGGAGGCAAGGGGAAAAGATGATGAATGCTCTCTTCACACATCTTTGTTTTCATTGATTACAATGCATGCATATTACTTTTTAAATAATTAAGCCAAAAATCCTAAAAATAAGGACAGAAGGAACCCACAAATAGTCCTCCAGGTTCTGTTTCGGCCTGCCTTCTTCCCTAGTAGACCCCATGACAGCAGGAATACTCTGAATTCAGGGAAAAAATGAAATCAACGCAGCAATGAGAAACTTGAAGCTGTCTCTCTAAGCCCTGGGCTTCCATGACTATCCTCTGGTCAAGTTACTTTCTCCACTAAAGTGTTCTAGTCCTGGTCCAGGAGGTGCCCTGTACAGTACAGCCCAGCAGCACTCTCCCCTTAACACAGAAAGGGACCTCAGTCTCCTGTAAGGTGAGAGATGACTCAAGAAGCTTCATCTCTCCCTGCCCTACAAAGAACCTTGTACCTATAAATAGACCATGCAGAACCCACTTTTTGGAAGCAGACCAAAGCTAACTTTGGCAGGCAGGCCTCTGGGGTACCTGAGCCAGCCACTCGGAAAGTTGGCCTTACCCCCATGGGCTTCTTAATCCAGTCCTGACTCTAAGTTCCTGAATGAAAAGTGACAGAACCATGAACATAAAGGCCCTGGCTGTGACAGTGATGACCACTAGGCTTTGACAATGATAAAACTGCACTGCCTGAAGCGCAAACTGTGCAAACCCTTTGGGGCTAGTGCTCCAAAGAGAGCTGCCACCATCAACTTCTAAAACTCCAAGAGCCCGTTGTTCACATTAATACATACAACATTGTTTGTAGGGAGACAGCCCCCTCATCCACTGCAAATTCTGTCCTTCAGCCATGACTCAGGAACCAGGAAGGAGAAGGAAAGAGAGGCTGACTTACCAAGCCAACTTCTGTTTAAGTACACAGACACAAACACGGGGGGCACCGTGAAGAAATCCACTACAGAGTTCACTTCCAGCCAGAACCACAATTTATCGTTGGCTGCAATAAACTGGGGGAAAGAAGAAATAAGAAAGAGAAAAAACATGAGAAGCATGGTGCTGGCATCCAATGTACACTCTTTTGTCAAAGGGTAAGTTTTGAGTTTTCATAGGGCCACCACGCCCGGCTAATTTTTGTATTTTTAGTAAAGATGGGATTTCACCATGTTGGCCAGGCTGGTCTCGAGCTCCTGACATCAGGTGATCCACTCGCCTCAGCCTCCCAAAGTGCTGGGATTACAGGCATGAGTCACTGCACTCGGCCTATTTCTATTTAATTTTTAAGGTCTGGAGGGAGACATTATGTCCTTCTCATATCTACACAAAGCACATGCTTTTATGATTGGACACACACGTTTTCTAGTGCCCCATAGAGAGCCCTATATAGACTAACTATATGCTATGCTAGTCTTAAGAGAAAGATCAGGCAGTGTATTTTTCTGTGGTTCCCAACAGCTTCATAGGGAAGATTGGGTGATTTTACTTGTATTAGACTCATTCATGTAAATATAACTATAAATAAAGCACATATGTACGCATTCACACACACACACACACACACACACACAAAATTCCATCCATCTACTCTCCTCACCTTCCTTTCATTCATACTCACAACTGCTCTCTCAGGGCTCAGCTAAGTGAACACTGCTAAACGTAATTTTAAGAGCTGAAGAGGTTTATTTCTATTTACTTTTGTTTTGTTTTATTTTTTTGAGATGGAGTCTTACTCTGTTGCCCAGGCTGGAGTGCAGTGGCGTGATTTCAGCTCACTGCAACCTCTGCCTCCCAGGTTCAAGCAATTCTCCTGTCTCAGCCTCCTGAGTAGCTGGGATTACAGATGCCCGCCGCCACGCCTGGCTAACTTTTGTATTTTTAGTAGAGATGGGATTTCACCAGGTTGGTCAGGCTGGTCTCGAACTCCTGACCTCAGGTGATTCACCCGCCTCAGCCTCCCAAAGCTGGGATTACAGGCGTGAGCCACCACACTCAGCCTATTTCTATTTAATTTTTAAGGGAACAGGGCATTATGTGAATAGAGAGATGAGAAACAATCCACCGGTGGATACATCATCATTTTTCTTCAATCCCTATTTCTCCCCCTTGAAACAAAACTGATGTGAATTCCAGAAAATGCTTAGCTAAGGAGAGGGCTCTCTCTCAGACTGAAAATCAGAATGCGGGTGCGCTGTTTCTCCTGGAAATATCTTGACTGCGAGAGCAGAGGCTGAGGGGGATGATCCCTGGGTCCCAGACTGAAACACCCCATTGTGATACTGAACAATGTTGCACAAACTTACCCGCAAGCCGAAGTAGAGAAGGAAGAACACGTTGAAAGCCATGTCGATCTGTAATGTGAAATCTTTGTAGAAATTCTGGCAGGATTCTATTGGGCTATTAGACAGGAAGAAGAAAAAGCAAGAGGTAAATGACAGGTAGTATCATCCTGTCTCCCACGATGCTGAGAAGTGGTAGTGCTTAGGGTAGACGATGAAATGAATATTCATAAAAGAAAACATTTGGTCTTTCTGCCTCCTGGGATCATCAAGCAAGCATTGCCAAGGGGTCTTTCCATTCAACCATTCAGGAACTACTGTTCTTTTATTTATTGTTTTCGAAATTATTATATACTATCATTTTTTATCATCATTCAGCAGTTGAACTAAGAATCTAAAGAGGATCATGCAGATACCCTGGAGGAAGGACAAGCAGGAGAGGCCTCCAAATTCCTTAATTTCATATTAACCCTTAAAGAACTTCTTTCTTTCTTTGAGAGGACACATACTAAAGCTAAAACACAGTTCCTCATGCCCTCCAACGCATTGGCAGTGGGGCCTGTTTTCAATTAAACACAGTGGTTGTGTTTTGGACCTTTTAAAAACCATTAGTTGATTAATAAATTCAGGACCCAGGAGCATCTCAAGAAAGCTAGAGAGGAGAGGATCCTGGGTGAGGTTCTGGCTAGATTAAGCACAGACTTTCTGTGCAGGACTCGGATCTGGGGAAAGAAGCATTGTCCGACCAGTCAAATTCAGACCATTAAACCAAAAGGTTGAAGCAGTACTCTAAGGGTTAATTTTTTTTTTTTTTGGCATGCATGCTAATTGACTTGGTGTGTGTGTCGAGCAGCCAATGCAAACCCCTAGCACACTCTACTTCAAGAGTCGCCAGTTCAAAAGGGTACTACTATACAAACTGGTACAAGACTTCTGTGTGCTTTCCTGTGTCAAACTGATCAGAGGATCAGTGTGTGGAAAGTCCCAAGGTTTGGGCTGGGTGGGAAGTAGGAAAGCCTCATAAACACTCAAAGCTGTGAATGGAAATTCACATAGTATTCTGTGATCAGTAGGTAAATAGTAACACCCAGGCCAGGAACGTGAAGGTGAAGTGAGGTGAGGGAAAGGAGACAGAATACCAAGAGAAGCAAAACACTTTAGCTAAAGGGAAGCGACAGACCTCCTCCCTCCAGGAGAGGGCCAGCTTGAGAAATGGAAGATGAAGGATTTCCTAGTAGTGCCACTTTGGAAATCACTGTGTGCAATACCAGTTAGTATAGTTGCACTTCTGTAAGGACAACGCTTGGCTGTTCAACAGGCAGGAATCTGTGCAGTAGAGGAACTCGGGGCCCACTTAGAGGCAGGGTAAGTTAGTCTGTGGGAATCTCCGATCATGTTCCATGCACTGGATTTATCCATTCTTCATCTCTGCTACAAGTCAAACATGCCCTATATCATCTCCCAAATCACGTGGAAAAATCTCCAGACAAGCATTAAGAGTAACCTTTATTTGCATTCACAAACTAGGTGGACTGAACAAAAAACAACACTGAAAAACAGTTCAAAAAAAAACAAAAAACAAAAAAAAACGACAATTGCCAGGTTTTCACTAAGGTAGGGAATTGGGTAGAAAGACAGCATGGAATTTGGTTAGTCCAATGCTGAAAGGAGACACAAGCAAGGAAGCCAAATATCACAGCCTGCCATGGCTCTAGGCCTGCTCTCCTACACAGGTACTAATTTCGATGAAAAAAGGAAAATCCAGGCTACAGTGAATCGGTGATACTTCTGCAATTCTCAGGCCATGGGGGTGCTTGTTTTTGTTTCAAAAACAAGACCCAAAGGTCCATGGGTGTCAGAGTTCCCAGCCACTCTAGTTGCAGTGAAAAATGTACAGGAACTAGGTTGACCAGAAATCCTATAGACTCCAGGGTTGAAGAGACAATGCATCTCTGCAGGATACGTTACTAAAGAGTAAATGTGTGTGTGTGTGTGTGTGTGTGTGTGTGTGTGTGTGTGTCAGAGAATAAGCAAGCAAGGATGGGGAGATCTGTAGGTAACTACTGTACTCAGGTGCTCACTTGTGCCAGCGGGGACTCACATAGCTGTGCATTATAAACTCACAGTCATCAAGATTGATGTATACGCAGTCAAGGGGAGAGAAAAAAAGGGCTTGGTTTCCAAGACTATCATGGAAAACTGACTATTGTTTCACCAAGGCCAAAACCTTACAGTTGCCCTCACAGTCGTTATTGGTGGAGTTACTGGTGGCATATTTGGGGCCATCATGAGTTCCCTAGCTCCTATTAATCCCGTGGCCTCTGTGGTTAATTTGGTGGTAACCTAGAAATACAGCTAATTGGAAAAGTATTTGCTAGGCTGTGGTAGAAAATGGAATAGTTGGGGGAGAGATGTGAGCTGAATGCCACAGAGGATACTTGGATTCAACATAAATGGAAACAGGTATTGAGAAGAGCATAAGGAATTGGCTGCAGTGACTTCTCCACTGTTTCTTACCTTCCTGGTCCTTTCTGTCATCCCTCCTCATAATGCTTATGTTCAATGGCCACAGTGAGAGGGCTTGAAGCTAGAGGACATGGGTGTTGAAAAACGCACCTTAACAACACCCCTGGTTTACAGGAAACCATGTTGAAGCCATACAAGACCTTTTCCTTTTCTCTAATCCTTTCAAAAAATTTAGAACCGATTTCATCATGTTTCATTATCATTCCTTGCGTACTAGACTTGGAGCTGAAATACTAAAGGAAGTAAATGATGCCGCTGGCGCGGGTGGCTTTTCCTCTGGCTGGAGCTGGCAGGTAATATGAGCATACCTCAATAATATGAGGGGGCAGGGGGCAGGCAGAGAAGCAGGAAACTCTGGGACAAAAGACCCATATAGGATGAGTGATCGGGCAATGTACTTTCTATCCCTTTTAGCTATTTCCTGCTTGCCACTACAGCCCCAGGAGAAATGTCCTGCCTGATTTTTTTCAAGTGGCAACAGAACTGTTTATCAGATCCCCTCTGAGATAAGTCCTCTGAGTGCCTGTAGTTTACGGACTCGCACAATCAGAGACCACAGAGTGGAGCTTCCAAATCCCCATTATTTCATTCCCCAAATGGAAACAACCCATGGAGAAGTTCAATGATCCTTTAAAAAAAGAATACATATTTCAACAACAAAAGAGTTGGCCATATCAACCAGGATTTATTTTCCTCCCAAAGAGACTTCATCTTAATGATTAATGCACATTATAGGATGGAGAATGAAATACAAACACCTCTCCCTTCTTGTGTAAAGTAGGAGGAGTTTCCTTGTCTAGATACACAGAAACTTCAAAAGCTAGCAAAGAAATTGTGCTTTAAAGAAAAAAAAACTACAAAGGAAAGTGACTCTGGATCACACACAGACTTAGATTTCCAGTCTGATGAGGCATATCCACCTCAGAAGGATTTACATGGGCATATGTTGCCAACAGGAAAAAAAAAAAAGTGGAGTTTTATGAACTGAAATAACACTAGTTCTGCCTCTGGTAGTAGAAAACTGACTTACCCTAAATTGCTACGGGTTAACTAACTTAACTTATATCCTCTTAATAATTAGAGAATATAAGATACTTGGTAAGTGGCAGACTATTCATTTCTAGGCTCCCATAATCCATGAAACAAGTGTGATACTAAAACCACAGGCAAATTTAGCATGTTGACCAGGACTCCATGACTGAGCACCTTCAAAAGAGCCTCAGTAAAGAGTTGATTCTTATGGAGTAAATGTTCAGTTGTAGGGTAGAGGTTGAAATACAAACTCCTATTTCCTCTTGGCCATCAAGTAAGTACATCCTCAGCATTTAGATGCCTCTACAGAGGAAAATGAGACTCACCCAAAGTGGGAAATGTTTCTCTTTCCTCATCTACTTAGTCATAGAATTTTCAAAAAGACTCTTGAGCAGGATGATCCAACAGACCTTCCCAAAGACTGACTTAAGAACTTATCTTTTCAGAGCACAAGGCAAGTGAGGGCTACCCAGGTTTTTTTTCAGAGGGCAGGAGCTCTCAGCACAAAATCTCACTGCTAGCAGTTGTTCCTCTGGGCATCTTCCTCATCTCCAAGAGGGAAGGATCACCCGCTCCTCACAGCCTCTAAACTTCCCTGGGTTTCCTGCAGTCTGTTTTCCCACCTCCCTGAGTCTGGCTGCCGAACCCTGTGAAGCTACTTCTCCAGGGTAGTGGTTCTCAAACTTTGGCATGCAGTTGGAGGGCTTGTTAAAATCTTGCTGGGCTCCATCCCCAGTTTCTGATTTAGTAGGTTTGGGGTGGGGGCCCTAGATTTTGCATTTCTTACAGTTTCCCAGATAATGGGGATGCTGCTTATCTGGGAACACCGCTTTGAGACCTGCCACTCCCAAAAAACCTTTCTTGCAACTACACACTAATTATAGGTGTTGCTGCTCGAGAAGCTTCCCATTCAGACCTGAACAGAGATGATTCAGTGTTTGAGCCAGCCCCCAGATAACCAGCTGCCTACCACTTAGCTAATTGCTGGGATCAAGGGGTTGAACAGACATTTTCTGTTTCAGATGCGAACAAGGGGGTGAAAAAATTAAAAAGATACAGGGAAGCAATTGCAATGCCACTGTGCAAGCTTCACCAGTGGACGTTCCAATTAACAATCAGAGAGTACCTGCTGAGCACATTTTAGATTAAGATTAAAAGGAAAAATGATGAAGTACAGATGGGGAGGGGTTACGGAGACCATCATTTACAAGGGATAAAGAAATGGTAAGTAGCTTAAGAATGACAACAACAATAACACACACCCAAGATGATTTACTAGGGACGGGACTGGCTGAGGAACAAGATATCATTTTGTGAAATAATTTCCAACGTTCAAATTCTCCTCACTCTTGTGGCTAGTCCCTTTCTAAATTGAATGGGGCCCTCTCAATTCCCACCAGGATTATGGACAGGCAGAGTTCAGGCCCACAGCACCACAGACATGAGTCAATGCAATAAGCCTAATGATTCTAGACTCTTTTCCTAGTCTCACCTCTGCAATGTTGCCAAATTAATTTAATTAAAAATGTCATTCATCCACCATCACGGTCCCTGCCTGTTTCATATAGTAACTCTAAGCCTGGCTAGGAAGAATTTCTAAAACCTAAACTCATTCTACATCTCTTACTTTATTTTCTACTATGTTTCAGTCCAAACCCTTGCCTTCATTATTTCATGAATGTGACCCATGTATTCCCTAATTTTAAATCTATGCCTTCTCTGTGGCCTCTTCAACTGCTGATTACTCTTTGTGTTCAAACCTTGGGCAGTCTTCGAGGCCAACCTCCAGGCTTGATTCAGCAAACTACTTGTGCCCTCATTGACCTCTCCCATCTCTGAATTCCCATGCTACTGGGAGGAAAAAAATTCTAAACTGCCTCATTATGTTCATATTCAATTATTCTTCAATTCAATGTAATAATACCTGACAATTGTATAAAATTTACATATGCTATTGCATTTGGTCCTCACAAAATGGCAGAATAAAGTAGATATTGTACTATAATCCCCATTTTACAGACAGAGAAGCAGAGGCTCAGATATCCAATCAAGACCCTGCAGCTATGTGGTAGAGTTAGGATAGAGACCCACTAGCCTTGTGCCATACCACTTCCTCTCCAGATGGAGTGCAGCCTTCTTGGAGAGGAAGAGGAAGCATAAGACATAGTGTCTGCTATCTACAGAGCCTCGCCTGGGGCTCATGCAAAAATGATGGGGGTTGACTGATTCATAAATCCTTCATAGAGGAGGACAAACTGCCCTAGAAAATAACTGATGTGTCTGTTGGGTGGTCTAGGAAAATGCAGAGGAAGCAGATGTATTCAACCTGTACCTAACCCTAACCCTGCTCTGTAGAGACTGTCATGTGGGACACTAATAATCCCCAGAAGTCCTCTCTGGGACCCCGTGTGGGGTGGTGGTATCAGGAAGACTGATCCCATCGGCTGAGGGGAAGTTCTTCTGCTTATAGAGGGATAACTCCTAGTTATCCAACTGATTAAAGATGAATGACCCTTCAAGTGGCCCAATTTTCCCTCACCCTCTCCTATTCTAGGAGAACAAGGATGAAGATAATGAAAGCTGATAATACTTAGACACTCTGAAGACTCTTAATTATGAACTAGATGATTAATAAGCTTTGCATCCCATTTGATCCAATCAAAATAAATAAAAAAGATGATATCATATGGATATGGATTTTTATGGAATCTATCTATAACCAAGAGAGTAGGTCTAAGTGATTTGAAGCTTTCCTGGCTACCTCTGGATATCCTGGATAAACTGCCTACACTGGAATAAAAGCATCTAGCCAGCCAGAATATTATGAGACAGACTAATTTTAAAAGGAGGCAAGTCTTTGCAATGTACTTCAAATTAGAAACTGATATTATTATTCATAAAATTTAAGATCACAGAAAAATATTTTGTGAGCTAATAACAATAATGGATTTAGTGTGAATGACATGATATGAATTCATCATTGAGAAAGCAATAATATTTATATAGAACATTTTCTCCTGAACTTGGGACAACACCCCAAGACTGCCCTGAACCTGACGGGATCCAAGCTGAAAGCTTTGTATTCTTTTGGTTTTCTTCATGCTGCCATTTTACTTATCTTATCAGAGCTGTGTACCTAAGAGTTTATCTTTCTAATATCGATTCTTCTCATGTTTACACTGGACGGGGCATGTGTGTTCAATAAGTTGTGTAGTTTTTAGTTTTACCAAACAGAATAAAGCCTCTTCACTTTATCCCAGACATCATGGAATAGTTATCTTCTAAGATGTGGTCACCTTTGATGGGTCAGTTTGTGGTCAATCATCCATCAATAGTAATGATGATAACATCAAAATGGGCCCCCCTTTTTTAATCTTAAAACATTTTTCTTAGACCTTGAAATGACTCTAATGTAAATAGAAAACAGTTTTTGTTACTCTGCAGTACTGATCGATTATGATCCCATGCCAGCTGGTTGTTTAACTGGCTTTACTGGGAAGTCATCAGTTATGGGTTTGTATCAACAGGACTATTAATCCTTTTGATGGCAGCAGGCTTCTAATTATAGCTCTGCTCAGTTGAAGAGATGTGATCCAATAGCCACAAATATATGTATTCCATGTTGAAATGAATTGGAGCATACCGGAAAGTAGTATAAAAACCCTAACAACTCTTTAGCATCCATATACACTCTGTATTCTTGAGCTTTGAGTAATATGGAGACTCCTGAAACAATGATAGCAGTTGACTTCAGAGCAGTTGTAAGGCTCAGGATGTCTACCTGAATAATTATTCCTAAGAGTAAAACATTCTTCTAGGAGACAAAGAAAATGACATAGATTGCTAACAGAGAGAATGGAATATGTCAATTCTTTATAAATTTCTCAATAAAACACACACAGATCATTTGCTTTCAAGAAACTCAGGTGGCGAGAACCCTTTTGTTTGTTATGAAGTTCTTTTAAATTTTATCTAACAAGACTTCAATATTATATCTGAACTAAGAGTCTCCTTTCCCATCTTCATTCCATATTTCTTATCCACGATAGACCTAGATAGGTATAGCAAAAGCAAAATACGGGCATTACAAGTTGACCTCAAAAGTGGTTGGCAGCTAGGTAGTTTTAGAATTCAATGGAAGAGCTAAAGTTCCAGCCCTATCACCTCCTAGCTATAGGATCTTAAGCAAATAATTTGACCTCTTCAAGTCTTT
The DNA here is from genome assembly GCF_000001405.40 of Homo sapiens. NCBI lineage: Eukaryota > Metazoa > Chordata > Mammalia > Primates > Hominidae > Homo > Homo sapiens. The sequence goes on from NC_000010.11 coordinate 77,192,570, forward strand.
GTTTTCTCTTCTGTAAACTGGGGATAAGGTTACGAATTCCCAACGTTGTTCTAAGACTGAATCAGATGACTCAGCACTCAAAAGTGATAGTAATTTCCAAAACTAAGGTAATAATAATAGTGATAATAGTAACTGTTTGTAGAAAATGCCCCCAAAAGGCAATCATTCAACTGAACAAAAACTGATAGGATCAATTGTTTCTATTTTTTTCATTTGTATCTGCTTTACTGCCTCTTTATCTGGTGTTGCACTGTAATCCAAATGCCCAACAGGCTGTGCATTGGGCTACTGTAAGATTTCACAAATGCCTAGTATAATTCTATAGAGTATTAAAGAAGAAAAAGTGAAAATTATATTTCCATGAAGGCAGCCACACAGTCTCATAAATGCTAAATAATTAGCCAAGATTTCTTGACAGAGAAAGCCATAAGTCACTTTAATGAGTGGCCACAGGAGTTTGTTATTCTCCTTTTTTCCTAGTTTTTTTTTTTAGAGATGAGAGCTTTCCTTGCCTGGTTGGCTTAGCACGGATCTACATAAGAGGCAGAGATCTGAACCAGTCATATGTCTTGTAAATATCTCTTGTAAGTTTTCTTCTCTAAGAGCACGTACTTTTTCACTGTTACACTTTTGGAATGATGTCCAAGACAACCTACCCACTAATGCTTGTTTTCTCCAGCTTATCTGCAGACTACAATTATTTCAATCACAGTTGTTACCAGAGTAGAATTAGTGTTCATATTTGCCAGCAACTTCTATGTAATAAATCAGAGCTAAGCTACTACATAAAACAGAGTCTTTCCAAACAAGTATTGCTTGATTTTAGTTTTCACTAAACTGTCTTAGGAATCATGACTGACCAATTCTACTCACTCGTTCCACTCCCTCCACTGATTCTAGCCATCCCTTTTTTTTAGGGAACCCTTATTTATCTAGAAAAGGAATGGGATGGAGTAGGTGATTCAAATAGCACTAAATGCATATGCACTTATGCACATATACCAGAAGACAGAGTGAAAGTTCTTCGAGGGCAGGGTCAATGAGCCATGTATAGGTATGGAGTGGTTCATGTGGGTGGGCACCCACACAACGTGTACACACAAACATCCCCAGCCTCCCAGCACAAATATATGCTCTCCATCCAACCCCAACCCCACTCTGGGACCACTCACAAAACAGGACAGCCTAGATGAGGTGATTAGAAATGGGGGAAAGGAAAGAGAAGAGAAGTCCCAGGTCTGAATGGAGAGCTGAGAATCTAGACACAAATGCTGGCATGGGGAATGGAACCTCTGACCCCTGGATCCATACTCCTCTCACATCTACAGGAATTTAGTCCTAGGGAAACAAGAATAGACTATTCATGTAACCACTACATTCTGCTTCCTATGCCTTTTTTTTCTGGATATTAAAATTGCCACCTATGTGCTAGGAGGCTGATAAACAATAATCTATAACCAGGGATAGCCAACAACCCCTAGCCATTGGGGAGCAACAGCCTGGAGCTCACATTTCTGAAAGAGAGGGCATCCTAGAGAAAGTAGCTCAGGGTACAGTTTCAAGGCACTTCATATCAAGGCTTCCCAAATAAGAAGCCCTCATATTCATACAGGGGATGGCAGAGGCTCCTAAGAGAAAAGAAGAGCTCTCTATTTGCCAAAGGCTGGCCAATCAGGGCACGGTTGGGCAGGTAGGCTGGTACTCCCATAGCATAACAGACTGTCAAATCACTGTGGGACTTCTTTGGGCTGTTACTAGATGCAGACTTCAAAATTCTGTCTGAGCCTTCTCCAGATGTTTGCCTTGGACTCTTTGGGCCTCCCCTGGTCATCTCACCAGTCCCCTATTTAACTTATGCCTTATACTCCCTTTTCTTGCCCTCCTACCTGGCTTTGACATAGTCCTGTCATACCTGGATGGCATGACCCTGGCAATGGCACCTTGCTATGGGTCTACCTGTAAGGATTTGGAGTACAGAAGCTAAAACTATTGAATCGACAGCTAGAACCAGCCTGTTCTGAGTTCCGGACTGACAGTTGCGGATAATGAGATGCCTGAGACGTATCTCTTTCTTATTCTGAACCTTAGTATTTCAGCCAGTAGCCTAAGAGGTCTATTACAGTTCCAACTCTTGTACCTCTTGGCACATCTGCACTCAAGCAGAATGGCACACAAGCCCCTCAGCAGGGCACTCAAGGTCTACACTAACAAAGAGTACCAATGCTGAAGACTTGCTGATCCTGAATGTAGGAAGCCTGAGAACATCTGGAAAAAAAAATAATTATGTTTAAAAAACAGTTGTTCCATTTATCTGCTGCTTCACTTTGACGAACAGAAAACAATGTCACATAACATAGATAGTCACCACAAGGACACCAGCTTGTTTAAAGTTACACATGAATTTATATGTGATGCTGAAGGATAATTATAATGGCTTATATCTATTTCTAACATCTTGAAGTTTTGTTGTTGTTGTTGTTGTTATTGTTGTTGTTGTTGTTGAGGATTTTTTTTAAGAACACACAGAGAAAGACCTGGTAGAAGTCTTTCTGACATCTGGCATAGAAGACAATTATACCTTTATTGCACAAGGAAATAAAATAGCTGTGTCTTAGCTCCGTCTTTGGCTGACAGCTAAGGCCTGGAAGTTTTGTAAGTTTTCCTATTTAGGAGTTTTGTTGAGAGCCTAGCAGCCTCACAGCCAAAACGGAGTGTCTGAGATGCTGCTGATTAGAAGTCATGGGTCTGCTGAGTACAAGGCTAGAGTCACTCCTTAGGAATGTCATAAAGGACCTGGGCAGTAGAAACCAACACCACCATGGAAAATCAGACAGGATGAGTTACCTTTAAAACAAACTGTCATCATTAATAGGGAAAATGGCAATGACTTATTAACCCCTATGATTATACAATCATATCTTCAAGTATGCACACTTTTCATTTCCTTCTTGACAACTTCATGAAAGTAATGTCTCATCTCCTGGAACATTTCTTTTCCTTTTTTTTTCTTTCCTTCTTGCTTCTAATTAACATTGAAAATCATTTATTTATCAAAATTAGGTTTCCCCTGCCCATGTTTCAGAAATAATAAATAGCTGGCTGAGTATGGTGGCTCAAGCCTGTAATCCCAGCACTTTGGGAGGCCGAGGCAGGTGGATCACTTAAAGTCAGGAGTTCGAGACCAGCCTGGCCAACATGGTGAAACCCCACCTCCACTGAAAATACAAAAATTAGCTGGGAGTGGTGGTGAACACCTGTAGTCCCAGCTACTCGGGAGGCTGAGGCAGGAGAATGGTTTGAACTCGGGTGGTAGAGGTTGCAGTGAGCCAAGATCATACCACTGCACTCCAGCCTGGGCAACGGAGTGAGACTGTCTCAAAAAAAGAAAAATAATAATAAATAGCTATTTCCACCATATCAATGACATCCACTAGATTTTTGGGTATAAATTTGGAAAGAAATATGATGAATTACCTGCTCAGTGGGGTGAAGTGTCTTTCTCCTTGCTTCCTCCTGCAGGCCCTTCTTTTAATTTTATTGTCCTATCTTTGAACTTCTCTAGAGATGTTATTCCTATCATTATAAAAACATCTCTGTGAGAGGCCTAGGATGGCCCCAGGAAGCCGATTTCTTAGGATTTTCTCTTCTGTCTCTGTGAATGGATCTCTGTATCCCCACTTTCTGTTGGGCTTCAGAAATCCTTTCATTTTATGAGGAATCACTGTGTTTTTCTGGGAAAGAGGAATGGGTCTCTGTACTGAAGAATCTCACAAAAGAGAATCAGATGTTTCCTTCGCCAAGCCCCCAGATGAAAACGTTCATAAAGTGAGAATATGCCAACGTGCTGGGCAGGATCGCCTGCCTGCACAGGTCTGTACTGTAATTACATTTAAGCTCCTTTCAAAAAGCGAAATGCTCCCATTCAAAGGATCTTTTTACTGGTTACCAAAAGAACATGTTATGAAATTCTAAGCAAAGTCCATTTCAATATAATACATGGGATATGGTTAATAGAATAGGAGGAAAAAGGACTGTGGGAAGAGCTTCAATCTACTAAGCCCCCAGATTGTAGAAGATCAGATTTCATGAAGAAAACCTAAAAATAAGATAAGAAGCATTCGGCTTTGTTTCATTCTGACTGCTTAGTGCCTACTCTTGGGCTAAGGGATGCTGACAAGCTAGTATCATCAAGAATTGTCTAGGAACTGTTATTCCTACCCTAGGATTATCACAGCTTGGAATGCCTCGCCTTTCATTTTTCTCAGCTTACAACCAAGGCATGTCTAAAATGCAAAGTATCTATTTGAAATGACAAAAAAAGAAATGCAGTGAGAAAACAGATCCTGACAGTTGTGTTTTATAAAAGTCCATTCTGAGAATACAAGAAAGAAGTATACAAGTTTAAAAAAAATAAGGAAAAGAAAGCAGTTTTAAAGTAAGTCATTAGACAGCCCTAAGGCAAAAAAAAAATATTTCAAGGAGAGAAAATGATCACAATTTACTAATCAATGATGTTGAATGCAGTGCCAACATGCTTTAACAAATGCGATATTTCTTCCTAGTAGTACCATTTCATTTCTTTTAAAGTTGAATTAATAGTTTTACTAAACACTATGAAAACGATCAATAATTGCATTTCCTGAGGCATTTAGCCCAAGAAGTGCTTTTAAAAGGTATATCTTTTTATTTAGATATTTGTTAGATCTAAGCAAAATCAAATCAGGTAACATTATTCAGAAAGACATGAAAGGGTATCATCATCCTGGTCACTTGGTGCACACCCAGGTGGAGTCAGGAACATGTAGGACTGATGATCAGGTAGGTTGTTACTTGGAAAACTGGTCCTAGCTTCTAATTATTTGTCATTAGTCTTTGCTCAGCATAAACCTAAAAACGGGAGATTTATCTCTCTCTTTTCCAATGTCCTAGTCTTGAATTTTCAAGGGACATGGTGGCCTTTGTGATATCACAGCAAACTGAGGGCCCACAGGGATGATCCAGGAGAAGCCTCAGGCCCAGTGCTTCAGTGTATTGGAATGCTCGCTGCTTTAATTCATGCATGCGTCCAGTGCTCACCACGTTCAGGGCCATCGGGGAAAGCACGTCAACATGCTTGGGCAGTGCAGGAAAAGAATCTGGTTAACCTGGAGGCGACAACCGAAAGGGGGAGGTTGCATCATGCAAATGAAAACCACAGCTTGGCCTTAGCTGCCATGCAGAAAGGACCTACATCAAAGAGTCTGCAGTGCGGCTCCTGGGTAAGAGTCGATATGAGAGAGGTGAGTTACTTCAGCAATGAGAGACACAGGCAGAAAAATGTTCAAACCACTCTAAACAGAACACTGTACAGAGCGCTGGCATTACACGCGAGAAGAGGCAGCTTTGGGGACGAGGAGGGGCGAGACAGAGGGAAGGTGAGGACAGAACTGGCCGTTACTCAATGAAATGGCTTCCCTGGCCATCCTTTCATATGCATGTATTTTTATAATGTATTTCACTTCAACAAATAACCTCATGAGAGTTTTTAACATCAACCATAATTGTTAAGATGTTGTGAAAATTCAGGAGAAACAAGGCATCAGTTACATAAAGATACACACCATGGTTTCCTGTAGTTACAGTTCATTATAGAAGCAGAGCTGAAGCGGGTCAGATAAATAAGAGACAGTTAAGTGCCAACATCCTTAACACTTTGGTTACAGAGCTCATGATGACTCTCAAGGCGTAATGTAGTGTTGAAGGAACCCAACAGTCGTGAAAGCTCGGGTGGTGCAAGGGTAGGGACTCTATGCATCTATACCCCTGAAAGCCATTTATAACCCTGAAGTTAACCACGCTCTCAAGTGAAGCCATCTTTTCTTCATCTCAGCATGAATGACAGGTGAACAGTGAGCTCACCTCATACATATTGACCATTTAGCAGAACCCTAGTTACGAGCAAGATTCTCAAAGGTATTTCTTATCAAAATCAATTCATCAGCAAAAAGCATATATATGTGATATATATATATATATATATATATATTTCTTAACATTTCTCTTAAAGGAGTAATAATACTGTTTTAAATTCAGTAGAGATTCATCAAGCTTCGCTCTAATGTCAAGGCTACACTGGATATCTAAAAACTAGTTTCCTGTAAACTCCCTGCTTAATATAAGGCTTGTTATCATTTTTCTTGCCTCTTCTGCCTTTTATGATCTCTGGTACATTGAACACAACTCAAAAAATGGTACGGTCTAGTCCTAACTCACAATTCCTGCCTCCTAGTTCTGACAGGGGAAGAGCAAGCCCCGTGCTTATAAATTACTCCTTCTAAAATGTTCTCCAGGAGTTCAGCCTTCTGATTCCCTGCGTGTATGATGGAGGCCTTGATAGGGAACTTAGGTCCAGTGTGAATGAGCAGTGCACTGCCTCACTTTCCACACTCAGTGAGACCTTAACATACCCACTGAAACTTGAGCACCACCCAGAACATGGGAGTGAATGCAGGTAGAAGCAAAACACAGGATTCCTCCCGACACTACCTTCCTCATTCCTTGAGATGCAGCTGTTTCCACTTGATCACAATTTATTCTCTCTTATAGATTAAAAACTCAGAGGCTTAGTTGAATGACATCTTTTCAAAGGATTATCTTTTTGAACAAAAACATAATAGTCTGTACATTCATTCAACAAATGTCTCTGAGTTTTTTTCTTTGGTGACAGGCACTATGCTGGTTTTGGAGACATATAATTCAATAAGACATGATTCTTGCTCTGGAGTAGTTTTCCATTTAGCAGAGAAGTCTACCCAGATTTTAATTTCTGGCAGCAGATATGCAAGAGCAGCTTGTTTAAAAATTCTACTGATTACCTTGTATGACCTTGGATAAGATATTTAATCATGCTGTGCCTCAGTGTCCTCATTTATAAAATGCAAATAATACCTACCTCCTGAGGTTGTTGAGAGAAATAAATGAGTTAGTAAACGTGAACTGCTTTGTTAGTGGCCAGCACATGATGGATGCTATGTCAGTGGTAGCTATTATGATCAGTAGTACTCAAATATAAGTAAGAAGCAAAGGACTCTGGAAGCAGAAGATCGCCTCTGCCTAACTTTTGCAGTAGGCCTTGAGTGAGGATTAGAAACTCATCAGCGTGAGAAGGCAGGGGAAGGGATGGAAGCAGAGGGCTAAGCTTGGGCAGAGAGACAGAAGCACAGAGAACACAGTGCATTCTGGGAGTGGAAGGACACCTCGTATAGAGCCTAAGTAGATTGTAAGGTTGGCAAGAAACAAGGCCAGACAGGAGACGGTGAAGCATCTGTGTGCCCTGGAAGCATGTCTGCTCTTTATCCTATAGGAAATAGGGAGCTGACAGAAGTTTATTTATTTTTTATTTTTATTAAATCTAGTTTTTGAGACAGAGTTTCACTCTGTCACCCAGGCTGGAGTGCAGTGGTGCGATCTTGGCTCTCTGCAACCTCTGCCTCCCAGGTTCAAGCGATTCTCCTGCCTCAGCCTCCCAAGTAGCTGGGACTACAGGCGCCTGCCACCATGGCTGGCTAATTTTTGTATTTTTGGTAGAGATAGGGTTTCACCATGTTGGCTAGGCTGGTCTCGAACTCCTGACCTCAGGTGATCCACCTGTCTTGGCCTCCCAAAGTGCTGGGATTACAAGTGTGAGCCACCACGCCCAGCCTGATAGAAATTTAAATGCTGGAGAGTGGTACCATTATCTTGTCTTGTAGCAAGTTAATTCTGGGGACAATATAGAGTAGGAATTGGAAGCAGAAGGTTGTGAAGACAGAGGTCAATTAGTCAAATTAAATCCCCACGGAAAAAAGTAACCTATGCACATACTAAGATGAGCATCATTGTTGCCATATAATTACAGTATCTTAATATCCTGGGAAATACCCCTTCTTCAGGGCCTGCTGCTGTCAGAGTTCTTTAGGAAGAGGGGATTAGGTCCACAGTATCACTGAAGCAATTTCCTAAACCACATGGTTCTCTCTCCTACCACGGCCCCCATGTCTATTGCAGGAATCTGTGTCATGAAGAAATGACAGCACATGTCTCTTAATCTTCTGGAAAAAAAAAAACCCACCCTAGTAAGAAGCTGTTCTTTCTGCTATTTGGAGAGCAGTCTCTAAATTATAGTTAGAATCGACATAAAATGAACATATTTCAGTACCTCAAATAGGGGTACCTGGACATAGTAGACACATGCCAACAATTATAGACAAATTACAGATAACAGATTATAGACAAATTGTATACATGTGATCACACCCAGGCACATAGAAAAATTACAGTGAACACTTCTGCTGCATCCACTATTAATTACCTAAAGAACTTGGTTAGTCATACCGTCAAGCCATCAACTTAACTGCCTTTTAAGTGTCCATCCAACCCTGTGCACAGTTAGGATTTCATGAGCATGTTGGACTGGTTTTCTCTCACAGAATCCTGACCTTTAGATTTAGATGTCCTTAGTTTCCAGAGGGCTGCCTGAAAGTATGAATTCTGGGGTGTGCAGGGGGTAGGGGGTGAGGCTTTCTTTTGGCAGGAGTTGACAAGAGGAAAGATGCCATTTTCAGGTAATGTGCTTTCTCTTTAAAAAGTGACCAAGTGTGTTTGATACTCACTTAGCTCAATTTTAACCGTGGTGGGAGCTCTGTACCCTATGTTGGTAAATCAGAAACAGGAAAGTTCTGTCTGTGTGCTGCTGTGACCATGCGGTCATATTTGTTTGGTGGATTTCCATTTGTTCCAAGTCCATTCTAGTTTGGAGTTTCCATGAAGCCAGGCCAAGTGTACAAATGCTAACACAGGGAAAAAGAACCCTCTATACATGGACTTACGGAGAAGACAATACACACTGAACTTGGAAAAGGAGCACAGGCTGAGATTCCCTAAAGTGGCAGCCACCTTGCTGCACAGCAGACACTCAGGGAGATGCTCCAGGCAGCAATTGCTCAGCAGGAAGGCATGCTGGGGAAGGACCTCATTTCAAAGGAGAGTAGAACAGGCCTAAGTGCTGGGATTACAGGCGTGAGGCACCGCACCCAGCCTGAAATTAGTATTATTTTAAAGTTCACGCATGTGACCTTATAAAAATGTTGGTGCTTATTTTTAAGTTATTTCTTTTTCTTTTTAAAATTTGGTTTCTCACAAGAGAATTTCATTGTGCTGATGGAAGAGTTCTGTATACTGACTGGAGAGGTAATAAAACAAATTTATGTGGGATAAAATGTCTTGGATCTACACAGCAAAAAAAAAAAAGTGCTTGTAAAAACTGGCAAAACATCTGTACTTGAGTTTACAGCAGTACGCCAATATCAATTTCCTGGTTTTGATAACATACCATGCATGCCTATGTAGCATATAGCACTATCATGGGGAAAGCTTGGAAAGGATACAGAAACTCTGTCCTGTTTTTGCAACTTCTTGTGAATCTTAAACTATTTCAAAATGAAGTTCTAATTTTAAAAAACAGTTATTCTCCTGTTTGGTTTTACTGTAGCCAGACATCAGGCTAGTGGTCTATTTCTGGTGATATGTGCCTCTAAATGTCTACAGACTGATTTCTTTAACAAACATTTACTCAGCACCTGTTATAGGTATAATACTGTGTTCAATTCCAAAAGATATAAAAGAGGGATAAGAAACCACAGTGATACAAATCAACATTAACTATCTTAGTTCCTTTCTCAAAGGAGTGCTAATTGAGGCAAAGACATCATTTACCTACTGCACAAATTCTCAGAGACAATCCCCCAAGATAATCAGCTGTCAATAAATGTAGGTCGTTAATGTAATAAGCAAGCTTCTAGAATTAACCCACAGTAATCTCTTCAGGTAAGCAGATATCAGGTAACAAGCTGTGCTGAATAATGCAACTGATGTGATAATGACTCTCTTCCTTCACGTACAGTTGGTGCAGGCTAAGCCATCCTTTTCCTTAGTTTTTCAGTCCCTGTTTTGTCCTTCCCAGAACTCAGTGCTCACCACACTGAGGAGCCAACAAGTGATACCTGCTTAATGAAGGTGCAGGGTGACACTAAGAGCTACTTAGATTTTAAGAAACAACTGAAAAGGCTTCAAGAATGAATGTCTAATTGGTGGAATTTCAGGTACTTTGCAAGTTAGAAGAGATGTTTTGGAGTATAGGAGTATTTACAGCACCCTCAAACTCACCCAAGGATGGCCATCTACCACACTCTCTACTAAAATAAGTTGTCATGGGCAATTATATTGGAAGTAAAGTCAAGGCCAAATGAGGCAATAAGGATGGATCCTTAGAATGCCAAAGACTTTGCAAGGAACATGTCAACAGTTTTTATCATTCTGAGAAGCTGCCTCTAACAGGAACAAAAAGAAAACAGAGAAATGTGCAAAGAATAAAATCTCCTGGAATTGAAGCCTCAGCAAATGAATATCCAGGAAGAGCCAATTCAATCCTTCCTGAAATAGAAGATGTGTCACTGCTGTTAACCTGACACCGTTATTACCTGCAAGTGGCTTGGGCTTTTAAGAAGTCTGGAAGTACCATCTTTTTCTTGCTGTTTAAAGGATAAACAACTAGAACAGCTCAATCCGGGAACAAATGAATTTTTCAAAGCATTCCCCAAAGAACTGGGAAACTCCTGCTATGAAGAAGGGTCCTATCCTAATCACAACAATTTTTAAAGAAGTTTTGTAACAGTGGAAGACAGAAGACTCCCAGAAATATTTGACATCTGTAAGAATGAACAGCAGCTAAGAATGGACGGGCTGCTGCATTCACTCCTCTGTTTCACACCCATGCTATTCCCTTGCAAGCTCTTACTCATCCACCTTTGAACACTCAACTCAGTGGCTGCCTCCTCCAGAAAGCCTCCCCTGATCCTCCTCCCACCCAGAGGTAACTGAACCTTTTTCTAGGCTTTTCTTCCTGGGTGCTTCTGTTGTGGCGCTCATCACTCATGAAGTGGTAATTTATTTGTTTGTGTATCTGTCTCCCTTCCCTGCTAGACTGTGAGCTCCTGAGGGGAGAGCCTTGGTGTTTTGTGTCTGGGTTCCCATCATCATGGTACCCGCAAAATAGGCCCTCAATACATGTTTAAGGAGGAGGAGAAAAATAAATGAATTGAGGGAGAAAATAGACAAACCTGGAGGAAACTGATTATAATTCAACAGTACCAAGATACTAGGGAAGTCCCATCTCCCAACATGGTTTCAAATGGCCCCATAGTCCCATACCAATTCAGAACTTAAATTAGGCTAGGCGTGATGGCTCACACCTGTAATCCCAGCACTTTGGGAGGCTGAGGCGGGCAGATCACTTGAAGTCAGGAATCCGAGACCAGTCTGGCCAACATAGTGAAACCTCATCTCTAATAGAATACAAAAATTAGCTGGGCATGGTGGCGGGTTCCTATAATCCCAGCTACTTGGGAGACTGAGTCAGGAGAATCACTTGAATCCATGAGGTGGAAGTTGCAGCAAGCCAAGATCACATCACTGCATTCCAGCCTGGGGGACACAGTGAGACTCCCTCTCAGGAAAAAAAAAAAAAAGAAAGAAAGAAAAAAGAACTTAAATTATATGACAATTACATCAGTTACAATATTACTACAATCCCTAGAGGATGAGGTGCATTCAAAGGACTGATTTGTGTGCTCTTCCCGTGTTTCAGGGGAGTTTCAGGTTATCTCACCTCATGTGTGCAAGAAGAAGAATGGGAATGACCTTGGAGGTAACAAGATTCACCACTCAGCAAAGCCATTTGACCTCACTAGCCATGAGAGGTCCAAGACCTGAGAAGGCTATGGGATAGTTAAAATTCCACAGGAGAGTCTCCCCGAGGGCATTCAATTTCTGTGTCATTAGGCATCACAAAATCTAAATGCCTAAAACTAAAAAAAAGTCATTCCTCTGAAACTAATGAGTATGCACTTTTCTCCTTCTATGAGGGTTATCTTCTATAACTGGGAAACCAAGATTGAAATGAAGTTGCCCCTGTAAACATTATAAAATTAATCAGGGAAGAAGAAAGGGGAAAAAATAAATTAATAAACCAAGCTTGAAGCACATTCAGCATTAAGCATGAGGTCAACTCATTCTCTGACCTGCTTCCTCGACATGGTTTGGTGCCTATTGTCCTAGAATCATGTAGACTCTGTGATAAGATGATAGTTCCCCTTAAGTGCTCTATAGATAACAACTTGAACATTAAGAAATGTTAAGCTTTCCCCGTGAGGTAGTCTTTCAGGTCCTGCATACGAGTGAAACTACTACATCAGCTGATCTGAATGAAAGACCCCACGGGTGACCCCAGGAAGGTCTGAGGAACACCACAAGAAGCTGACTCACCAAAGAACACAATTTCCACATTCTGATGATTTAATCCCCCTTCCCCTGATCAGTCAACAACCCCAATTTTCCAGCCCATCACGCTCCATGATGTTCTTAAAAACCACAGCCCAGAGCTCCTCAGAAAGATGAATTTGAGGCTCTCCTCCCATCTCCTCCCTTGGTGCCCTGAGATAGTTAAACCCTTCTCTGCTGCAAACCTGCTGTCTCAGGGTAATGGGTCTGTTACTATGCAGTGGGCACACAAACTTATTGGTTCTATATCAGAAATAATACACAGAGGTGATTGAAGCCCCAGTTCGTTCTTCTCTCTTTGCTTCAAATGATATATTTTTTTGTGCTCTAGCTCAGGAAGCTGGACCTAAACTTGACACGAAGCATACTAGGAGCAAAGCTAAAAATCTAGAGATGTGTGCATATCAAATAGGAGGAAGTCAGCTCATGTTTCTCTTGCTGATTCATTTCTCCAGGAAGCCAACCCAAGGAATCAGGTGTTCAAGCAACAATGGAAAAAGATGAATTAAAATCTCCACATAAGAATACATAGATGAAGAGGAGTGTGGGTGAGGATTTTAACCCAAAGGGTCTCCTTGGAGAGTAACTTATCTTACTGGATATAAATCAACATGCTCTAATTTTTCCAGTAAGGCTGAATATATTTAAACCTTCAAAAAATATAGTAATTTTTAATGCAGTCTTAGATTGATGAAGGTTTCTTATAGTTTTTACTCCATGCTGCATATATGATGAAGATTCCATTAGGAAGTCCATCTGAACCAAGTATTTAAATCACTTAACATTAACTTTCCTTTGAATTTGTCCTCTCATATCAGCCTAGATTTTGATAACCTGCTCCTTCTAGTCATCACTCTCCCTAAATATAAAACCATTTTTTAAAAAATCAGGACGACTTTTTAAAAGTCTATGAAATTGTAAAAATTTGTAGAGTTATCACTAGCTTCTGAAGTGACACCTCTGGGTAGGCAATTCTACAAAGACTATTTGTAACTATATGAGCTAATAGTATAGAAGCAGTGATGTAAAACTGTATTATTTGTTTATTATGAGCAACAGAATAATGGAATGAATTAATGCACCAATCTCGCTCTAATGAATCTATGGACAACATGACAGTATGGTGTGAACAGAACAAAATAAAACCATTGAGTGGGTCCATTTGCAAATAAGCCCATTTCCCCATAAGGCGAGAGAACATTTGTTTAATTTAAAGCTTAAGAACAATCTCTTTACATACAAAATACTTTTTCTCAGTTAAAAAATTATAAGTGCTAAGACAATTAAATTAATACAGCATCACCATTTTTAAAACTGAAAAAAAGAGGTTTAATTAATCTCATTGTGTTCTAACTCACTGTTAAATCAATAAAAGAGTTTGAAAAAAATGTGTCAACCTGACGTTGGATTCATTGTTTTTCTATTTAGTAGATATGTTTAAGAATTCATTGAGTGGTGTTGTGGAGTTTAAATGAGTTAAAACAGGACAAGGGCTTAGACAGTCACTGGCACTGATTAAGGGCTCATTAACTGTTACCTGTTGTCAAATGTAAAGTCATGCGCCAAACTTCTATCTGCTCTTGGTTTTTCGTCTAACTGGGAACTGGACCTCTTGCCTCTACGTAAGTCTCCTACCACCCGTATTACTCTCTCTCTTTCCCACTGAGCTCTAACCATACTCATCTTCTTTCTGTTTCTTCAACTGTCCAAGTTTTTGGCCATCTCCACTGGAATGCAAGGCCCATAAAAGCAGAAAACATGTGTGTTTTGTTCACTGTTTCACCAAAACCTACACAAGTGCCTGACACAGACTAAGTACTCAATAAACTTTGCTAAACAAGTAAATAAATAAATGGAGAGCCAAAGGAAGGAATAAAGGGAGGCAGGGAGGGAGGGGGGGGCGGGTCTTAGTTCATTCTCACTAAGATTAAGTCTATGGTCAATACTAGTTTGCTAGTGTTTCCTTTATCAAACCATGCTTGTTATTAGGATCAGGCTGCTCCCACCTCACTTCCTATGTCTATATGATTTTTTTGTACTCACAAAAAGGATTTTCCTCTCTTGCATTCCAACACAAGGAGTTCCTTGACAATTTAATATTATATAATATATGCACCTGGAAAGATGTTTGACATCTAATTTTTGACTTACACTTAACCACATATTTCCGCTTTCATTTGAAGGCAAAATGGAACATTTTCTTGTCAATTTTTTTTTCTAGATTATGTGAAGAAGAAATTAATAGTCTTGTCCCATGTTAATCTAAAGCTCTTCTGATTACATAAATTTAATAGAGGACTCTCCCTAAACAAACTTTAATTCCACACTTAAAGTATCTTTACAATGACAAAATTGTTCTGCATTCTATAGATATTGGAATATAACACATTGCATAATTTAGAGGTTAAGAAAATGGACTCTGGATTCAGACCAGGGGTTCAAACTCTAGTTCCTATTACTAACCATGTGGACATTGAAACCTTCTGAGGTGTTCTTTCTTCATCAAGCAAATAAAGAAAATCGTAGTAGTGCTACTAAGTAGAATAATAAGTTTGTAAAAGGCTTATCATGGCACTTTGCACCTAGTAAGTACTCAATAAATACAGAAGCTGCTTGTAGACCTAGAGAGAGCAAACTAGAACTAAGATCAGAATCCCCTAATGATAGCCAGGCAAGCCAGTACCTGACCTATTGAACATCTGGTAGAGATCCACTGAGTGAACGGCTGCTACTGGTGACTAACTGCATGACAGCCTTTCCTTGTCTTCCTCGCTAATGTCTGTTCAGGTTGTGTGGCCCTTCCTATACTGATGTGATGTATTTTGTAGAATCCCTCTCCTTGAGCCTGTGATGGCCAAAATTGCGTGCATACCATAAATGCTTAACTAGGTAAAATGCCTTTGTAAGACTCTGATGTTAGTCCCTGCTGACAACTTTCTACCTCACTACAATCCACTTTAATCTTTGCATTGACATTTCTGTTTAGAAGAGCAAGCCAGGAATGATGGCTCTGGGCTGAGAATCTGGAATGCAGATTATAACTGCTCAGCAAGTTCGCTTGCTTTGTGTAAACTGGCCGCACTTCTTTTGTCCTCATTTGGAAAATAGCTTTGGCTGCTTGATATCGCCACATCTTCCATTTTACACATTCTCAGTTTCTGACAAGAAAAGTAGAGAGTGGAATGCCACACTGTTGCAAATCTGCGGATACGCATCAGCTTAACCTTATTTGTTCTGGTGGATTTTTGTAGATGAGAATGAATATTTGGGCTACAAACTTCCAGCTTGATTCCCTTCTCTTAGTTCCAATTTCCCAGGGTTTGTTTGCTCAAATGCCCAATGTAAGAGCACTACTCTATTCTAGGGGCCACCTTCCACTGCTGTGGGTTGACCTCAACAGGCATTAAACCTGTATGCAGAGCCAGGCATGGTGGCACATGCTTATAATCCCGGCTCCTTGGAGGCTGAGGCGGGACGATCACTTGAGCCCAGAAGTTTGAGACTGCAGTAAGTTATGATCACACAACTCCAGCCTGGGCAACATAGCAAGACCTTGTCTCTAAAAATAAATAATAAGTAAATAAAACGTTTTAAAAACCTGTGCGCAGAAATGAAAGCCCATGAACAGCAAAAAAATCAAATGCAATCCTGGAGCTATGCATAAACCAAAGGAGAGATGAATATGTCTAGATTAAAGTTCTTTAGCATCTACTGTCCATCTTATGGGATTCCATAGACAAACATACAGTAGAAAAGCTCAAAATAAAATGGCTTTATTCTATATTTAAAACTACATTTTTTCCTTATTTGTGTTATTGCAGACTATTAGTTTTTCATGCACAGGCAAGAGCTAAACAAATACACTGATTCCCCAATGTGACCCTCTATAGCATCAAGACCTATTTTTATAGCAGTGTAAGTACATGCACCAACTATTATGTGTTCTTATGAAGTAATCCTCATCCTGTCAACTGCTGTAAGATCCTGGGGAACATGCTGAGCAATGCTGGTGTTCTATGGTTATGCAGTACTTGGCCAAGCTCAGTGGGTAATTTCTCCTAAGTATATATATGCTTAAATGGCACCTACCAATTATCTCTCTTTGGAAGAGTGCAAGTGTAGCATGCCCACTCTCCCAGATGTGTGCACATTCCCGCCTCCACAGAGCTGTCTCTTCGCCTCTCCTCTCTAGAAGCTCTGGGTTAGTCCTTTCTCCAGGCACAGAGGCAGCTGAGTGAACTCAGCCTAGGGGAGCTATCACTGTTCTTTTCTTACCTCTAGGAGTTACAACAGAGAAAACCTGTTCTCCAGAAAAAGACCACCCTCTACAATGTCTTCATAGGAAAAAAAATGGTCACACCTGTGACACAGCCCTAATTGAATTCTTATAGGCACCTCAGATCAAAGCTACCCAATAACCTGAGGTAATGGAAAAGAAAAACAATAGAGTATGACATTTATTCATGTACCAAATTCTTGGTTTCTCACCTATTAATTTTTGGTCTTGCAAATTTTGCTGGAACAGAACATGATAGAGTACTGGCTCTGAAGTTCTAGGTTCAGATAACAAACTCAAAAGGGGTTTAGGAAACTAATCCAAGGGAGAATCATAAATTTGAACCTTAACATGGACTCTGTTCTCCACATTAAAATATATTGTACTACCTTTTTTCATATAACATATCAAAGAAACCAAGAGTTGGCTCTTCGAAAGAATATACAAGAATGCTAGACAGCTGGCCAGATTAACAAAAAAAGAAGATTCAAATAAGTGCAATCAGAAATGACACAGATGACATTACAACTGATCCCACAGAATTACAAAAGATTCTCGAAGACTATTATGAATACCTCTATGCACATAAATTAGGAAATCTAGAGGAGATAGATAAATTCCTGGAAACACACAACCTCCCAAGATTGAACCAGGAAGAAAGTGAAAACCTGAACAGACCAATAACAAGCTCTGAAATGGAATCAGTAATTTAAAAAAAACCTACCAACCAAAAAAAAAAAAAAAAGTCCTGGACCAGATGGGTTCACAACCAAATTCTACCAGATGTGCAAGGAACTGGTACCAATCCTACTGCAACTATGCCAAAACACTGAGGAGGAAGGGCTCCTCCCTGATGCATTCTATGAAGCCAGCATCATCTTTATACCAGAAGATGGCAGAGACACAACAAAAAAAGAAAAACATTAGGCCAATATCCCTGATGAACATAGATGCAAAAATCCTCAATAAAATACTGGCAAATCAAATCCAGTGGCACATCAAAAAGTTAATTCACCACAAACCAAGTAGGCTTTATCCCTGGGATGCAAGGTTGGTTCAGTATATGCAAATCAATAAATGCGATTAGCATTATAAACAGAATTAAAAGCAAAAACACATGATCATCTCAATAGCCTCAGAAAAAGATTTTGATTAAATCTAACATCCCTTCATGATAGAAACTCTGAAAAGAGTAAGCATCAAAGGAACATACCTCAAAATAATAAAAACCATCTATGACAAACCCACAACCAACATTATACTGAATGGGCAAAGCTACAAGCATTCCCCTTGAGAAGAGGAACAAAGCAAAGACTCCCGCTCTCATTACTCCTATTCAATATGGCATTGCAAGTCCTAGCCTGAGCAACCAGGCAAGAGAAAGAAAGAAAAGGCAACCAAATAGGAAAAGAAGAAGTCAAACTACCTCTCTTCACTGATAATATTACTCTTTACTTAGAAAACCCTAAAGATTCTTATAAAAGGCTGTTATAACTGATCAATGATTTTAGCAAGGTTTCAGAATACAAAATCAATGTACAAAAATCAGTAGCATTTCTACACACCAACAACATCCATGCTGAGAGTCAAATCAAGAACACAGTCCCATTGACAATAGCCACACAGAAAATAAAATACCTAGGAGCACAGCTAAAAAAGGAAGTGAAAGATCTCTATGTGGAGAACTACAAAACACTGCTGAAAGAAGTCAGAGACAACACAAATAAATGGAAAAACATTTCATGCTCATGGATAGGAAGACTGAATATTGTTAAAATGGCCATACTACCTAAAGCAATTTACAGATTCAACACTATTCCTATCAAACTACCAATAACATTCTTCACAGAATTAGAAAAAACTATTCTAAAGTTCATATGACTCCATAAAAGAGCCTGAGTGGCCAAAGCAATTCTAAACAACAAAAACAAAAACAAAAAAACAAAGCTGGAGGCATCAAACTACCAACAAAGCTGGAGGCATCAAACTACCTGACTTCAAATATACTATAAGGCTACAGTAACCAAAACAGCATGGTATTGGTAAAAAAAACAGACATATAGATCAGTGGGACTGAACAGAGAACACAGAAATAAAGCCGCACATCTAGAGCCATCTGATTTTCAACAAGGCTGACAAAAACAAGCAGTGGGGAAGGGACTCTCTATTAAATAAATGGTGTGGGTATAACTGGCTAACCATACGTAGAAGAATGAAACTGGACTCTTACCTTTCACCATGTACAAAAATTAACTCAAAATGGATTAAAGATTTAAATAGAAGACCTCAAACTATAAAATCTTTGAAGAAAACCTAGGAAATACCCATCTCAACATCAGCCTTGGCAAAGAATTTTTTACTAAGTTCCTAAAAGCAACTATAACAAAAACAAAAATTGACAAGTGGGACCTAATTAAACTAAAGAGCTTTTGCACAGCAAAAGAAACTATCAACAAAGTAAAAAGACAACCTATAGAATGGGAGAAAATATTCGCAAACTATGCATCTGACAAAGGTCTAATAACTAGGATCTATAAGGAACTTAAAAAAATTGACAAGCAAATAATCCCACTAAAAAATGGACAAAAGACATGAAATGACACTTCTCAAAAGAAGACATACAAGTGGCTAACAAACATGAAAAACTGCTCATCATCACTAATCGTCAGAGAAATTCAAATTTAAACCACAATGAGATACCGTCTCACACCAGTTAGAATGGCTATTACTAAAAAATCAAAAAACAACAGATGCTGGCAAGGCTGCGGAGAAAAGGGAATGTTTACACACTGTTGGTGGGAATGTAAATTTGTTCAGCCAATGTGGAAAGCAGTTTGGAAATTTCTCAAAACACTTAAATCAGAGCTACCATTCAACCCAACAATCCCACTACTGGGTATATACCCAAAGGAAACTAGATAATTATACCAAAAAAACACATGCACCTACATGCTCATTGCCATGAAATTTCACAGTAGCAAATACATTGAATCAACCTAGGTGCCCATCAATGGTGGACTAAATAAAGAAAATGTGGTACATACACATCATGGAATATTAAAAAGCCATAAAAAAGGGTGAAATCAAGTCTTTTGTGGTAACGGGAATGGAGCTGGAGGCCATAATCCTAAGCAAATTAACACAAAAACAGAAAACCAAACACTGCGTGTTCTCACTTATAAGTGGGAGCTGAGCACTGAGCACACATGGACATAAACATGGGAACAATATATACTATGGACTACTAGAGAGGGGAGGGAAAGGACCGTGGGTTGAAAAACTACCTATTGGGTACTATGCTCGCTACCTGGGTGCAATATATTCACATAACAAACCTGCATATGTACCCCCTGTATCTAAAATAAAAACTGAAATTAAAAATATATATTTTTAAAAGTACTGTATGTATACTACTTTTAATTATGAAATGCCAATTTGTTATATTCTCTCTCTCTCCTTCTCTCCCTCCCCTGCTCAGTGTCTCTTGCTCTTTTCTCTCTCTTGCTGTCTTCTCTTCCCTCTTCCTCATTAAGCTGTATGGTTAAGGAAATGAGAGCAATCTCTGCTTCAAGGCACAGCCAAGAGGAATCAGCGCTCTTGACTTTGACATCTTCAATTCCTACTACCACACTTCGTCAGAGAAAAAAAATGACAGGAAACTTCTAGACAAGATGATTCCCTGCCATTATCCTTAAAGATCTATCCAAATCACATCATTCCTTTCACTTGCTAATTGGTTTCGTAAGCCTTCTTCCCTTCCTTATGTTTTCTATTCTTATTTTTGGGACAATTGCCGACGTATGCATAGTTCTGGATTTTTTTTTTAAGTAATTTGTAGTTGACTATCGTTTATTTCTGCAATTGGTGTAATTAAATCTAATTACATAATCGGTGAAAGACTGAGTAATTACATAATTAGAATGTGCAATAATAACAGTTGAAATCCTATTGTTATGACGTGTAATGATACAATTATGATGTATAACATTCACAGGGTACTCTGCAACGAGCAAAAACGGCTCTAACCCTGGCTGAATGGAGCACAGCTAAAGTTGGAGACCTGGAAAGTAGCTTTCAGCACCTATACTTGGACTTGCTTATCATCCTTATCCCCCTAATGTATCCTTTGACTTTTATACTCCACAGGAATCAAAGGCAGTAGGCGAGGTCTAAGGAAGGTCCTCATGAGGGCAGGAGCACTCACATCTCCAAGAACCAAATCACCAATACAATCAGCCCTTAGACAGAAAGGAGCAGCAAGAGATGGACTCACATTTCTGAAACAGTCACTCCTGCATGTCAGTTTTAAGTTTGAAACTGTAATCAGGAGACAAAAAGTTAGGGTTGGAGAATGTCTGGTGATCACACACACAATTACAAGTGGGCCTAGTGATTATGGCCTGGGACATAGCTCCCAGCTCTCAGTCTGCCCTCTCCACCCCAACTCCAGTCATCTTAATCACCAGGACATAGACCAACCACCAGAAGTGCTGGCCTCCCAGGTCCTTGCTCTGCTGATTGTCGGTGACCCTTTCCTTTCCTCCACGCCACCCACCCACTCCCATGATCTTGCTCTGGACCCGAAGAAAGCAGCAACTATAGTGTTTCTGATATCTCGGCCTCAAACACCCCATTCATCAACAGCAACCTCTCATCCTTGTGCTCGCCTGTTCACGTGCTCCCCACTGGGACCCTTCCCCAACCTCAGAGAAATCTCCAAATTCTGGACACCTCCCCCGACATCCCACCCCTGGCCAGTCATCTGCTCCCTGCCTTGCCTTGCAACGCTCCTTGTCCAGCCTAATTCCCATAGTCCACCATTGTCATCACCCCTGGGCAGCACCCTCCTTCCATAACAGAAGCCCTCAGCCCTACTTCACACCAGCTCTGGAAAGCTGAAAGTTCCTGAATAAAACCACACAAGGGAAATGACTGGTTTCGCTTTAAATTCATGATCTCAAACTGCAAATTGACACTCCATACTGACTGGCAAACTGCTATTTTTCTTGAATTGGTTTGCTTTCCAATTTTCCAAGGCCACTATTTCACAGTTTTCCTTCTCTCCTCCAACCTCCCATGTTCTTTTCTGCACCATCAGGCTCAGTGGATGGCCTCGCCTCATCATGTCATTAAAAGTCACATAAAAGAATCAGGCCAGTTACACTTTTTTTCCTACCAGCAGCTCTCCAACACTGCACTTACAGGCGCCCAGCACATCCTCTGCCTCTTCATTCATAACACACCATGCCCTCCACAGACACTCTTTCAGCCCTGTACTGTCTAACTGTACTGTGTTGCTATAGCAAGCTCTCCCTTGCTGCTGGAGCTCTGCTGCCAAAATATAAGCTTGCTCAACTGTCCTCCATAGCCAACCACATTTCCAGAGACTACTGCAGGCTCCATCCTTTAGCCCACTTTGATCAGGCCCTCCCTCCACTCACTAGAGCTTCAATGTCAAAGAAACCAGCAACATCCCTGTCACAAACTCCACAGATGACCCTAGACCCTTACCTTCCCTCTGTCTCAACAGTGCTTGGCAATTGGCCACTCCCTCTGCCTGAAACCCTCTCCTCCCTAGGCTTCTGCCATCTCCTTGCCCTGTGTGTGCCCTTCCTCAGTTTCCCATCCAGCCTCCTCCTGCTTTACTCACCCTCTAAATGTTGGGCATCCTCTTGCCTTCACCTGGGGCACCTTCTCTCCTCTCCCTACACTCTTTCCCCAGATGGTACCATCAACTCACAGGCATTCAAAGTCATCTTTGTAATTTCCAAATGTAATATGATTCCTCTCTTCTGAGTTCTGGACTCAATTATCTACCCTGCTGTTTGACATCTTCTCTTTCAGGTGTCACAGACTTCTTAAACTGAACATATCCAAGATGGAAATCCTGATTTCTCCCTAGTGCAGCCCTTAGCCCCCAGTGCAGCCCCTCCCTTCCCAGTAAATGCTACCACCAGCGACTTGTCATTGAAGCCAAACACTAGAAGGCTAGAAGGACCCTGATTCCTCCTTCCATTCACTCCACATCCAATTCATCATGGAGTCCTGTCCAAAATGTCTTTCTCCTCTTTAATTTCCCTACTTCACCACCCCACTAGATCAGGCCAGTGCCCTCTTCTGTCGGGATGGTCTTTTCTTTATCTTCTGAACATGATTACAGATTGCACCTGTTTTGTTTTGTTTTGTTTTGTCTGTCTTTTATTTTTGCTTTTTTTTTTTTTTGCCTGTCTCCTCCTCTAGACTGTGTTCCCTGATTACATTTATTGTTTTACTTATTTACAGTTTCCAGCATAGATCAGGTAATTAACTTTCATTAGATAAATAAATAAATGACTATGGTATTGGCATCTATAATATGCAGACTATGAGCCTCATGGTAAACTTATAAGGGCCAAGATGAAAGCCAGGGCCAGAGCAGAGATAATAAACTTAGCTGAAAGCTACTCAAAAAGTTAAACATCGAGATACCATATCTTGATGTGCTATGAACTGGATTGCATTCCCCCAAAATTCATATGTTGAAGCCCCAGTCCCCAGTGTTATGGCATTTGGAGGTGGAGCCTTTGGGAGATAATTAGGTCTAATGAGGTCATCATAAGAGTGGGGCCTTATGATGGGATTAATGTCCTTGTAAGAACAGATACCAGTGAGCAGTGAGCTTGCCCCTCCCCCCCACCTGTCTCTCTCTCTCTCCTCTCTCCTCTCTCCTCTCTCTCTCTCTCTCTCTCTCTGCCGTGTGAGGACACAGCAAGAAGGTGGCCATCTGCAACCCTGGAAGAGAGCCCTCACCAGAAATTGACCATGCTGTTGCCTTGATCTTAGACTTCTTAGCCTCTATTTCTATCTTGAAAACATCATGCTAATTGAAAGAAGGAAGTCACAAAAAGCCACATATTACAAAATTCAATTTATATGAAATGTCTAGAACAGGCAACTCTATAGAGACAGAAAGTAGATGAGTAGTTGCCTAGGGCTGAGAAGACTGGGGGACTGGGAGAATGTGGAATGATTGCCAATTGATATAGGGTTTCTTTCGGGGGTGTTGAAAATTTTCTGGAATTAGATTGCAGCGATAGTTGCACAAATCTGTGACTATACTAGAAACCACTTTAAATGAGTGAATTCTATGGTATATAAAACATATTTCAATAAAACTATGAAGAAGAAGGGGGGAAGAGGAGAAGTGGGAAGGAAGGGTGAGAGAAGCGGGAGGAAGAGAAGGCAAACAGCAGCAGCTCAAATTAGTTAACCTAGCTGAGTTAGTCTATGGAATCTAAGTTGCCACCAACAAAAAAGTAAGCCACTGCTTTATATGCCACCAAGAAAGAAAATATTTACCAATTATAGCCATAAGAAGTCATGAATGATGAGACACTTCCTGATTTTGGAGATTTTAAACTATGAAAAAATTGTATCTTAGAATTAGTAAAATACAGTACACGTAGCTGTTGTCAGATCTAGGTACCAGCTTCTGAAGGCTTCTAAATTTGAATTACTTCTTTAAAGATAATTTATTAACCATGAACTCATTCATTCATAAGAAAAAATTTTATCAAATGAGTATTATAAGCTGGATATTGGCTTTATATATGGTTTTGACTCTGTGCACATCATTCATTTAATCTTCAACAACTACCCTTCAAGATAAACATTATATTCCTCATTTTATAGATAAGGGTGTGGGCTACAGAAAGGTCCCATAGTTCTTAAGTGGCACAGCCAGGATCCTAAGCCATGTCTCCAGGTCTCTGCTCTGTCCCTGTGTTATGAATGAACAGTTCAGATGCAGAAACCTTGTGAGCAAAAACTGAATTTTTGGCCAGGTGCAATCTTAATCGCTCACGCTTTTAATCCCAGCACTTTGGGAGGCTGAGGCGGGCGGATCACCTGAGGTCAGGAGATTGAGACCAGCTTGGCCAACATGATGAAATCCCATCTCTACTAAAAATACAAAAATTAGCTAGGCATGGTGGCAGGTGCCTGTGGTCCCACCTACTCGGGAGGCTGAGGCAGGAGAATCGCTTGAACCTAGAAGGTGGAGATTGCAGTGAGCTGAGATCATGCCACTGCACTCCAACCTGGGTGACTCTGTCTCAAAAAAAAAAAAAGAAACTAAACAAACAAACAAAAAAAAACTAAATTTTTTTCTAAGCCAAATGTTTCCTCTGTCAGCTTTAGAGATGTAGATGCCCATCAATCCCATCATCTCAGGCCTTACTTCTCACATGGCCAACTTCTCCCAACATCAACTGGTATGTATTAAAGGAATAGGAATTACAGTACATTTCTGGAGAATATTCTTGGCCACCCTGGAATTTCCTGCATTCAATATGTTGGTTTGCCATGAAGTCTCCAGGAGCTGCCGAATGAAAACATGGAGATACTTACAGATGACACAGACAGAACAAAGTGGAAAATGAGAAACAAAAGGAGAAAAAAAGTGGTATGAAGTGCAGTTGCACCTCAATTTATGCTGCAGATGCTTTCTTGAAAATTATGTGTAGATCAAATTGATTTATGAACTAAACCCTATCATAAATTCAACAAAAGCATTGTGATGGAAACTTTTGTAATCAGAAAAATTTATTTGTGCTGAGAATAGTTGATTCTCAGCCTCTCTTTTGAATTTACTTGTTATTCTTCTCAAGGGGAGCCTACCTGCACATAAAAGTTCGATAACCACCAGGGATTCTTGATGTGCAGGAATGTCATGAGACCAAAATGCTTTACAAAGGCTTAAAAATATAAACTATCTATGCCATTTATAATAGCCATTTCCATAATACTTTAAATATATATCTCAACATAATGGGAGGGTTGAGAAGATCCTTCTCAGGGATGGAATTCTAGGACCACTATTGAAGGAGATTATTTGCGTGGGTGGGGAAGTTCAGAGGAGATAAGTATCTCCCCTGGGTAACCAAAAGCCCTGAACCCTTCTCTCTTGACAGTTGAGAGGGAGGGAGAAGTTGAAGGAGTCCAGCACTCCATTTCCAAATGACTCCCATGGCCTCCTTGCAAATTACAACGTCACTAGCTCCCTGGTCTTCCATAGCCAAAGGTTACAAAATGGCCACCCATACAGGCCATTTAAACCATTTAAACCATTTAAACCATTTAAAACCATACAGGTTTTAAAAATCAAGTGTTACATTTCTTAAAATGGATTTGCAGAATTACTTGAATGAATAAAAGATCTGCAAGACATGCTCCATATTCCCACTGGGGAATAACTCACTGGAGCTGGGTAGATGCTCCTGAAGACGTGTCTCCTGGTCCCCACTACTTCTTAAGCCTTGCATCCAGCCTGGCTCCTGCAGGCATTTTCACTTGCACCCCAGTAGAAGTCTCCTCTGAGCTAAGGGTCACCACCACACGACTCACCCAATCCCATGTAGAGCCCGCAAATATCCATGATCCCAAGAGCATCCTTTCTTTAATGTGGTCTCATTTCAAAATATATGAGACTGTTGGATTTATTTATTTACTGATTTATTTATTTATTGAGACAGAGTCTCACTCCATCGACCAGGCTGGAGTGCAGTGGTGCAATCTCGGCTCACTGCAACCTCCGCTTCCTGGGTTCAAGTGATTCTCCTGCCTCAGCCTCACAAGTAGCTGGGATCACAGGTGCACGCCACCATATCCGGCTAATTTTTGTTTTTTGGGTAGAGATGGGATTTCATCATGTTGGCCAGGCTGATCTCAAACTGTTGGCCTCAAGTGATCTGCCCGCCTCGGCCTCCCAAAGTGCTGGGATTACAGGCATAAGCTACTGCGCCTGGCCTTATTTTTTTTATTATTTAATAAATTTTTTAGAGCTAGCCCAAATTCTTTCAGATCCTCTGTTCTTGAAGTGCCCTCCTGGTTCATTTCGTCTAGTGACAAATATGACTCCATATCACCACTTTCCCAGAGAATCAGCACAGCAGCCATGCCTCCAGAGCTTTTGCTTCACAGACATGCTTAATAAATTCACTTTACCCTTTAGACCACAGGGCTTAGAAAGGAATGTTGTTTTTGTTGTTGTTGTTATTGTTCTGCTTTCCATCAGCTTAATACAATCGTGACGACATGCTTCTAAGAAGGATCCTAAGACGTTCATTTCTTTGAAGCACTATTACCAGTGGAGCTGACAACAAAAAGTTAATAGACATAGGACTCAGGCACTCAGGCTCACTCTGCTTAAACTAGCGGAGTGGGGAAGAAGAGAGACGTGTACATTCCATATCCATACCAGCCTGGGGTCTTGGGTTCTAAGAGGGGTGGTGGCTTTTCCCTGAGCCCTAAACCCAGCAGCTGCAGTTAGTGCCAAAGATTATGAGGGTACAGAAAGTAAAGAAAGATCAGTGTTTTAAAGTCTCCACCCACCATATGATTTCTCAGAAACCTCAAATGTCCTTTGTTGTTGTTGTTCGTTTTGTTTTGTTTTGTTTTTGAGATGGAGTTTTGCTCTGTCGCCCAGGCTGGAGTGCAGTGGCGCGATCTTGGCTCACTGCAAGCTCTGCCTCCCGGGTTCAAGCAATTCTCTTGCCTCAGCCTCCCAAGTAGCTGGGACTACAGGCACCCACCACCACACCTGGCTAATTTAGCAACCTCAAGTCTTAATCCATATAGGAACTGTAAGAAGACTACTGGTTTGTTTCTCATCACTAACATGGTAACTCATGATTGCCGAACACTGGCTGAGCAGTCATGCTCTGCCCAGTGGCATTGTTTTCTAAGAACTTAAGTGTATCTTCTCATTATCCTCATAAAATCCCCATTATCAGCTCCATTCCACAAGTGGAGACCTTGAAACTTAGAGAGCTTAAATAATAATAATAACTAAAATTCATGAAGGGTGCCCTTCTAGCCCACTACACATACCAGGCACTGTTCTGAGTGTTTTTATCTGTTGACTCAATTAATCCTCATAACACCCTTTTTGTGTTACTATTTATGTTGTCTTCATATTACAAATGAAGAAACTGAGGCACAGGGAAGAGGTGAAATAAGATCACTTAGCTGGTGAGTAATTAGGCAGAACTTGAACTTGGGCAGCTTGACACCAAAGCTGTGCTTTTACTGCTAGGCTGATTTGCTCAAAGTCACACCACTGGTTAAGGCTGGAGTTTGAGTCTACTCCATGTGGTCAGAATCTAGAGCCACAGGGGCAGCCATGTGCTCTGCGGCCTGCTTAGATGTTCATGGGGTCAGATTTCCTCTGCAGTGGCTCCAACGGCTGGCAGCAGGGTCTGGGATGGATGTACTGCCTTTCTCAGAGCTAGGCTGGGAAAAACATTTCCTTGTCATTTATTTTTTAAATGTCAGGAGATTTTAAAACTTCTAGGAGAGCAGATAAGTGATAAGAAGAAAATCTGGGTCGTTTTTGTGCATACAAAGGGGCCATTCTAATAGTGGTTTCAAGGGGTCTTTTCTAGACAAAAGGGGAGGAGATTGTTTTAGTAGCCCTCTCTTCCTTTCCTGGGGAGTTTGAAACTATCTAGTTTTGAAATCTAAAAATCCCCAAGCTCTTGGATCTGGTCCTTTTTACCCCCTTAGCCATATATTCCAGTTTCTGCTAAAAAAAGTCTGCCTCAAGATATAAGTGACATCCAACTGTTGGGGCTGTTTTCTCTTTTCATAGAAACCAGAGCTTCTGGGGTTCTGAGATGTCTCTAGCGGTCACTGACCTAACCATTAGCAACTGGGTTCTACAAATAATGTCCCTGGGGAACTCAATAAAATTATCAATCGCTAGCCCCCACAGGTCTTAATAGAGAGTGGATAGGTGGAAGGTTTATAAATCAGGATGAGTCATTTGATTCACCAAGGGAAAAGATAAATAAACCAACACTCCAATTAATTTTAACCTGAAAAGAAACTGCTAGTGAATGGTGCGTTAGCCAAGTCCGTAGGGTCTTAACAACCTTAATTATTCACAAATGCAAATTGCTTTTACTGCTTGCTAATTTCTTCATGTCTTCCATCCAGTTCCTCTTCCCCTCACCATCCTCCTCTCTCCTCACCCAGTCTCTTTATTCCTGAAGAGCCAAAAGGAAATTTCTGGAAATGACCTTCTAATCACTCAAGCTTTTTCTCTAAAAAAATTTAACGAATCTTCCCAAGACCCTAATTAGCTTAACCTGGGATCCAAGGACTGCCCTAGGCCTAAATAATCCATAGATGCGCTTCAGGGACCCCATGAGCTAGCTGAAATTATATGCAAAATTGTGGGGGTGGGTGCAAAAAAAATCAGAAAGAATGAATAAGACCTACTATTTGATAGCACAAGAGGGTGACTATAGTCAATAGTAACTTAATTGTACCTTTTAAAATTAACTGCAAGAGTGTAATTGGATTGTTTGCAACACAAACGATAAGTGCTCTAGGGGATGGATACCCCATTCTCCATGATGTGATTATTACATAATAAGTGCCTGTATCAAAACAGGTCATGTATGCCACAGATATATACACTTGCTATATACCCGCAAAAATTAAAAATTAAAAACAAACAAAAAATTGTGAGGGTAGGGTACTTCCTGGCTCCCTGCCCACCCAAGAGGTCCAATTTTCATCAAATTCTCAAGAAAGTCTATGTTCTCCCCAACCCCCTAAAACAGCATTAAGCATTAAAGGACTAGACTGTACCCACCTAAACACTGCATCACAAGGAATATTTATGATGCAGAGTGAGACAGCCCAGGCTTAGGAGCCAGACAGATGCAGGTTCAAATCCCAGCTCTGTCACTTACGAGCTGCATGAATTTAGACAAATGTCAAATTCTCTGAGC
The DNA here is from genome assembly GCF_000001405.40 of Homo sapiens. NCBI lineage: Eukaryota > Metazoa > Chordata > Mammalia > Primates > Hominidae > Homo > Homo sapiens. The sequence continues at coordinate 77,221,979 of NC_000010.11, forward strand.
CTATTTCATCATCTGTAAAATGGTGATCATAACTCCTTCAGTACAGGATTATTGGGTGACTATACAAAATAATACGAGAAAGCACAAAGCATTTGTACATAGAAAGGGCAAAATGAAAATCCTCCCTACAAGAGAGAGAAAAAAAGGCAGATCTAGGCTCAGGAGTAGAGACGCTGCTCTCCCATCTTTGGGAACTGCATTTCTGGCTTTGCTAAAGATGAAGGTCACTGTACTACAAAGACAATCAGATTGGGATCACCCCTGGGAAATCCATAAGAATCAGATTGGAAGAGCACTCTTTATGAGCATCATATTAGATTATAAACCTTTTTATAGATCTTATAGTGACATGCCCAATCTGATTTAAAATAAGCCTCTAACCCTCTATTCTCCTACTGTCTCTACCTACTACTCCCAACATAATGTGATAAGCAAAGCCTAAACATTTCAATCATGTACAATGTGAAGTTGCACCACAGTAAGGGCACTGAAATGACCTCAGGAAGCCCGCATAGCCAGATGTCTGCAGTCCTTCTGCAAGATCCCAATATTTTCAGGTTCTACCTGGGTCAGTTCGCTGCTCTGGGGTAAATATCAATTAGAGGCTTCTAGATCCTTTGGCTGTTGGGACTTCCAGAACAGCATCAATGACTTCAAAAACATCCTGAAGTCGATTAATCTGCTCCTGTTGTATGGGCTAGATTCCTGATTCCAGAGAACAGGCCAACAGAACGCAGGCCAAGAGGACCCCACCTTTGCATTTCTATTTCTCATGGCAAGGTTGCCTCACTCCCAGAAAAAAGAACTTTAGCTTTATTATCTGAGACAGGCAGAGGATTGAAGCTGATTGCCATTCTCTACATATCTGATTTTATATTATGATTGTATTGTGGGGCATGCTACTGCAGAGTTTAACTGCATTGAAATCATTATATCATTTCTCTTTGGCTATAAAGAATTTTAATTTGGGGCTGGGCGTGGTAGCTCACACATGTAATCTCAGCACTTTGGGAGGCTGAGGCAGGCAGATCACAAGGTCAGGAGTTCGAGACCAGCCTGGCCAACATGGTGAAACCCCGTCTCTACTAAAAATACAAAAACTTAACCGGGCATGGTGGCAGGCACCTGTAGTCCCAGCTACTCGGGAGGCTGAGGCAGGAGAATTGCTTGAACCCGGGAGGCAGGGGTTGCAGTGCGCTGAGATCATGCCATTGCACTCCAGCTCTGGGTGACAGAGCAAGTTTCCATCTCAGAAAAAAAAAAAAAGAATTTTAATTTGGAAGCCATTCATAGTGGTTGTAGTTTTTGCTCAGACCATGTTGTGACACACAGTGTATTGGCTTTTCAGATGACATTAACCCAGCCACCTGCTCATCTTGGTCCTGCTCAGTTAACCTGCACATCTGTATTTTTGTCTTTAAAGTCTTTATTATCAACCTCACTCCCCAGCTATAAAAGCTGTTTGTCCCCCAAACAAGTTGAAAAGAAAGTGCAGAATAATCAGAGTGTATCTAGAATGAATAAAAAATGAGAATCCCATGACATCCAAGATGGGATACAGTCTTGATTGGACATACAGACAGACATGGTGACAGAAAACTCAGAAGCCGGGAGGGTCAGAGCGATGGAGCTTACTAGAACACAAGTTCATTTTCTCAAATGTGAGTGTTTTGCCCTCTCTGATTGGCATGCCTTTTTTCCTTCCTCAATTGTGGGGCACTGTCCTCTAACCACAGATGACTTCTTTACACCGCACGGTTGCAGATAGCACAGTTTCAAGGAGGGTGTGCTTGGATCTGGTAGAGGTCATGGACGAAGTGAAGACAAAAGTGAAGTCTTGGTGGTACTGGTTCACGCAAGGAATCAAACAGCCCAATGAGTCAGAGATCTGCTAAGTATATGGAAGCCTTCATGACTTAAAATATCCAACTGCCACGAGAGAAGTTCCAGAACAGAGGAGCCTCTTCCAGCATGGACCCAGCAGCTACAGGAGGGCTCAGATTGCTTGCTCTGCCACGCCTCTGCCATCTGCCCCCTGCTGAAGTCAGGCCAGGGAAGAGGTGCTGCCCATGAGTCAGCCATTCTCAACTGCTGCTTCTGCCTTCTCACTTTGCCATATTTGCTCCCTATCTGGGATGGTACAGTTCCACAGACCCTGATACACCTGGGGTTCAGCAGACCTAATTAGCCTTACATGTGTCTGCTCCCAAAATAGAGAGTCATTTATTCCAGTTTCTGTCCTGATCAGCAAGGTGTGACCTAGGCCCATGGCCCATAGCCCCAGACTGGGAGAGGAGCCACATTCCTTCTGAACAGTTTCTAAAAAACTTTCAGTCCCAAATGAGTGACTTTAGAAGTGGAGTTTTGAGGATGGAGCTGAGCACGTGGATTTCACATCTTCTCCTCTTTTCAGTATAGCTCTCAAGCCCCCTGGATGCAAAGGCAGGACCCTGATGAACTTGCCTTTTCTATGACAGTCTTTACACTACAAGAAAGGGGCTGCAGGACAATCCCAGCTCCCAAAGACCCAGCCCAGAGCTCAGGAAAGCCAGGCTGCTTCTCACCAAAACTGAAAACCAGGACACCTTGGGAACACTCAGGACCCCACTCAGGCACCAGCTCCTTCCGGCAGCTCTTCCTTACCCTGCTGAAGTGCTGACCATCCCTGCCCTTGACTCACTCCCATTGCAGTGCCAACTCAGAGCATCTATCCCCAAAGCCAGAGTTTCTGGGATTCAGATCTTGGAGGTGTCACCCATTCCCTATGTGACTCTGTGGGAGCTACTTAGTTAATCTGCACCCTAATGTCCTCATCCATCAAATGTCGATGATGACAGCACCCATCTCACAGACTTGGGTAAGGCTCAGAAGAGCTAATATAAAGAAAATGCTTAGAACGTGGACTAGAATAGTAAGCACTCAACATACTTCCCATGCTGTTGTTGGCGCCGCTGCTCCCACTTGTCAGATACCATGTGAGACCAGGAGCCCCTTGAAGGTGGGAAACTTTTTCTGTTTACTTCTATGGTCCCAGCACCCAGCACAGAGCATGGTGCAGAAAAGGCTCAAAATGTTTTATGAGTGAATGAATAAAGCGAATCCAGTTGGCAATGCTGGACTATATACAGCTTGACTTGGTGATGGTTACCTTACAGACTCCTCCCCTGCAATGTTCTGAAAGAGGGCAGAATGTCAACGGGCAGGCACACTGGCCAGAGAGAAACTGAGCAATGTGAGAATGGCCAGGGGAGACTGGGCATTACAGCAAAAAAGACTGGCATTGAAGCTCACCAACTGGGTTGTCTTGAGCACATCCATTTCCTCTTGGGCTTCAGTCTGGCCATCTGTGTGTCTAAACAAAGGCAGGAACTACTAGAAAGATGGGGTATCATTTCAGCAAGAACAGGTGGAGAGGTGAAACATGACTCATCTTTCTCCACCTGCCCCAGGGGACTCCCCCTGGCCAGGAAAAAACAGAAGCTCTAAACAGACCCTGCTTCTGAAGTCACAGCAAAAACCATGTCCAGTGTCCCCAGTAATTCTCTAGAATTCTCCCACCTGAGAGCCTCCTCCTCCCCACACAGGCCTGCGGAGTGCAGTGTAAATACCTCACCTCTCTCTGAACCACACGGCAGGAAGCATGGGAAACTCCTGCGGCTGTCGTAGGTGCCCACGGGACTGCTGGGCACTGTGCCACCACCACTGAAGAGGCCTTTGTGGCCTTCTTCCTGTGGCCCCAGGAGGAGACAGGAACTGGGAGCTAGCAGGCACCAAGGGGCCATGGAGGCCACATGCCGAATGGAGGAGCGTGGCAACCTTCCTTGAAGCCAGAACTGCCGAGGTCTGTCTATAGCTCAGACAGTGCTGTGGGCCCCTCTTGCAGGCCAGTCGTCTCACCTGGACCCTGGGCTCTGAGTAAACAATCCAATGATGCTACCCACAAAGGCCGCAGATCCAAGCTTAGGAGGCATCTTCCCGTCAATGCCCTGGGGGCCCCTGTTGCCAAGTGACATGTGTCTGTGATTGCAGAAGGCCCTATTCTCCCAGAATCTAGGGGAGGAAGGGGGACTTTATGCAGCTGGAAAAGGCAAATTCTAACAGTCCTTTGTGATTTTAGACATGGTATTTAATCTCTTTTGAAATGCCAAATAATATTAAAAGAGGGCATGCTGCTTTTATGATTTTTCAGGAAGGGTCATGGACTAATAACAGGTTGCAAACATTGCAACATTGCTGGGAGGGTTCTTGCCCTTGCTGTAGGTACATATTGCTGTTCTATTTATAACCAACATGAAAACAATGTAATAATCAGAACTAAGAGATGTATACATCCCTTTAGCCTACCTATTTTTCTTGGATCTGGAATATTTTGGGCCTCACTTGTTGATTTTTAGCAGCAGTTGAAAGGAGCTGACCAAATGCACATTAACGAGACGACATTCCTGTCTCTTTCTGTCTTCACTGGGAGACGTCCTATTTGAGCCATCCTGGTTTGAGATCCCAGCCTCCCACCCCTCAAGCATGAGACAGCCACGAGAAGGCCCCCTGCAGCCACAAACATTTGTCAGAGTGATTTGGTGAAGTTCAGCAGTGAAAGCAATTTCTTACTCGGAAAATCATTTATCATGGATAGCCTGTCGAAAACAATCTCATTTCAAACCCTTCCCAGGGAGAAAAGAACTGACAACTGGCACTAAGTAATCTACAACAGAGCCATGGGAGTCATTCATCTTTCCTTTGCCCAGCCCAGGACTTGATGCTTTCAGAAGAGAAGTGGAATCAATCATAACTGCTCTGAGGGGCTTCAGGTAAAAGAGGAGGGGGCTACCGGGACAGCCACATACTCCTGAGTGCACAATGGGAGATTGTTCAGTCTCTATTTTACTAATAGCCAAAAACCAGAAGAGTAGTTGTAGGGGTCTTTGAGGGAGGTGTGCCTCCTTCATTACAAAACATGTTCTTTTTGTACTTTTAGCTCATCTTAAATGCCAGAATCCTCCTTCTTAGGGAGCAATTAAGGAAAAGCTTATTGCTTTTTTATATAAGCTGACTTCCCCTTTGCCTGGGGCAGTCTTTTCTTTGCCAGACCATAGCATGGAGCTTGTGGCATAGTAGATAATGATTCTGTGCATGCCATTTCCACTGACATCAACACCCTGGAAACAGAATATCTAGCAATTTGAGGCTCATGGAGAAAAGCAGAAGAGGGAAAATTTTTCCCCATTAAGTTCCCTGCTTTTTTAAAAATACAATTAGTTACAGATAGGAAAAGCAATTGATCACTTTCCTTACTGAATGTCTGATTAAACCCAGGTTCTGGTTTTGAGGTTCACCAAGCCCCAGAAGAAGCTAATGAATTTCAGGGCTCCATCATTCTCATGTTTTGGCATTAACCAGTGACTCAGAAGGTACTGCCAGATGCAAATTATGACATCAATGCTATACTCCCTGGGAACCAAATAAAACAGAACCACCTTTGTAGATGGGTAGCTCCCACCAGTTCCCAGAAATATTTATATTATGGATATTAGTACTTCATTAGTACTTCATTATTATACCAATCTTAACTCAGAAATAAATCACCAGGTTTAGCACATATGATGCTTTAAGATAAAACTGTCCTCAAACTGCTTTCATTTCTCTGTCATTATCAGGGGTCTGAAATCCTGACTATTTTGGAAAGAAGTGTTATGCTATTTTGCCCAAGCCAAATGCAGGCATTAACGGTAAAGTTCTGGGATAAAATGCTCCATTTGAACTGAATTGTTCACATAAAATGGCTAATTTCTATTAGCCATTTGGGAGTACTTCTGCCACTTCCCAGCTGTCACTTTAAGCAAGATACTTTAGCCTCTCTGTGCCTTGGTCTTCTCATCTGTAAGAAGGGGGTAATACTGCTACCTACCCTGTAAGATGTTATGAGGATTAAATGAGGTGATACTTACAAGGGCCACAGCGCCTGCCAAAAAGCAAGCATTTAATTTAATTTTTTTTTTTTTTTTTGAGACGGAGTTTTGTTCTTGTCGCCCAGACTGGAGTGCAGTGGCGCAATCTTGGCTCACTGGAACCTCCACCTCCAGGGTTCAAGTGATTCTCCTGCTTCAGCCTCCTGAGTAGCTGGGATTACAGGCACGTGCCACCACGCCTGGCTAATTTTTATATTTTTCGTAGAGACGGGGTTTCACCATGTTGGCCAGGCTGGTTTCGAACTCCTGACCTCAGGTGATCCACTTGCCTCGGCCTCCCAAAGTGCTGGGATTACAGGCGTGAGCCACCACACCCGGCCTAATTTAAAATATCTTTTAGAAAACTCTCAGCCAGAGATGAATTAGGGGGTAAGCCAACCACTCGGTTTCCTGGTAGCCAATCTATAAAGTCCCCAGGAGATCACTGGAAAAGTAACAAGATGGAAAAATGAGATTTTCAGGGTGAGCACTCACTATACATGATCGAGAAGAGCACTATAAAAAGCCAGGTGTGAGGAGGTAAAGCTCCCATAAGGACAAGATCAGAGATAAACAAAGAGTCTCTGAACTGCTAAAGAGGCTTGCCAGGGTCCCTGAGCCACCTCTACAACAGTTTTCTTCCTCCTCCGCTTCCCCAACACAAAGGTTAGTTTCTCTGCTAAATAAATATTGAATACTTACATAACAAATATCAATTTGAAGGCACATAAAATTATGAGCCTGCCCAAGTGTCTTCTTGGCCTACCATGCTCTGAGCTAACTGGGGCACTGAGTGTAAACACTCTCCCGGCTACTGCTTTGCTCTTTCCCTCCCTCATTATTCACCACATTCAGTGAACAGAAATTCCAGCTTGAGCCACCTGTAGTCATGTGGCATTGGTCCAAAGCCCTCACTACCATGGGCGCCAACCCTAAGGGGAGGTATCCTCAGCACTCACTACGTGAAAACCTACTTTGCTTGGGACCAAGAAAAGAATAATTCAGCATGAATACGACATCACTGGAACTTGTTAGTGTTATTTGAAAGATGTGGCTGAAGTTTTACATAGGGAATGTGTGCTTCCATCACAAGTAACACAGTGTATACAAAACTAACAAAGCAGTTTGTGGCCAAGAGGTTTTTGTTTTCTAGGATGAATAAGAAGTCCATGTTCTTGAAGGAACTTGAGGAACAATGACTACTTCAAGTCCACCCTGAAATATGGACACGATGGAAAAGCAAAGGTGGGTCATCCACCTGGGAATCTCTAGTTCAATGGTTAGCTCAGTAAATCTTCCCAATTTACCATGCAGATCCATCTCCCTTAACCCCATAAACTGGGCTAAAGAATAAACATATTGCAATTTGGGTATTAATTTAATCAGGCATGATTTTGCAGAGAAGCCCATGGCAAAAAAAAAAAAAAAAAAAACTTTCTATAATGAGGTCCAATACCAAAAATAGTAGTAACAATAATTTAAAAGCAGATTGTTTAAAATCCATCTCTTCCTCTCTGTTTCTATCCATAATTGAGGAGGAAGAGCATTTGTTCAGCCTACTGTCTGCCAGGCATGTGCCAGGAGCTTCACTCATCTCTTCACCCCAGTATATTATTGCTGTTGTATGGATGGAGAAACCAAGATTTGCAGAGATTATCACCTGCCCAAGGCTACCTTCCTGGGAAGAGGGAGATCTGGATTTGAACCCCACCTCGGTCTGAGTCCAAAGCCTGTGCTCTTCCCACATTGTGCTGCTGGCCATCCCTGAAGCTGCCGCTGTAGGTGGAGCATACTCCCTGAGACGAACCAAGGGAGTAGTGGCTATATATATATATATATGTACACACACACAAAGCAAACAAACAAAAACAAAATAAGTTGGCGAGGATGTGGACAAATTGCAACCCCCGCATGTTGTTGGTGGAAATGTAAAATGGTACAGCCATTGTGGAAAATAGTTTAGTGATTCATCAAAAAGCTAAACATTGAATTCCTAAATGACCCTGCAATTCCACTCCTATGCATATAAGAATTGAAAACAGGAATTCAAACAGATACTTGTGCACAACTGTTTATTGGAGCATTATTCACAATAGCCAAAAGGTAGAAACAATCTACATGTTCATTGACAAATGAATGGATAAACAAAATGTGTGGCAGACATAAAATGGAATATTATTCAGCCATCAAAGGGAATTAAGTACTGATACGTGCTACAACGTGGATGAACCTTGAAAGCATTATGTCAATGAAGGAAGCCAGACACAAAGGTCGCAAATATATGATTCCATTTAGATGAAACATCTAGAAGAGGTAAATCCATAGAGACAGAAAGCAGATCAGTGGTTGTCAGGGCCTAGGAGGACAGAGGAATGGGGAGTGACTCTGATGAGTATGGGGTTTCCTTTTGGGTTTACAGAAATGTCTTGACTAAATAGAAGTGATGGTTGCATAACATTGTGAAGGTACGAATCACCACTGTATCGTACACATTAAAATGGCTAATAGTTACTTTTATGCTCTGTGAATTTTGCCAGGATTAAGAAAACAAAAGAGTGGTAAAGTTAGAAGATATTTCACAAGTTCTCTATTGCACTGCATTCTTTGTGGATGAGGAAAATGAGCTGTCAGTCTGTCCAGTGCGGAATTACATAGCTAAAGTTTGCCGGTGAAGTTGGGGTTAGAAGTCAACCCTCTGTCAATTAATTTATCAGAGCTTGCACCCAGGCTCACACTGGGGCTCTGGAGGAAAAGAAGAACAATATTGAGAGAAATAATTCTTTCTCAAGTGTAACTGAGAGCCTCCCAGTTCCTGCCTCTTTGGCTCAAAGCTCATATTCCTGGGAAGTCATCCTCCCTTCCACTCCAGGGAAAATGGCTTCCTACTTTTATGTGAAAAGGAGCCACAAAGAATTCAGCATCATGAAACACCCTTAGCTCTATCAATAGAGAAATTTCTGTCTTCAAGGGAAGTCCACTTGATTTGCTTCTGCTTGAAGTGAAGCAGATAACCTCAATCAACATCTGATTACTTCTTTAATTTCCAGAGCTTGCTCATTACCGAAGCCACACTGTCTCTAGAGAAGGACCTAGAGTAACTCAGATTTTAACACACCTGGGCTGACAAGTTACTTAGCTTGGGCTTTAATTGAGAAATCAGTTATTTTACCCATTATTTTGCTAACATTATCAAAATCCTGTGATACTCAAGGCCCTGAAATGACATTTTCCTCTCCTTTATCATTTGTACATGTGACTAGGAGAAAATTATGTGTGATGGACATGTCGAAGATACATAAGTTCTTGAAGAGATTCTTTCCTACTTGCTCTACTCACTGATCCGTTTCCACTGAACAAATTGAGTATCAGCATGAGAAGTCACAAGGCAGGGGGTTCATTCTTTCTTCCCTGGCTTGGCTTTCTAAAGCGTGTGAGTTTTATATTGTTGCTTTTCAAGATGTGAAGTTGTGTGTAAATTTGTGTGCATGTATGATGAATATTTTTCCCTGCTAAAAGGTACAATGAAATTGATAGTGAAACTTTGCAAACCAACTCTCCGATAAGCTTCTAGTGTTTTTCTTTTTTTTAGGTTTGCCACTAATCCTCCCAGCATTTCTGCAGATTGTAACTGAAGCTCAGCTTTTCTAGGAGGAAAATACCTGTTATGGTCAACAACCTAAGAGTCACTCTTGATTCCTCTCCATTTTCAACTAAACAGCTGCTCTGTCTGTGACGCCTCCAGCATGTGCTCACACCCCAATGGCCTCGGACCTCTCCCAAGGCAGCATCCTCTCAGTTGAGACCTAAGAAAACTGCCTCCCAAATATTTTCCTTGCTTTTGTCTTTCCCTGAACTCTATTCTCCACATCACAGTCATTATTTGCTAATGGCTTTATTGAGTTCTAGTTTCTACACCATACAATTCACCCATTTGAGGTTTAAAATTCAATGGGACAATCAATTTTAAAACACTTTCATCACCTCAAAAAGAAGCCCTGTAGCCTTCAGCTATCAACCCCCAATCTCCCCACAAGCAAGGAGTCAGTAATCTATTCTCTGACTCTATATATTTGCCTATTCTTGACATTTTACACAAGTGAAGTCATATACTGTGTGATCTTTTGTGACTAGTTTCTTCCACTTAGCATAATGCTTTCAAGGTACACATATGTTGTGGCATGTTTCAGTTCTCCATTCCTTTTTATAGCCAAATGGTATTCCACTGCATAAGCACATCACATTTTGTTAATCCAGTCATCTGTTGATGGGCATTTAGATTGTTTCGCTGTTATGAATGTTCAAGCGCAAGTTTTGTGTGGACATGTATTTTCATTTCTGTTGGGTAAATACCTAGGAGTGGAATGTACATGTCATGGTAGCTCTGTCTTTCAGTTTTTCAGGAATTGCCAGGCTGTTTTCCAAAGCTACAGCACCATTCTACATCATCCCCACGAGCAGCCACAAGGGTTGCAATTTATCCATATCCTTGTCAACACTTGTTATGATCTGTCTTTTCAAGTATAGCCATCCAAATGGGTGTAAAGTGGTATCTCACCATGGTTTTGATTTGCATTTCTCTGATGACTAAGGTGTTGAACATCTTTTCATGTGCTTCTTGACTATTTGTATATCTTCTTTAGAGAGAGATGTATTCATAAACTGACCATTTTTAAACTGGGCTGTCATTTCACTTTCTTTGTAATGTCCTTCCATTGAAACACAAATGTTTTTAATTTTGATGAGGTCCAATTTATCTACTTTTTCTTTTGTTGCTTTTGTGTTTGGTATCATATTTAAGAATTCATGGCTAAATCCAATGTCACAAAGGTCTACCCCGTCTTCTCTCCTAAAAGTTTAAATGTTTTTGCTCTCACATGTAGATCTTTGATCTATTTTGAGTTAATTGATGTGAAGAGTCCAATTTTATTATTTTGCATGTGCCTATCTAGTTATCCCAGCACCATTTTTTTTTTTTTTTTTTGAGACAGGGTCTCACTCTGTCACCCAGACTGGAGTGCAGTGGCACAATCACAACTCACTGCAGCCTCCACCTCTCAGGCTCAAGTGATCCTCTCATCTCAGCCTCTCAAGTAGCTGGGTTCACAAGCGTGTGCCACCATACCTGGCTAATGTTTAAAAAAGAAATTTGTAGAGACAGAGTCTCACTATGTTGCCCACACTGGACAGCATCATTAATTGGAAAAACTATTCTTTCCTCATTAAATGGTCTTGGTATTATTCTCAAAAATTAGTTGACTATAAAAACTGGATGTATTTCTGGACTCTCAATTCTATTCCACTGATCTATATGTCCAGAATGACTGTTTAAAAGTGGAAATTGCATTATTACTCTTTCTAAAGTAATAGCCTAATGCCCAATACAAGTCATTCTCTATCCCAAGGATTCTTCACTTGGGGCCATATACTTCCAAGAGGTCCTTGTGCAGTACTCAGGGAGTCCATGATTTGGACCAAAAAAATTACATCTTTATTTTTATTAACCTCTAATTCAAATTTGGCATTTCCTTTAATTATGAATATAGCAATAAACTGTAGGGAGCCAAAGGCCCATGGGACATGACCAACTCAGCATTCCACTGGAGGCTATATGATCAAACAGCAAACTGTTTATCGTGAATGCAGAATGTGAGCAAACTCAGGACTGCGCATGCCTCCAGGAGGTTTGCTAAGGGCCAGGAGGTTTGCTGGGCTCCTTAAAGTTATCTACTGGGAAATCTAGTGCCTATTGTTTGAAGAATGCAGTCTTGCAAGCCTGCTGTGATTCAAACTGCTGGCCGACAACCACCTGCCCCTTTCTCGTTATCTCTTTTACCTAATAAATTCGGAGGACCGAAACAGCTCAGGGCCCTTGTCCACTAGAGGCGAGGTGCCCCCAACCCCTTCTTCCAAATATACTCTCTTGTCTTTGACTTTTATTCCCCAGTTAGCCCCACTTTGTTCAGTCCACCAGGGATCATGGCAGGTTACAAGTGGCACCCCGAACAGTGACAGAATCAGGTGTTCTACAATAAATTAGAACAGTATTAATGACACTTGTAACTTTTTTTAGCAACAGAAATCTCAGATATTTACATATAAGATTACAATTGTTACAGGTATCTCAAAGTATTACTTATATTAATCCTACTTTAAAATGATGGTGGTATATTAGAATTATTGCTGGATCTTCATAAAAATGCCCTAATCAAGAAGCAAGCAGACTTTATCATAATTTGTTTTTTATAATCTGATAACTGATTTTAACATAATCTATTTTCTTATAATCCAATGTTTTTATATTATGCCTTTATAAATAATATTTTTCTGAGAAAGGGGTCATAGTCTTCACCAGACTGCCAAAGAAGTCCTCAGCACAAAACATTTAAGAAACCCTGCTTTTTCCATTACCAGTTTTATTTTCTTCCCAGCACATGGCATCAACTGAATTTATCTTATTTACTTGTCAACTTGTTTACGGTCTGTCTCTTTCTGATACTGGAATGTAAGTGCTTAGGGCTTAAAATAGTGTCAGGCACATAATAGCCATTCAATAAATATTTATTGAGTTAATTACGGAATCAGCAGCAATTTTCTAAACAAGAGCTAAATCATTGGCTTAATGAAAATAAAGACTACTGATACCAAATTAGTGACATGTAATCCATACTGAAAATTATTTTACATTTATGCCATCATCATCATTAGATTTAATAAATGCCAGCATGTCCTATGTGCTGTATTAAGTGCTTGATGCACAGTATCTCATTCACTATTCTCCATACTAACAACCAAGAATATCATTAACCATACTTACAGTTAAGGGAACTAAGCCTCAGAGAGGTTAATTTCTCACTCAAGTTCACATAGCTAACAAATGACAGAGTTGGGATTTGCAACCAAGCCTACCTGCCTTCAGAGTATTGATTTTTAACTACAATAAAACACTTCTAAGAGAGGAGGAATTTTCTTCCTGTTCAACTGAGAAAGCTAAGATCCTGTGAAGTTAAGAAATGTGGCCCAGAACGCAGAGTTCAGCAGAGATTTCCAATAAAATGTTCTTTCCACTGTTCTCCTTATGAGCCACAGCAGGAAAACCCCTTAGCAGAACTGGGTGCTATCAGGTTGCCTCCTACGAGAAGATGAATTTTGGAAGAAGCATAATTAATACTAGCAGGCATTAACTGAAGCCTGTTCTTTTCTTTCCTGGGGTCCAGTCTGCTTCTCTAAATATTAGGGCTTGGCCTCATTCAGGGCATTAAGGACTTCATTAGGCTGAAATCCAAGTTAATTTGATTGCACAATTATAAACTGTCCCTGGCTGGAGGTTGTCTCATTTGCCAGGTTGCAAGGGGGCAGCATGGCTGGATGACATGCTTTTGATCCCCAGCTTGAAGTTTCAGTGCTTTCTGGCTTTGACCTCATCAAGTTTTACAGAAAGGAAGTTAAATTGGAGCAGGGAGACAGATATTCTCCTTACTAAAGTTGTCACGGGCACACAGAGGACCATTCATCAGGTCTGCAAAGAAACAAGGCACAGGAAAAGTCCTGGTCACCCGGAGGTGGCAGCAAATGAGATCTAACCAAAGGTCCATTATGCCCAAGGTCACTCACCCACATGGCAAGCATACATCCAGGCTGACCCCTTTCCTCTTTCCTGTGCCTCATTTTCCCCTTACTGGCTAACAGGTTATTCAGCCCGGGTATGCAGAGGAGCCAAGGGAAGGAATAAATCGCTTCGTTTTCAACAGGGATTTTGTTGACATTAGTAGAATCTGGAAGCATCCACTTCATGGAGTAGCATTTTCCTCTCCTCTGCTATTCATGCAAGTGATCAAAGGACCCACTTCCAGCCTTCCTCAAGAGAGGCCTCTCCTCCAGCCAACAAAGTCCCTTCACTGACTATTTTTGTAAAGACATTAACTTTGCCCAAAGAGAGGCCTGGCCTTGTCCTGAGCTTCTGGGAGGCAATGTCTAAGCCCTTGGAGTGTCATGCCTGATAAAAGTGTCTTTTCCAGGGGTCTTGGGCTGGCCAGATAGTAACAGTGTTATTTTGGGTAGGGGCTGACCATGCCAGAAAGTCTAACAATGTCATTTATGATGGAGGCTTTGGGTTACATGGTATCCATCCACCTCCAGGGGAGCAGGGGACTGAGGCTGGCCATGAGGGCAGTCATTCAAGTTTACATGATCCAGTCCCAGTAAAAACTTTGAACTCCGAGGCCCGGGCGAACTTTCTCGATTGACAGTACTCCTTGCGTGTAGTCACACATTGATGCTGGGAGGTAACACGATCCATGACTCCACATGGAGGAGATAATGAAAGCACCATATTTGGATCTTTCCCAGACTCTGGCCTATGTACTTTGTCCTTTGGTTGATTTTAATCTGTATCTTTTCCCTGTAATAAATTGTAACCGTGAGTATAATAGCCTTCAGTGAGCTCTGCAGTCCTATGCATTATCGAACCTGAAGGTGACTTGGGGAACGTGCCAAACCTGCAGTTGATGTCAGAGGGAGGATGGTCTTGGGGACTGCTCACCCCATGCCCCTCTTCTGCAGCATCCAAATTCTACCCATGCCTTGGGACCCAACTCTAGCCTGCCATCCTTCCTTAAAGTTCCCTGGATTACTGCAACCAGCAAGTATGCTGGCTTCTACACTAAAAGCTAGTGTTTCTTAAACGCTTTTTAGCAAATTCCACAGTAAGAAACAGAGTTTACGTCACAAATCAGTACATTTATACAGTATACATACGTTTATACAGTATATATACATTTATACAGTACATAGATCTATATATGTAATGGAAACAAAAGTTTCATAAAATCAAATTGAACTTCTCTAGCTATATTTCCATCTTGGGCTGATCAATCTCATGTTTTATTTATTTATGTATGTACTTTTAGAGACAAGGTCCCACTCTGTTTCCCAGGCTGATCTCAAACTCTTGGCCTCAAGCCATACTCTTGACTCAGCCTCCTGAGTAGCTGGGATTATAGGTAAAAGCCACCATGCCCAGCTGTGTCATCTTTTTTAAATGCTTGTTTTTCCTTTCACAAACCATGAATGAGTTGAGATTGCAGTTTTCAGAAGCACAGGTCTCGTCCATTATTCTGATAACCGATCTCTTTACTGCCTTACAATACATCTTATTTTGTTTCTTAACTTCACTGTGTTTATATCTCATCTCTCTCAAGACCTGATTAAAAGTTTCAAAACAGACCTCAAAAAGAACAATACCAATAATATCTAATACTTTTTTTGGTCATGTTCAAGCTGGGCACTGTACTAAGAGCCTTTCCATGCAGTGTCTAATTGTTTCCACACACTACTATCAGGTAGGTATTATCCACTATGACATCTCTCATCACCACTTTCACCCCATGTGACAAAGGAAAGACTTCATAGCTTGGAAAGGTTAACTGGCTTGCCCAGGACAGCTACAAAGTAGTAGAGCCAAGTAAGCCAAGAAGGTCTGGTCTGATTCCAAACCCTGGTGTTCACCACTAGGCTCCTTCCTCCCCACTTTCTTTTTGCAAAATTGTTTTTTTAAAGACAGGGTCTCACTCTGTCCCTCAGGCTGGAACACAGTGGTGCAACCAGGGCTCACTTCTGCCTCAAACTCCTGTGCTGAAGCCATGCTCCCACCTCAGGCTCTTGAGTAGCTGAGACTATAGGCACATACCACCATGACCAGCTAATCTTTAAAACATTTTCCAGGGCCTCACTACATTGCCCAGGCTGGTCTTGAACTCCTGGGCTCAAGTGATCCTCTTACCTCATGTGAGCCACCCTGCCCAGCTACATTCCCACCCATTTTCATTCCCCGCCAGAGCTGCCCAGCAGACCTTTTTGCCCCAGAGTGGAAAGGGCACAGATGACAAATATGAATATACAATTCTGGCCCAGTGGGCTCAAAGAGGAGGGAGTTGGCAATGTTTCCTCTTCAGCCAGCATTCTTTTCAAGCAAAGCTCTGTGACCTTCTACCCGAAGGCAGCGCTCTCAGGCCTGTCTGTTGCGGTTCCCCTCACTCATCTCAGGAGAGTCTCCTTCCAGAATGCCAGGCACCCCTGCCTGCCTCCCCACTGCCTCGCCTTCCCTGCACCAATTAAACTGTCACAGTCGGCTGGCTTGGAGGCAGGTGAGGTCAGGAAGAAATCTGAAGGAAGCTGGGAATTCAGATGAGATGAGGCCTCCTTGTGCTGAAGCTCCTCTTCTGTTTTCTGTCAAACTGGTCTGAAGACTGATTGGATGAGCCCATAGAGATCCCTGGCGACTCTCTACACTCACCTCTTCCTCTCCAATGGAGGGTGAGAAATACGGCCTTGTACAGAAGTGGCAGCTTTTGCATCTGTTTGGGTACCCAGTGGTCCCTAGTTCCTGGTGCAACAGCAGTGGGTCTCGGGTGGAATGATTTTGGCTGGAGATTGTTTGCATCCTGGAATCATTGCCTAAAGAGGAATTTGTCCTCTACAAACAAGTGCTAACCCACAATACACAAGAGAAGCAAATCAAAGAGCTCTTAGGCTTGGCCTAATAGATGCATCTTGTCTTACCTACCCCTTTTAGTGTTGTCTGTTATTGGAGGAAGAGGTAGGAAGCCCAGGGCCTCCCTCCCAGAGTTTCCTTAGCATCACCTGTCATTGTTGAGATTTTGAATGCATTGCAGGTTAAGGGACACTTGATCAAGAAGGGAAAACACAGCAGAGACTTTCACTTAGACATGTTTTGTATGTCATGCAGGGAAAAGTTCCCAGTCAACCTCTGCTTAACCTTCGGGTTTGAAGATGGCCCTCTGGCAGTCACCTGATCTTCATGGCAGAAGAAACAGGAGTGAATGAGCAGATGAATCCATCTTAAGAGAATAGAAATCCTTAGTTTGGGTTTCATTGACCAACTATAGGGTACCTGGCAGGCAAAATTTTTGCAGCTTTCATCCAATTCCCAAATGGGTGTTTGACCCACAAAAGAACCACCACCAGTCTACATGGTAATATACATACATTGCCTTCTATAATTTTACTTGCTGTAGCTGCCAAATCTTATTCATACTTCCTCCAAGCATAAGCACATGCATGCACACAGACACAGCCGCCAAATGCACCCTCCTTGTCTACTCCTCAGCCTCACCTCGTACCTGATAACAGATTGTACTCAAAGGCACTGGAAGACCACATGGCTGCCTGGAGCACCTTTCAATTATTAATGCTGTTCTTTAAAGGCCTTGCCTTATTATTTCTACTCATGCTATTATGAAGAGGGCAAACTCCTTAATGCACTCCTGTGCCACTTCCTCCCACTGCTAGAGGAAAAGCACATGCTAGGTACAGTCATCTAATAGCATCCACGTTATTTTCACCTTCTCTGCACACTGTCCCTGCAGTTCTCTCTGGGGCCTCAAGATCAATTGTATCTCAAACTGGGCCATGGGTTCATTTTCTGCATTTTCTGGCATGGAGTGAGGGTAGCGGGTGTATGGAAATTCCAGCTCTCAAATTACAAGGTGGCAGGTCTCTGCATGGGTGTGATGAGCAACATGAGATAGGTATCCTTGTTAAGGACAACTGCATTCTAGTAGATTCCACCATCAGAGGTCCTGGAGCCCTACCTACTATTTCTTCCTGAGAGTGTCCTGATAGGTAAAAGGTGGTGTGAGTGTCTTCCACGGGGAAAAGAGACTGATGAGGCAGCTCTACTGAAATGGCAGTTGATATTAATAGGGCCATCTACTTCCTACTTTGAAAATATCTGAGCTATAAGCTCAGACGCTACCTATCACTAACTGCCAAATTTCCATGAAAAAGGGTCAGTGATGAAGTTGTAGCCTAGACTTGGGACCATGTCTCAGGGGAAAAGTCTAAGTATGCCTCCGATTTTGTTTTGGAAGGGACGACACCGTAAGAATTTCATCAGTAAATATTAAATACAAAGTTCAGCAAATTGTGAACTTTAGGGTTCATGAAAACTAAAGCCAGGATTTATCCATGTCAACCTGTACCTTATACCTACATATGCTAGAAACTAAATCAAGTTTCATACAATGTGCCCATTTAGCTAAGTAAGTCAGAGGATAGTTTCCAATAATTACTAACACTTACACACTTAGTATAATCAACTCTTCTTTGGTCAAGTTAATATCCTGGCAGAACAGACAGATTTGGGCCTCTCTTCTTATAAAAAAAGAATCTGACAATTTAAGGGGCATATGTTCACTTCCATTTATGTCCTGGAAAATATGCCCTGTGACTTAGCAACCATGTTTTAAAAGCTCTTGCAGTTCTTAAACAAACAGAGTGTATGTTTATGAGCTTCTAACAACGTTATTTTCAGAGATGATGTAGAGTTAGTGATATGTAGCTCTGGGGCTTACAGTAAGCTGTAGATGATTTATTGGTGTGGCATACAGTATTTGCCTCGAGAAAAATGGAAATTTAAGCAGTGTTTGAAAATGTGTTAGATGGCAAACGACCCGGGGCACCCTGAGACCAAAGGCTTCCCATCTTAGAGAGAGAAGGGGTCCTTTTTGGCAGATGGAGGAGCAAGGGTTAAGAACGTTTCCTGGCACTCAGGGAGCACAGCCAATTCAAGACCAGAAAGAGAGACAGTTTAGAATAGAGGCTGAAAACAGGAGGCCCAAATCTGGCCTGCAGAGGTGTTTTGCTTGGCCTGCAAGTACTTTAAGAGTTTTGGATTTGAGGCCAATATTTTAAAATTGGAGATTCAACATAAAATGCAGTATTCTGTCTCCTCTTTGAAACACAGGAAGATCTGGCCACTAGAGCCTGCATTTCTGCATAGGAACAATCAGCTGGACCTGGGAAGCCACTTCAGGTGAGGCTTCAGCTCTCATTGCAGTCCTCACCAGATCCGCCTCACTCATTTCCAATGTCTGCCCTTCCCTGTCCAGATGAATTTGCAAACATCAGATGAAAAAAATGTTATTTTGTACTGTTGCACTCTCAGCGAACAGATCTCTTAAACCAGTAAGACTCATTGTCAGATAAAAGAATGGAAAAGGCACATGTTTTTCCAAAACTCGGGAGAAAAGCAAGACTATTAAGTTGTCTTAAAATTTTTGTTGTATCCATTGTTTTGAATGCTGGGTTGCTGAAGTTCCTATTTCCCAAAGCCAAGTTATCAGACAGGGCTTAAAATAAAATGCTTATTTTAATTTTCTCATTTGAAACAATTAGACCACATTGAAGGGGTTTAGTATAAGGCATCTGTCTCTGAGCATGTTTTCTTATCTGTGAAAATTTCCAGAAGGATGGGGCTGTTGGAAAGGGAGAAATAAAGTCAATTTCTCCAGCAGGCAGTGCAGGCACAGTGCCTGAGGCCACTGTACTTATGGGACACAAAAAAGTCTAAATTTTAACTTCTTTAAAATCAGAAGAAAATAAATATAATAATAAATGACGAATAATAACAACGAATCCAGGCTGGGCACAGTGGCTCACGCCTGCAATGCCAACACTTTGGGAAGCTGAGGTGGGAGGACTGCTAGAGCACAGGAGCTTAAAACCAGTCTGGGCAACACAGTGAGACCCCCCCATCTCTACAATAATTTTTTTTAATTAGCTGGGCATGATGGTGCCCAGCTGTAGTCCCAGCTACTCGGAAAGCTAAGGCAGGAAGATTACTTGAGCCCTGGAGGCAGAGGTTGTTGTGAGCCATGATTGCACCACTGCACTCCAGTCTGGGAAACAGAGTGAGACCCTGTCTCAAAGAAAAAAAAAAAATTTGCCAGCCATGGTGGTGCATTCCTGTAATCCCAACTACTCAGGAGACTGAGACTGAAGGATCACTTGAGCCAAAGAGGTCAAGGTTACAGTGAGCTATGATCATGTCAGTACACTTCAGCCTGGGTGACAGAGTGAGACCGTGTCTCTAAAAATAATAGTAATAATAACAACAATAATAAATCCAGCCTGGATTATATTCATTCTTATACCAATGCAGCCGCAAAATATAATATTTAATATTCTTATGGAAGAATTGGCTCAACAAAGCCAACGTACCTAGAGTCCATGGAAATCACAGCACGGAGCTGGAGGCAAATGCTGGTCTTCAGGCCAACAACCATGCCCACACTGTGGCCTGTTTGCGAGCAGCACAAGCTCATTTTACTGCAGACTCTCCTCCCCATCATGCCCCTGTGATGCTCTGTATGTGGCAAGTTCGTAACAAGACCCCTGCAAAGCACGTCGCACACTGACCTCAGTTTCAAAAAGATGGAGTGGATGCCATTCAGATGCTTCTGGAAATTTCCAAATAAAAATTTCCAAAAGTTTTAATCATCTATCATTGGACAACAGGTATTACTGCCACTGGATAGAGTCCGCTTCTCTGATTATTTTATGCCGTCCCTGAAGCATTCTCAATCCCTAATCTCAGTAGCTGATTTCAAGGCAAGGTTTTGCTTGACTTTAGCGTATACTGAAAATCACAAAGCCCGAGTACAGGCCATAATGAGAGTCTTCTCTTGTGGACTCCTAGAGTTGAGGGCAGACTGAGTTTTCTGTCTATTCAACTCAAAATCTCCCCTACAGCCAAAACATGTTATAGCATCCAGCTATCTTTTCAACTCCTCAACCTTCAGCACTTACTGTGTGCAATGCTCATATTAGTCATTGATATATTGCTTAGCGATGCCTTACTTGTTCTTGTTTTGTTATCTTATTTTTCCTTTATATATGGCTGGACTTCCTGCCCCTTGTAAAAATATGTATAATTTAAATGTCTTAATGGAAAAGATCTAGCATTATACATAAGTACTCAAAATTCCCCAGTACCTAGCAAAATGCCTTATACACAGTTTGTACTCAGTGGAGAGCTATTATCTGATTGGTACCTTTAAGGCCACAGGTACACAGACAGCTCTCAGCCTCATCTCTGCTACTGTGATGAGCCTGGTGGCCAATTCCCCCATGCTCTTCTTCTCCACTTAATTTTTAGGCAGGACATAATTGTTTCCTACACACACACACACACACACACACACACACACACACACACAGAGTCTTTCTCTCCCTCTCTCTCTTTTCTCCCAAATTCTATGAACAAAGACATATGCATCAAAAAGTCCCAAGGGCATTGTTGCTTTGAGAGTTCTATTTTTAAGCCACAAATGACTCATCACCAACCAGGGTCTCCCCAAAGCTACATGTGTCAGGCTGTCAGGTCAAAAGACAAGGGGTAAAAGACAAGGAAGAGTTCACATCTCCTCCAGCCCATGAACCCCATGATAAAGCTGTAAAAGCTGCCACCACTCCACACACCACACCACACCCCTACCACAGTTGTGTTAGGCACAAGCACTGCCCTTGTGTTTGGATTAAACTGTTCTGAGCTATAACATTTCGCTCCAGCTGGCTCCTATCCTGATCTCTCAGCAGTCTCTGAATGCATGTCAGCCTGTGACTATAGGGAAAGGCCCAGTGCCATGTGACAGGGAGGAGATGCAGCCCTCTTGCGGTATAAACTCAGGCTTGTTGTAGAGGACAGAAGTAACTAGTGGGCTAGTGGGTCTGAAAGGGAATGCATTTCTTCATTTGCCCTGAAACAATTATTCTTTTAAAAAGAATAAGAGAGGGCTGAGAGAGTGCCAGGTTGTCCAAAGCATTCTTTTTAAGTTTTGGAGAGTGGCGAGAAGGGAAGAAATAATTCATCCTAATTTTGGAAGGCAAAGTAGATAGGGATGTATAGACATAGTTATCAGATAGTGTTTCCACAGGGGAAACAAGTGAGCAATTGGGCAAAATGTCCTCAAAAGTTATGCATAACAAATTCCAAACAGGCCAAAACAATGTGTTCAGCTCTTCAATGCGTTCAGCCCTGTGTTACCCTTCCACAGTGGAGCTGAACTCTTAACTCTTACCCATCCCCAACTCCATGCTGAAACAGTACAAAAAAGAGAGGGAGACAGTGGGGAGGGAGAGAGAGAGATTAGTAGGAGGGTCATAAAATCAAGGAATTCAAGGCCTCTCACCAGTGAGGATGAAATAAACTAATCCCACGCAGCCACCTGGCTGGATTTGATCTTTTCCACCTGGGATTATCTTTGTTCTTTCCCATGGCCCTAAAGTTTCCCCCATGATAAGGGCCTAGAAGTCCAGAATTGGCATAAAAAGACAATATATACTTTGCTATTCAATGAGTAGGTTATCATGTCTTTGTTCATTTCTGTATTTAGTAGAAAGAACCCAGGAGATCAAGTAGAAAAGGACTGGGAGAGAAAAGTTCTATCTTCCAGCTCCAGCTCTGCCCCTGGCTGGTCGGATGACCTTGAGGAGGTCCCTCATCCTCATTCCTCAGGAAAGGATGCTGAGGCTCAGAGAACAGTGGCACCAGTTGGGATCCAATGCCTCTTTGACTCTAATACTATATTCTACAGTTGTCTTTTGTGGCAGACCTGAAAGGTTCAGCTCAGTCCTCCTGTCCTTTCCTAGCATAGTCCCTGATTTCCCCAATGAAAGCCAAAGATAAGCAGTTCCCTTAATGCTTCTAGATGCCATTGCCTACGATGCCTAGGTACCACTTGTGCAATGACAAATAAGCAAGGAAGACAAGATTTCCTCACCAATGTGGAAGGGAGAAGGAGGAAGGGTGCTAATGCTCTGAACTTTGACGTAAATGAAACCAATCTGTTTGACAACCAAAGAACAGATCCTGTCCCCAAAATCTACCTATATGGAGACAAGGACATATAAAGAAGTTGACTCTGTTCCTTGGCATACTCTCCACCTGTCTTCTCTACCAGGCTTTCACTCGATTCCTGAACAAATGGCAATATGGAAGGTCAGATGAGCTAGGAAGGCTGAGTTAGAGTTACTCTCATATCAGAGCACCAAGTGTTGCTATTAAAGGGTACATTCTGAAGGGAGACAAGACTTCCCATTGGAGTTATTTACAGCCTCTTTGCCCTGAAGGCATCTTCTCTTCCACCATCCCTGAGTGGGCTCGGCTCCTCTACCATCTGACATTCCATTCTTTCAACAGCTGCTGGCTCTCCTGTTGTGTTCCCTTCACAGATGTGCAGTGCCGTTCTGAACATCCTGCCCTTGAACTTTCCCTACCCATAATTTTCCAAACCAAAGCCTGGCAATAAAAATGTCAGTGAGGGATGGAGAAAACTGGGGGGAGTATTTTAAAAGGAAAAAAAAAAACAGGGAGGTGCTTTGCACACAGTGATTTGTGTTGACTTCTTCAACAAAGGTTAAATGCATGCCGTGACTTCTCAAAAAAGGGCATGAAGGCAGACAGCTGGAGCTAATTTTCCAGAACACTACCTAGAAAGGCTGTATTTCATAAAGGAACTGGTTACAGAGTAGGCTGGTGAGCTTCCTTTTCCATGTCACAGGCTGCCCATCTCATCATGCTGCAGGATGGGGTACACTAAAGGGGATAGTGAAAGCTGGTATACACAGTCCTTTACAGTTTAAAATGCGCTGTCATGAATGGGATGGGATCTGTGCTGTCCTCACAGCTCTCCCAGGTGCCTGTCTTGGGGCTGAGCACAGGAGAGGCAGTGGGTCTACACCTGTGCCTAGTCAGTTTGAACAAGGCTGGAGAAGGAAGCCAGATACTTTATGACATTTCAAAGACCTCCATCCTATGTGGCTCCATTCTTTGGGGCCAAATTTTCCTGAAGTCCATTAGTTTGATAATACCAACTCTCTGGGCATATAAACATTGCATAACATAATGCAAAACTATAACAAATCAACTAATTCTGTAACTCTCTAAAAGAGATAAAAGAATGTATCTCATGGGGAAACAGCATTTCTCATATCTATTTCAGTATGCCAAATCACAAGGACAGATTAGGTAAGGATAGGAAGGCCAAAGAGTCTTTCTACTTGGAAAGACACCCCTAGGTGGTGGAAGCTAATGAGGAACAATCAGCTCTCCTTGTTTTTTGTTCATTTGATCCTATCTCATTGCAAAATGCTGCCACTCCACTGAGATAACAGAGAAGCTGGTCTCATCAAGCCATTATTAGGAAGAACTGAATCAAGGCCCAAACAGACATCAGACAGCACCTGACCCAGGGCAGTGTCTTACATGGAAGGCCTGTGATAGGAGCCTCCTACGTACCCACAACTGCACACTTGGTTCTCAGGGTGAGAAATGGAGAAAGGGAGAACAAAAGAGAAAACAAGACCAGTGCATTGGCAGGATGAGGTGATGCAACTTCCCATTCTTGCAACATCTCATTAAACCCCATCAGTTACTTACACAATCTGGAAATTTACTTCTTGACACTTAGAAGAGAGATGGCTTTAGAATGAGCCATGCTGGAATCTAATCCTGGCTCTACTGCTTACTAGCTACATAGCTTGGGCTATGCCTGCAGCTTCAGCCTCCTCATCTGTAAGTGGGAATAGTAATACCTATCCTAAGAAGTTGTTAGGGGAATTCAATGAGGTTGCATGTGCTATTTTTGGTAAAGTGCCTAGCTCTGTAGCTCACAGACAGTACATAATCAGTGAATGTTAGTTCCCTCCAACGACTTGCCCTCTCTTCCCTTTTGAAACAGAATTTCTAGGCCAAGGGATGAGAGACCAGGCTATGTGAAGACAGGGGAGGGAGAAACTACTGGGCAACTAAACCAGTTCTGCTAAAGCTCTGGACATCCCCAATACATCAATGGTGCCAGTTTTATTTTCAGAGACTATGAAAACAATCTGGTCAATTTCTATCGCAATCTTAAAGATAGTTTTCCTTAACCATAAGCAATTTTACTGCCTGGAAAATATTCAGCATTATCACATTTGAAGATGTTACAAACTAATAAATGAATACAAAATGAATAAATGGGTGAGTGGATGCAAAAGTAACATTTTAAAAGACTGGGGAGAGGCCATTTTCCAATCGTAACCCCACTGTTGCCTTGGCAATTGTGCCCTTGGATGAGATGCTCTACAAAATTTGTGCTGCCATTTCCTGCTCCTTCCTAACGTCCATATCCCCAAAACAGCAGTGCTGATACCAGAAGCCAAGAGCAAAGACTGGCAAAATCAGCAAGTGCCCCCATTGTGTGCCAGCCATTTTGGAGCAGATAAAGTCATTAAGGAAACATTTAACAACGTATAACCTTTCAGCTTTACTCTGCAAACAGCAGGTAGCTTCCCTTTCAGAGACAAGAGCCTGCATTGAAGTCACCAGTGAGCAGGACTTGACCTTCATTTTCAGTATACGCCACATTAAATATTCATAATCCGCGTAACCGTAGCATAAGAAGTAGCAGCGTTTAAACATGAATCAAAGGAATAAATATCTTCACACATGTGAGTCATCCTTTCCCAGAATGCCCCTGGTGAAAATGCAAATACCCAGAGCTCTGGGCCTCTGTCTCTTCCAACTTTCTCTTGAAATTCTGAAAGCTACAGGGACTGCTGCATTATGCAATCCATGAATCTCGCTCTCATGCTGACACTGGTGGGTCTTTGTTTTTTTTCCTTATCTGTTAGATAAGAATTGCTGTTCTTGTGTCAAAGGGAGGAAATAGACAAGGATGGAAGCAGCAATGGTGACATTAGCACCCACAGGGCGTCTGCAGGCACTCTTGACTTGGTTGTACAATTTCTAAAAAATCTTTGCTTCACAAGGATCAGAATATGTGGGAGGACAGGGTTGGCGTTGGTGTCGGGAGACATCAGAATTAGGAACTAAAGTGACGTGTGACATAAATTGGGCAGGAGTCCTTTTAAAAAGAATGCAAAAGAAAGGGAGCTTTTTGTACACAATCCACCTCGTGTGGCTAATTGGAGATCTTTGGGGAGATGGTGTGTGGAGGGCTCAATGCTTGTCTGTGCTTGTTAAGGCACTAACATGATGTCTGACCAAAGACTCAGTCCAGAGGCATCTTCCTCTGCTTGGGTGTTTCTAGAGAGTCTACTGCTGGGATGATAAAGCATAATTTTAGTAAGGTTTAACGTAATTATCTTTGGTTTTCAATTCCAGGAGCTCTGAGGACAATCTGTCTTAGCCAGATAGTAATCACTTGCAGCTACACAAATGAGTCTTCCCTCACAACCACCCTAGGTTCATTAAGATCAGACCCAAAGAAAACGCCCTATGCTGGGATCTGTCTTTGCCTAATGGCCAAAAATGAAAGGTGTGCAGCTGTCTTTGGAAGTGACTTATCCATCACCTCTGGATAGTAAAAAGAGCTTTAAAAGGTTAAAAAGATCATAAACCACCAATGATGACCTTTCTCTGAGCTGTATTGCTAATGGACAGAAGTAAAATAACTACCTAGCCTGCTTGTCCACTTGCACAACTGGAGCTGGCCTGCCTCGAGACATAGCTGGTCCAGCAGACCTAGGGAGCCTGTTTTATACATTAATCGGCATTCCTTGCACTTTTCAAAGGGCTGGGTGCAGAGAGCCTGGAATCTCAAACTTGTGCTACAGGATAGTCCTCAGCATTCTGGAGGGGAGGGGCAGCTCTGGCTAAAATTCACTGAGACAAGCCATTTCACGCATGTCTGTTGGTTTAGATTCACTTGTGGGAAAGCCTATAGACTGTCCCCTGATTCATTTATTTGAAGGGTGTAAATACTAGCTACAATTCATCTGGAGAATTCTGGGTGCTTTTTTTCCAGGGTGATGATTTAGTATAACTTCCACGAGAAGTTTAAAGCTGTCTTTCCAAAATACCCAGATGGCCAGCCAAACCATGAATGTGTAAAACTGGTAACAGTTTTGAATGAAAGACATGGATTTTAAGAATGTACATTCTACTTTCTCACTTTCTTTCCATTTGCATCTTATATGTGGATAGAACTTCATTTTTTTTTCTCATTCACTAAGCTCGATTATAATTTTTTAATAGGTTTCACTGTGTTTTATTCCTGGAAATCTATGGACTTACCATAGAGATGGCTTTAGAGATTCTACACTAATTCTCTCCCAAACTAAAACTGAGCTTGCTTGCCGTCTTTCCCAAGGAAGATGGAAAACTCCCTTGTGCTGAATCCACTGATTGGGCCTGCCACCGGACAGAATCTTCGGATATGCTCTCAGAACAAAATGAAGTCATGAAAATGAAAAGTTTCTATATAAATAACCAGAAGGTCTTCTTATAAACAAAGCCTTGCTATGCCAAATCACACAGTTTAGCAACAGAGAAGAAAGGCTAAAGCTGGGATGAGGCTACGACAGTCCTCAGGCAGAATGGGAATAGCCTTGTTTCTAACCTTATGGGCATTTTTGCCAGGAAAAGGTGAGGACAGGACTGAAGTTCCATCCTTGGGATAGACTATTTGCAAGTTCATAAAAGAAACCAGAATCAGAGAGGACTCCCAGTGCCATCTTCGCCAAGGCCTAGAAGGATCACAATTAAAGCCAAAGGACATTGAGATGGTGTAGGACATTAGGGGAAGAGGGTGCATTGGGGAATTTCATTCCTTTTCATCTTCTCACACGGAAACAGAGAACACCAGGATCTACAGAACAAAAGACTGCCTCATAGTAGACTGTAAAAAAAGACACAATCCAAATCCATCTAAAGAGCATTTTATTTCTGAGAAATACAGAGGGACAAAAGGTTAAAAAAATAAAAAAAATAAAAAAACGAAAAGGGAAGGAAGGTGCTGGCTGAGGCATCTGGACTTCTAACCCATCAACACACTCACCTCCACATTAGGGTTTTCTTTCTCTGGGACATACAAGCTTCAAGCCCAAACCTCTTTCCTGAGTCTCAGCATGGAAGTTGGCAGGGTCTGCACCCCACGACATGTAAGAACACCCCTGGAGAGAGATTGGAGAAATAAGACCAGGGGCTTTAGAGGATCTTCAGTTCAATACAAATAGGATCCAGAATCATTAACAGTAAATATTTAAAAGGGGGCTTACCTTCAATGACATGCCAATGGGAGTCTTCCAAACTTAAACAAGCTCTTCTCTTTCTTGGCTCGGGAGAGCTGATGGAGGGAGCATGTGGAATCTTGTCTCCTGACAGCGTTTAAAGGACTCTCCATCTGAGATGGGTGAGGGCAGCCCAGCCTCGCATGTGGGGTGGGCTGAAGGACCTCTGATAGGCTTAAACTTGGCTGATTCCCAGAGACAGGTTATTAAAGGAGATATTTGCTTTGTTTTCCCTGACTGACATTTTGGCCTCTCCACCCAAATGCACAAAATCCTTGGCCGGTGACCAGATGGCTCTGAGAAATTCTGAGTTTAGCTGTGCATGAAATTACCACCATCCCAAGCCACAGGAAAGGAGCACTAAGCTCAGAATTCAGGCACACCAGAGTCTGAGCCAACAGGCACACCAAGCAGGTTTCCTAGTATCAAAGTCTAGTAGCCAACCATGCCAGGGATAGAGTTTAAAGTTCAAAACACTCACACAGTGGACAATAAAGGCAACAAGCTCAAGGCCATTGTCACCAGAGTTGCCAAGTTCACGCCACAACAGAAAATGAGTTAGACTCCAGCTTGTTTCCCAGATGCCATCAACTTCATGATTTGCAATAGTATAGTTGGAACAAATTATTTCCTCAGGGTTGGCACCTGCAGGAATCAGGGCAGAACTGGCTGCAACATTGCAGTTCTAGTCTGTGCCCTCTTCATCCTTCTGCAAGGTCTTTATCATCTGTCACCCAGGCTCACTCTG
Organism: Homo sapiens; assembly: GCF_000001405.40. NCBI lineage: Eukaryota > Metazoa > Chordata > Mammalia > Primates > Hominidae > Homo > Homo sapiens. Next base: position 77,250,545 of record NC_000010.11, read on the forward strand.
GAGCACCAGTCCATTCGGCTGGCACCCAAGGAGTCTGCATGAGTGTCCACTCTAGAAGTCCTCAAATGGCCAGGGCCTCCACCTCTGGGGGTCATGATGAACTCCTCCATCCATCTCCTTACCTTCACAAGTCAAGAAGCACCAGCGTGCAATGCTTCAGCTGAATACCCGATTGGCAGGTGAAAGGATAGCATCATGCTTTCTAATCTGACCTCCAGTAAGATCAAAGCATTGGAAACCCAATTGAGAAAAGGATCCTACAACCATAGCAAGAATGGCTCAGACCCTCATCTGTGGGAAACTGTCACCCTCCCAGAAGTTGCAAATTCCCATCAAGTCATCTTAACTACTTGACATCTTCAGTGCAAATACATCATTAGGAAACAGCTCTTTAAAAATAAGTAATACCCAGCAAGAAGACTTGACCTCATATACCTCACCCTCCTATGCCAGCAGACTCAAAATAGCCTTCCTTCTGAGAACTTTCTTTCCCATTTAGAAAATCAGTACAGTACAGCACTAGCTTCCTCCAAAATCTTCTGCACTCAGAAGGTCTTGCAAAGGTTGGTGTCAAGGTAAATAAATGGATCAATGTAAAGGCTCATGATTGTTTATGAAACGAGGGCAAGAAAGTATATTTGAATACTCACTTTGATGAATCTATGAAGTATATTACAAGTGCACCGATGCTGAGAGCAAAGACTAAGACAACCTGTAAAAGAAGAGGAGAATGCCATCACTTAAGAGTTGGACCTCAGGATGTTTGGGTTTTTTGACACATACCGAAGCAGCTTTGAAATACGGTGCCCATTGCCCTTGGGGACCTGCTTGGAAATCTCACCCTCATCCCCAGCCCCCCATTACTGCTTCAGGTTTGGCTCTTCATACAGCAATGGGCAGCAACCTCGCTCCTTGCCAATAGGGGTCAGGGTAGCCTTTTATGTCTCAGGGCACTGGGTTTTTATCTGACCCTGTTATCTCGAAGTCCAGCTTCTCTGCAATTGTAGTTGATAAACTTCAGTGGGAAAAAAGCAGGTGAAAATTTAGGGTGATACAATTTTTAATATTATATGTAGTCTAGGATCTGCAGGAACTCCAATAGAGGAATATCAACTTTAACAGCTTCATTGAGGCATAATTTACATACCACAATATTCACCCATTTAAAAAGTACAATTCATCAATGACTTTAGTAAATCTACTAAGTTATGCAATCATCACTGTAATCCAGTTTCAGAACATTTTCATCATCCCAGTAAGATCCCTCATGCCTGTTAAATCAATCCCCTTTCCCATTTCCAAGCCCCAGACCACACTAATCTACTTTCTGTCACTACATAAGAGATACCAATTTGAAGATCACAAATTTGCTCGTACAAATGTCCGTGTGTGTATGTGTGGACATACATAAAGATATATTCACTGCATGTATGATCTATATGATTAGAACACTTCTGAAATATTTAGGAAAGTAGTTCCAGTTCAGGAAGTCAATTAGGCAATCCATTAGGCCAGTTATGTGACAATCCTTGTCCTACTTTACACTCTTCACTCAAAATTAATCTCCATGGATGGAAGACAGTTTTGGCATCTCCTTCAGTGGATACCTGTCATGCTAAGGTCCATAGAATGAATATGTAGCAGATTAGGCTGACACTGACACTTCTGTCCTCAGTACACATTCTACTTTCTTTAATCTTTCACAGAGGAGACTATTAATGCAAATAAAGGATAGTCAGAAATAAAGAAGATGCTTTCAGCCAACAATTAAGCCTGAGAATAAAAAGTAAGCACCACCATTACACACAATGCCTGGCTGCTAGGTCAACCTTTCCAGGTATGCTAATACCCTGAAGAGACTGCAGGCTGAAGGGCATTGGAAGTCAGTCTCCTCAGTGTCCATCTATTGACATCTCTCAGGCCTTGGCTGGTGGGTAGAGAGGAATCCCAATTTATGTAAAGACTAAGCATGATCAAGCTTTGTGTGTGTGTGTGTGTGTGTGTGTGTGTGTGCGGGCACGTGTGCCTGTGTATGTATGAGAGACAGAATCTCTCTCTTTTACACCCACCCACACACACACACACTCCTGTATTTTTTATGTGTGCCAAAGTGGCTGACAGAAAATGAAATCTGCATGAGATACTCATTTAAAGCATTGCAAAACTGCATGGAGCTCCTGGGGCAGAATGGTGGCTTGCACAGCCCAGAAAATGACCATTAAAAACAATTGGACACTGTAAAAGGAATATGCAGTTTCATAGCAACTGATAAAATCTCCATATAAAGGGAGGTGCTAAAACAATACACCACTGAGGTTTATTTCATTCTGCCATTTAAAAAAAAAAACAACTAAAACATGCTCCAATTGAATGCTGCAGTCTATCAGTAATTATCACCCGCCCAGCACTAATCCCTCTTAGCTGCCTCACCTCAACCCCTCCCATCACACATATTCATTCATATGTTCCTTTCAAAGGTACACACAAAAACAAGCAAACAAAAACATGAGCAGGCCTTCGCTTTTTCCTCTATTATCTAAAGGAGGCAGCAAAACAAAAAGCTTAAGATTAATTTTGATCTGTGCTGCTATTTCTGAGGCATAAGCAGTTAGATCCTGGCCCTGACCTCATTCTCAAAAAGCTGCAAAGAGAAGGGGTGTGGCCAGAACCCAGGAGAAGGGCCTCTTCTCCATTCATAAACAGCTGATTTAAGACTAATCCCTGTCCATTTGGCTCCCTGTGTGTGTATCTGTGAATGCTGAGCATCTGTCAGAGCTGGCTATATAGGCCTATGCCACCCAAAGCCACTGTTGCAGAAAAGGACTGGAAAGAAGCCCTTGCAAATGGCATCTACATCATTCTGTAAGGAACTCAAAATCTAAGACCCCTGCAATGGCAATGATTTCGCAGCATCCAGATGGCCAATGTAGCTGATCCTAATTTGCTCCAGCTGCCTCCACTTGGAGTCAGTGATGGGGACTAATGCATTCCTTATTTAAGCAAATCAGCCAGTGACAGGAGGAGGCCAGGAATCCTGCTACCCTCTGAAGATGAAAACTCAAATATCAGCATCTCTCTGATAGGGTAAGAGAGGGAAGAAATCCAGGAGGGAAATAACCTCCACAGCTCCCTGGCCCTGAAGACTCTGTTGAATGGACATGCATTTGGGTCCACGTATTCAGCTGGAAGGCCTCCTCTCAATGAGATACAGGATAGGCAAACTGCCCCATGATGTACGATGAAATGCTCCCTGGGGAGATGATCTGCCTCTCAGTATTAAGGTAACTGTGCACGTAGTCTTGAAACTTGCTAAATGCCTCTTTATCGTGTCAGGCTTGATCACATTGTCAGCCCAGATCCAGGTGCTGCAGAAAACACATCAATACTTTGGATGTGGCCATGAAAATAGAATCCCCATCAGAGACTTGTCTTCTCTAGGCCCCTAGCAAAGCCACCTTAGAAGTGTCAGTTTAGTCTCTCTCTTTCTCTATCTCTCTAACAAATCCCCATTGTCTGAGAACTCTAAGTTTGAAAACACAAAATGATTACATTTTAGTCTGCATGGTAATGGTATTATTATAGAGCACCCCAAATAGTCACCTAAGTATTTAACATATCCTATACATAAGGCCCAAGAAAAACAGAAGATGGGAGGCCACTTGGAGTCATGAAATATACTCTTTTTTTTTTTTTTTTAGACAGATCCTCGTTCTGTCGCCCAGGCTGGAGTGCAGTGGCGCGATCTCAGTTCACTGCAACCTCTGCCTCCCAGGTTCAAGCAATTATCTTGCCTCAGCCTCCCAAGTAGCTGGGACTACAGGTGCCTGCCACCATACCCGGCTAATTTTTTGTATTTTTAGTAGAGAGGGGGTTTCACCATGTTGGCCAGGCTGGTCTCAAACTCCTGACCTCAAGTGAACCACCTGGCTCAGCCTCCCCAAGTGTTGGGATTACAGGCATGAGCCACTGCACCTGGCAAAATATACTCTTTTTTATAGAGTCATTCTTCTGTAGATTAATCCCATGCTATTATGCAATTAGTGATAAATCATATAGTACAGGTTTAGCCAATATAAAATGAACTATTGCCTAGATGGATCATTAGTAACTGGGTAAAGATAGAAAAAGTAGGGCCCTTATCTCAATATCCTCTCCTTTCCCAAAATGTCCTTCCTTTCTACATAGTACCACTACTCTAATATCTCTTCACGAAGGGCTGAGGCCATTGGGAATCCTTTTGCAAGCTTCTATAGTTTCAGGGACAAGGAGGACAGAAGCCCAAGGGACATGGTAAAATGAGGCCAAGGAAAGCACAGTACCCCAGAAAGCAAAGCATCCCTGCCCTACAGCAGCTGAGTCATAGAATAAGACAATAACCAAGCATGTAACAAAGCATTGTCCCACACAAGGGCTTGGGGGCAGCAGTGTGATACACAGATAATTTGAGCATTGCCTCTTAGGGCACTTCTGCTAGCTTGCTTGAGAGCCTGTCCTGGTTGCTAAACTTGCCATAGTCTGAGCTCAACAAATTACCTCAGCCATCTTGGACAGTATGAATTGTCACCTTCTCAGATTTACTGAAAACACCCATATACTGTGTGGAGATATTGAGTACTCGGTGTGCCAGATTCCTAAAAACAAAAGCAATTTGATAAATGTCATTGGAACAATGGTGTTTGAGTCATCTATTTTCAAAACTCCAAGATCAAACAAGACATGTGTTTGCACAAAAGAATGCCAGGAACACACATACACGGTGTATTTTTTTTTAAGGGCAGGGTGCAGTGGCTCATGCCTGTAATCCCAGCACTTTGGGAGGCCATGACAGGTGGATCACTTGAGGCCAGGAGTTCTAGACCAGCCTGTCCAACACAGTGAAACCCTGGCTCTACCAAAAAATGCAAAAATTAGCAGTTGTGGTGGTGCACACCTGTAGTCCCAGCTACTTGGGAAGTTGAAACAGGAGAATCACTTGAACCCTGGAGGCAGAGGTTGCAGTGAGCCAAGAGTATGCCACTACACTCCAGCCTGGACAACGAAGTGAGACTCTGTCTCCAAAAAAAGCAAAATAAAAAAATATAAAAGTGGGCTGGGCATGGTGGCTCACACCTGTAATCCCAGCACTTTGGGAGGCCGAGGTGGGGGGATCACGAGGTCAGGAGTTCGAGACCAGCCTGGCCAATATGGTGAAACCCTGTCTCTACTAAAAATATAAAAAGTTAGCCAGGCATGGTGGCGCTCACCTGTATTCCCAGCTACTCAGGAGGATGAGGCAGAAGAATCTCTTGAACTTGGGAGGCAGAGGTTGCAGTTAGCCGAGATGGTGCCATTGCACTCCAGCCTGGGCAACAGAGTGAGACTCCATCTCAAAAAAAAAAAAAAAAAAATCTGTCCCTAACACCTGATGCAAAGAAGGAGCCTGGTGCAAAATGGGGAGGAGAGAGGGGAAGTCCATAGCCATCTCGCTAGATGAAAATCCCGGTGGACCATGAAGATCTTTCAAATGTCTGACAAGGTTCATGAAAGTTCATGAAAATGGACAATAGCACAGCCAAGCATAGACTATTCCCCCTCAGGTGATGGAGCACTTCAGGAAAAAGGCAGATTCAGTGATGTGAGTATAGAGGTGATTGAGTTGGGAAAGCTGGCTCTTAGAAATATTTCCTGTTCTAGAACCTGGACTGGAGTTGCTGCAATTAGGCCCATATGCTTTCAGCGGGTGTGTGAGGCTTCACGGCCTTGGGAGGCAGATTCAGAGCCAAGGCTCACAAAGGTGGCTACCACCAGAATCCAGTCACCTGAGGAGCTTTCCTTCCAAAGCAGAGATGCCCTCATCCCACCCTAGGGCCAGCAAATCATGAGCTGGGGGAGGGGAAGTCTGGGCACCTCTTTTTAACAAGCTCCTCCAGTGAATCTGACAATGGGAGTCACTGAATTAAAGCCATTAGGAGAAACCACTTAGCTCAAGTCAGAGATTAATCTACAAATGTCGCCTTAACAATTAGCCCATTAGAACATATGTATGAGGCCTGCAGGCTTAGAGAATCGTGCTAGGAGTACTAGAAAAAGTACAGAGAGGAGGATGAATTAATTCTCTCCTGAGCAGGTTTTACACATTCTTCTCAGCTCACAGCAGAACAAATGACCCTAATTAATGATTCTGCATGTTTGATCAGGGTTTATCTGCCTACTGAAGGCAGAGACCCTTCTCAGAAAATGGACAATTTTCTATATATGATCCCAAAGGCATAGGACTTTTTAAATTGAAGTATATAATTTACATATAATAAAATCCACTATATTAAAAAATACACTTTGGGAGGCCAAGGCAGGAAGATTGCTTGAGCTCAGGAGTTCGAGACCAGCCTGGGCAACATAGAGAGACCATATCTCTACAAAAAAAACTTTAAAAAAATTATCCAGGCATGATAGCATGTGCCTATAATCCCAGCTACTCCAGAGGGTGAGTCAGGAGGATCGCTTGAGCCTGGGAGGTGGAAGCTGCAGTTGAGCTGTGATCAAACCACTACACTCCAACGTGGGTGACAAGGCAAGACCCTGTCTCACACACACAAAAAAGAAAAAAATAGATGTGAGAACTCCCAAGGCAAAACAATCTGGTGACATTTTGTTTTTTGAGAGATAATATCATTCCAACATCTAAATTATAATGTTTTTGTCCTGGTGAATTTATTAATAACAATGCCAACAAACATTTATTGAACACCTATGCACAAGGGCCAGAGTGAGAGACAGAGAAATGCAAAACTGAAACAGTTAAGTCTGGCCTGGCCTTTGCCCTCAGGGAGCATGGGATCTAGAAGTTTAAATTACTCAAGAGTCCCTTCTGAATGTAAGAAGCGCTACACATATCAACAGTCATCTCCAGGATATAAAGGAAGGATCAGATCAGGCAGAGAAGCAACACCACCCTCATTTCAGACTCCCAAAGTGGAACGGGGAGAGAAAGTGAGAAATGGAAAACCAAGGAAAAAGGAAGAAGAATTTTTGACATTCCAAGTCCACCTGGCTGTTCTAGGAAAGGACAGACACCAGTGATATGGTTTGGCTGTGTCCCCACCCAAATCTTATCTTGAACTGTCGCTCTCACAATTCCCACGTGTTGTGGGAGGGACCTGGTGGGAGGTAATTGAATCATGGGGGCGGGTCTTTCCCATGCTGTTCCTGTGATAGTGAATAAGTCTCACAAGATCAGATGGTTTTATAAAGGGGAGTTTCCCTGCACAAGCTCTCTCTCTTCCCTGCCAACATGTAAGATGTGACTTGCTCCTCCTTGCCTTCCGCCATGATTGTTAGGCCTCCCCAGCCACGTGGAACTGTGAGTCCATTAAACCTCTTTTTCTTTATAAATTACACAGTATTGGGTATGTCTTTATCAGCAGTGTGAAAACGGACTAATATAACCAGGCACACAGGATGAGTGATGTGGAGAAGGAAGAGCACAGGACACAGAAGACCTGGGTGTGAATCTCCACTCTGCCCCTATAAGCAACATGCTCTTAAGCACGTCACCTAATCTCTCTGGGTCTAAGTTTCCCAATCTGTGAAATAATGAGATTGAAACAGATGATTATGAGATGGGACCTTGGTAGGAACTAAAAACTTTTGGCTTGAAAAGGTAGCCCTCACTTATGCTAACTGTAAACCATGTATACATAAGTCTGATTCAACATGCTGACAATATGCCTGTCCCTAAATCTGTATGCAGGAGACTTGTTTCATAAGATCACAAGAATAAACTCCATAGACACTCAGATTCATAGTTTGTGTTTCCAGCAGCACAATCAATTGCTCATGCAGAATGTCATCCCACAAAACTAACACAAGACATAGAAGGGCCATGGATCAGCTTTCTCCTGAGTCTGGGTCTCAGCTCTGCCATCACTACAGAAAATTGAGTGGTGGTCTGACCCATCGCCTCCCTCTCCTTGCCTCTGTGAGCTTTGAAAAGCCCATGTTTTTGCAGGCTTTAGCCTTCCAGAAGCTCAGACTGAGTCTCAGTGTTTTCCTAAGGGAAAAAGAAAATGATTTTTTTCTCTTTACTGTTTAGCAAGTATAGTTGATATGTTCTTGTCATTCCTAAGTCATGAATGGTTCTCAATAGAAGAAGATATAGGCCAGGTGCGGTGGCTCATGCCTATAATCCCAACACTTTGGGAGGCTGAGGCGGGTGGATTACTTGAGATCAGGAGCTCAAGACCAGCCTGGCCAATACGGTGAAACCCCATCTCTACTAAAAATACAGAAATTAGCTGGGTGTGGTGGCACACACCTGTAATCCCAGCTACTCAGGAGGCTGAGGCAGGAGAATTGCTTGAACCCAGGAAACGGAGGTTTCAGCAAGCCGAGATAACGCCACTGCACTGCAGCCTGGGCAACAGAGCGAGACTCTGTCTCAAAAAAATATATATATAATATATAATCTTGCCACCAAAAAAGGATTTTTGTTATCATACATTTAAAAATATCTGTAATATTTCTGCAGAGCCATTTAATCATCCATAGGTCCCCTAAATTACCAAGCTAGCACTATGAAACATCACATTTGACTTATGGAAGCACATGCACAAAAATGCTGTAAATTGATTCACTGGAAACCAAGACTCCAAACAACGGATTAAGTAGAGATGTATTCAAGATGAAAGAAAGGAAGAAGAAAGAGGGGCTTTGTAGTTGGTATTTGGGATTATAGCATTAAAATAAAATGCATGGGATTGCCAGATAAGAGTAAAACTGATTTGTTCACATGTAAGGAAACCTAGTAAAAATCTCTATGATTTTACAGGCATTAGGATCTGGTGCTTCCAAAAGTGCAATACTATGAAGCCATACTCTGTGTGCAATGGACTGAATTCTTAGGACACACATGTAAATCGGAGAGAATCCCTCCTTAAATCACCTCAAATGTCCTCCATAACTTTTGGTATGAAGAAAAAAAAAATCCTTGACAGAGTCCACAAGGCCCTGAAAGCTCTGGTCTTTTCCTCCTCTCTGGCTTTATTTCACATGCTTCCACATCTAGACTCCAGGAATCTAACTTGCAGTTATTCTCATTCTCCATTTGCCTCCTCCCACCCCAACCACCACAGAGCCTTCGCACAAGCACTTTCCTCCTCCCAGAAGCCTCACCTGCTCACATGGGATGCCCATCCTTCAGAAATCAGCTCTGCTGTCACTTCCCTGCCCACAGGTATTCTGTTTTGTGTAGCAGTTAGCAAAGCAGCAATTTTACATGTCTTTGTGCAATCATTTTGATCAATTGCTCTCCTCTTTCCTTTGCTGGATGGCAAGTTCTATGAAGGCCGGGTGTGTGTCCATTTTTAGTTATCACGAAATTCCAAGAAAGTAGCAAAGTGTCTCAATCAGTATTTGTTAAATAAATAAATATGTGGAGAAAAGGCTGGAGAATTAGTTTGAAGACTGAGTGTAGTGGAAGCAAAAGAGAGGTGGGAGAAACATGGATTACCCTCACTGAGTGAGACCCTGAAGTTTATAACCCGGAATAAAGGTGAGATGCAGTTCCAGGTAATGGCAGCATCCAGGGGATCCCTGGTGAAAGTGGAGCAGGAAGAAGAGCACCGCGGTGGTAGAGGTCGAGGGTCTGAGACACACACAGGGATAGCAAGGACAGTCCTGCACACAGACTCAAAGGGGATGGGGGGAGCTGAGGTTGAGAATAGAAGAGGACAGGGCCATCCCTGAATAGGGGGAGGGGCCTGGACTTAGATGGGTGACAGCATCAGGAAGGACAGAGAGAGGAAGGATTTGGTCGGATGGCAGGAGCCTGGAGAAAACAGGTTTCTACAAGAACAGAAGGGCAATGAAGGGCCAGAGTGTCCAGCACTCCTGGGTTACAAAGATGGCCCGGCATGGTGGCTCATGTCTGTAATCCCAGTACTTTGGGAGGTGGAGGCAGGTGGGTCACCTGAGGTCAGGAGTTCAAGACCAGCCTGGGCAACATGGTGAAAACCCATCTCTACTAAAAGTACAAAAATTAGTTGGGCGTGGTGCTGTGCACCTCTATTCCCAGCTACTGGGGAGGCTGAGGCATGAAAATTGCTTGAACCCCAGTGGTGGAGGTTGCAGTGAGCTGAGATCATACCACTGTACTCCAGCCTGGGCAACAGAGCGAGACTCCATCTCAAAAAACAAACAAACAAACAAAAAACAAACAAAAACAGAAACAGCAACCTCCAGAGAGAGGAGTGAGGGAAACAACTATGTCTCTAGGAAAAACAGATTCAACTGAGGTGGCAGATATAGGGAGCATTACGTGAAGAAGCAGAGAATTCAGATTTGAATCAGGACTAGGAATCTGTGAAAACAGATGTCATAAGAAAGTGAGATGGAGAGGCATAAAATAATGGAAATGCCAACGTTCCAATAATAAGTGAATATATTTGTGTGTATTTGTATGCACACAAACACGCTGCAAGGGGCACAGAGACAAACTGTGATTCCTCTAATCAGAAAGACCGGGTCTCTGTCAGTATTTATTAACCACCTGGGGGTCTCTATCAGTATTTATTAACCACCTGCATGCCCCCCAGCAGTTTGTCTCTGTCCATTTTCAAATCAGGTCACTTCAAAGTGACTATAAATACATACGAAACCCTGGGAAACAACAGGGTTCCCTCTTACTATAAGTTTACTATAAATCATGCATCCATCAGTATATAGACAAAGTTAACTGCAATCATGGACTTTTTTTTGAGAGGGCAGAAGAAAACTTGACTCATGCAGATAGACACAGTGTCTGAATTCTCATTTTTTAATGCTCCCCAAAGAAGAATCTGGGACATGATTACTACAAGCCAATTGCCCAATCTCTTCCCTTCTGAGGCCTGTGACATAACTATAGGGCCAGAGTTATGTGAACTTCTGCAGGTTCGTGTTCCCCAAACATCGCAGGAGTGTTGTCCTACATCCTGGATTTTGTTGATGATGTTCATCTCATTTTGCCCAAATTAAAAATACAGAAAAGTTCAATATATTCCTCCTAGGGCTTAATTTATTATAACTGAAATGAGGGAAAGCAGTTGTAACAGGAAGTCAGAAAACTTTCCCTAAAACCTGTGTCCTTCCTGCAAGCCGAGGTTTAATGACACTGAAATCTTACATCATTGCATCATAAAACTTAAAAGGTTGCTTTTTGCATAATTTTACCAATGACATTAAAACCGATGCACTGGCAAGCATGATAAAATCTTCCATTTGAGGTCTAAAGTTGGAAGACCTTTCCTGTCCAAGTATTGAAAAACCTAGGGGAAAAAGTTCCATCTGCTGGTGGAGCGCTCAAGTTTGCAGCTAATGAGCTTTTTAAGAAATTGTCTGACTTAAGTGCATGTGGGTTTGGCCAACTGGATTTTTAATTTAATTAGGTTTATGAGATGAGAAATCTTCTGTAGCGTAGTCAGGTCAGAAGTTGCCACTCACTGTCACCAAGGACTAAATTTGTGGCTATCTTTGCCCTACTTCTCAAACCCTGCCAGTTGTTAAATTACATTAAAGGCAAAACTGGAATTTAAAGCTGGGACTCAAACAAATACTTATATGCCCATGTTTGTTGCAGCCAAAAGGTAGAAGCAACCCAAAGTGTCCATGGACAGATGAATGGATAAACAAGATGAGATCTCTCCATACAATGGAATACTATTCAGTGTTAATAAAGAAGGAAATTCTGGTCCATACTACGACGTGAATGACCCTTGAAGACATTATGCTAAGTGAAATAAGCTATACATAAAAGGACAAATATTGTGTGAATCTACCTAAAGGAGGTAACTAGAGTAGTCACATTCATTGAGACAGGAAGTAGAATGATGGTTCCTTGGAAGTGGGAGAGAGGGAGAAGTGGGGAATTATTGTTTAATGGGTACAGAGTTTCTGTTTTGTAAGATGAAAACAGTTCTGGATATGGATGGTGATATGGTTTGGATGTCTTCCCTCCTCCAAATATCCTGTTGAAACATGACCCCCAGTGTTGGAGGTGAGGCCTGATGGGAGGCGTTTTGGTCATGGGGGTGGATCCCTCATGAATGGCTTGGTGTCCTTCCAGTGGTAATGAGTTAGTGAGAGATATGATTGTTTAAAAGAGTCTGGGACCTCTGCACTTCTTTCTTGTCCCCTTGCTCCTGCTCCCTCTCTTGCCATGTGATACACCAGCTCTCCCTTTGCCTTCCGCCATGATTGTAAGCTTCCTGAAGTCCTTACCAGAAGCCAAGCAGAAGTGGGTGCCATGCTTGTACAGCCTGCAGAACCATGAACCAAGATAAATCTCTTTTCTTTATAAATTACCCATCTTCAGGTATTCCTTTATGGCAATGCAAATAACTAGTACAGATAGTGATGATGATTGCACAATGTGAATGTACTAAAAGCCACTGAATTGTACCCTTACAAATGGCTGAAATGGTAAATCTTATGCATATTTTACTGCAATTTACAAAATGGAAGGAAAATTCTGAGAACCCACAAGTAGAATTCAGAAGCATATGTATATTTAAAAACTCAAACATCATAACCCTCCCACAGGAATACTGACATCTCTCAATTCAATGGCAGTGGGTATCTCCAAGAAACTTGTATTACATGCAAGTGACTCTTCCCTCTCTAGAGCATTGATCTTACCCCCTAGGATGCTGGAATTTCTCCTTTCATTTCCAGAATCTATCCCCATGTAGCCACAGAGATGTTATGTGTGTCCCGCCTTTCCCTTGCACTGCACTCTAGTCTACAACCAATGCCCAAAGTTGGCTATGATTTTTTTAGAGACCTTATTTTGTCTTTCGGTAACTGTAGCTAAAGTCCAAGATATAATTAGGAACTTTAAAAGAGTGTTCCCTTCATCCTATAACCACTTTACAAACACTCAACAATTTCCTCTGGAAGATAATGAAACACACAGAGGGCATCTGGTCCCTAAGACTAAACCTCAAGGTCAAGCTTGGTTGTAGCTCCTCAGTGGCTTAATGGAACATTGAAAGCACCCCTAGAAATAACATAAAATTTTCATCTTCTACAGCAAGGATTTTGGCACCAAGGTCTTACTTTGTAAAAGGCTTATGTAAAAGGCTTATCAGTGCATCCCAGAAAGCAATGCCATCTAAGCCCTATAGTGTCAAGGGAGTTGGCCAAAATTGCTAAATGACCATTCAGCTGACGATATGACACCAACATCGGCTGTGCAGGTGCATGCTCACATTCCTGGCACCAAACATGTCACACTCCATTTTCTCCTCTGCAGAATCGAATCTGACCATAACAATGGACTGGGCTTGCTAAGAATGATACTAGCATGCCTCTTTGTTAAGACTTTCAGTGGGTTGAAATCCAGGTCTCCAAAGAGAAAGCCCTAACCTGTCTACTTCTGACATCTCTCCTTCCTGCCCTCACCTCAGAAATAAATGGTATTTTTGTATTTACAATTGAATTCTTACAGACAAACTACCCTTCCCGAATGAAGTAGAAAGTTTCACAAGATAGCATCCCTCATGCTCAATAAATTCCCACTCCTACAGCCTGGAAAGTTGGAAGGCAGAGTCAGCAGCATAAACCTCTGCATGTGTATTCGCGCAAGTTTCGAAAGCCTGGCCCACAGCCCCTGATTCCACCTTGCTTCCTACAATGGTCTCACCATTCTCCCTCTCACCCAGTGAGGACTGGGTGATAATAATGCCTCTGTGCCCCCTCTAGCACAGGGGACCTAGAGCTCTGGCTCACTGGAGATAAACAGTCAGAAAACCACATCCTCTACATGTGTGGGGCATTTGTTTGAGGGTGGGTGGATGAGAATGTGGTCAGGTAACCCAAGCTTTCCTTCCTCCTTCAGCCTCACACTTTTGCAAACAAAAGAGAAGAAATGGAGTCTGTCTGTAGAATGTCACTTGTTATCTTCTCAAGGTCATTTTTAAAAAGGAAGATCATGTGTATGATGTTCGAGTATGCTTCATAGTTCAGCAGACCAGGCACACCAGGTACACAGTGAAAGAATTGGCAAGACAAGGGCCAGAAAATGCGTGGAGATCTTTCATTGCACAGTTTTAAGAGCTTTGACATAGTTATCAGGAAGAAATCAGAATTGAGGTGGGCTCCCTTAAGCTTACTGCATGGTTTTTCCATGTGTCAAATTTATATGTGAGGAGAACCTTCATCCTTTCAGGGTTTACGGTCTCTTGCTGTCATAACCCGCCTGCATATTTCAGCACAGCCCCAGCCTGATCACCAATTTCCATCCCTCATCCACTCCATCAGAAGATCTTTATGTGCTAGAATAAATTTCTCTTAACCTCCCACACCAGCCTACAAGTCATTCATTCATTCATTCAGTGCACAAAGTTGCTGAGTATCCACTACAGGTTCAGAGTTGACCTGGCAGGGGACACAAAACTGAAGAATGCCCTTTTTTTCTGGAACTGGAACTGGAATTTTCATTCTCGGGCAAAGCAGGATGCCAGAAGCCAGATGATGTTCATAGCATCAAAAGACTCTTTTTTTTTTTTCCTGAGACAGGGTTTCACTCTATTGCCCAGGCTAGAGTGCAGTGGCACAATCTCATCTCACTGCAACTTCTGCCTCCCAGGTTCAAGTGATTCTCCTGTCTCAGCCTCCCAAGTACCTGGGATTACAGGTGTGCACCACCACGCCCAGCTAAGTTTTGTATTTTAAGTAGAGACGGGGTTTCACCATGTTGGCCAAGCTGGTCTCAAACTCCTGACCTCAAATGATCCAACCGCCTTGGTCTCCCAAAGTGCTGGGATTACAGGCGTGAGCCACTGCACCCTGCCAGAATGTGCATTTCTAATAAGTTTCAGGTGATGCTGATGCTGCTGGTTCAGAGACCACATTTTGAGAATTACTGCTTTTAACCTTATTTATAAAAGATAAAAAGTTTATTCTTTCAAGATATTCTTTTTCTTTGAACATGGGTATAAAAACATTTTAAACTGTTTAGGTATGTGCCATTTGGACAAAATCTCTTTAATATATCTATAAAAATATACTTTGAAGGCTTCCAAAGGGGAGAAAACCGGCTGGAGCTCTTTATCTTGAATTATTGTTCAAAATCATTTTCAGAGTCTAGTTCATTGGGCTGGACAATGCCAGCAAGGTGTTTGGTTTTTAATTAAAGTTGAAATATCATCTCCATTGAAAGGTACCTCATGAATTTAACCATGATGCCATGGCTGCTAAAAACAAAACAAAACAAAACAAAACAAAAATACATAGGCTTAGGCTGGGTGCTGTGGCTCATGCCTATAATCCCAGCACTTTGGGAGGCCGAGATGGGCAGTTCACTTGAGCTCAGGAGTTCAAGACCAGCCTGGGCAACATGGTGAAATCCCATTTCTATAAAAAATACAAAAATTAGCCAGGTGCAGTGGTGGGCACCTGTAATCCCTGCTATTCAGGAGGCTGAGGCAAGAGAATCCCTTGAGCCTGGGAGGCGGAGGTTGCAGTGAGCTGAGATAGCACCACTGCACTCCAACCTGGGCAATGAGAGTGAAAACCTGCCAAAAAAAAAAAAAATACCTCGTAGGCTTAGATTTCTGAAAACATGCTTCCACCCAGAACCATAAAACTTGTAAAGGTGTGGCTGAGGAGACTTTGGGTTCCAAAGAAAGCATTCAGAAAGCACCACAAATGAAAAATAGGAGTTCATCAATATACTGTTTCCTTTATCATTAGAAAGAAACAGTGCTAAAAAAGAAGAATGTCCACATGACTTCCAAAAACAAAGGAACCCAGGGTCATGACTCTGTCTGTTTTTCCCAGCTATATCTAAGACTTAGAGGGGAGAGAACAGCTCCCTTTGTCCAGGTTCCACCCACTGCAAGAACTTTTTGGCAATAATATGACTTCTCTTGTGTGCTCTGTGCCAGCCAAACTTCGTAAGAATGCTGGCCAGCTTGGCGCACCCTCTCCAGCATTACCTATGTTTGTTATTTGAAGTTGCCATGCTAGATTTTACTTTAAATGACATTTCAAGTACACAGGGTAGTTGAATAGGTTTAAGTCTTGTTGTTTCTTTTCTTTTCTTCTATTGAATAATCAATCCATTCAGGCACAGAAAGATCAACTCTTAGGCTTCCCTAATTACCCTGAATCTGCTACTTCACCCAAGGGACCTCTTGAAAGACCCCAAGGATGCTTTAAACAAAGCACTTCTTACTCTTTATTGTAGTCATGAGTTTTCTTCTGAGTCTCTTGTCTGTGATCTCCTCCTTGAGGATGGAAAGGGTATCAATCATGGCTGTGGCCCCACCATTCACTCATTCATTTATTCAATCAATGTATATTTATTAAATGACTGCTGTATACCAAGCTTTGTGCTAAGCCTGAATATGCAGCAGAGGACCAAAGAGCCACAGCCCTTGCCCTCATGAACCTTACAGTCTGAAGTAGGGACAGACACTCAACAAATGACCCCACTAGTGAGTAAAATTTGCACATGAATTAGGAGGACTCTCCAGAGAAGGGGCAATGAGCTTTGCAGGCTGTGGAGTCTAGGGGTGTTCCATGGAAGGAGGATGAGAAGGAGTGAAGAAGATGAAGACTAACATTGCTCTCACAGAACCCAGTGCATCTAAAGCTCCTTAATGCTTCCCCCATGGATGCTTGTTGAGTGACTGGATGGACCTAGGCAGAGTTTTGCACTCAATGTGACAGACTGGGGAGGAGCTCTGTGTGGAGCAAGCGATGAAGTCCCACTGAATTCAATTGAGGGAGGACCCACTGTCTTCAAAAAGGAAGAGGCATCTCCATTCTAAAGGTGGAGCAACTGAGGCCCAGAGAGCTTAAATGCCCTGTATAAGAGGCAGAGCTTAGTCTCAAATCCAGGTCGGACTCCCTGCCTTTGTTCTTTTAATCCATGACTCCAAAGCTCCTTCCTGAATTGGTGGGTATAAATCCTCCTGTCTCTCAGAAACTTCTTCTCCACTTTCCCTTGTGAAACTCTGTTTCATCTCATCAGCTTTCCAGAGTTATTTGGTGAAAGAGCATCCAAGGCAGGAAGATTTTTCTTGGATCGCTGTGATGGCTGCACCCTCCAAAAATGGGTTCACAAAGGGTAAGCATCGGCCCCACTCATTTTCCCAAACCATAGCAACCCTCTCTTTCTCTCCAAGAAAATTTTAAGTTGCCTGCATCACTGTACATATTATTAGCATATTTTCCAATCTCATATCAGAAAAGTCTTCTAATGAGTCCCAATCTAATGTGACAATCATCCAACAATAGAATGGCTGCTGCATGTGGCACTGAGCTTTCAGTCCCTGGGGACATTTAAGTTGACACAGGAGATCACCTGCCAAGAATACCATAAAAGGAATTCCCTGTTATATCAGAATGCTGACTGATTTCTGATGGCATTTTAATAAGCCAAGAATAGACGCTTCTTGACAGTAGACCCTGCCAAGTGAATATGCCTAAGGAGACTCTACTTCCCAGTTTGCTTGATGTCCTGGAATAATTATTAAGAGCACCTCCTTTCCACTCTCACAAGTGCCCTGAGTAGATGCCAAAGAATATGGTCATCCAATTTAAGTTGCACTTGGGTCCTTGGAGAGAGGCCTAATACATCCTGACACACTGGCTGCCAAACATCCAGGAGAAGATGGGGAAGCACAGTTGAGAATCTGCAGTGCTCCTGTAGCCACTCTAGGAGAGTTTCTAGTTCTCTGTTTAGTAACCTGATATACCAGCAGGCGAACGACAATGTCTAAAACCTCCATAGTTCTGTGCCTACACACAGGCACACACACACTAAAACACACACACACAGACACTCATGCTGTTCGCAGAGTATAGGAGATTCTCCGAGAGAAGCCAGTAGCATTTCCATGCTGCTAGTGGTCTGCTGATGAGTAAGTGTTGTTTTTTTAAGGCCTTGTCTGGCATTGAACATGATTAATAAATTGCTGGAGATGATGGGGACTGCTCTACTGTGATTGAGTTACTGGAGGCTTACAAGGATGAAAACAGGGATCTCTAGATTTCAGATCAAAAGCAGTCCATAAAACACAGCCCCTCAGGTCATGGGAAGTGGCATCCGCAGGCTTCTCAAGATCGCTTCCCGGTGAAAAGAGTAAACCAGCCTCTGATCCCATACTGAACTCTAACTCACATGGGGTTCGAATGTGTCATATGCTCTCTGTACCTCAAGTAATAAAGCAGGGAGTAGTGGGAGCCCATCGCTTATGGCTACTTTTCTCAGGAAAACTTAAGACCATGCAGGATGGGCTGGCTCAATTTTGACAGAGAGGGTGTCTCTGCACTGCTACCTTAGTGCGCACAGTGATTTAATGAATACACGCCTCAGTAGTGACTGAACAAAAGCAGTCTCCAGGAGACGCTGCACCAATGCAAAGAAACACAATCCAAGCATCTTGTGGCAGAAGTCCCAGCAGTCCCCAGCCTGGGACCAAAGGAGGCCTGGCCAAGCCTTGATATAAGCTGCTTTCCCACTGCACAAGGGCAGAGTCCCCAAGTGAAGAACTGCCCCAGTTCTGGCTCAAGGAGTTGGTGGTCACTCCTTGTCTTCATTTCAGGGGCTTCTAGAAGACCCCCTTTCCCCGAAAAGTATTCTCTATCTAAGAGCCTGAAATTTCACCATTAGAGATTACTTCCTTTCAATTTTACCTTAACTCTCTTTCTTGGACTTCTTAAAAAGCACAAGGAATAAGGAGCAAATCCATACTGAGTTGTTAATGATTTCACAGGGTGATGTTGAAATGGCAGCCTACTGAATATCCACTTGGGCTGTAGGTTACAAGTGCATTTCCAAATATTCTGATTCCAAAGGTCTGATGAACAGCTTAGAACTCTGCATTTTCAACAGGCACCCTGCACCCCCATCTGCTGTAATTCTGAAGCACTTTGAGAAAGTTCATTTCAATGCACCATATCCTCTCAGGGAAAGATAACTTCATTCAGAGTTTTTAAAACCTGGATTGTCAGGTTACACCCCAGAGCAATTACATCAGCATCTCTGTGGGGAAGACCAGGTATCAGTATTTTTCTGATGTATTAGAAAAAGAAAGCTCCCCAAGTAATTCCAGTGTGCAGTCAGGGCCGTGGCCACCTGAACAGCCAATGGGTGGGATCTTAATGCTAACACAGCAGAGCAAATGGAACATGTGACTATCTCCAGGGATCTGGGCTGCCTGGGACTCAGGTCTCTGCACTGGCGAAGTGGGCAGCTACCTGGTCTTCAATGTCCCCACTTGAGTGACCCTGGAGGAGTCTTCAGTTGACTCAGTTATGGAGGAGCCCCATCTCCCCTATACAAACCCACACCTCTCCTTGAAACCACGGTGATAGGGAGGCTGCCCCAAGCTGTACCTCTGAGGAGATACAGGTAAGTAGAGGCTGGGACAGAGCCAGACCCAGACAATGATTGGCCATTTGCTGCCACTTGGATTTCAGTAGCCTGAGTTGCTTTGGCAGGCTGTTCCCTGGCTCTGTGGGGTCCCTCAAGCAAGCACAGCCCTCTCACCTCCTGCTTTTGGGCACCTCTGGGACCAGGTGCAGGATTTGGCCCTCAAGCATTGTGCTGGGTGGATAGCTGCTTCCTGCCAGTGGCAATGCAGGCCTCATTCCTTGTCAAGGAACAGGCAAGGGCAGAAGGCAGAAGTCACATATGGTTGAGAGACTCTCTAACTCCAACTAAATCCACACCATTTTTGAGCAAAATGGGGGTTGTGTTCATGTATGAGTTCCCACCAATCTCTATCCATGTGGCAATTCCATCTGCAAAACCCAAGAAATAGTGGTGCATGTTGGTCCCGGGGAACTGGGAACTGGAGTGAGCTCAGCAAGAGCCCAGAAGTCCGGGAGAACTGGTGCTTAGGATGATGGCTCAATGTCCACCCAAAACACAGCCGTTATTTCCTCTTTGTTCAAGCTCTCTTTCTTTCCTTTCTTTCCTTTCTTTCTTTTCTTTTCTTTTCTCTCTCTCTCTCTTTCTTTTTTTTTTTTCCAGGGTCTTGCTCTGTTGCCCAGGCTAGAGTGCGGTAGTGCAATGTCAGCTCACTGCAACCTCTGCCTCCTGGGTTCCAGCGGTTCTCATGCCACAGCCACTCAAGTAGCTGGGACTACAGGTGCACACCACCACACCTAGCTAATTTTTTTTTTTTTTCAGTAGAGTTGGGGTTTCACTAAGTGATTGGCCTGCCTCGGCCTCCCAAAGTGCTGGGATTACAGGCGTTGAGGCACCGTGCCTGGCCCAAGCGCTCTTTTTAGAGGCTTGAGGGTAAACTTCATCCCAGCTCCCTCTAATAGAAATATTCAAAGATTCAAGCCACATTTGTAATTTTGAATGTCCCAGTTAGCCACATTTCAAAAAAAAGAAACATATAATATTAGTGTGTAAAGTGTTTCATATTTAACCCAATATATCCAGAATATTTTTACTTCAACATGTCATTAATATTAAAAATTCCTAATGAGATACTAGAAATACTTCATGCACCTGACACCCCCACTGAAATATAACAGTGTTTCATGTGTTGCAACAATTGTTGCATCTTGTGAAAATTAGTCCTACCAAAACAACAAAGTATTGTTTAACAGACAAACATTTTATATTCCTTCAGTTTTTAGGTTTATATTTTTGTTAATTAAAGTTAAACACAAATTAAAAACTCAGTTCCTCAGTTGCACTGGCTACACTGAAGTGCCCAATGGGCACATGTTGCAAGTGGGTACCATACTGGGCAGACTGAGAATGTTTCCATCAGGGTGGAAAGTCCTTAGATCCCTTAAATAATTAGAAAAGGTCCCAACTCTCATTCTGCTGGTCCAGGCTAGAGACACTTAGAAGTGTCCTGAGTGACATGGGTGCTCTCTCGTCTCACAAAAAAGAAGCACAAGAGTTAAGGGCTAGAACAGCATAACTAGAACACCTCCCAGAGATGTGGCCTAGAGCAGGTAACTCTCAAGGCTCAGTTCCTGCCTCTGACAGAGGAGCCGAAGATGAGCATCTACCACAAAGAGGTGTAAGGATTGAGTAAGTTAATATGTTTGTAAAACACTCAAAACAGTGCCTGGCACATAGCAAGCTCTCTAGAAGTAAGTGCTAAATAAATCCCCAGTTCAATGGCTGCCAGTTGGTTGCCAGACACTCTGACATCTTTCATCCCAGAATGGCCTTACTGGAAGATGCAAAAAAAATCTCTCATTGTGAACAGCTCCCAGCCTTCTGGCTGCCAAAATTATACATTGATTCACCTGAGCCTTACCTGATGCAAAACACCACAACCCCACACCCTGGGGGAAAAAAAAAGCTCAGATACTCTGAAATGTTCTAGAATGTCTGTCCCTTTCCTATCCTCCAAACCATATCTTCCTGACCCTCCAAGGTGAGGACAGAATGCCATCCCTTCTCCAGGTTATTTCTCCTTATTCAGGTCTGAGTCCAGGCCAGCTCCTCCTACAAGGCCTTTCCTGACTATCCTTTCTAAAGCACGACTGAGTTGTGAGCAAGCAAGTACATGCAGTTAGGTGCACACAGCACTGGCCTGTCCCCTCACACTGTTTCATTTCCTTCATTGGCTTATCATTCCCTGAAATCACATTGTTGACTTACTTCTTACTTGTCTATTGCTTGCCTAACCTCAAAAGAAAATAAATTCTGTAAGGACACAGACCTGGTCTGTTCAGTCCTTGCTGTATCTCTAGCACCCAGGTGTGAGTACCTAGAACACAGTACATGCTTTATATACAATTGTTGAATGAATGAATGAATACCCTCCTTAAAGTATAGGTTCCTATTTCCCCTTGCTTGATATTCCAAAGCACTTTCCATCTTTCATATTTTGAAGGCAGTCAATTCCATAATACTTGATACATACAGTTAACTATTTTTGTGTATATGTCTTATCTCCCCAACTAGACAATAAGCCCCTTTGATGGTATGTCTTGAATGTACATCCCTCCTGAGGTCCTCTTGCATCCTCAATGAATACTTGTTGATGAATGACTGGGAAGAATAAAGCACAAATCTTAAATTAATTTTCTTGGTCACACATACTAGACTATTTCTACAAATAATAATTTTTAAAATGAAGTAAATATATATATATATACACATGCATCTATATATGTGTATTATGTTTCTCATCCTAATTAAATGAAGCTATTTTTGCAACTGTTTTCCAGTCCAAGTGTAAAACTGTAAAGAATAATGCTAAATGTTAGATCATTAAGTTGGTTTTCTTTAATTATATGGCAGTGTTTCAAAAAGGCTTTGAGTCACCTTTAAGATTCCTTGCCAGGGGTACAGCACACTACATTTAAAATGGCACTTATCTTAGTAAACACATTTCTATTGCAAATGATTTGTTCCAATAAGCAATCCCTTGGCAAAGAGCTGCTATTTCTTCTAGACCCCCTACCAAAACATGGACCTATTATAAGCGCCAGAGAAGAGAAAGCTTAAAAAGCTTCCTTTATCAGAAGTTACCAAGATACATTCCCTAAAGCAGAAGCATCTATTCATCTACCCTTTTCTCTGATTTCAAAACCTATAGCACTTACTTTTTGTAAATATCTTCTATAAGGTAGCTGTAAATAAGTCCTCAAAACCTATTGTGAAGTAAGCTATAGATGTAAATATACATTCATCTTTTTTCTCTCTCTCATTTTCTTTCCTCCTGCCTCTCTCTTATTCTCCCTTTGTTTCTGTTTTTCTAAAACAAAAATCAGTAGGTTGGTCACAGGCAAATACAAGTTCAATTTCTACCAGAAAGCTGAGTTCTTGAGTGATTAAGCATACAAACCAATCATTTGAAGGGAAAAAAAATCCAGTAAAGGCTAAATTATTTTCTGAAGTACTTATTACATTACATGAAGAGCTTATTATGATAAGCTATTATACTTGCAAGATGAATTGAATTCACATTCAGGCAACTCATCTATTCCTAGAGAAACACAGATAAAAAATTTTATAGCAACCTGAAAAGGTTTGTGGAATGGATATAAAAGAGATCAATACTATAAGATTTTAATGTCAAATTGAAACAATAGAAAACATGGTCCAAAACAAGGTCTCAATTTCCAATAAAAAGGAAAAGAAGAGATAACTGGTGAGCAGAGGAGAGGACAGTCCTTCAGGCAGGAGTGGCTGGGGAAGGACCTGGTGGAAGTGTAATTAAGCTGTAAAGGAATCATGGATAGAATTTGGAGGGTGGAAAGCAGTCCACCTGTAAGTTCATTTATTCCACGTGTATTTGTTGATTTCTTACTATATGCTGGGCACCATTCCCAGCACAGGGGCTATCACAGAGAACACATGACAAAGACCCCTTATTCAGATGATATTCTAGTGGGGAAGGCACCACTTCTAGAAATTAGTTATGAAAAAGCAGGCACCCTTTTATGTTTACGTGTACATACATGGAAAGGAGGCATTCATGTTTTTGTTTTCTACTGCCCTTCTCTTGAGCCTGGAAGGTTTTCCTTTGTACTGATGGCTAGCATTCCTCTTAGCTTTGTGGAGATTTGCCTTGCAAACAAAGAGTTCCCTCTCTTCCCTCTTGCCACTGTTTACCATGGGGATGCAGTTAAGGATCATGACAAGCCATAAAAGATTTCTCCTAACTCTTTCAAGTATGACTATCCTGATTATAGCCTCCAGATATGGCCAGCCAGAATCACACACTATTTATAGGCTTAACCCACAGGCAGAATTAGTCATGTATCACACATGACTAAAATGCAAGACTCTCCCAGACCTAGGGTCCTAAACAAATCCCCTCTCCTTCCCTAAACCTTCCAAAGAAGGGCAGTGAGGATGCCCCCACAATGTTCTTCCTACAGACATGTTTATTTAAGATCTCCTCCCCATCCCCTAATCAAGGAAACTACACAACTGAGCTAATCATTTAAATGATGCTACTGAGAAACGAAGCCATTTTCCTTGTTAAAAATGTGCTTGCCACCCTATCCATTTATCTATTTCCTTGGCAGTGCTCACTGTTAATTTATTGCCCAATAAAGCACAGACACTAGCAGAGCTGCTGAACCATGCCTAGTGGAAGCCCCACTATTTCATCCCAGCAAAGGCAACTGACAAGCCCAAAGCACAAACACAAACACATTGGATGCCACAAAGCCGGGCTGGCTAACCCCGACTCCATTTGTCATCCCAGAGACACAGAAGGGAGGGCGGTTTACAGCCTTCTGGAGAATGTAGGTGATTAATAACTATCGATTGTCAGAGGAAATGGAGTAAGTTTGGTCGGTTAGCCAACTGCCATGGGTTTTCTTTCTATTGGATGGTAAACCTCACTGCCGC
This sequence comes from Homo sapiens, assembly GCF_000001405.40. Taxonomy (NCBI): domain Eukaryota; kingdom Metazoa; phylum Chordata; class Mammalia; order Primates; family Hominidae; genus Homo; species Homo sapiens. Next base: position 77,274,861 of record NC_000010.11, read on the forward strand.
AGAAGCCATCTCATGGTGAGTTTTGTGGGGAGAGAAACTGAGAAGGGAAGTGATGAAGACCGAGATGGGGCAGCCTTGGCTGGCCATGGTGTCCACCATTCGGGCAGATTGCCTCCTGTTGCCTCCTGCAGCTAACACACAGCCATCACTCATAAAGTCCCAGGCAGATGTGTGCTTTTAGTGCAAAACCTTGGCAATCATTATCTTGAGTGTGGAGGGGCTTTTCTTTTCAGAGTCTCCTTCATGGGCAACTGGATCAACCACACAGAAGGCAGATCCTTCTTATTTGGACAGCTTAGACCTCAGAGAGCCTATACCAACTGAATATTTGTGAGGTAGGATCTGAAAGCACAACCCTGAGCTTCAGGATACTCTTTCTGATGTCTTGACTAGCTCCAGTTTGCCTGGAGGTTTAAAGGAAAATGTACCCAGAAAACCTGGGCTCTTACTCCAGTATCTGTCTAATACAGGAGGAGGAAGCCTTCTCAAAGCCAAAAGAACAGAACACCAAGAGGGGTTCCAAAGATTGGGTTCAAAAAAGTCATTGAATGTTACTTTGAGAAGGAAGCAAGGTCACCTAGTCGTAAGCCTGTATTTTAGAGGAGAAAACTGGGACCCAGAGAGGAATTGACTTGTCCAACGCCCTATTGTGTGTTATGGACAGAAGCAAAATTAGGAGGATGGGTGAAAAAGAAGGAAGTTCCAAAAGCCCACAGGGTCTGCCTTCCATTGCCATAGTCCCAATTGTTGCTCCCCTAGTGAGGGCACAGCTGGCCTAACCACTCACAGGCAAAAGACATAAGACTACAACAGACCCCACAAAACACATGCACATCATCCACTCCTGCAGGAAGTTGTGAGCAGGTTGCCCTGCTCCACCATCACTGCTCAGCAGGAGGTAGAGAGGTAGATGAGAGGAGCACAGGACCTGAGAACCAGGAGAAAAGGATGGCAAGGGAGGCCCAGCCCCAGCCAAGGCCCAGCCCAGTTATGTAATCCACCCTGGGAGGTTATGCCCGCTGCTTTCCATCCACGGATTTTGCAGGATGGGTCTTCACTAGGAAGATGGGGGAAATGTCCCAGAGGGAATCCTCACCAGCCCTGTCCCATGTCAAGTTCTTTATGCCTCTGAACCTTCCTCAAACGGTGTCCCCCCTTCCTTGCCCTTGCCCCACCTCTCCACATTCACAGGGCATCTTAATTCCCTAAGCTGAGTCAACATGAGTACCACAGTCCTCTCCGCTTAACCAGGCTGCTGCATCTCAGAGTGAGCCTCACAGACACGCACAGAATCAGCACCTGCTGGGCATTTTCATGTAATTTGATGATCACCTCTGTAATAAGACTCCTCAGGAGCTGAGACCATCCTTCGTCTACCTTCTAGCATTGTGTCTCCATTGGGCCATTGAGGCCATCTGCTCTGGAAGTTCCTGCAGGGGCCTGCTAACAGGTAGATGCCTAGGCCTAATCCCTGACTTGCAAACTCAGAATCTTGAGCCAGTTCAGGAATAACTGCCTAGAGTGCCTCCCACAGCAAAGGGCATACTGCAGACATCAGGAAACACTCATTGATCACAGAGAGGGGCTTGGCGTCAGGGGACCTAATTTTAACCTTGCTGTGTGGCCCTGCGGAAGTCACTTAACCCTCTGGTATTCAACTTCTTCACCTCTAAAATAAATGTCAGACATTTGTGGATCATGGATGTGAAGTTACCAACACAGATCCAGGCTCAGCAGGTACTCAATTCGAGATGTCTGTATTATGCGTGAGGTTTGTTCATACACAGATTGACCCAGTAACTACCCTGAACCAGATCCCCAGGGAGTGGGTTTCTAAAGGCTGGGGACTGGGCCTGGCTTGAGAATATACTAATCACACAATATATTTATAATAGCCAAACACACTACATAACCTATCATATTATAAATGAATAATACTATAAAATATTAATAGCAAACAAAATATGGTACATATTTTGTGCCAGGCACTATTCTAAATATTTTACTTATATTTCCCCATTTAATCCCCACAAAAAATTTAGAAGATAGTTCTATTATTATTATCCCCACTTTATAGCTGAGGAAACTGAGGCCCAGGGCTGTTAGGTAATTCTCCCAATGTCCTGTAGCCAGTAAATGACACACAGCGGGGATTCTTCAAACTCCCACACCTTCCTGAGATGTCAGCTGGCTGTGTGGTTCATGCCTTCTCTTCATTGTCTCTGCCCTGAGATGTGCTCAGCAAGTGGTCGTTGCCTTAAGAGAGCTTTGCCTTCCCAGCATGGTTGGGGGAAGCTCTCCCTCCTTCAAGGGAGGAGAAGAAGGGGTGAGGAGCCACTAACAGGGCTCACCTGCAAAGTTTTCAGGACCATACCTCCAGGCCAAACTCTAATGAGAAGGAGCATTCCTGGGCCTCAGCTCCCTGGGGTTCAGACTTGGCCCCTTACCATAAAGAGGTCAACTAATGCAAAATGCAGAGGCTGCACCATGATAGCTTTTCCACGATGGGTCTGGGCCAGGATTGAGGGCACTGTCCAGCAAGCTGATGCATTTTTAAAACTTCCGAATCATTGATACTACCTCCCCAGGGAAAGGAAGACCTCAGCAGTTTCTCCAACACCCAGTCCACATGCCAACCTGCCAGAGAAGCTGGGACGGACCACAGCAAAAGCACCAGCACCCAAGCTCTGCCACAGACAACTGACTTTCAGGGACATGAATGACCTCCTCACTGAAAATGACCTTCCCCAGGGGGCTTATTCTCTGAACTTCTGGAATCACCAATCACTTCTCCATGTAACTGACTCTACATCAAAGTCGATGCAACAGATCACATTTCTCACCACTCCCACTGCCCCAACCTGGATGCAAAGTGTCATGGTCTTTCACCAGATTATTACAATAACCTCCTAAGTGGTCTCCCTGCTTCTACACTTGACCCCAAGTACCACAATTGGAGAAGGATGATCTCCAAAGCTGCCTGGGAAGTCTGCAGTTACGCCTTTGGACATGGACTGTTGGGACTTTTCAGTTTCTAAGAGTTCAAAGAAAAAAGAATGCTAGAGATGTTTTCTTTCCATCCAAACAACTAAAGGCTTGTATCTTTCCATTAATCAATACCAAGAGCTGTTCATGCAGCTCAAATCCAAAAATGAGCATGCTGAGTTTCTCAAGTCTGTCCTCTGATGATATGTATATAATCAGCATGCTCTGTTGTAGACCTTTGTGACAATCTGTGTCACTTAGTACAAGTTTACCCAATGTCATTTGCATTTAAGCAAATGGAAAAGAATTTTCTCAGACCCTACTATGACTCTGGCCACCTGATAGGTGCTATAGAGGACAAAACAGAAATATAAAATATGATTCTCTCCTTTAAGGAATGTATTTTTTCTGATGGAGAGACAAAATAAATGCCCAACAGATAGACAAACAACCATATCAGACCATTTAACCATTTCCATATGGTTAAATGGAAATATCAGTAGGAAAGATATTAAACACCTTGGGAATTCAGAAGCAGATGATCAGTTTGGCTAGAATGGCTGGGAAGATAATCTATCAAAAGTAAGAAAAGTGATAAATGTGTGAAGTGTAAATGAGTTGTAGTATTGCATCCCAACAGGCAACAAATATTTCGTGCACTGGATTGAACTGCTGCTAATACTACTTTCCTCTCTCCTGCATTTGGAAAAAAACAAGGTGGTCTCCGAAATCCAGCCTCAACCCAGGACTATGGAAATTTGTAATGGCAGTGAAGACAAAAAATATTTTCTCTGCCATATGCGGTCACCAAAAGCAAAGCAAAAATTAAAGCAAAGTATATAGGATTTGGTATGGTAAAAGTGAAGAATCACATGACGATTCGTTAAAGAATATAACCTCCACCCAAGGGGACAGTTGAGGGATAGCAAAGTCATTAAAGCGTCACAGCTAAAAGGAAAAATAAGTCTTTCAGCTACTATTATCCATCCCTCTGCTATTCAGTTTCATGAAGTGAAGCTACTGGAGTAGACACTGTATTACATCACAAATTTGTTACAGACATTCCTGTAAAAGTGGCTTTTTCCTCATAGACTGAAAATACACCTGAAGATCCCCTCATGATGAATAGGAATAGTCCATTTTAGATGAGTAGATTTTGGAAGTGTTTCCACACTTTTTTTTGTTTTTAGGTTTTTGGGGGGTGTGTTGTTGTTGGAAGCTCCAGCATTTTCCTCTTCACCACCTGCAGCACTGGGACAGCAAAGCTGAAGAATCTCATTAAGCTTCGACAAGACCAATTTTTTATTTTTAGCCAGTCTTTTAAGACAATGTGAACTCTACTACATTTAGAATAATTATTCCATCAACTATTTACTTAAACATTTTAGAGGAAAGGAAAGAAACTGGGAGATGTTTAAGGCTTTTTATAACAGATTGTTTCAAGGGTAAATAGAAAAATCCAAATGCAGCTGCTGAAAACACGTAAGCCCATGGCAGGGTGCCCACTTGCTGCAGCGGAAGTGAATGGTGAGAAGAGATGAAAGATGTGGAAGACAAATGTACCCAGGGCATCCAATCCCAGCAAGCGGACAAAGGGCAGATTCATAACACTACTTTGTGGTTAACTGGTAACTTTCATCAGGGAACCTCAACACACTTTACAAATAACACTTATTTTCCTGTCTCACAGAAGCAGGGAGATAAATGCCAAGCCCAAACGTCACACAGCAAGGGTGTGATGATTTTAAGAATAAAATCCAGACCTTATTTCCCAGTTGGTGGCCTACCAGGTGTCTTGATATGGTTTGGCTATATCCCCACCCAGATCTCATCTTGAATTGCAGCTCCCACAATTCCCACATGTCATGGGAGGAACCCAATGGGAGGTAATTAAATCATGGGGCAGGTCTTTCCCATGCTGTTCTCATGATAAGGAATAAGTCTCATGAGATCTGATGGTTTTATAAGGAGGGGTTTCCCTGCACAAGTTCTTTCTTGCCTGCTGCCATATAAGACTTGCCTTTTGCTTTCTGTCATGATTGTGAGGCCTCCCCAGCCACATGGAACTGTGAGTCTGTTAAACCTCTTTTTCTTTATAAATTTCCCAGTCTCAGTTATATCTTTATCAGCAGCAAGAAAACAGACTAACACATGCCTCCCTTCGAACCCACAGTACATCCCCACCATTTGCTCTTTCCATAAACCAGTTTCCTTTGAAAACTTCCAGATCCTTCCTCCTCTAATAGAGAACACCAACATACCAAAGACTACTTCAGACATGAAAGAAATGGTGTGCTTATCTTGAAATCTCAAGTGGAATGGTAAAAACTTACCTAGGTTCATCAATGCGCTAGAAACACCACAAATTACCAATGCAGGGGAAAATGAAGTATGCTGCTACAAGGGATGCATTGACAGACTCCAGAGAACGCCACTCTTGGTAAGCTGATTCTGACCATATAGAAGTTATTTTATAATTCTGTAAATTGTACATAAGTGACAGCAATGCAAATAATTCCTGTCCATGGACATGAAAATTCTGTCCTGTCCAAGAGAAGTTCCATTGACTTCTCTCCTGCCTTTGTGGAAAAAAACAGTTTTGCCTCTGTTTCCACATTCATTTAAATATTACTGACCTGTAAGTGTCTGTTCTTTTCTTTTTTGTTTATGTTTGTGTCTTTGTTTCTTCAAGACAGGGTCTTGCTTTGTTGCCCTTTGTTGCCCAGACTGGAGTGCAGTGGCACAATCATGGCTCACTGCAGCCTCTACCTCCTAGGCTCAAGGGCTCCTCCCACCTCAGCCTCCTGAGTAGCTGGGACTACAGACAGGCATCACCATGCCTGGCTTTTTTTTTTTTTTTTCAGGTATAGGCAGAGTCTTACTATGTTGCCCAGGCTGGTCTCGAATTCCTGGGCTCAAGTGATCCTTTCACCTTGGCATCCCAAAGTGCTGGGATTACAGGTGTGAGCCACCATGTCCTGCCTGTCCTCAACTGGTTATAACATCTGCCTGGTCCCCTCATTGAATAGGAGTAGAATAAAATCTTTAACACATATTCATTTTGATATCTGAAAGTCATGATTTTCTTCTTTTGTGAAAATTAATTTTTAATACCAATTCAATCTCAGAAATGCTCAACCTCAAAGTTAGAAACACAGATGGGAACAGCAAGAGATGTTAGAACTCACAAGAGGACTGATGGAGAAAATAGGGGTGTAGATCTCCGAACACAAATTGGAAAAGATTTTCTTATGAGAACAAATCCATAAATCAGAAAATATCTGTGATTTTATCCTCTATCTTCCTACCACTTCAATCTTGTTAACTCAAATATAAGACATGTTAACTGGATCCAGGACCTGAGCCCTGGCAAGTGCCACAGACAACAGCATGCTATCCAAAGGACTGCCCTTAGGAAGCCCTTAGGAAGCCTTGAATGCATTAGAAAAAAAGTACTCTCCCCTCTGGCTGACACAGCACCATTCTGGAGCCTCTGGCTTAGCAAAAGGGGTACAGGTTGCATTTGAGTGCTTTCTTGTACCTTCTTCAGCTGGGCACCTTTGTGCAGTACTCAACCTATACAACTGTACATGGTGGCCATGAATGGAAGGACCACTCATGACCCAGGACCCAAAACCATAACAGGGATATATAGCTAGAGAACAGCTGCTGCTAAGCAGGGCATGAGAGAAACTGAGAGGGCTGTGTCCGGGCTGACTTTATCTAGACCACTGAGATCCAATACGATTGAGGAAAATCACTAACTCTATGGCACCCTGCTCCAGCCATGCCTGGGAACCGGTGACTGCCTTATGATGGGATGCCCTTTTCAGGGAGTCAAGAAGTGCCTGACTGGTAATAAAAAGGAATGAACTACTGATACCTGCTACAACATGGAGGAACCTTACAATCATTATGCTGCATACAAAAAAGCCAGACATAAAGGATTACATACTGTATGAGTTAATTTGTATTAAATGCTCAGAATAGAAAAATCTATAGAAACCTAAAAATAGGTTCACACAAAGTAGATTAGTGGTTTCCTACAGCTGCGGTGGTTGGGGAGCGGACTGAAGGGATTTCCCCAGACACTCCAATCCATGTGTCTGGGTGTTACGATAACCATGATAATAAAAGCCAGGGAGACCTCAGTTTGGGTTAACAGGGAGGTTAACCTCATTTTCATGCTTTGTTTTTCAACCCTTATTACTGACTGGTTCTGCCACGATCCTTAAAACATGCTCTTAGCAAATTTTATTTTTAGTAACTATCACTTAGTCTTTCTCCCCAGCTTTTTCCCACTTTCCTCCCATCCCTTAGATCCCATCTCTCACATCTGTATGTTTTACCCAACAGGATGGAAAGAGAACAATGTGTGGGGGCAGATTTGGTACCTGTCATGGCCTTGACCTCTGGCATCAGGCTTCCTCTCCCTAAACACCCCAGCCAGGCTGCACTTTCCTCCATGACTCAGGTGAACCTTCCTCTGTGCCACCACGTGGACTTTGCAAATTCTGTTTCTCCTATCTGCAACATTCTCTCCCATTCTCCTCCCACCAGTCTTCTTTCATCATGGATGAAGGATGACTCTTATTCTTCCTCCTAATCTCAAGCCAAGCATTCTTCTCGGAAGCCTTTGTTGATCTTTAATCCCTTGGCTCTCATAGCAGAATGTGTGCAGGGCAGGTATATTAGAATTTCTGTAGGTTAAACTCATAAACTGTGGGACTTTGTTGACTAGGTGACATCAAGGGAAACAGAGGCAGGCTTCTTCTGTGGAATAATTGTGCATCCTTCCTGCCCTTCTAGGGGTCCTGACTATCTCCCCAGCCCCCAGCCTCCCAGGCTCCAATCTGCAACAACAAAGAGATAGAAGCTCTGATAAGAAACACAGGTGGCTGGGCGGGTGGTGTGCTCTGTAGTCCCAGCTACTCACAAGGATCCCCTTGAGCCCAGGAGTTCAAATTCAGCCGGGGCAACATAGCAAGACCCCATCTCTAAAACAAACAATCAAAACAGAATTTCTTTGCTAATTACTTTTGACATAAAAAAACAAAAGAAAGAAACACAAGTGATTGTAGCACCAGGACCCCTGAAGCTAGCTGAATATGTTCCTGCCTCTGGCAGAGTAAATGTTCTCTACTTTTGAGTCAGACCAGTGAAGGCCAACCTTCGTCTTAGGAAGAAGTTGTGGTGCCAACATAAGCTTTGGAGCCAAACAGACTTAGTTCAACTACCAGCCTTTACCTAGTTTTTGGTGCTCCCATTGACTAGTCTGCGGCAACAGATGAGTTAAAGGAGATGTTGGGTGTGTATCCTAACACACTGCACAGGCTGTGTTGCAGAATAGTCAGTAAATGTCCATTTTCTTTCTTCACATACACCTTCTTCTTTCTGCACCAATAATTTAAGTAAGAACTTTCTATTTTCTCCTCTACCAATCTCAGAACTGTCTAGATAGAAGTTAAAACCACCTCACTCTGGCTCGAGGAGGAGGGAGAAGGAGGCAGGGTTTCATTTCAAGATCAGTCAGCCCATTGCAGCTGGCTGTCCTGCAGCTTCAGGAGAAACACCAGTGGTCCCACAGCTAACCAAGATGGTGCCTGTCAGGCACAACAGCTTGATAGGGACAGCCGCATTCCCTGTCAGATTCTTGATAAAGTACAGCACATGCCAGGAATTCTGTGGGCCCTTCAGGCACTTGTGCTGTTGACACCCCTATGGCTCAAAATCAGAAGCTGTCTCTGAATTTGATGAGGTGGTAGAGTTGGATCCTTTGGCATTGAGGGAAGAATGGCAGAACGTGGGTGTTTACAAACACTTCTGTCCACTTATGTATACTGCAGATACTTAATGGAGTGCTCATCCTGTGCTGGGATAGAACTGAGACAAAAAACAGATAGTAGCTGCTTTCAGGGAACTTAACAATGTCAGTTAATGGGGGAGACAGGTATCCATTCATAATCATCCCCAATGAATGTGAACCCAAAATGAAATAAGGGCATGGAAGAACATAACACAATTCTAGAAGAGCTGCTCACAAAAGATCAAGGTGAAAAGAAGTTTCTCAAGAAAGTCGCACTGGAGCTGGCATCTGAAGAATGAGTAGGTGCTATTTGGGTGAAAGGCGTGTGCTGTGGGAAAGGGATGGGAAGAAGAGGAGAAAGAGAGAACAGCATGTGCAAACAGAGGGAACAGCACATGCAAAGCCCAGTGGCAAGAAAGACTATGGCGTGGTGAAAAATTGGGCTAAAGACAATATGACCAGGGCTGGACACTGAGGGTGAGAGTGAAATGCAGCATTGGGGAAGAGAAAGTCAATTCCTAATTGTTCAGGAAAGGTGACTGGGTGATAGGCATGACCAGAAGAAGAGAGGTTTCCTATGAAACTCTGTACTGGAAATAGAGCTGCCACAATAGGCAACAAGAACTAAGGTACCTAGAACAAAATGCTCTGTCATTTTGTTCCCTGGGAGAGTAGAGTAAAATTCAATTGAACAGAGGTTGAGACAGCCTATTGATAATTTAAAGAAAAAAAATTTAATGGGCTAGGTCATCATACAGGCATATTAAAATGTAAAACAGCAGAACCAAATCAAATTTCTCTTTGACAGGCTTGCCCTGGTTTTATAATCCCTCTTTCAGGGGAGACTCTGTTGTTGTTATTATTATTATTATTATTGCTCAAGATGGTGTCTCTCTATGTTGCCCAGGCTGGAGTGCAGTGGCACGATCTCGACTCACTGCAACCTCCACCTCCCAGGTTCAAGCGATTCTCTTGCCTCAACCTCCCAAGTAGCCGGGATTACAGGCACATGGCATCACACCCAGCTAATTTTTGTATTTTTAGTAGAGATGGGGTTTCACCACATTGGCCAGGCTGGTCGTGAACTCCTGACCTCAGGTGATCCTCCCACCTTGGCCTCCCAAAGTGCTAGGATTACAGGTGTGAACCACCGCGCCCAACGAGACTCTGTTAAGCTGAAAATATTGAGCTAAATGCCAGTGTCATTCTTCTGTAAATATATGTAATTGCCATTTAAAGAACTCTCAAATTAAGGTTATAACAGCTAGTGATAAACATTCCTTCATTTCTCACAATATTATAATAGAGAAGAGGACCAGCATTAACAAACTGGCTTTTCCTGTTCTCCCGAAACAGTCTTAAGTGATCTCATTTATCATGAATTTCTGTAAGCATTAACAGTTTGTAAAATGAGTTAATTATGTTCTTTGGAGGTTTAATAAAATCTACCAAGTTAAGTAATATCCCGATGCTCTTGAAATTTACCCAGAAAACTTTAAAGAAAGAAATAAATGCATTCGACTGAGCAGAACATCATGTATATTTTTAGAAAGCATACATTATCTCACAATACTTATGCTAAATATGTAAGAAAATTTCTGATAGACTCTAAATCAAGTCTAGTTGTAAAAGGATCTCTCCTCTAAAGTTTTTTTTTTAATCTTCGTATCAATGTATAAATATTGGCATCTATGCAAGCCAAATATATTCCAAATCCAAAAGCTTTGGCAATCCAAACTTTGAGAGAAAGAATAATAAAATCTAACCTTTAATGAGAAAAAGTAGGAATTTCAAGAACATGCATCTATTTTCTACAGGCAGTGGTATGAGAGAAATAGAACAGACACTGAAACAGGTGAAAATTAAGATGTTACATAGGGATGGCATATGGGACTCATTAAGTTTAGGATGGTGTTTTGCCCTTCTTTAAAATGTGTTTTTCTTTTCCCCCACCATAAACTCAATTTGCCCCAGGTAGTAAACTGAAATGACTGGAATTTTCTCTGATTAGATTTCTCTGGGGCTGTTACTGGGTGTTACCACATGGCATAGGGGTGAGGTGCCAGGCTCTGGAGTCAAATTGCCTGTGCTCAAATGCTGCCTCTGCCCCTTACTGGCCATGTATTTTTGGAAAAGCCAGTTACTATCTCTAAGTTCCAGCTTCCTCATCTTTAAAGGAAGAGGTTTGTTATTATGCATACCTCATGGGTTGTTCAGATGATTAGATGAGATGTGTGAAAAGTACTTACTTAGCACAGTGCCTCTGTAAAGGACAGCGATCAGTATTCCCCTGGTGGAAACAGTGGCCATGTTTACAAGATGAAGGAGGAACCAGTCCTTACTGCCTCCCTGTGTAATCAAAGTAGTCATTATCTCCTATTGCCAGGGTTTCCTTATCTCTATCACTCATGTCCTGTCCTGACAACATATTTATAATGGGACTCTACCTACACAATTAATTGTGTAATTTTTTTTCTTTAAATCTCATTCTTTAAAGTTCAATTTTTAAATTGAACTTTATTTCACTACCACAAATGGAAAGCCCATCTCACTTGCTATAACTAGAAGGTAATTCTAAACATACAGCAAAAAAGAAAACCCAGATCATTTAAACGCCACCTCGATCTTGTCACCCCAACAAAGACTCAGAGCCTGAGAGCGGAGGCTGATTGCCAAAGTTTAGAGAGGTGTTAAAGACCTGGTAGAACCTAGGGAAGACATTCTCTCTGTGTTAAAGAGAATGTAAAAGAAAACATAACCCTCTCCTCATTGGAGTCTGTGTCATCCTATGCTGGGTCAGGCCACCACCTAAAATTACGCCATATGCCCCTGGTAATACCCATCTCTCACGTTGTTATCTAGAGTGATTTCCATTGTAGTTTATGGAGTTTTATGCATAAACAGACAGTGTTCTGTGATACCTAAGAATACTTCCAAAATTCCCATGGAAGGAGGCTCCCAATTAATTCCAGTCCATTCATTTTTAAAATTGCTGAGTGAGGCATTAGAATTCATAGAATTTGCAGACCTGTGAATTCCCCTAGCCAGCAGCAATCTTATTAGCATATCCGTAAGTCTTTGCAAATTTGACTAGGGACGGTGTGTGTGTGTGTGCGGGGGGGGGGGGGGGGTTCCATTCTTACTTTATGCATCCTCATTTATACACCCTCCTCTCTCTTGAGGTTGAGTTTCTAAGCTGATAGATCATACCTTCCATCTCTGTCCATAAATGCCTTTGACCCAAATATCATGCAAGTCCAATGGTACACATGTCCTCTAAAACACCCTAAGTGGAAAGCATTGCCTGTTGAGGATTAGAGTAGACATATAATCACGTTTCATACTGAGCTATGGCCTTCATCCAATACAAATGCCACATTCACTTAGGAAGGGTGTGTATACATGGGAAACAGCAGGGGAATCAAGGACAACTTCCTGAATCAGCCTGCTCAGCAAATCCAAACTCATTCAGCCACAAACCCAGTTCATTCATGCATCAGGGTTTGCACTGCTCTAATAAGATGAATGGAAATGCAAAGACAACACTTGGAGGGAGTCCTCTCCGTGCACTGAGACCCTTGTCTGAAAATACAAGCAACTGCTGCTGCTTCACACTCAAAGAGCCAAACATTTTGCATGGATAATTCAGAAGCAGTACGTCACTGCCCCATACACAATCCTCATGTTAAGGGAGCCTGCATCAGGAAAGCACAGACTATCTACCTACACAAAGAGGTCATTGCAAATTCCTCCTCTCCTTCCTGTTGCATTCACTTTAGCAATTTTATTACAGAAGAGACTGTCTAGTCCAGAAGCTTGCTCAGTGATGAAAGAAGCCAATTTGGGATCCTAAATTTGACTATAGAGCATTCATATGGACAACTGGGAATTACCTGGTTTGTGAACTAAGCAAAAGCCAAAACTCTAAACACCTTCTGAGCATCTATGAAAAAGTATTTCCAAATCACAAGCATTCATTTTTTAGATGGGAGTTGGCATGAGGATCTCCTGCAAAGAGAGAGAGAGAGGTTTCCTGGCATGGGATGGGGAGTGCTGAGCACCAAGACACATGTGCAAGCTGAAAGCACACCAAGTGCTCTTCTCTGCATCCAGCACCTCACACACATTAACTCAAAGGGCTGACAAGTCCCTGGATCACTCAGCAGGCAGGCAGCAAACTCTCAGAGCAAACAGAGTTACTGCTGCCTTATCTTGAGCTCCACTATTAACACACTTGTCATCACTAAGCCAGGTTGTTAGTCTCTGGAACAATTTGATGGAAAGGGCAAACACCAGAGAAAAACAAGTTGACCCAGATGGGCTGGCAGAGGGGATCAAGTGGCAATAAACTCCGTTATCACTCCTGGTTGGCAAACAAAAAGCTCTGCCTACGCATGCATTCCAGTTAACTATGGACTTCCCCTCATACATGCATGGAAGGCCATTATGCAGAGAAATGGGCACAGCAAATCACACTAAACACTGAAACTCTGCTGAAGTGACTCCAGTGACTTGGAGTTGTTGATCTAAAAATTGCTTATTCTTGCCTTGACAATAAAATCAGAGTCCAAGTTAATAAAGATTTCTAGTTAGCAAAGTCCCCAAGAGCAAACAGTTTATTCAGATCACCAGCTTTCTGCTTTGCAGTGTGAAGAGATTAAGGGTCCAGGGACACTCCTAGTTCTGGTTCTGCCTGTGTACATCACTGAGCCTTTGTAGACCTCAGCTTTATTCCCTGTGAGACTTAGACTGATCAGCAGTTCTCAATCTGAATGTGATGACAGAGTAGCAGAGGTGGCCGAATATAGAATCCTCAAAATTAACTTACAACCAAAGGCTGGTATCTGTCAGTAGCTTTACATGTATTGACTAATTTAATCTTCACAATAAACCTGTGAAGGAGGTACTATTATCATCCCTATTTTACCAGTGGGGTAACCAAGGCTCAGAAAGGCTGACAACATGCAAGGGTCACCCAGCCAGCCAGGTGCAGAGGTGAGACTAGGAATCATGTGGTCTGTCTCCAGAAATGCTGCTTTTAACTACTCAACTCTTCATAATCTAGTGCCTCTCAATAATGGTTAATAATAGCTATCAGTATGGCCAATTGATGGCCTGATTAGAGGAGATCTGAGGCTTGAAATAAAAGGCTACTGATACTCGCATTTTAACAAGCTTTTTTTGAGAGACAAAGAAGTGGAGTTTCATAACATAACCTGGAGTTTGCATCTCAAAAGTGAACACCATCCACAAGGCCAGGCAAGAAGAAAGGTTGGCACTGGCTGACCACACAATGTGGTTGGTTCCACCTCACTTAGCCATGGAGTCTATGATTCCTTGGTGCTATGAGAAAGAATGCTGCAATCTGCTCACTCTCATTTTGGGAGGACCAAAGCCCTGCCTAGCAGCAATGACAATCCTGGCCCTAACACAGCTGGGAGCCTCTTGACAGGCTTATCTCCTCCAGCTCCCCAGGAAGTCTCCCATTGGCTGTCAGATCAAGATCACCAAACCCATTCTCCTAATTAGCTCCTTGGCAGGCAAACCACACAGGAGCAGTTCCCTTTCCACCTTGAACCCAGCAGACAGTCCCACTCCCCAGCATCAGCCAGCCCCAAAGGCACAGGGCTCCCCTAAGGCCTGCATGCCCTAAGTGTCTGAGAGGACCCCATGACTACAGCACATGTCACTAAGTCCCTAACATTCCAATCATCAGCAGGCATCTGTAACTCCAGCCGGCGTCCCTCCAGGTATGCAAATGCCATCTGCCCTTACATGAGGGAAATGGACAGCAGCGGAAGTTACCAAGGGCCCACAAGGTGTCAGCATCTGGGACAGAAATGAAGTTCCCTCCCTATCACCAACTTCTCTTTTAAAGAACCACTCAAACCCTGCCAAGCTTGTACAAGAGGAGTAAATAACAAAATGACACAGATGACCCATAAAGGATGTATATTTGCTTAAATGAAATAATAGAGTACTTCACAAGTGCCTGGTCCATGTAAGACTTTTGTTTTGTTTTGTTTTAATGGCTATTTCAATATAACACTAATTTAATAGATATAGTTTAAATATAAGGGACTGTAAATAGAGTCTTCAAAATAGTACATCAAAAATTTCCTTCATGATGAAATAGATGGCCTACTATGCTTATCCAGAGTTATTCTTGCAAATTTCTACCTGTAGATATTGTTCGGCAAATAGGCAAGTTCAATTGATTGTTGATTTTAAATAAAAGTTCTAACTGAGAAAAAAAAAGTAAGCCCATAAGAGAAACCAGTTTCAAAAGGCCACATCCTGTGGATTCTCCTTATTTGACATTCTTGAAAAGATAAAGCTATGGTGATGAAAAACAGATCCCTGGCTGCCAGGGGTTAGAGATGGAAGGAGGCGGTTCGATGCGGTAAAGGCACAGTTCCACTGATTATAGTGGTGGTTACACGCCTCCATACATTTGTGAAAATTCATAGACCTACACACCAAATTTTTTTAAAAAGTCAATTTTATTTTATGATTACCTAAAAAATAAAAATGTTTACAAGGCCCATGAATTGGGTTGTCTCTAAAAGATGACTTTTCTTCATATTTCTTCCAAATTGGTTCATATTTAGAGCACTATTGATTATCTAACAAAATTTTAAATGGAAATAGTTGCAGTGGAGATTAAATGAAATAACATATTAAACTGCTTTTGAAATAAAAAGGGCATGGAGGATGTCATAGAAGTAGCGGTGCTTGCAGTAAGAAGTCAGATCAGACTTTACAACCTTGTTAAATGAGGGACTGAAGGCCTGGGGTCCCCACCACTCCTTCCCGTGAGCCAGTGCCCTTCGTACTCCACTTTCCTTATGTGTGAAAAGGGGCACCTG
Source organism: Homo sapiens (assembly GCF_000001405.40). Classification (NCBI taxonomy): domain Eukaryota; kingdom Metazoa; phylum Chordata; class Mammalia; order Primates; family Hominidae; genus Homo; species Homo sapiens. The sequence goes on from NC_000010.11 coordinate 77,290,521, forward strand.
AGGAAGGGTTGTATCTTCAAGCACTTTAATCCCATTACCCAATTATTCACGTGCACAGACCCATAATTGGGAGTTAGATGTTTTCCTTCAGTGCTCAAAATAGAGCAAGTTTGTCCCTCAAAACCAAAAGTACTCAGGTCATGAATGAAGGCTGAAGAAATTCTGATCTGGCGGGAAATTCCACTTTCTGACAACCCTGATGGTACCTCTGAAAAAAACAAACACAATGACTGCTTTTGAAGGGCAGGAGACAGAAAGACTTAACCAGTACTTTTCAAAGGGAGGAAAATTCTGTGTCATCGTAAGCTTGAATAAACCCAGTGCTGTGAATTGCCAAAGGAGAGGTTAACTGTTTTGAAAGCTGTGGCATTTTTCTCATCAGTGTCTCATGAGGCTGGCCAGGAGGGGCAGTTGGAAAGAAGGCTCGGAGATTTGATATTCAGGAAGTCCACCAGACATGCAGCATTCTTGACAAGATGCCTTTCACCTAATGTCATATTAGCAATTCAGACAGAAACCCAGGAAAGTTAGCACACACATATGCCCCACGCTACACATGAGCCCTCCTCCCAAACCACAGCTTCCCGTGCCTCTCTTCCCCATGAATTTAGTACCAGCCTCCAAGGGTTTCTGCCTTCCTTTCTGCAAGTCAATTGAAGTAACTTCCAGAAATGCCTTAATTACAGGCCAGTATCACTGTCATTAGAGGTTTAAATAAAAAGTCCCCGGATTCTAACCTGCTGAGATTTCTTGTATGAAATGTACTTACGGAACTTTGATAAAGTACCAGTCAACTCTAACACTTAAATGGGAAAAACTGTTGCAGCTCAAAATTCAACTCTCATGCAAAACTCCAGGGATGAGGCAGCAAAGGTACCACCTCAGCAAGAAGAAAAAGGAAGAGAGAAAAAAGAAAAACAGGTACTCCATAAATTACCCACATAAATCAGTTTAGGCAGACTACAATTTTTTTTAACACAGAAAACGCTTAAAGGAAAATTCACAGAAAATCCATGATTACTCCTTTAGCAGGGCGAAATGTCCCAATAAGAAGGAGATGTATTAATGGGTGGCCAACCACCTCTTTTGCTCCAGTCGCCTTCCGTGGAGAATAATCAACAGAAGGAAATCTAAAAATCAACATAGAGAGGCTGCGGTGAGCTGCTTCATGGGTCCTGGGATAGGGGGCATCTGAACTATTTCCCAGCGTCTGGGGGAAAAGGAGTGAACATTTTCAAGTGCCTCATATGTGCTGGTGCTTTACTTGGGCTGTTTATTTCATTTTTTCATGTTCTTTCAAGGTGTTCTTAATTCTGCCTTACAGACCAGTGGAGGCTCCAGTATGTTAGATAAATTCCCCAGGGGCACCAGTTAAGGATCACTAGGAATGCGGAATTCCCCTCCAGCTCAGCTCTGCCCTGAACATCTTGATGCCAGGAGTAAATTCAGGGCTCTGAGAAGGGTCCCAAATGTTACAAACTTTAAAATTGAACTAAGGGATGAAAGTTTAAAATTGTCTTCAAAGGAATTCCTCAAGTAACATAACCCTGCACATATAAAAGTGTCAGCAGGCTCAGATTAAAGGGCTCATGAAAGAGGGTTATTTCCAGAGATAAGAATCCTTCATCCTCCTCTGGGCAGGGCAGCAGAGATAGAAGGCACAGCCGGCTGAGACCCCGCCGGGCCTCAGGAAGTCTCCACTGTTAAACCCAGCCTGCAAAGCCCTTCCCTCTTAGGGATCCACTCCATTAGAGTTGACCTGAAAGCTGACTCCTTTGGAGTGGTGCGTTCCATTAATTCATCCATCCAACAATTGCTTGCTGAGGACCTAGTATGTGTCAAGACAGCTGGAGATAGAGCAAGGCACCAGTCATTTCAGTGTTTTCAGATGAATTCCCCACCTATTGCCTGCTCTATTCTTAATCACAGGGGCGGCCCCCACTATGTTTTCTGGCACTGTTGCCAACTGGATCATACTGGATTTGGCCAGTGGAAGCACTGGGCAAAGCCCAGAGGGCGGAAGGAAGGGAGAAGTTGGAACCTGTCCCTCTCCTGTCTGTTCTTCAGCCATGATTAGGTCTCCTCCATGATACCACCTCCTCTTTTTGTCCTTCCAGGCCCCAGCTCCTTTCTCTTGTCAACCTCCGGGTTGCCCTACAGTGACCTACTTAGCCATTCCACTCTTCTGATGCTAGGGTAATAGTTCCCTACATTAAATATACTCTCTTGAGCCACTTTGTTTTCCTGGCTGGGTTCTGACCTCTACAAGCATTGAATCTGACTAACCAGATCCCTGCCCTCTTAGAACTTACATTCCAGTGGGCAGGAATACAATAAGCAAGTAAGCATTCAAATACATGAATAAGAACAGTTCCTGATCATGTTAGGATTATGAAGGAAATTAGCATCGAGGTGGCAGGATTTGGGGATGGAGAGCTATATCAGCTGGTAAGGGGATATCTCTGCTGAGATCTGAAGAACGCAATGGATCTACCTTTGAAAGGCCAGGAGAAGAGCATGGCAGGCAGAGGGAACAGTAGGTCAAAGGTCTCCCAGGAAGAACTAGCTTGGTGTGCTTCAAGAGCCTCCAGAAGCCAATGTGGCCAATGCATCTGAGCAATGGGGGATGTGTCAGGGGCCAATGCCATGGGAAGGAGTTTGGAACTTACAATTGATTTCATTTACATTTAAAAAGATCACTTTGGCCAATGTATAGGGAATTTTCCTCATTGTTTATAAAGAGAGACCCTTAATGCCTCACCCTGTCCAGGCATATCCCCATCTTGAAGGTCTAAGAGAGAGCTACCCCTCCTAATGAGTTTGCACAACAAGAATGGGGGGGACAACCATAGCTCCTAAAGCATGGTTCTGAGGGAGAAACGGTGGTTCCCTTGATATCAGCTCTACCATGTTCTGAGGCCATGGTACAGAAGAGGTAACCATTCATGTGCATGACAGCCCTGACTCTAAGGGGCATTGTGGGTTCCTTTCTTAACCATTCTGGAAGGTTCCTGGTGAAAGGACTGATGCACATCCACATAGCCTTGCATTCCAAGGTGATCCACTGGACCGTCTAGACTTTTATCTCTGGACCCTGGGAGTTGCAGACACTGTATCAGAACCTCCAACCTTCCCCTTGGCCTGCCAGAAAGCTGAAAGTTTCCATGCCTCTGCTTTCCAGCTCTTTCTCTGCTACATCAGAGAGCCCCTTTCTCATGTCCTCAAAGTGACAAATGTATGCTGCCAAGCAAGGCTGAGGGAAAGAAGGAAATAGAAATGCAGTCCCCATCATGCATTCTTTCCCAAAATGCGACTAATCTGGCATTTAGGTTGTTTGCTCCTTTAATCAGAATGCCATTAAGAAATCTCTGCCGGGTTTCTGTACACAGTTTTTCTCTAATGAAGCATCAAATCTCTTTCACAAACAATAGCTGTGTCACATCCAAGCACCCTGGCCCCAGCCGGTGTGGCTGCAGTCTCTGCTAAATGTGCTGCCTCTTTCAGGTCTGTTCCTCCCAGAATAGCCCGCCACTGCGGTACTCAAATCAAAGTCTCGACACTGTCTAGCTCCAGCAACGTGGACAGACAAAAGAAATCAGAGGTTTTCAAGAAGACATAGTGCTGTGTCCCTAGAATTTGACAGAATAGCTTGGAATATGATGTTTAATGAATAGCCTTTCTAGTGAACATGTTTGTCCTGGCTTCAACTCTGGGCCCAGGTTTGCAGTGGCTCACCCAATGGGTGTACTTATCATCCTTGACTTAACCCCCAACTAGTGAGCTATTTCCTGGAGGGTGGACCTTGTCAGAGGCAGAACTATAATGAGATGTCCCCAGAGCTATTAGTGAATAACATGGCAGAGCCCTGCTGAGCATGGTGTTTGACCAGGCCCAGGTGCCATGGTCTCTAAGCATATGTTCATATATACATCTTGGAAGGCAATGCAGCAACAACTATCATTATTTAAGGTGCACATAACCTGGGACCCAAAAATGCCATTCATAGGAGTTTACCCCATAGATACACTGGCACATGTGTGCAAAGACCAATGTAAGAATGCATTTGCTGTTACATTGTTTATTACAGCACAAGATTAGAAACAATGTTACAATCAGGGCCAGGCACAGTGACTCACGCCTGTAATCCCAGCACTTTGGAAGGCTGAGGTGGGCGGGTCATCTGAGGTCAGGAGTTCGAGGCCAGGCTTGCCAACATGGTGAAACCTTGTCTCTACTAAAAATACAAAAACTAGCCAGGCCTGGTGCCACACGCCTGTAATCCCCTCTACTTGGGAGGCTGAAGCAGGAGAATCTCTTGAACCCAGGAGGTGGAGGTTGCAGTCAGCCGAGATTGTGCCACTGCACTCCAGCCTGGACAACAGAGCAAGACTCTGTCTCAAAAAAAAGAAAAGAAACAATCTATTGATAAGGGGCTCCCAATTACATATATTTGGATACACCAATGCAAAGTAAAAATATGTTGTAGCTGTTTTTAAAGGCAGGTATATAGGTCTGATGTGAATAGATCATTAAGAAATAGTGTGAGGCCGGGTGTGGTGGCTCAGGACTGTAATCCCAGCACTTTGGGAAGCCAAGGTGGGCAGATCACCTGAGGACAGGAGTTCAAGACCAGCCTGGCCAACATGGTGAAACCCTGTCTCTACTAAAAATACAAAAATTAGCCAGCAAGGTGGTGCATGCCTATAATCCCAGCTACTCCAGAGGCTGAAGCAGGAGAATCACTTGAATCCCGGAGGCAGAGGTTGCAGTGAGCCGAGATCATGCCACTGCACTCTAGCCTGGACAACAAGAGTGAAACTCGGTCTCAAAAAAAAAAAAGAGAGTAGTGTGAAAGTGCACCATCATTTTTTAAATGGGAAAATTATACATAGACACGCATATATGTGTGCACATACGCTTGTATGTGCATAGATTCTCACTGAAAGTGTACACTAGAGATTGTTAATAAACAGTTTTCAGGCCGGGCGCGGTGGCTCACGCCTGTAATCCCAGCACTTTGGGAGGCCGAGGCGGGTGGATCATGAGGTCAGGAGATCGAGACCATTCTGGCTAACAAGGTGAAACCCCGTCTCTACTAAAAATACAAAAAATTAGCCGGGCGCGGTGGCGGGCGCCTGTAGTCCCAGCTACTCGGGAGGCTGAGGCAGGAGAATGGCGTGAACCCGGGAGGCGGAGCTTGCAGTGAGCCGAGATTGCGCCACTGCAGTCCACAGTCCGGCCTGGGCGACAGAGCGAGACTCCGTCTCAAAAAAAAAAAAAAAAAAAAAAAAAAAAAACAGTTTTCAGCTCTGGGAAGGAAAAATGGGGCATTAGAAACTGGGGATGAAGAGATATTTTAAAGTATATGATTTCAAACAAATTAACTTTTTTTTATTTTTACAAGTACATACTTAATCTCTTTAAAAGTAATTTTGTAAAAGGGCAAAATGCAGTGCTCCCTGAGGCTCTGGTAAATAAACCGAGAAATCACTGACTGGAAGTTGTGGTAGATAAAATAATGACCCTCAAAGATGCCAGTATCTTAATCCCAAGAACCCATGAATATGTGACCTTACATGGCAAAAGGGGTTTGCTGGTGTGATTAAGTTAAGGATCTTGAAATGGGGAGATTGTCCTTGATTATCCAGGTGGGCCCACTGTAATCACTAGGTCTTTATAAAAGGGAGGTAGAGGGTCAGAATCAGAGAAGAAGATGTGCCAACAGAAGCAAAAGTAAGAAGTGATGTGAGGAAGGGGCCATGGACCAAAAAGTGTAGGCAGTCTCTAGAGGCTAGAAAAGGAAAGGAAGCAGAGTCTTCCCAGAGCCAGCCTCCAGTCCTGCTGACACTTTGACTTTAGCCCAGTGAGATGATTTGGGATTCTGACCCCCCAAATCTGTAAGACAATAAATTTATATTGTTGCAGCCACTAAGTTTGTGGTAATTTGTTACAGCAGCAACAGGGAACTAATATGGAGGTAAACCTTTTAAAACCAACTAATTCATGTGTCAGAAGGGGGACCATCAGCCATGCTTACCCAAGTGGAGGCTCATCACCCTTGATTGATCATTCTGCTGGGGACAGGACAGATTTTCCATAACACTATCAGTTCCAATGAAAGCTGATGTATGAAAAACATCTCCCTTAGTTGGTCTGATGGTAGCAGTCTCCTGGATAGAACTGCCATCCCAGACCCACACTGGGGTGAGCTTGGCAGCCATCTGGCCTCATCACTATGCTCTTCACAGAATGCTATCTCCACTCTAGCATGTGTCTGTCTCATTTATCAAGCTGATGACATGGCGGTATGAAAAAAACAGATGAGAGGTCCTACCTGCCGATCTGCTCCAAAGAGATTATAAAATCTAAGAGGAATGCCTGGGTGTGTGGGCGGGGGGGCGGTGGGGGAATGTAGAGAAGAACAAAGTTCCTTCTGGAGCTTTGGGAAAGCCGTTTGTGAGCCTGGACTTCCCCCAGCCTTTGAATCATTAATCTGGTTGTACCCAAGACATCCAACAGGGTGCAGACTTGCCTCATTGCTCCAGAAGCTGAGACCACCCCCGTAACTTGTGAGGACGGAGGTCCTACCCCCTGTGAAGAAGGCTGAGACACAGAGAAAACTGAGAGATTAAATTTATAATCATAACCTTCCTCTGGCTTCCAGAGAACTACAAAACAAGGACACATTCCCACTGTCTCTTGTCCCAAGAGTAGAGCCAAACCAAATAGCCTCACCATACCCAACATTATGCAACTTGAAGCCCAATCAATTGGCTCCACCCACATTTCATCTACAGGACATTGTTGCCAAACTTCTTAGGTATCTTCAATATGAGATTTTTAAAGAGCTAAAGATATAACAGAAAAAGCCTCAATGGAAATTTTACGGCTATTTTCTTTTGCGGCTCAGGGAACATAAGCTTTTATCATTTTCCTTCATTCAAGTAACAGCTTTGCCCTAGCTCCATGGTTGTCATGCATGGTCCATGGTGCTGCTTTGATGATTTATAACCAGCTGAGTCATCATCTCACTAAGTCAAAAGAGATTAGTATGTGAACCTATTTGGTAAACTGTAAGGCACTACACACGTCTGGTGGCAAGGCTTGTAAAGCTCTAAATACACGCATAATTAATGTGACTACTCCCCAAGACAGATGGTATAAAGGAGACGACCTCTACCTATGAAAGGAAGGGGAGAAGAAAAGATCAAAACCACCTCCTTCTCCAGCCAAGCTATGTTTGCTCTCCCATTCCTCTCCTTACTCCCAAGATCTAAACATGACAGGAGTGGAGAAGGGAAGATGTCTTTAATTTCCTGGTTAATTTCTCCTGCCTGGATTCCAAGATGGAGACCCAAAGGGAGACCTGTGTGATAACTGGCCCTCAAAGGAGTGCACACAGTAGACCCAGGAGCAACAGCAAAAGTTGCTGACTAAACCTGGGGACAGCAATTGGTATCCATCCCTCAGGCATTTACTTTGCCTTTTCCTCACCAGTCAACTTCAAGGCCCTTGAAGTTGTCAAGAAACTGGCAACCTAGACATTTATATCCAAACCAGATCCAAGAATTGTATCGTAAGAATGGAACAATAATTGAACCTTGTGTCCCCTGCTAAACCAGAGAGAGCTTGTCAACAAAAAGGACTGAGAGAAGAATCCTGGGGAACGGGCTAATGAGAAAGGCTACCTGAACCTTCAGAAATACCTGGGGAGCTTATTTTATTTATTTATTTATTTTGAGACAGAGGTTCACTCTCAACGCCCAGGCTGGAGTGCAGTGGTGTGATCTCGGCTCACTGCAACCTCCACCTCCTGGGCTCAAGCGATTCTCCTGCCTCAGCGTCCCGAGTAGCTGGGCTACAGGCATTCACCACCACGCTCAGCTAATCTTTGTACTTTTAGCAGAGACAGGGTTTCGTCATGTTGGCCAGGCTCGTCTCGAACTCCTGACCTCAGGTGATCCACCCAACTTGGCCTCCCAAAGTGCTGGGATTACAGGTGTGAGCCACCGTGCCCAAACTTGCAGCTTATTTTAAATGGATGTCTGGGCTGCACTGCAGATCTATGGTGATAAGGCAGGAGGGGGCACCCTAACTGAAAAAAAAATCTCCAGATGATTCCAATACCCAGCTGAGTTTAGGTCCTACCACATTAGGTGACCTCCCAAAGGTCCCCTCATTTGATTTCCCTCCCACTTCCACACTGAACACCAGCAAGTCCAGAGAGAAATGGCCCTCGGCATCCAGCAGAGTTCTTTCCAGTGCCCGCCAGAGTGATGGCCACCAAACCTTCCTCCAGACTGGCTCCCATTGTGTGCAGGGCAGGCAGGACAGTCTGTAAGAGATCATCACTGTGGACAATCGGGGAAGGAGCTGGCCTGGGCAGAGACTGCCCTGAACATTCATGGGACCTGCGCCCCAGAGCATCAGATGGGCCTCTCTGCTGAAGGAATAATAAATATGTCTTTTGAACAACTGATTTTGTTGTTGTTGTGTTTCCACACATATATGTTCACCAGTGCTGGTTTCATAGTAGTTCAGTCGTACTGCACAGGTGAGCTAGGGGGCTTTCTTAAAAGCCAGAAGACTATTTAAATTTAGATTTGCATGCTGAAATGGAGCAACTTTTGGCATGTGATAAAGATGGGGAAAGTTGAAGACCACACCCTGCAACGCCCTCCCTGACTTACTACTACCACCCATCATCTCCCATTAAAAGAAACAAAACAAAACATCATTCTAATGCCAGTTAAACGTTGCATGTATTGATTAAGCCTTCCCTCCCATCTGAAATTCTCCCTAAGGAGTAACATTTTAAAGCTTGCAGTGAGGGTCCTAAGGAGGCTGCTGCTTTGACAGCCTGCATGAGCAGCAGAAGGGACCTTGCTCCCTAGGCCAGCATCTGGATTTCCCATCTGGCCCACGCCTGCAGCTGCGTAACCCTCTGGCCCCCCTCCAACGTGCCTCAAAATGTTATTTCACATTTTGGGTCCAAATGGACACTTTCTGAGAAGTCGGTGTAACCTATCAAGCTTTGGAAACAAGTTTAAGTTGTTTTTGTACTTTCCATTACCCAGGTTGTTCTGGAACGCAGCTCTAAGAGGTTCAGCTTGCCACCACGTCAAGGAATTTGAGAAAAGGGAAAAACAAAGAGGGGGAAAGCCTGCACAAGAAGACCGAGGGTCTGGAAATCAGAACCTGGTGTTTTCCAAAGGTCCTGTTCAGCCTACACTCCCCTTTTCCATTTCTGCCATGCTGTTGGGGCAAACTGGCATGGGAAGTAGGGGCTTTTGTCCTAAAGGCATAGCATCAAGGTCCCCAGAGCTACAAGGCTCTCCAATTCCTTCTCCCTGGTCCCGTATCATCAGACAAACCCAATAGAGTGATTCTCTAACATGCTGTGCTCAGAAAGGTGAAAGAACCACCAGGCGTGGTAGGGAGGCTGTGTCCACTGTTCAGCCCAGTCAGTGTGGCTTCTCTCCCTGGGCTGGGCTCCATCAGCTCATGCTGAGCCTCTGTGGCATTAGAAAAAATAATCCCTTGGCCTCAGGGCCTGCTAAGGGACTTCAAGCCAGATTTCATTCCCATTCACTTCCTAAGCCAGGTACCCTGTGCAGGGCATGAGAGCCAGTGGACAGGACGCCCCTGCACTTGGGAGATTCGGTACCCTGATTAAGGGAAAGCCACCTCCCTGGCTCTGGGGAAGGTAAGAGACCTGAGAAAGCAACAGCCTTGGATCTCACTACATTTTGTGGGCTACTTCTGAAAACCACACTTTGAATTCCAGTCCCATCACTGACCAGCTCTGGACTACCTGTGACTTTGAATAAGCTATTCAATCTGTGCCTCAACTCCCTCCCCCATACAATGGGGAGGATGTTAGCATCTATCTCACAGGTAGAGTTGTTGTGAGGACTAGGCAGAGTAATCCATATAAGGCACTCTATCATTATGTTGTTAGATCAGTTTCAAGAAGCACATTTTCCAACATAAAATGATTTGTGAAACTGAGATCTTATAATCAGTCCATATGTTAATACATACTTAATAGAGTTTTCTCCCACCGCATCCTCCAAAACAGCAGGTATTAAATCAATGGTGCATCTTTCTCATCAACGTATTTGAGTTAAGAAAATATGGTCTTTTAATTACCATTTCATGCATAGTAATGGCTGCAATGTTAAAGACTCACTTCTTCCTGGGTAATTTTGCAGCATAGTCTCTACCAGCACCCCTGGGGATGTAGGTGCCTACCAAGCCACCATCTCCTTTCTTCTCCAGCCCCTCTGGACTCCTTCAGGTGCTCTCAAACCTAAACTCATAAAATCCTTGCCAGATCCTTAGGGAGCATCCAACAAGTGGTTCTGAGCCCGAGCTGCTCACAGAAATCCTAGGGCACTCGCTGGCCCCACAGGTTCTGATTCCATTAATGGAAGTGAGGCCCGGGCATCAGCATTTTTAAAAGCTCCCCAGATGGTTGTAACATGCAGTGGAATCAAGAACTCTGGCTCCAGTCTGTCCCCACCTCCATCTGATGCCTGAAATCCCCTCAATCCCTGCAGCTAATGAGTAGCTGGCCAGCCTCTTCCAGGAGAATCAAAACTTCACTGACTTAGGTTGCAGAACACCATAATAAAGCAGAGGTTCTTCCTCAGGCAGTGTCTTTGTTGTTCTGAGATAAAGAAAAAGACCTTGAAGGCAATTCTAAGCTGGGAAATGAGAAAACCTGCCTCAAATGGAGTCCTTCTTCCCAGCCATCTTAAGCTCAGATACCTGGAATTTATTTATTTTGAACTTTGTAGAAATCTTTTGACTTACAAATGACCTAATTCTCTAAACTAGCTATGCTGAGAATGCAAGATAACTTTTATGCTGGCTTGATTCCATAAGAAATAGTGACTCATAAGGATCATCATCAGAAATAAATTTCTCAAAACTTTTAAGTAAATCTGTTTCTAGGTAAACTTGATGGACTTTTGAAGGATTATATTTCCCCCTTCTTTTTCCTCTTGCATCCATACCAAGCTCTTTTCTTTATGGCAGACCTTGTTTCCTCTCCATCTTCTACTTTCATAGATACAGTCCATCAAATCATACACATGACTCATTTCACCAACCACGAAGATTCTACCATGCACTGGAGAATTAGTGAGTTGGCTTCAACTGCACTTCAATTGACGCCCCGGAGGTGGGTAAGCATACATTTCCACATGTATGCAGATAGAAAAATATCTGATTGGGCACTAAATGTTTAATTCTCTGAGAAATTGGCAATCCAGTGAGAAAGCTACGCTAGGCATCCTAGATGCTTTTAGATCACAGTAATGGAAGCATCTCACAACAGCCTAATGTTTTCAACCCATCAGAAAGCAGAGTCCCAGAGAGCCTATGGGGACTCAAAACAAACCCAACTAAAGCCAGGTGGAGTGACCTCTCATCTCAGACTCCAAGGCTTGGGAGTAGGAATGGGCAAAGTGGAGACAAGCTGCCAAATATTAGGGGTGCGCCATGTCCTACATGTTGGATGGGCCCTTTACACATGCCATCTCCTTTAACTTCCTTCTCACAGTAAGTGGGGAGACAGAGATTAGAATCAGGCTCGCATAAGGTCACAAAGATAGTAAACAGCAGACCTAGGACTTAGCCCTGGTCCCTCTGATTTCCAAGCTTCCTTCCACCAAATGGTGGAGTAACTTGCTCCCAATCCATGGATCCAGACCTGGGAAAGGGGCTGCTTCTCTGAGCTCCAGGAGCTATTGGTTGAGAATCCTCTCTTTTTTGCATCCCTGGGTTGCTGCCCACCCCCATACTGCTCCTTAAGCACTTAATTAATGGTGTCCTGTGGCCAGTCCTGATGATGCAGTTTTTCTTGGTCACTCTGTGGGCCACAGACTTGCAGCTGCCAATTCCCCCTACAAGCATTGCTCGGGTCCAGGCCCACTGTAGGAGACACCCTGACTACTCCGGTGCAGATCTCACAGCTACCATGACTGTTTGTTCAGCCCCCACATTCTCCAGGGTCCCAATTTCTTGTCCCACATTCAAAAAGAATGAGGTTATGCTGCCAGCCAGTGGGTGAGCAAGGTGAAAAGTTTTATTAACTGATGAAACAGCTGTCAGCAGAGAGGGGACGTGAGAATTGTCTACCACCCAAAGTCAGGTAGTCTCTGTGTCCCAGTGTGGCTGAGTCCAGGGTTTTTATGGGCTCAGAAAGGGGATGGATACTGATTGGTCTGTGAGTATGCAAAAAAAGGCAACAGTGTAAAAACCAATTGGGGAAGGGTGGGTATAGGTGAAGAGGTGGGGGTTAATCAGAGGAAAGCATGCCAAATGGGAAGAGAGGTTCTCAATCCAGTCTGTGGATTTATCCAAGACTTGTAGCTTGGCTTTCAGACTTTAAACTGGCTTTGGTTTGCAGGGGGGGGTTTCACTGGGGACTCACCTGTGTTTGCCTAGGGATTTGTCTACCTCCTGCTGTATCACTGAGTTCAAATCCCCATTCTACCACTTGCCAGCTGTGTAGCCTTGGGAAAATTACTAACCTCTCTGGCCTCAGTTTCTCCATGTTTGAGGTGGAAATAATAATACCTACTCTGCTCTGAACACTAAATGAGCTCATTTACGATGGCATTTAGAAGAGTGGACAGAAGTGAATGTTCCTTCTCCCATTATTCATATTGACTCCACCAGTACTGTCTCACAGGGTCACTGTATCATGGCATCCATCTTTCCATGGGTACATGTCTTGTATAGTCCTTAGGGGAAGGTCTTGTTCTTCTCTCCTCTCCTCAGGGTCCACTCACTTATGCATTATCTCATAAAGGATACTGAAGCCCATTGAGGGCATTTCCTAATCTGAAGGGGCCTCTGATAGACTTCTACTACTTAAGTCTCCCATCACTTTCCCACCCTTAACCCCATTCTAGAAAAACCCATAGGTAAACAGAGTATACCTGATTTTCTAATACCCATTGAATATTTTATATTTGTTTTTATACTTTGCAATGAAGAATGTTTCAGTAAATTTCCTAAAGGAAACAAAAAACTCATAGATGATATAAGTAAGCCATGTCACCCCTGGGCTTCCTCCACCTTCCACTGTGTACTACAGGCAGCACAGTCCCTCCCATGCTGTGCTCTGACCTTGCCTGACCTTGCCACCCTGAGTGTGACCTGCAGACCAGCAGCATCAGCATACCCAGGAAGTCAGTTAGAAATGTGAATTCTTGGGCCACAGACTTAAAGACTCAGAATTTGAGCCCATGGATTCTTGCTTCAGGGTCTGTGCTCTTCGCCACCACACTACACTGTTTCTCTTTATCAGCAATGAAATTGAGAACAGACTCATTGCAAGACGCTCATTGTCAGCTCCGTCCTCTACTGACTTCAAAACATCATCAGCTTTTCACATTAAATTTGTTTATCACCCGTCTCAGATACTATCTTTGATATCAGAGGTAAGACTGGCATTGTGGACAGATGTTTTCATGCCTTGACCCAAAAGGGTAACAAACATGGATACTGCAGGCCAACACGAAGGAATTGTGTTGATGGGCCATAAGAACCACAATGGGTCCCTTAAACCACACCTCAGCTACCTGATTTCCTGCACATAGGGCCAGAAATATACTAAGGGGAAAATGGTAGAAGGGAAAATGAGAACAAGAAAGAATGAGATACCCTGCAGGTGTCTTCCTCTACTAGGGAGGCCCCTGAGAAATGACTGAATGTTTTTAGCAAAAGATTAGAAGAATAATATTATCTTGCCATCTGTTATTGCTTATAGAGAGCCAATAAGTGTGTCTTAGAGATTCTGAGTTCCAGGGATGATCCCACTCAGGTTCCCTGACCCACTGTGAGTCATACCTCCATAGCAGAGGGGCCCCTAACCCCAGGATTTCCATGCCTTCTGCAAGCTGGTCTTTTAGATTTCATCAGCAGTCAGTCCTGTGGCCATGGAACGGGGAATGATCGATGACAGCCCACTGAAGGAGGACCTTCTTCTTGTTTGCTTGGTTCTGGGGAATGCATCTCCTAGGCAGGAGCAACACGTGCCATAATGGTAAAATAATTTGGGAAAAAATGGCAAAAAATATTTGCTTTTGCCTTAAATCTACCAAAAGTGGATCACAGGTTGAAAACTGCCTGATCTTGGTCGTTCGAAGCCCCTGAGTGGCTCAGTATTTGAACTCAGTGCAGCCCTGAGCAACCAATTAATATTTGCCCAGTGGGCAGGATTGACTTCAGTTACCTAAAGATGTTACTACTGCTCTTCTGGTTGCCCAGAGATTCCCACACCCCGTGTGCAGCACAGATCCAGCAGAGACTCCTTGCCAAAGGCCATTGCGGTCCAAGACCCCAAAGAGGAAGGCTCCAGAGGTGACTGCTGCTTGGGAAGTCAATATCGGACATGAGTGCTAGAACCAAGGTAATGCTTCCCAGACTTCACTATGCCCACCAGAGACCTGGAGAGCTTGTTAAAATTTTGACTGCTGGGCCAAGAGAGCTGGGGCTGAACCTGAGAATCTACATTTCTAACAAGTCTCCAGGGGATGGTGGTCGATGGACCACACTGAGAAGCACCATGTCTGAAAATCTTTTGAGCCAAACATTTTATTTCACCAATGAAGAATTTGGGACCAGAGAGGCTAACTAGTATGTCCAAAATCACCCAGCACATCAGTGACAGGGTTGGGACCAGGTGCCCTGACTCCTAGTTTCCACTGTGTTCCCACTCTATCAGCTTACCTTAAAACAGCAATCGTCATAGTCATTTTATGAACTATAACTCATTTTGAGTACCAAATGCTTTTCCTATTTCCTCTTCTTTATCTTTATAATCACCCTTTGAGGTTGAGGGCATGGGTCTCAACTTATAGAGAAAGAAACGAAGGTTGAAAAAAGTAACAACAACAATGAAAATTGGCTCTAGATCACAAGCCAAGGAGTAGAGCTGGATTCTACCCAGTTCTCTCTGACCTTGTGCTGTTCCTCTTTACATCTCTTCAGGTTCTCAGAGGGGAGCTCTCTCTACCAAAGGTTTAATGCAAGACCCACATAGTCACCTAGCTTACGGAAAGGACAGGCCTGAAGACTAGGGTAAAATTAAGATGATAAAACAGTGAACAAATATTTTAAAACTATGTCCAGGAGGAAAGCTAGAGGAAAGAGCCCTAAGCCCCAGCTGCTCCATAGGCTACCTGTCATTCTCTTTCCAAAACCTTTCAGGGGTTTAAGACCTAGAACCACGTGTCTGACACCACAGCCCTGTAAATTCTGTCCCCAAGAGTCCTGAGGCTCTGCGCAAACAAAATTAATAGCCTGCAAACTCTAAATGGGTGATTACAATCTATAAAGCAGCCCATAAAATGACATCATGGGGATTCATATTTATTTTCTCCCACTGATTTCCACTATAAATTTGCTTGGTTTATGAGTAGAAACAGTTTCTTCTGCTACGTGCCTGGGCATAAAGCTCACCTAAAGATGGAAACCTAAAGATGTCTGGGGCTCACTTCACCCCCAGTGGTGCTCTGGTCAATGGGACACACAGAAGAAACCTCCCAAGGAAGCTCTGGAAACCCCAAAGCAGCCACTGCCTCTACAAACATGCCCTGAGAGCCTGCTGAGCTGCAGGCTTCTGTGCTAGGTCTTGAGCAGTAGCCAACAAAATGGGGGTGGTCTCTGCCCTCAGGGACCTTGCAAGGGTCCCTGAAAGGGAAAGAGGAGACAGACACTAAACAGAAAACTACATGGATAACACATGGGGGTTCATTAGGGAATGCAAAGGGAAAGTACAGCAAGCTATGAGCTGTGGAACAGGAGCAGCTAACCTGATCTGGTAGGGGTGATGCCCAAGAAGGATGAGTAAGTGGAGGCTAAGCAAAAGGTGGGGAAAGGGAGAAGAGGAGAGACATTCCAAGTAGAGGGATCCACATGGGTAGAGCCCAGCTGTTTGCTGCTGTTGCAGTTGAGCCACATGAGTATCAAATAAAGAATGACAAAAATTCTGGGTCAGACAACACATATAGGATATAATAAGATTAGGTTTTCTTCCAAGTGCAATAGAAATAAATGAAGAGTTTTAAGAAAAGAATTAACATGATCAGAAAACCATCTTAGAAAGATTCTACCAGCCGCAGTTAGAAGAATGGATTTGACAGAGAGGGGGTGTTTAGGAGGGAATGTCAGCAGATTTGTAGGACACTATTGCAGTTGTCTACACAAGAAGTGATGGTGGCCTGAACTAGGTAAGAATAAATGGGCCACAGTGCTATCTAGGAGGTAGGACCGATTAGGGCTGTCAGACCCAGCTTACGCAAAAAGGGCAGGGCATTTAGGAGGTGCACAGTAGATAATGGTGATCACTGACCTACTGGCACTTGCAAATGCTTTGAATCCAATCTCATTAGCCAAGGTCAATACCTGGAAGCCACTCAGAAGCCAGTATTGGTACGAGGTCAAGTGACCACCTCACCAGTGCAACATAGCACACGCAGCTCAAGTCATCCCCAGACCAGTTGACACTCTCAACTTGCAAAAGAACACATGAGGTAGAATCCCTTTCCTTTAATTTAACCCAAGCTCTACTACTGCCTCAGTTCAAAGGTCATCAATTGCAAGATCAGCAGAAGGGGCATGGCTCCCTGAATCCCAACAAGGCTACAAGGGTTTTGGTTTTACATAGCTCATCCAAAGCCAGTCTCTTCTGGCCTTCAGAAATTTCTCCCTCTTCCAAGCTCCAAGGGCATTTATATCATCCCTGTACATGCAGACACAGTCCCCAACTTACAATGGCTCAACTTATGATTTTTTGAGTTTACAATACTCCAAAAGCAATGGGTATTCAGAAGAAGCTGTACTTCAAGTACCCATACGACCATTTTGTTTCCTACTTTAAGTGCAATATTCAATAAATTACATGCAATGTTCAACGCTTATCACAAAATAGGTGTTGGGTTAGATAATTTTGCCCAACTATGAGCTAATGTAAGTGTTCTGAGCACATTTAAGGTTTAAGGCTAGGCTAAGCCATGATGTTCAGTAGATGGAGTCTCGTTCCGTCACCCAGGCTGGAGTGCAGTGGCGCGATCTTGGCTCACTGCAAGCTCCACCTCCCAGGTTCAGGCCATTCTCCTGCCTCAGCCTCCCAAGTAGCTGGGACTACAGGCGCGCACCACCACGCCCAGCTAATTTTTTTGTATTTTTTTAGTAGAGACGGGGTTTCACCGTGTTAGCCAGGATGGTCTCGATCTCCTGACCTCGTGATCCACCCTCCTCGGCCTCCCAAAGGGCTGGGATTACAGGCATGAGCCACTGCACCCGGCCTAAACACATTTTTAACTTATGATATTTTCAACTTATGATGGGCTATCAGGATGTAACACCATTGTACGTTGAGAAGCATCTCATTCTACCTTGCTTAGATTCAATTTGGAATCACAACTTAGGCTGCCATTGTTGTCTAATAATTGCATGTTCATTAACCTGTTTTCCAAAAAGACTTTAAGCCACCTTAAGATAAGCACAGCATACCCAGCGACAAGGTGCTGTAGATGAGCACCTACTAAATATCAGAGAAAGAAGTGAATTGACTGGGCCCAGAAGAGAGGAAAATGCCAGTCTGGTGATGCCAGACCAACAGAGAGGAGTGAGTGGGAGGACAGGCTCAGCACTGAACTATCTAGAGTTGCCCTTGAGTCCTAGCCAAGATGGCTGTCACTCCCCAGGTGCCCAGAGATGGTGGCTTTCTTGAGCAATTGATCTGAAAATAGGTCCCCTAAGCAGACCTTGTCACTGAAGTTCACACACTGCCCAAGCTGAGTGCCATGCTGAGCATAGCCCAGATGAAATGATTGCTCATCTTGAGGGCAACATCCCAGACAAACCAGTCCCTTTTATGTCTCACTCACTATGGAGGGAAAGCCCCTGCTCTCTTGCCCTCAAACATTAGATGGGCTTACAGAAATGCATTCCCATTTCATAATGCCTGCTGTGATTCCAGGTAATTCCTCTAAGTGCACTATTAAATCCCAGCAGCTGTTCCAGATAACAGCAAAGTCGACAATTCCAGCTGCCGCCTTGTCAGGAAATGAAGCAAAGCAGCTGTAAGTTTCCTAACACTGAGACATGACCAAAATGGCAGCATGAGGGATCACTCATGTGCAGGTTTCTCCACCGCCATGCAGATAATGTGTGTCCACCATCACACATACATTACCTGCCCTGAGTCTACTCTGATGTCTGAGGCTGGAGGACTCAAAACTGTGGGCCATATTCCCCTGAGATACCCAGCTACAGTTATCTTTGAGATCCTCATGAGAAAGAATCCCAAATTAACACTGAGCCCCTACCCATAAAGCATGCTCAAGGTGCTGGAGAATTGCTTAAGGCCACACAGCTAAAATGGCCGCCAAGTCAGGATTTGAACTCTGATCCTGTGAGCTCCAAAGCATCAAGCTTCTCTATCCTTCACTGTTCCCTACTGCTCTTAAAGCCCTGTATTTCCCTTACCCAAAGGAGCCCGGCCATCTCAACAGTATTTTCGCCATCTGGGCCAACCACGTGCCGGCAGAGTGCATAAATACCACTTTTGTGACCAAAACTGTATTTCCTCGGTTGATCCAACATCAGCATCTTTGCACCTGCAACTTTCCTTAAGAAGAATTTTTCCATGATGTGATGACAGAATTTGCAGCCAGCAAAGGGGATCATAGACATACATGTACACACGAGCCCACAACCATCTACTTCAAAGCCTCCCAGCCTGAAGTACGCTCTCCAGATGTCTCTATATACCAGGTGCTTCGAGGCTGGCCAGCATCTCCCTGACAGCAGAACAAGTTAGTATAAGGAATTTCTATTTAAAAGCCAAGTTCTACAAAAGCTAAGCCAAGCAAGGTTCTAATAAACAGTAAAACCGCCACGTTGTGACACATGGCTTAAAGTTGGTCACTCACCTAGGTGGGTCAGAAAGACACCAATGCTTTTCATTTTCCCCAGCACCTCAACCCTGGTTAGTGCTAGGGTGGGATCCCTGGTGGGAGACTCCACCCACACTGAACCTGGCTGGCTTCACTTTTCCAGACTGGTGTGTTCTCCAGGCAAATATATATTTTCCCCCTACCCACCTCCCTCCGTGTGACTCAGCAAGCAAGTGCTGGGTAGGAGGAGTGCTGGTAGGGTGGGGGACGACTCTGTTCTCATTCCAGGCTCAAGGAACAGCCTCAGTCATGGACAAGAAGTATAGGCAGAGAGTCAGGAGACCAAGGCTCTAGACCTGTTGTTGATGACTAAGATGGCCTGGGATGAGTCCCACAGCCTCTCTGGTCTCAGTTCCTCATCTATAATTTGCAGGTTGAATGATACCTGAGGCTCTGTGATTGCTTGAGTCAGCCAACAGCTCAATCAGCCACACAGAAACAACCTCTCCTCTTCTCTCTTCCAGCCTGGATAAAGCTTGTGGGGCATGAGATTTATGGGTTTGGTGCTGAATTGCATCATGTATGAGGCAGAATTTGAGTTGGATTTTCATGGGTTGGGAGGATTTGTAAAGGCATTGAAGGCATGGGGGGACATGAGTGGCATAAACAAAGAAGTGGAGTCAGGAATGTGCTTAGCGTCTTTGAAGGAACCACTAGGGATGATAATTTAGACAGCGTGCACTAGTACAACTAAACCAGTCTCTCAAATATTGAAACCTTTTGTACCGGCTGGTAAACAGCCAATGGCCTTGACTTAGGAGTGCCCCCTCAGCTGCCCCTGCTGCTGCAGTGCCTATCCCCCATCCCAACCCCATGATCCAACAACCAAAGGGTTAATTTCTGAGATCTCGATCCAAAAGGTGCCCATACCATGGTGATCCTAGTCAGCCCAAAGCCACACCACACATCTAACAAGCATTCCTGTGTGCCAGATACCATCTTAGGCACATTAACATATGTTACTTTTTCTCCCCTTCACACTAACCTCTTCAGATTAAGGAACTGAGGCTTGGAGCAGTTATGTGACTTGTTCAAGGATGCAATAACAGTATTTGAACAAAGACCATTAAATCCAAGTCCAGAGCTCACTTCTTAAAACCCCAGCTGCCTCTGAGCAGCCTTGGCCCGCAGACAGACGAGCTTTGGAGGAAATAGGAGGAATTTCTCCCTGCTATGGAGATTGTTTTAAGATCATGAATTGTTAGCGGAACAAGTTGTCGTGGCAGCTTATGAAATCACCCTCTTCTGCGATTTTTATAAGTAAGAGGGGTTAGAATAGGCCCAGAGACAGAGGGAGAGATGAAATGACCTAATAAAACCCTTTCCAACCCTGGAACACTTCAGCCCCACATGAACAGAAAAGTCTATTTATTTTCAAAGCCCCATTTTAACTCCTGAAGTACTTAGGAGACTTAAATATGTCTGAAGGCAAAACAAGTTCCCTCTTTTTCCTCTTTTCCTACCACTCCAACTCTTCATTGCAGATTTTCTTCCTGCAGGTCTGACAAACACCATTTTTGGCCACAGCTGCTGTCAGTTCAAAAGTTTGGCTCTGGGGTCTGAAGACCAAAGTCTGTCCAAGGCTGATCACCTTCTGAGAAAGACTCTTAAATTCTGTGAAGAGTCTCCAGCAGAGGAGAAATTGGTTTAAAAAAGCAAGAAGAATCACCACAATGCATGCCCACTCCACATTACCAAGCCTGCACAACTCATGTTAGGGGATGTCTGCTGCTCCTCCAGCTTTCTCCCCTGGCAAATACAGTGGTGGTCCCTGAGTCCCCATTAGGGCCCAACAGCAGGACCAGTAGCAGCCCCTGTCAGAGAAACCACAGCCAGTTGGGGAGAGCGAACTCATACTATAGGCTTGTTTCCATGGCAACAGATGCTCCCTCCTCCCTGCTTCTCGGCACCAGGGAAGGACAAGGAAACCCATGAGAAGACAGTGGCAACTAGGGGGAGGAGGAATGGCAGCAAGTCCCCTTTCTTTGAAACCCAGGCAGCTGCTGCCCCACATGTTGATGGTTACAGCTCTCAGTGACCTTGGACAAGTTATGCCCCAGCTCTGAACTTTGTTTTTATCATTTAAAAAAATAAATAAATAAAAAAGATCAAGAGATTGAGAGAGAGAGCAAGCGAGCTGGGCCAGAGATGATCCAATAAAGCTATTTCAGCTCTGATGTCCCAGAATCCAATGATTTGTCTAACCTGGCCAGTGATTGGGAATGGGTTCACCTCTTCTTGCAGCCCTCTGCAGGAGCATGACATTCCGCAAGGCTGGAGTGGATCTGCCTCTCAGGGACCTAAGCCTTATCCATTCCCCCAGTCATGCTGCCTCCCTCACAATGGTCTGCTGTCATTTCTCTGAAATCATCTCAGGAGATCTATCCCATGCTTTCCTAAGGGTGCACGGGTTTCCTGGGGCTCACACAAGCCATCCAACATGACAGGTGAGCCAGAATGTCATGGCACCGCACCCAGCCACTTGCCTCCCACCTCACTGATGTTGTTGGATTCAACCTGCAATTCAGATGCACACAGCCCACTAGGCGCTAGCCTGCTATGACTGCGCAAGCGAAGGAACTCCAGGGAGAACACCCAGAAAGGTCATTTTGTTTGGTATGAAGAGTGCTAGGGTGAGGTGAGGGGCAGGGAGTGGGACAGAAGCTTCCCAGGAAAAGGGGAAACCATGCACAGCAGCCAGGAGCCATGGACTCCAATACCCCAAGGTTTGGAAAAGTACTTGTAATTTTGGCTGATTGACCAAAAGTGGAAAGAGGAGTGTAGCATGAGAGAAGGGAAGAGAGGAAGGACAGAAAAGTGGACAAAGAATTCCAGGAGATGGCCGGCCGCGGTGGCTCATGCCCGTAATCCCAGCACTTTGGGAGGCCAAGGCAGGCGGATCACCTGAGGTCAGGAGTTCGAGACCAGCCTGGCCAACATGGTGAAACCCCATCTCTACTAAAGATACAAAAAATAACTGGGAATGGTGATGCACATTTGTAATCCCAGCTACTTGGGAGGCTGAGAGAGGAGGACTGCTTGAACTTGGGAGACGGAGATTGTAGTGAGCTGAAATCGTGACACTGCACTCCAGTTTGGGCAACAGAGCGAGATTCTGTCTCAAAAAATAAAGAATGCCAAGAGGCATAAAAACACGGCAATGCTTCCAGGGCTGGATTTAGGGGAGAAAAGGGAGTACTCATTGTTGGAAGTACAAGCCACATGCCCAGTGCTAGCTTTTATGGGAGTAGCAGGGGATAGCTGAGGGCCAGGTTAGTCACTGAGCCCTCCACATGAGCCTGGTGGGGGTGTACTTGTTTCCATTGTATGCATGAAGAAGCAGCAACTCAGAACTACAGCATGATTTCACCTAGTAGGTCAGCTACCCCTTTTCTGGAGTATACAATCTTGCTGGGGGACAAAATAAACAATCATGGACAAATTACCACATGATTTAAAAATTGACACACGGCCACTCTCACAACCATCCTCAGAAATCCAGAAGTTCAGGGAGGAACAACAACAAATTGGACTTCTGAGGACTTCCTGTTGCCAGTGGACTTTAAGAAACGTTCAGCCTCTCCAGCGCAATTCACCCCTAACCTATCAGACTCCGCGTTGGTCTGTGATGGCTCATCTCTGGCTCGGAAATGGTTAAACAGTTCATTTCTGTGCTTGAATCAGGAGCTTCCTTAAACGCTAGCATAAAGCTGGTCTACACATAAGAAATCTGATTAGCTCCCAGCATTGGGCAATCCCAATTATTATGCCCTGCAAGTTGCTCTGCAGGATTAGCGGTCTGCGGAAGAAAGGAATCAATATACAACAGTAATTAGGGCTCCTGATGCCGGTAAGAGGAGCACTTCTCTTCCCCTTAAGCCACTCACGACAGAGTCCATGAGGGGACAGGGCCTTCACAGCACTGCCAGTCTCTGTTTTCTAGCATATGTTCATTTTGACTTTGGTTTTTATTTACTGAAGGATGTGAAATTCTCTGCTACTGGGCCAAGACTTTAGGGCTACATACGTCACCCAAGAACAGCGAACAGGATGTGTCATGCATGGGACCTTCCTTCCAAGGAAACTCAGGGAAAGCAGATGCTAGGATCCTGGCAACCCCAGGAAACCTAATCAGTGTCCCTGTAACCAAGAGCTCTTTGAGAACAGGGGCTGTGTCTTATTTACCTTATATCAATGTGGCCTAGCACAGTACCTGGCACATGGTAAGTAATGAACGGGATGGATGAGGAAGTGAATCAATGAGTAAGTGAATTAATAACACATGGTTTTCAGTTTGTCAAAAACTTTATCTGTGAGCCTGCTGTGCACAGAATTTTGTACCCTAATACTGTAGTAGCAATTTACATTGGACTCACAGGATTTGGGGGTTAAAGGGAATTTGAATATAACCCAATCTGGTATTTTTAAAATCACAGGTTGCAACCTATTAGTGGACCATGAGATCAGTTTCATGAGTCCTGACCGTCATTTTATAAATGAAATGAGAATGGAATGAAATGAAGTGGAGTGGAGTGGGATGGAATGAGATGGAACTAGCAGGAAATAATAGAATATTCCAGAATAGAAACTATCAAAGTACATCACATGTAGTAAAGGTGAGTACAGGAAAATTAGGCTTGTACTTGCAGGGCATGAGTGTGTGTCTATTGGGTGTACAGTGTCTTAAGGCCAAAAGCCACTGATGAATCTAACCATTCATCCAGTGATTTTCACTGCCCTCAGAGGCCACATCAGGGACAAATAATTTTCCTTTTTGATCCCCTCTTGTTACAGGAAATGAATTTCATCCAGAAGCAGCCTGTTTCACTTACAGACTGTCTGGCTGCAGGAATTAGGGCAAATCAGAGATGTTATAGAAAGAAAAAGAAAATGTTTCCTAGATCAAAACACCCATCTAAGTGCTGGGGCCATAGAGATGAGATCGATTCCATTTTCCACATGACAAACATTCAAAGATTTTAGAATGTCAATTGCGCCCCTGCTGAATGGCTTGGAGAAGAGCAGGAATAGTTCTAGTTATCCTAACAATTGCTCCTAAGATGTTGCTTTGTACCTGCTCGTTATCCATCTTGATTGTGTTTATGTAAGTTCCAGCCCATTCATGACCCCTGGTGTGTGGCATGAAGACCATCACATTTGAGTCTGGTCTGAAGCTTGTCTGGGTGATGGCTGAGGTGAACCCATGTTAGCTCCTGGTGCTCACCAACTCTCTTCCTAAAAGCTCTCACATTATCTGTTCAAAAGCCTGCATCCACCTAGCAGGGTAATTTCATCATCCCTGCCCTCTCGTCTGTGAATAAACAGCTTGAACTAATAGTATTTTTCAAATGTTTTTGACCACAACCCTCAGGAAGAAATGTACTTTACAACATGGTTCAGAAGACACCACCACACCCCCAACACACACACACACACACACACACACACACACACACACACACACGAAGCAATGTTTACCTTTACTATATATAATGGGATGTACTATGATGTTTTATTCTATTCTGCTTCATTTCTTATGATGTTGGTGATGACCCATTAAATAGATTTCACAAGCTACTGATGGACCATGACCCACAGTGACACTGAACTAGATAGTACCTAATAATCTGAAAAGGCAGGGAAGGGCATCTGGGAAGAATTTCACACCAAGCCCATTTCTTTTCATTATGTTTATTTAGCCATGTGCCTACGTTTGGTTGTGTGTAAAGGAAGACAATGGCTTAGTGAGCTGCAGCCAGGCTGTTTTGGGGACTCACAAAGGAATGGTCACAGTTTCCTGCCTGTCTCTTATTGCCCCCCAGGCAAGCTCATTGAGAAAAGACAGTGTGAGTCTCGTACAGAGCATGCTGATAACTATTACAGATACGTGATTATTCTCGGTTCTGTTGATGATAACAACATAGCTGCCATCTTGTGTTTGTTTCCTCTTAGGATTAGAAAGCAAAAGCAATCTGAAGATTGAAAGTCAGAAGCAAAGTTAGAATGGTGATTTTTTTCCCCCAACCCAACTTGGAAGAATTTGTCTTTGGAGAACCAACCTAATCAAATAAAGTAGCATCAATTTACTGGAGACATAATCCAACTTGCATAATTGTCCTGGCTGGTTTACACCACAGCTGTTCATATGACATGGTTCATTAAATAATAAAGTCTTCATCAGGCTCTCCTGCACTGGGCTGCAATTCTTTTCCCCCACACCACCAAAGAAGTGCTGCCTTTATTAGAATGCAGTGCCACCCATTGGCAGTGGGATAATCAGGGGATTTGTTTTTATGTGACATTCTATTAACCAAACATCATAAACTGCATCAAGTAAAAGCCACTGCATTTTCCCCAGTGGAGGATCCCATCACCACATAATCATTCTAGACTGTGGGTTCTCTGTGGGCAGGGACCACATCCCTTCATCTTTATATTCCCAGTGCTAAGCAAAGTACTCAGCATTGGTGGGCGCAAGATAAACATCTATTGAATTAAGAGGAAAATATCTCCAGTGTGGGATTCAGAAGAGCAATGCTTAGAAACCTGGAGGCTCCCTGGTTGCAATGAGCATTTAGTGTCTTGAATACTGTGTCCCTTTCCTTTCTGGTTTATTAATTTTCCACTTGACTGGACCAAATTTTCCAAGTCCACGTGATAGCAGACAGGACTCTCAAAATCCCCTCTGGCCAACAGAAGGTTCAACAACACCAATTTTGCTGTCTTCAAGCTCAGGAGCCCTGCTGGGCAGCAGGGAACCTGTGCCAATCTCAGTCTTCCTAAAGAATCCCACAGTTAAAAGAGGCCACCTGAAAATGGGCTGCTGAGAGGTAACGATGACCTTGGAAATGTCCTCAGGTTTGGGAAGTCAGCAATTTGGTTTACAAAGCATGAAAAGGAAGACTCGTTGTAAAATACAGAAGATTTACCAGCTTAAGTAGTTTAGACCAACTCAAACTTGAGCTTGAGCCTGCACGGGACTCTCCTGGAGGGATTGTTCAAGCACAGAGGGTTGGCTTCACCCTCAGAGTTTCTGATTCAGGAATCTGCACCTCTAAGATCCAGGTAACGCTGCTCCTCCAGGCACCCCACTTTGAGAAGCATTGGTTTAGCCTGCTTATTACAAGCAAGGCTCTAGAGCTGGCTATCTATGCTGGAACCCTGAACCCACCACCTCAGCCAATAATTTTAGGCAAGTCATTTAAACTTTCCCATCCCCAAGATGCAAGTGTCAAACCAAAGCACCAAGAGGATCTTTCTCACGAGATTGTTATGAAGGTCAAAGGAGGACACCCACTGCTTAGGGGTGTGCTTGGTAGGTAGAAAGAGCTTAATTAAAGTTAACCACATAAAGGAAAGTAGGGATATGGTCTGGGGGAAAGACTGCTGGTCAGAGAAGCCAGATATGCATTCTAGCTCTAGCCCTGCGACCCTGACTTGCTGTGTGACCCTGGACAAGTGACTTCTTTCTGGGTCATGCCCTCATTCATAAAATGGGGACACTGGACATTCTATAATGGACTGAAGGTGCCTTGGCGCTAGAAGCTTCCAAAGCTCCTTGCTCCTGACTCTATCACACAGCGTCACGTACCTGTAGTGCCTTCCCAATCACCCCCTACCACTTAGACTGCCAACTGCCAGGCCCCAGCAGGATAACTCAAGACTGCCTTGAAGACATTGTCTGGTTCCTTGGCCTTGAAGGGTCTTTCCACTTGGCCACAGGTGACCACCTGACTCACCGAATGTAGTCTAAGGAACCCACTTCCACCTGGGAAGTGCAACCTGGGATCCTTCTTGCTGAAACCCTATTGCACTCCACCAAGATTTTGTTCACGTTTCATTTGTAGCCAGCTCCACTCATGCCTCTCATTGATATTCTTTTGTGGTTACATTCCAGACTGGAAGATAAGGGAATTCATTGAAGTGTTTAGAAGGGACAAGTGTGGTTTCATCGGGAGTGTTATGCTCAGATGAGTATTGGAGGATTAGTTGGGGAGAGAATCCACACTCGCAGAGGGAGATGAGGTTCTGAAATTTATTATCATAGCCTGGTTGTGGGGAAGGGAGCCTCAGGAGGAGGGTTGGAAGCCCAAATTCCTAATTGAAGATGCGAAGCCCATTTTCATCTTATATTTTTATTAGCCCCATAGCAGCCCACTGCACTGGCTTTCTGCTAACAGCCGATGGCAGGGAGAGGATGCTTGTTGGCACAAGGCCGCTGTACATTTCATTTTTGTCAGATGCTGGCAAAATTTCCTCATCAGGGAAGATAAATTCGAGGTGATATTAATAAACCTCTGAATGCAGCAATCAGATCTGGCTGGCACTCTTAATGATTCCACCAGCAGTGAGCCATTTCCAGCCTGAGGAGCTTAGAGATTCACGGTTTTGTTTAAGGCATCCCAAAAACTAGAAATTGTTTGCTTGACTCCTGGGTTGAGCCCGCATCTTCAACCTGGATACTCCCAGGTGCCCCAAGTGAGGCAGTAGTGATGGAAGAGAGGCATTTACAAAATAAAGTCTTGGGTAAATGTTACTCACTATTGTTTTGTACCCAGAAAGTGCTAAGTGTCTCATACTATCTCGTGTAATTACCATAGGCTCAGTGATGGAGGTACTATTTTTAGGTGAGGTCACTCCAACTTAGAAAGGTTATCATTAACAATATTGGCATCATCATATTGCAATATTGACTGACACTAAGTGCTTTCTATGTGACTGAGCTTAGGATTTTACCTGCATTTTCACTTTTCATTTGCACAACAAGTTATCAATTAAGCACTGTGATCGCCAATTTACAGAGTTGAAAATAGAGGCTTAGAGAGGTTAAACGTGAGGCTCAAGATCAGACTCAAGATGCATAGCCAGTGATGGAATCCATGTGTGTTGGATTCTGAAGCTCATGCCGCCATGGACTGTGCTTGTTACGGCTCACACCACCATGGACTCTACTGTGGAGGCACAACCAGAGGGCCCCATGGGTCTCCACTTGTAGAAGGCGGTTCACCTATCATCCTACCTTCTAGTATGAAAGCAGCTTGCACTCATAGGCAAGCTTACAGAAGGGTGCAGCCCCAGCTCTTGACATAGAACCAAGCACCTGGTAGGCACCCTTTCAATGTTTGATAAATAAATGAATTGATGGTCAGTCCCTACTCACGTCCTAGAAGATTTGTGAAAGGACAGTTGAAATTAGTCTCCTATGCTGCTGTCCACCTCTTGGTATCTTGGTGGACCTATTCACCAAGGGCCAAATGTCCCTAAGCACAGGTGAGAAGAGTTGAGGAAGGTTTTTGTATCCTACTCTGAGAGCAGTTGGAGACTTCGTTCCTTGGCTTAGAAGTCAAGATTGGATGCAGAACTAGGCAAGTTGCTTTTCTGAGCAAAGAGAGTGCTGGCCCACCCCACATCCTCCCCTGGCTGCTGGCCCGCTGCAAGCCTTGGCACACAAGAGAAGGAGGCAGAAGTGCATTTGTTTATTCATTCACCCACAAACATGCCTCAAGCAATTGAGCACCTACTGAGGCCAGAGTAGTTTTGGGCTCTGCGGAGAACATACATATAAATAAGAAACCATCCTTGACCTTGAGGAATTTATAAGCTAGGAGGAAAAATAACAGGTACATTAACTCAGGTGTCAGCTGTCTCTGGCTTCTCCAGTGCCTAGGCCCATGTATACAGCATCTTGTTTTGCCCTGAATAACTTTCATCCTGAAGGTTACACTTTTTTGAGCTTCTCCCTCTTGTCCCTCATCCCACCCCATCACCACCCCATGCCATTGCTCCAGATACAAGCAAAAAGGAACAACACAGACTGTTGAAGATTTCACAGGTAAGGCAGAAAAGGAATTTAAATCACATATCTCATGGCAAATGCTCTAACAGATTTTGAGTTTGCCTTAGTTCCTTCCAGGCCAAAGCACAACCAAGGATTTCCTTCCCTGACCTTTTCCCACAGAGTTCCTTGAGGTAGAAAGGTGGCTCCAAGAAGCCCAAGTCCTTCACTCGCCCTCCAAAAGCCTCACCTTTTCACTAGAGCAGTCTTCACCCCTTGTAGATGTCATTAAGGATATTCACAAATACTCCTATTACGTCCTCTTTCTGGGCAATTGTAGGATTGCACTTTCTAGTTTCCTAAAGTTAAGTGTGGCTGAGTGCTGAGTGGTTTGCTCTAGCCAATGTAACATGAGCCACATGATGCGTGACACTTCTGGATGGAAGCTCTTAGCCAGAGCAGTTCACCACTGCCTCCTGCCAAGACGGTGCTGGAAGCAAAGACCAAGAGGAAGTTTCCATCAATCTGGTTTGCTGAGTGACTCTGATGAACAGCCTCCACCCTCCTACTGGCCTCCTACCTTCATGACTGATATATACTGTATTGAGCAAGAAATAAACCTTTCTTGTGTTATGCCACTGTGGGGGCTGTCTGTTACTGTAGCAGAGCATGGCCTCACTTGACTGATACTGCCCTCTTCGAAGCAGAACAATTCTGCTTTGCTCTGACCTACAGTCAGACTTTCACACTAAACCAAGGTGGGCACTCACCAAACAAAAGATTCTCCAGGTAACACAATCTACACTCTGTGGATGGAAAGTTATGGCATCTTTTGATGGTGGAGCATTTTCCTTGAGGTCTTACCCCTTACTCCATGAGACTCATCAACATATTTTTTCTAAACAAAATGGTGGAGAAGAATTCTGGGGAAAGAATTCTGGGGAAAGAGTGTCTGGCACAAAAGAAATATGCTCTGGGAAGTGCATGAAAAAGGTAAGTGTCAAAACAGTGGAGACACAGGAAATAGTAGCATTAATTTGGACATAAGATGTCTTCAAGAAGAAAGTGAAGTCCCCCAAACTTTCATGCAGGTTTCTCTGCAAGGAAGGAAGGGGCTACTCCCCTAAGAACCTAATTGGAATGTGGCTCTGGGTGCCAAAGCTGAGGCTGAGACCCTAGGCACACTCAAAGAAGGAAGAGGGAGCTTCTGTGGCTCTCGGTGCTCTGCTTCTCTGGGTCAAACCCTTCTTGCCACACAGGTGTGGGAGCCTGAGCAGGCCAGTCCACTCCTGCCCTCCTTTCAGCCCACTCCCTGGGCCAGGATGCACACAGGTATGTATTCCCCAATTTGAGCCCTGCCTCACTTCTTCCTCGTTGTTACCTGCCAGCACCACCACACTTGAGAACAGCAGACACATTGAACTAAATATGATATGATGTAACTCTAGCCTAGGAGTTACAGAAAAAAACCCAAGCACATTTCTAAAATATTCGAGAATCCTGTGTTGAATGTTAAAGAAACCAACCACATAGGATCTTTATAACACACCAAGGCAGGCACTCACGGCCTGTCCTGAACAAATCCAAATCTTTTATCCCTGGAACCTACGTCATTGTCCACCTCCAGGAATCTGTGCTGTTGAGCTGACGGCTCCTCCACTACAATGTTCTGCTCATTCAAGACTCTGTCCTCAGTGGTTCATCTCCCTCATTCACATCCCCCATCAAAATATGTCTGACTTGTATCCTATTCTTTCAGGGCCTTTCTAAGAAAATTCCAAATGTACTCTAGCAGCTTAATATTTTGCCTTCCCTAGGCAAGATGTTTATATTTAATCAAACAACTTCTGGGAATGATGTATGTTTAGTGTAAAGATATGCATTACTCAGAGTGGAAATTTTCAGTATGCAACAGATCATAATGGACAGAAGGCTCTTTGTGGAGTCCGTGGCTTCACCCTACATGCCATTCTATAATATATACCACATGTGCCAAATAAATCCCCTAAATACAGCTCCAAAAATAACATATCAGTATCCATTCTCAAGTAAGCGACTTCTGCCATACCCAGAGGAGAAAGCATCAGATTAGGTAACTCTGCTTAGTGGTAACATTCTCTAAAGATGAAAGCACTTTTCCCACTGACAGAAGCATGGCTCCAAGAAGCCCAAGTCCTGAGGATATTGTCAGTAAAACCACACACACAGGTCACAGCTTGTTATTAATCAATTAATTCTCAGCTTGCTTTGTCCCAAGTCATCCAGCAGACAGAACAAGAAGAGATTTACAAGCTGTGTGCATTTAAATTAATATTTTTAAATGGCATGAGTGTGCAATTAATACTTTCGAAGAACATGTCCACACCAGATCAGGCAGTGTCGGTTTTTTTTTCCCCTGTCCATATGAGTCTATTTTTAATTCCTTTCTTGGGGAAAGACAACAGTCCTAGATTTGTTTTGTTTTGTGTTTTTCTTCTGAGACTCAAAATAACCATGTTCTTTCTGCTTCAGTAAATCATTACTGCAGCTTGAAAGGGTTCCTAGAAAGTTCTAGTTCCATTCAGTTTTTAGGAGGAAAAGCAACCCAAACACGCCAAGAACTAGAAGCTTTATCCACAAGGGAGTACGCTTCAGGATGATACCAACTGCATTAATCAGGATAGACAAGGTTATGCTGCAGTAACAACTAAAACCTAAAATTCCAAAGGCATAACACTTAAACATTTACTTCTCACTCAGGAAAAGTCACTTTGGGTCTGGTGACTCTCCAACACAGCTTCCTTTAAAGAGATGACTCAGGGATTCAAGCTGATTGTATCTTGTGGTCTACAATCTCAATGCATGGCCTCTGCAATCACCATGAAAGGCCAAGGGAGAGCATGGAGAAGCAGGTAGAGGCATTTTACTGACTCGGACTAGGAGGGACATATATTATTTCTGTGCACAATCCACTCAACAACAAGGGGCCTTGGAAGCATGGGAGAGTCCACAAGTATTTGATGGTTATTAAATCTCTCTTTACACGGGTTATCTCATAGTGATGTTAAGAGACTTCATGATGTTGTTACTCTACTTAGAAACTCTTGGATTTCAGCCCTTGAAGACCATGCTCCAACTTCATCATCAAATCCTCACCAGAAAAGACAAGAGGATACAGAACACTGAGCAACTCACAAGATGTGTGCTGCAGATGTGTTTATCAGAACTCAAAAGTTTCCTCTCTTTTCTCTGTCCTATGACTATTCCAGGAGTGCCAGACAGAACTAGTTCTTACGCTCTGCGAAGAAAAGAGTGGACTGGAGGTGGGTCACATTGACATTTTGGTAAGAGCCCTACTCCTTAGAAACAGAATGAAAGTTGTCAATGAGGGGAAGGGAGTAAGGACTGGCTAAGAGTAGCCATGCTGGGAAGATTTCATTGCAAATTTTCCTCTACCTGGGAGCTGGCAGATAAACCAGATCATTGTTCCCAAACACTGGAAGGAGGACCGACTGTTAAAAAAAAAATACCCATGCTGGAGCCTAAATACTCTATGCTAGAGCCTGGCTATTGACATATTAGCAAGCATCCCTGGGCAATCCAATGCACAGTCATATTTTGCAGTCATTGCACTAAAGGAATATCCAAGGTCCCCACCAACACTAGGATTTCACAATTTATGAGCATTTTGAAAGAATTTACCCCTGAGGATTGACTTATTCAGCATTTAAATGGGAACTAAGACCACGTAATTGACTGGGACCAAACCAAGATCAGAATTCATAACCTCACAGCTGTTCCTCATGTCAACTCTTTCTATTCTAACACACTGCCATCCTCATTTTAAAAAAGGGAATGTGGCCTTGATATTCCCATAGATTGCTGGATGCATACTTCCCTGTCACCTTCCAGTAGGGACACAGGCATTCTATTAGCTCAGCAGAATACAGGGCTCCCATCCACATCTGATGGAAGGCAAAGGAGATGAAACTGGTCTCCATGTTGAGGACAGACTGGTACATTAAAGAAGCAATAGGTCCCCTCATTTGTACACCAAGACTCAAGAGTTGAATCTTTCCTTTAGTGACAAGTGGAAGTCCATGGAAGAATATTTACAGGCATGGAAGAGTGAGTTTGAAGTGGGGGGCAAATTCTAAAGAGTAAAGCCTTTACCAATGGTAAACTGTGCCCTTTCTATCCATGCCAGCTTGGGAACCCAGTTGAGAGTCTGAAGGAGCAGGACTTAGCTTTGGACCTGTGAGATTTCCTCTGTCCCCATCCCAACTGTGCTCAGGCCCATCACTTTGCAGGAGCATAATTTTATGGCAAGAGGTTCACCACATACCTATTGAGCTGCAAGAGGAGTGATATCAATGTGCATATAGTTAGGGAGAGCAAAGAGTGCTAATTTAGTAACTGAAGATAAGTTACATTGTATATGAGATGTATTTATATGCATTTTCTACTTCTCTCTCCTGCCTCCTGTATCACTATAAACCCTAGCAGTCAAGTTCCATGTCAGGCCTGTTGGATCTTTTTCCTGCCATAGAGGGAGGGACCTGGGAGATGGGGAGGGATTCAGGGATGACAGTGTTCCAGAGTTTGAACTGGGCATAAAGATATAGAACCATCCACTGGCCAAGGCTGTCATAGGTAAATCCTGCCTGGAGGCAATTTCTAGACAGAACATTCTGTGAGCTTCTAAATGATCCTGAGGTCGGTATGCAGATG
Source organism: Homo sapiens (assembly GCF_000001405.40). NCBI lineage: Eukaryota > Metazoa > Chordata > Mammalia > Primates > Hominidae > Homo > Homo sapiens. The sequence goes on from NC_000010.11 coordinate 77,323,989, forward strand.
CTGACTTACCAGATCTAATTTGGGAAAAAGAAGAGGGTAAGAAGTTATATCTTCTGTGGGGATTCTGGTGGTAAGGATGGGCACAGAAGCAAAAGAGTGTTTCCTCCTTCTCCAGAACATCTGGCTTCATTGCAAGCCACTGTGGGCTACTGGAGTAGATGGAGAGCAGACAGCATGGCACCAACTGAACACTGTGCCCACTCTCCAGACCTGTCCATGCAACCCACAGTAGTGGAGTGGCCACTCCAGGGTCAGGTAGATATGGCTTCCTTCCCAGCTCTGCCAATTCCCAGCTGAAAACATTCTTAAACTTTTCCAGTGTCCTGTAAAATGGGAAAACCAGACCTGTCCCATTGTATCCTAGTGAGAATTACATGATGTCATGCCATTAAAGTACCCAGTACCAAGCCTGGTACATTATAAACATCCAAGAGCCTAGGTCTTAGCTTCTTCACCTAGCATGACACCTCTCCCACCCAGCTTACTATACCACTGTGAGATGATAAAAGCACACAAGCCCTGTCAATGCTAAAATATTTATGAAGCTATAGAGAATATTTTTTTAAATTTTCAACCTGAATGTCTGATTTTTTTCTTCTGTATAGAGACAGGGTATCACTATGCTGCCCAGACTGGACTCAAACTCCCATAATTCTCCAACCTTAGCCTCCAGAGTAGCTGGGTGCCACCATGCCCAGCTTGTGTAAGAGCTTTTCTGTCACGTTCTCAGCATTCCTAGATGCATGCATCAGGACTTCAATTCATGCTTCTTCTTGCCTACAAGTGGGTTCTGTTGGTAGCTGGAAAGCCAGGCTATGGTGGAGGCAACAGAAGGAATACAGGGGTCCCCTTTCCAAACCTCCAAGTTATCTGGGTTGGGATACTACAATTTTAAGAGTATCAAGGAAGGAGCTGGAGAGAGGAACTTCTGGACACTCAGTATAGCTCTAGACTCTCTCTCTCTCTCTCTCTCTCTCTCTCTCTGTGTGTGTGTGTGTGTGTGTGTGTGTGTGTGTGTGTGTGTCAGAGAAAGAGAGTGAGATTGATTTTTTATTTTGAACTGACTAGGTGCCACCCCTTCATTACCATGCTGATTTAAACTGTCAAGACTGCAGCCTGGCCTGACCACTGAGGAGCAAAGACAATAGGAAAACAGAAGGCGACTCAGGATGCAAATGCCTCATTGTTACAGAACAATAAACAGATTCACCCTTTTGCTAAATGTCAGGTTAATATCCTCTTGGCACCAGCTGTGCCTCTCCCCTCCTTCCCTGCCACAGTGAGTCCAGGCTCCTGGAAGTCTGCCCTTCACCAGCCACCTAGGCTCAGCACTGGGCGTCGAGGAGAGCAGGTGTGGCTGGCACAGTAAATGCAAACACAACCAGTCCAACCGCAAAGTGGAATCAGCCTTTGCATGGAGTGATATCCTGGGACAGCCTCAAGCTCTGACTTTGGGGAGCTCTGGGCTTTGGGCTACAGCTTGGGTAGCTGACTAAGCCAGGGGATGGCACTAACACATGTTCTCCGTGTACTTACTCACAAGCCAAGAACAGGTAGGCAAGGAGGGAGGATGACCTTCAAGGCCAGTTACCAACAGGCTCCAAATGCATTTCCCATGGATGCCCACTGGGCCCATCCCCATTCCTCCCTCCACCAAGTCCCTATCCATTCTAACTTCTCATGATCGCTTCTTTCTGCCTTATCTCTGCATTGACATTGACACTGTTGTTGCTGGGGGGCTTTGCTGTGCTTGCCTCTGCTGCCCCAACAGGTCTCCTTGTCGCCATACCATTCTCCACAGTATCTGCAGAGTCTCCCCAGTTAGATGATCTGGCCAGGTCACTCCTTAACTCAGAATACTTCTGTAGCTCCCTCTGGCTTTTAATGTAAAGCCAAACCCTTAGCAAGCCACTGAGGAATGAGTTTGACCCCATTCCTCTGAACTCACATGGTCCTTTGAGTTTACCCTTTGCCCAACCCTTATTATCCAGGATGGGGGTTGACTGTTTTGGTTTCTTCCCCCCCATTTCTAAGGACAGGAACCATGCCTCTTACCTCTGCACACCCTGTGCCTTACATGGGGTATGGAACAGGAAATGTGCTCAGTAGTGATTGGAAGCCATTCATTCCTTACTCAGACCTCTCTACAAATTGTCCCTGAGTCTAACCCACAACTTCCCTCACTGCAAAAATCCTTCAGATTGCTCCTGACAGGACTGTCTTCCTCATCTCATCTGTTTTCTCTGTCCTAATCACTCTCTGGAGCTTAGCTCAGGTTCCCCCACAAGTCTCACCACCATGAAGCCTCTACACTGTTTTGTCTTCTCTAACTGCATCCCCCACGTGGAACTTCATAACGGTAGGCTTTGTAATAGTTACTTTACACCTCTGAACCTCATCTACAAGGATGGTTCACAATAGATTTGCCATAAATTTTAAATTATGATGCAATATAAATAAAGCACATAGCACAGAATCTGGCACACAGTAAGTGCTGAAAATAGATTTGTCTGATGGTGAGGACGAGCGTGGTGGTGGTGGTGGTGGTGGTGACAGTGATAATGATGATGATATCTCTGTTTTATATTGCAAGACCCAGAATGTCAATTCCTTCTTTGAGGGAAAGGGCCACTGCTTATAGTGGTCTTGACAAACTTCAAAACATATGGCCCAATGCTTATTTCTGGTGGAAGCTTTACTGACCATATTAATGCTATTGATAATATTTTCATGTTATTGGTATTAATCACGTTACCAGGGAAAGAGCATTGGATTCAAAGTCAAATGCAGACTTTCAGTCCTGTTTTTCCACTTTGGGCCTCAGCTTCCTTAGCTATAAATAAATGAGTTTTCCAGAGTTTTCCAGAATGATCTGTAGTCCTTTCTAGCAATGATAATTACGTGGTTATTAGTGAGACTAGTCCACACCAAAGTGAGCCTACACTCCATCCATATGGGTCATCCCTCCCCAGTATACCTGGGCCCCAAAATGCAAGCACACCATGGGGAAATGGAAGAAATTGGGACTTATGTCATCCAACCAACAGAACGCCAGTCCTCACTTCAACACACAAATGTTTTCTGTTTTAAAATCTACTCCAGCAGCACTACAATTGGCATTCCCCCTCCTAGCAGTGGGTTAGCAGCAGATGTTACAGCAAAATGATCCAGACTGGGGGTGATTATTAACCCTTCTGCACAGCATACCCATTTTTGCTTCTGGGTCCACACTTGCACACCTAAGACAAGTTCACCCGCCATCCCTGTCATCAAGAGCTTCACCACCTTCTTGTCTAGACAAGCTTGAATCCCAAGCAGAAGAGGAGACTGAGCACCATATCTTTGCTGCTGTTTTTGTTGTTATTGTTGTTGTTGTTGTTTGAGATGGAGTCTCGCTCTGTCACACCCAGGCTGGAATGCAGTGGTGCAATCTCAGCTCACTGCAACCTCTGCCTCCTGGGTTCAAGCGATTCTCCTACCTCAGCCTCCTAGGTAGCTGAGATTACAGGTGCCCACCATCACATCCTGCTAATGTTTTATATTTTTAGTAGAGATGGGGTTTCACCATATTAGCCAGGCTGGTCTCGAACTCTTGACCTCAGGTGATCTGCCTGCCTCAGCCTCTCAAAGTGCTAGGATTACAGGTGTGAGCCACCTCGCCTGACCAGTATCAAATCTTATCAAGTATCAACCACATCCTCCTATAAGGTGAGAAACCAGACCCCACTGTAAGGTAGGACTGCCCACAATGGTGTAAAGAGCCATCTGGGAAATAAATAGTAAATAGCCCACTGCAAAAAAAAAAAGTTTCAAGACAGACAAACCTGGCTTCTCTATGTATAGTCTGTGCGATCTTAGGTAAGCCACTTAAATGCTCTCTCAGTTTCCTCTACTATAAAGTGGGGATTTTTATGTCAACACAACCCCAGGAAATAGGCTTTGAGTATAATAATATTCACAAAGCACACAAATAGGCACTCTGAAGAGGTCAGCCCCTCCCTTTCCACCCTGAGGACCTTGTGGGAGTGCACACAACGTGACCTCAAGGTAAAGTGGGACTCTGCTCCACTGTTTATGACATAACTGGGTTGTCTTGCACATTTTAAATATCTGTCTGTGTCTCATTTTCTTCATCTAAAACTATTCATATCCCCAAGATTTGTTGTTGGGAATTAAACAAAACAATACATGCAAAACAGTACTTGGCGCACAGTAAGCACTCAATAAATATGTAATTGTCATCACCCATGTTATCATTATCATTTAATGATGCTGAAGAACAAGTAAGTGCTTATCACTTCCTTTAAATCTTGGCACCAACCACACTAAAATCTCAGGCAGGCAGGTCAAACTGCAAGTCAGAGGGCCAGTACTGTCAAGTCCCAACGAGGCCACAGGACCAGTTACCCATCCGCAGATTATCCTTGGAAAATGTTTAAAGCATCATCCACTCTGATGTCAGCAGGTGTGTGCTCAGGCAGTGCTAGTGTGACATCCTATAAAAGTCAGAAAAAAGGCCTCAAAGAAGATAACCTGAGCCAAGAACACAGGCGTAGCTTAACTAAAATGTTTGTCTACTCAGACACCTTGGCCCCTGTCCGTGGTCCTGAAAGAGACAAGTGGACAAAGACTGACGGGTGGTCATGACTTTTCTTTTTCCCTTTTGCAAATAGTTGAAGACCTCTTCTGATGCAAATGGTATCAACAAAAGATAACAGAAGAAAACATATATGGGAGGTCATGACTTCTGAGACATTTCCAAGGAGAAAACAGAAAGACTCTTCGACATCAAGTTCAAATAAACAAAATTATTGAGAATAAATATATATCTATATTTTTTGTTTTTGTTTTTGTTTTATTTTGTTTTTTTAAGATGGAGTCTTGCACTGTCACCCAGGCTGGAGTGCAGTGGCATGATCTCGGCTCACTGCAAGCTTCACCTCCTCAGTTCATGCCATTCTCCTGCCTCAGCCTCCCGAGTAGCTGGGACTACAGGCGCCTGCCACCATGCCCGGCTAATTTTTTGTATTTTTAGTATGGACAGGGTTTCACCATGTTAACCAGGATGGTCTCGATCTCCTGACCTTGTGATCCCCCTGCCTCGGCCTCCCAAAGTGCTGGAATTACAGGTGTGAGCCACTGCGCCCGGTCAATATATATCTATATTTTTAGTCATTGGGCTTCCCCACCTCTTATACCCTGACTCTAAAATCATCAAAAAACCCTTCATAATGCATACCAGAAATAACACAAATCACTTGTGTGGTCTTTGGCTACTGCTATGGTCTGAATGTTTTGTCCCCTCAAAATCCATATATTGAAATCCTGTCATCCAATGTGATATTAGGAGGCAAAGCCTTTGGAAGCTAACTAGGTCATGAGAAGGATCTCTCATGAATGAGACTACTGTCTTTAAAAAAGAGATTCCAGAGGGCCCTCTTGTTTCTTCTGCCAGGTGAGGACACAGTCAGAGGACTGCCATCTATGAACCAGAAAGCAGGCCATCACCAGGCATGGCATCAGTTAGCACCTTGATCTTGGATTGCCCAGTTTTCAGAACTGTAAAAAGTGTTTTTGTGTCAACCACACAGTCTAGGTATTTTTGTTACAGCAGCTCAAATGAACTAAAACACCTCCCCTCTGTTGGTCTGGATAATAAGAAATTGAACAACACGAATGTCCTATCCTGAAAATAATTTAATTCTTCTATTCCCTCATTTATTGCAAAGACATGACAGAAAATATTTAGTAGGAGCAAGGCTCTGAGATTTCAATCCTAACCTCTGATTCCAGTCCTAAATCCATCACTAATCAGGATAAGACCTTGGGCAAATTGCTTCACCTCTTTGTCCCTCAGTTTATTCATCTATAAAAATGATAACAAAAATAATACTTAGTTCATAAGGTTATTATAAAAATTAAATGAGATAATGCACCCGAATAGCTTAAAAAGTGCTTGCCACATTGTACAACCCCAGTAAGGATAAATGTTAATATTATAATTAGTTTTATTGTTATTATTATTGTTGTTGTTCCAAATTAGACGTAACCACATATTGGTTTGCACAGGTGCCCTTTCTTTGTACTGTTTCTAATATCTAACCCCTTCTATCCTCTGCCTGAGAAAACTGTGGACATATCACGTAAGATCTGAAGAAAGTTTGTTCACTCACCCACCCACCCACTGAGTTCACCATAAAAAGAATTCAGAAATTTCTTACAATGGGAGATAGTAAAAACATAATGGCCACAATTCCCAAAAAGCTGCAGAGAGCTTATACACCCTCAGTCCACATCACAACAGAGCCACTCTCCACTCCCTTACCCAGCCATGCTTGGGGCCACTCCTACTCACTTCCTCATCATTCTGTCAATTTTAGAGGAGCCCACGGGGCTCACACAAGCTGTGCAGATCACCAAGGTTAGTATCTCCATTGCCTTGCTCCTTGGAAGAATGTTCAATATTAGTTCAGTGTTCCCAGCCCACAACCTAAAGCCTCCAGGAGTCAGGATGAAATACAAACAATGGCAATGACCCCTCCTTATCTGGAACTCACAATAATTTCGTAAATACTGCTATGCACCTTGGTTCCTTCAATCTTCTTAACATCCCTCCAAAGCAGGCGGTTAGTGATCTCCCGATTATACAGAAAGGTAGCTGAGGCCTAGAGATTGACATGACTTGCTAAAATTCACACAGCTATCAGTGAATGGCAAAATCAGAACAGCCCAGGATGGCTCTTCAGGCAGCAAAGTTTAGTGGGAAAAGCAGCCAGGGAGAACTCAAGTTCAAGGGAGAACTTGAATCTTAACACTTATTACCTATATGACCTCAATAAAGTCACTTAACCTGTGAGGACTCAGTTTCCTCACATGTAAAATGAAAATAGTATTTTCCATTCAGGATGCTGGGGCATGCAATAATGTGGGAGAGCACTGAGCCAAGTGTTTGGCACAGAGATGGGATTAAATAGGAGGGTCCTATTGTTATTATTACTATGGTTAGGGGAGCCCCATTCCCTCTCCAACGTACAGAGCCACACGGAATCTAAACTAAGGAGGCCATAAAACACACTGGCTCCAGTCTAAGTCCAGTGTCTTTCTCCCTGCCCCCCATGTACCTGCCAGCCACATGCCTGAACAGCAGAGAGAGAGCTCAATCATCACATGTGGCTTATCTAGAGAACTTTTAAATCCCACGCTGGCCTGACCCACCCCAGCTGGCATACTCTCAGGCCTCTGACACTGGCAGCAGGTCTGAGCATGAGGAATACAGTATCTAATCTGAGCAATAACTTGCTTATCCTTATATTTAATTTATACAAAAGTGCTTTATGATATATGGCATGATGGCAACCATGGGTCAGTGAAACATATGAATTTCCATTAAACATATCCACTTCCATAAACAACCATTCCTGTTTTGAGTAGGTAGAGCCAGTAAGGATGAAATGATGCTGAAGAGGAAGGCAGTGGAGGGTATTTTATAAATATCAATATTCAAATACCACTTAAGTCCTCATATTTACTTAATAAATATGACAATGGGCCAGGCACAGTGGCTCACACCTGTAATCCCAGAACTTTGGAAGGCCAAGGCAGGAAGATCACTTGAGCCCAGGAGTTCAAGACCAGCATGGGCCTGTCTCTACAAAACCTTTAAAAAAAAAAAAAAAATCAGCTGGGTATGGTGGTGCATGCCTGTGGTTCCAGCTGCTTGGGATGCTGAGATGTGAAGATCCCTTGAGTCCGGGAGGTCGAGGCTGCAGGGAGCTATGATTGCACCTCTATACTCCAGCCTGGGCAACAGAGCCAGACCTCATCTCTAATATATGTATATATATATAAAATAGGTAACCTGTCCCCTGTCCCAAATTGCCCTGGGGAGCACTGCAAAGCCTTAAAGAAATACATTGGGGATTATCTGCTTGTTTGGTTACCCAAGCTGCTACTTCCTTTTTGTCTATAATTAATGAAATTAGACCATGCACATAGATGAGATCCACTCAAGTCTACAAATATTGACAGCACTAGATATACATTTTGAGGCCATGAAAATGCAATGAGGAACAAGACACAACCCCTGTTGTTACGAGGGCACAGCCCATTGTGGGAGACAGATTACATAGCATTTACAGTACGATAGGCTGAGTACGCAGGGGTAAGGGAACACAGAGGAGGAACATGTTTCCTGAATTTGGGGCCCAAAGCTGAGACCTAAAGCGTGCACAGGAGTTGGCCAGGGGATGAGAGGGAAAAAAAGGAGAGAGAGTTGCTCTGAGTTAAGGAAACATTTGAGCAAAAAATCCATTTGTAAACAGAGCTTGGGGACCTCAGTGCTGCCACTGAGTGACAATTCATAAATGCAGCAACTCTCAGCCACCCACCCAACATTATTCTGTGCTTGATCAAGAGCTGAAGCAGCCTCCAGCTGCTGCCACCTTCTGCCAGCAGTGTTAGTTCCATGAGGGCTGTTCTGCCCATGGATCATTGATGATCTGTTGTCCCCTGCATGCACAGACCAGAAACCCCACCTCCCCACCTGCTGCTGTTACCCTAGTTGACCTCCTGCCTCACTGGGTGGCAGAATGGACAGCCCTGCCATCTGCTTCCCTCCCCAGAGCACCAGGCATGGAACACTGGGGATTTATGGGGTCACCAGGCAGAGCTAGGAGGGTTTTGCAGTGGTAGGGAACTAGCAGTACACTTGAACACATCCATGGGATCACAGCAAGGAGGCCAAATGAGATAGGATAGGGATTCAAAGGAGAAAAACAGAACCACAGAAGTACACAGCTCTCAGATGAAAGCCACTTAATCAGCCTCATCCCATTTTCCAAAATTCAGACAAATGCAGAGAAACACTGGGCTTATTTAGCAGTATCTATACTCTAACACACACATACATGCACCTGTGTGTTAATCTAATTAGACAGCTTTTCTAGTTCTAAAGGTGAAATGCACGAAGAGCAAGTTCTTAGGTTATTTTCTCTTTAAGCAAGGGGGACTCTTACATCCAACACATGCAACAGCTATTTAGTAAAACAAACACATGTTTTCATTCTGCTTCCTGCTTGGAGCTCCAGAATGGCCTCATCTGGTCAAGGAAGGTCTCGGTTCTGCCAGCCCATTCGAGAAGGCAAATAGCAATGGTATAGATGGCATAGAGCAGGATGTGAGTCCTATACCTTGGATTGCCCTGGACAGAGGGCCTATTGTCTCCTCTATTTTTGGACCAAATGGGTGAGAAACAGCTTATATCAAGAATGGCCTGGCACATGCCTGTAAGTCCAGTACTTTGGGAGGATTGAACCCAGGAGTTTGAGACCAGCCTGTGCAACATAGAGAGACCCATGTCTACCAAAAAAAAAAAAAAGAAAAAAGAAAGAAAGAGAGAAAGAAAGAAAGAAAGAAAAGAAAAGAAAAGAAAAGAAAGAGAAGAAAAGAAAAGAGAAGAAAAGAAAAGAAAAGGAAAAAGAATGGCCTGGCAAATAACCCAAAGTCCTCTCAAAGCTACATTACTATAAACGAGTCGCATGCTTATAATTCAAAAATAACATTTGTGCCTAAATTCAAACTAACACATTTTAATGGAATGGCAACATTTTTAGGCCTCAACTCATTCTGGGCTCAAAATAATAACTAGAACTTCATAGCATTTGCTTGTGGAACCCATATTCCTTGAGCAGTATCTCCCTAGGCAACAGCTCCAGTATATCCTGCATTAGAGGATATTTCAGATGAGATGCACTTGTGTTGCCTCAGACTACTACGGAGTGACTCCGCAGCTGCTGAAGTGTTGCCTAATTGAGGATCTACTTTAGAAACGATGTGAGTGTGATGGGTAATTGGCACGTTTTCCTGCTTCTGAGAGTAAGCTGTGCGCTCCTTGGGAGGTGAAACCCACTTCCTTGTCTCACCATGGCTTGAATGACATAATAGGATTTCAGTATATGCAATTGTTGAGTGAATAAATGAATAAAGAAACATATTAGCTGAATTATTGAAACAATAAGATCAAGTAAGCCCACATAGATTTGTTCACCTTCTTCACATGCCCCCTGCCTGCCCCAACCACACCTCCTTTCCTTTGCCTTGTTTGATTTTCCACCAGGCTGCTTATTATACTATCGGACATGTAAGCACTTTACTTGGAAATGTGTTTATTTTCACATGCTGTGTAAAGTCCAAAGGGCATGGATTTTTATCTCATTCGCTCACCGCTCTACTCCCACCACCTAGAACTGGTCCCTAGCAAGAGTTCACTGAGCATTTTGTGGGGGAGTTCATTGTAAGACTCTTTAAGAATCACTCTATCTCTAAACAGAAATGATGGAAGATGTTTTTGTTCTGTGTATCAAGGGTCTTTATATATGTAAATTAATCAAAAATTAAGGTGTATTTGAGGGCGCTTGGTCTTAAAAATGTAACCATTCCACCTTGCACTGTTTTCTTACAAAAATCTTTGTAATTTGGCCCCAACATACCATTTGAGCTTTATTACATCATCTTCTTCATTACCACAATCATCACTACCATCACTGTTATCATTCACAATTACAGAAAACATTTACCAACTGCCTGCTGAGTACAAGGCATTTTGAAAATAGGTGTTTGGGGGCCAGAAAATGAATGGGATGCTGAGGTCTCTGTTCTCAAACTGCCCATCTAATGCAAGCGTTGAGACATATTTACACATGAAACATACACTCAGTGTCAAACAACGGGTTGAACCAGTTCTGTCTGACAGAAATATAATAATGAGAGCTATATAGCTAATTTAAATTTGTCTATTACTCATATTAAAAAATGAAAAATAAACAAGTAAAGTTAATTTTGATACTATTTTGCATAACCCAATATATGTAATATATTATAATTTCAACATGTATCCAATATTTTTAAAGTTTTATTAATGAGATTATTTTTCTTACTTAGTTTTGGAACATGTATGACACAGCACATCTCAATTCAGGCTAGCCATATTCAAGTGTCTAACAGCCATATGTGGCTACTGGCCACATATTGGACCCTCAGGGTTAGACTAAAGGATTTTCAGAGTACAGAGGAGGGGACACATCTCAGCAGGCACAGGAGTGTGGAGAAGGTCCCATGAGAAAAGCCTCTCCCCTTCCCTCCTTTTCCTGCTCTTTCCTTCCCCATCTTCCTCCTCCTCCCGTCCTCATCCTTATGGAAGCACAAGCGGTATAGTTGCAGGGGTAAATAGGTGTCCCAAGATGAAAACAAAGGGAAACCTTGGGCTTACCCACTGAGAGTCCCTGTTCCACACTGCCTCTTCTTCTCTTTCTCCTAGGCACAGCCAAGGAAGGTTAAATCCCATTCCATCACTAATGAGAGATCTGCCCACAAGCACTAAAATAAGATTCCTCTGATCTTAAAAGAAAAGTGTTTTTGGACTTTAGGCAACCCTGGGGACTTAGAGTTGTTCTCAACCCTAGCATCCATCAGACTCACCTAGAGAAAATTTTAAAAGTAAAGATGCCACAAGTATACACTCCCAGATTCTGATTTAATTGGTCTAGAGTGAGGCCTAGGGATGTTTGCACCTTTTTTAAAGGCTCCTAGGTGATTCTAATGTGTAACTAGACCTGAGAACTGCTGGGCTGGGGTGCAGAAATTGCAGAGTGGAGGAGAGGAAAGAGTGGCCAGTTGGCTATGATGCCATTAACCACAGCACTCAGCATCACTTTATGTACCCTTTCTCGTTGGATCCATATGATAACCCTGTGTGACAGGTACCACTAACCTCATTTTGCAAGTGAGAAAACCAAGGCTCTAGGAGGTTAAGCAACTTTTCCAGGGTCACACAGTTAGCAACTGGGAAAGGAAGAAACTCAAGCCCGGTCAGGTCTGACTCCAAGACCCATGCTCCTCACTTCATATCACCCCTTGTCCCTCCTCTTCATCAACCTTGCCCTCCATTTCCACTCCACCAATCTTGGTTCAAGGTGAGAAACTGGGATGGGAATGAGAGGATGAAGAAAACTAGGTAAGATGCAGGGACAGGTTGGGAAAAAATAGTAATGCATACAGCAGATGCAGGGGGAAGTTGGGAAAAAAATAGTAATGGACACAGCAGCAAGGGAGAAACCTCCTTCATAGATGGCCAGCATCTCCCAGATATTTTTTTAAGTGCTAGATAGATTAAGTGTTGAAAGGACACATGCAGGGGAGGGTGCTGATATTGACTACGAGACTTGTTTGGCATCATGACAAGGAAGAAGTGATGAGAAAAGGTGTCCCAGAAAATTAACCATTACCTAGCTTCCACAGAGGATCCTGCCCTAACCAACAGATAGGCTAGAAAGAAGGCTACAGAACAGAAGACAAAGAATAAAAGAGCTGTACACAAAGATATGTTCTTTTTCTGAGGTTTCATACACTGTGAAATTTCCAAGTAGTGAAAAATTAACTCAATGCTTAAAAAAAAAAAAGAAGATGAATGCAAAGAAAGAAAAAAAAAAGAAAAATCTGGCAATGTTGGAAGAGAAATCAGTCTTGCCTGACAGTATTTAAATTGAATGTCTGTGAGCATGGCCCACAATTTTTAGTGAAAGTAGAAGCTATTAAAAAGTCGATGCACAAGATTAAAATTTAGAATGCTATTTTAATAATACCAAATTCTACTCAATTTCAAATGGCTGTCATTTTTAAGCTCCACCAATTTGATAACACTTGACTGATGGCATTGGGAGCTGAGTGATGGGAAGATTGAATTCGGCAGGTCCAGCTCAGCTGACACAGCCAGAGAGATGAATACTCATCCTCAAAGAACTAAGCAGACCAGGCTGATGGACCTCTTAGAATCTGTTTTCCCATCTGTAAAATGGGACTAACAATATCTGCCCTACTGAAAGGAACAAGTGTGATGGAGGGTGAATGAACCATTGTCAAAAGCATTGTGAAGGTCAAGAATGCATTGTGCTCCCGCTGTGGGTAGAGCCTGTGCTAGGTCACAGGTCACCTCTTTCTGGAAGCTTCCCACATCTCCCAATTCTAACTTAGAGAATCAACAAGTAGTTGGACTAGTCAGTGCTGGGATGAGAACATGCTCAGGATGTTCCAGAACTCGGAGACAAGTCATCTGTCACGTCATTAGATCCACCACCTTGTAGGACTGGGAGTTTGCTCTGTGTACCTAGCACTGTGCCTGGTATACAGTGAGTGGATCCTCAATAAGTATTTGTAGTTCCCTCATTCAACAGGATCTTGTCCCTAATGTTTTGACTTTAGATGGGAAGACAAATATTTACCAAGCATAATATAAGTACTGATGCAGAGACCATCAGAGCATTACAGAGGAAGAAGAAACACTAGGCCGGGCATGGTGGCTCATGCCTGTAATCCCAGCACTTTGAGAGGCCCAATGCCAAGGCTAAGGCAGGCGGGTCATTTGAGGTCGAGTTCCAGACCTGCATGGGCAACATAGTGAAACCCCTTCTCTACTAAAAAATACAAAAATTAGCTGGGTGTGGTGCTGCACACCTGAAATCCCAGCTACTCGGGAGGTTGAGGCAGGAGACTCGCTTGAGCCCGAGAGGCGGAGGTTGTAGTGAGCCAAGATTGCACCACTGCACTCCAGCCTGGGTGACAGAGTGAGACTCTGTGTCAAAAAAAGAAAAGAAACAGAAAAATCATTTCAACTGGATATTGAAAAATCATTTATTATAATCACTGTGGTCATGTTTAATGCTGTTGACAAATATTTCCTGCTCTTCACATCCTAGGCATGCAGCAGGATTACATTACCCTGCACCCTCTGAAGTTAGGCTAAGCCATGGGTCCTACACTGGCCAATGAAACATCAGCAGAAGTGGCATATGTCCCATTTTGGCAGAAACTTTAGGAGCTGTGCAGTTCTCCATGTTTTCTTCCTGCAGTATGGCAAATGGAAGGACATGTTAAAATGAAGAATCTTGGGGGAAAATGGCTCCAGAAGCAGGGGTTTCAGTACAACCTATACAGAACATGAAGGACAAGCAAGAAATACACCTTTGTTGCAGAATCCGACTGAGATTTGGGGGCCATTTGTTATTGGCGCCTCTCTTTACTAATACAATCATGTCAGGAGGAGCTCCAGCAAAGTATCTGTAAGGGAAGGGGTGAGTGAGCCTGAAGGCTCTTGAGAGTGAAAAGGAAACAGGACTCAAGCCTCTCTTTGGTCACAGACTCAGCTACCTTCTTTCGGAGATTTCCTCCACAGGGATACACTGAAAATGCCACTCAGGTTTCAGAAGCCTCTGAGTGAGGAGCCCCAGACTCCTGCCTTTTATATACCCATCTCCCGCCCTCATGCCTTCTGGAAATGGTGCTAAGTATAGCTGGGTTGGATCCCTGGCTCAATTACTACATCACAACCAGAGACTGAGGAATAAACATGCCAGGGTGGGGCTTTTTCTCTTTGCCCGGGATGGCTCTGCCTCCATCTCTCTCAGCTCTCAGCGAAAATCCTCCCCTGCAGCCAGAGGCCCTTACAGACCCTAAGCCTCTGCTCCTGCTCTTCTCCAGCAGGTGCTGCCTCCCCTTCTCATCTCTGCATCTGTCTGTCCTGCAGAGCTCAGTTCACACCCCATCTCCTCCAGGGAGGACCACTACAGACTCCAGCCTATTCTGTGCTCATCCTACGAGCTTTGAACCCATCTGACACTCAACCATGCCCTGTCATCAGAATAGTGCTAGCTTGTTCATCTGGGCAGGTTGGATCTCTTCAAAGGAGGGAGGAACCCCTAAATCTTGATGATGTCATTTGTGAAATGAGGCCCCTGCTCTGACCACTCAGAACTGCCATTGGGCATCAGGTGAGTTGTCAGATCTAAAGCCCCTGTCTTGGTGCCAAATACCTAACAGGTGCTCAAGAAATGTAAGACTCTTCTCAATTCCCTTTGTCTACAAGACAGTTTGACAAAGTGGGACCAGCTCTTCTCCTCCCACAGTAAGCCCAGATGCGTCTCTAGAGATGTGTCTCATGCATGTATTCTCAATGGGGGCAAAGTCTCCTCCAGGAAGGCAGACATTGAAAAGTGAAAAAACAACCTTTATGTATAAACACAGATACATACAGAGTACACACACAGATATACAGTGTATCTGTGGTATTAAAATCTCATGGGGAGGGGGTAAGGAAGTGTTTTTTTAATGCTTAGAAAAGCTCCATAGGTATGCAATAAAGGAAAAAAAAAAGGCAGGCTCTTCCATGCCCATCTCAGCTGAGCCTCTTATCACTTGTCTCTTATATTTCCTCTCTTGTGTCTCTTCCAAATCAATAAAGTGATATTTTAGAAAATTCTGCCAAACCCACATTTCTCCCTCCTCCACCGCCTTCCCAGCCTCTCTGCTCCTGTGCTCATCTAATCTGCTGCCTTTCCTGGGATGTCAGCCTTGCAATTGGCTACAGGGAAAGCAGGCACTGGAGAGCTGAGAGACTCCAGTCTTGGTTTTCCAGACATAGCAGATGTGACTGTGTTTGTATCTACCCCCAGCAACACCATGGGGAAGCAGAGCTAGGCACTCCTGCCTCACCCCACCTCCCCACCACCCAGCTTGACTCAGAATGGTGCCTCAAGTCAAAGACCTGCCTGCAACTCCCAAGAGAACTAAATGTTTCCCTCCACTAGGGGAGGGTTACTGGTGGGTTTGGGCTTAGGCTGGTTTGTTGGAAGGTGGCTGACACTGCAGTTTGGCTCACCCAAGGTGGAGTCCAACCTTGCCTGTCCTCGAAGATGGAAAGCTGAATAATCACCTTCCAGCCTCCCTTGCAGCTATAGGTGGCCACGCCACATATTCTGCAGGGGAAGATGTCTGATAAAAAGCAGGAGGGAACAGCTTAACCTGATATTGCCCTTCCCCCTTTTCTTTCTACCTTGAAATGGACCCAAAGTCTGAAGCTCTCCATCTCTCTTGCAGCCATGAGTGAAAAGCCAAGGGAATCCTGACATCCTACAGACACTATCTTGACATGATGTAGCAGCAGCACTAGTGCCAGAAACCCCTACATCTAGACTTCTACTTGTAGGAAAAACTGCTTTTCTCTCTGTTACATGAAGCCCAAGGAATCCTAACTAACACAGAAGTCAAGAGTGACAGGCACAGACACATGAAAAAATGCTCATCATCACTGGCCATCAGAGAAATGCAAATCAAAACCACAATGAGATACCATCTCACACCAGTTAGAATGGTGATCATTCAAAAGTCAGGAAACAACAGGTGCTGGAGAGGATGTGGAGAAATAGGAACACTTTTACACTGTTGGTGGGACTGTAAACTAGTTCAACCATTGTGGAAGACAGTGTGGCAATTCTTCAAGCATCTAGAACTAGAAATACCATTTGACCCAGCCATCCCATTACTGTATATATACCCAAAGGATTATAAATTATGCTGCTATTAAGACACATGCACATGTATGTTTATTGTGGCACTAATCACAATAGCACGGACTTGGAACCAACCCAAACGTCCATCAATGATAGACTGGATTAAGAAAATGTGCACATATACACCATGGAACACTATGCAGCCATAAAAAAAGGATGAGTTCATGTCCTTTGTAGGGACATGGATGAAGCTGGAAACCGTCATTCTCAGCAAACTATCGCAAGGACAAAAACCAAACACTGCATGTTCTCACTCATAGGTGGGAATTGAACAATGAGAACACTTGGACACAGGAAAGGGAACATCACACACTGGGGCCTGTCGTGGGGTCGGGGGGAGGGGGCAGGGATAGCATTAGGAGATATACCTAATGTAAATGATGAGTTAATGGGTGCAGCACACCAACACGGCACATGTATACATATGTAACAAACCTGCATGTTGTGCACATGTACCCTAGAACTTAAAGTATAATTTAAAAAATGCCAAAAAAAAAAAAAAGAGTGACAGGCATAATCCTTACCCATCTGACTTCCCTGGAGTCTCTTTATAAACACATCTGTACTACAAAACAGAATGACTAGTGCTTCTCAATGTCCAGAGTGCAGGGAGACTCAGAGATGCTCTGCCATGCTTTAGGTCCCAGGGTCATGGCCTCTCTGCAGGGGGTTAAGCACATGGGCTTTGCACTCAAATTGACCTGGATTCTAGTCCTAACTCCTCCACAAAAGCTGTGTGATCTTAGACACCTCACCGTTCTGTATGTCCGTTGTTTTCACTGTAGAATGAAGTTGACAACAGCACTTATCTCATAGAATTGTTGCAAAGATTAAATGAGATATATCACACACTAATCTCAGTGCCTGGCACATACTGTCTTCTCAATACGTGTTAGCTGTCAAGATAATTTTCCACTTTCCCTTTCTGGGTCTAAGTCCTTCTATGAGCTTGTCTGTCTCATTTCCCAATTATTTCTCAGTGTTTTCTCATTTCCTTATCTCTGTAGCTCTTTCCTTCTCCTTTCTCTGTTTCTCCATCTCTCTGCATGTGTCTCCATTTTTGTCTGGCTTTTTCTCCCTCCTCCCTCATTCCCATTCAGGTTTACAGTGGAGAAACACAGCAATTTGCCTAATTTTCCCTCTCCCAGGTCAAGAGAAAGCCCTTCCCAGGCTCTCAGTCACAGTTCCTTAGACGTGGGTCCCCCAGATCCCCTTGTGTTCTGAAATGCCTGTGATGGGAAGGGGAGGGGATGGTGATGTGGTCTCCTGCCAGGAAAAGTTGCTGAAGGTTGGGGCTGGTGAAGGGGGTAGTGAGAGAGGGGCCTGCTGCCCTGCCTCAGGAATCACGTCCACTTCATGACTGGCTTTAGCAGCTGAGTCTAAAAGCTTTGGAAGGAAACGCTGGGTCCACCACTGGCTCCATTCCTGCCTCCCTTTCTGGCCTACCCCAGGATTCCTTGGCAGAACTTGGAATTTGGTATAGTCAGGGACAAACTCTTCTCTCAGATGCTTACTGTCCCAAATGGAAAGCAAGACCTAAGTGCATAATCCTAACCCACCATGGACAGACCCCTCTGGCTCCACAGCACCCAAAAGACCCCTCTGGTGAGGGGAGCAAGTCACCAATAATAACCCACAACACTTGCCCTGCACTGATGCTGCTTCAAAGGCCTTTCCTGTGCCAACCTACTGACATCCTTGCAGCTGCACCAAGGAACAGACTCCTCTTTCCCCATTTTACAAATGTCATGGCACATGGGGGCTAAGTGATATGTTCAAGGTCACACAGTTATAAATAGCAAAGACATGTTCCAATCTAAGCAATAACAACAGCAATAATAACAGCAACAGCAAAATAATATTAAGATAATTTTAATGATAAAAACACAATGTAGCATTTATTATATGCCAGGCACATGCAAGGGCTTTGCATCTATTAGCTCATTAAATCTGACGCCTACCCTGTGAGATAACTACTATCATTGTCCCCATTTTACAGGTGGAAGGGAAGGTCAAGGGAAATTCAGTCATTTGCCCAAGGCCTCGATACCATAAGAGTGTGGATTCAGGGATGTGCATGCTGCAGTGGCCAAGGCCCACAATCTTATGGGACAGCTGACCACCCAACCCCCAGCCAGATTCCTACAAGCCCCAGGAGTAAACACTCCCATGAAGAATCAGCTCAAGCTCACCTCCAGGCTGAGACAAAGGGTCACCAAGGACTGGCCACCACACGAATGCTTCTCCTTGGTCTTACAAAACATGAAAGGTGCTATTATCAGAAGCCATGCCTGCTTGCAAACTACAGAGGTGACACGAGGTAAATTCATTTCCTTCCTGTCAAGAGAAACTCAACAAGGGTATAATCAGAAGCTAATGTGTGTACTGTGATTGGGCCCATCACGGGGTGGCACATAATTGAACAAGTTCTCCATGCCTGGAGGAGCAGAGCCGAGCCCCATCACTGGGAAGTGTCACTCATCTGGCCAGCACACATTGGTTTTTAATAACATTATGGAAATAATGCTGCAGGGCTGTGGAAAGGACAGAAGCTTGAGGGGCAGGGCCTCATCAGGTCTCCGAGAGCTTTGACCTTGAGAAAGAACCTTCTGGCCCCATCCAGAATAGCCACTTTCCTCAGGGATCTCTCCTGTAGGCTTTGTGGATTTATGTCTCCTGGGCTTAAGGAACAGGGCTTGGTGTGGCTGAACCTTCTTGCTGAATGGATCCCAGGGGACCCCAGGTGAGCATTGAGGCCGGGTTCTCAAGAGACTGAAGGGGGTCGGGGGGTTACCAGAGAGAGGACAGGCCCTTTGCTTCCCCAGTAACTGTTGACAATGGTAATACCTCCATGGCCCCTACTATGAATCAGATAATTTTCTGAGGACTTTATGTATATTAACTCATTTAAACTGAAAAACAATCCATGTGATAGGTATTGCCATTGTCCTGATTGTATAGATAAAGAAATTGAGGCACAGAGAGGTGAATTTATCTAAGATCACACAGGTGGGAAGTTGTGTTTGAGCCCGGGCAGTCCATCATCCTAACCATACTCCCTACTGCCTCAATGAGCTGACACAGCCCAGCCCTGATAAAGGGGGTGGCAGAGGGGAGGGGGATGAGGTGCCTTCCTGGCTGTTGGCATTCATTTCATTCACATTTTTATCAGGCACCCCTTTCAACCAGATACTGCTGTAGGCACTGAGGATACAGTGGAGTATAAATAGATAAGAGTTATATTCTAGCGAGGAGACACAAATCCCATATAAATGTACAAATAAGACAATTTCAGAGAATGCCAAATACAATCAAGAAAATAAAACCAAGAGGTCATAGTGTCCGTGGCAGGAAAAGGTAAGTAAGTTATTTTAGAGAGGAGGAAAAGGTAACTTTAAGAACCAGAGACAACTGTTTAGGAGAAGGCCTAGCCAAGACTGAATAATTCATGTGTTAAGAGGTTTTCAATCACCTACCAAATACAGGAAGGAACCAGTCATTGAGGCTATTGAGAAGTCAAGAAGTTAGAGACCTATGAAGACAAAGGCAGCCTGGGCTCTGCTCCACCTGCCCACTCATGGGCCTAGGCATCAGAAGCTCCGCCATCTTGCACTGCAACCCTGGAAGCCACAGTCTCTTCAGTGCCATCAGGGAAGACAGCAACTGCACCACCACACACAGGCATCCCCTGCCCCAGCCCAGAAGTGATGCACATCCCTTAGTGCCTCATGTCCTGCCTAACAGTGGATGCTGGAAATTTACAGGAGCAACTGGAATATTCATAAGCCTAACTGCCTCGGCCACCAGCCCACAAGGGACACTAATGGAGACAGCAGAGTTGCGTGAGGGCTCACGAGCTAAGAGGTGGAACCCAGCCAGGCTGAGTAGAAAGTAAGCCATCGACAAGCAGGGAGTTAATAGGTTTTTCCAAATGAACGGTCCTTAATTTCAATTCATTGAGAGGTGAGGGATCAGGTGAAGGAAGCAAGGTGAAAAGGAGGATTAATCCATCCATCAAGGACCTTGGGTACTGAAAACATGAAAAGATGAATGCATTTGTGAGACATACTGATTCACTACCATGAGAAATAATTATCTTGAAGCTTATTTGGTCCCAGAATCAATCTTTATTTAACCGTACTTATTTTTGGTGGCTCATCCTGCTTGCCTCTCTTGGAAACTCAAGAAATGCTTTCTCTATTTTTTTTTTTGGGTAAATTCCAAAGACTTGCATATTTCATATTTTTCAACAGGATGATCTTTGTGTAGACTGACTGTCTTCCCTCTTCACTAGTCCTCTCTATCATTGGACCTCACCCGTAGTAATCACTCACTCCACAATCATCTTCTCTTGTTTCCTGCATCACTCATCACTACCTTAAAGTATTATTTATTGATTTATTATTTTTTTATAATCTGACTCTTCTATTGTAATATAAGGTGGGTAAAGACGGAGACCTTTCCTGTCTCCGTTGGCCACATCCCCAACACCACACCAATCAAGCAACAGACTAAGGACACAGCTAAATAAATGAACAAAAAGATAATAATAACAATCATGTGTTAGTCTTCATAACAATCTTCATTTATTCTTTTTGATTATTCCCATGTTACAAATGAAGAAATGGAGGCACAGAGAATAATTAAGTAACTTGCTCAAGGTTATACAGATATTGTAAAACAGCCAGGATTTGAAACCAGAGAGTTTGGCTAGAGGTTCCATGCTTTGTTGGTATAAATATTTAAGAAATATTTGTTGATTGAATGAATAATAAATAAATGAATGGCTTCCTTGTGTTTCCTGCCTTCTTTACCAGGGTTATTTGCCTTCAACTTTCACTGGACCCTCTATGTATCAGGCATGGTCTTAAATTCTCTTCACACATTATTCAGTTGAGGGTAGTCCCATCTACCATATCTCCATAGAATCGGTCCCAAGCCTGGTACTTAGAACTGCCCTGCATTGTCAGGCTCCCCCTTTGCCAGGTGGTGCCTCCCTAATCTGAAATCATGGACTGAGTACCTTCAAAAGAAAAATTAAACCAAAGATCAGGAGGAGATGCTTCTGACTTAGTGAGTCTAGAAGACCCTGGCCTCCCTTGCCCACTCTGCCCAGAAACTGAATCCCAGAGAGATGAAGTTATGGGTTTCATACCTGTGTCTGCCCATCAACCCAAGGGGGACAAATGCCAACATAGAATGACAGAGAGGGAAGGAAGAAAGTGTTTTTCCTAATTAATTGGCTCTAAAAGTGGAGAGGAACCAAGTTGGGTTATTATAGAAGCATCAGCGTCCGACACAGGTCTTCAACTGCCATGCAAATACCCCCTACTCTGCACCATGCAGTTCCCATGGTTTACTCTGTTGTGATGTAACTGTGCATGTTTCTACCTGAACCCATTGAACACGGCTTTGTGCTTGAACCTTGAACAATGCCTGGGACACAGTTGGTGCTCAATAAATAATGATGGGATAAATGAATGAGGGATCCCCATTCTCCTACCTACCTTGGCCTTGTCATCATCTCTCACTTTTGCGACTGCCAGATAACACCTAGCTCTATCCCCTTGAGCCATCCAAGTCTCAGACACATTCATATACTGACTGACCTTGAATACATACTCCCTTCCTGAAAGAGATGCTTCCCAGGACCCTGCATCATGGAAAATAGGAATATCATGGTAAACGTTGCTTTAATTGAACAGTGGAATCTATGCTAGTCTTCATGACGAACCTTGAAACACAAGAGTGCTGCAGTAACCATCATTCCTGAATTGTGGAACTTCACAGACTCAGGTTAGCCCCAAGTGATGCTTTGCTGAGCAATTTAAAACCCAGTCATGCAAAGCCAAGTGCTTTCATGTTTGAGAAACAAAAACATTTCAACTGCTCAGCACATCTAAATCAGTACTCCCTTAACAACCCACCTTGGTTCTTCCCCTTGATTCTGAAAGCCAATTTAGTAAGAAAAGCATATTAATAATCTTGCCCTCTCACTGGCCTTCCCTCCCTCCCTCCTATTCCAGCATCTTGCAGCTGGTACCTTGGGTCATTTGTTTTGTTTTTGTCCCTTAGGCTGAAGTGCGTCCACAGTTTTGAAACTGCTAACTAGAGTTTATATGGAAAATTCAGATTAGAAACAAATTCAAATGCACTCTCTCATTTTCCTGTAATACACTGGGTTTCTTCCCCCAATCAGCTAGAAGACTTGCTGGGTACCTCCTCATTGTGTCCTGTTGGAAAGTGTCTCTTCTGGTCACCTTGACTGTTAAATAAGTAAACAGACTCATTGGGGTTGCTGTGTCCTGTGACATTGGCACAGACTCTCACCCCAGCCAAGCATGCACATATCAATGGGCCACCATCTGTGGCAGAATTACCAGACCCAAGATGGAATTTGATGCATCTGTCCTGGTGAAATGGCATTATACTTCTGCCATATTCTTCTGGTTCAAGAACATTGTCCTCAAGCCCAAGGGACAGCCCTGTCCAGCATAAACATGATTAAAATGCCCATTGCCCGACTGCCCTGCTGACCAAGAAACATGGCCAAGCACAGAGTCTGCAAGCAGCCTGCATGTGGGTCTAAAGAAGAGGAAGGGGGAAAGTGTTTCCAGAAAGTAAGGTTGCCAAGATTTGAATCTCAATGTCACAATCTGGCTTTATGACCTTGGGTGAGTCCCTTAATCCCACAGAGCCTCAGTTTCCCCATCTGTAAAATGAAGAGTACCAATATCCTGATGTGTTGTGAGGATTACATGAGATCATTTTCGTAAAGCACCCTAGCACAGAGCCTGATACAGTGTCATTGGGAGCTAAGATTTACCAGCACTCATCATATACCAGGCCTTGTGCATGAACCCCACCTACATTATGTCATTAAGCATCACTGCATGCATAAGAAATGGGTGTTACCATCCCTATGTTACAACAGAGAAGACTGATGGTCAGAAAAGTTAAGTAACCTGCACAAAGGCAAGGAGGTAGAGACGAGTGAACTTAGGATTGGAACTCAGGACTCTCTTAACCACATGAAGAGAATCCAAGTGGAAGGTGCCTCCTACCAACGCTGAGATGAGGTTCGTGTCTGTGGGCCCCTGTCTGAGGCTGGTTGACAAGAAGCTTTAGAGAGACGCTTGGGGATGGCAGGCTTGCAGCCAGAGGCCAGGGTTTGACTCCTGTATGGGCTGTGTGACCAGGGGCCTCTTTACCGCTCGGGTGTGCTTCACCTCCTTCCTCCATAAGACAAGGACAACTGCATCTTCCCTGTAAGACTATTGGGAATAAAACAATAGGGCTTTGTGACCTTTGACCTAAGGTAGGATTCTTATACTACCCCATGCTCTATGACATGATAAGAAGACAGTACCAACACTCAGCACAGTGTTAAAAGATTCCAGCAAATAATAATGGATACTAACATAATAATAGCTACCATATATAGAATACATTATATTTCAGAAACTGTACTAAAACCTTAATTAAAGCACTTAATCCTCAATGCAACCCTGTGAAGTAGATGCTTTTTATTATCCCCTTTTACAGATGAGGAAACTGAGGCATGTAATGATTAGGTGACTTGCTCAAGGTCACAAAACTAAGTGCTGAAAACTTGGGATTCACATGGTTGCATCAAAACTTTATTGAAAGGATTGGTCAATCCAAGTGAACAACACATCTGGACTGTGCCCCATAGAAACAAGCATTTTAGTTTCACTAGAATCACCGGGATAAACAGAGGCAAGCTAACCCCTTTACTACAGGACATCTATGGTCTTTAACTTGTAAATACGAGGAAACCATCAAGAGGGAGATAGAGTATGCAGCCTTTCCTGAGCTTTGAGGGGCAACAGTGTGCTCTGACATACGATTCGAGATGTACCAAGTCTGAGTCATTTACCCTAAATAGAACAGCCTTCCATTGGCTGTTGGAAACACAAAGTAAAACCCAAAGAAGAGAGAAAGCAAAAGTGAAGAGGCCATTGTCCTCGATCCTTTATCTTTTGTTCTCTGATTCAGATCAGGAGAGGTGTGTATGCCTGCAGACCTGGACACCCGCAAGCCACATGCTGAATGAAGGCCCACAGAAGTCCCAAAAAAAGATGGAACCAGGGAAAGGAGGTCAGCCTGGAACAGTCCTGGGAAGCTGAGACCCAGCCCAGAACCTGCTGGAATCAATAGTCTTTAACACAACTGTGACATTAGCTTGGGCTGCTGGGATCCGTCTTGAAAGAAGAAGCTTTGTATATTTCTGCTCTTATTCCCCACAGGATCCAGAAATATATTTCTGTAATTCTTTTAGCTGATAAGTATGAAAAACAGAATTTTAAATATTCCAGTAGGGACCTGACAGAACAGGGCCATCTTCATTAGCTGCTGAATTTCCCAATGACTCCTAGAAATTGACACAATTAGACAAAATTAAGTGCTTCTGTCCTGAGGATAGGCCGCCACTGTTCTTTAGGGCATATCTTTGCAAAGGAAGGTGCTGGAATTCCTCACAAAAGCCACATCCCTCTCTCTCTCACACTCTTTCTCTGAGCAAATCTAAAATCTAGTGCCAAATTCCTTGGAGCTAATTCTAAAACCAGGAAAGCTTTTTGTAAGATTATAAAGATTGTATTGGACTTTGAAGATGAGTCCCTTTGCTCAGCAACTTACTTTCTTAATGCAATCCCTGAATTCTCCTTGCTATGCTCTGAATGTTTATGCCTGCCCACCCCCAATTCATACGTTGAAACCTCATCACCAATGTAATTATATTAAGAGATGAAGCCTTTGGGAGGTGATAACGTCATGGAGACAGAGCTCTCATGAATGAGATTCATGCCCTTATAAAAGAGCCTCCAGAGAGCTGCCTTGCCCCTTCCACCATGTGAGGACACAGCAAGAAAGTGCCATCTATGAACCAGACAGCGGGCCCTCACCAGACACCAAATCTGCTGGTGTCTTGACCTTGAACTTTCCAGCCTCCAGAACTGTGAGAAATAAATGTGCTTATCAGCCCCCCAAGTTTATGGTATCTTGTTACAGCAGGCCAAACAGACTAAGACATTCCTCCATCCTCCCATCGACTGGGCAAAAGGATAATATTACTTCCATTTCTATGGTGATTATGGAAACTCAGACCCAGCAAGTGGCTCCCAACCCACTGGGTGAGTAAGCAGGGAAACTGAGGTTAGGAAATGAACTCAGTTCCTTTTCTCCCCATCATCTTTTCTCCCCTATAAGAAACTTATCAGCAGTTCTTTTGCATGTAGAGTCAATCAGAAAATCATTAGCCAAGGTCAGACAAGAAACCACAGCTTTGGTTTCTTTGATTTCAAGGTTAGAATAAGAGCAATGGAACTTTAAAGAGCATGGATGGTAGTAACTGTCTCTGAGAAGCCAGCCACTCAAACTTTCCAGGCCCAGAATCAACATTTATTTGGAAAAACTTTTTGTTGTCCATTTTTTTAAAGAGCTCTAAACTTCCAGTGAGTCTTATGTAGATCTATTTATATGCCCATTTCTTCTTTTATTTTTTGAGACAGAGTCTCGCTCTGTCACCCAGCCTGGAGTATAGTGGTACGATCTCGGCTTGGCTCACCGCAACCTCTGCCTCCCAGGCTCAAGCGATTCTCCTGCTTCAGCCTCCCGAGTAGCTGGGACTACAGGCGCCTGCCACCACACCCGGCTAATTTTTGTATTTTTAATAGAGATGGGGTTTCACCATGTTGGCCAGGCCAGTCACAAACTCCTCACCTCAGGTGATCCACCAGCCACGGCCTCCCAAAGTGCTGGGATTATAAGCATGATCCACTGTGCCCAGCCTACATGCCCATTTCATAGGCAAGAATACTGATGCATAGGGCACACCACACTTTACAGGCACAAGAATGAACAAGTCTTTAGAGGGTAACTATTTCTTGTGCAAGAATCAAATGCAACTGCTGACACTTACAGTTTTATCACTGGTGACAGCATGAGTGGCTGAGTGAGCAGGATGAATCTTGAGCCTGGGGTGTAGACCAGAGCAGGGGCTTCCAGGTGCTCACACCTCTGGAAAGCAAGAGGAACTGGAACAGTTGGAGTTCAGAATAGGCTAAAAAATCTCCTGCCAGTCTTCACAGCAGAATCTCTGAGTGGAGCACACAGCCATTTTGAAGTTGGCCTACTTGGATGCCAGGGCTCAAAAATTCTAATGTGGCCAAAGAAACCTTCAGAGAACTACAGCAAATTCAACTGATAAATTTGTTCTACTCTAGAAAAGACACTGCCAAAATTCCAGTCCCTATCTATCAGGGACCTTGGATAAGTCCCTTCCCCTGCATGCATATCATCACAGACCATCCTCATATGGGGGTGGGGAGGGTGTCTCTCTCCCCTCTTCAGCTGCCTTCCTACCTCCAGGGGTGCACCAATTCACTGTGATGACCTCACAATCATGCCTGGTGATTATGAGGACTTAGTGGGATGATGCTCTGGGCAACCACAGGGATTGCTCACCGGTGACTCAGTGGTTGACTCAAAGGCTAGAGGGTGGTTTGGGGGTGGAGGCAGAGGTCCAGTGAGCTGGGCTCCACCCTTTCTCTCCCTGCAGTCCCAACTCCATTTTTATCTGTGCTATATGTTGGAGTCTAGCCAAGATGTCATTTGAACAAAGATTCTGAAAGATCAAAGAAAAAAGTTTGAAAACCACCAGGACAATGCTTTCAGGGGACTTTATCCAAAAGACTGCAACAATGTAAAGAGATACGATTGCTTTTATTACTGTGATATGTTTAAAGTATTATAAATTTTTTAAGAGCTTTGTAAGTGACAGAAGTGAAGACATGCTCATTTTAATGTTACCAGTCAACTCTGAGAAGACTAAAGGTCAAGGGACAATGAAAATGTGACCCTTACCAACGACAGAAACTCCCAGGAAGCCACAATTAACTCAAGACCACCAGGATATTTGGGGAAGTTTATCCTTCTGGAAACCAGAATTTCTGATTTGTGGAAAATTCTATAGATATTCTCTGCCAGACTCCAGCCTATTTGGTAAGCTGGCCACAGATGATTTAGAACACAATGACCCTGATACTCACTAGAGCTCTGAGTGTGGCTGGATAAGCCCATTTCAGCAGCATGTCAGCCCCTCCCTGAACTAGGCTCTGTCACTCAGATCTCAGATCTTAGGGCAGCTGTAGTCTGCCCCTTGCTTTCTTATTACCCCAGATAACCAATGTTATCCTCTGTTTTTCCTTCCTCCCAGGGGGAAAAGAATTCAGAACCCTAGTCTGAGTATATGAATTAGACTCTG
This sequence comes from Homo sapiens, assembly GCF_000001405.40. Classification (NCBI taxonomy): domain Eukaryota; kingdom Metazoa; phylum Chordata; class Mammalia; order Primates; family Hominidae; genus Homo; species Homo sapiens. The sequence goes on from NC_000010.11 coordinate 77,351,673, forward strand.
CAAATTGTTTATATGAGTCATTCTCAAAACTAGGTCTGGAGGGTCCCCAAGAGATCCACAAATTTCTTGCAATATTCATGTAACAATGTTCATCTCTTTAGATCTATTACCATTGAGTAACCCATTGATATTTAACAACAAAACAACAGCAAACACCATCCTGATAGCTTTAAAAGCAACCCTGTTCTTCTAATTGTTTCTAGTGCATGCTTTTTGAAGCTAAACTAGTAGACTGGATTGTCCTCAAGTAGACTGGCTCACCAAAGGTGTCCACAACAAGAACATTTCAAGTTCAGATTGGACAGGAATATTTATGAGGGTTTGACCAGTGCTAGACTTGCCAGACAATGTGCCTGAATAGTCTCCCTGAACTTCTCTCTTAAACACAAACAAGATCCTATGCTGGCTTTCTGGCCACACCTGTGCCAGCCACAAATGGGCTAAAACACGTGAAATGTGCTGTCCGCGTGCAGGGTTCAAATCAGATAACAAAATACACATTGACGGTTCTCTATAGAATGAAAAATATCCTACTTTCATTGCATGCTGGTGTTGGGTCAGAAAACAACAGTTTCTTATTTCTCCTGGTTAGTGGTCCTTTGGAAATCACAGAGGAAATACATGCAGAGAGTTAAGAGGACTACTTCACATCTGTTGTCCCGTGATGCTACTTAACTGAACACTACACTCATGTGCCCATTCCCGTTCCCTTTCCCCTTTATGGTAAATGTTGTCCCATATGACTTTGTGATTGATGGAAATGTTCTCTATCTGTGCTGCCCAATATGGTAGCCACTAACCACACATGGCTATTGAGTACTCAAAAGGTGGCTAATGCAAAGAGAAACTGAACCTGTAATTTCATTTAAACTTAAACAACCACTCGTGTCTAGTGGCTACCATATAAAACAGTGAACTAAGTCTAAAATTTAGGATCTTGCAGTACAGGGTGTGTGTGTGTGTGTGTGTGTGTGTGTTTGTGTGTGTGTGTTAACAAAACAAACACTGCTCCTTCTGTAGTGAGCACTGGCCTATGGCCAGGGTCTAAGGAATATGCAAAAGAAAGTGACTGGAAGTTTTAAGCTTTTAAGGTTTTATCAAAAGACATTTCTTACCACTCCCTCTGGGCAGTACTGTAGAACATCTACTAGGGAGAGGATGATATGAAGATAGAGAAGCAACAAAAGTACAGACACATTAGAGGCAAAATATAGATGCCACCTTGTAAACTGGTTGATAATTCAGAAAATGACAGCTCTCCCCGACTTAGTTGGAAAGGCAAAGGCCAAATGGGAAACATCAGTCTCTTCACGTCCATGGAAGACAATCCCCTGAATGCAAAATTAGAACTTGGTGGCTATTTCCTGATCCAGCCCCTTGTATTTTTCATGAAGCTTAAAGGAGATTAATGGGACAATCAGGATATTACAGATGAGAAGCACAGGCATTTCAAATGAGGCTGTGACAAATGGCTGGGAGGCCTTTAGAATGGGGGAAGAGAGGATGTGGAACAAGCCCTGGACTGGGAAGCTCCTCACTATGATTCACACCCTGGTCCTGCTAATGACCACCTGGCCAGGAGACCCTGGAGAGGCATCCAACCCTTCCCTGAGAGCCACTGGACAGAGGAATAGGAGCCCCATCACTGAGTGGTTGTAGGGCTCAAGAAGGATCATATTGGCAGCAAGAACTCCAGAAACTATAAAGCTCTATTTAGATGAATCACATTATTATTAAACAGTTCAATCAACATAATAATTATTAATAATAGCTAAGATTTATTCAGTGTCTGCTATTGCCAGACAATATATATGCAAAGTCTCTAGGGCTTACAGCAACCCTATAAGATATGTCTATCTATCCACATCATTCGTGCTTACTAGATGCTGTTACAAGTGTTTTCCATATATATGAAGGTATATATAATATATACATATATAATGCATAAAATTTGTAAATGAGTTAAATGAGGATTAATCCTTACAACAACCTATAATGTGGACATTACTTGTATCAATATTTTACAGATGAAACAATTGAGGCCAAAGAGATAAAGTGACAGCCACCATCATCCCAACTAAGTTGGAAGGCCAAATGACAAAAGGAAACATAAGAACGCAATTACCTGAATGACAGATTAGAACTCAGGGATTATTTCTTGATCCAGGCTTAGTCAATGGAAGAGCTGGGACATGAACGCAGGCACAGTTGGTGAACAGTAGAGCCAGGATTCAGACTCAGGCAGCCTGGCTACAGGGCCTGTTTTCTTCAACCCCATGGCATCCTGCCTCTTTTTTTGGGGGGGGGGGTGGTGGGGGTGGAGGGGTGGGGATGGAGTCTTGTTCTGTCACCCAGGCTGGAGTTCAGTGAGTGGTGCAATCTCGGCTAACTGCAACCTCCGCCTCCTGGGTTCAAGCGATTCTCCTGCCTCAGCCTCCCAAGTAGCTGGGACTACAGATGCGTGCCACCACACCCAGCTAATTTTTGTATTTTTAGTAGAGACAGGGTTTCACCATGTTGGCCATGATGGCACGATGGTCTCGATCTCTTGACCTCGTGATCTGCCTGCCTCAGCATCCCAAAGTGCTGAAAGTGACAGGGTAAGGATTTGAAACTCAGGCCTGCCTGCCTGTCTCCAACCACTCAGTCTTTTCTTCAGCCACCCTGCGTCCGTTACAATTCACACACTGTTTGTCACCACTGGCTAATGGCTTTGGATATTTCTTCCTCTTATCAGTGTGAGACATCTGGGGAGGCTCCCCTTTTTTTCACCATTTGAGGACTGAAAGTAAATTTAGCTTCCTCAGCAGAAAGAAAAGAAGCTGTTTTGGAGGTTGGGAAGAGCTTTAGAAAATGCGGCATCACGTCTGTTGCCCCATTTGAAGAAAGCAGCTCTGGAAAAGGCCTAGGACATTAGTTGCTACAAAGTTCTAGATCATTCTGTGTGGTAAGTATGCCATCATGCCCATAGCACTCTTCTCTGTCCACAAAATTCGTCATATACTAATAAAGAATGGGTGTCTTTGGACAAAGTCAAAGCAAGTTTGTCCAGAGTACTAACTAAGAAGAGACTACAGAGGGAAGCAAAAGGTAGTTCAGTGGCTGAATTATCCAAGGAAAGGCCTAGAATTTGAGTTGTCATAGACTGAGCATCAAAGATTATGTCTTGGAGCTATATAGAACCTTTACTGCCCAAAAAAGAGAGACTATGGAAACTTCAGTGCTCTGGTAAACATTTCTTTGATGCCTTACCAAAACATATGCCTTCTGAGCATTTGATATGGTTTGGCTCTGTGTCCCCACCCAAATCTCATCTTGAATTGTATTCCCATAATTCCCACGTATTGTGGGAGGGATTCCGTGGGAGATAATCTGAATCACGGGGTGGTTTCCCCCATACTGTTCTCGTGGTAGCGAATAAATCTCATGAGATCTGATGGTTTTATCAGGGGTTTCCACTTTTGCATCCTCCTCATTTTTATCTTGCTGCTGTCAGGTAAAGAAGTGCCTTTCACCTCCCACTGTGATTCTGAGGCCTCCCCAGCCATGTGGAACTGTAAGTCCAATTTAACCTCTTTTTCTTCACAGTCTCAGGTATGTCTTTATCAGCAGTGTGAAAACGGACTAATATAGCATCCGTTGTCCACTTCCTCCTTCCATCAGTCTGCAAAATTCCATTTGGGGATCCATGTGGCTTCAGGGAAATCAACTTTATCAATGTTCTCTGTTCCGTGGCAGCAGTGATGGGTTCAGGGATGGGCATGTGACCTAAGCCAGTCCAATCAGAGTGACTCTCAGGTCTTGCTGAAAGTGCCTGGAAACGATGCCATTTCCTTCCTGTTGGGCATGATGAAGGAAGCATCTAGCCCCAGGAGCTCCTTCAGTCATATTAGGGCCTAAAAGGTGCCAGCCTTTGATAAAGACACCAAAGGATATGAAAGATAGCATAAGACAGAACGGAGAGATGGAAAGAAGCCAGATCCTTGGTGATATTGTTGAGCCAACAGATCAAGTTTGGCCTTAAGTCAGCCCTAATTCTGTGCTTTTCAATTAGATAAGACAATACATGCCCTTTATTATTTAAGCCTATTTGTGTTAGGAGTTCTAGTCTTTGCAAATGAAAGCACCTAACTAATACTAATGTAGATCTCTGTGGCCATCCTTCTGGTAAAAGGAGAAGGCAGAGTCAAGGGTGACATTACATTTCCTGAAACTGGCAGCTCCATCTCATAGAAAACTCACGCATTACTCAGTGAAAAAACGACCCCCTGTACACAATATCCACGTGGGAAACTCCTACTCACTCATCAAGACCCATCTCTAATGTCCCTTCTGTCTCCTAGACTACATTTACGTAAAATTAATCACTTCCTTCTGTTTTACTTCCATAGAGGCATATTACTCATTCTTTTATGTAACTATAAACACAGAGCAATTACATACAGCTCAAGGGCAGAGAATGTCTTATTCATCCCTAAATGCATCAAACCCAGCACAAGCACATAGATGCTGGATTCTCCAGGTTGCATGGCCTTTAACAAGTTCTCTACCATTCTGACCCTGTTTTCTCTCCTGTAAAATAGGGCTAATTGTATATGTCAGAGGATTGTTGTGAAAAATATCAATAACGGAAGCTACAGGAATTTCACTAAAATGTGTTTAATTATAGTAAAATTAAATTGATACATAATTTTGTAAATCTTCAATAGTCTTTAGCTCAATATTGATAGCCAAAAATTAAGCCTGGAGGATAGAAATAACTTCTTAACTCTACAGTTGGAAAAGTGTGGGCATAGAACTTGTCTTTGCCTTCTAGATCAGGTCTGTGTTGGTAAATTAGACACCGTGTGGCCTTTCAACATCCAGGAGCAAGATGGCAGGAGAATCATGCCAACAACTGAGGTACCTTGCAGGAAATCAAACAGGAAGAAATCACCCAATGGGATCAGCTGGGCAAACATGGGTCACCCCAGGTCTGGTCCCTCAAGTCTACCCAACCAAACCATATCATAGTGGATAGCTATTATCTTTACCTGACTAGCATTCATTGCCCCTTCTGGTATGCCCTATTCCCCACTCTCAATCCCTCTGTTTTAAGAATGCGCCCACCTCCACCTTCCATCTCCAGGAGTGATATCCACCCAGGTTTGCTCAGTAAGACTATGAGACCTATCTTCCTGGCTGTGGTGATTGGTTCAGAAGCAACATGCCAACCAACCTGATCCAATGAGAGTGAGTTCTAGGACTTTTGCTGGAACTACTGTATGTCTATATATAAAAGAGAATCTATCTTTCTATTGAAAGCCAAAGGTAAGAAGCCAATATGATATGCATTTGATTCTGTTACGGAAATCCACATAAAAGAAGGCTGCCCAAGTATAAAACCAACACAGAAGAAAGCAGAGGTAAGAGATGGAAAAAGAAATGAGTGAACCAGTGACAGCAAGAGACTGAAGAACATCATTTGATTGCCTGGAATCAGCTAAGCCTGAAGAGAAGCCTAACCCTAAGCTTTTCAGTTACCCAAGCCATCAAATTCCCATCCCCATTTTTTTGGTTCTTAAGCAGCTTGAACCATAGTTGTCTCACTTGCATGCAAGAGATCCCTGAAGATACATGCAGTTCCTCAGGTGAAGATTGCCATCAGTTAACAGATCCTGGCACCCATGGACCCTGGGACAGTCATTCTGGTAGCATCCTCTGGTAGAGAATAACATAGTCAAATCTGACAGTCAGAGAGTATCTGCCAGCCTCTGCTTAGATATAGCCCACTGAAAGGGAGAGATGATTAATTTAGCCTTGATTTCAAAACCTTGTCTTGTATATTCCATTCAGCACTTTTTATCTTCCTGTATTCCCCTGGTTCCTCTCTAGCTGAATAAAGAACAATTTTTAAAGCAAACATCTTCACTGTGTATCTAGCAAAGCTTTCTGCTTCATTGGAATATGTGATTTATTTAAAAAATTAAATTTCCCATGAGACGCAATAATTTAAATTAAGAGAAAAGCTTGTCTTTCTTAAACTTCAGTTTCTACATACAAATTGATGTTTTATAGATTCCAGAAACTTTCACTGTTATGAAGATGGCTCTCAGTTTTCCTGCTGGATTCAGATTCTCTTCATGACTTAAAACAACATGAGGAGGATGAGTCACAACTGTAAGCTGGTGAAATGCAGAAAGAACCACCTAGGAATTCAAATGTCAGCTTAAGAAAGACAGAATGGCTTAAAAATCAAAGATGAGATGAAGTGGACTGGGGGTCTCGGGAACACCAAGTCACAAAATCAGCTTACAGTCAGAGGGAACTTGCAAATGATCTGATTCAAGATACAAAGAAAGGTTTTAGTTCTTGAGGACTTTTTCCAGATAAATATTTGAGCCAAAGCACAATATAAGAAAAAGATGCAAGTGGAACAGCTCCTTCAAGCAGTGGGGGATGTTAAGGAAAAGCAGGGAAAATCAGCTGAGAATCCTCCGTCCCACCCCCAAGACTCCTGCAACCTAGCTGAGAGCCACAGAACTGGTCCTCTCTCTCCGGCTGTTCTCCAACATCCCAGAGCCTTAGGTGGGGCTACACTAAGAGGAAGTCCTCCAAGGAAACTCTCAGGATTAGACCAGTCTTTTTCTGCTAGTGGTCTTTGATAAGCCTACATGGTAAAGAGTGGGATTCACTGACTTATCTGTAGTAGATATTATTAAATATGTCTCAAAGCATCTCCCCCACCTTCTCACACCCACCCATTAGAACAGGATGTTATCTACAGGCTGATACCTCCCCACTCCCTCCACCTCCCTTCTAATACATGGCACCAAGACACTGCCTAGGACCTAACAAGTGATTGGCCCCTCCTTCTCCAAGACATTCCCCTCTTCCTTTTTCTCTTTTAAGCCCAGAGGGCCTGACCCTCTAACGCCTGTCCCAGACCACTCTCTCCCTCCAGGAGCCTGCCAAGTTGAACACAAAGTCCTACCACCCCTGCCCTCAACACAGACTTCTCCAAAACAAGTCCACAAACACCATTCAGGATGATTCCTGCTAAGACCCACAGGGTGGGAGTGATAAAATTTCCAGTAACATCTACCATGATATTACTTACAATCCTAAAAGAGGAAATGTTCTGTATTACATAAAACATGTCCAAGGTCCTCCTACAAGTACGAGTGAATCCGTGCCTGGTTCTTCTTTGTCTTCGGATCCTGCCACCTCATCCCTGTCGTCATCTGTCTAAGTTTTGCTTTAGAAGCCACCCTCGGTCAAACCTTCACTCTCTTACACAATGAGCTGGGCATCCTCAGTTTCCCCTTCATGCTAAAAGTAAGCCCCATGTTTTGTGCATGTGCCCACACCATTTCCTCAAGTTCTTGCTCCTAAAGGTAACAGGGCCTGGGTAAGGCACTTCCTGCAGAGATCAAAGGAGACTCGTTCACACCCAGGAGGAGGAATATTCTTCCTGTTCTACCCCATTTAACCCTGTCCCCTCAACCCAGAGGTGTCCTCACTGTCCAGCAAGTGCTTCAGGCCTGCAGTTCTGCTGTTACCCTATTTTGAATCTCATAGGTGTGGAAGCATGTGTTGGCGGGGAGGGGCAGGAAGGTTTGTCCGCCAGGAAGAAGAAACGAGTGTGTCGGTATGTGTGTGTGAGCGCCGCAATGACAGTGCTGCCACCGCTGCTGCTGCATGTGCTGGGTCTTTGAATGTGGCATCTGTCGGGCTCAGTGAGGATGACAGATGTCTCTCTGCTTTATGAACAAACAACACAGGCCTGTGGGGTGACAAAAACAGCCTCAGCCCAACCAGAGCGGAGAGGTGCAGTTCTCTGGGAATAATCAGAAGACAGCAGCGTAGGAGTCCAGAGTCTACCACACACCTGCTCCCCTAAAAAAGCATGTTCTCATTATGAAACCTTAGAAGGCAGCTCCCACGCCAGGGACAAGTATAAGGGAGCCTGTGTGGCCTCATTCATTACCAGATGAACCACTCATTCAGGGAAGTCTTGAGGCATGTCCAGGAAATGGCGCCCCAAAGACCCAGTTAACCCACAGGGTGAGTGCCCACGGAGATGGGAGCTCTGGGGGTGACACTGTTGAGCCAGTGGATCAAGCTTCACCCTGAGTCAACCCTAATTCTGTGTTTTTCAAATAAATAAGCCAATCAATTTTCCTGTTCATTTCTGTATCCCCAGCACCTAGAACAGTGCCTGGCACACAGTAGGTGCCCAGTGGACATTCGCTGAAAGAACAAACGAATGCCAAGGCAGAAAATGGGGGTGAGAGGCAAAGATGTATAAAAAAAGAACTAAGCAGAGCAAAGCGATAAGAAGAATATTAATAATATGAACCACAAAGACAGGAAAGTCATCTGATTTCAATACACAAGAGTATAAACTCATTATGGATGCTGAATTACACTAGTGATAGTTTAAATATTTCTTGGAACTGAATATGCACATAAGAAGAGCCCATCCCAGGCTTGAATGAGTGCACATTCTTGTCTTGGAGAAAAGGAAGAAAAATATATAAAGCAATAGGTACAATACAATGCAACAGATGTTCTAGAACAAAGGCCTGGAGCTATGATTCCAGGGCAGCCTGCAAAGATCTCCCAGTGGAGCTGATGATTAGCAGGCCTTGAAGCAAGGATGGAAGCCTGGCAAGAGGCAGGTCAGTCATCACAGGCAGGGATGACAGCTTCCAAGAACTATGTCGTCTGTGAGCCCAGGGGCCAGAGAGCTGCTGGGTTTCCCAGTCTTTCCAGGCTATGGCCAAACTGATGAAGCCATCCTTGTTTCAGTCTCTGATTCCTTCAGAGAAGAAGAAAGAGTTGAGTCTAGCAGAGTCTCACTCTGCCTGGACGCCTGCTGTACCAGGAGAGCACTCCCTCCACATGCCACTCTAAACAGAAATACTCCCCGGAGCACCTGGGACGACCGGCATCCTCTGCACTTCCAAGGCCTTCACTCTTCCCAGTTTTGCTTACTTCTTCTCATCTTCCCATTCACTTCCCAGATGTGTTTCTCGGGTCTCCAAAGGGAAACTCAGGGGAGAAACTGAGTCAAGCTACTTTAAATCTCCTTTCCTACCTGGCCCTTTCCACAGCACTCAGCCCAGAAGAGGTGCTCTGGGTGAAACAAAGCAGCAGTCGGAATCTCTGCAGGCCACAGGGAGGGAGGGACGGGTAGAATCAAGGAGTGGGGCACTAGCACGGAGGCCTGAGCCTCCTCACTGCCAGGATGAGGGAGCCGCAATGATCTGGGGTACTGGCAGCTCTGGGAGCCTCTGAATAGTGACCCTGGGGCTCTCAGAAGTACTAGGTCAAGGTGTCCCGGTGGGCACAGCTGGGCTTAGTCATCAAGACATGGGTACAAACCTCAGCTCAGTCACCATCCAGCTGTTTGAGTCTGAAAGTTACTTAATCTCTCTAAGCACAGATGTTCTCATCTATGAAAGGACTATAATGCTTGTCTTGCGGGGATGTTGTTAGAATTACATGTGATGAGGTCTAAATTGCTCCTAGTACAGAATAGGCAATTGGTAACTCTTAACTACTATTAGTGTAGTATTATCATGATCGTCATCGTCATCATCATCATCATTGGGGCAGACAAATCTCAGACCAGGCCTGAGAATTCCCAACTCTGAATTCAGAGCCTTTTGCTCCAGCAACAGAAATGAGAAGGTAAGGCCTAAAGTAGAACAAGACTAGAGGAGGCCCTGAACAGTGCTGGGCGCCCAAACAGGGACTTCCTCCCAGGAGGCCTCTGTGCCACTGGCCTGGGGTCTCATCATCACCGCCAGCAACAGGGTGACTGGCTGCCCCCTGGATTTTCTGCAAGCAAAGAACAGGAGGGCAGAGCAGAAAAGCCCGGGAACTAATGAGATTCAGAGAGCTCGAAAATTAGAGGTGCACGAAAGGAGTTTCCGCCTAATTGCTCTGACACCTCCCACTCCCACTGCCGAGTCACTGCAAGGAGCAGGCGAGTGCAGGAGCAAGAGGGGATCCATAGGTCTGCTGGTCCAGGTCACTGCTCTCTCCAGGAGCACTGGCTCCAGTTGGGAGTGGCCCAGGGCCTTTCTGCGGCCTGGCAGGACAGGGTGGCCACTGCCCGTGGCTGGCCCAGAAGAGTCCACCTTGTGGGTCAAGAGCTGCCCAGGCTGATATGTGCCTTAAAAAGCGGGAACGAAAGCAAGGCAGCACACAGCAAGCCCAGGCACCTCCTCAGCCTTGCAAATGGGAGCTGGTGATATGGGCTCAGGAACTGCCATTTCTGACCCAGCCCAGACAAATGTGGCCCAATTCTCTGTTCCCTTGGAGCTGAGCCCATTTGTAGCCATGCCAGGCCCAGGGTCTCCCTCAGTGGCTGCTGGCAGTTGATAGCAGCTGTCCTTAGAGCCTCAGCTGCCTCTCCTGCGCTGTGTCCTCCCTAAGGGGCTTCCAGATCGGTTGTCTCACGCGAGGCTCCCAGCAGGCTGGAGGAGGGCAGGCTGGCAAGGCAGCCACACTGCCCCTGCATCACAGAGGAGAGGAGGGTGGCCCACTGACAGGCCAGAGGCAAACTGAGACCCTTCCGATCCATTGTCCCTTCCCTGCACCCCCAAGAACAATGACTTAGCCCCAGGACACATCCTTAAGAAGAGGGCATCCCTAAATACCACCAGCCCCCACCCCCTATCCCCCCCCACCCCCCCCACCCCACACACACACACACACGATGCTGGGATAGGCTGTGAGACAATATGGAAACAGCCAGAAAGATTTGCATTCAAATCCAGGTTGTGTCACTTCCTGCCCATATGTCTTTGGGTGCTTTATGTAACCCCTCTGAGCCTCAACTGCTCCATCCATAAAGCGGAGCATGACTGGGAGGGATAAATGGAATGGCAAGAGGAAAACACAGTGCCCAGAGGACAGCAGGCTTTCAATAAATGTGAAATGCTCTCAGCATGGCCCTGCCTGACGTCCTGCCTCAGACCCCGCCGTCCAGCTCACAGGACAAGCCACAGCCTTGTAGGACACTAGAATTGCTGCCAGTCTGCCTTCAGTTCCCTTTGTTGTTTAGGAGTCTCCCCTGGACTATCAGCTTATAAGAAGACATGTATCCATCACAAGGGCCTCTGATAAATCTCTTCACGGACCGCTTGCTTATATCAAGAGGCAGAACATTTAGAAAAGACATAGTGCCTGCTGCTGTCTGGGCCAAGCCATCCCACAAGCAGGCTGAAGTGTGAGAGAGGCAGATACATTCCCTTTCAAAATGTCTATGGTCCCCTGGTCCATGATATAATAGGAGAGATGCACAGCTGGCTTAGCTTGCGCCGTCTCCCAATGCGGACAGGCACCTGGGAGAGCCAAGATCGTTAGCCCTCCAGGCAAACCATTCAAGTCCTCGTGCTGTCAAGGTGACTTACAATATTGAGAGTAGTTTGAGATTGTTAAGAATTATTATTATTTTTTTTTTCTGAAAAATACACAGTGAGTTTCTCAACTCCAGTTTACTCCAGCTAACACCACAGCTTTACTGTTCCTCTTCCAATCAATAGTGGAATGAAATGATCCAGTTGGAATTCCAGTTCAGGCCACAGAGCTGACATCTTCTGGATTCCCACTCCTGGGGATTCTCAGACCCAAAGGCAAAATGGGCCCTGGTCATGGGAAAGTCCATGGCTTTAGATGGGCAGAATCTGCAGCCACTGAGGCTGCAGCACACAGCAGGGACCAAAGCCAGGAACAGCCAAGGACACTCAATGCCACTCCTGCCTTATGCCAGCCCTCAGGGTGAGTGCATAAGCTCTTCCCATAAAAATGGCATTTGCACCCTTAGTAACCTTTTATTCAATTCAACTTCATCTAGTCCTAGTAAATAGAATTACATTACTTCCTTGCTTAAAACACTTCCATGGTGCCTATGCAAAAATGTAAAATACTTTCTCTGGCACACAAAGCCCACATGCTCTTGCCCTCCTCTCCAGCCTCCTTCATGCCAGTCACTGGCTTGGCCATCCAATTCAGACTCCCTGGCTTCACTTCTCCTTCCTTGACTGTGCGTAGCTCTTTCTTGCTTTGTAGTGAGACATACACTCCTCCCCGTCTTTGTCCAGTTAATTCCTGCTCCCTTTTCTGGTCTCAGCTCAAATGTTGCCTCCTCAAGAAAAACTCCCCTGACTGCTTCCCAGTACAATTTATTCCCACTCCTGCCCCCTTCTCTCCTATAGTTCCCTGTTCTTTTTAAAATGGACTTGTCAATATGCATGACGATATGTTTTTGTGTTTATTGTCCTCGCTCTCTGACCATGTAAACTCTATGAAGCCAGAGAGAATATCTTATTCTCTCGACCAGTTTGCACAATGCCTGACACCTAGCAGATCCTCAACAACCTTTGTTGAATAAATGTGTCCATTTATTCAGTTCTCCAATGTCTGACTTCATTCAATCACTTATAATTAAAATGCCAATTTTTATAATCTCCATGAACCATAAATTAAGAAATCACTGTGCGGCCGGGCGCAGTGGCTCACACCTGTAATCCCAGCACTTTGGGAGGTCAAGGTGGGCGGACTACCTGAGATCAGGAGTTCAAGACCAGCCTGGCCAACATAGCAAAACCCTGTCTCTACTAAAAATACAAAAATTAGCCAGGTATGGTGGTGTGTGCCTGTAGTCTCAGCTACTTGGGAGGCTGAGGCAGGACAATCTCTTGAACCCCAGAGGCAGAGGCTGCAGTGAGCCAAGATCGTGCCACTGCACTCCAGCTTGGGTAACAGAGCAAAGCTCCATCTCAAAAAAAAGAAAGAAAAAAGAAAAGAAAAAAAGAGAAAGAAAACACTGTCTTCCAAGCTGTGACTGGAGGCTTACATTAACTCATTTATATTTGTAGTTAGTAACATCACCATTTTTAAATGAGTGAACCCTGACCCCAAGAAGCTAAGTAACCTTATAAGTCATAGAATCAGTAAGTGGCAAAACCATAATTGAAACCTCTGGCTCATAACTTCTCACTTTTCCTACCAAATGACACAAGTGGCTACAACCTGAGTGGCCAGGCCTGAATGGGTAGCCAGTCTAGAACTGCCTTGGTCCCCAGCCCCACAGCACCTGGGACAAGACCCAGAGTGGCATCCTCCTCCTCCACAGCAGAGGAGACTACTTAGGCAATGAGATGAAATTGGCACGTTTACCTGCCTCTGATTAAACAGAGTTTTTACTGGACAGCAGTTGTTGAAATAATTTGGGCTATAAATAAATAGGAACCGGGCTAGAATCTGAACCTGCTTACAAAGCTAGTCCTTTTCCATTTGAGTCATAACAAATCCAATCCACTCGGGGAAAAATTAGGAAACAAGGGGGAAAAGCTTTCAGTTTCTGTAGCATTTTAATGAAGGATTGATTGAGGTTTTATGCAGCAAGAAGGGCACAGCTGGGGAGTAATTGCCAAGAAAATTGAGGTGCAAGAGCCATTTACATAGAAGAATCAACTAAGGTTCCTCACCAGTGCTCAACTGAAAGCAGTAGCAATTGGACCAAATGACAAGCATCACAATCTCACTCTCTAGCACCCCACCCTAGGAAACAAAGCCACCTTGTCACTGTCTCCTTCAAAAGTACCACAACCCAACCCAAGACAGGCAATGGCAATTCATGTGCATCCTCCACTCCCAAGCCTTCAGCAACCTAGATACTTTGTCTGGGGACCTTCTGAAGAGGAGGCTTTAGTTGACTTCTTCAAGATCACTTACTACCATAGACGATGGCTAAAGCAGGACTGAATTCCAGATGTTATGATCCTAGAGAGTCTCTCAATCAATGGTAGAACTCTCATGCACAATCTTCTTTGGTTGGGGGCAGAGGAGGGGTAACTTGGAGCAGGTGATAGTGTGGCTCCCGACAGGCTAGCCACTTTACAAGGATTCACCTTCTGTCCCTTCACTATGTATCAGAAGCTACACTTTATGGCCACGTTTTGTTTCCTCTTTTCTTCCTCTTCCTCTTTACTGTACCTCCATCCATCCTTTTATAGTGCCGCTTTCACCTTGGTGTGTGAACTTGCCGCTGACTTCCCAAATGAGTTCTGAGAACCGATTTCCTGTGCTTTGTGCTCTGTGATGGTTCAGCCCACTCATCACACCTCTCATGGAGATCTCTGGCACTTTGGTGGGCCCTACTTAGAAACCATCTTCCTCCTTGATCCTTCACTAACAAGTTCTATAATCTTAACCTCCCAGGGTCTCAGTTATACTACCTGCAAGATGGGCAGAAGAATTCCAGCCTAGATCCCCACACAAATGTAGGAAATCCAAAGACAATAATATATAAGGGCTTGGAGAAAAGAATAAAACTCAGACTGCAGTGAGGTGAATAATTCAGTGCATCCTCCTTATGCAGCTGGAGTTAATTCCAAGGAAGCACTTTGCAAATTCTCAGGTACTATGCATGTTCTTTCTTTCTTTCTTTTTCTTTTCTTCTCTCTCTCTCTCTTTCTCTTTCTTTCTTTCTTCCTTCCTTTCTTTCTATTTTTGAGATCACGTTTCTGTCTTGTCACCCATGCTGGAGTGCAATGGCACGATCTCAGCTCACTGCCACCTCCGCCTCCCAGGTTCAAGTAATTCTCCTGTCTCAGCCCCTGGAGTAGTTGAGATTACAGGTGCCTGCCACCATGCCCAGCTAATTTTTGTATCTTTATTAGAGACAGGGTTTCACCTTGTTGACCAGGCTGGTCTCAAACTCCTGACCTTAGGTGATCCGCCCACCTCAGCCTCCCAAAGTGCTGGGATTACAGGCATGAGCCACCACGCCCGGCCACATGTGCTTTTTAACATTTTTATTATTTCATTTTTGGAGTCATTATTATTTTTGTTACACCACACAAATTGCAATAACATTAAGAGATTGAGATGATGATGGTATGAGGGTGGTGTTGGTGATGACAGTGATGATGACAGCAATGTTGCTGATGTTCCATAGTGGTAATGGTGAAGATGATGGTGATACTGGGGAGATATGATGGTGGTGGTGATGGAAGTGATGCTTACATTACAAGTCCACTCTACACACACATGTTCTTTACAAATGTGGATGAACCCTATCTCCTGCATGGAGTGGGCAGCACAGATTGTGGAGGAAGCTGTTTTCCTTCCCTGGCATCTTCTGTTCTTGGAAATCAATGAATGTCCTTCATTATTTTCCCCATAGTTCCTAAGAGGATACTTTCCTGCTTCTGAAACATTCACTATTTCTATAAAGTCAGTTTGTCTTCATTCTGTAAGCTCCTCAGCAACCCTCACTATTTGCCATGATGCTGGTCACCGGGCCTACAAGACATAGATCTTGTCTTTGAAAAGCCTGTGTTCCTAGGGAGAGAAACATCTGAAAAGTGAAAGAACATGAGAGCAAAATAGCATGCATACTGCATTAGAAGGTGCACCCTCATTCCGCACGGGTGTGTCAGGGACTGGCAGGGTCGGGGATGGCTTCCCTGGGAAGGTGCCTTTCAAGCTGGCCAGTGACTAAGGGGTCACTCATCCTCCAGGGAATGGGTGGATAGAGAGCACTCTAGGCCACAAACAAAGCAGAGAATATACACTGCTGTAGGGTATGATCTGAGGGATATGGGAGATTTCAGGGGAAAGAGCTTACTTTAAGTTTTTTGAAGTGATAAAATATTTGAATTTTATCTTGGAAGAACTATGGATCCGTTAAAGGTCTCTCAGCGTAGGAATGAAATGAGCTGAATCTGCATGTTACGATGTTTCCTCTGTAGAGCCTAACCCCCTCCACTTGTGTTCCCAAGAGCCCCAGCATCACTCAGGAGCTTATAAGAAATGCAGAGTCCCAGGCCCCATTGCTAAACCTCTTGAATAAGAATCTGCACTTTTCAAAAGTTTCATTTTCTAAATTACTATACAGTAAATTTAATTTTTTATTTTTGGTGTAAAGTTCTACGAATGTTAGTATATGTGTCAATTTGTATAGCCACCACCATAATCAAGATACAGAACAACTCTGCCCCAAAAACTATCTTGCATTATCCTTTATGATCACACCTATCACCCCTACCCACTAATAACCACTAATCTGTCCTCTGTCACTACAGTTTTACCTATCCAAGGAAGTAACATAAATGAAATTGATATAATATGTAACCTATTAACGCTGGCTTTTTTAATTGAGCAAAATGTTGTTGAGATTCATCCAAGTTGTTGCTTTTATCAATAGTTCATTCTTTTTTGCTACTGCATGTATTCATGGTAAGGATGTATCACAGTTGTTTTAGCCATTCACCCACTGAGATTCTTCCTAGTTTTGGGTAATTATGAATAGAGATGCTACAAACATGTATATGAATGTTTTTTCTGTAAACTTAAGTTTTCATTTCCCTAGGGTAAATATCTAGACATTGAATTTCTGGTAATATGCTAAGTATATGCTTAATTTTATAAGAAAACTTCTAAACTGTTTTCCTGAATAGCAACATTGTTTTGCATTCCCATTAGTAATGTCTGAGAGTTCCAGTTGCCCCCCATCCTCATCACTACTTGGTATTGTTGGTATTTTTATTTCAGCCATTATAATAGGTGTGTTCACATCTCATCATTGCTTACACTTGCATTTCCCTAATGGCTAAAGATGCTGATGTTCTTTTTCTGAGCTTATTTGCCATCCAAATATCCTCTTTGATCATGTGTCTATTCAAGTCTTTTGCCCATTTTCCAGTTGGGTAGCTTGTTCTCTTCCTGTTGAATTTTGAGAGTTCTTTATATATCCTGGCTATAAAGCCTTCTGTAATATATGTGATTTTTAAGTATTCTCTCCCATTATGTAGCTTATCTTTTCATTCTCATAATAGTATCTTTCACAGAATAATAGTTTCTAATTTTGACGTGTCTAAGTGATCCATTTTTCTTTTGTGAATCATCTTTTTGGGGTCATGTCTAACTTACCTAAGTTCAGATCAGAAAGATTTTCTCCTATGTGTTTTTATCAAAGCTTTATAGTTTTACACTTATATCTGTGATCCACTTTGAGTCAATTTTTGTATAAGACATGAAGTTTAGGTTGAGCTTTTTGTTTTGTTTTGTTTCATTTGCCCTTGGATGTCCAATTGTTCCAAGACCATTGTAGAAAAGACTCCTTCTCCATTGAATTGTCTTTGTACCTCTATCAAAGCAATTGACCATATTTGTTGTAGGTCTATTTTTGGACTCTAGTCTACTCCATTGATCTATGTGTCTATCCCTTTGCCAATATGACACTGTCTTGATTACTATAGCTTTATAGCAAGTGTTAAAATCAGGTAGGGCGATTGGTGATTTCTTCAAATATACACTTCTTTTTCAAAATTATTTTACCTATTCTAGTTGCTTTGCCTTTTCACATAAATTTTAGAAATTGGTTTGTTTATATCTGCAAACAGTCCTGCTTAGATTTTGGTTGGAGTTACATTAAATCTGTAGAGAAATCTGGGGGTGAGCTGGCACCATTACTAGGATGAGTCTTCCAGTCCATGAACATGGTATGTCTTGCCATTTCTCTAGGTCCTCAGAATCTGCATCTTAACAAGAATCCCAGGTAATTTCCCTGTACATTAGAGTCTGGGAAGCACAGCTCTAGAGTGGAAATGACAGTGAAGTCATCTGGGAGGATTTACAAAATATGGAAGCCTAGACCTCACTCAGACCAACTGAATAAGAATCTCTGAAGGGGGACCTAGGTGCTGGAATTTTTTCTATGTCTTGTAGGTGATTCTAACTGGCAGCCATGTGTGAACCTCTACTCTAAACCCAGTCTGGGCTCTTGTGGCTCTGGCCCTATGCTCATTAAATCAATCTGATTAAGGCCATCAGTTCATTCCTTTTCAACCCTAGATGTATATTGGAATCCTTTGAGGATAGAGGTTACTTCAATGAGAATTTTCAAGAAAAAATTCTAGTTGACAGATTCACCAAACTTCCTCTGAGGCCCCACCTATATTTGAGGATTACCTTTCCCTGCCCAACCCCAGGAGCTAGAACAACATTCCAGAAGTTTTAACTCTCAACTCTAAAAACCTGCTCTCTTTTTGGAAGTCTCTCTACAAGTTACTGAGGCAGGAGGAGACAGAGGAGAGAGGGAACATGTGTGCACACAAGAGAAATGTCCAATTGAATGAGTCTGATCAATAAGATCTATGACTCAAAAATACTTGCTTCATGGCAAGGGAACATCTTTTGCTTTCATATCCATCTCACATACCTGCTGAGTCAAGGAAACAGCTCCATATTTAGGAGAAAAATCCTCTTCTAATCTCTAAATGCAATCGAAGGTTTTCTATGTCTTTTTCTGTGGCTCCTTGGAAATGTTAAAGGCATGTCTCAGCTACAGCAAGGTGGGGCATGACATATTGCCCCCCAAAATATGAACCAATTGAATGTCGTCTGAAGTCAGCTCTGTTTCTGTTATCTTTTAATGGATTTTAGGTAAAGAAGTGTTGATGTAGATAAAATAGATATAAAACCAAATTCTTCTGCTTTGGATGTGCACCAACCCCAGCAGGCTAAAAATAGATTCAACTGCATCAATAATATTTCTCTTTAAAGTTGCAGGTCCTTTGGGGGTTTGGAAACATTCAGAGAGGATAAAAGGGGAGAAAGATATGAAAACAGCAGAAGCTGCAGTCTAAGCCTCCAGGTGGGGGCCTTGGGGACAGCCATGCTGGAATGCCTGATTTTTACATGTCCAAGTACCTATTTCCTACCAAAAAAAAAGCCCTTCCACATATGATAAGAACACATCTTTTCTTGCAGGGCTGTCAAGTTCATTCTAAACACCCCTGCCGCTGCCTGTTTGAGATTGATGCCTCTCCAATCTCTAGCTCTTTGTTTGAAATTAAACATCCAAAGACCTTTAGAATAAAAAAAGTCAACATACAAATGAAATGCATTTCAACATGCATCTCAACTGCAGAACCACAGCATGTTGAGACTGGACCAAGCAAACCCTGAAGAAGTTTCCCCTCTTGCTCCTCTGTGGTAGATGACCTATCCAAGTTCACACAACAGGTAACATGGAGCATGTGGAGAGACTCAGCATAGGCCAGTGCAGTAGCGGGGTCTACTGGAAAAGACTTGGCCTTTGAAGTCTCATTCCAATCCCAGCCTTGCATTGACCAACTCTGTGACCTTGACCTTGAAAAAGTAGAGTCACAGTGCCCTCTACTTCACAGGGTTGTTTGGAGAATTACTGAAAATGTGCACAAAATACCTGATACACAGTGGGGCACTCAGCTAACACCAGTCATTCCTGTAATCCAGGTCTCCCAACTTCTAGTCCAGTGCTCTTTGCACAACAACACCATATGAAGACTCTGAGCTATCCAAATAAGTGCACTTGAACCACAGGTTAAATCCCCTTCCTCTCATCAGAAATACAGGCTAGCACCGCCCAGCGTTCTTTAAAGACAGCCAGGAAAACAAACCAAATTCATACTACTTACCCAACACTGAACGAGACACGCTGGCTCCCTTTCCTTTATTTTGTTTCCCTTCTATTTGTCCTGGGTTTGTGGTTCTCGGGCAAGGTGAACTCTGCTCAGTATGATATGTGACCCCTGGCCACAGTTGCATATGGCCCTGCCTCAGTTGCTGCCTGCTCCTTACTTGATTCTCCAGGTCCACACTCCTTTCCTGTGCCATCTTCCCCTGTGGCACCTGTGTGTAGGAATCTTCAACAGCTGCACCGCCAACAGAGAAGCCACAAGCTGGAGCCCCACAAGTTTCCCCCCAGGCCCCATGCATGGGTCAGCAGTCTTGACCCCTGGGCTGATTTTAATATTTTAATTAAATTGACAACATGTAAAAAATCTGGAGATTTCACAACAATGCAGATTTCTGACTTCTTTTGACAAATTACAAACTGGCCAAATGTCCACAGCTGGCCAGAGCTGTGAGGCAGCTGCTCCCTTCATCTGGAAAGACTCTTGCTCCACTGGTCAAAGTCCCCACCGGTCCCCTCATTGCAACCTCACCATTCCCTATCAACCTCTGAGTTTTCCACCCCTGTTATGATATGCACTTCCAGTTCTCCAGCTGGACACTCAAGATGTGTCACCACATGGCCCACTGCACTTATTCAATCTCTTCTCCTGGGAACCCTGGAAAATCTCTCTGCTTCTAGGCTCTGCTGGGAGCAATTCCCCTCCTACAATGTCCTCCTTGCTCTTTTATTTATCCAACCCAATCAAGAGTATCTCTGCTTAAAAAATTCTTGCTGACCACCCAAGCCACAAAGAGCTCTCCTTTCCTTAAAGCATGGAGTCAACAGTTATCTTACCTACCTTCACATAGTTGGTTCTTCCTGTTTGCACATCCTGTTTCCCTAGCTAAATTGTAAACTTCTTGAGTTCACATTTGTTTGCCTTCCCCAGAAGGCAGCCACAGACTTTCCAAAGGGAAAGTTCTGAACAAAGATTAATTGTTTGGTCAGGAGCTATCAACCATATCATCACTCAGTGCAAGACCAGTCTCTCCAGCCTCTTTTGCCTCCACTCCACTTCCCTTGTTCCCCTCTCAAATCCACCCAAACCCCCATCCTCCTGGAATCACTCCAAAAGGACTAGAATTTGTTTCCTGTTTTGCCCACGATTGTTCCCATCGCTGCCACTCCCCAGGGCTAAACACAGAACCTGCCACATAACAAAAGCTCAGCATATGCACATTAAATGGAAAGTGCCTTACTTTTTAGTCCCTATATCTTAACATCTGCAGTTCACCAGGCTGACCATGCCCTTCTCCCTTTTCACCAACAGATCTACGGGTCTTGGAAATCCCAGTTCAGTGTTCCTCTCTCAATCTTTTTCTCTTCCTTTACTCAGCCAAGTCACTCCTCTCTCTAGGCGCCGCAGTCCTTTGCTCTTGCCTGCCACAGCCATTGCCAAATGTTGGTGCAATTGTTTGCCCACACCTGTTTTTCCCTTGGATGCCAAGGTCTTCCGGATCCAGGATTGTGTGATCTTCTTCCATGCGCTTGCCTGGTTCCCCAAGTCATAACTGGACATAATTAGTCTGGTGGAGAAGGCAAGTATTATGGCCCTCATTTTTCCAATGAGAAAATGGAAGCAAGGCACCAGGCTCCCTGCATGCAGCAGAGAGATGGAAGAGGAAGAGAGGAGCAGCTTGGGTGAGAAGACTTGGTTCTATTAGCAGGGGTCAAGCAATGGAATGGAAATGTGTCATGTCCTTTCAAGGTCATCTGTGGAGCAATGTTTAACAGCCTGCCCAAGAAATATTTAATTACCTAGAGGAAAGTAAGTACCTTTGTTGACTTGATATTTGCTACCAACTAAATAGCCAGATTATGTGAAGTTACACATTAATGTGTAGGATTTTGCCTAGTAGAAATACAAATGTTTTCTGTTCAGGAGAAAAGATAATCTCAAAGTTTATTAATTGACTCCCGTGTAGGACATTAACCAGTTTTGTTTCTAATTTAGCAATCTCATTCCAACACTCTTCCTCCAGTGCCTATGTAAACTCATGCTGCCATCTTGTTGGTTTCCTCATTAATGAGCTAAATGCATTTTTGACATGTCCACATTCTAGATTTGTATGAGTCACAATTTTAACTTTTTGAAAATTATACTTTGCCACCCAGGTGCCACCAACTCTGGGAGTGTGAGCAAGTCCCTCCCTCCCCTCTTCTGGACTCAGTTTCTTCAACAGTAACATGAGGGCGTAGGTCTGCATGGGAAATTACAAGCCCCAGGAATATTTGATTTTAAGCCTGAATCTTAAAAAGAATAATTTCCTCATAGGGTTGAACATCTTACGGAGTTATTTTCCAAAATAACAACAATAATGGGACAGTGCTTCATACCTGGGGCTAAGTATTTTAATTCTCACATAATGAGATGGGGCTATTGTTCCTAGCTCTATTACAGGTGAGGTTAGGAAAGCTGAAACAGTATTTTTTTTAACGAGGAGACACTATGTTTGTCCTTCCACTCATGTTTCCTTCCATTCTTCTTTTCACCTGTCTGGTCATCCATGTTTCCAGTCATCCATCCCACTGATGCAAAAAGAAGGTGGTTTCCATTTTCACTCTGGATCTATCTAATTGACTATTTAATTGATGTGGACTTTAGTAGAGGCAGTGATTGCTTCCAGTTGGTGGGCCCAGGAAGACTGTGAAAAAGGTACCACTTTCAGCTTGACCCTGAAGGTTCAAGCAGAATTATTTAGGGATAGGTTGAAGAAGCATCTTTGCCTGAAGGAACCATGGCAGGGACACCAGAAGACAAAGGAGGGAGACATGCACAGTGACCAGTGGGTGGTTATGGCTGTGGGAAGGGTGGATAATGGGAGATGAGATGAAAAAGATTGATTGGTCTTGGCATATGTCAATGGCTGATTGAGAATCTTAAGTTTCCTTGATCTGAAGCCCTGTCCACAATCACCCAGACTCTGAGTACTTCATGTGGTAGTAAGAGGCAGAGACAAACCCTTCCCCAGGTGCCCTGATCTGGCCAAGCCTGGGCGCTCTGACTACCAGAGTCCTGAACTCTTAGAAGGGAGAGCTGCAAACAACCATGGCGGGAATCTACTCCAGCCTCCCTTCCCGAACATGTGGGCCTGAGCTAATTTAAGCTAGTCTGAGCTCACTTTGCAAGCAGTTGTCACAAGGTGCTACATCAAAAGACTCCCAAGGCCCAAATATTTAACAACCAGAACACTCCCTCCATCCATCAGTTTGGTAATTCTATCCACACAAAAAAACTATTGGGGTTTCATTTCTGGCCTGCTCATTTCTTATAAACATGCCAGGGCCATTTACAGCTCACAACTCACTGCTCTCTAAACATTTACACATTTCTCCCTCTTAACACATCCTTGGCTATTTGATTAAGTAGTAGATCACAGGGGATGGAAGGCAAGGCCTTGGCATCTTTGGGTTTTCTCCAAACCTATCTTGACATGGGTTCAATGCCAGCCTCCCCTTCCAGTAAACACAAGGATTATTGCACTCCTGGGCACAGACTTGCTGATGCCTTGGTCTTTTCTATCCCTTCTCTTGCAGTTTCTTTAGGTAGGAGGGAATACAAACCCCAAAAACAAACAGACATGAGTCCATTTTACCAGCTGGGTTTAATGGGAAAGCTGGTAGGGTTCCCCATGACCCCTAGGACTGAATGAGTGCCCACATTTCACAACACCCTGATTCCAGACAGGAAGCTTGGAGAAGTATCTATATTTGGGGGAAGGAAGCTGCCCCAGACACAGCTTCCTGGACTGTTAGCAAAGGAATCTCACACAAGGCCTAAACCAGTTTCCATACAACTTCCTTGCCTTTTGGGAAGGTGCAATCTCACAGGACTGGTGGGACTTACCCAATGCAGTCATCCAAAAACAGTTATGGCCAACACCTAAGTGCTGAGAAAAGTCAAGAGGAAGAGGAAGCCCCAAGGGCAGAGAAAGTGGTGAAGGTCACAGAAAAGGCATGGAGCTGTGGCACCATTGGCGGGGGACAGCTAGAGTCCAGGCACAGAGCTAAAACTGGGTATGAGCAAGGGTAGGAGAGGGGACACTGCTGAACACCCACAATGGTCCTGCTCCTGTTGGCTCTGCCTTCAATCTCAAAGGCAATTATGAATAAAGGAAAGCACACTGCCTTCAGAGTCCGACCTAAGTTTGAATCCTGGCATCTTTCCCAGCTGGCCGTATTACCCCTAGGAGCTACTCAACACTTCAGAACCTCACTTTCTTCTTCAGCAAAACAGAGGTGCAGGTATATATCTCCTAGGAGTGACAAGGGAATTCACGCGGCTGTTAATGACCTGGTGCCTGCCTGGGGCTACCAAGCAGCCACCACAAGAGTCCTCCATAATAGCATCCACCGCACTGCAGTCAGGGCAACAGCACTGCAAGCACTTCATGGACAGAGACCAAGCCTTTCCAACTTGATCTGCCATGTTTCAACACAGTGCCTCAGCCATTGAGAAAATCCTGTGACAGGCACAGACCCCCTTCAAGAAGGACTTGCTGCTCAGCTCGTGAGAGGGTTGTCAGCAGCTTCTTCAGGGCTTGCTCAGTTGCAGAGAGCTACCTGGCCAGAGGTCATGCCCTTCAGGGGCAGCCCACCTCCTCTGAGTGATGGGAGTGATGGAATAAAGGCCCATGTCAGCCCATCCCAGCACTCATTCCAGCACAATGCTGGCAGGCCATCTTGGTGCTCTTGGGGCTGGCTGTGGCTGCATCCAGCCTGCATCACGACTCAACCTCTGCACAGTCCTGCTGCCTTCCCCTCCTCCCGTGGGTATGAGCCTCCAGCACACTCAACTTCGTGTCAGAGCTTACCTTCCAAGAACCCTACCTGCAATGAACTTGGTATTTGTTGATGAGTAAATGTCTGAAACAAGATCCCCAATCTTCTAAATCCAGAGTTAAAACTCAGACAGGCCACGGTCCTTGGTCATTCTAGGTCCAAGAGGCTCTTGCTGCTGGCATGGCCAAGAGATACAGGTAAGTAAAACAGTATACTGTGGTGCTATGACCACCCAGGGGGCTGCCGTGTCCCACTCAGGAAAATCAGGTACCTAGTTGGCTTCCAAAAGAGGCTGGGGAAATTTTAAGTTGAGGTTGGGCTCTGTAGACCTTCTCCACCACTAAAGCCCCCAGGTTTATCATTTCCCGGGAGAATAGGTCCTGGGGGAGAGGGGGAGATAACAATGGAACACACCAAAAGGGAACCCTGTAATGGAACAGTGCCCACTAATGTTTATTTTATCCCAGGAGTCACAGAAGGCCTGGAATGGCTGCGATGGAGATAAAGGATGAAGGGTAGTCCCCTCAGGGTGTTATCCAAAAAGTCACCTTGGAAGAGGAAGAAACTCCTACCAATATCAGAAGAGCAACAAACATTTTTTTTTCTAGAAGATAAGTGGCTAATTTCAAAATAATTATTTTATCAACTGCCACATAAGTTTTTTTTTTTTTAATTCATTAAAAAAAAAAAATGAGGCCGGGCACAGTGGCTCATGCCTGTAATCCCAGCACTTTGGGAGGCCAAGGTGGGTGGATCACCTGAGGTCAGGTATTCAAGACCAGCTTGGTCAACATGGTGAAACCCCATCTCTACTAAAAATACAAAAATTAGCCAGGAGTCGTGGCGCATGCCTGTAATCCCAGCTACTCAGGAGGCTGAGGTGGGAGAATCACTTGAACCCAAGAGGCAGAGGTTGTAGTGAGCCGAGATCGTGCCACTGCACTCCAGCCTGGGTGACAGAGCAAGATTCCCTCTCAAAATAAATAAATACATACATACATACATACATACATACATACATACATAAAAATGAAATGCTTCCCTTTTCAAATGAGGAGTGGGAACACTTAGATTACAGTGCTAAGTTCTTTTTGTCTGTGAGGTAAGGAGAAGAGCCTGCGCCTAGGTGACCTTGGCCTGGTCAGAGATGCTGGGACAGCCTGGACGTGGGAAAGAAGGGATCTACGCAGGTCTGTCCACAGCACATTCCAGGGCAGCTTCCTCCCGGGCTGCTTCTGTGCCAGAACCTGCTGGCCTCAGGAGCCCCAGCTCACCTTTCACTGACCTTCAGCCCACAGGAGAACAGCATTTCCTACCTCCCCCACCTGCTGACAAGGCCTCTCTCTTTCCCACGCCAAGGACAAAGATGACCTCTGGGGGATTCCTTTTAGCTGGCTCATAAAAGGAAGAGAGATGGGCCAAAGAGAAAGAGCTGCTGGGTCCTTCCCCAACTAGAACATGGGAAATGATGATTTTCCAGTAGGGAAGTGGTGGCCAGGCAGGCAGGCGTCGACTAGATGGGTCCCTCTGGGGTGTGGTGGAAATGACCTCAACTTCAAAGAGACAGACTTCCAGAGAAGGCTGGCATTAGCATCCTGATCTGCTCTACTGAGAATCCCAAGGGTTTTGCGGAACTCTTGCTGGGCCATGAGGATACAGTCTCCTCCTGACCCCAATCCTCTAACCAAAGCAGCTAGGTTTCAGTTAGTGTACACAGAGCTCCAGGCCTCTAAGAGTGTGAAAGCCACTGCCTCAGGAGATATCCCTTGCTGGAGATCCTGGGAAGTAGAGGCTATGGAGGCAGACCACTTAATAGCTGTGCAACCCTCAGCAAGTCATTCATCCACTCTGAGCCCGAGTTCCCTCCTGTGTAAAACAGCAGTTATCACAGTGCCTAGCTCCTAGTCTGGGTGTGAGAGTTCAAGGTGAGGCCAACCAGTTGCTTCACTCCGTGCCTGGCTCATAGTGAGACCTCAGTAAATGTGAGCTATTTTCTTTCAATGAATATTTGCCCTTTCCAGCATCACAAATACATGAGCTTCCAATTCTAGGGATACAAAGACAGAGGGGCTTTATTTCTTTCAATGAGTTCAGAGAAGTCCCTAGCACTTAAACTGCTATACACTGAGAGAGTAAGCCATAGTTCTGAAAATGCTCTGTGTGCTCATTCACCTGAAGCAGCACTGGGGGTCACTGCAGCCTCAGGTGCCACCGAGCCGACAGGCCATGAAAAGAACACCCACTGACTCACTCATCTGGGTGGAATGGTTTCATGGGGACCCAGGTGAGGTGGTGAGGTTGCTGCTTTTTTATGTATTGGCTTTTTCTGCCTCCCCAATGCCCCACTTCCGTCGCAAAAGTGTCTGAGTTCTGGAGCAAAGGCTCAGCTAGGAAAAGTTTCAGATATTTTCTTTGTCTTAACCCTTCAGGGAGAGGAAGGAAAATCTGTCTCTTGCCAGGGTGAGGGCCACCAAGCGGGTTAGCTCACTCTGCCACATTCTGCATTTTCTACCTTCAACACAATGGACAGTGGGATGTCTCTCTCTTGCCATATGCATTCAAGAGAAAAGCCCTGGTTTGGGTGGGGCTCTGGTTTGGGTGGGGTTTGCATTGGGTCTACAGCCACTAGCAACTTGCTGTAGTCAAGGCAAATGACATAAGCTCTCTGATCCTCAGCTTCCTCATTGTAAAGAGAGCTCTTAGCTCCAGGTCTCATTACTTTCAGGGTATTTAGGATGTTTAGATGCCAAATAAGACAGCAGAAGGCAGAGCACCTTGACAAGCATAAAGCACTGTATGCAAACATAAAGCATGGTGCAATCTCACAGGACTGGTGGGACTTACCCAATTATAAACAAATTTATAATCACATGGCAGGAAGGGTGGAATTTCAAGATAGAATTATTATTCATTGTAAGATGACTTGTGTAATATTGTAAATGACTGCTCTTCACCCCATCCTCTGATTCAAATTAAAATCCTCATTCCATGGCCCCTACATGTACGCTCATTTTCACTGTTCAGTTACAAGCAACAAGATGAGACATTTTGACGCCCTTGGTAATTGTCTGGTTTCTAGAAGTTCTTGGTTCACAGGCCTAAGCATGTTTCATTTGATGTTTGGCACCATAGAAAACAGTGTATGTTTAATGATTTCTGTGTTAAACTGAATAATGAATAACCAGGAAAGACAACAGACCAAATAGCAACTTCTTGATACACCTGCTTGACGGAATTCTGAGCCTTTTTCCCACTCTATCAAGGACAACTGCCTAATGGAGAGTCAGAATATTTTTCTAATACAAATAAAGTAAAAAAGCAATGTAATGTTATTATCTTTTAAAGACAGAAATACTATTAAATCCTCAACCATTTTTAAATTAAAGCATAAAACCCTCTTCTACCCAATAAGCAATAAGAACTCACTTGAATTCCTTTTCACAGGCATTTAAGGGATACTAATGGGTACAGACAGAAGAGGGAAAAGTACAGAAAGGAAAACAGCAGATAAATATATAGAAGCAGAAAACAAGAGTAACAGAAGAGAAGCAGAAGAGACTAAGGAAGGCATCTAGGATGCAGTTGTGAAGAGAAAATCAGACATATGTAGGCAGAAAAGAAAACAATCAAACAAACAACAATAATAAAATTAGAACTAAAGAGAAACTTTCTTAAAGGAACCCATAATTTTGGAAGCTTATCAGTAGATTTTAAAAGTAGACTACAGATTTATGACTACAGGAGTAAAGGGTGTGTTACTCTTAGTAATTGTTTCCTTAATGACATAAAATCACATCAAGACTATATCCAGCTCATGGGCCAGCAGCTCCCCATCCCTGCCCCATAATGCTGCACTGTATTATGTTTCAATACAAAACATTTGGTGTCCACTTGGGTCAGCACCTCCATCAGACTGCCATCACTAAGGGAACTGAGCCAGCCTCCCACGTCAGTTTCCTCCCCTATGGGCTCCACTGAATGGGGATGAATGCGGTACCTACTCTCATAGTAGGGATATGAGGATTAATGAGGTGATGTAGAAAAATCACCTGGTATTGTAGGTGGCATTTAGTAAATCCTTCATAAACACTAGTGTTCATTATTAGTTGGGGTTACAAATAGTTACTCTCAGAGGGGGAAAAATGAATGAAAGTGTGTGAACAGGTTAAACAAAATATTTTGGAAATTTTATGTTGTCGTCTGAAAGTTCTTTCATGTGCATCTAAAGGCATCACACTCACTGTCACCCTCTTCACATGGTGGGTATCAATATAAAGAACATTCTTCAATTTCTGCTTGACTGCTACATCTCATTTCTGTCTCTAGGTTTCCACTGAGCCCTCCAGCTCAAGGGGCCTCCCTCCGCATGAGTCGTCTTTAGGAAGCCCAGCCTGGTCTCTAATTTTGAGAAGCATTTCCCTTATTTCAGGTCTTCATTCAGCCAGTGGTTCAACCACTGAACCACTTCAGTTTCCTTCCTTCATTTTATTCACAAAGGAATCCTTTCATCTACAGCCCCTAGCTGGGCTCCTTTGAAGAGACTTTCTCTTCTTGCATTATTTTCTTGGTCAGCCTTCCTTAGGAAGGAATTAAGACACATTTCAGGAAACGGGCAGAAAATGTTAATCCTTCTCTCCCTCATTGTCCTACTCATAAACGCTTACTCCCTCAAATGCACCCATAAATAAGCTGTAGATCCACATCTGGTTCTGAGCCCAGCACATAGTAGGAGCTCAGATGAATGATCACGCCTGACTTCTCAGCCTTGCTTCTGCCATCCCTTCCCCTGAAAAATCTGCTCCTCTCTACTTAACCTAGTAGAACCCTCATGAAAGCTGTTGTCCCTGTTGAAGGAATGATGCCCCAAGCATCCAGCGTGTCTGCTGTTTACTTCATGCACCTTAGTGGATGTGGTGAAATGAAATGACTTTTCCATTTCCAAAGAGAAAGTGCAAAGTCTCCAAACTTATGACCTCTTTCTCAGAATGCCAATATTTACAGCTTAGCCCTGGGCAACCCTGTGCTTTTCTGACCTTAGATTCCCATTTGGAGTGGAAATGGCTTTTCTATTTCTCCCCAAGGTTCTCTGAATTAGATGACCAAAGGAGAACTTACTTCTACCAAGATGGGTCTATGAGACCCATTCAGGCTCTCATCCATTCGTTCAACAGATTCATTCATTCAGCCCCTACTGTGTTCCAGGAAATAAGTGTCAACCATACAGGAGTGACCCAGACAAAAAGCCCTGCTTTTATGGAGTTAGTTTGGATTTTAGTGGAGACAGGGGAAGATAGATGATAAGTAAAATAAATAAAGTATATATAGTATATTAGAGAATTATAAGGTTTATAAAGAAAAAATGAAAGATACAATTAGTAGGGAATGGGGATAATTTAAAATAGGGGGAAATTTATAAACATAATGGAAAATATGCATGTAAGTAAAATTCCTTCCAAAAAATGGAATATTTAACACTAACTTGCGGTGTAAACATGAACACATCATGGGCTCCCTCCAGGCCTCGGTTTCCTTCTCGGCAGTATAAGGTGGAACTACAAGGTATCTCTATGGTAGCTTCTGGCACTGAAATTCTCTTTCTCTACCCAATAGATAGCAATTTGAATTAACACTAGAGCCTGTTGGGACCCAGTGATTGTGGTCTAAGTTTCAATGACTTTTTTTTTAAATCCCTACATTCCTTGGGGTTCCCAGCAATGTCTCCAGTGGGCTGCTGGTCCAAATTAATTGTGAGAGCAACCACAAATTCCCTTGTTTATATTTTTGAATTGTTGACTTAGAATCAGTTTTAAATCTGAGCCCTTCTTCCCCACAGATACTCTCAAAACAGCCTCCTGATAGGCACTAACCCCTAAGAAGGTCATCAAGTGGGGCTCTGAGAGCAAGGATGCTGGGCAACCCGGCTTCCAATGCCACTTATCCTAGCCACATGAGTACTCATAACAGGCTTGACGTCAATTAAATCATACTGGCCCTGAGAGGCGCCACCCAACAAACTGTTTCTTCTTCGTGGACTTTTTGTTCCCTCTTTATTTATTTTCCACTGAGCTACAACAAGGCTCAGGAGGAGGCCCTTCATCTAGGAAGAGTCATCTTGGGACCATCTAGGGAGGAAAAGGCATCCATCAGGCACTCATCAGCCACCTCTGATGAAAAGCTTCCTTTGGGGTAATTTCTCTGCACCACCGAGTAAGCCTTCTGCCTGCTGGAGGAGCTGTGGTGAGCATGTGAAGGGAGGTTCTGAAGGCTTCAGCAGCAGCCACCAGTCCCCCTGCAGCCCCTAATGAGAGGTGATCCTTGTTCAACTCCTGCTATGTGCTAGACACATTCTAAGCACTTTACATGTATTAACTAACAAGTCTATGAAACAGGTGTTATCATTATTCCCATTTTACAGATGAAGCAAGTGAGACACAGTGAAGCAGCTTGTCCAAGATGACAGTTTGTAATTGGAGGAGAAGAGCCCCTATCAGCATCGCTGTCCAGAAGAAACATAAGACAAACCACACAGGTCATTCTAAATTTTCTAGAAGGCACATTTCTTTGACACTTATTTTATTTACAACTCTATGCAAATTTAAAGACAAATAATATTCCAAGTGGGGCCGGGCATGGTGGCTCATACCTGTAATCCCAGCACTTTGGGAGGCCAAGGCGGGTGGATCACCTGAGGTCAGGAGTTTGAGAACAGCTTGGCCAACATGGTAAAACCCTGTCTCTACTAAAAATACAAAAATTAGCTCGGTGTGGTGGTGGGTGCCTGTAATCCCAGCTACTCAGGAGCCTGAGGCAGGAGAATCACTTGAACCCAGAAGGTGGAGGTTGCAGTAAGCCGAGATCACACCATTGCATTCCAGCCTGGGAGACAAGAGCAAAGCTCCGTCTCAAAAAAAAAAAAAAAAAAAAATATATATATATATATATACACACACACACACACATACATATATATACATATATACACATATACATATATATACGTGTGTGTGTGTGTGTGTGTGTGTGTGTGTGTGTGTATATATATATATATATATATATATATATATATATTCCAAGTGGAGGAAAGAAGTTTTCAGATTGCTCTCACTTGTAACTCCCATACATTAATTTTCTTGTACATTTTTCTTTAAGATTATAATGTTGATTGCCTCCTAACAGTCATTTCCATCCCCCTCCCTCATTCAGAGAACCCTGATTTTGTTCAGGGGTGCAGGTACCTCACCAAAACTGATGCTGGCCCCACTCCTGGGCAGACCTCGATTAGTCTGAGCAAGCCCTGGTGCTCTCATTCTTATGCCAACAATTGGCTTAGGACCGACCTGTGACTGGTTCTTGACCTGTGAAATAAATGTGCAGGTGTGCTGGGGGCTTCTAGAAATGTGGGCCAGACTGCTGAAGAAGAGGCCTGGAGAGATGGTTGCTTAACCTCGAGATTTTTTTTTTTTTTTGCTTTCTTTTTAGTATGATAAAATATACATAAGATAAAATTTACCATTTAAGTAATTTTTAAGTATACAGCTCAGTGGTATTAAGTACATTCACATGGTCGCTCAGCCATCACCATTATCCATCTAGAAAGCATATTTTTTAAAAGTAAAAAGAAAAAAGTGAAATTAATTTTAATAATGGAGTTTAATCTATACAAAATATTATCAATAAGTAATCAATATAAACATTATAATAAGGTTTTTTTACAGTCTTTTTTTGTACTAAATTTCCACTTACAGCATTGTTGCTTTTTTAGAGACAGGGTCTCTCTGGAGTGCACTGGCATGATCATAGCTCACTGCACAGTCCTTGAACTCCTGGCCTCAAGCGATTCTCCTGCCTCACCTCCAAAGTAGTTGGGACTACAGGTGTGCACTACTACTCCCAGCTTTACAGCACACAGCAATTCATATTTCAGATGCTCACTGACCACCGGTGTTGGACTGCCCAGGTTTAAAGTTTCTCAGGCTTGTGCGTGCTCAGCCAGCTCATGGGCATCTCCAAGGGACAGCAGCATGCTGTATGTTTATGAAAGATTTGTGCGTCACCATCAGCTCTCTGGGGCAGTTTGCGATTCACCGCAGGACCCTAGATGGTGTCTGACTCTAATGGTTCTAGATCAGCCTCTCTAACCCCCGCGGAGATCACTGGCATCACGCTGATGGACAATACAAGATCTGAAGCCTAAATGAGAGCTTTTCCTGGTGGAGCAAATACCGTGCCTCCATCACCCAGCTGTGATTTCATC
The DNA here is from genome assembly GCF_000001405.40 of Homo sapiens. NCBI lineage: Eukaryota > Metazoa > Chordata > Mammalia > Primates > Hominidae > Homo > Homo sapiens. The sequence continues at coordinate 77,384,216 of NC_000010.11, forward strand.
TCCCAGTTGAGAACATGACCTCAATGGCAGAGGTAGGGACAACACCTATGCAGCTGCACAGGCACTCCCAGGTTGGACCAATAATAAATAAACACATTCCTACTTGGAAAGAGGGCAGCATGTGTGCAGGGTTGAGGCAAGCCGTGGTTGCCATGGAAACCAGCCAGCATCACTCCAGACTTTTTCCCTGGTGCTCGGATCATTGGTGGCTGACGAAGCCCAGTGGAGAGGCATTGTTCCTGTACTTATGGAAACCTTCCAAATAGGCCCATTATGATGAAAGCACATCAAAGAGGGAATGATGACGTACCTTTACCATCCATCGTCACATCCACTGTTTGTCCTGGGTAATACCCAAAAGAGAAGAAAATAAAGCCACTCTTGCCACAGAGGGAAATAACTGGAGAGCACTGAGGTATGACACTAGGGGTAGCAAGGTGGTCCCCAAAGGGGAGGCAATGAAACTGCCCCATCTCACCACCATAGTGAATGCTCGACTGGACAAATGGTTATGGCTTCAGGGATTTGCTACCTGCCCAAGCTGACTTACAACTCACTTTCTATGGCAAGCCTCTGGTTTGCTCTCTTTCTGGAGCCACGTATGTTTGAGATCTTCCCATTCATTCATTCTTTCCTATGCCCATTCATTCCTTCACTCATTCTTGAATGAGAAGCACCATGGTAACATGAAAACAGCCTGGGTCATCGAGTCATGAGATCCCAGATTTAAATCTCAGTTCAGATGCTTATTGGATGTGTGATCTCACCTAAGCTATTAAAGATTCTCTGAGCCTTGGTTTTCTCACCTGTAACATGGGGACAAGAGAAGAATAATGTTTGCCACTTGTCTTCTACACAGTCATACTCAATGTGTTTATACATGATTTATATCTCATTCCATTTTGATCAACAATTACCCAACAGAGAGCCTGGTCTCTCCAGATACTCAATAAGATTATTGAATTATTGATTATTGAATAAAAATATGACAATGTGCTTTCACATATATTTCTTCTCTCTCTCTCTCTTCAAATTTCATTTTCACAGCAATCTGGTTCAAGGTTGTTTCAGCCCAGCACAGGACAAAGAGGATTATAAAATTAAACCACATGTTTCTGACTCTCAGTGAACTTACAGTTTACTATGTTTTATTAACAATGTATACAACACTTAGTCTGCCCCAGCTACTGTACTAAGTACTTTATAAATATTAGGTCATGTAATCTGCATAATAACCCTATGAGGTAAGTACTACGATTGTCTTCTGTCACTGGCTCAGGGTCACACTAGTACATGGCAGAACAAAGGTCAAACTCAGCCAGTCTGGCTCTATAGCCTGTGCTCTTAACCACTCAGCCTCATTGCCTTTAGAGTGGATAAGTCACATTCACAAGTGTATGCGAATACTCTCCAAGACTGATGGATTCAGAGGAGGAAACACTATGCACTGCATCTTAAAGATGAGGTAGGATTTGAACACATGGAGTGCATGGAGGAGAGCAGAAGAAGGACAGGTTGGAAAGAGGATAGGGGCCCTGACCATTTGCTTGAAGTGTTTGGGCTTTAGACCTTGGAAAGCCACTGAAGGTCTCTGAGCCATGGGGAAACCTAAGCAAAGCTGGCTTTGGGGAAAATTCATCTGGCAATAGCATGAAAGATGGACTGAAGCGGGGAGATGGGACAAATGAGGAGAGTGACATGTAGCTGCTATAATGAGTGAAGGAAGGGGTCACAGGGCTTAAGCCAGGACAATGGAAAAAGAAGCATCAAGGGCAAATCCATAGGACGTGCCTCCTACCAGGATGTAATATGTCTCCCCGAGTTTCCCACCAAAACTTTCACATCAGAAACAAGTTCCAAGGAGCACTCACTGGGCACTTTCGTGGCCATCCAGAGTGGCACATGGGTGCTCTATAGCACTGCTTTCCTCAAAGGAAACATGGGGTCATCTTGAGCAGCTGGAAACACTGGCTGAGCCTTTCCTAGTTGCATGCAGCCATTTACTGAGGCCAAGGGGGCAAAATCTAATCCTGACAAAGAATCCTGGCCACCTCAAATGCAAAAGATAGCCAAGTACAACGAACCATAGTCCCGTTTGTTATAATGTCCTATAAATCACAGCCTAGGCCTTACAGTTAATAGGGCTTTCTATTCCAATTCCCATTATGCTGGAAGGGGAAGAGGAAGAATTGAGGAACGAATGAGGAGTCTGAGAGTGAGTTACGGCCCAAGAATATGACTTGTCAGCCGTCTTCCAAGCTCTACCAATTGCCTGAAATTCTCTATCCAGTCGTAGGTTTGCATAAATTCCTGGAGAAGGCTTTGTCTGATACCACAGTGAAACAGATGCCAGGGTGCAGGCACAACAGGTAGACTCATAAAACTGGTAAAGAGAACTTTGCTTTGACAAAAGCTGGAGTTTTCCTTGTTATTTATCTTTCCTATTTGAAGCCTTGAAATCCCATTTTCATCTTGATGGAGATGATAAACTCTTAGAAAACTTTTATGGCTCCCAGGATGAAACTGAGGACTCTGCCTCTGCTCCCCACTGCAATTCTGGCAGGCTTTTAAATTCAAGTCAGGGCAGAAACTGTTTTTGGTCAGAGGCAAAATGTATTTATCTCTGTAAGCACAGCCATTAAGATGTGAGCATGAATAGCTAAGAGAAAGAACATTAAGGGAGAAACAGGAAGAAATAGAAGGTGAGGCTATGATGGAAGGAAATGATGACGCATCAACCCCCACCAAAAGCTTTTTACAGTGCCGGGGGAGTGGGGCACAGGGAAAGGCATCTGCAGCGATTGGGAGAAAGAACCCGGGAGTGGGCTGAGGGGAAGGCTTTGCAGTGGGAGGGCTGTGATCAGCGTGTGCTTCATGCAAAGAGAATTTTGAGAGTGGACATAACAAACAGGAAAATTGTGCTTGCATTTCTGTTTGTCTGTAGAATCACTGTGGCTCTGAAATCCACCCCCTCTGCTCTCCAAACACTAAAGAAAGTCTCCAGATGGAAAAATCTGAAGTCAGGCTGCAATATGAAAAAAGAAAAGAAAAAGAAGGCTGCTACAGGAAGCTGACAAATTTGCTGTTTCTCTGAGGTCTAACCTATGCAGCTGGGGTATCAAATACTAGACAGGGTCAGGAGACATGTCTGAAACTGACCAAATGACCTTGGACAAGCCCCACTTTAATCACACATAATGTAAACTTTAGGGAATGTGACCTAGAACAGGTAGCTAAGGCACAAATAACACTAGTACTACCACCCTCCAAGCTGGCACTCATGGCAGGCATCATTAGTCAGTCATGGAATTGTTCTTTTCTTTTCTTTTCTTTTCTTTTCTTTTTCTTTTCTTTTCTTTTTTTTCTTTTCTCTTTTCTTTTCTTTTCTTTTCTTTCTTTTCTTTTCTTTTCTTTTCTTTTTAGATGGAATCTTGCTCTGTCACCCAGGTTGGAGTCCAGTAGCGTGATCTCGGCTCACTGCAACCTCTCACTCCCAGGTTCAAGTGATTCTCCTGCCTCAGCCTCCCAAGTAGCTGAGACTACAGGTGCCTGCCAGCATGCTCAGCTAATTTTTACATTTTTAGTTGAGACAGGGTTTTAGCATGTTGGCCAGGCTGGTCTTAAACTCCTGACCTCAAGTGATCCACCTGCCTTGGCCTCCCAAAGTGCTGGGATTACAGACGTGAGCCACTGCACCCAGCCCTCGGAATTCTTTAGAGCAGAGCCATTATGACTGTTTGCTGCTGAACCTTAAATCTTTGGCCAAATATTCTCTGTAGCTGCTACTGATCAATCAGAATGAACCCAGAAGATGAAAGCTGATGAAAGATGATGAAAGTTCACCATTGCTAGACTTGATCTCTTCTAATCCTTAAACACTAGAGCCAGATAAGATTGCATGTCATGTGTAATCTCATTATAGACATCCTTAACTAAGTCCTACCTTGGTTTTCTTTTCTCTTTGGCCTTCTTTCCAAGTCTTAGCAGCCAAGGCTGTGAAATAAGAACTGGTATGAAGGCTCTTCATTCAACTCCACATCTGAAGCTCTGAAAGTGACCTTGTGCACTTTTCTTGAGCCTCTTTACTTTACGTTCCCCCATTCTGCCACAAAGCTCCTGGTGGGGCTGGTGTCTCCTCTACTCTCCTGCTGATTTCATCAAGGTAAAGAATTCTATTCCTTTTCAAATGCTTTGAGATCATGGGATAGAAGACAGCCTGGGGAAGTTCAAAGACGTTTAATCATTAGCCTCAGTTCTTTTGAAAATTATTAAAGAGCCCAGAATTAGAAATTCAGATTTCCTCCAAATCCCTGAGAACAAACAACTCTCTTGTAAATGGCTTAATGTGTCTGTTTAATGTACACAAAATTATCTTTCAGGAAAGTGGATTGTTTTTTATATCATTTTGCATCTCTAAAATATACCACCTATGGCAAAAGGATTGGGATTCAAAGTCTGACAAAATCTACAGCAGAAATAATTAGCACCAGAGGCTGTTTCTGAGAGTTAAATGAAAGAGAAACTGGTTATTTATTTATTTCTTTTCTCTCTATCTGTATCTCTCCATCTCAGCCCCGGGAAGAGGAATTGTATCTCTTGGTGCTAGAAGGGTGGCTTGCTGAATTGCCTTTACAAGGTTTTTTTCTGTAAGACAACAACTGAGCCCCCAACACACAACTCCCTGTGGGCCGCAGTGCTATGGAAACAGCTGCAGTGCTCCAACTCTGGGGAAAACAACCAGATAAACCCACTGGTTTGCAAACTAGGCACAAGGGCAGAGGAATAGTGATGTTTTCTAATTTAGCATCCAGGGAGGCAAGGGGGAGTCTTTGCTTAAATCATGTTAATGAAATTGGAAACACTTGAAATAGCCCATTGAGGGTCTGTTGCCCCTGTTTTTTAAAGTTCATCTAAAAGTTAACCTACAAGGAATTTTCATTTGGGGAATTTCTGCAATGTCAACTCCACTGATCACCCACAGTGTTTAACACCCTTGCTATAAATTTGGGGGCTAGCTTGGCAGCTCCTGCCACCCCCCTGAGTCTGCTACCTTGCTCCAGAAATAAAAAATGACTTTGGCCACAGTAATGTTTCCTCGATCCTCAGCCCCTCCTGGGGGCCTCCGGCAGTCATTATTTTAAATAAACATGCCTTTTATTGTTTTCAGGTACACAGAGATGGAGGCGCTTCTACCTCTGGAGGAGGGATGGACTTTCAGGGGCCCCATGATTTGCAGCAGTTCAGTCAAAAGCAATACAAAGAGCAAAGGATAGGGGCTGTTATCTCACCCAAGAGCTCCTCAAGCAGAGGATACTCAATTGGAAAGGAGGCTCTTCCAGTCAAATTTGGGGCTAGTGGGGTCACCACGTTTGATACCAACTAGGAACAACATCCCCTTAGAGGCTTCCAACTGAGGAAGGTTCCAAAAGAGAGCTCCATGGCTGAAATGATTCAAAAGAAGCCAACTCCTTCTCATTGAGCTGGCCCTTTGGAATATGGCCCCCTCCTCCCACGGCATCCTTCCCCCTGCCCAGTGCCTCAGGCCCATCTACATGCTTCTACCTATAGGCTTTGCTTCTTCTCTAGAAAGGAGCAAAGAAGGAAAAGAATCATTGGAGGTGAGTCAAAAGCAGGCACCGTAACTCACGGGGCCTTGTAAGCCAGGGACACAGTTTCAGATTTTACTTCAAATGGAGGCAAAACCATGGGAGAGCCATGCAGAGACACCCCTTGATGAACTCTGCTTCACGCCAATCACTCTGGCAGCTAAGAAAAGTGCATTCTCTCTCCTTTTGCAGTTCTCCTGGTGCCTAGCACAGGGCCAAGGGCACAGTAGATGTGAGCCTAACACTTGTGGCCTTTGCTGATGAAGGACAGTGAAGGGGATAAGAAAACATAAAGATATTTTGGGCTGCAAGGGAACGAACTACTGAAAAACTACTGCGGCCCCCTCTATTTATGGAGATGCTGAGGCCTTGGAGAGGGAATTGACTTGTCCAAGGTCAACCAGAAAAGTGATAGCAAAGCCAGGGTTAGTATCCAGGTTTCTGCTGATTGCAGCTCCTCAGATAAAAGTAAGTGACTTGCCTCTCTTCTCCCATATCCAGAATTGATCTCAAACACTGTCATGAATCCCCAAGGGCCAGAGAGACACACAGCATAGACCAAGGTGAGTAAACTGTTTTCTCTCTTTCTGATGATCTGAGCTTTTTCCTGGAGAGATCTCAGGTGGCCAAGAAACCAAGTTGCCCACCTCATGGTTCAGAGGAAACAATAACCTCCTGGCAGCTTCCCTGGGAGCCCATGCAGGTGCCTCAGGGATTAAGGAGCTCCTGAAAACAACTCCTTTCCTTTGCAGGAAGTGATTTTCCACCCCTGAGGCATAACACCAGGCAGAGGCTCTATCAGTGCCTGCTGATATAATTAGCTCTGGACAGACTCTCCAACCAAGGCAGACACAACCAGGCCCTTGCTCTAGAAACAAAAAGAATGTTCTGGACCTATCCCAGTACACTTCCAAACCCCACGCCTTCCTGGGCAAGTCGGGGCTCAGAGACCAACAAACCCAACAGACTTCAGCAGCAGCCAGGGAGCTGGCAGCCTCTGTCCCCTGAAATGCCACTTTTTTTTTTGTGATTCAGCCTCTGTTTCAAGCTATTTTTAGTGTAAGCAAAGGCTGCATCTGAGGGAAGGTGGTGTGGGAAAGGGGTCTTTACTTTCTCTCTCCTTTTCAATGAACTGTCCTGTTTCCCTTAGGACAGCCATTTCACCAAAAGCCACAAAACATGTGGGGAGGGAGGATTAAAAAGAAAAATGGGAAAAAGGTCAAAATTCAGCCTGTTTGCTAAAAGTCTGGGAACAGTTCTAGGAAGGTGATAGTTTCTCGATCCTTTGCGTTAACCTGCTGAATCCTGGGCTGCTCCTGCCAGTGGGGAACCAATATGCCCAGTCCATCTACCTTCCGAATTAACCAACCTCCAGTAAACAAGGAAGGCCCAGAAGTTTGCTCTCCCAGGGACGTGGTGCAAACAGGTTTAATGGTCCCCCTTGATGCCCCAGGGAAGGATGTGTGCCCTTGGAGGCTTGTGAACAGAGAAGCAAGCTTCCGCTCACAGAGGACCCTGGCTTCCCACCCTCACCCCGTCTCCATCATGTCAGCACAAGGCCAATTTTACAAACTGAAATTAACTGGATGAGCAAAAAGATAGCCTTGGTGCTTAAGAGGCTTGGGTACATTTAATTGAGTTTCCAAGTGCCCTGATTCCTTAAGAAAGCCAGAGAAGCCACTGTTATGTCCTAGATCCCTCACTACTCAAACAGGAGAGAATAGTTTTTACAATAAAAATTTTAGGGCAAATGGTGGCTTTCTGTTGTTGTCATTTCCCTGAAGTAGGTTTTTTGTTTGTTTGTTTGTTTGTTTGTTTGTTTGTTTTTTTCTGGAAAAAGCCTCACTCTGGACCCAGAGTCTAAAAATGAGGCTTTTAGTGCACCAAATTGGGCTGTTTGGGGCCCGTAGGCACGAGTCAGTCTGCCTCCTCCTAAACATAGCCTCGTAAACTAAACTTGGAAGCATCAGCTTGCGTGTGGTCCCGAGTGTGACTTTCCAAGCATGCACTCCCCTGCAACGACAAAGGCTGATGACTTTGTCATCATCATCTCTATTTTTGAGTCTCCCTGCTAAACAAACTTTCTCGCAGCTGAAATGGAGGCTCTAAGGATATTTTTCTGACAAAAACGGAGTGCTAAGCCATCAGCACCCTCTGAAGGCCTTGGGGGAAAACCTGGGTAAGAAAAGTCTCCCAGCCCAACTCAGTAGCCGCAAATACAGACATTTCATTTCCTGAAATGCCTCCAGGGGGCGCCAGCTTTCATGGGTTGGGAAGGAGGGAGGGAAGGACGGAGGAATGGAATGAGGCGAGGAAGGAAGGGAGGGAGGGAGGAAGGGAGGGAGGGAGGAGGGAGGAGTGGGGGAGGTGGGAGGGGGCAGTGGGGAGGAAGGAAGGAAGGGAGAGAGGGAAAGAAGGAAGGGAGAGAGGGAAGGGAAGGGAGGGAAAGGAAGGGAGGGAAGGGAAGGAAGGTAAGGGAGGCAAGGGAGGGAAGGGAGGGAGGCAGGGAGGGAAACCAACTACTCACATATTTGCCCAGGCCCCTGGGATTCAGCTGCAGAACTGCACAGGATGTGCAATCAGGACTAGAATGTCTGAGCTCCCAGGCCTGTCCAAGGGACTGAGAGATGGGTCACAGGTTCTGACTTATCACTAAACCCTACTTCAGAAACCTTGCCACCCCAAATCATTCTAGAAAATGCAAGCATAACATTTCCACCTTCAACACTTTGGATGACTGCACTTTGCAGCTTTTGCTGAATGAACCAACATATGTCCAGCACATTGAACAGTATCTGACCCCGAGCAGGTGCTCCAGAATGTTTGAAGGAATGGATGAAGGGATGGAGGAATAGCTCAGAGGAGCTGCCTCGCATGTGCAGTAGAATCTGGGTCTTTATCTTCTGGTGACCTCACACGCTTTCCCATCTCCTTTCAATGAATGTGTGGTCACTACCTGTCAAAATGTACATCAAACCCACCTCCCCAAATACTGGTGCAGATGTGCCCTCCGAAACCAGCCTGTCCCTGCCCTGTCAGCCTCGCCCCACCTCCAGGGAGAAGTGGATACGGAGACCACAGTAAGTGCACTTGACCCTTTTTCCTTAAGACTCATCTGTTGTCCTGCCAAGGCATTTCCTGTGACACATGCGCCCACAACGTACAGCTCCAGGGAGAGCCCAGCCCGTTCTCCAGTCCCCAGCCAGCTCAGGGAGGCTATATGAAGTGAGAATTTCCTGGCCAATTTGACAATGGTGAGTCAGGCTGGCATGAGCCAGCTGCAAAGAGGACGCAGCCTGGACAAGCCTGAATTAAGTGTGTGCACAGAGCAAACATCATCATCTGGATGGATCCAAACCAGGGCTTGCCTGGGGCATTCAGAGCCTTTCAGATGGCCCTGCCCAGAGCTGCTCAGCACTCTTGGAAGATGTCTGGGTTTGGGGAGGCTCAAGGGCTGTTCTTCTACCCCTGCCCCAGAAAAGGATTTGTTCTTCACCCCCTGACCCGTCTGTCTCCATACCAGCCCATTTCCTCCATGACATGGTGACCGGGCTCACACACACAATAACAAAAATAATAATAACCATGCTTATCAAGCACTAACCATGTCAGAGGCACTGTTCTAAATATTTTACATGCATTAACTCATTAAGAGGCAGGGACTATTATTGTCCCCATTTTGTAGATGAGGAAACTGAGGTATGAGACAATGAAGCCACTCGCCCAGGGTAAAAGCCAAGCCCCTGAGACAGATGGAGCTGGGAGTCAGGAGTCTGCAGAGGCTGGGCTTCCAACTGCCCAGCCGCACCACACACAGCAGCTCCTTCCCAAGATGGGTGTCCCAGGGAGAGAGGCAATGCAAGAGCTGAAGTGAGTTTTGAGGCTGCTATGGGCTCCACCCATCCTCCTTGTTTGTTCCAATCAAGTGAGAACGAGACACAAGGAGCAAGATGGAGATCAAAAAAGAGTAGGAGCTCTAGTTCAGATCATGATGCACTGACAAAGGGGCAGGGTTTCTCACTCCCAGGCCCCAACAGAGACTGAAGCAAAGCGGACAGAGACAAGACAGGACCGGCAGAAGCAGGCCGGACTGGCTGCTGACTGCACAGAGGCTGCAAGTGCTCTGCTTGCTTACCAGGCCCCCACTGACCTGTGCTACGCTCAGTTCTGTATACTAGGGAACACCAATCAATGTCGGTGGATCACACAGGTGGATGAATGGACATAGATGGATGGGCAGACAGACAATGGGATGGAAGGCCAAAGCAGGCACCCACATGCACCTGGAAACTTCAGAGGAGAGGGAAAACAGCCATGCCAGCACTTGCCATCAGAGCCCTGAGGGCCTGGGAGCCAGAGATGAGTGGCCAGGATCAAGTGGGCTGTCCCTGGACCAGGAGGCTCTTCCTCACTCTGGAGCCAACTGAGGGTTGATTTCTGAAACTCTCCTTCATTTTCACAGCAGCCCTGGGGAGGGCAGAGGAGCCAACACACCAGCTAGTAAAATTAACAGCTGCTCTTTACAGGGCGTGCCGGAGAGCCCAGCACATGGCTCGAGGCCTGCAGACCAGAAGCTGCTGCGAGCTGAGGTGCCTGGCCTGCAGGCCCTGATCAGGGGTCCTCTTGGGGGTAAGGCTTAGACTCTGAGCTGCCAGCAGGGCCTGGGGTGTGGGGGCTGCCGAAGCAGTGGGCAGGTGGATGGAGAAACTCAAGGAATGATGCTGCTACAAAATTCTCAGACATATTCTCCTGACCTTGCGAAGTGGAAATCCATATGTTCACCCCAGCTGGGAATCTGCTATGGAACTTGGGGACCCACCTGGCTCTGGCCTCTCCATCTCTAATGCAGTACTTAGTTGAGCTTGGGGAAGTGAATGTAGACACGTCCCCATGAGAAGGGGACAGATGTTATATCTTATCTATTACCTATGCCATAGGTAACTTATGGAGCAAGTCCTGTAGGCCACTTGAAGAGGAATATTGACAGGCATACAGGGAGTGGCAATTGTTTCTTTACAGGGACAGATGGTAATTATTTTAGGCTGGTGGGTGTTTTGGACTCCGGATACTACTCAACTCTGCCTTTGTAGCTTCTTACAGAAGCAGCCACAGACGATACGTAAATGAGTGAGCATGGCTGTATTCCAATGCAACTTTGTTTATGGACGCTGAAATTTGAATTTCATATAGCTTTCACATGTCACAAAATACACTTATTTTGATTTTTAAAAAATAACCATTTAGGCCAGGTATGGTGGCTCACATCTGTAATCCCAGCACTTTGGGAGGTCAAGGTGAGAGGATTGCCTGGGCCCAGGGGTTCAAGACCAACCTGGGCAACACAGTAGAACCCCATCAGTACAAAAAATTTAAGAAAACATAGCATGTCATGGTGGCCTGCACCTGTAATCCCAGCTATCAGGGAGGCTGAGGCAGAAGGATCGCTTGAACCCAGGAGTTTGAGGTTGCAGGGAGCTATGATTGCACCAATGCACTCCAGCCTGAGCAATAGAGTGAAACCTTGTCTCTGAAAAAAAAATAAAAAAATGTAAAAACCATCCTTAGCTTATGAACCACACAAAAGAGGCAATGAGCCAGACTGTCCCACAGGCTATAACTAACTGATCCCTGGGCTAATTAAATGTTTCCCAAAGTGAGTGCTATGTGATGCCCACAGGTATTACATGGGGAAAGGATTCCACAGGGAAATGAAAATGGAAAATGCTGGGCAAAACAGAGCCTTTCCGCTTTCTGACTGCAGGACTTCTGTAAGTATTTATATGCTGATATGCATTGGCAATCTCGAGGAGGGGGATGAGAAATGAAGTCTATCCAAGTTCCCAGGGAACCATTTTTATCCGGGAACAATTCGTGGGTCTAGTGTTCTATGGAACCTAATTAAAGCCATGAGGATAAAGTCTAACCAACTGTCAGCAACAGCACTATGAAATGCGATCCTGCTGCTCTTTGAATATTTCTAGTAACAGGCAGCTCACTACCTGTCGGGGGAGACTGCTCAATTCAATTATTTCTCTGACTCATGTTTTCTCATCTGGGTAAATGATGTTGAGTCAAAAATAACAAATCTAGTGCAAATCTAGTGTATCTTTCATTAGATAAAGACAAAATTTCATGTTTAATAGTAAAAAAAGAATGTATCTTCTTTGACTTTTTGACTGATACCCATAATGTGATTTCAGTATCTATGCATGGGATGAAATACAGAACCACTATTAAGTCCTGGAAGGAAATTATCATATGGTTCCTTTAAACAGAAGCCTCCCTTAGGAGTGTTAAAACAATGCCAATAAAACTCCAACTGATTCCCAATAGCAGAGAGCAGGACATACCTATTCACTATGGGACATTCTTACTAAAAGTACAGTCCTGTGAAACCTCTAGTCTTTCTGCTACACAAGGCATTGGCCAATGATGTAAGAATTTTACATAGATTTGCCTAAAATATAATAAAAGCTGGGGCATAGATGAGGGGGGTGAGAGACAGAGACAGAGACAGAGAGAGAGAGAAGTGTGTGTGAATTTGCCACCAGGCACCACTGAGAAAGAAAAGTAGAGGATACTGATGGGAAATGTCACAACCTCCATAGGGCACCTAACAGAAGTGAATGCAATGAATGTGATATATTTGATTATGTGTGTGCCCATGTGTACTCCCACTGGGTTCAACCAGTCTAATTTCATGCGCAAACAGCACATCAGTGAATGTACATCTATTTAACTCTGTTAAACCAATAGGATTATTCCTATTTGAAAGGCATATTTGACACATATTTTCTTTTGGGCCCTTGGAGATAAAGATGAAATGGTCCAGGCTATGTATATAACGTTAATGTAAAATGCCACACATGCAACATATTTAGGGGGATAAAGAGAGAGGCTGATATTTTTCTTTCTTCTTACATCGATAAATCATCCCTATACATTCAAGCAAGTAGCATATGCTTTCAGTTCATAGAATTAGCTGTGTAAGCTTCCTGGAGCAATACACAGATGTAACAGCATAGGAATATGGGGAAAGTAACTACAAAGAGTGATTCTAAGGGCTCTCTCTAGCTTTGCTCAGGAGCTGGTAGCTATTTTGGCAAGACCAGTCTTTGAAGAGACACACAAAACATTGAATCTGTCAGGGGGTTGAGGTAAAGTCTAGGCAGTGTAGATGTCGCTCCCAAGTTGAGGTGAGGCTGTCCTTCACCACAGGACATAGTTTCCCTAGGGAGACAGTTGCTGTGAGATCAACATGGAAATGAATATGAACATGCAGAAACTAAGTGACAATGTGGATAGTGAGAGTATGTGTGTGTGCCTGTATTTATCTTTGTGTGTGTATCACTGAGTCTGTAACGCTCCTTTACAAAGAGTGTGACACTCTTGCTACTCGACCTTAGAGAATCTCTTCGCCTCCAGCCCCAGACTTTCAATTTCTTTATATATAAAACAAGGGGATAAATTAGACTGAGTCAGCAAACTATGGTGTGTGAAACAAATCTGGCCCACCACCTGTTTCTTTTTTTAAAACGTTGTATTGACATATAATAGTGTACATATTTTGGGGGATGCATGTGATATTTTGGTACATGTATAATGATTAGATCAGGGTAACAGAAAACCATCACCTCAAACATTTATCTTTGTGTTGGGAACATTCTAATTCTTTTCTAGCTATTTTGAGATGTACAATAAATTACTGTTAACTATAATCTCCCTATTGTACTATCACATGCTGGAACTTATTCCTTCCAGTCAACTGTTTTCTCTACCCCCTATTTCTATAAATACAGTTTATTTGTATAAATGTAAGGAGTATGAGTGCAGTTTTGTCACATGGATATTTTGCACAGTGGTGAAGTCTGGGCTTTTAGTGTAACCGTCATCCAAATAGCGTGCATTGCAACCATTAAGTAATTTCTCATCACTCATCGCCACCTCCCACCCTTCCACCATTCTGAGTCTCCATTGACTACTATTCCACTCTCTGTCCATGTGTACACACTATTTAGCTCCCACTTATTCATGAGAACATGTGGTATTTGACTTCGTTTCTGAGTTGTTCCACTTAAGATAATGGTGTCTAGTTCCATCCATGTTGCTGCAAAAGACATGATTTCATTCTTTTTTATGGCTGAATAGTATCTTATTGTGTGTGTTTGTATATATATAAATGTAATATATATACATATATAATGTGATATATATGCATGTGTGTGTATATATGTGTGTATGTGTGTGTGTGTGTGTGTATTTTTTTTTTCTTTATTTAATCATCCACTGATGGACCCTTGGGTTGATTCCATAGCTTTGCTATTGTGAGTAGTGTTGTGATAAACATAGGAGTTCAGGTATCTTTCTTATATAATGATTTCTTTTCCTATGGGTAGCCACCAATTAGTAGAAATGCTGGATCAAATGGAAGTTCTGTTTTCACTTCTTTGAGAAATTTCTGTGCTGTTTTTCATAGAGGTTGTACTAATTTACATCTCCATATAAGTGATCCTTTTCTCCACATCCTCACCAACATCTGTTATTTTTTGTCTTTTTAATAATAGCCATTCTGGCTGCTGTGAGATGATATCTAATTGTGGTTTTAATTTGCATGTCTCTGAAGACTAGAGATGTTGAGTATTTTTTCATATGCTTGTTGGCCATTCGTATGTCTTCTTTTGAAAAATGACTATTCATATCTTTTGCCCACTTTTAAATGTTATTTGGTGATTTTTGTTGTTGAGTTTTTTAAGTTCCTCATGAATTCTGGACATCAGGCCATTGTTGAATGCATTGTTTGCAAATATTTTCTCCCATTCTATAAAGAAAGTTTACTGGAACAAAGTCACACCAAGGCTGTTTGTGGCTGCTTTCAAACTACTGTGGCAGAGTTGAGTCGTGGAGCCCACATGGTCTGCAAGCCTAGAATATTTACTATCTGGCCTTTTATGGAAAAACTTACCAACCCTGAATTTGACTACCACTGTTGACTTTGGCTTATGATTCTATACAGCACAACCAAACTATACTAAAACCTACACCATACGTTTCTTGCCCTCTTTATTTAGAAACCACCTTATTCTTAGGGGGATTTAATTTACCTGACAAAAATGTATGGAACACATAACTGCATACATGTAAATTCCAAATAGGAGTAAGAAAAGTAGGGCAAAGGGAAAATGAGAGGAGAGATGATGAAGACAAGCCAGAGCAGGGGTGCAAAGACACAGAGCGCAAACCTGAGCCACTCTGTATTTTCCATAAGCCACCGACTTGGCTCTGAGCAGCCACCACTGAGAGACATGATCCCTTTCTCGATTTAGCATGCTCACTGGATGTTCACCAGGAAAACCACAACAATCTCTGGTGCAAAACACTACTTATCCCATGAGTCTGTGCATAAAGCAGGTAACATGAGATGCAGTGAACAAAGTCCTCAATGACACCCAAACAGTTAAGAGAAATCCTGACGACATTGACTGCTATATCCAAATTTCCCTCCGCATGAGCCGACTCCAAATCCCACAGTGGAATTTATCAGCACGTCTTCCAGCACATTTCAATTTTTTTAAAAAAAGCAAACATATATTACTTTTATAATCAGAAAATAAACATTTGTTTAGTTAAGAAAAAAATAAAAGGAAGCAGTACTCTTGACAGCCTGGTGTTCACTTTAATGTAGAATCCCTCAGCCACGTGCTCCAAGAGAAGGCTCTGTCCAGTCCTGCTGTTTTTGGCCAGTTGAGCCTGAGTGCCAGGGTGAGAGAGGAGGCAAAGACAGGCTATTCTGAGATCTGGAGCCGGGGGGTCAAGGAATTTTTATCATGTGGATAATCAGGCTCCAGGCGTTGACTATAAAAAGCACTGGTGAATGGCAATTATCATTTGTCATTTCTTAAATTGAGCTCTGCATCCTTATATCTAGTTTATCAATATAAATAATTCACACCTGGATCTCTGTTGCTCACTGCTTTATGCCCAGTGCCTTGAACAGTGCCAGGTACAGATGAGCAGTAAACACTTAGTGAATAACGGATGTGCTCGTCTGGGAGATCCTACAGATATTCTGAGGTTGTATTGGCAAATTCTTCCCCAGCTGGACCTTACTCATGATGTCCCAGCTTCGAGATTCACACCTGTGACAATTAGACAGGTGAGATAGAGGCCCAGATGAGGAGGCCAAGCTCCTGAGCGTGCATCAAGGAAAACAAATTAAAAATTGAAACGGGAAACTGAATAGCCAGCTGTCTGGTCTTGCTTTGGTCCCATTGTTGCAGGGATAAACATTTGGACGGCTCAAGACAAACACAGCTTTGGGTTCTGAACAGGCAGTGCTGCTTTCTCTTGCCCGCCATTACTTAATTGTGAAATCTCTTCTTTGTTCAGTGCAGGGACCTGCCTGCTCCTAAAGGGCAGGCCTATTCTCAGGATACCGCCTGGAGCTCTGAGATGCCTGCTTTCTGTGCAGCAGGTCCCACTTGCTCTGCATGGCCCCAACAGCCTGGGCAGGATTTTCTCCAAGGAGACCTTCAGAGAGCAGCTGGCACCTTGGGCAGGCTCAGGCAAAGAGGCCTGAGTGGACCATGCTTCTACATGCAAATGTTTAACAAGCAGGCCAAGCATCCTCAGGACCAAATTGGCTAAAAGATGGTAATGTCAAAATGTCACAGCCAAAGTGACAGCTGTCAGTGGCTTAGAAAAGAAAAGGCATTATCTTCGACTGGGAAGTAATGACACAAAAGGAGCACCAGACTGGGAGACAGGGAGCTGGCAGGTACTAGCCTGGCTCTGTCACTCAAAGCTGAATGTTTTTAGACAAATAATTGCCCTTGCTATATCTTGATTTTCTCAACTGTAAAACAGAGATGAATTCACTGATAAGATTGGCCTGTTTTCTTGTAATGAACCCCTACAACACAACAGCAATAAGGAGATACGGAAGAAATACGACATTGTCCTTCCCCTTCAAACTGATCATAACATATAAGGTTAGCACAGTGCCTGGATCACAAGAGGCGTTCAACAGTGTGATTGCCAGGAGAGTCTCAAGGTGGCCGCTGGGTGTGCTGGGCCCAATGAGTTCCATTTCCATGATATCACCCACATGGGCTACCTGCATCTTCTGCTTGGTGTCAGTGCAGACCGTGCCCCACCAGGACCACATCAGGAATCTGCTCCCATGCCATCACTAAAGCAGTAGCTTACTGCCCTAACTTGTCCTATAGCCTCCAAGCTCTAGCCTCACCCATTCAGTCTCCACTTGTCCCCCAGCTCTCTCTGTACAACACCCCCTGCCTCAAAATCTCCTTGTTCTACAAACTTCAAAAATTCATTTTTTTTTTTTTGAGACGGAGTCTTGCTCTGTCACCCAGGCTGGAATGCAGTGGGGCGATCTCAGCAGAGCCGCTCACTGCAAGTTCCGCCTCCTGGGTCCGTGCCATTATCCTGCCTCAGCCTCTCGAGTAGCTGGGACTACAGGCACCCGCCACCACACTGGCTAATTTTTTGTATTTTTAGTAGAGATGGGGTTTCACTGTGTTAGCCAGGATGGTCTCGATCTCCGGACCTCGTGATCCACCCACCTGAGCCTCCCAAAGTGCTGGGATTACAGGTGTAAGCCACCACGCCTGGCCCCAAAATTCTTTAGCATGGCCTTTAAAGCCCCACCAGGCTGTCTCCAGGACACTTCCCCAGACTTTGGGGTCTGCACCCCCCATTTCCCAGAGCGCCAGGCTCCTTCTCTGTTTTTCCTGCTCCTCACTTTGAAGGCTTTCTTCTCCTTTAACTCTCAAGATCCTAACTCACACTTAAAAGCTCACTGCAAATGCATTCTGTCTTATTAAGTATTCTTCACAAATTCCAGCCCACCTAGTGGTCATTTTCTTGTGTTTAAGCCTGGATATGTTTTTATTTTTTATATCTTCCCGCCATAAAGCAGCTCATCTTGAAATGGGAGTTTTAGTTCAAAGACTTTCCTCCCTATGAAAGCTTTTCTGATCAGCCCTACTTTCCCCTACAGCCCCTCCCCACACTCCACAAGTGCACACCGTGTTTGTACTCATAGCACTTATCCTCCATGCATTCCTTCAATAACTTCCGCATATGGTGCAATAGAATCAGGATCCTTCCTTGTTTTCTCCAGAGCTGAAACAAATACACTTGGCCCAGAATTAGTGTTCAGTAACTCTTGCAATGCTGATGAAGAAAATTAGAACTGTCTATAATGGCCACATGGAAGGAACAAGTGTCACATTTGTGCAGCTAAACTGTCTGCTGCTCCCCATTCACTATCACCACCATACATATAGAATACACTACCTCCATTTTGTCCCCATGAATACCCAGACTCAGAATTCAACCTCTCTTAAGTTTCCAATGCAGAATCCACTCCTCTTCAAGCATGAAAGAGCAATGGAGACTTCAGTCAAGAGGCAGGAGGAGAGATAGAGGTGCTGTTACACAGCTCAGCCAACAGCAAGTCACCTCCAAGTCCCCACTAGACACTGTCCCTCCTGGGTCACACCAGACTGAATTGTCTCCCTCTCTGCCTTCCTCCAAGCAGCCACTGACCTCACCAGTTTCTCTCTCCTCCTCCAAAACTCCAACTTTAAATGTCCCCTCTTTCCATTTTGCCATCAATTGACATCAGCCATGGTTTCATAACCAGACCCTTCAGCACACAGCTCACGGCAGATCCCTCGGTGAACAGAACCTGTCTTTCTTGAAGGCTGTGTGGCCAGCACCTTTGATTACTCAAGCACCACGTTCATTCTCTCACTCCTTCCCACAAAAGTGTGTGTGATATTGATCCCAGACATAACATTGAGTTCTCCCCAAGAAGGATTCTGAGAAGTGAAATTCTCACCACCTCCCTCCATCTACAGTCACCTCTTCACTGAGTTTTTGCTGTGAGACTCAGAGATAATGACTGTTTTCCAGTGTCCCTGCCTGGTCTTTGAGCCTCGCAGGCCTCAGGATGTCCCTACTCCTTCCATCTATGAGCCAAATGACTCTTGACTGAGCCCTAGCTTCATGCCAGGACAGGTGGCCCAAACAAAACAGCTTCCAGAATCACAATGAGAAATCACTCCGAATGCAATATCCTTCTCAGGGAAACTCCTGACCCAGAGCAGACCCAAGAAAGCAAGCTAGGGCTTTCCTAGAGCATGGGCCTGGCTATGGCGACCAATTCATCCCTGTTTGCCCAGGACTTTCCCAGTTTTTGCACTGAAAGACTCATGTCTCATGTACCCCTCAGTCTCAGGCAAACTGGGATGGTTGATCACTATAAGCCTGTCCCAGTAATGATCCTTGACAAAAACCAAGGGCTCATGAGGCCAGCCAGTGAAGCCAAGCTTCATATAAGCAGATCAGAGAGATGTTGGAAACATACAGAGAAGGGGCAGAATCAGCCCTGGTTGCAGGTGGGCTTAGGAGACAATCTCATCAGAAAAGGGCACACAAGCGAGCTCTAGGTACACGGGCCAGGCAGCCTCAGGTGGGCTACTGATGCATCCACCATCAGCATGACTGATTTCTACCGTGCACAGGGCCCAGCTCACACACTGCAGAAAATTAGGAAACTGCTGCAAGAGGGGGTCCCTATGGGCTACCACAGGACAAGAAGAACATCCCCCGAAGACCACCAAACACACACTCACTCAGCACTCCCCAGGATCCCCGCATTTGTAGCCCTTCCATGAGTTTCTGGTATATTTCCTTAACCCTCTTCTCCTCTCCAAGATGATGGAGGGTGTGTGTGTGTGCGCGCATGTGTGCTTTAGCAGAGGAAATGTGCTACATCTTCCCAACAACCCTTCTCCACTGCAAATCCCACTCCTTGAAAATCCCTCCACAAACCACTGTACACAAGGAACCGAGCCTCTCCTCCATGACCACGCGGGAGCACTTGCTGCTCACCCCCACCTCCCAATAGCCAGCCTCCTGCAGAAGACCCTGGGGAATATCACGTCTCATAAGCAAAGCCACCTTGGCCCAGACAGCAAGGCCTCCTGGTGTGAGAAGTGGGTGGAGACTCACCAGGACTCTGCCAGTCAGTGTCTGGGCGGATATCATCACCCCCGCCCAGTCCTTCACGGAGGTCATCCAGCCGACCTCGGCGGCCACTGCCTCCTCTTTTTCATCCACTGGTTTGAGAGTGCCATCCGCCTGGCTTGAGCCATTGTTAATCTTCTGGGCCTCCTGGCAACAGAGAGAGCAAGAGTTAAGACATAGGGAACAATGGATTTAAATAACATGCTCTACCCATAAAGAACCAGAGCCAGAAGGGGTCCCCAGCTGAGATGGAAACTAGCTTAAAGGTATAGGAGTAAAGCAGAAGGGGTAAATTATGCCTTTGATTTTTTTAAAGCCTTTATTTAAAAAAGAATATTTTCTTTATTTCCTCTTAAAATATCTTAGTGAAACAAAGAAGGATGGTATTATTCTATTCTATTTTATTTTATTTTATTTTTTGAGATGAAGTCTCACTCTGTCACCCAGGCTGGAGTGCAGTGGCGCAATCTCGGCTCTCTGCAACCTCCACCCACCAGGTGCAAGCAATTCTCACGCCTCAGCCTCCCTAGTAGCTAGAATTACAGGCGCGCGGCCACCATGCTCGGCTAATTTTTGTATTTTTAGTAGAGAGGGTTTCACCATGTTGGCCAGGCTGGTCTCAAACTCCTGACCTCAAGTGATCCGCCCACCTCAGCCTCCCAAAGTTCTGGTCTCCTCCCATTTTAAAGAAAAAGAAAATACCAAAGCAAGAGGAAACGCAATCTGTCTAAGATTAGGGCATGCTGAGGAGGGAGGAGGAAAGTGTGGGAGATGTCCTGTGGTCTTTGCCTACCCAGCCTCTATGCCCCTTTTCACAGCAGCACCCCCACTTTCCTTTAGGAAAATTATCTCTTCCTCTCAGTCTATGTAGTTCAAAGGGGACAGATGGCCTCACATTGGCTCCAACATTGGAGTCCTTTCTACCCCCTGCCAACAGCAATTGGGCCATTAATAATCACATGATCCATGCCAAGCCAATAAGACTCAAGCGTGGAACATTTGCAGGAAAGAATAGGAAAAGTCATCCTTCCCTGAGAATGAAGCCACTGCAGAGAAAAGTAAAAGTAATAGACTACTGATGTCATCATTTGAACACCCGGATCCAGCTGTGCCTGAAATCTACACCAGACCTTTCCAGTTACAGGAGACAATACATTCCCCTTCTGGCTTAAAATGTGCTTGAGGAAACAAGGCTGATTTCATCAGATAACTGAGCCCCACACAGGGGCCGAAACTGTAAACCTTTGCATACAGTGAGTGTTCTGCCTGGAATACTCTTCTCCCACAGAGACTTATGGCCTGCTCCCTTAAGTCTTTGCTCAAATATCTCCTTTTCAATGAAGTCTTCCCTGGCCACCTGTTTAAATTTGCAACACTTTCTTTCCAATAGCACTTTTCTGCTTTATTTTTCTCCATAGCACTTAAAACCGCTAATATACTTAATAATTCATTTACTTCTTTCACTTACTGTCTGCCTTCCCCACTGCTGCAGCCTTGGTGCCTAATAGAGTGTCTGGGACAGAGTTGGCTCAATAACCATGAATGAATGACTAGAAAGGGCTATGAGTATCAGCCCCTCGTTAGCTACAAAGGCTGGGTTTAGTGTTGCCAGATAAAATACAGGATACCCAGTAAAATTTAAATTTCAGATAAACAACAAATAACTTTTTAGTATAAGTATATTCCAAATACCACATGGGACATGCTTATACTAAAACCTTATTATTTATCTAACAATGTACATTTAACTGGACCCCAACACAAATACCCACTGCAACTATGACTGCAGATGAAGATGTTTAAAAAGATGCCAGCAAATTATGTTCATCATTTAAAACTCTGGAATTAATTCCCAAGGCAAAGCCACACTGGGGATCATTGTGATTTGGAGTAAGGGGAAGAACCAAAGACAGTGGTGAAAAGCTTTGTCTGCAGTGACAAAGGGGGCGGGGCAGAGGGAGGCCAGGCACGTGGGAGGCAGGTGGGGAGGGTGCACTGGTGAGTCATCCTCTTGGGGACTTGGCCACGGCAGGCAGGAAGCTGGTCCCGATTCCTGCTTCTCTCCCTCTGGCTGCCTGTGGCTCAGGGAAGCTGGGGAAGAGAAAAGTGGGACCTGCAGCCCTGGACGCTAATATTTTCTTTCCAAATGTGTTAAGCCCCACAGAGCTACAATGATCCAAGAGGAGGCCCAGGAGGGGGAGGCCACTGGGCAGATGTATCTGGGGGCTGCCTGCTGACATGTGTGGGACCTGCTGCCCAAGCCTCCCAGGCCAGCCTCAGATAGGACCTGTTAGGTCTTGCCCTGGTCCCTGAGCCTCTGCCCTGTGAGACTCTGAACAGGAGGGTATTTAGGAGGATGGGGAGGCCCTGATACAGGGTCAACCATGGTAACTGAAGGTGTAGATTCGGGGGAAAATCCAGCTCTGCCACCGCTGTGGGACCTCAATAAGATGGGGACAGTACTGCCAGCCCCTCAGGCATTGTCAGGATTAAACAGTGTCCAATAGCACAAAACACAGGTTCAAGCAATTATCCCAGCACCCCTTGCTTCTTCTCGTGCCCCTGACACCATAAAGCAATGGTTATCACAATGAGCGGGCATCATAAGCACACCAGAGGGCTTGTTGAAACACAGTGTGCTGGGCCCATCCCAGAACCTACATTCGAACCAAGATGTCAGGCACTTCTGATGCTGCTGGGCTTGGAAGCCTACTTTGGGGACCACAGCTCCTGACTACCCTAGTATGGCTCGGTGACTGCTGAAATGAGACATGGATCTTCACCCCCAGCTCTCTCCTGGCCTCTCCCTTCACCCAAGGACAGAACCACCTGCTTGTTTCAATATTGGACATTGGTGGAGGGGTGAGGAAAAGAGGAGGGCAGGGAGATCGTCCCACATCTGAGGCTCTAGTGTTTCCTTTTGAGTCAAGCCTCCCAGGATGTTTCTGAACTGGTCCCTGGCCACCACGTGGGGACCTGGAAGATAGCTCCCTGCTCCTCAGTCCTGGGGGCCCAAGTTCCACAGCCCCTTGGTAGACCCTGGAGAGGAGAAATCAACGTGAAAAAGGCTGGGAGGCAGGGGGGCCCTCCAGTCACAGTGGTTAACTGCATCAGTAATTCATAGCACAAGAGGTATGTGGCAGATAATGCTATTTCGCCAGCCCTCTTACCTATTGTTTTACAAGGCATTCATTATTTTAATTACTTTATGATAGGCAAGGAAAAACACAGACTAAAGGGAGATAATGCCCTTGTTATTATTTGCTTACACTAGATGTTGTGAGCTTAATTACCATGTGTGGGAAGCAGGACTGGGAGGAGTGATGGGGGAGCTATTTAAAGCCTGATGCCAGCCGGCCAGACTAGCCACCAGGCTAGCCACAGATCTTGTGCCTGGAGGAAGAGGCCCCTCTCTCCACCACTGACTTCACTCTGGCCAAAGCACCTCTTATGGGGAGCAGGCATTATAACTCCATGCTCCAAAGAAAAAGCAGAGAAGGTTCAGTAGCCTTGCTGGGAACATGCAGGGGCAGAGTCCATTATAAGAGTGTTGGCCACCATTGAACAAGCCAGAACTAGGTGCCAGCAACTAAGAATTAAGTGTTTTCTATGCATTGTCTTGCTTAAACCTTATAATACATCCAACAGGCAAGTGAAATTATTTCCATTTTACAGACAGGGTAACTAAGAGCAGGTATCTCTCAGAAAAAGGCACAGAGCCTGAGAGCTCAGGCTGGAAGCAGAGAGCCCACCTGGGCTTGTACCTGCTCCAGAACTTCCAAGCTGATGGCTGTGGCCCATCAACCCTTGAGTCTCAGCCTCTTCCATGTAAGATGGGGACAAACATGCCGCCTCATTAAGGTGGTGGGGAAGCTGAAGCTTGGCACAGTCCCGGGCACACAGTGGTTACAGCTGCCCTGATGAAGCACCCGCTGATGGGGCTGGGGCCTCTAAGAGTAATCCACTGAAGCTGCACCACTTTCATCAACCAGTGGCCCTGGGAGGCACACTGGCCAGAGTGAACCTTTAATAAATAATCACAGAATGGAGGATAAGGAGGTGCAGGTTCTAACACTGTTATCCTCCAATGAGCAAGAAGTCCCTATAAGGCAAGGTGCTGTGACTCCTGCAGGGCTTCTAGTAGGCGCTGTGTGACCACCACCCAGGACAGCTGGGGCAGGGATTCCCGCACAGGGTGGACCCCAGACCCAGTGACATCTCAGACCCCTTCTGACTCGCCCCATTAGATCAACCTCCCATTTTTAAGATGAGAACGCTGAGGACCAGGGAGAGGCTGCCTCCTGAGTCCCAGCATTCCGTTCTTGCTCCTGGCCCCACAGGATACTGCCTCACAGGGGAACAAATGGTTTGTTCCAAATAGCAAAGGGGATATGCAGCCACGCCCAAACCTTCCACCTCCCACTGCAGAGGACCCTGTCCTTACACAGGAAGCACTTCCCAGTAGGGGCAGCCCGATGTCAGTCAGGAAATCACTGAGTGCGTGTGCTCACACATGTGTGTGTGCATGTGTGAGAGTGTGTGCATGTGTGTGCACGTGTGAGAGTGTGTGCATGTGTGTGTGCGTTTGTGTGCACGTGTGAGTGTGTACGTGTGTGTGCATGTCTGAGAATGTGTGCATGTGTGTGTGCATCTGTGTGTGTGCTCACACATGCGTGTGTGTGTCTGTGTGTGTAAGGGAGAGAAACCCCACTGGCTGCAGCCTCCAGCTACCCCAGCTTCAGGAGGACAGGCCACCAGATCTTCTGAAATGCAAGAAAAGATGTCTTGGGAAAAGAAAGGAACATGGAGGGAAGAATAGGGAGAAAAATGAGAGGTGAGGCCATCGCGTGGGGAGGCCATCTCAGAAAGAGGAGGTCCTGCAGGAGCCCTCCCCCTGCCCTTGGCAGCTCCCTGAGAAAGGGATTCGGCCTTGCACTGGAGGCCACTCTGGATCTGCCTCCAACCCTGCCCTCTCTCCCCACTAGAGCCTTGTGTAAAGCAGGCCACAGCTGCCTCTCAGTGGCAACAGTGACATCTAATTTCAGTGCCCACATCAGAAGGTGGGGAGGAATTCAGGGCAAGGGTGCAGGCACAGGAGGCAGGGAACACCAGAGAGAAGAGTGGCCACAGTCCCCTCCCGACACCCACCCTACCAGGCAACCTCTCACGGGGCTGTGCCCAGCCTTACACCCTCACCCCTTTCTATGCCTTCTCCCCATTCCCTTTAGTGGTGTTCCCCACGATGACTTTTTGTTGACATGGCCGCAGAGGGGCTCACCCTTCCTATGTCACCTGGGGCCAAGGGCCTGACTGCACCCCATCACCTGGTGCTCAAGATACAAACCTCATCTGATGCGTTTGGGCATTTCCCGCTGAATCACAAGATCAAAGACCAAAGCTTGAGAAGGGACCTTAGCAATTCCTGAGGATCCCCACCACCACCCAACTACCACACACACAGTGTACAGATGAGAAAACTGAGGCCCAGAGGGAAAGCCACAAGCTCAGGGCCACCCAGCCCAGCCAGGTGACCACCGGGCCAGGAAGCAAGCCCCAGTTGCTCTGTTTCCCTTATCTCTTGTTGCCTCCCCGATAAGACAATTGCTCCAAATCTAGCCCAAGTGACAGTCACTCTGCTGCCCCAGCCTGGAACCTGGAGTTCAGGGTGTTCCTAGGACTGGCAGAAGGCTCCACCTAGCCTGGTACTGGGTTCAGGTGTGAGGGTCACGACAAGGGCTAATCCTGCTTGTCTTCAAAGGGCCCAGCCTTCCCCAGCCACGAC
Organism: Homo sapiens; assembly: GCF_000001405.40. Lineage (NCBI taxonomy): Eukaryota > Metazoa > Chordata > Mammalia > Primates > Hominidae > Homo > Homo sapiens. Next base: position 77,409,659 of record NC_000010.11, read on the forward strand.
AGCTGCTCTGGTCTAGCACAGGAGAGCAAGCTTGTGCTAATCCTAGGACCCCACAGCCCCATCCCTCAGATTTGGCTGTCTCCGTCTCTCATCCTTGCTGAATTAGACCCAGTATACTGGGACTCTCAGGTCTGTGGTGTGGCAGGAAGAACTATGAAAATCAAAAGATACTCTGGACCAAGTCCAACTTTTCTGGGTGGCCTCCAGCAAGTCATGTCATTCCTCAAACCCTCCATATTCTCTTCTATGAACAGGGATGAGTCCTGCCTTGTCACCCTGCCTGATTCTTGCAGGAGCCCTAATCTGGTAACAGAGCATTGCCTTTCTGAAAGCAACTGCTTTACAAACGGCAGGCAAGTGGAGTCACTGTCCTCTGGTTCTGGGCAGGAAGCAGGGCTGCTCTGGAGAAAGAAGTCCTGTGCCACAAAGCCAGAGCCCTCACAGAACGCAGGGCTCAACACTCAGATTCCTACCCAGCTGCAACTTGCAGGGCAGGTCCCCCGTTGTCACCCTGCACCCTAACAGGATGTCAAATTGCCAAGTCTCAGCAGGTGACCTGTCATGCTGGGCACACCCTCCCTGACAGGGTGAGCTGCTGCCACACCTGCTCTCACCCGGTTGGACTCTCTCACCCCCAGGCACACTCCTGACACCTGTCAAGCTGAACCAGGCACCAAGGTCACTGCAGGCACCACACCTGCTGGATGACTGCCTCAGGCATGAGAAGCTGGCTGGGCCCGCCTTGAGGGGATCCCAGGGCCCCTCCCTGCTGCCTGCCTAGAGCCAAGCCTTGAAGCTCCAAGTCTGCCTCGGGTTTAACTACGTGTCAGTTCTTTGGACACTGGTTCCTCATCCAGGATCTGGGAAGTTGTTTAGGCAAAGGCCATCTGGGAAGAAAAATACTTTTCAAAAATGTAACTGAAATCATGTCACTGTTGTACCCAACACCCTCCTATGGCTTCTTGGCCCATTCAGAGGACAAGTGAAGTCTTCACACCCAATCAGCCCCACTCGTGCCTGTCATCCTGCGAGTCTGCCGCTCACTAGCTCCACTTCAGATGCAATGGCCTCCTCATGCTGCCAGGACATTCCAGACCCAGTCCCGTCTCGGGGCTGTCTGCACTGGCCTCTGCCTCTGCTCCAGAGATCCCCGTGGCTGCACCCTCATTTCTCTCGAGCTTTGGTTCACATCCTCACTTTGTCCATGAGCTCTCCACCTCATCCCGACCTCTCCCTGTCTGTGCTGTCTTCTCCGGAGTGTGTCTGCCACCTGCTTCCTTTACTTCATCATTGTGTGCTGTCTGCAAGCTGCATGAGGGAAAGAGTTTTTGTCTGTTTCTTTTTGTTTTGTTTGTTTTGTTTTAGACAGAGTCTTTCTCTGTCACCCAGGCTGGAGTGCAGTGGCGTGATCTCGGCTCACTGCAACCTCTGCCTCCTGGGTTCAAGCGATTCTCCTGTCTCAGCCTCCTGAGTGCTAGGAGTATAGGCATGTGCCACCACACCTGTTTAGTTTTTGCATTTTTAGTAGAGATGGGGGTTTCACCATGTCTGTTTCATTTATGGCTGTATCTTCAATATTGAATCCCTGTGAGCTCAGAGTAAGCACCTGACAAATCTTGGTGGGTGGGAGGGAAGGAAGGAGTGGGGGAAGGAGGAGAGGAGGGAGGAGAGCTACAGCAAATGGAAAGTCAGTTCTTACCATGCACAATCTAGAATAGATATTACTAGTAAATAGTACTACTAACAATAATTATACTATCGACTACTGTTTTTTAGCATGATCATAGTAACTCTATGACGTTGGTACTAATGTCCTCCATTGACAGATGAGAGGTTAAGTAGCTGGCCCAGGAAGACACAGTGTGAATTTAAATCCAGCTGTCTGATGCCAAAAAGGGACACGTACCCATCCTGCTGTCCTCCCGGGAACAGTGTGAGCAGCAGACGGGAGAATGCATGTGCAAGGATTATTGGCTGCTGCAAAGTGCCCACGAAAGGTTTATTAACATGAAGAGCACTCAATTCATGCCACTTCTGGGTACTGCTTGTACCATCACGACCCTTCTTCCAGGGCCCTGTGCCTATGGAGGGCAGTTCCATCAAGGACAGAGAAACACAGTTCCTTTCTCTGCCAAGAACCTGCCCGGAACCATAAATTCACCCTTCGTGGAGCAGAGTATCACATTGGAAATGAGCGTGGCCAAGCTGACGGGCTGTGAAGCCCTCCTGCTAAGAACCACGGTTCTCTATGCAGATGCTGCTAAAGGAAGATTTGGCTTCCTCCCTCGCCATGCGTATCCTTGGAGTCCTTAGCACGCTCTGCCCAGCGGTCTCCAGCACTAAGAGGCTGAGCTCTGCCGGGCCTGACGCACCTGAGTGGGAGGTAGGGTTCTGACAGGGAACAGGAGAGATCAGGTTAGCACAAAACCATCTCCGCTAGCCCTTTTGGGACCAGAGTAGGGGCTGGGAAGCCCCTCTCATCCCTGGAAGCTGGATGTTCTGCCCAGCACCCTGGAACCATGGGATAGTCCCAGGATGCTTGACCCCCAGAGGGCTGTGAGAGAAGGAAGGGCCTCATGCCTCACAGCCCCTTTGTCCTCAAATTTTCCTGGTCAACATCAGAAGGCCATTTCCCCTGAGCCTTCATTGATGGACTGCGCTCTGAGTTACTCATTCCATCTGCCAGGAGCCCCACCCCACCCTCTCCCTGGCCACTCCATTGCCCCATCTCCTCTCGTCTGTTGAAACTGACCCAGCAGCCCCACATGCTGCTGTCCTCAACTGGGCACAATGCAGAAGGGCTCCTTCTCTCCTACCAAAGGGTGGGGGCAGGGGGAAGCCTTCTGGACCAGAAGCTATGAAGCCAGGCACAGGCTGTGTGCCCTGGGCCAGTCACCTAACCTCTCTGAGAAGAGTCCCTATCTGGGAGACGAGAGGGGGTGGTGAGTTAAATCCACAGTTTTCTGTACCTTGAGGCCCAGCATTGTGAGGTGCCCCAGGGGGGCTGGTTACCAAGGGAGGGCAGAGGAGGCAGGGCCCCGGACCCCGCGGAAATAAAAGCGCCTCTGCATTGAGCAATTTCACCTATTATGGTTCTGTGCTAGACTGCATCTGAGTGAAGGGATTTTCTGGGGAAAAACATTAGAAATCCCCTGAGTAAAAGTCCATAGGCCCATGTTAGCTTTTTTTTGTTTTGTTTTGTTTTGTTTTGTTTTTTGAGAAAGAGTCTCACTCTGTTGCCCAGGCTGGAGTACAGTGGCGTGATCTCAGCTCACTGCAATTTCTGCCTCCCAGGTTCAAGTGATTCTTGTGCCTCAGCCTCCCTAGTAGCTGGGATTACAGGCGTGTGTCATCATACCCGGCTAATTTTTGTATTTTTAGTACAGACAGGGTTTCACCATGTTGGCCAGGCTGGTCTCAAACTTCTGACCTCAAGTGATCCACCTGCCTCAGCCTCCCAAAGTGCTAGGATTTACAGGAGTGAGCCACCTCGCCCGGCCCCATGTTAGCTTTTTAAAAAATGCTTTGTTTCATGACAATAACTATGACATCCTGTGGCACAGTTTGGCCTAAGATCCAGAAGTGTCTGAACCTCAATACCTTAGGAAGCCCTGGGGCTGCTGGTCCCTCCCCGCGGGCTGCTCTCCTCTCCTTCGCCTCAGGTTTTCACCAGCCCCGAATGCTGGGGCTGGGTCTTCCGTGTCCCCCCTCCCATGCCAAAGAGGACATCCACCCAGCAACCTCTTTCACCTCCTGGGCGGGTTTCCCAGCCACGGGCATTCTCCCAGGTACCAATAATCCTGCATATTAGGGTATTAGGCAGATTACCCAAAGCAGCTCAAGCAAATCAAGCATAGCATGGGCACCACCAGCTGGGGTTTTCATGGCAAGAGTTCTGCAAAGGGAATGGATGGAGGAGGTGGTTACTCTGAGACTCAAGGACCAGAGAAATAGGGCAACAGGGGACCCAGGTCTTTCCTAGAGCTGGTGTCAGGAGTGGCAGAGTTCACTTCTGCCCCTGGGAAGTTGCATAGTCCAACCTCTCCCTGGCTGCCATCACTTCTCCTGCTCTGCACCCCGGAGACTCTGCACCAGCAGGGCTTAAGACATTTGCACTGATTAATTCACCTAGCAGTTACTGTGTTTGCTAACTGTGGGCTGTACCTTTAGGGAAGGGACACACTGTCCACAGATTCAGGCAACAGGAACTTATAAAGAAGCTGGGACCTAACCGATTACCCCGAGCTGTCAGAAAGCCCTGTGAGTTTACTGGGTGTCTCGGCTGGACCTACAGTGCTCCACCATTGAGGCATTTTTAGCCATTGCTTTCTGGGTGCCCTGTCCAGATTCTCACTCTTAGAAGCACCCCTGCGCTGGGTGTGAACAACTACTCTTTGGAAGTCTTCATGGTAGAAAAAGGCCAGGTGACCTTTAACAAGTCCTTACCATCTTGTGCCTCAGGTTTCTTTGTCTCAAATGCAGGGAGCCATGTAAACACTCCCCAAGGTCTGTCCAGCTCTAAACTGTCTGACCCGGAGGCCTGGATTGTTAAGTCCCTTACTTTGCACGCACTGTCTCAGCTCTGTAACCCTGGGCAAGTCAATCAAGCATCATTTCCCTCCCCCGGGAAATGCTGCAGGACAGATTCCTTTTCAGCTCTTCTCAGAGCCAGGTTCAAAGCTGCTCTCCCATTCCCTGAGGACCAAGGGGGTCAACTGGTGCTCAGGAGATCACTGATCCCCTCTTACATCTACTGTGTTCTGTCCTTGGTGATTTTACACCAACTTAATCTTCACAAGAAGCCTGCAAGATAGGAATGTTTTTTCTTTTTTTCTTTTTTCTTTTTCTTTTGAGACAGAGTCTCACTCTGTCGCCCAGGATGGAGTGCAGTGATGCAATCTCAGCTCACTGCAGCCTCCGCCTCCCAGGTTCAAACGATTCTCCTCCTCAGCCTCCCAGGTAGCTGGGATTACAGGCACCCACCACCATGCTCCAGTAATTTTTTTTTTCCTAGTAAGATGGGGTTTCAACATGTTGGATAGGCTGGTCTGGAACTCCTGACCTCAAGTGATCTGCCCGCCTCAGCCTCCCAAAGTGCTGGGATTACAGGCGTGAGCCACCACGCCTGGCTGCAAGGTAGGAATGTCATGAGGCTCAGAGAGATTGGGTAATTTTCCAAGATTACCCATCTTGTAAGTGGCAGAGCTGAAATTTCAATCTAGTCCATTCTAACTCTGAAGGCCATATTTTTTCTCTCTATTCCACACTGTCTTGGGATAGGTCCAATGTGCAAGAACAGAGATGGAATCTCCATATAAAATTCTGTTTACTACTACTACTGAAACAACCATCTCACAACCTATGGCTTCTAAGTAACAAAATCCTGTAGTACAGACATCTAAATTCAGTTATAATCCACTATGTACGGACAGAGAGTTGGAGAAATGGGCTAGGGGACGGGGATCCAACCTGGGAATACAATGCTCATTAGACATTAGATATGTTCTCAAATGGCCACATATGCTGCCTAAAATTAGTAAGGCAACCTCCAAACTTTCAGGGCTAATACATACATCCTGGCCAATGTGCCGTATTTGTAAAATAACAATCTCCTTCTCTTTCAATTAGCTTAATAAAATTGGAAAATATAAGTGACAGTCCAGAGTCCACTATCAGAGCCATAGAGACTTTGAATTGGATTAGTAGAGTCCTCAGCCAGGATGACCCTGGCAGGGTCCAAGACAGCCTGCTGTCCATCAGAGACTCGGAGACTCAGCTGCCAGTCTGCAGGGCAGCCCATCCTGCCCCAGAAGCTCAGCTCAAGACCTGCCCAGACAAGAAAACTGTGGCAGGGGCCCAGCAGGAAGGCAAAAATTACATTTGTTTCTCATCAGGGCAGACTGGGATATGGATAACCAAACACACAGGAAATCCCAAACCCTCATGTTCATAAAAGAATGCAGAAATCTTCGTGCCAAGTTAACTTTTACCGGAGGGAGCCCATTGCCATCCTGTAGACCAGGAGGAGGATCCAGCCCCCAAGGAGCCTCACTCTCCTCAGCAAAGGCTCCTGCAGGTAGCTCACAGGTGCTCTGTTCCCATGGGTCCTGCATGGCCACAGGGCAGTGCTGCCCCTGATGTGGTACGGAATGAAAAGCCTCAGTACAGCGCACTGTGTGTGTCAGTGGAAGACAACTGATGAAGGGCCTCTCCCAGGAAGAACTGTCCTTTTCTTTGACATTATATCGTTACTCCTTTGTTGGGTATTAACATGTCCTTTTAATGAAATGACAATGGTGGCAGAGCTGGCATTTGACAGTTTCTTTTTTTATGTTTTTGCTTGTCAAAATAAAAAGCTGGTGGCCTTGTGATATTCTGTTTTATAAAAATTCATTGATTATCCCACAAAAAGTCTAGGAACCACTCCCCTAGCCCAAATGCCTCATTCTACAGGCAGGAAATTTAAGGCCCCAATATTCCACACTCATAGTGGCCAGGTTCCCCTCGAAAAATGTGGCTTTCAGACTTCAGGGGCCCAGGGTGTGTCTGTCACACTAGCCAGAGGCAGCCTTGGGGCCAGGAAAGGTAGGGTCTGAGGGATGGAGGCATGGTCTCTCAGGGCTGGAGGAGCTCTGCAAGCTGCTGGCCCACACAATAGGGGAAAGGGGAAGGCAAGCATTTTCAGAGCTCAGGGCCATACCAACCGCCTGAGTTCCTGGCATCTAATGCCTTCACTACCACTACTGCAGGAAATGCACAGAACTATAACAACCTCCCGGGAAATACTACAAGTGTTACCGTGGCCCCAAGCCACCACCCAAGGGGCAACTGGGAAGAAAGAATTCAACCACAGATAGCAGATAGGATGAATTGTTTATGGTTGAATATTCCCTTCAGAGTCAACAGAGGACTCCAAGCAATTTGGAGTAAAAAGATGAGTAACCCGAGAGCAATGTAAGTCACAGCCCAGTGCCCCACACGGAAGGGAACACGGTCATCCCCTTCGCTGCTGTTCTTTGCTTCCCACCACTACCACCTTCATCACACACGTGTGCTTATTCTCTAGCAGTCAGGGCAGAGTCTGCCTGATTTGCCCACTCCACATCCTCAAAGCCTGAACAGCACCTAGCACACGGTGAGCATTTCACAGTGCACTGAAATAATAAATGAAGAAATTCTGTTTTTTGTTCTGTCCTGCTTTGTTTTCACTCTTCGCTCATATCTTCTGGAATCTCAAAAATCCTGCCAAGTCCACAATGCCCTAAGCATAGAAGTCAAACTCCTCAAGGCCTGATCTTCAAGGCCTGGAGCTGAGGCTGCCGGCTGCCCTCCCCACTCGTCACTGACCTGCTCTTCCACCTGACTTCTCGGCTATGACTTGGTCCTCCTGACTGCCACACCTCCGTGCTGGCTGTTCCCACTCCTGGGATGCTCTCCCCATTGCTCCCCAACCATCTTCATCCTCCCTGATCAAATCCCAGAGGTGCAGTGAAGTTCTCCTTCCTGGCTAGATCTCCCCAAAGCTCTCCCTGTCCTGTCTCCAGGGCCCACATCTGCTCCCCCAATTCCACATGGGACAGGTACTTAGCTGTCTTTTGGTCCATGCATGTTGCATTGCCCCAGTTAGCCTGGACAATCCTTGAAGGCAAGGCCTATATACCTTTTATGCCCAAAGTGTTTGGCATACAGCAATGTGCTTAACAGACACGTACCGATTGAGTAAATTAAATCTCTGCTCAGTGGGCACTGGAAAAGCAAGAGCTTTCCCAGGCATCACTGACGTCTGGGTAAACCAGGCCAGTTTCCATGACTTGAAGCTTAAACTGGGGGTTGGCTCCTAACTGCTGTTCCTCAGGGCAGCTACATTTTCAAATAAAAACACTAAATCCCAAATGAGATCAGATGACATGGAGCTTCTGAGAGGCACATGCCCTACCAGGCATGTCAGTCAAAAGAAAGATGAATGTTCTTGTTTACAAAAGGATTTGTCCCGTGCCAGGAAAATTTCCACCATGATTTAGGACCTAATCCAGTCTGTGCCTATAGACCTCACCAACTGAACATGTTCCCGCTTCTTCCATTTGCTGAACTTGGATGGGGCTTGGCTTCGGGTCAAAAGAGCTGTCCCAATTAGGTCGTCAGACAGCCTTTCCCCACACTTAAGATGATCCCCATTCAGGAAACCAAGGGCTAGCAAGACAGACAGACTTTGGGAGGCAGAAAGATGGCCAGGTTACCAGGCATACAGCGGCAGTCAGGATCTACCGCTCCGAGCACAGCCCAGCCTGAGGAACCAGGCTCCCAGAGCTGCCCTGCTCCCTGGACTCTGCCTCTGACCTCACCCCTTGGAAGAACTGGCTGGGTTCCAAAACTTCAGCCTCTATGTCCCTGGGTTCCCACACACCCTAGTTTGGATCTAGGTCTCCAACACAGCAGCCAAACACAAGAGAGTCCAGAGCAGTTGCTAATGTGAAATAAAAACAATTCAACAGCCCAGGGAAAGGAGACAGGACTTCTTTTTCCATTGGATTCAGAGAACTCCTTCTCCTTTTCCTTCTCGATCCCTAATGGGAGTTAAGGATGGCAAGCGCCTGGCCCTGCAAAGCCTCAACTCTCTACTTGGCTCCGCTAGACCCATCAATCTTCTCTCCATGGCCTGGGACCCCTCCAACCCTGGACGTCGAGAGAGACTCGGCAGCTGTGAGAACCTTCTTTCTCAAGTAAGGTTTTTTTCCAAAATTATATCAGGTTTCCTTCTACCCCAGCTTGTCAGTGGGGGACTCTTTTGCCTAACATGGTTGAGGAATGTCTTAGAAACTGGTGTGATTCAATCTGGCTTCTGATGAGGTTTTCCACCCAGACAGAGCTCACCGAGTGTCTGGAAGTGTCGGTTCCCTACACCCAGGGGCATCCACACCCTGTCCCCATCTCCAGACCTCAGTGAGGAGGATACCCTTGACAAAGTGGCTGGTCCAGCCCTACGATGAAGTTGGATCCAGAAAAAGAGCCAAGAGGAAGCCAAAAGGACTTGCCCACACACTTGCATCCACGGGGGCCTCCCTCCTACCATGTCCCCTCTTTCCCCCAACTTTCTAAATTGGTGAATCTACTTGCAACACACCCAGTATAAATAATTGAAGAGCTCCCGATGGAAGTGGCTCAATAATTGAAATCTCAAAAGGCACACACCTTTCTTTTAGAAGAGAGGGCCACCTCATTCAGACTTCTCCAGGGGAAGTCGTTCTTCCCCTCATTCCTTTTCAGACTGGCCTCCTTCTACAAATACAGATTTTAACCAGAGGGTAATTGTTAGAAAGTGCAGTTTGCAAAAATGTCAGTAACCTGAATGCCAAGTTTACTAATGAATTGTGACTAGGCTGTTGTTAGTGCCGCCACACTCTCACCTGAAGACCCACAATCTCCCCTGGACAGAGGGAAACTGGCTGTCCCTCTGTTACTGCTCAGCTACTGCACTGAGGTGGGGTGGCACCAGGGGGACTGGCATGAAGGTCACATGAGGGGAGAGTTCCTTTTACATCTCAGAAGTCTCTTATTATAAGGATCTGCCAACTGCAAGGAGAGAAGAGCCCTGCAGAGCAGAGGGACCTGCCAGAGCGCTGCAGGCATCAACTTTGCTGGCGTCTTGGAAAGACGCCCCACGTCTCCATAACAACTAACCATCCAGCCCTTAGCACTGACAGGGATGGAGACCTTTTTTGGAGGAGCAGATCCGGAAGAAAGGTCAGGTGGTTACCTGAATCCCAAGTCTCTTTGTTTTGTTTTGTTTTGTTTTTCTCCTTTTGCAGCTGTTTTTCTTACTAGAAGCTAGGCAGAAAGAGTTGTTACTCAGATTTCTTGAACTTGAGACGTCAAAGGTGAGACGCCAGCCAAGGAGAAGGGATGGTCAGGGAAGCTTCTGGGGATACCGACAGTATTTTATTTTTTGAACTCAGTGGTAGTGACACAAATTTTCTATAATAATTTGCTATTTTGTAATTTTTCATTTTATAGACTTTTCTGTCTATACTATTTTTTTAAAGTCTTTAAAAAATAAATTGGGCAAACTGCTCTTCAGGGACCCATCGTCATTGCCAGCATTTATTAAGTATCTTCTGGCACAGGACAGAAATCAGTCTGCAAATCACCCTGTGTCACAGCCCTGGAAAGCAGGACTGAGAACCAGAAAACTTCAGTGGAAGTCATTGGTCCCAGTGGCCAAAGCACCAAACTGAAGAAGAAAGTGAAGAGGTCAGGGGCAATCACAACAAGTCATAGGATCAATGGGCTAGAGGCCCCAGAGAACTTGTTGATGCAGTTTGCTGTTATCCCAGCTTTAGAGCTCTGCCTATAAACAAAGTCATAGAGAGGGGAATGTGATTCATGATTTGTACCTGCCTTGGAAGGGCCTGAAGTGAATTGGGGTACGCAGGGCCCTGGCCATCAGTGAAAGAGTGGGTCTTCTGCTGCCCTGCTGATCCACTGCTGAGGGTAACTCATGGTCCCAGCACAGCCTTCACTGAACTGTCAGGCACATGAAGCAATCAGGAGTCTAGATTGAGTTTCCAAAACAGGAGCACCTCTTTGCTCTCTGTAAGCCTCCACTGATGGCTCATGCCAGCCACATGGCTCCCCTAGCCTCCCCTGCACCCACCGGAGGCTGTTAATAGACCTGTCATTGTGCTCATGTTGGATTAATGACCACTGTTCTCCTTCCCAAATCCTACACATTGTTTAAGAGAAAGCCTAAACGCTGCCTCTGCCATGAAGCCTCTCCAGACCTCTTCAGTAGAGCTAACGTCTCCAGGGCTGTTTGCTCAATACTTCCTTTCAGGTATCAGTCCCCTCAGATATCACTTGTTTCTCTGCTTATCAGTCCTCATTACATTCTAGTCCAGTGGCTACATCCATCAGTCTCCCGGCTAAGAACCTGAGGTCAGGAGCCAGGGCTTATTAATTCTTATATTTCATAGCATCTAGCACTGGGCCTGGTGGATTTGTAGCAGGTGTGCAACAAACAATCAATATTTATTAATATATCAGGGTCCAAGAGCACAGACCCAGTAACCAGGAAGGAAGGTTCTTTAGGTTGTCAGAGAACACAAAGGGCCTGGCAGGAGGGAGGCCAAGCATCACAGAGAACCTTCACCTTTCAAATCTACCCACTTCTCTCCATCTCAGCTTCTCTCCCCTGGTTGACTCCTAAGCTTCATAATCATTTACATTGTATCATGCAATGGTACAATTCCCACTTAGTTCTGCCCCTCATTCTCCACACTGAAGCCAGAGAGATACCACAAGGTTTCTATCAGTCACATCATGCCTGTGCTTAAACTCTTCTCAGGGACTCCCCCTTGCTCTTAGGCAAAAGTTAAGGCCCTCAGCATGGCCGTCGAAGATGCTCTGGCACATCTGGCCTTTGCCAGGCATCTGGCCACATACTGAAATACTCTTGGCCTCACCTCCCTTAATCCACAGCAATACTGGACATTCTTGCATTCCTTCAATGAGCACTCCTCTTTTCTAATTCAGGGATCTGCATGTCCTAGGTTTCCTTTTCCTGTAACAACCTTCTTCACACAGTCATATTCCAGATGTCCTACTCATATTTAAGATCTCTCCCCAGGAAGCCTTTCCTAACTCACCCTCCACCTCCACTCCACCACCACCATTGCTATCAGTCAATAAAACCTTCCAATCATGTGGTCTTTGCACTGCTCCTTCATAACACTCAAGGCATTTGCAAGTACTTGTTCAGGGCCTCTTTGCTTCACTAGACTAGAGGTGGGCAAATTGTTTCTGTAAAGGGCCAGATAGGAAATATTTTAGGCTTTAGCATATGGTCTCTGTTGCAACTATTCAGCTCTGTTGCTGGGGGGCAAAAGTGGCCTTAGACAATATATAAACAAAGGAGTGTGGTTGTATTCCAGCGGAATTTTATTTAGAGACATTGAAATCAGAATTTCATACCATTTCATGTTTCATGAAATATTCTTCATTTAAAATTTTTGTTCAACTATTTAAAAATGTGAAAACCATTCTTAGCTAATGGGCCATACAAAAACAGATGGCAGGCCAGACTTGGCCCACAGCCTGTGGTGTGCCAGCTCCTGCACTAGACTATCAGTTTCCTAGAGACGGAAGCCACGTCTTGTTCACAGATGTATCTCTCCAGCACAGTGTCTTGTTCTCACAAGGCGGTTCATAAAAATTCACTGAATGCCTTGATATGTGGACTAGAGCCATGTTTCCCAGTGTAAATTCACGGAACACCAGTCTGATGGGAAACTCCATACAAAAGGGACACTTCTCTTTGCAGTGAAATCTGGAAATGCCATCATTCCTCTTCTAACAAATGTTCAATGCTCACTGCATACAGCATAGCAAAAGCTCAGAGATAGCCTTCAGTCAAGGAACCTGTTCAACATAGACCAATACAATGCTGCCCACACTCATTTTGACCAAATAACTTTCTTCTTTAACCCAAAATATCTGCCAGTGTCCAAGGGCAGCCCCACTGAAAAGTGATGCAGTGAGGAGAGACGGCAGAATTTAGAGGAATGGGTCTCAAACTTTAGTGTGCATCAGAGTCACCAGGAAGGCTTATTAAAATAAGAAACTACCCCAGCCCAGAGTTTCCAATTCAGTAGGCTTAGGTTGGAGCATAAGAATTTACATGCCTTACATGTTTCTCAGCTGACGCTAATGCTGATGGCTAGGGGAACCCCGTTTTGAGAAACACTGATCTGCAGAATAAATGATTTCAAGGCTTCGGTCCTCTAGCTGGAGTTTGCTCCTCCATCCAAGGATCTTATTCCCAGGTGAACTCCAACTTGTCCACTTTCTCACACTGGCAGTAGCAGCTCTGACCCATCTTTCTAGTCTTAGGCACCTGTAATGGGTTGCAGTGTTTTTTTCCAAAAGATTTGTTTCAATAGTAATCCCCAGTTCCTGTGAAGGTAAGCCTTATTTGGAAAGAAGGTCTTTGCAGATGTAATCAAGTTAAAATGAGGTCATACTGGAGTAGGGTGAGCTCCTAATCCAATATGACTGGTGTCCCTAGGAGAGGAGGAAAGAGACACACATAGGGAGAACGCCCCATGACCAAAGAAGCAGAGACTGGAGTGGTGGCTGCAAGTCAAAGACTGCCAGCCACCAGCAGAAACACGGAAGATGCAAGGAAGGAGAAACCCTACAGGCTTCAGAGGGAGGCTGGCCCTGCTGACATCTTGATTTAAGCCTTCCAGCCTTCTGAACTGTGAGACAATAAATTAACATTGTTTTAAGTCAACCCCGTTGTTATGGCATCACTAAGAAACATTCTAGTCCAAGGACAGATAAAGCTCTGGCCAAGGCCTTATTCTTGGTAGGTGTCCACATGAACTCTGAAGGAGGAAGCCACGATGTCAGCTGTCTGTTCCCTTTGTCATCACTGCTAGACAGTGGGTGTCTGCGCTGGGGTCTGTTTTTGGAAATTAGATTATCTAATTAATGTGATGTTTTGTTGGATCCATGCCTTAGGGCTGGATTTGGCAAAAAGCATGTGATTATTTTTTACTCTTAAAAAAATGTCACTAAATAAGATAAGGAGACTTGGCTTTGCCCTATCTTGGGCTCCACATGTCCTGTTTCTCACTGAGAGACCCTGGCAAGGAGTTTCTCAGTGACAAAGAAATGGTTTCTTCTCCTCTAGTTCTGAGCTATAAACACCTTCTCTAATCGACATAGAAACGGCTAAGCAGTAGATATTTTCAGTCAGAGTACCCCAGTTTTAGTCATAAATTATATGCCTCTCCTTTTGGAAATATAAGGGGTATAATTTTTATTCTTGGGCAGACATAGTCCTGTGCCCGATACCTTAGGAAAGAGCCAAAAAGAGAATGTGGACACAGCTTGTCATGGTGGATGGAGAGGAAGGAGACACCAGGGGTAGGGACTCTGTATTCTGAAGCTCTGAGGCCACAGGATGAAAAATCAGAGCCAAGTGAATGCCTTCTCTGCCTCTCCAATCCATGCCAACCCAGGGCTGGCTGCTCACATGGGGTCTGCACAAACTTGAAAATCTCCAGATGTTTTATAGGGGGGACAAAGCCACGCTTTCTGCTGCAACAGACTGTGAGACTTTTAGGATGCTCACCCCAAGGCCCTTGAAAAATGAGAGAGGGGTCTGATTCTTTGAGATGGGTAAGGCAGAGGCACCCCGTGGAAGTCAAGCATTCCTTCTCTCTTCCCTCCCAAGGCCAGCATGTAATTTCAAATGTCCAGTCCATCCATGAACAATATGTTAGCCTTTGGCCAGGCGGTGAGCTTCCAAAATGCAAACATCTCAGCCTCTGTCTGCAGAGGTGAGAATTCAGCTTGGCAGAGGAATGGGACACTGTCAAGGAAGACAAGCTTTTGGAGTCAGACAATCCCAGGTTTGCATATTGGCCTTGTTTTGTTGGTTTGTTTTGCTTTGTGTTAAAATCTAATTTATTCTGCAAACTACAGCAGGTTAGTTAATCCTTTGAAACCTCAGGTTTCTGAGCTATAATACAGGAATAATTATAAGTGCTTTGCAGCAGATTTGTGAGGATTCTGAGAGTTGTTGGATGTGTCTAGCACATTCCTTCTAACTTATAAAGCATTATATGCCAAGTATGAATCTAAGTAATGCACATGCCCTAATCTTTTCCATCCTTACAACTATTTATAGCACTGCCCCCATATGGCAAATGAAGGCTCAGAGAGGTCAAGGCACCTGCCCACAGTCACAAAGTCAGTAAGCAGCTGATTCTGGAGCTGGTGCTCTCACCACAGGGACTGCTATATACCCATAGTGGAAGCCTGGGGCTAGGAATGAAGATCTGTGTTCATTCATTCATTCATTCATTCATTCAACAATTCACCTGGGCATCTCTGAGAGAGGATTACTCACAACAGGTTCTCAGACAAAAAAAAAAATACAATCTCTCCTTCCAGGAGTTGAAGATCTCTCAGGGGAAACAGACAAGTACCCAAAACTAAATCAAGGTAGAATATGACACCAGGGAGGAAGAGAGTATGGCAGAGGACCTGTTAAATGGCAGGAACAGACTGATTTAATGAAGGTGGTGGTATTTCTGCTGAGCCTCAAAGGATAGGCATGATTTTGACAGATGCACTCAGCCTGGTTCAGTCCAAATTAGGGCCCCCTTGTTCTTTCTCATCACAACCCATTCATTTCCTTTGTTGGACTCACTGTGATTTTAATTTCACAGCTATTTGCTGATTTATTTGTTCAATGCTGGTCTCCCACACTAGACCATGAGCAGGAAGGAGAGGCAGCATGCAACTGTGCTCGTTGTCTACACAGGGCCTAGCACTGGGCCTGGGCCAGGGCAGGCACCTGGGAGGTATGTGCTGAATAAATGAATGGATGGATGGGTGGATGGATGGGTGGATGGATGAGTGGATGGATGGATGGATGGATGAGTGGATGGATGGATGGATGGATGGATGGATGGATGGATGGATGGATGAGGATATAAGTATTGGCAGGCTGGTGGCAGCTTGCAGAAGGAGAGCACATTATCTATAAACACATTGCCCCGATTTATTTAACATTGTAGTCACTCCAAATCTTGGTTACCCTCACCTGAATTTTCTCTTTTGGGGGAAGTTTTACACAACCACCCCAGTTTCCCTAAATGCCCCCTCCCTGGATTCCTGCAGCACTTGAATTTAGGCTTCTGAGCACTGGTATCTCCCCAAATAGATGAGACTCCCCATGTGGGCAGCAGCCCTGCCTTCTCCTTCATGTTTGTCCACAGTGCTTGGGTGAGATCTGGACATGTAGCCCACACTCTGTTGAAACCTGCCCATGGCATGCAGCTGAGGGGCCCTGCCTTCTCCTTGTCCTCATTTATTGCCATCAGTCAACCACCAATCATCCCACATCGACCCCAGAGGCATTGGTCTTGGGGTCTCCCTGGTGCGGCAATGTGGGCTGCCTTCCCAGCCTTGTCCAGGTGGCAGGACTTCTGCTGCTGACAACAGGGCTGTGATACTCAGCTCCCCAAGGCTGAACTGGATGACTAAGAGTCCTAATGATTCTGGTATTTTTTCAGGACCTGTCTCCAAAGGCAGGAGGACATTTAAAAATGCATGGGTCTCTGCTAGGTGACACATCCTGCTTAGGAGTCTGCTGGCCTCCAGTCTGGGACAACAGAGCACTTCAAATAGGCACCTGTGTTCATCGCGGTGCTTTCTGTCCACACAGGGCCTTGGTTTCTGAGGCTGAGAGAGGATAAGCTAAGCAAGGGGCAGAACAGGACACCAACCATCTCCAGACCCCAGTACAACACAGATGGCAGGCCAAAGAGGGACTGTGTCGTCTGATTCAAGAGTACAGACTACACAGCCAGAATAATCGGGGCCTGGCTTGGACTCTCTTTAAATATTCATTCCTCATCTGTAAAATGAGCATATGAGTCCCACTTCACCAGACTGTAGGACATACGTGAAGGACTCTGCAGTGTCTGGAACATATTTATGGCCCCTGAAATAAACAGTTATTGATGACAGAGATGAAAAGAAGAAGATCCAATGGAGTAATCTTCAAGGCCTGCTTCAAGTCTTGCCTTGGTAAAGCTTTCTATTGGGCACTCATATAAAGCTTATATGACTTTTTTTTGTATATAACAGACATGTATATATGATGACTGTCTACTGGGTATGGTTCTGAGCACTCCCTAAATAGTAACTCATTGAATCCTCACAACAAGTTTATGTAGTATGTACTATTATTATGCCCATTTTACGGATGAGGAAAATAGGCATGAGGGGTTAGGTGAACGACTCGAGGTCACACAGTTATAAGAGGTTGAGCTGGGATATAAATCCAGACAGTCTGCGCTAGAGTTCGTGTTAGTTAAAGATGGATACAGTGTGCTGCTGTTATTATTCTTGTAGATGTTGACTATTATAGTCTCTTGTCTTGCGGAGCAGAGCTAGTCTCTCTCCCACTTTCTTGACAAATGGTAGGGGCCTCCCCTATAACATCTCTGAAGCCCCTGCAGCACTTCATAGAGCCAGTCAGAGTGAGTTTGCTGACCCACTTGCCAGGACTTGCTGTGCCCTCTGCCTTCTTCAAGGCATCCCCAGCAGAGCCTTAAAGGGCAAAGCCTGCACACCTCCCTCTGCAGCACTGCTGCATGCCCCACCTCCTTCCAGGGCCACGCTTTCCAACTTGTGACCTGGACCCAAAGTAAGAAATACATTTTACATCGTGACCCACACATACCTACTATACAAGTAATTGCAACACAGGATTCATGAAACAATACCTACACTATTACATGGAATGTACTTTGATATCCTGTATTTTTTAACATTGATTACAACTCACTAAATTGATTTCATAATCCACTTAGAAAATTCCTCTTAGGGGAGTTCAGCTCCAACATCTAGCACATGCAATTTCTGAGTGCAGTGCACAGCAATTCTTCCCAAAGGCAGCCCTTCCTGGTGCACATCAGCATCATGGTGCTGTCCCAGCCCAGATGGTCACTTATATATTCCCCAGAGCCCTGAGCCTGGCTGGAGCACCCAGGCAGTGGAAAGTCAATACAGGCTGGGAATCAAGGACCCATTCAAAACAATGCTCACAGCAGACACAGAGTGAAGAGGCTTGCTTTAGAGTATGATAGAACTGAGCTCAAATCTCACCTCTGCTAGTTACTAACTCAGATGTTATTGGACGGGTTCTTAACCTCTGTGAGCTTCAGTGCCCTCCCCTGGAAGGGGGCACTATCAATATGCACCACAGAGGGTGTTAGCTGAGATGTGGAGATGACTTGGCACAGCACCCAGATACAGATACTGAATCAGTGCCAGTCAGTGGTGGTGGGAGGTCTTTGCTAACACCTCACAAGGGCCTTCCCTCCCCTCTCTTTTTGTCTCTATATTTAGAGATTCTACAACCTTCAGAAGAAATAGCAGTACTTCCTAGCACATAGGTAACACTCAACAAATGTCTGAACCAATTAAGCAAGGGCCCAGGCTTTTGCCCAATAAGTCATCCAATCCTGAGCATCCATCCATTCATTTATTTATTTATTTATTTATTTATTTATTTATTTATTTATTTATTGAGATGGAGTCTCGCTCTGTCACCCAGGCTGGAGTGCAGTGGCATGATCTCGGCTCACTGCTGCAACCTCCACCTCCCACGTTCAAGCAATTCTCCTGCCTCAGCTTCCCGAGTAGCTGGGACTACAGGTGCATGCCACCACGCCTGGCTAATTTTTGTATTTTTAGTAGAGACAGGGTTTCACCATGTTGGCCAGGATGGTCTTGATCTCCTGACCTTGTAATCCACCTGCCTCGGCCTCCCAAAGTGCTGGGATTACAGGTGTGAGCCACCATGCCCAGCTCTAAGCATCCTTTTGAAGGAAGATGTGTTTTATAATCCCTTCTAAATTCAGTGGCCAATAAAGTCTGCTCCGTGAATTACACTCATTCAATCACAGCTGATATCTCTAGATCAAGGACAATGCCCCTCTCTACAGGTGGGAAGACAAAACCAGGAGGTCCCAATGTGGCTTCTCCAAGGTTCCCCCAAAGTTACTGTCAGTGCAGAGCTGGGGTGACAGAGCCCCTGCTCATCACTGCCTATGTTGCCTTCCAAGAGAGAAGCAAGTTGCTCAATAAATAGCTCATCACCCTAAAAATAACGAGGTCTCTGATGAGACTTAGTCTCTAATGAAACTAAGCACAGGACTGAGGGGGTGAAGAGCAAGCAGAAAATGGATTTCCACCATGGGCTAGACTGTTCACGTGGCCCAGTGGTGGAGAGAATCCTTAGGGAAAGCCTAACTCCGAAGCCCAGAGAAGGAAGGAAAACTAATAAGGAGTGTGTTTTGCAGGCTGATTTTTCTGAAGTTATCCATAGGAAAATTCATTTATGTGAGAGGCTAATTAGTCATGACAGTGCTTTGCTCCAGACATAATTGCATTGGTCCCATGCAGTCTCTGTGGGTCAGCCTGTAATGGAATTTCCATTACCTATTGTGTTTTGGTTACTGGAGAAAAATGTGTGATTGGGGAAGAAAGAGGGATGAAGAGAAAACATGAAAGGCTGGAATACCTTGAATATCCATAAAAACCATCTGTGATTTTAAAACTTCATAAAGATGATGGATCTCTAAGAGCCAGATAGTCTTCTTGGAATCTGAGCTCTGTCTGCGGGAACTGCTCCTGGCAGGCAGTGGGTTTTGAAATCCAAGTTTGTCAGACCACAGAGCAAAGCGAGCTGCCCCAGCTTGGCCACTAGGGGTGGAAACAAGACCCAGGAAAGGGAGACTAAATGTTCTTCTCAACTAGCCACCAGCTCTCAGGCTGCCAGGAATGCTGGGCTGTGGTAAATGAATATATAGATATATAGATATATGGGTCTGGTGCCAGAAATGTGCAGGTCTGCAGGGATGAGTATGAAAGGCCTCACCTCTCCTGCCTTCTAGAGAATAATATACAGTTCAAGAGCCAAAGATGCCTGAGGGTGAACTGGTATGCCAAGTTCGGAAGGGTCACCAAACCACCTAATCCCCCAAGTGTTAGAGCCAGGAACAGAAGGGGGTTTTAAGTTCAGGGTTTCTCAACCTCAGCACAATTGTCACTTTGGCTAGATGGATAAACTTTTTGTTGTGGGAGGCTGTCCTGTATATTGCAGGAGGTTTGGCAGCATCCCTGGCATCTATCCAGTAGCTATTCTCCTCCATTCCACCCCCATCCTTAATTGTGACAACTAAAATGTCTCCCAACATGGCCAAACGTCCCCTCGAGGGCAAAATCGCCACCATTTGAACATCGCTGGTCTACCCTTACAATTCCCAAAGTAGAATTCCAAGGAATATTAATTTCATAAGCTTCTCCCCAACACAAGTATTCTATGGTCAACTAAGTTTGAGAATCACTGCATATTGTACCCTCTTTTGGAAATTCCCCATAGTAGTCTATTAAAGGCCCTAAAAAGTTCTGCAATAAGAAGAACACTATTTAATTGTTTTGTTTGACCTAACATCTTGCAAGCTTTCTCAAACAAAACCCCTTTATTCCTATATTTGCATCTTTCAGAGTTCCTGTTCCAAAGAATATTGTGATTTATATATATGTTAATATGTATCTATCATATATGTATATATATGATATATCAGGCAACCCAACCTTTCCATTGAACAAGAGGAACTGAAGCAATAAGCAAGTCAGGGTTCAAAATCCTACTAAGAGATGAGTGTCAGAGCCATGCATAGAAGCTGAAGTCCTGATTCCCAGTCTACCTCCTTCTCTTACACAAATGATTTAGATTAATCCTCAAGAAGATACAAGATACAAGAAACCATCCTCTCACAGCCATGTCACAATTTGGTTTGTGAAAGGAAAGTAAAATCTTGGGACCCTCAACTCACTATGCCAAAAGAAAGAGTGAACTTTGTCATGCAAAAGCTGCTTTCTCTTTGTTCCTAAACAGATTGCTGCAAGAGAGAAGGTCACCTATCTCCCCAGGTAGCCTCTCTCACCCTGACAATGTATCTTCACAGGTAAGGGACAAAGACAAGACTAGAAATCATCCCTCTGCCCACCTCAAGACAAATGCAGATCTGACTTCTTCTTCCTCTACTCTATGTTTACTTTATCTTATGTAAAATACAAGATTTACTGAGCAGGAGCCGAATGCACTATTGAGTGTCCCTCTTTTTGCTCCTTCCCACTCTCCTGCCTTTAAATACTGAAGTTCTCAAAACCCTCTTTGGAAAAAGCACAGGCCACAGAGTCTACTGTAGCCTTTATCTCTTTTTCCTGGGCTCATCCTCAACCTTGGCAAAATGAACCTCTAAATTGATTGAGAACTCTTTCAGACATGTTTTGGTTTATAGGCTCCACCACCACCATCCAGAATACTCACCTAGGAACAACGCCTAGTGAAACATCAGCATTTCTGTTCCCCAGGAGAACAGACAAAGCAGGCACTTTTTGCAGACATAGTTGAGAAGGACCTCACAGTGGTCATAACAAGGGAGGGTGCAAGGAGGCGCCATCCACTTACATCATGTCCATGCACCTGCTAATCTACTATAAGTACAACTCCCATGAGAATCACTAAAGCTGATTCGTCTTTGTATCAATGCAATACATCTTTGTATTGTGGCGAGCACAGAGTGGGCCTCCATTAAGTTAGGTGGAAGGAATAAACTGTTAGGCAACACATGCTAAGGACTTGTCCATCAACATGCCTTGATTATAATTCACAGATCGTCACCAACACAATAAAGCCTCCCCAATCCTCTCTGTCCTCTTCATGATTTTCTTGGGAAATATTCTACCCTGGCCTCTCCAGGCTGCAGGGAACTACTCCTTTTAGGATGGCAGCTCCCCGCTTCCCTGACACATCTACTGTCATCTCTTCACTTGCGCCAGTTCAGAAAGATAAAAGATCAATTTCCAGCTCAGATCAGCCAGCCCAATGTCCCTCCTGAAGACAGTACATCAAGGGACCAGTTTCCTATCATTCTAGGTAGAAAACATGCAGTGACTGGTCATTCAGTCTCTTGATGGTCTCTCTTGCCAAAAGCAGGCACTGGAGAGGCCATAGATTGGCTCCCATTCTCAGATTGCAAACAATAGAACTAATATTGACAGAGAAACTGGATGGTATGACATTCTACAATTTTGCATGGGGATTGAAATGTAATCATACCTTGAGGCCTCTGGTATTCCAGGAATCCTCTTTCAGCCCTGGGAACAGAACAGTGTCCTAGGGATTTCTCTAATCCTTTTATGACATTCTAAGCAGAGTGTATGGATGCAGGAACAGCCAAGAGTCTCAGCCAGAGGGCAGACCTGGGGCCCCCTCTTGGTTTACCTTGGCTCCAGCCAGTCCAAAGAATACACAGGCAGCTTGCAGACCACTGAGTTGAGACTAAGGGCTCAGCCCTAGGGCAGCTGCAACACAAATGCAGCAGCAACTGCTAGATATTTGCAGCATGCCCCTGAAGTCTGGTCTGTTGTAAAAAAAAAAAAAAAAAAAAAAAAAAAAAAAAAAGGC
The DNA here is from genome assembly GCF_000001405.40 of Homo sapiens. Classification (NCBI taxonomy): domain Eukaryota; kingdom Metazoa; phylum Chordata; class Mammalia; order Primates; family Hominidae; genus Homo; species Homo sapiens. The sequence goes on from NC_000010.11 coordinate 77,431,719, forward strand.
CGGGAGCGGTGGCTCACGCCTGTAATCCCAAAACTTTGGGAAGCCGATGCGGATGGATCACGAGGTTAGGAGATTGAGACTATCCTGGCCAACATGGTGAAACCCCATCTCTAAAATATAAAAAATTAGCCGGGTGTGGTGGTGCACACCTGTAGTCCCAGCTACTCGGGAGGTTGAGGCACGGGAATCACTTGGACCCGGGAGGCAGAGGTTGCAGTGAGCCAAGATCGTGCCACTGCACTCCAGCCTGGCGACAGAGCAAGACTCTATCTCTGAAAAAAAAAAAGGCTCACAGCAAAGGGTGTGGAGGTTGGGATGCTCAGCTTCGGGGCAGGAGAAGCATACAGCAAGCCTCTCACACCTGCAGGACTCCAGGCTCCCAGAGCCACAGCTGCACTCTACCTCTCTCCTTTCCTTTCCCCTTCTGAGCACCTTCGGGTTACTGGGATAAAGTAGTGCTTAATGAGAGGCCAAAGGGACTTTGCCTCCTTGAGGCTTTTTGATTGCTTTGCACAAAACTCATAGAATCACCTTATGTTCCTTCACTTAATCAGTCACTTATGAGCACTATTCTAGGCACTGCGTGAGGCTGGGAAGGCCCTGCTCACCTGTTACTCTTACTCTGTTATGCTCTTCGTAAAATCCATCAAAAACAAGCAGTCATCCTGCTTCTCTTATTTCCCCATTTCACAACTGTGGAACCCAAGTACAGCCATCCAGTGTCAGACTCATGAACTTCAGAAGCAGAAGCCTGAAGATGAGCTTTGGAGTCACTGTCACAGCAACAAGCCAACTGGCATGCAGAAATGAAGAGACTCACTCAAATGAGGGACCTAAATCCCTTCTATGGTCAATGAGAAACAGAGGCCCATGAAAGGGAAAGGCCAGATACACCCTCACACAAGGAAGTGGTGGCAGAGCCAGGCCCAGACAGCAGAGATCTCAAAGGTCCCCATTTTCAATGTTGTGTTTCTTCCATACTGTCATTTCAAAAGAGCCATTTAAGGCTGGGACACTCTGGTCCCACTCAAAAAAAACAACAACAAATCATTAAACTTTCAACTTTTAAAAAACTACCAAACAGGTTGCAAAACACTTTCTTATCCTACACCTGGGCGAGAGAGACTTACAGAGGGGGAAGGGGCAGGGAGGGAAGAAGGAGAGGGTCATGAATGGTGAGGGGGAAGGGACTGAGTGAGGGTGGAAGTGTTCATGATTGGGATGGAGTAGAGATTAGGGAGCCTTGAACCTCCCTGAAGGTGAGAAAAGATCACGGATATCTGTTCATGAATTTAAAAAGACTCCGCAACTTCATATTCAGAGAGGAGCAGGACTCAGGAATCAGGCAATGGTCATGAGGTAAGTTTCAATTTTTCAAAACAAAGGTGATTTCATTTTTAAAAATTTGTTGTTTATTTGTCAAGAGAAACTATTTATTTTTATTTTTATTTTGAGACAGAGTCTCACTCTGTTACCCAGGCTGGAGTGCAATGCTATGATCTCCGCTCACTGCAACATCCACCTCCCGGGTTCAAGCAATTCTCACGCCTCAGCCTCCCGAGTAGCTGGGACTACAGGTGCACACCACCACATCTGGCTAATTTTTGTATTTTTAGTAGAGACAGGGTTTCACCATGTTGGTCAGGCTGGTCTTGAACTTCTGGCCTCAAGTGATCTGCCCACCTTGGCCTCCCAAAATTCTGGGATTACAGGCATGAGCCACTGTGCCCAGCCTTAAGAAAAACTATTTCTTAAGCCACATATTCATGTTTTATAGTTCAAGAACACAGGTCAGTGACAAATCTCTAGGTAATTCTTCCCAAAGGAATACTTTATATTCCAAAATCACTTTGCACTCTGAAAGATACCTCATCTCCTCAAAATCTTTCATAGAATCATAATTTCTGTAGAATCCGTGTATGCCTTCTTTTTTAGTTCAGCCACAGCAAAGTTACAGAGGGTTGCAACCCCCAGGGAAATAACAAATGCGCCAACAATATGAAATCACAGATGCTCAGCCAGAAGGCCATGTATCTGAGGTTTTGTCAAAGCACCGGAAGCCACAGTAGTTATTATGCTCAAAAGGTATGTCAGCCTCAACACCAGCATCCTTCCTGGCTGATCGATTTCATTTTTTGACAGATGAGTTTGACACCGCCAATCAGTGGCACCAAGGGACTGTATCATAATATCCTAATGGTCCCGAGGCTGATTCCCACGCCACAAGGGTAACTGCAATTCCATCAAGCCACAGCCAAATACAGAATGCCTCCCATTTAGGAAGCTCAGTTAAACTTTTTATGTCACCAACACGCCCCAACCTCAGAGTTGTCCCTTCCTCACTCAACACACGGGACATTTATCTTCAACGTCACCACCTAGCTTCAAGCTTCCTTCGGCTTCCCCAACCACAGTCCCCACTAACTACAAGCTCAGGCCAGCGCTACAGCCTGCTGACCACTGGCAAGGGGCCTTGGCACATCTAGACATCTGCAGCCAGGCCTGCCTCTCACCTTCTAGGCTATTTTCTCTGTAGAAGAACAAACTGCTTGAAAATCAGACTGCACCAGAACAGGCATTCTTCCTGCTGCTGTGGAAGTGTGTCTCGTTCCTGTGGAAAGGAGGTATCTTGTTCTGGACAGTGTGGGCTGGAGCTGCTGGCGGTCAGAACAGGGAAGATCGTGTTCAGGAAGAACACCATCCCTGAGAGAACCAGTCTCCCGACACACATCTCAAGGCCAGCCTGCACCAGCTCAACCCTCTCCTAAGCGAGAGGCTCCCCTATTAGCGTGATGCATGTCTTGGACCATTATGGATTGACATACATTCTTTTGTATGAAGATATTCAATGCTGCACATGGCATCTCTCACGACAGGACCCCCGAACCCAGAACACAGCTGCTGAGGAACAGGTGCTCCATCAATACGGGTGAAATAGATGAATACGTCCAAGTGCCGGTGTCGAGCACTGGAAATACAAGGACGATAAAGACACCACCCCTGCCTCCAAGGAGTTTTTTGGCTAGTGGGAGATTCCCCCTTGTTATTTGTCACTGGTGGGGTCAGAAATGGAGTCAAGGTCAGCGGGTTTTGGACTAATCTAGAAGAAGGACTGGATCAGTGCTTCTTAAATGTGTTATTCACATACTCCCATCACAACTTCTGCCCTAGCTGCATGACTCCTATGCTATTCACTAAACATTTTTCTTTCAATGGAGTCAAATTTTTTAACTAAACAAAGATATCTTTTTTGGGGAGAGAGTCTCACTCTGCCTCCTAGGATGGAGGGCAGTGGTGTGATCATAACTCACTGCAGGCTCAACCTCCCACTTCAGCCTCCTGAAAAGCTGGGACTACAGGCATGTGCTACCACACCTGGCTATTTTTTTTTTAATTTTTTGTAGAGATGGTGTCTCCCTCTGTTGCCTAGGCTGGCCTCAAACTCCTAGGCTCAAGCGATCTTCCCGCCTCAGCCTCCCAAAGTGCTGAGATTACAGCAATGAGCCACTGCACCCAGCTTAAATAAATATATCTTAAGGATACTCCGTAACATTACCACATGTGAAAAACTGGTATCACCAGTGAAGAAATAGAAGATAACCTTCAAAATAAACAAAATAGAAGAAAACTTTCAAAATAAATGCAAAACAAAACCAGGGTATGAAATTCTAGGTAGATGCCTCCGTTTGCATGCAGTCTCAATGGGGGCTGTTCTGTGCCTTTGTTCAAAAGGGAGACAGGCAAGGGTTAAGAGATGTTCAAACAGTAAACCGAGACTTTCTCCCTGAGATAACTAGAAAGACTGGAAGAAAACTGGAAATGAACTAAATCCCTCCTTGGTGACTCAGGGTCCTGTCCATATATCACTAGAAGGTATCTGCTACACCACCTGTGGTGTGGGGAAACCATAAAGCTGAAATGAGCTTTAACATTTCTTTCAACATCCAGGTCCTATAACACCATAAGCAGATTATTTAATGTCAAAGAAATCAAGCGCATGGAAGAAAGACAGCACCTAAACAACACAGGTCTGTTGACTGAATTAGATTTCCAAAGTTTCTGGCCCTCCCAGATTCATTATATCCTATGGTCTTCGGGTTACAAATGAGGACAGAAAAGCAGAGAGAGAGGAGGGAATGTACCCAACCCATCCACCTGGCAGTGACAGAGCTCAGAGGTCTTCATTTTGGATGAACCATGGGACCCAGATGCCTATGAAAGGGGAGGACTTGTAATCTTTTTATTCCCGATCTTAGACTACCTGTGTGTGCAATATGTGTTTCCACCACTTTGTGAAGTTCAGCCAAATGGCCCTTAAGAAATGAAGGCAATGACTTGGTGGAGGCCCTGCACGTAGAGAACGTCAGAAAAGGCTGAATTGGATCCCCAGATGTTCCTAAGACCTGCTGGGGGAAGCTTGCACAAGTCTGGTCCAAAATCCGTTTGTAAGGAAATTGGTGAAAATCACAGCAAAGCTGGCCTTCACAGGCCACATACCCAGGCCCTGCTCTCAAGCAACATCAGGCTTGGATAGATTTTTCCAGAACCCCAGATAGAGCTGGGCTAACTTAACAGGTTGAATTCAAGGCGTACCAAACTTTAAAACTGGAATTGGAGTTGACTATTTATATTACAAGAAGATTCTTCACTCTCCAAAAGCAACCCTTTGTCGTCTGAGCACCCCTAAAGACTTAAGTGTTTGTTAACAGATTACTAACCATTTGGCAGGAGTGCAAGCACTAAAGAAAACTTGCAGAGAAAGGAAGGGGAGGGAACTGGAATCTCTGCACCATTGGTTCGCCAAGCTTTGTGCTACATGCTTCACTTACAGTATCTCATTTAACTAATCCTCCCAGCAGGGTTAAGAATCTCCATTATACAGAAAAGGAAACAGCACAGAGAAGTGAAGTAATTTGGCCAAGGTCACACAGGTACTACAGCACTAGAAGCAGGGGCTGTTTCCAGCAGCACATGACATGGAACTTCCTAAGGAAGTGCCATTTGCATTTTGTTATCACCATCTACTAAAACATACCCCTCTGGCACACAGTGCAATAACTATTTATTGACATGAATATACATAAATGCTAAGAATGCCATACACAGTAAAGATGACCATATGGAGCTTAAAATTTATTACAGGTCAGAGGTATCAAAAGAAAATTATCTGAATATGCCAGGCTAGCAAGGGAGGGGATTCTTGGTGCCTAAAGTCCTACTATTCCAGTCTTCTTTCTTTACACACACACACACACACACACACACACACACACACACACTCCTTCAGCCAAAATGTTCCACTTTAGTGGAGGGAAAAGAGAGCCTGGAGCCATAAGTCTAGCTTATTGCTGATGCCTGGTGTTCCCCACTCTGCCTCCCAGGATCTGGAATTTATCTTGACCACCAGACAGAGCACAGAACTCCATTACCTAGGGTGGGCCAGGGCTGCCACGGAGCAGCATTGTGTGGCTGTACCCTCCAGAAACTCTGGATGTAAGATGGAAGGATTGTAGTACCTGGTGGACAATAGGTGGGAAAGGATGGAGGGTAAAGAAAAGCACAAGACAGGGAGAAAAAGGAAGGGGAGAGTGGGAGGATGGGAGGCAGGAAGTTCGGTTAAAATATACTGTCAGTGGCACCGGATAAAAATAATAGCCTTTTCTGTGATTGAAAGCATTTCTAAAAATCAAAGATAGGAACAGCTGCTGTGCTATGGTGGTGGGATTATGACTGCTTTTGTAAATGTCTTTTAATGTTCTTATATAGTTTTACAGCAGGTAAAATTTTGGAGCAGAAAGATATAAAAACATTCATGGATAGAAAATTCAGAACAAGTCACCAAGGGGAACTTGGTTTGTGATAATTTTATAAAACAGTGTTACATACATTCCTAACCTATCCCCAGGCCCCCTGAGAGCCACAACCAAGACCCATTGGACCAAGCTTCTGAATTTCACAGAGCTTAATGGGCTTCTGATGGCAGGGGCTAGTCACCCACAAAGAGAGGCCACAACATACAGAGGCAGGAGGCCTGCACCGGGGCCAGGACCATGCTCTGTGGACAAAATAGATGATTTCAGGCAAATCCCTTACCTGGCTGACTCGGGTCGTCTTCCTTAAAGTAAGAGGCTGCATGCGATCAGGAGTGACAAACTCAAATGCTTTAAAGAGTTAGGCTGGGATCACAGAACTGAATGGGCCATCAGAGCCTATGGTGGCCTGGAAATCACACACCCGGAGGCCAAGGGTGCAGCTGCTACCCAGACCTAGGTGAATGCTGGGCCCCATGCTGCCAGTGTAGAGAAGTTGGGAATCTATACTTTTTTAAATGTTTGGTTTAATTTTAATTTTTTTTGTTTTTAGAGATGGGATCCCACTGTGTTGCCTAGAGTGAAGTGGTGCAATCATAGCTCACTACAGCTTTAGACTCCTGGGCTCAAAGTGATCCTCCCGCCTCAGCCTCCCAAGTTGCTAGGACTAGAAGCATGGGCCGCCACACCAGAAGAAAACTAGACTTTCATGTGGGCTCTAATTTTTCTGTTGGCATCCAGTTTCTAAAAAACGTAGTACCAAGCACAGTGCCTGAATCTGTAATTCCAACACTTTGGGAGGCCAAGGCGGGCAGATCACCTGAGGTCAGGAGTTCGAGACCAGCCTCAATTAGGAGAAACCCCGTCTCTACTAAAAATACAAAATTAGCCGGGCGTGGTGGTGCATGCCTATAATCCCAGCTACTTGGGAAGCTGAGGCAGGAGAATTGCTTGAACCTGGGAGGCAGAGGCTGCAGTGAGCCGAGATTGTGTCATTGCACTCCAGCCTGGGCAACAAGAGCGAAACTCTGTCTCAAAAAAAAAAAAAAACAAAGAAGTACTTCAAATGTATTATCTCACTACTCTATGATATGTTGTAAGATTGGCCCCATTTTTACAAATGAGGAAACTGAGGCTCAGAGACATTAAGTAATTTGCCCAAGGTAACACAGCTAAAAAGGGGCAGAGCCAGGATTGGCTACTACAAAGTCCTTATTCCTTCTCTCCACAACATTTTATTAAGAAAATTTCAAACAAGGCCGAGTGTAGTGGCCCAGGTGGCTCATGCCTGTAATCCCAGCACTTTGGGAGGCCAAGACGGGTGGATCACCTGAGGTCAGGAGTTCAAGACCAGCCTGACCAACATGGTGAAACCCCATCTCCACTAAAAATACAAAAATTAGCCGGGGTGATGGTGCATGCCTGTGGTCCCAGCTACTCGGGAGGCTGAAACAGGAGAATGACTTGAACCCGGGAGGCCGAGGCCGAGCCCAGATCATGCCACTGCACTCCAGCCTGGGCGACAGAGCGAGACTCTCTCAAAAAAAGAAAGAAAAGAAAAGAGAAGAGAAGAGAAGAGAAGAGAAGAGAAGAGAAGAGAAGAGAAGAGAAGAGAAGAGAAAAGAGAAGAGAAGAAAAGAAAAGAGAAGAGAAGATTCCAAACATACAACAGGTTGAAAGGATTTCACAGACAATACCTGTATCCCATCACCTAGATTATACCATAAACATTAAATTTTACTGTATTGCTCTATCACAAATCTATCCAAAGATTGTCTCCTTTGGTTCCATCTGAAAAGCAACCTAGAAAGTACGTTAGAGGTGGAGCCCAGATGTTGCCATTTCTGAATTAGAAATAATTTGGCCTCTTCTGAAACCCACTCATCCCATTCCCTTTGTGGCTGGGGAGTATGGGGGTGGGAAGGGGGCAGGCAGGAAGGAGAGTGTTGATCCAGGAACATCTGCACACATCATCACAACACACATCCCAACCAGCTCTGATTTCTCCCCTGGCTCAAAGCAGGGAGAGATGGGTATTTGGGAAAAGCTCACCACCCCAAAATATCTCCCTAAACCCTGAAGGCTAAGTCAACCCATGGGCTCTCTGAAAGTGGCCAGGGGACAGCAGGAGAGGCAGTACTCGGAAAAGGGCAGCGGTACCTATCTTCGGAGCCCTTTCACCTGCTCCAGTGGGATTTTATTCTCACTCTGTGGCCCTGATACCTCCTGTGTCTTTTAGCTGCATTCGTGGGATGGGAGGGTTGTCAGGGAGGTTTCCCACCTGGGGCCTCTTCGTACACCTCAAGGGGATACCATGCCCACAGAATGCAATGTGAATGGTCCTCCTGGAGTCCTGCAGAGTGGTGGCAATCTTCAAGTCCATCTGATTCATGCAAAAGTTGTTCGAGCATAAACAGCAGCTTTCTCCAGTGTCCCACGCACAGTAAAGACCCTGCAAGAGGGCTGCCTATGAAAGGCCTTGGGGCCAGGGCGGGGGCTGGGAGTGCTGGACTCTCAATTCTGACACCATAGCTTCTCCACCACTTCTTGCTATGTGACCTTAAGAAACCTTCCTATCCTCTCTGGGTCAGAGCTTTACAAATGACGCCACACCAAAGGAAAAAAAACAAGCAAATTCTGGCCATCTCCTATGTTCAAGACAGTGGGCCAGATGCTGGGTGGAGGGGAAAGAGGCATACTAAGGAGCTCAGCAGATACCTCAGAGCCCTGGTCTAAGCGCTTTGCACGTTTTTAATACTGACATCAACTCTACAAGGTGGGTGTGACTTTTATCCACATTCTATAGGTGAGAAAACTCAGGAGGAGAGAAATTAAAACTTTCCTAAGGCCACAGGGTTAAGTAAGAGGCAGAGCAAGGGTGAAACATGGGCAACAGTTTCAGAAGCCTGCACAGGTGACCACCACAAAACGCTGCTTGCTAGAGAAGCCCAAGACCCCCTCTCTGACCTCCAGGAAGACTCGGTCCAGGGGAGGGAGCAAGACAAAAGTGAAGATTTAAATGCTGATAAAATATTTAAATAATTCTTTGAGATAATAGTGGGAAAGATGCTGCCAGGGAGAACATGATTAATTGTCAAATGAAAGTGTTCAGACAAAATTGCTCTAACGGTCCAGAAAAGGGGAGGAAAAAAACCCCTCTACCGTGAGCTCATTCTGAGTTGGAGGAAGCCTGGGAGGTTAAATGTCACTGGCTTTTGCAGAGTGAGCAGGACTTGAACAGGAGAGAGTAGGGCAGAAAGCATTCCAGCAAGAATCAAAATTCTTTTTTTGTTTTTGTTTTTGTTTTTGAGACAGAGTCTCATTCTGTCGCCCAGGCTGGAGTGCAGTGGCACGATCTTGGCTCACTGCAAGCTCCGCCTCCCGGGTTCACGCCATTCTCCTGCCTCAGCCCTCCGAGTGGCTGGGACTGCAGGCGCCAGCCACCATGCCTGGCTAATTTTTTCTGTTTTTTTTTCAGTAGAGACGGGGTTTCACCGTGTTGGCCAGGGTGGTCTCGATCTCCTGACCTCGTGATCCACCTTCCTTGACCTCCCAAAGTGCTGGGATTACAGGCGTGAGCCACCGCGCCCGGCCAAGAATCAAAATTCAAAGGGCCAGCTCTCATGTTTGGAAAGGTGAAGGGCCCTGAACGACTGAAGATGGCTCAGGGGTGCAGGAAGGGTGAGCTGAGGCTGGGTCTGAACTTTGCCTTATAAGTAATAGGGAGTCATAGAGGAATTTCAGTAGAGTAGAGGAGCATCATGACCCAAATGTCTGCTGATGACACACTGGATACACTAGGGGTGCAGGGAGAAAATTAATAAATTCCCCAAAGTGTTGGCCAAGGAGTCCTTGGGTCTTGACAGAGGAAAGCAAGAAGTTAAGGTCATGATACTCCTCAGAGACTGACCAAAGAAGGAAGAAGGGGGATACTTCAGCTGGAAGTCTTCAGCTGGGTTCCATCCTAAGGACTTTAGAATTTGGCACTCTGCGTCATCAGGGAAGCAAGTAAATATGATCCAAAGTCCCCCCACCCCCTCGCAGGGTTATATCCAGAGAACAGAATTTTTTAATGCTATTTTTAATCTTTCTGTTGACCAAAAACACACTGAGAAGAAATGAAGCATGAACATCAACAAGAGGCTCTACAAACTCTCTCCCCTCTCTTCCCTCCTGTTAACCACTCTGCGACCCTGCAGACTCACCATATGGTCCACCAGCTAGATGGCCCCTTCTGATCCTGGAAGGGCTGATCCGCTTAATTATTTGGCAGCTATAAATAGAAGCATTGGACAATAGCCTGAGATCTTTTTTTTTTCTTCTTTTTTTGGTCTTGCAAACAAAGAGAGGGTCCCTAGTTGGCAGGATTGGAGAGTAGGATTTCACTCCCTCCCTCCAGGCCATTGTCTTCCACCTGAGCCACCACAGCCTCAGGGCGGCTTCAGAACTGTCCTGGATGAGCTAGGGACAGCCCTGTCTCAACTGCGCCAGCAAGGAGATGTGCTGGGGTCACTCACAGTTCTTAGAGTCAGGGTGGGTTTTAGGAAAGAGATCACCCAGGAGACTCGAAAGGTCCGTTTGCTTTAGGCATGTCCTTGCCTATGGGGCCAAGACCTCACTCTAGCCACCCACAGCTTTTCCTACCTTACCACTCACTGCACCCACATTCAGCCTTCACTCTCACCCCCACCCCATTCCCAGGCGAGAGCAGCCACCTGGAGGAATGGACTCCTCTGGATCCAGAGCCAGGAGGTGAGCAGAGCAAATGTTCCCAGTGCCTGCAGGAGGAAGCCAGGCACCCAGGGTTCCCCTTGCCACCTAGACCCCCGCCACCTCCCCATCTAGGATGGGCTTTCTCTACTCCACACATAAGCACTCTCCTGCCCCAGCTCCTAAGCTGTTCTCCCTACCCCTAATCTTAGCAGGGACCTGGCATGGAAGTCAGATGAGCCTGGCTTGGCCTCTTGGGTCTGCTACTTTACTAGTTGTAAGATCATGGGCAAGAGGTTTCATTGCTCAGTGCCTCAGCTTCCCCACCTGTACAATGGGCACAATAACGATACTGACCTCTAGGGACTGCTTATGAGGACCTATCGAGAGAGCAGGTAAAGGTTGTCATCTAGAGCCTGGCACACAGCAAGTGCTTGCTAAGGGGTGTTACTGGCAGCTTTTCTCTGAGTCCAACTCCCATCACCTATATGCATGGGACTCAGCACACATTTGCTAAGTTGTTGGTTTCTCCACGCTCCCCTCCTCCTCCTTCACACCCAAGAGGAATGACCAGGTGGCCACAGGAGTCAGCATGTTTGACTTTGGTACCTGGGGCTCCTGACCATCCAGTGTGAATCCAAACGCATTTCCCTGACTGTCTGACACCTGCTGTTTAATCTCCATCACCTTCCCTCCTCCTACCTGGCTCAGGGTCCCTCACTCCGCATAGGTGGCCAAGGTGTGGGGGAGAGCCCTCCTTCCTAATGCTTGTTTGTTTTTTCGCTCATGTGTTTGCTCAGAGACAGGATACCATGGTGACACCCACGATCCAGGGTGGCTGGGTACACACACATAGACAGGGAAATCAAGTGAAAGAAAAAGCCCATGGGGGCCACCATCATCCCACGAGGGGCCAGACTGGCTCCCAAAAGAGGGGGAAAGGCTGTCCCTCCCAGGGGCCTACATATGTTTTCCCAATGGAAAGCTTTTCTCAGTGGTCCCGGCAGGCTTCCAGGACACTCCTGCAGGCCAGGGACTGGTTTCTGTTTGTCTAGAAGCCCTGCATTCATGGTCTAGCATAGCCACCAACCTCCTTGAGATCCATCACTATCCCCCCATCATGGGCATCTGCAGAGCATTCATGGGTTGTGGTCATGACTTGGAAAATTATTCTTAGGCTGGGAGTATGGCTGGACTAGGCTTCACAGAGAACACGGAGGGCAGGGTGAGACGCTGCCAGTTGGAGAGAATGGCAGCCCCTCATGAAGTTCAGAGACCCCAGCACACGAGGAATCTACCCTGCCTGGCACTGCATTGGCTCTCGTGGAACATGGAGGGAGTGGGCTTTGGAATCAGAGGCCAGGGATCAATTCCTAGCTGTGCCACTTCCTAGCTAGGTCAACTGTGCTGTTTCCTTTAACCTTTCTGAGCCAAATTATTTCTAATTCAGAAATGGCAACATCTGAGCTCCACCTCTAAAGTGCTTTCTAGGTTGCTTTTCAAATGGAACCAAAGGAGACAATCTTTGGATAGATTTGTGATAAAGAAATACTGAATGCTAAAATGAAAATAAAAATATCTTCTGCAGAAATAAGACCTAGAGTTTGATAGATCAGTAGGGTGACTATAGTTTAGAAAATATTATATATTTCAAAGTAGCTAGAAGAGAATAATTCAAAGGTTTCTAGCATAAAGACAAATATTTAATATGATAGATATCCCAATAACCCTGATTTGACCTTTACAAATTATATGACTATATTAAATATCACATGTACATATGTACATTTATTATTTATCAGTAAAAATAAAATTAAAATTATAAAAGGGAGAGAGACTTCCTGCATATGAAATAGAGATTACAAATCCTTTCTAAGTACACATGGGATACTGACCTGTATGCTAAGTCATTAAAAAAAGAAATCCTTCTGCAAAGGACCGTTTTGAGACTATGAGGCTCTAATTTAGAAAGGTGACAAGCACATTGCAGGACCTTACTTAATAGGGCTGGGGCTTGCCAGCATACAAAATTACTGCAGTGACTTGTTCAGACTCCTGCACTGGGAAAAGACTTAGTCCAGAGACTTACCCAATGTTTTGCCATAGTAAATTCTCCAAGGATGAAGAAAGGAGGAGGAGAGAAAGAGAACTTTTCTCTGTCTTCTTCAAAAGCTGTAGCAGCCAGATGAAGTACGGTGTAGGTGGCCAAGCAGCCAGATCCCTAAATAGCAACTAATGACTTTGATTGAAATTAATAATGAAACGACACCTGTTAGCTCACTTGTAGCCACTTTAGTTTGTCACATGGCAATTATATTCACTATCCTATCAGCTGGTCCATGAGCTGTAAAATGCTATAATGCCATGCCATATGCCTCTCTTGTCTCCCATGTTGAGACGGGGGCTGTCCTCAGGGTGGTTATCAATTCCAGGCCTCCTAACCACTCTGGAGATTGTCCTGGGAACTTCCCCGGCATTCAAAAAGACTTGAGGACCACCAGCCCCAGTGAACCTGCTGAGTCCCAGGGAGCAGCTGGGCAGCCTCTTTGAAGGTGGATTCCCCCACCGAGCAAGAGGAAAAACACACCCAAGAGTTACCGAGTCCCTTCTGTGGTTGGGTCCTTGAAAAGCCTTGTTGGGTGATAGAGGGAATTCTCCACTTGAGCAGTGAACAACAGTGTCACCATCCACATTATCTCCCCAGACAGAGGCAGGACATAAAGAACTAAACAGGCCCCCAGCAGGCCATGAGATTTGGTTTCTATAGCAACCCAACTGAGGTTGCATGAGTGCCTATGAGATAGATGCCCAAGGCTCACCCCAGACAGGGCCAGAATTCCAGAATCCCAACGGCAAGGACCACCCAGCAGCGTTTAGAGATGGAAAGCAAGGTTTGTTCATGTTCAGAAAAACCCAGGGAAGCCACAGGAAAAAAATGGGGCTAGGATCCCCACTTTCTATAAGGCAAGCTCCAAGACTATCTGGCAGCCCAAAGCTGGCATGCAGAGCTGAGGCAGGCCCCACAGGTGAGCTGAGCCACGCTGGGGATTTTAACAGAAAATAATCCTCCATCCACCTCTGCATCGTCCATATTCTCTCTCTCTCTCTCTCACACGCACATACACAGACACACACACACACACACACACACACACACATATGAAAAATAAAAAAAATCTTGCAATTATTCAAAAGAAACTATGGTTGATTTGTTGATCAGAAAAATATCAATGAATGACCAATTGCAACAAGGTCCAAGGTCCTTTAATGAAAGTTTCTAATTAACCCTACCTTTGAACACTTCTATTACTCTATCTGTAGAGTAATTGTTATTTTAGCGATGCAATGTTTCCTAATAAGACCAAGCATTGGGAGAAAGGGAGGAAGGGAGGGACCTGAAACCCAAACCCAGCCCCAGGTACAAGCTAGCACAATTAGCAGCCAGTGTACTGGCTTCTCGAATGCTGATATGGAATAGCTCAGGAAACTCAATCCCACCAGGGACCTGCTTACTGTCCACAGATGTCATCACAGTCATCGGTCAAGCTGAGAGAGGCTAGCGCAAACAGGCGATGGGGCCGCTCTATCTCTCCTCCTCCATCAAATCACAAAATGCCATGACAACACCCAAGCCAGGGCCTCTGAGGACACATGAAAGGAAATCCAACTTCATGCAACAGGGACTCAAGGTATGGCCCTTTTCGGCCAAAAGGCAGTGTGGGCTGGAGAGAGAGATAAACACAAGAGGCTGGAAACACAGACAGGGTGAGTGGGAAAGCTTAGAAGGCACTTAGCAGGTAAGGCTGGCATCGGGAGGGAGCTGGCTGGACCCTAATCCCTGAAACCTCTCTCCCTGAAACCTCTCTTCAAAGAGATCTACACTTTCTAAATCCTGCCTCCATGAGATGAAACTTCTGTTCGGTGTCCCACTCTTACAGCCCCTGATTCCCCCAGGGCCTAGCTAAGGAGGCCCTTGGACCACCAGTGAAACTAAACAGAGTCACTGCCTATGAAGTCCCTTCAGTCTGGAGCTGTCTGAGGAAACAGATAAGCCATCCAGGCCAAAGACCAGCCTTTCACCATCTGAGGGGCTATTAGATGCCCAGCAAATATGGGTTGCCTAGCTGGTAGCTTCTGGCCCAGATGCCAGTCCAAGAGCTAGAGTGGCCTCTCCAAGCTTGGGAGTTAGGGAAGCTGTACCCAGATCCTTGGCACCCACCCCAAAAGAGCCCATGAAGAGAAATGAATGAAAGGGCCCAGGGAGATTCTCAAGGCCCCGGTCAGCCGCCCTAGAAGTCACCTCAATCTTAGTCAAGGATGAGCTGAGCCTTGAAAATCCATACTCTGTGCAAGAAGATGCAGATAATCTGCCCAGTTGCCCAAGGCAATAACTTGGAGGACAACCAACAAAGGCCAATGGGGGTCACTTGGGAAGACACATCCCTAAGTTGACCTGACTTCCTTAGAGTGGGCAGGAAAGACAGGCTTCAGAAGATAGCTAGAAAGTAACACCAGAGAAGGTCACCCTAGAGGTGGCCCCTGGCCATTTCTCAAGGTGACAGCCTCTCTGCCCAGGCGTCCACACTGCAATGTTTTCCATATTGGCACTTCCTTACAAAGTCCTCTCTTTCTACCTCCATACCTTTGTTCACACTGTTTTGCTTAGCTGGCAAGTTCTTCCTGCTCCTCTCTGCCTACCAAAGCCCCACTTGCCCTTCAGGGTCAGGTCAAACTCAAGCTCCTCATCAAGCTCTGCATGCCATGGAGATGTGCTGCCCCCAACCTCACCTCGAAGAAGGACTTGAGGCCCAGCTTCAGGGAGACGGCTTTGCAAACAGCCCCCAGCTGTCGGTTCCTTCAGGCTCAGCCTCAGCTACAGCTTCAGCCAAGGTCACCCTTCCTGGGACAGCCTGCATCTGGTGACAGAGTGAGGTGGGGTACAGAAGCACAGCAATTTGGGCCCAAAGGGATCATCTCTGTTGGATAAATCCACTCCAGAGTTGTCTGCTGGGTTGGCCGAGGTTTTGTGGAAGCTGCATCAGCTCTCGACTTGTCCCTCTTGTCACTCTGGCCTCTGCCTCTCCCTTCTCAGAGGTGGATTCCTAATAAACATCATGAGCTCAAACTGGTCTCCACCAGTACCCATCTCCCACCAGAAATTCAATCAATGGTCATTATTATTATAGCCCATGTTTCTGCCACAAAAGGTGCTCAATAAACCTTTGATAAACACATGAGATAATTTAGCATTTCTACTTGCTGACGGAGCTCTTGCAGAGCCTGCCACTCTTTCAGGCACACTCACAGCAGCTGCTGATCAGGTAGACCAAATGACATGAGGCCAATGAAATAAATATGCCATCACAAGAGCATGGCTTCCTCTGGCTCCCTAGGAATCACACAGCATGCTGGCTCCTGAAGAACACACAAGGAGATGCCTCACCTGAGAGGTTTTGGATCCTGGGATCAAGAACAGGGGCTCATTGGTACCTCTGTGTCCATCCTAAATGATGGCTCACTTAAGAAGTGATGGAAGGTCAGCTTTAGTGACACCTTCTCATCAGCAATGCTGCTACTAGGTGCCAACAGCATCTCTCACCACGGCACTTTAATCAGGATGGCATGACACCACTGTAAATATTAAAAAGGTTATAATTAGAGACGCAGTTAAAACAACCGAGGGCTTAGTGTTACTAAAGATATTTGCAGAATCTGGTGCAATATAAATAGCAGGGTTTACGGTGTCATGCCTAAAATTTTGAGCAGGCTGATGTTCCAAGGGGATGTTCAGTGAATGCCCATCCAAGCTGGGATTTCTCTCAACTGATTGTTTTCTCTCCAGTGTCAGAGTTCTCAGAAATAGATATCCAGAGTGTGCCCATTCTCATAAAGGGGTGAAAAGACCTTGCTACTCAAAAAGTAGGACAACCTTGCACCAGGACACCCGTTGAAGCTCGGTGGGGCAGCTGCAGCCCCTCAAGCTGCTAGAAACACTGTCTCCTGCATGGAGAGGTCACAGCCTTGTGATTCCATCGGCTCCAAATTTAAAGCAATCTTGCAGAAAAGGGCCAACATTTATCAGAATGAGGAAATTGTTTTCTAGGGTGATATCAACTGGAGTCTGCTGGGTACACATGACACAGAGAACAGGCAATCAACCTACCAACAAAGACGATAATTGTCACAGTGCCTGCCACCGGCCAGGCCTCTGCACACATTCACTTTTTCCTCACCACAATCTTACAAGGCTATTGTTGACATAGTCACTTTACATATGAGACAATCAAGACTCGCAACATCATAAAACTGATCAGCAGCGACATCTAAATTTGAATTCAGGTCTGTCCAATTCCAGGGTTCTTTCAGATGTGAGAAGGGAGGTTCAGAAAGGGCCCCTTTTTCTTCTCCCTCCGTGTACTTCTGTATTATTTGAAATTTTTATCAATAGTATATTTTCTTGTATTACTTTTTAAATCTTCAAATCATCAAAAAGAATTTATGGGCAAGAGAAATGGTCCTATTTCTGTTGAAAATGTATCTTAATTTGATGTAACAAAATACTACTAACAGGCCGGGTGCAGTGCTCATGCCTGTAATCCCAGCACTTTGGGAGGCCAAGGCGGGCAGATTACGAGGTCAGGAGATCGAGACCAGCCAGACTAACATGGTGAAACCCCGTCTCTACTAAAAATACAAAAATTAGCCAGGCGTAGTGGTGCATGCCTGTAATCCCAGCTACTCATGAGGCTGATGCAGGAGAATCGCTTGAATCCAGGAGGTGGAGGTTGCAGTGAGCCGAGATCGCATCACTGCACTCCAGCCTGGGCAACAGAGCAAGACTCCGAAAAAAAAAAAAAATTACAAACAGCCATTGAAATAAAAAAAAATCTGTTCTTTGCTACAATAATTTCATTTCTGGAAACCTATCCTGAAAAAAATAAGCAGAGACACCAAATTATATTAAATAAAAAAGCTGCCTTTATTTTGAAGTGTTACCTTTAATAAGAAATAAACTGGCAAGAAACTCGACACCCAACAACAGAAAATAAAGACTGGATATCCTCATGATAAACTAGGGTGATGCTATTAAAAATAGTTTTGAAATGTCAGCAACCACAAGGGGAAATGCTCATTACATGTTTCTAGGTTTAAGAATCAATAAATAAACTAAGTATTCACACATGTAAATGCTGGTATATGCATCCCTCCCAGGACCCACAGGCATACAAAGGAATTTAGAAAGAGTAGACATCTTTGGAGAGAGGTTTCCAGGATTAGGGTGGGTGGGGTAGGGTGGGCAGAAAACTTTTACTTTTCATTTTATATTTTTATAAGTTATTTCAATGTTTACCATATGTGTTACTTTTATTTCATTTCACTTTTTCAATTTTTTTTTTAATTTTTAATTTTTTTTTTTTTTTTGAGACGGAGTCTCACTTTGTCGCCCAGGCTGGAGTGCAGTGGCGGGATGTCAGCCCACTGCAAGCTCCACCTCCCGGGTTCACACCATTCTCCTGCCTCAGCCTCCCGAGTAGCTGGGACTACAGGCACCCACCACCATGCCCAGCTAATTTTTTGTATTTTTAGTAGAGACGGGGTTTCACTGTGTTAGCCAGGATGGTCTTGATCTCCTGACCTCATGATCCACCTGCCTCGGCCTCCCAAAGTGCTGGGATTACAGGTGTGAGCCACCACGCCTGGCCTATTTATTTATTTTTAATTTAAAATAGAGAATGTGTCTCACTCTGTCACCCAGGCTAGAGTGCAGTGGTGCAATCACAGCCCACTGCAGCCTCCAACTCCTGGGCTCAAGTGGTCCTCCACCATGCCTGGCTTTATTATTCATTTATTTATTTATTTGAGACACAGTGCAGTGGCACGATCTTGGCTCACTTCAACCTTTGTCTCCCAGGTTCAAGTGATTCTCCTAATTCAGTCTCCCGAGTAGCTGGGATTACAGGTGCCCGCTACCATGCCTGGCTAACTTTTGCATTTTTAGTAGAGATGGGGTTTTGCCATGTTGGCCAGGTTGGTCTCGAACTCCTGCCCTGAGGTGATCCACCTGCCTCGGCCTCCCAAAGTGCTGGGAGTACAGGCGTGAGCCGCTGTACCCAGATTTATTTTTTAAACTAAGTATATTTTAAAGCTTTACATATATTATGTATATTAACCAATATACATATTAACATTTATATATATTAACCAATCTAAGTTTTCAGAATAACATTTCATTATATAATAATAAAATACACCCAAATGTGATTTCTGCATTGCAGAATTACAGACATTGCTTTCTCTTTATAATTTTTCTGTATTTGCCAAGTTTTCTCCCATAAAAGCATAATTTTATTATCATAAAAAGCCTCCTTTTCAAAACTTTAAGGTATCTCACTAGTAAGAGGATATACTTTCTCTAATAAGAGTTTGGGTTTCACCACCAGTCATGTCCAGCCTCAGACCCACCCAAAGAGTCATACTATCATGAGTACAGGGGATAGAAGGGCCCCATGAGACTCATTCCAGGAGGTTACCAAAGTAGTAGACCTGAAATGGTTTGGCTCTGTGTCCCCACTCAAATCTCCTCTTGAATTGTAATAATTCCCATGTGTTGTAGGAGGGACCCAGTCAGGGGTAACAGAATGATGGGGGCATGTTTTTCCCATACTGTTCTCATTATAGTGAATAGGTCTCATGAGATCTGATGGTTTTATTAAGGGGAGTTCCCCTGCACATGCCTTCTTACCTGCTGCCATGTAAGATGTGACTTTGCTCCTCATTTACCTTCTGCCATGATTGTGAGGCTTCCCCAGCCATGTGGAACTGTGAGTCCATTAAACCTCTTTCCTTTGGAAACTACCCAGTCTCAGGTATGTCTTTACTAGCAGCATGAGAACAGAATAATACAAGACACAAGCCCTACTGGCTTAGCCTAGAGCCTCAGCTGAAGCCACAGCCCTCAGCCCTGGACCCCTGAGATACAAGAGGAGCCTGACCAGTGACATCCCGGAATTAAACAGGGGGAGAATCTTCCTCTTATTGTCATCCTGAGCAATACACTAGACAAAGGCCATCGGGCAGATAAAAAGAGGAACCCTGTGCCCCTGAAGTTGATCTGACCACCAGCGAGAGGTCACATCTGCTATGTGCAATGCCCTGCAGGGGTCACAAAGATGACTTCAACCTCGACCCTGTCTTCAAAGGAGAGTCCAGTCCAGGCGAGTAGGTGAGAAGGCATGTACCAACTCAAATCCCAGGTAGAAAGTGAGCAGAGCCCGAACTACAGAGGTATGAATACAGGGCAATTGAAGTTCAGAGGACGAAAGCTCGCTTCCAGCCTAGGGTGCAAGGACAGCTTCCAAAGGAGGTGATTCACAAACTGAGTTTGAAGTCTAGGTGTATTCAAATACAGGCCAAGTGTGCCCCTGCCCAGGAGTAGGCAGTCTATGCAACATGTGAATCACATGTTCAAGCACCTGCCTCACCTGTTTTATGGGCAAGTCTGCCAGCTACAGTCCTATCAGGGCACCTATATTTCTAAGGACCTGGATGCCTGGATGTTTTTTCTCCCCAGGGCATATATCTCAATTACAAACCTGCAGGAAACAAAAAGTTTGTGGAGAGTCACAAAACATATTTGAAATGTATAAGACTTTCACCACAGGAAACTAGGCCTAACAAGTATTTTCCTGTGGAACACCCCTGGCTTTGATGAAACTCCCCATTCAATGTCTCTTTCCTCCTGCAAACTTTGCTAATAGCAGTGAAAATAAAAGCACAGATCCTATATTTACTTAATGATCTTGGCTGCTTTAGACATGAGATAGCATTCCAAGAGAGCAAAGTGCTTTTTAACAAAATTCAACAAGACCCTGCCCTTTCCCCCGCCCTCCCACCTGGCCTCTGGAAGGAGGAAGGAATTTCTCATTCTCTGATCTTTTCGCCTGCCATGACCCCCAGGGCAATCCAGACAGTAAGACTGGCCATGCCTCCTGGTCATGTCCCATACCTCATGTCCTCATGTGAGACCCCAGATGGGGGAGATGATCACATTTGAGTTACATTTGAGGCGGAGATTCAGGTGGGGGCCCAAAACATGGCTGACATCCAGCCAGCATTCTTTGCTAGATGGAGCTGGGAATGGGGGGTTAACTTTTGTGAAAGTTTATTAGAGAATAAAGTAAGTGAGTTAATTAAATTGGAGTGTGAAAGACATTTGGGTGGTGATGAGGAGGCGAGGTGATGATTTATTTATAATTGACAAGGTTGCATCTAGCTACTGGGATAGTAATTATACACTTTATAAATGCGCAAAAAAAGTCCTTTCATGCGATGGAGGTTTAAGGGAAAATCCTGTCAGGGAAGTTTCTGTCTGCCCATGAGTATGACACCACCTCAAGAGCTGTTGGCCACTTGGCTTCTGCCAACCACAGCTGTAAGTTGGGGACTGAATAATCTCTAAATACCCTTCTAAAAATGAGGCCTTTTCTGGGAATCAGTACTTAGCCTCCATCTGCTTCTGATGATGTTTTCTTATCTCAATTCAGGGACAAAGAGGGATCCTTTATCTTGTGTCTGATTCTTTGTTTTTGTTTTACTGATTCATATTCAAGTTCCAGCTCTTGGATCCTCCCTAATCAAGATGATAAGAAAGATGCTGCCCAATGCGGCATCTCATTTAAGGGTGAGCAGATGTGAATTCAGACCCTAAATTTGGGAAAGTTCCTTAATCTCATCTGGAAAACAGGGATGGGGGTACCTAGCTGACGGGGTTGCTATAAGGACAGAACCTGGTGTAAAGGCAAGCCTGGTACCCAGTTAACACTCATTATCATGCACCTTAGGTTAAGTCATGGTAAAGGAAACGTTTCAGGTTAACTTCAGTCCCTTGATAACTGGGGATTCCAGCCTGACCTGTTTGCATAGAGTCTAGCTTGGCCCCTGTGACCAGCATTTGCCTCTCTAAGGGCTCCTAAGCACTCAGTTTTAAAATCCAATCAAGAGTATTTCCAGAGATAAGCCACGACATCATTAGAATACAGATTACAGCATCCATCTTCTGACACCCACTGAGAAATTCTAACAAGCACAAGAAGTTCCAGAATGCTAGAGGTAAAAAATAAATAAATATAAATAAATAAATAAATAAATAAATAATCTTATCTCACCATTCAAAGATTCTCCAAAGAAGTAGCATGGACTAGATCTCTCCTCCCACCTGAAACAACTAAAAATTCAGACAAGACAATGATTTTCAGACACTGGAGCTCAGTCAGGGGAAGACAGCAATCCCTGAGAGAGGAGAAACGAAGTGAGCCCTACAGTTGCCTCAACTTCCTGTCTGGAGAGAGCGTCCAAGTCACAGCAGAAAGAAGGAGGACCCCAGCAGGGCCCAGATGTCTCCCTGAGTTGAGGAGATGAAGGCTGGATTCCAGCAAGGCCAAGGAGGCTGGAATTCACAGGCCAGGGCAGCAAAAAGAACTGCCCAGTGAATACTTGAGGTCAGCAGAGGGACCCCCTTGAGTCTTTAGCTAAGTATTGGTGGACACAGGCATGTGTGAAAGCTATCCAAGGTGGGGGAGAGAAACACCCTAAAGGAGCAGACAGAACATTTCCCAGAGTTTATACAGGGCTGGGAACGGTTCACCTTCCCACCAGCCAGAGTGGAAACCTCAAGCTCACAGAGCACCTGGTAGAGTACTGAGAATAGCAGCGTCTCTGTAGTGGGAAAAAATTAGCCCTAGATTAAGAGAGCTCTGGTTCCACCTAATAAAGCTCAAAGGCAAGACCCAAAAAAGATCAAACTGTTTCCATACAACTTGATCATGTCCCAGAAAATAAGCTCAAGAATGTTTTATAGGAGTACTAAGATATCCAGCAACCAACAAGGTAAAATTCACAATGTCTGGTATCCAATCAAAAACTACCAGGCATTCAAAAAGGCAAAAAAATTGAACCCATAATGAAAAAATAGTCCATCAAAAGACTCCCCACTTCTGCAACCACATCTACAGTGTATTTCAGGACCCAGCCATAGAGCCCCTCTGGTCCTAGAAATGCATTTCAAAGTGCCTCTCTAGCTCTGTGCAAGAGATTTTCTCTTTTTCATTCTAAAGACAGTAATCCTAGGTAGAAACAAGAGAGAGAAAAAAAACAGAAATGCTCACTTTCTAGTTTGTTTCTCTGTTTGCTAACAGTGTCACATTTCCCAAGCAGTGATACTCTCCCATCTCGTTCATCTTCTAATTCTCTGCCTATAATTTTACAAATGTCTGTGGCTATCTTTAGCAGTTTTCACCAGTTTTGTGTTTTAGCCACCTGACCCCCTTTCACTCTACCCTAAGTTAGATGACTCCTCATTCCTCATTCATAAAGTTCTGTCTGTTAAACCTAGAGTTGATCAGCGATCACGATACACGAACATGCTCTCTTCTTCAGATGCCCTCACATTTTCCTTCTTTACTTGGGGATTAACAATTTAATTTTTAATTAGTGGAGCATACTCAAAATGTCATGGTTGCAGCCTTCCATCACTCTTGGGCTATATTCTCTCTTAAGGTCTTCATATGGACTGCTGTCTAAAACAATCTAGAAGAGCAAGAAATCCAAAAATGGGCCCAAGTATCCTAGGGCTGTGGATCCAAGGCATCCATCCAATGTGAACTAGATAAACTGCAGTCTGTCTGCACCATTGATCTTTCTGAGATGAGGGCACCTGAAAGAGTGGGCCAAGCCACTAGAACCCTGGACCCTCCACCACAGGTACCTTGTGGCAGTTGGCTTTAACTTCCTCCCTATCCTTGCCATATTAATCTTCATTCCCTGTAGTCATAAAGTTCTAGAAGAATATATCAGCTTTGATCTCTTTCAGTTATTCATGCATTCTTTCATTTAAGTAAACAGATATTTACTGAGTACCTACCATGTGCTTGGCAATACTTTCCAATCTTCAGAACCGGGCTCTCACACCAAGCCCAAGCACAGGCAGCTACCCTTACTCCTACTCAAAAATGTGAAGAGGCTGAGGCTTCTAAAATAGAAAAAGTCACCAGCTCAGGGTCAAATAATTAATGGAACTCGAACCCAGGACTCCTAGACCCAAGCCTCTCCTGGCCAAGTCTCATTCACTGCAATCACAGGTCCAGCCTGGTCACGATGATGAGTGGGACTGTACCCTGCCCTCCCTGCCCAGCCCATTCTAGGCTTCCTCAGAATTCCCTACTTTGAGTGCTCCTTTGCCATGTGAGGCTCAGTGATTTCCTTCTCCGAGTCCACTCACATTTGATAGGCTCCTATGAAATGTAGGTGAGCTTCACCTGAATCTGCACCTGTCCTCATTGCTAAGGTGATGAGCTAGTGTCAAGAAAGGCTGAGGGATCCAAGGATGAACTCAGGCAGGGCTTGAGGCCACTACTCCCGGTTCCCCTCCTCTCTTCCCCATGAATCACCTTCAAGGACACTTCCATCAAACCTGACTCACACAGAAGGCCCAGACCTGAGAAATGACCAGCCCCTGGGCCAGAGCAGAGAGCCAGAAGGCAATTCCCTCCCCCATCACTGCTGCACTGGGTGGAAATTGGGTCAGAGCTGGCCAGCCCATTCATTTAATCCAAACGCCCCCTTTCCATTCAGCTCTTAGTCCTCAGAGCTTTCAGTCCAAGGAAGCACTATTTCCTCTGCAAAATAAACAAAATAAATTAAGCCCATGCTCTTTGATCTCAGGGCTTTTGTGTGGCTGATGAATTGAACAGAAATGATCTGCCATCCTCCTGGCATCTCAAAGACACTGCAAAAATTCAGCTGTAGCTTCCAGCCACCTGCCAGGCACTGTGCTGACAAGGAAGCATGGCTAAGGAAGGCACTCTTTGCCACCCATTCTCCCAGGGAAGCAAGAAGAGTCTGCAGGAGGCACGACAGGGGAAGTCAAAAGAGTCAAAGACTGTGAGGCAGGATTCGTCTTTGGCCACATAGGCATGGATTCTTCTTCCTCTGCTCATTCCCACCCCAGGGACTTTGCACTGGCTTTTGTCCCCATGTGGCATACTTTCTCTGGAGACCTTGGAAAGCTGGCTCCTTCTCATCCTTCTCATGTCAGCTTGCACAGGACCTCCGGAGAGAAACCTTTCCCATCAAAAGTAGCCCCCAGACTCTACCCGCATCACTGTCTGCCAGCCCCCTACTCTATTATCTCCACACTTATCATAATCAGAAATGACCTTGTTGCTGCATTTGTTCTCTTGTTTGTTTTCTGTTTCCACTTCTACCTCCGTGACAGCAGGGACATCATCTATCTTGATCAGTGCCATATCCCCGGCAGTTAGCAAAACGTCTGGCATATGGCAGGTGCAAGGCAAATGTTTGCTGAAGGAGGGAGGCTGCATGGAGGAGACTGGGCCCTCTTTCCAGTGCCAGCTCTGCCTGCATCGAGCACTATGTGGCGCATCTAGACCAGGATCCACATCCATGGTGTGGTTTCCCCAGGCTGCAGAAGTGCACTGTGGAAGCAGGTCTGTGTGCTTGAGATCAGGGAAAGCTGACCAAGAAGATGGGACACAGTTGATTCTGGAGAGGCAGGGAACAGACAGGGGACTCTCCTAACAGGCTGGATCTTCCAGGACAGTTGAAGGACAACATCCAGTAGGACCCTAGACCAAGAGTATAGACACTGTCGCTATGGGTGTTTCTCTGAGCCCTGAGACTTCCCATGTTTAAGATAAGCTGGTTGGATTACTGGTTATTGATTATGTTGAATCTTTTGGTGGCACAGACCAACTTGAGAATCTGAAGATATCAACTTTCTTTCTGGAGAAATGCATGTGCTTACATAGAGACAAAATATGCCTGCACTTCCTAGAAGGGCAAGGACCCCTCCGAAGTTCATTCACAGCCCCAGGATGACAGCCTCTCACTTAAAGGCTCTTGGGCCGCCCTGCTAGTCATTGGCCTGCTTGCTCTGAGACCCAGTCTTTACCCCTCGTCTGTAGACTGTGGACTACACTCCCCAGGCTCCCTCGCTCTTTCTTCTAGGGAAGTTTGTTCTATTCAGCAGGAATGCAGGCAGAAGTCTGCAGGGTGGGGGCAGGCAGAAACCAGGACATTTCTCCCTCCTTCTGCATTTGGTGGCATCTCCAGATAGAGAACATGTCCATCATTATATCTATCACCTCTGGGTATCCTGCCCTCCCCAGAGTCCTTTCCTCTGTGATCCTGCCCAGCCCAGCAGGCCTTCTGTAGTTCCAGCATCCGCCAGGTGCTGCTGGATCCTGAGTTCTAGAAAACCAGCTCCTCCCTTCCCCCTCTAGCCCTAGGATGCTAGCAGCTTCCTGCCATTGCTATTCTCTGGGCTGCCTCTCCATTTTTTGCTTGGCTTTTTATCTCCTTGGACACCTTTATAACTAGTTCCCCATATAAACTCCTTCTACTAGATATTTTGGCATGAACTCTGGGTTTCCTCTGGGGTCCCTGGTGGGATCAGCCTCCCTCCAGCACGGGCATTCTGAGAGCCTGGTAGCTTCCTGGAAAGGCCAATCTGAGCTGAATTAACAAATCCCTAGGAAGGTCAAGAAGATGGAGGGGCTGGGAAAACCCATGTTGCCTGCGAGTGCAGTGCCTCCATCCTGTCTGGTTCCATTCCAGGAAAAAAAGTTATATAGGAAAAGCCTCACAATCGCAATGTAGTTAAAAACTGTTTACTGCCTTTTTCTAAATGAGGGAAACAAATGTAAGGCCCAGAGCAGCCTCCCATCAAATCATGCTCTTGCTCAGATCAAACGGCAGCCCGAGTGAATATTCCTAGAGTTCCTACTTGGGAGCTCACGCTAGCTACTAAGTCCTCCCTGCCAAAAAGACCCGATTATACAAAGTGGGGCAGCAGGAAAGCCAGTCTTGTAGCATCAAAGAAACACACTGTCTGAATTCCATCAGCCACAAGCAGGCATCCTCCACCCAGGGATAATGCAGCCAGGGCACTGTGCCCCAGAATGGCCCCACCCATGCAGGAGGGCACCTTCCCTCCTCACTGTGCTGGCTTCTTTTAACAAATAGCCCTATCTATGAGCTCCCTTGTTCCTTCCAACCATTCTAAAGATAGGGCAGGCACCAAGGCCAGGGGTATGGGCAGGTCCTCCTCCCTGAGGACCAAGGCACAGAGAGTTTCCAAGGCCACACAGCCACTTGGAAGCAGAGCTGGGATTAGAACCCTGCCTGGACAGGGAATGACTTCAACTTACACACATGAACAAACACGAATCTCAACTCCCTGTTATGGTGGGGTTCCCCAGACACACATGCATGGTAGAGATTTCAGTGCAAATTTAATCATTTGAAAATACTGACATTCAACCATTTTTTAACCTCAAAAATGGCAATTTCATGTGGCTTACATGAATAGTTTATTTGGGTAGTGATCCCAGGGGAGAACCAGCTGGGGAGTGGGGAAATAAAATGGGAAAGTGAGAGGGCAGGGTTTGTTAATGGTCAGGACACTGCTGCAGACAACCAAGGCTCAATGCCACTGGAGACCTCTGGGAGATGGGGCAGAACCACCCTGTCCAACATGGAAGGCACCAGCCACATTGAGCTATCTACATTTAAATTACTTGAATTGAAAAACTTAGTTCCTCAGTCCACTAGCCAAATTCCAAAAGCTCAATAACCACAGATGGCTGGTGGCTATCATATTGGACAGCACACATACAGAACATTTCCATCATTACAGAAAATCATAGGGGTAGCACTGGCATAGACCATGCCTCAGAGCTGTGTCATCTGAGGGGTAGAATCTGGGGTATTTATACTCCCATTAGGGTCTATCATTGGCAAGGGCTGCACCTGGGGGTATTTGCTGCAGGCACTTCCAGATGTCTTGGCTCACACTGGTAGGGGGAGGGAAGGCACTGACAGTAGGGGCATTTGAGTGGGATAGGAATAGAGTGGCCTGGGGGCATGGGCAGGGCATTCACAGCCTCTGCCACAATCACCAGCCCTTCCTGCACATCACCTCTGCTCTTGTTGAAGCACCTCTGGATGCAGGCATTTTGACAGCTTCTTCGCAATGGGAATGTGGCCCCAGAATCCTCTGACCTGATGACAAGCCATTCTCCCTGGAGACAACACACAGAGAGAGACACAATCCAGGCCTTCCAAGCATTTGTGATCTACAGCAGGCAGCTGGGACACAGACCACAGCATGCAGCAACTATACAAACACTGACTAATAAGCTAAAATCGGAAATCTTTATGGAGAAACCCTTGTGAGCAGTGCCTGGCTAACAGCATGTAGGTGTTGCCTCCAAGAACTGTCTAGCATTTGAGAGACACAGTTGGAGACTGAGCGTCCCCATTAGGCAGGCTGGTCCCCGAATACCCACATTATTGTGGTAATCAAAACACAGCTTTGAGACATCACTGTGCTGGTCACAAACCTGGCAAGGTCAAGAAAGTGCTCTGAAGACCAGCACCCAAAATCTTCACAGCTTAGCCTTCCTCCCAGGGGCCCGCTCTTGGCATAGCACAGTGGCCAGAACACAGACTCTCTGGAGCCCACTGCCTGAGGTCATGTCTCATCTCCTCCTTCCTCACTGCGTGGCCTTAGGCGCACTATTTGATCTCTCTGAGCCTGCATTTCCTCATCTATAAAGTGGACACAATAACAATAACTTTCCAATATGGTTGTCAAGAAAATTAAATGAGCCCATGCTTTTAAAGATCTTATAAGAAGGATGGCAAACTTTTTCCATAAAGAGCCAGATAGCAAATATTCTATGGCATTGCAGGTCACACAGACTCTCACAACCTCTCACTTCGGTCCTTGTAGCTCCAAACCAGCCATAGGCAATATGTAAACAAATGGATGTTCCAATAAAACTTTATTTATAAAATCAGGTAGTGAGCCAGATTTGCCCTGCAGGCCATAGTTTACTAACCCCTATCTTAGAATGATTCCTGCTCTACAGTGAGTGCTATATGAATGTTCGTTGATAAAGTCTGCTGCGCTCTCCCACCTCTCAGATTCTTCCTGTATTATTATTCTCTCTGCCTCCCTCTCCACCCATCCTTTAAGACCAAGCTCAAGTAGCCTTCCTGAAACAGTGTGGAGATTTCTCAAAGAGCTCAAAATAGAACTACTATTCAATCTAGCAACCCCACTAATGAGTATCTACCGAAAGGAAATCATTAGACCAAAAAAACACCTGCACTCATGTTTATTGCAGCACTACTCACATTAGCAAAGTCGTGGAATCAACCTAAGTGTCCATCAATGGATGGCTGGATAAAGAAAATGTGGTACACACGTGCACACACACACACACACACACACACGCACACCATGGAATATTACTCAGCCTTAGAAAAAAAATGAAATCATGTCTTTTGCAGCAACACAGAGGGAACTGGAGGCCGTTATCCTAAGTGAACTAACTCAGAAACAAAGTCAGACAGAAAGTGATGGGTACACTAAAAGCCCATGTTGTCACTTATAAGTGGGAGCTAAACTGAGTACACATGGACATACAGAATGGAATAATAATACTGGAGACTCCAAAAAGTGGGACGGTGAGGGGGTGTGGGATAAAAAATTACCTATTGGGCTGGGCATGGTGGTTCAAGCCTGTAATCCCAGCACTCTGGGAGGCCGAGGTGGGCGGATCACCTGAGGTCAAGAGTTCAAGACCAGCCTTGCCAACACGGTGAAACCCCATCTCTACTAAAAATACAAAAATTAGCTGGGCGTGGTGGCATGCCACTGTAATCCCAGCTCCTTGGGAGGCTGAGGCAGGAGAATTACTTGAACACGGGAGGCAGAGGTTGCAGTAAGCCAAGATCACACCATTGCACTCCAGCCTGGGTAACAAGAGTGAAACTCTGTCTCAAGAAAAAAAAAAATTACCTATTGGATACAATGTACACTATTTGGGTGATGGGTGCACTAAAAGCCCAGACTTTACCACTACACAATATATCCATGTAACAAAACCGCACTTGTACTCCCTCTTTTTTTTTTTTCAAAAAAGAGGCCTCCCTGGACCCTCCCTCTTTTCTTAGCCACATCCTTAGACCACTTCCAAGTTGCTCTTCTGTGGTGACCCTTGCCCCACCCTGCTATTTGTGGGGCAACTTGTTTCGCTGTAGAATTTCATTGTTCCTGTTAAATGATGAGATGATCCAATGTCTTCATTTTACAGGGAGGGAAGCAAGGCCCAGAGAAGCCAAGCGACTTATTCAAGGTCACACAGTGACGGCAGAGTCAGGACCAGACATGGATGTGTCTTGATTCATGATTCAGTACAGTCTTGGGCTTAAGGAGATTTCAATACTGAGGAGAGTGGGGACACAGATCACCCAGCCTTCTACCCTTGATTTAGGGCTGGACTAGGTCACCCCTCCACAGAGGTTCCTTACTTCCTGCCTCAGCACCCCTCCAGGCAGAACACTTACGGGGCTTGTTGCCCCAACTAGACAGGTCTGGCTCACTTCTGAGTCTGTCACATATCCAGCATGGGCCCAGGCACGCTCCAGATGCAATAGTGTTGACCCTGTGTGCTTTGTCTTCCTCTTCCTTCCCCGTGAGTCTGCCCATTGCCCCGGGGACACCCAGGACAGACTCACAGATCTTCCCCAGGGGACATGTCCTGTTCATGCCTATCTAAGTCATCAAAGGCAAATTCCAGAGCAGCCTATAGCCAGGGCTGTGTGGGGACTCCCCACTGACTATGGGGCTTCACAGAGGCACAGCCCAAAGTACCATGCTCACAGACACACAAATTCAGACACACACATGCACACACACACACAAGCAGACACATGCACACACTAATATAAACAACACAGACACACATACACATACACACGGACACGGACACACACAGAAACATGCACACACTAACATAAACACATACATGCACACACATACACGCATGCACACAATGAAACAGGCACACAGACACATGCACACTAACATAAATACACACAGCACATATACTCAGATAGATGCACACACCTAAACACAAATATACACATGTATACCCACACTGATGCTAACACATACACACATGAGCACACACACACATACACAGAAACATATATACACTTAAATACATATATGCATGGAGAAACAAATGCATACATGTGCACACACACACTTAGACGTAAAAACACATATATTTACAAACAAACACAAATGTATGCACTCAAATAGACATATAAATACACATGCATACACACAGACATGTAAACATACATACACGTAAACATACACACATCTATAGATGCTCATGTGCTCACAGAGACCCTTATATACCTATGCACACATGGATAAACACACACACCCTCACACATGCACTTACACACTGTGTGATGTTTTTAGCTTTTACCTTTACAGACAGACATGGGAGCTTTCCCTGGAAGATGTAAGGTCCCTGGGAAAGGGACTGTGCCCTGGGCTCTCCCCCGGGAGAGAGTCCCGCCCACCCACAGCATCTGCCTGGTGTCTTGAACACAACTAGTGCTCACGTTTCCTCAATGGACGGATGAATGAAGTCGTCTCATGCCTGGGCCTTGGGTCCATGGGGAGAGCTTGGCTCAGGAAGCCGGTGCTGCCTCTATCACCTCTGAGTTTCCAAGCCATACTCTCTCACCCCATCCCAGCTTGGGAAACAGCCAGCATCTTGCTGGCCTCTTGGTGGAGTGTTGCTGATCCATGCCTCTGCCAGAGGTGGGAGAAACCTCGATGAAACTCAAACCAAGTCTTGACTTATCTAGGGATGGCTGAAGGTCCTCCTGGGGTGGGGAGAAGGTGGAAGAAACCACTGACTAAAGTGGTCCTGGCCCCATTCTCCCAGCATGTAGGTTTTCTGGCTGGACTTTACAAGTAAAAACCACAGTGAGGAGCTCACTTCTACCTGAGGTAACACAGTGCATGGCCCCCACCTGCTTCCCTTCATATCACTATCTTGCAAAACTGGCTCAGAGAGAGCCTCCTGGCCCTGCGTAGCCTGGGAAGATACCACCCACCATCATTTGTTACCTCCCCACAGTGGGAAGGTGAAGGGCTTAGGAGACCTGCTTCTTGGCACCATCACACTGTACTGTGTTGTCACCCTATCTGGACCTCAGTGTTTCCTCTGCTTCTATAAAACGGGGTGAATAACCTTTGCCTCCTAAATACCAAGGATACAGCATCAAGGAGAAAGGACTCTGACCTCACAGGAGGTGGGACCAAGGAGAGGGGCAACTCACAAAAGCCTGAGGAAGAACATTCTTTGGTGGCACCTCCCTGATGAGCAGAGAGGAGCCGCTCTGCAAGTTAAGTAATTGATGGAGCACACGCTAAAAATACAAACTAGGTTAGCACTCAGGGTGGTTTATTGCTCCAAGAGGGAGTTAATTCAGGCACTCAAATCTCCATGGAACAGGGACTGTGAGCCCAGAGCAGCAGACTCCTGAGCCAGGAGGCCTCATGCAACCCAGCTGAGAAGTGCTGTTTACTTAAAGGCTGAGCAAGACGGAACCAGAGAAAATGGGCTGGGGAAGCATAGGGGGTGGCAGAGAAGGGAGTGCCCAGGCCTTAGGAGCATGAGGGAAAGAAAGGAGGCAACATGCAAATTAGTAACAGGAAGTGGGACAGGCGACAGGAGCTGGAAGGGCTACTCCCTCCTAGATTGGGCTGCAAAGACCCCAGCCTCCCAGCTTTCTGGAGCCCCTTGCTATTCCAAGTAAGCTCCAGAGACCAGCGGCATCTGCATCACCAGGGCTCTCATCAGAAAAACAGAATCTCAGACCCCACCCTAGACCTCCCGAATATACATTGCCACAAGATCCTCAGATTTCCTGTGCACACTAAAGTTTGAGAAGCACAAGATTAGGAGTCAAAATCCCTGAGTTCCTGGTCCAGCTATTGCTATCAAATTGCTGTGTGGTTTTGCAGGACTTGCTTGACCTCTCTGGGTGCTAGAATTTCTTCCTCTGGGCTACAGGATGAGTGAGGCTTGTTTCTTTCTCCTGGGTTCTGAGAGGCTCAAGTCAGACCCTTCATCTGCAGGCCTCGGAAGCATGGGAGGGCCTTTACAGAAAAACGTTTCCATTTTCTACCAGGCTGCCCCCTTCCGCTTTCTTGGAGTCATTAGTACACAGAGAGGTAGATGGGGAGATGATCCTTGAAGGACACACTGCAGTCAGGAAGAAGACTTCTTAATGTCATTTTAAGCCTTGATATCTCTCCATTAAAAAAAAAAAATTATAAAGCAGCCTCTTGCTAATGGGGAAGCAGCGGGTCTGAGTCATGCTAAGTAAGCCAGAGCATTTCATCTGGAAATCCCTGGTCTGGTGTTACCCATTGCCTTTGGGACATTCAATATCACTACTGCACTTGAGAAATGTGGCTTCTGGGGCTCAGAGAGGTTAAGTGAGTGGGTCAGAGTCACACAGCCAGTGAGAAACAGGGCCAGGACGGGAAGCCAGGCTCCCGGCCCTCTAAGAGAAACTCTTTTAAGTACCTCAAGGTGCCCACGTCCTTGACAGCTGACCCAGACTGGTGTGAGGACAGGAAGGGAAAAGACATTCTGACTATTGCCTGAGTTGGACAGAGTTAAGAGGATAAATCTGGGAGGATATGATATCACAAGGGTTCAGATAGAAAGTTTCTAAATTATTGCTTAACTTGTTTCATCAAATGAATTGCTTCCCTCCATTAGCCCAGGGCTGAAGTGGCCAATTACCTGCCTTCTGCACAGGACGACGGCCGTGTATAAATCAACTTGGGTAGGTAACAAAGGAATAGCCAAAATTCTAAAACAAAAATAGATGAGAGACTTAAGCACACCCCAAAATAAAACACACACACACTCGGTAACTCAAGTATTAAGTTCTGAGACGGCCAGGCCTGAGTCCCTCTCGGCCTCCATCCAGAGACCAAACATACAGTCTCTGATGATGCTGAGCGTGGCAATGAGGCCTTTGCATAGGCCACGATCCCTGCAGCAAACTGCGTTGCCTTCCCTGGGCTTTGGGAAGGACACTTAAGGCTGGAGATTCAACTAAGTGCAAAGCTGGTACCTGCAGACCCAGGGGCACCAGTCAGTCTACAGCTATGGAGGGTGTTTTAATGCAAATGGTAAGGCAACTTTGCTGGTCCCTCCTTCTGGCTCCAGGATGGCACCTCCTGGGGCTGCTGGGCTTTTCCCAGGTCTTAAAAGGAATTCTGGTATTACAGAAATACTCAGAGTTTTGGAGTTAGAACAGCCTGAGTTTGATTCTGGATGCTGCCACTCACTAGCTGTATCTGCCTTGGGTGAGCCATTTAAACATACTGAACCACAGCTTTCTCATCTGCAAAATGGGGATAATAACAATGCCAGTGTCAGAGGGCTATCAAGAGGATTGAATAAGGTTAACATATACAAAGCACCCTATCGGCACCTGGCAAACAGCAGGCATTTAATGAGTGTGGGCTCCCTCCAACATAGACTAGAAAAACTGGTCGAGGGGTAGCCTCTCCCTAGGAATATTCTCTTCCTTTATACATTACATTAAGAGGGTGAACCAGTCCAAGCCAGATTCCCAATTCCATCCTTCAGCCCAAGGCTGCTCCATTGCACAGCTTCAGGAGGCACTGCCCATATGGTGGTCTAGATGTGTGACGCTTCCCGGGGCTGGGCAGTCCACAACCTGCCTCAGCCTATGGAGACACCCATGGGATGCTAAGAGGGAAAGAAGAGATCCAAATCCACCCTTGGCAGAAAATGGGACCATCCCAAGAAAGTGTTCCTGGCAGGAGCTCAGTGGGCAGGAAGTAGGATGCCCAGCAAGGGCATACCCTTGGCGGGAGCATCAGGAACTAAGGCAAAAATAGACCATGAGGCCCAGGGCTGCATCCACCTCTTCCTGGCCCAGACCTCTCTGCCCCTCTGAAGCCTGGCTGCCCTCACTCCTCGATCCTCAGTGCCTAGCATGGACTCTCCACACCCACTCTCCCTCACTTCGCCTGGTCTCCCTAACTAGAGAGCAAGCTCCCTGTGGGCAGGGGAGTAACTGATATCACTGTGGTCCTCTTGAGCCAAACACACTGTGCTAAGAAAGCCCAGGCCTGCATCATCTGCTGGCTAGCTGCTTCTTCATCTCCAAAGCCCAATTGACACAGCCACCCATGTATCTCAGAGGATGGTTAGAGAGCCCAAACGATGCTCACTCAGTCTTTCAACAAACATGCATTGAGAACCTACTGCATGAGCTCTGGAGTGCAATAGTGAAATAGGCAGAAAGGATTCCTGTCCTCAAAGAGCTTATTCTCTAGTGAGAGACAAAGGCCAATCAAGTACACAAACAAATACTACATATTACATATATGTTAAATTGTAATCAACTACAAGAAATGAGTTCACTGCATTATATAATCAACCATTGAAGGCTTCAATAGTCACAGAAAGACTGATGCAAGAGACAGGCTGAATGTAGCTCTAGTGAGAGAGTAAGGAGCCAGAAAGGTAAGGAGGGGAGAATATGAGCAAACAAGCCTCCTGTGCAGGACATTTCCGTCTGCTGTGACCACCCTTCACAGAACTGAGGGCTTGCCTGTTCTGTCACGTGGGATGCTGATGTCCATGAGGGAGGCAGGTTATCACCTTTGATTTGAAAGCCCTAGAGGCAGTGAAGTTGCAATCAGATAGACAGGACCTGAAAGAAAGAAAAAAGGGAGGGAGGGGGGAAAGGGGAGGAGAGGAAAAGGAAGAGGAGAAGGAAAAAAAGAAAAAGTAGAGAAAAGAAAAAAGAAAGCCAGACCCCTGTGCTAGGAAAAATCTAGCTAGAGGAACGCAGAGCCTAGCCTGTGATCTTAAGGTGACTTCTAGGCCAGACTGTGAAGGGCACCATGTCATAAAGCCATTGCCACCTCCATTTGATGTGCACCATCACCTCTCCTGGCTCTTGGCCTTATAGATTCACCAGTTTTTAAAAAAACTCTTACATTGCAGCTGCTTCTCAGAGGCTGAGACTCAGTGACTGTGTCAGTTTTCATCTTAATTCATGTCTGTACTGCCACACTGTTGGCAGGACATGTTTCACACCAAATAACTACACTTTAATCAAGCTCTCTGTTGGTTGCATTTTTTGATGATGGAAAGTCCGTCTCCGAAGCAGTTGTCTTCACTAATGTTGACTGAGCAGTGCTCAGCAGATGTAATGCTGAGCGAATAGGGGATCCCAAGGGACTCCAGGGTGCCAGTGCGATGATCCAACAGGGTTCCAGACATGGCAATTTAGTTGGACTTCATCCTCAGTCATAGAATCCAGTGGCAGAACTCTATGTCACAGCATCACAGTTGTGTGGACACACAGAGCTGCCAGAGACTATAAAGGCCATAGCCTTTTCCACCAGCGCCTGCATTTGCCCCTAGGGAAAGCCAACTCGAGGTCAAGGTTAGTTCCCAAGTTTCCAGACTTGAGAGAGGACAGTGGTCAGAGAGTCCAGAAGTTTCTGAAAGGCTGCTCCAAAAGGGCAGGGAGGCACAGCAGGGCCACTTGGCCACTCGCCGAGTTCTACATTCACAGGGACCACGAATTTTGACCTTGAAGCTATTCCTGATTAGGTTATGTACACATTCCTGGAGATGTATTCATGGAAGGAAAAAATATGGCATTGATCATCTGATTTAAACTTTTATCCTGTTACCAGATCTCATTCTGGTAGTACACTAGGAATTAATATGAAGTTTGCAAATTAAGTATTATCCTTTGAATAGTACAATCATATTGTTTCCTT
This sequence comes from Homo sapiens, assembly GCF_000001405.40. Taxonomy (NCBI): domain Eukaryota; kingdom Metazoa; phylum Chordata; class Mammalia; order Primates; family Hominidae; genus Homo; species Homo sapiens. Next base: position 77,467,989 of record NC_000010.11, read on the forward strand.
GTTTTTATTTTTATTTTTATTTATTTTTAAATTTTTTGACACAGAGTCTCACTCTGTCGCCCAGGCTGGAGTGCAGTGGTGCGATCTTGGCTTATTGCAGACTCCGCCTCCCGGGTTCCAGTGATTCTTGTGCCTCAGCCTCCCAAGTAGCTGGGACTACAGATGTGCACAACCATGCCTGGCTAATTTTTGTATTTTTGGTAGAGACAGGGTTTCACCATGTGGGCCGGGCTGGTCTCGAACTGTCAGAACTGTCAGGGGATTCTGTCAGAACCAGGGGATTCTGGAGTCAGAATGCCTGCCATCTTCTCCTATAGCTCTGTGTCTACACACAAGTTACTTAGCCCCTCTGTGCCTATTAAGGGCTGATTTATGTTCCCCACCAAAAATTCACATTGAAGTCCTAATGCCCAGTACCTCAGAATGGGATGTATTCAGAGACAGGGTATTCAAAGATGTGATAAAATTAAAATGAGGTCATTAGGGTGGGTCCTAATGCAATATGACTGGTGTCCTTAGAAGAAGAGGAAATTAGGACACAGACATATACAGGAGGGAGATGATACATACACAGGGAGAAGAAGGCAGTCTTCCACAAGGCAATGAGAGAGTCCTGGAACCGATCCTTCCTTCACAACCCAGAGAAGGAACCAGCCCTGCCAACACCTTGATCTCAGACTTCTGGCCTCTAGAACTGTAAGAAAATTAATTTCTGTTGTGTAAGCCACCTGGCCTGTAGTACTTTGTCACAGCAGGCCTAGCAAACTAATACAGTGCCTCCCTTTCCTCATCAAGAAAATAGAAATGATAATAGTCCCTTCCTCACAGAGATGTGTTGAGTACCCAGTTCCCAGCACTCAGTAGGTGTCCAGCAAATGTTTCTTGCACTACTTGTGATTAGTACAGAGTCTTAACCCAACCTGGTCTCTGCATGCTTCATCTTACTCTTCTGTGTGAGAAAAGAGGCTTATAATGAAAGCAGAGAACAGTAAATTCTGCAGACAAGTCACACACTTCACAATCCCCACCACCCTCCCCGACCACTTCGCCCCAAGCACCTTAAGGTTGAATGGTTTGAGTCCCAAATCTGCACTTGCATAAGGTTTCTTTTGCTCTAGCCATGTACTTTGCTGACTGTTGTAGGACCCGCCTGCCCATCCTGTGTTCTCTCCACCCAATACCTTCAAAGGCCACAATAGGAACCCCGCTACTCCTTGGTTTATCAATATTAGACAACTTAGGATGCAGTTAGAGATCCACACGCCATCCAAGTCCCCACATTACAGAAATTAGAAGCCTCTCCTTCCAGTTTATTGGAGAAGGAGGATTTCTGGTCAAGACGTCCACCTTCAAGATGAGGTGAAGAGCAGACACCACTCTGGACAGTTTGCCTGGCCACCTAAGGAAAACACAGCGTTTAGAGGGCAGCGCCAGAACTGTGTCTCCTCAAGAAATTTGTCTTGAGAAGGGTCCCTGAATATAACGGTTGCCAGAGGGGACTCCTTGGGGCCTAGAGCAAGCTTACTGGGGGTCCTGGAAGAGTTCTCAGAGGTGTGTGAACTCACTGGCAGCTGACTGAGAAACTGGGAGTGGCACAAAGACCTTTAGAAACCAATAAGGACTTCAGAGGTATCACCCACAAGCCCAGAAGTGTGGCCAAACTGAATACCCCAGCTCTCTGCTGCCTCAGCAAGGAGCCAGGGATTCAGTGATGGTGTCTTCTTCCAAACCTGTATGGCATGGTAATTAAAATCAAGGTCATTTAGAACCCAGAAACCAAAGCCATTCTGACTCTAGAGGGAATTTTAATTTGTTAATGGATCTTCCGGCTGATGGCTGGGGGAAAAGATAGCAATTCACAATGGGTTTGAGGCCAAAAATGGCACCACAGTGGCCGGGAAGCCGCTGATAGCTCCTCGGTCAGTCTTCAACTGCAGCAAGGAACAGGCTGGGCTACCCAGGGATACAGATTTTTTTTTTTAACTTTTTAATCAGCTAATAGCAGATGAAGACCTAACAATGCTGCCAAGATTCTGCTCCTTCTGTCAGCAGTGGTGAGAAGGAGGCCAGGGTCGGATGCGTCCGGCTGCCTTTGCTCTCTGAGGTTCTTTTGGAGGGATGTAGGAATTTGGGGCTGAGGAGGAAACCCCAGGGCCATCTTCTCCACTGGTCACCAACTGCAAGGATCCAGGAAAGGGAAACAGGTGGAATTCTCAGTTCCCTATGCCAATCCTGGGGGAGGGCCTGAGACATGTACTGTATTAATTTACCCCACAAATGATTATGGGCTGCTTAAACGGTGCCACAGATGTAATGGAGACTCAGCAAACTGAGGAGGTGAGGCCCGGAAACGTGTCACTAAAGCTGCTTACTGTGTGCCGCAAAGGGAAGACTCCGGGTGGCCTCAGACAGAGGGAGGGTAGGGCAGCAGAAGAGCTTCATCCAGAAATGTAAACCAAAGGCCCGGCACCCTACCTTGAACACCCAGTGCTGCCGGAAGATCCTGTCCCCACATGAGGGCTCTGGGCAGGGGATCTCCTCCTAACCAGCGCCAGCGACCACAAAGGGTGCTCTTCAGTGGAGAAGAAAAAGAAGAATCTAATTCCTGACTTTTATTTTTAGCTGCAAGTCAGACAGAAGAGCAGAAAGAAGGCACTTGACCATAATCCTGATCATACTGAACGAGTAATTTAATCATTTTTAAAGCCTGTGTGCAGGCTCCGCCATCTTACTGGGGTCTAACTTGGGAAACTCTCACCTCATTTCAAGCAACCAGGGTTTCTCTACAAGAGCCATCAAAAACTACTTCTTTAGAAGCACAATTTCTAGGCATTTGTTTTGTCCAAAAACTTGGATTCTCTTACTTTGTTCCTTGAGCTAAATCAAGCACAACTATGCCAGCTGAGGCAGTGAGGAGAAAACCGGGGTGGGGAATGAAGCAGGCAAGAGGGCCTCCTGCCCTCAGAGAGGCAGCCCGGCTCATCCAATGGATAGACGCACACCATACACACACCACACAACACACATGTAACACAACACACACTACACACTGCACACCACATACATAACACAACTCATACTACACACACAACACATATACAACACACAATACACACCAGACATGTTACATAACTCACACTACACACCACACACATAACAACTCACACTACACACACACCACACACAACACACAATACACACCACACATGCAACACACACTACACAACACACATTACACACATAACACAACTCACACTACACACACAACGCACATACAACACACAATACACACCACACATGTAACACAACACACACTACACAGTGCACACCACACACAACTCACACTACACACACAACACAACACATGTAACACAACACACACTACTTACCACACACACCACATAACACACATCACACATACACACACCAAGCACCACACACAATGCAACTCACACTACACACACACCATGCACCACACACGTAACACAATACATGCTACACACACACTTCACACCATACACCACACACCATACACATACACACAGCACACACTACACACACACCATACACTGCACACACTCCATACCAAATACCACAGGTCACACACACACACCACACACACTATACATATACATACATAATACACACCCAACACATATAGACACATCACACACTACACACACACACCACACACACTATACACACATACACATTATATACACATATCACACATACACACATAACACACATACACGCATTGTCCACACACCATCCACGTACATACCACACATATACACACACCCAACAAATATACACGCAGCACACACATACTATACACACATTATACACAACGCATGTACACACTATACACACATCACACATATATACACACACATAAACATACAAGTGGTATACACACACTATACACACACCATATATATATACACACCACATACACCATACATACACCACACACTACACATCACACACACATAATGCCACATACACACACCACACACACATACACCACACACCACACACATGACACATATTCACATACATGTACCACATACACACATGCACCATACACATACCACACACACACACCACATAAATACCCACACACCACGCATTCTGCACACACTACATACCACACATATCACACATATATTATATATTCACTGCCCACATACACACCACACAAATACACCACACACACACACACTACACACACACTATACATACATCACATAGACACAGACACATACACATAGCACACCTAGGCACACTATGCACATGTCACACACACATCACACACACACAGAGAGCGTACATACTAAACACACATCACATATACACATACACACACCACACACACATACTACACACACACTATACAAACATCACAGACACAGACACATACACATAGCACACCTAGGCACACTATGCACGTCACACACACATCACACACACACAGAGAGCATACATACTAAACACACATCACACATACACATACACACACCACACACACATACTGTTTATTTCCTTGCTTTAATAAAAAAATAAAAAGAGAGAGAACTTTAAAAGGAAGCAGAGGAAAATAGGCATTTGGAAAATTAGCCCCATCCTACCATGATAGCTCCTATAAAACATCTTCTAGAGTCTGATTTTCCCACATCTAAAAATTATTTCTTTTTATTCTGTTGTTGTTTGGCACTACAATATAAATATCTGTGCGTGCAGAAGCAGCTTTTAGTCTTTCATCTGTGACATCTGTGGAGAGCGCTGGAGCTTGTGTTTATTCATAGGCATCAGTCCGTTCCACCCTTCAAACAACAAAGGAGGCAGGTGGAACCCAGAGATCAGAGGAGTGAAGACATTAGCTCAAGGGCTCAGGATGGGCTCCAGGTGCACTTACTCTATGCTGTCTGACATTCATGGTGGGCTCGTACTAGGATTGGGCAGGGTGAGTTTGGCAAACCAAAACCCAAATGTGCACTTCCCAGCGGGGCCACCCACCAGGGTGCTGTACCCTAACCCTCCACGGCTGTGGCCTGCCCTGGGTCACCTCATGGCCTGGTGCTGCCCTTCACACGAGGAAAACCCTTCTGTCAGTTCCTAGTCTCCATCTTTCTCCTCCCTGATTCCAAAGTGCAGGTGCCTGCTGACTGAGTTCTTTTTAGATGAAGTCTGTTTTCACCATAGGCCCTCAACCAAAGGCCAGTTGACTTCAACTGGCCAACTTTCATCTCAACCCAGAATTACAGCTATCCCCAGGAGGCAGGCATTGGAGGAGTTGCTGGACCGCAGAACTGAACACTCACATCCTCTGAGAAACGGAGCAGTGAAGGCTCTTGCAATTATCTCCTGAGGGGGGCTGATGAACTGGGGGCCCCAGCCTGGAGCAGTGGAGGCCAAGAAGAGCTTTAGCCCTGTCTTCAAGGGCCTGAAGAGAGTGGCCCAGTGGTCAGATGTATTCTGTCCATCCCCAGGGGGAGACCAGAACCACCAGACAGAAGATTTAGAGAGAAATCTCTCTCTTGCTTTTCAGTAGAGCCTGACTTTCACAAGATAGGAGGGGCCTCCGTGGATGGAAACAGGCTCCCTGGCACAGGAGGCATTTAAGAAGAGGTGGATGGTCTCTCAGTGGGACACTGGAGCAGGGGGACAGACATCGGGGGAAGGGTGGGCCAGTGCGACCTTTCCAATTGCCTCCCACCTTGAGAATCCCTGACTCGACAGAGTGAATACACAGCCATCTGAGACCTCCTGGTCACCTGCCTGCAGGGCTCTCTTCTGGGCCTAAAAATAAGATTCCCAGAGTCCTGATCCAAATTAGATCCTTAATAACGTGTCACCATGGCTATAAATAAGTCTCTTTGAGGGCCAGTTAATATAATTATTTTAATCAGCTACACTCCCTAGAAGGACTGCCAGCTAGCTCCCCGCTCAGCCTCGCTGCGTTCTGAACAGGTGCGCTCCTCCTCCGCCTCACCCAGGGCCGGTCCTTAGAGCAGTCACAATGATGAAGGGTGGGTGGGCAGTCTCTCTGCTTCCCTCTCTCTAATGTCCCTGAGACACTCCTTCCATTCTGGGGCCTACATTCTCCCTTGATCATTCACCAAGACTTCCAACAGGAAGACAGGGGTGAAAACGCAAAGTCTACAAGAGCCAGACACACAGCAAAGACATGTAAATCACACACGGCATGATGTGAGAGAGAGTGTTACGGACTGAATTGGTTCCCTGCAAATCCACATGTTCATATCCTAATCCCCAGGACCTCAGAATGTGGCTGTACTTGGTGACAGGGTCTTTGAACAGGTGATTATGGTTAAATGAGGTCATTAGGGTGGGCCTTCATCCAACAGGACTGATGTCTTTATAAGAACAGGAGATTAGGACATGGACAGAAAAAAGACCATGTGAAGATACAGGGAAAACAAGGCGGCCATCTACAAGAGCCAAGGAGAGAGGCCTCGGAGGAAACCAATCCTGCTGGCACCTTGACCTCAGACTTACAGCCTCTAGCAGGGTGAGAAGGTAACTGTCGGTTGTGTGAGCCACCCAGGCGATGGTCCTTTGTTACAGCACCTCAGGAAACTCACATGGGGCGCGGTAGGGTGTGCCCTGTCTGGAGGTTCCACATTCTTTTTTTTTTCTCTCTCTCCCAAAGACTGGACAGCCAAACAACACAGAGCCCTGGACTTCTCTGTCATTGTATATGACTCCCTGAGAGAATGTAAGGAAAGAAAAGCAATAGGGTGTCAGAGAAAGGACATTGGCCTGGCCGGGAGAGCTGGTGGGTTTAGCCAGGCTACCTGAGCAAGCTGCTCAGTCTTGGGAACTATTCAATTATGTTGGCCCCCATCCTATCATCAGTTAACTGAAACACCTGGCCCACAATGACCTTTAAAGAGCCTTCCAGGACTAACAATTTTGCCCCTGGGTAGCAAGGGGCAGCCTCAGATCATGAGCCTAGAAGGGAGAAGCCCTGGAGGACAGAGTGGGACAACTGCAGAAGGAGCACACAGAGGTGTGGGTGATGTCAGGAGGCTGCTTGACTCTTTCCTGGAGCTAGGAGCTTTCGTTCCTGTCCCAGCTGCTCTATTTGCTAAGTGCCTCAACTTGTCCCCCTCCCGGGCATCTGTAAATGAGATAATAGGAGTGCACGTGTTGTGTACCAGTGAAAGTCTACACTATGCCAAGCATGCTCACCATTACGAAAGAGGACAAGGACAGGTGGGTGCCCAGTGGCTTCTCAAGACTGACATCTACATTTATCAGATTCCCCAAGGGGCAACTCCCTGGGCAAGGCAAGGTGGGTCTTCAGAGTTGGGGCCGGAGTGCCTGTCTTCTCCCCACCACAAACCTAGGTGCCACATTACTATACAGTCCTAAAGATGCTTTAGGATTGTGGTTTCGTGCTGAAGGAGGCAGGGGAGAAATCGTAACTTGCATCTCCCAAAGGCTAGAAGTGAAATTAAGATCCTTACACACGCTTAGTGGTCTGCATTTTACATAGAGCTTTCACCAATACAATCTCCCAGGTATTATTATTCCCATTTTACAGATGAAGAAACCAAGGCAAGGGGAGATTAATGATGAAAATAAGGCAGTGTAAAAAAAAGCACAAGGCTTGGGTTCTTACTTTGACCTTTAACAAAGTCACTTAATATCTTGTTATCACATGGCCTGCAAACAAAGTCCTGTAGCCAGTACAAGCAGGGTCAAAACATGACCTGAGGACTTCCACCCAGAACACGCCATATGCACATTTCACAGATTCAAATAATCTCAGAACTGGAAGGGCCCTTGGCAATCACAGATCTGATTCCTTTGGATTTATGCCAAGGAAACTGAGGTCTAAAGATCTCCTTGCTCAGGGTCTCACAGTGAGGCTCTGGCTGGACTAAAACCAGAGTCCAGGGTTCTTTTTCATAGACCATCCTGCCCTGTCAATTTGACTTCAAAATCTTCCTCTTCAACACAAACCACAACCACAAAGAGAAGGGTCTTCTGGGTTATCTGTATTGGGTTGCAGAAAGAAGTTCCACCCGTACCCCCAAACCTGGATACTTCCTCCAGGCCGCACGGTGCTGGCCTCCTCCAGCGACTTTGAGCAGGAGAGCAAATGAGTCAAGCTCCTCTCACAGGATGAGGCTGCTGGGAGCAGCTCAGAGGACTGGAATTAGAAATTCTAATTATTAGAACTCTCGGAATGCACCAAAGGACAATTTATAATTAGCACATGTCAAAAGGCCATCCGCAAAGGGGACACATTATAAATCAGAAAACAAAGATGGCCCCAGAAAGGGACTGGGGAGCTGAGCTGTTTGGCCTCCCACCCCTCCTGATGGCCCTAAATCCAATCCACCTCCCACTCCTGTGAGCCCTCCTCCCTCCTATGCCAGCCTCTCTCCTGCTGCTCTGCCCTTTGCAAGCCCAGCATTGGTGCTTCCCGCTCCCTAAGCCCTCTTCCCTCTGCTGCTCGGTCAGGGCCACTGTCCGAAGGCCTTAGCACAGGGATCCCTCTCTTCAGGGTCCATGCAGCTCTAACCCCAGGTCCTGAGCGGGTCAGAGGCTTTTGGCTCCTGCTGTCACAGGCTGCAAATAAGGATTTAATGACTAGCCTTTTTATGAGGAAGAAAATGTCTCCAGTGGACTGATAATGTCATCGTCTGCTGCTCAGGTGCATGTGCCCAGGTAAGCCTCACAGCCAGAACCCTGCTCTTATGATGAAAGCTCAGGGCACAATCCCAGTGCAGACTTGGAAAGGCCAGCATGCAAAAGAGGTCGGGGCACCTCCTTGTTTCTTCCATGAATGAATGAATGAATGGATTTTCTACTGACTTATATGCCATAAATATTTTCTTGAGTACTTCCTATGTGTTAGTCACAGCACTTGAGATTGGAGAGGAAAAGCAGTCAAAAACACAGAAATAAATAAGACACGACCCTACCCTCCCAGAATTCATAGTAGCACATACTTGACAGGTGAAAACATTTTTAGAAAAACAAAAACGAAAACCAGCAAGAGAACTGGCATCTGAAGGCAGGACACCTGGATTCCAGGAAAAGCTCTTAGCTGCATGACTTGCCTCCTGCCGGTCATTTGTCTTCCTTGGGCCTCCATCATCTGTGCCATGGAGATAATACCAACTTCGTGGATCCCACAGGGGTTGCCATGGAAAACATGATAAAACACAGGAACAGACCCTCTGAGAAATGTCTGCAGTGTAACTCCTTATCATAACACGAAACACTGAAGATTCTGTTGGCTGATAGGAATAAGAATTCTATTTTCCCACACTTGCCAGTCTGACTCAAGATGGCACCTAGTTCCTTGGACAAAGATCCCAAGGGTAGAGAAAGGCAATTTATCAGGCCACCATATGTCTGTGCTTACCAAGGAACCTTCTAGATGGTGACATTTTCTCATATGCTGTGGCTCACAGGGGAAAGACTGCCTCTATGTCTAGGGATGACAAGGTTTTATTCCAGGAGCAAATGAACCCCATCTGTGTGGTAGTGGCTGCCTGGAGCACTGTGTTAAAAAAGATCCTGAAGTTGCATCTTGGCTTGGCTAGAAAGAACATCCTGATAGATTATGGATGTCTGTTATGAATATGGAGTTGGGGAGTGGCACTTTGTTACTTGTGACCTAGGAAGATAACATGCCCACTCAACCACACTCCTTGTTGCACACCTTTCTTTAGAGCTGTGTCCTCTGGCCATTCAAAGGTGAGCTGAGTATTGGTCAATGCCCTGAACACGATTCCTTCTGTGTGAATTGTTAATATTAAGTTCTTAGAGCCAGCAAAGCCTAAGACATATGCCCAGCAAGAAACTGCTATTTTTAGGAAATTAGCTGGTCCTTCAGACCCGGTTAAATGTGCTAGGTGGTCTCAGTCATGTTCTTTATAAACTGAGAAGAATGCCTCACAAATTTGGGTGTCATTAGGGTCTGTGGATCCCGGGCACTGCCACACAAAATCACCCGGTTCAAATACCCTGCAGGTACATGATACCCTCTGCCGTTAATTCTATGCCATTTTGTTGAAGTCTATTCCACTTCCTTCCTTTACCACTTCTCAGGACAATGCATTCTCTGAGTTTATTATGAGCTTTATGCTCTATGAATTCTTGCCATTTTTCTAATATTTACCCTGCTTGCGTTTTAAAGGGGACCTCTCTCTTAGCATGTCAGGATGTGGCAAAGAGTCTGTACTGGCTTAGTTGCTCTGCTCACACTTTTATAAAAGTCTATTATGTCTGTGTTAATTCCCAACAGAGCTGAGCTGCAGTCAACCCCTGAACTACTTATTAAAAAGAAGCACTGAGCAGATGAACGCTCTGCTCATGACTGAGAGGGGAAGAGAACAGACTGTGTCCAAGTCCATCAACACATCATCTGTGCACCAGGAATGCTCCAAACACAAACAGCCCTAGTGAGTCACAAGGATAGATGAATGCTACGGTGATTCTTACATTTGCAGTCAGGACCACAGAGTGCTGGAGACAAGAGGCAGCTTAGAAACCATCTAGTGACTAAAGATGCAGAAATTCAGGCCCAGAACAATTAACCGGCCCACAGTGTTACTCCAAGCCAGGTATACTTACTATAAAAAAGAGTATCACAAAACTCTACATGTGAGGTATTTCATTTATGTCTCTTTTTGCTATTTCAGATGGTTTCCTCTCAGAACTAAAAGCACATTGTATTGCACATTGTAGATACTCAAAGTCTGTTAAATAAATAAACCAATGAGGTAATGTACATAACCCTGCAGAAGGATTTCAGTACAATGCTATTTATAATAGCAAAAAAGAGGAAAAAGTAAAGAGCAAATATAAGGAAAAGGAGTGAGCATCCATATAAGATATAGTCATTTAAAATATGTTTATAGAGTCCCAGTGTCACTTGGAAATGCTGATAACGTAATGTTAAGAAGAAAAGCAGAACACTAAATCGCACATATTCTAGGATCTCGGCATTATAAAGAAAAATGCACAGTAATATATTTGGGGGAAAATAAAACGAATCATGAACAGTAGTAGATGTTTCTGTTGTGATTATGGGAGGTTTTATTTCTGCTTCTTTGCACTCTGCTGTTTTTTGCAGATAATTTACAATGTGCCCATAGGATTTTCATAAGCAATGCGAGGGTATTAAGAAATAGAAAAGAATATCCACAGATATTATTCAGCCTTGCTGGGATTTGGAAAGAGACAGAGATCATTTCTCTCTTTTCACATAAAGAAGCTGATGAAACAAAGAGACAGAGACACTAGTGATGAAGGCAGGCATTAGCTCTCTGGTGTGGAGGGCCATCCAATGCCAGGCAAACAACAGATGCGGGATAAAATCCACTCAAACCACAGTGGGAGGGGGCAGGAGGTGTCCAGTCTTCCTCTTCACAAAGGTTCCATCCTTACCTTATCCAAAAGATGAGCAATACAAGGCTAGGCTCAGCCTTTACCAGCAGAGCCTCCCCAAAGACTCTCTGGCCCCTGCAGCCAATGACAATAAATTAACTATCACAGTGAGGTTTTTCCCCTTCGTCAGGCAATGTGCTATACACATTGTCTCATTAAATCCTCCCCATGTCTCTGAGGCAGGTCTTACTGTGCCCATCTGAGGGATATAGAGACCAGGACTCACACAGGTAAACCCAGGTGGCCAAGGTGTCACAGTTTGTAACCGGACCCCAGAAGCCTAAGCCCTCGCCCCTGTGCCCCGGCTGGTCATTCGTTCCTCCAGATCTTTGCAGCACTAAGAAGATGCTGCCTGGTGACATTTCCTGAATTGTTTCCCACGGGTCTTGTCTTTCAGGCTAGGACAAGTTGTTTAACCTTTCACGTGCGTCTGTCTCTCTTGCTTCCCTCAATTGGACTGTTAGCTCCTGAGGGGGATGAGGGGGTCCTGCTTTATAATTCCTTGTGTGTCCCACGGAGCCAAGCCTGGTGATGTCTTCAGTACTTGACACTTCAGATCTCAGAAAATACCTGCTCATCGATTATTGGATTGAATAGGTTAAGGAGGAGAACCGTCTCATGGGCAGACCTGGCCTGCAGCCAAGACAGAAGCTGGATGCGCCTCCCTCCGGACTCTTGACCCCACCAAATACGACGCCCATATATGTCAACTGTGGCATTGGTGTTTGTCCCCCACACCCCTAAACCACAAGCCAATAAATTGCAGGGCACTCAGACATCAGGATGTGTCCTTCACTTGCCACCAGACCTGAGCTGGCTACAGGCCAATGACAGCATAGGGCTGGCCCTGCCCGCCTCCCATCTGGCAGCAAGGATCCAGTTCCAGATTGTGACCTGTGGTTGAGTCTGGCACAGTGACCCAGGGCTCCAGCAGGCAAATCCCAGTCATAAAACCCTGGTCTGAACCAGCCACGTGATGGACCCCAGTTATCTCTTCCTAAATTGCAGCAGAGCTGATCTTCTTCCAGCTGAGCCAAGGGCCATCAGACAGGGACACGTTTACTTTTACTATCCTATTAAAGCATCCCAGAAAAAAAGAAACAGTCCCCATATCCTAGAGCAAGAAATAAGCAAATCATTATCTACAATGATATCCTTTAAGTCTAAGCTTGCCCAGAAGGTGCTGCACATTTGGAGACCAGGCTATGGCTCCCCTCTCTGAATTCTTTTGAAACCGCAGGGACTGTTACAGGCGCCTCCAAGACTCTGGAGCCACAGCTTGCCTAGCGCAGCTTCCCCCTCCCGGCAAAGCCCTCCCTGACAACCCTACCCACAGTAATCTCAACTTTCATGAACCTTTTCTCTCCCCATAGGGTGAACACATAAAGACACACACGTGCAGCCGGGCACGGTGGCTCACACCTGTAATCCCAGCACTTTGGGAGGCGGAGGTGGGCAGATCACCTGAGGTCAGGAGTTCGAGACCAGCCTGGCCAACATGGTGAAATCCTGTCTCTACTAAAAATACAAAAAAAAAAAAAAAATAGCCGGAGGTAGTGGCGGGCGCCTGTAATCCCAGCTACTTGGGAGGCTAAGGCAGGAGAATCTCGAACCTGGAAGGGGGAGGTTCCAGTGAGCTGAGATCATGCCACTGCACTCCAGCCTGGGCAACAGAGTGAGACTCCATCTCAAAAAAAAAAAAAAGATACACATGTGTATGCACATACACACGCGTGCACACACACACATACACACAGCGTGTACATGTTATTTCTCCAATGAAAGCATATTTCCCTTAAGGGATAGGACCAATCACTTATCTTTCCAGAGTCTAACTGAAAAATGGACCCAACATCCTTGAATTAATAAATAAATGAACAAATAAATTTGTTGATGGACTGGTCAGTTGATAATGTCAAGGAACTCCCTGCAACAGCCTACACAGGTTCACCCTCCTCCAAAATCATACCTTTCCAAGTCCAAGGAAATGCTCAATTCAATCATGCTGTTTTAGAAATAAAGTAATGAATGATATTAACAATTGTTTAGAAACTAACAGGTGCCTGGCCAGGCACGATGGCTCACGCCTATAATCCCAGCACTTTGGGAGGCCGAGACGGGCGGATCACAAGGTCAGGAGATCGAGACCATCCTGGTGAACACAGTGAAAGCCCATCTCTACTAAAAATATAGAAAAATTAGCTGGGCATGGTGGCAGGCCCCTGTAGTCCCAGCTACTTGGGAGGCTGAGACAGGAGAATGGCGTGAACCCTGGAGGCAGAGCTTGCAGTGAGCCGAGATCGCACCACTGCACTGTAGCCTGGGCAACAGAGAGAGACTCTGTCTCAAAAAAAAAAAAAAAAAGAAAGAAACTAACAGGTGCCAGGTACTAGGCTTTTGATATAAATCTCATACGTTAATCTTGTAAGTGAGGTAGTATTATCATTATTATCCCCATTTTACAGGTAAGAAGAATAAAGACCAGAGGGCTATCCACAACTGAAGTATAGACAGTGGGTGAGGAAACATGAACCAAATGGTTCTTCCAGACTCAGGGCCAGATCCCTGGCACAAAGTGCCTACCCTGCATTGCCTTCAGCTAACGTGCCAAGCAGACAGTTCCCATCCTTCAATTTTATTTAATCAAAGCAAAGAATTCATAAGAATCTGCCCATGTTCATTATTCAGGCAGATTAAATATTTGATAGCCCTGTAGTTTAATTTTTTATGGCTCAGAGATTGGAGTGAAGTGCTCCCTGGGAAGCCACACTGTCCCTGGGACAGGGCAGCAGCTGGCCAAGGAGGCCAGAGGCCGAGGCTCCACAGGGCTCTGCTCAGCACCCACGTGCATCTGTCCTGACTCCAGTAAGCTGCTCATGCTGGGTCCCAGGGCCAAAGGTTACAGACACTTTGTAAGTTTGCAAGAGAATCTACAAAAAGGAAAGAAGGGCTGTGGGGACAGGAGGCTTAGGGCATCACAAAATCAGAAAGGAACCCAGATGAACCAAAACATCCAGGTCCCAGGAAGGGGAGGCAGCCTCCTCCTTCTGTCTCTGACCACGCAGCAGAAACAAAGCTTTTGGACAAATGCATGAGACGGCATAAGGGCAGGATCAACTTGTCCATCTCTCTGCCAACTAAAGCACCACAGGGCCATTTGGGACCTTTTGCCTGCCCCTTCCAGCCACATGTAACCTTCACAGTCACTACATATTCCTCCCAGTTCACTGTCTCCCTGCAGAAGCTTGAAAGTCCACAGAGAACAAGAAGAGCTGGGAGCCAAGAGTCCTTCACAGCCTCAATCTGTTCTCCTCTGGCCTAAAGAAGCTCTCTTTCCTAGTCCTTTTCTTATCTTCAAAATGAAATTCCAGCAGTTTTTGTCTCAGCTACCCCAAAATGCCCAAATGTCATGCAGCATGATTTCAATCCCTGAACTGCTCCAACCCACCCCGATGCCCCCAAGTCTCTCTCTTGCTCTCCTTCCCTCCTTTCCTCCTTCCCTTTCTCCCTCCTTCCCTTCTTCTCTCCCCCATCCTTCCTCTCTTCTCTCTCTCTCTCTCACATACACACACACACACACACACACACACACACACACACACACACACACACACCCCTTGTTCTTCTGTGCCTACCATAGAACAAGACCTAATATCTAAGAATTTCACTGGTACCCAGTCAACATCCAACCAATTAATTTGTTCAAGGGTTTAGAGGGGCCAGGAGAGGAGACTTTTTCACTCCAGCAGCCCACGGAGATTTCTGTTTTAATTTCTTTTTAATTGGCAGCGCCACTAACAGCATATCAGAAATCTCTCTGCTCCGACCCTTCTCCTCTCCTCTGTTCTCTTCAACTTTTACAAGGGAAGGACATCCGGCAGTTTTCTGGAAAAATAGAGACATGTCACAGCAGAGCCCAGCTCCTTTTTCCTGCCATCCCTATTCATCACCAGCCTCCTGAGGAGCCGGGGTGGTGACACAGGCTCTCACTTCATCCATGTGGGGCTCATCGGGGCAGGTGACGAGGAGAAAGGCATGCGCCACTCCCCCCAGAGATGGGGCCTGTCGCCTCCTGGGAAAACTGGGGTGGAGGGCTCTCTTCCCCGATCACCTGGCTCTATCTTGCTCTACAGACACCTCACTGGGCCCTCAGTACTCTCATGAGAAGAGAGCAGACTTCCAGCCACCCCTGCTTGCCACTCCAGGCCTCTCTGCTGATGGGTGTATGGCCACGGGACACTGGAAATAACAGGAGTGTGTGGTGAGGGAGAACTGTTTGCCCATTTTCCACATTCAAGAACCTGGTGAAAAGATGAGCAAGGATTATCTCCACACTGGAACCATTCATGCTGCAAAAACAGCACTGAGACATTGAAGGGGAGGAGGCAATTTATTTGCTGTCTTGACACTGTCGCCCAAGCAATTCTCATCGTGACAAAAGAACACTCTGGACAATCACTGCCCCTCCTCTTTCAGGAAACCACACTGAGTTTTCATGACTTGCAGGTGACATTTTAATAAGGAATCAACATGGAACCACAGGGGAAGTAAGCTGAGGCCAGGATCTAGGAGGACCAGGGTGGGAGGGGCCAAAAATGGCACTCAGGAAACAAAGTCACCTACGGTGCAAAGGCTCTTTGTGCCTGCAAGTCTGGCACCGTGGGATTTCTGGCTTTTTTCTCCTCTCTCATTTACTATTTGGGCAGAGGGGAAGTATTTTCCAGAAAGGACAAAGTAGAAGCAGCCTCAGTAAAGAGCTCTCTAGAAACTTCTCCTATTCAGTTGGTGTTTTACAAAGTGCAAAGCACTGCAGGCACCTCCATTCACTTATCCCGTTACGTGGGTGTCGTTATCTACATCTTATAGGCAAGGAAAATGATGTGCCCAAGGTCACAGAGCTACTGAAAGAAGGAAGGAGAAATCAGACATTTCTGTGCCACCTCCTTATAGAAGTTGCCGTCCCCCATCATAATCCAATTAATGGTAAAAATCACAACTGAGGCTAGATATGCAGTAACTCCTTGTGCTCTGCACAGTGCTAAGCACTTTACATCAGTTGTCTCCTATTTTAATCCTCATACTAATGCCAGGAGAGAGGTGTTATCACTCTCATTTGTCAGATGGGGAAATCAAGGCTCTGGGCCATCAGTCACTTGTCCCAGGCCACAGAAGCAGCAGGAGCAGAACCAGGATTCAAACTGTGTGCCCCTGCCTGTGTATCTCCATGGTTCTCAATCTTGCCTATCATCAGCATCACCTGGACAAATGGTCCAAACAAGACATGCTGGGCCCCACCCAAAGAGTCGCTAAGTCAGTGGGGCTGAAAGCAAGCCTAAGAATCTGCATCGCCAACAACTTCCCAAGTGAGGCTCTTACTGCTGATATGAAAACTCCACTTTGAGAACCTCTGCTCTGTCTAGCCTGCCTCTTGTCACCCACAAGCTAATGTGAGCATCCTGTTAGACAAGTAATGGAACAAGATGTGCAAAATGTGGCTGCAGGAAGTTCACTTCCTGATGCACAAAATCGCTCCAAGAAATCACACACCATCCAGAAACACTTAAGCATCATCTGCATTAAACATCAACTAAGGGATGTTCTAAGCCAATTTACTCTAAGACTCACTCTCTCCTTCTTCTGAACCTCCTCTGCTGAAAGTGACCATCTTCCAGCCAGCCCACCTCATGATCATTAAAATACAGCTGTGGAGACATAGGGAGCACTTCTGAATGAGCAACCCCCATCAGTGTCCACTCCCACGTGTGTATTTGTATGCCCATCATGCACCATATGGTGCTCATATTACATACGCAATAAAGTGCACACAGATGTAATCATTTTAAAGAGTGATAAACGTAAATAGAAATAGATGTCTTAACATTTTCTTCCCCTATTCCAAAGGATAGTTTTGTGCATCCCACTTTGGAGGCTGCTGGTCTAGAATTCACTGTTCCCGTTTCTAATTTCTGATCATTAGAATTTGGCAACCACCCCCTGCCCCTGCAGGCTGACCGAGCGTGTCTGAAGAGTTGCTGTGCTCTGTGGTTCGAGGAAAAGCCGTTTCCTTTCTGTTAGCAAGCCCCTAGAGAACACAGGCTGACCCTCCAAGACTTGCCCAGCACAAGCTCTGTAAGTAAGGATGGCTCAGCCAAAGCTTCTTGACTGTGGGGGTCTTTTCTCCAAAAGAGAATAAGAAGCATCTCAGAGCCCATAGAGAAGACAGTGGCTGTCTCTAAAAGCTTTTGACCTAACAAGCAAGAGCAGGAGACTGAGCCCTCACTTCTAAAGCAGCAGGAGGAGAGGGAACTGGATCAGGGTCAGAGAGCAGGCCTTGGGATCAGCCTCCACCAATAACCATGGGTGAGACTGGGACCACACTGTGTCCCCCAAGGACCAATGTCCTTGCTTGTCAAATGAGATATAGGGTGACCAACCAGTATTGTGGGGCCTCCCAGAATGCCAGAGTTTAGTGCCAAAACTGAAACACACTAGAATGTTTGGTCACCCTAGCTGTGGACCAGGTACCGGGCTCTGGGCAACTATAAGTGTTTATCAGCCCTACCCTGACCTCTGCTGTAAGGTATCCTAGGAGAGCCTGAGGGAGCTGGAGGCCATTCCCTGCTCACTAGGGTGTTGCAATCCTAACAAGATAGAGATAATGATAAGCCATGCCAAGTCAAATGTCAATACCAGGTCAAAACAGAAGCTGGAAAGAGGACATAATGTAGGCTGCCGTGGCCAGGACAGACCTTCAGGAGGAGGGCAGGGTGCAGGAGGAGGCAGATTAAGCACACACTGAAGTATTCTTTCCTCAACCTCACCTCATCTCCTCCCTCCCCTTCCCCACCACCAAGTAGAGCAGGACCGCAGAGAATGAACTTAGGCTCTGGAGTCTTCCTGTTTGATTCCAAATCTGGTGCTACACTTTTCCTTTTGGAGTGATCTCGGGACCATTACTCAAACTGCATAGCTGAGGTATTGTTTTCTTTAAAATGGAGCCAATTATACCCCACTTTCCAGGGTTGTTCTAAAGATTCAATGAAGTAATGCACACAGAACACTTTGAAATTGTGGCTGAGAGCACAAGCTCTATAAATATTGGCTGTTCTTAACCTCTCTTGACCCTTTTCAATCTGTTCGTGAATCTAAGGTATTTTCAAAGAACAGTGAGCTCTCCATGAGAATGAGCTATCCTGAATATTTCTGTTATTAATGATGGGTACAGCCGGCTTAGTTCTGCTTCTATCTGTCACTCCTGAAGCCAGGGAGGATGAGAGGGTGTGTGGAGAGAAAGTCACAGGGAAGCCAGCCCTGGCCCCGGGCAAAGCCCAAGGGTTTCTCCTGGCCCTGTGCATAATAAGAAGCAGCTTCCTCTGTCTCCATTTCCAGCTCCTAGCCCCAAGCAGGCAAGTCATGGAGGGGTTTCCCTTCCTCCCTAGTCCCCCAGGTTCTGAAGAAAGAAAGGTTCAGAGGCCTTCTCCCTCTGCAGAAAGGGTATGTCACCTCAGGCCATGACAAGTCCCCAGCTAAGCATCCGCTCAGGACCACTTAAAGCTCTTGAAAATGAGCTGTCTTAGCTCATGGCAGGTTTCAAGAATCCCTGCAGGATGAAATACCAGCAGTGTTCCCCATAAACTCAGTCAGCGATGTTGATGGTAGGAACCAGGAAAGGTACCGTCCTGCCTAACTTTCTCTCCATCCAGCTCAGCCCTAGAACTCAACACATATAGTAGAATCTAGATGAGTAAACCCCCACACAGACTTGGCCCTGAAATTCCACCATTAGGCATTCACTTCTTTGATATGAACTTCTTTTCTGTAGGTAATACATTTTTTTTTGGTTGCCTGGTATGTCAACTGGAACACACTTAAATGAAGAAGACCAAGATTCACCTCAGCCTCTCCCCTTAGAAATCTCGCAAGTCAACTGGGGAAAACAAGCCACACAGAAGTGTAATACACAAAAAGAAGTGTATACTTCTTCAAAAAGTATATACTTTTGGTGCAATACACAGAAAGAGAGAGAAGTGCAATACAAAAGAGAGAGAGAGACACTATCACACTTGCCCTCAAAGGGATACCCCCAACAACACTGCACATTCCCCTTACCACACCCCCATTGCACCTTCAACACAATATCCCAATAAAAGTAATTAGATTAAATGGTCATTGTTTGTCATGGGCAATTCTCTCACTGTACTGTGAGTTCCTTGAGGCAATTTTTCTCTTTTTATCCCCAAAATTTCGTGCATGGGACAGAGTAAGTAGTCAATGAAGATTTTTAAAAATTGTTAATTAAGGAATATTTTAATAAAAGTAAAATGGAAATGCAAGACATTTTGAGAAGGGCACCAGCTTAAGCCAGTGGTCCTCAGAGATGGCCCTGGACCTGCAACATCACCTGGGGATGTGTAAGAAATGCAAAGTTGTCCCTACCCCAGAACTACAAAGTCAGGAGTCCCCAGGTTGGGCTGGTACTGTGCGTTTTAACAAGGCCATCCAGGTGATGCTAATGCCCACTCAAGTTTGAGAACCAATGACTTCATTCAGCCTTTATCATCAGACACCTTCTGCAATATGGGTTAACTGTCCTCAACTCTGTGAATATAGGCATATATTCATTCAATATATGCCTATTAATAAGCACCCATGCAGCAAAGGCCAGGTGGAGCCAGCCCTGGTCATTAGGTGGCCCAACGATGTCGACAAGATGGCAGACAACATGGTGAGTCCCTAAGCAGTTACTCCCAAAGACCCTCAAAGGCTGTTCTGAGCCAACAGGAAGAAAGGCCACCAAGTTGTGGCTGTGGCCAGCTGACTGCCCTTTAGGAGGAGCTGTGAGGATGAGATTTCCTAGCAGGAAGCTGCTCTGGGGAAGGGGGATGGCATCCTGACACCTGGGAGCAACAGCCTGGACCATGGATTGGGAGGCGGAGGGAATGGGGCAGGGCAGTGGGCCACCCACCTTGTGCCATTGGCTGCCGGACCCTGAGCACTGACTGGTTTGGAGCCTGGTGTCTGGGCTGGTAAGGAAGCAAAGGTGAAAGGGGTGTGGGATAAGGCAAGGTGAGGGAGCAGCTGAGCCAGCATCCCCTTCTGATCTGTTGATAGGCTCCACATCTAGGCCTCTTCTAAACAAAAAGGCTGAGCTGCCGGCTCAGCAGCAGCTCTGTGGGTGCACAGCCCTGCCCATCATTTCCCCCTGTATTAGGAACAACCGCCCAACTCTGGCCCCTGGGGCAGGCCCAGAGCCCAGGGGTGACGAGGAGACAGCACCTCAGCCCTGGAAGGTACCATGTCCAAGTGCTCCTCAGCCAGGGCAGCCATGTTCTCTGGAAACCAGTAGAAGTGCAGAGGACACTCTGTTCCCCAATCAGGGGCAAAGTTGCCACAACTTCTCCAGACTTGGTTTTCCAGGGCCATAGGTCACCTGCTGACACTTCATTTAAACCATTCTCCTGTTATAAAAAGGGACAGTTTGGCCAACCTCTCAACTTACAGGCCCTTTAGCCCAGTGTGGCTAGCCGGCTCTTCCCAGGCACCCACAGGCCAGGAGCTAGGAATGCCTGCTCCACTCAAGGCCCACCTGCCCCTTCCCATCTTCCCCCTCTAGGCAGAGGGGGTCATAAGGGTTGCAGGAGCCTCAGACAGGGGTAGATGACCCCAGGGCCTACCTGTGATCTCAGGGCGATGGGTAGAGCTCACAGGGCTGACAGACAAAAGATAGGGTGCCAGTTACATTTGAAATTCAGAATAAACAAGAAATAATTTTTTAGCATAAGTATGTCTCAAATATTGCATAGGGCATACTTAAACTAAAAACTAAAAACCAAAAACCTATCTTGCTTATCTGAAATTCAAATGTAACTGGACAACCTTATTTTCTTTTTATTTATTTATTTTTTATTATTTATTTATTTTTTTTGAGATGGAGTCTCACTCTTGTCGCCCAGGCTGGAGTGGAGTGGCACGATCTTGGCTGACTGCAACCTCTGCCTCCCAGGTTCAAGCAATTCTCCTGCCTTAGTCTCCCTGGTAGCTGGAATTACAGGCACCCGCTACCATACCCGGCTAATTTTGTTTGTATTTTTAGTAGAGACAGGGTTTCACCACATTGACCAGGTTGACCTCGAACTCCTGACCTCAGGTGATCCGCCTGCCTCAGCCTCCCAAAGTGCTGGGATTACAGGCGTGAGCCACCGCGCCTGGCCTGGACAACCTTATTTTCATTTGCTGAATCTACCATCCTTACTCTATCAGCAAGCCCAGAATAGGAAAACCTGGTTTTTCCAAAGCAGAGCTTAATATCACAAGAGAAAGAGCCTTGAAAATACTATAGAGTAAGGCCTCATTCACATGGGTGAGGTTGATAATTTACTTCACAGGTGAGATGACAGTATCAAGGTTCTGTCTGGCCTCTGGCCTCTGGTCAATTGATTCAAACTTTGGATCCCAGCTCTGGTGCAGCTGTGCTGCCTAACCTCAGCAAGTCACTCCCCCTTCCTGGTGGTCAGTTGTCTCATCTTCAGGTTAGGACAGAGTTTCTCAACCCCGGCACTGTTGACATTTTGGTCCAGATTACTCTTTATTGAGGAGGGTTATCCTGTGTATTATAAGATGAGCAGTGTCCCTGGCCGCTACGCACCGGATGCCAGCAGCACCCACCCCAATTTGCCAATGTCTCATGGGAGGCAAAATCATGCCTGGTTGAGAACCACGGGGTTAAATGACCCTATATCCTAATATCTAGGGCTCCCACCACTTTTAACAGTCGAGAATTATTGGGTTTACACATGAATTTGTGGCAAAGATTCCTCTTAAATATCCAACTCCCATAATGAATCTAACAGGAGATGTGAATGACCAGGGTTTGATTACATGTAAACTTTTTAAAAATGTATCCTCTACCTCACTCCCCTCAACCTCATTCCAGCATTCAGAAATTGACCTAGCCTGATTCCAGCAAGTGGCTCCAGCTCTTTGATGGCCTTACAGACAGCAATGACTTAATAATACTAAAAAATAAAATTATCATCACCCTGATTGAAGGGAATGATTTACTGGAACTTCTTGGGCAAACAGTTTTTGCTAGTTTAATATTAATATGACTACTACTAACGATAGAGTGTGTAGAGTGCCTACAACACGCTAAGACCACACTAGGTTATGTCATTTAATCTTCACAATAGACCTAGGAGGTTGGTGCTGTGCTTATTCACATTTAGCAGTTGAAAAGAAATTAGGCAGTTTGCCTAAAGTCACAGACTCTGCCTGTGCTCTTTCCAACACAGAAACAGTCTATTTACATACAGCTCTCACAGGAGTAGGGAAATTCATTCCTCCCTGGGCCTCCATTCCAGGTAAATACTCACAGTCTTTCATCTCCAGGACCGAAATCTCTAGGACCACACAGAACCCCAGTCCTTATAGGGCTGCCACGTACAGACAACACACTGGCTTGTAAATGTATCTTGACCTTGCTTTTACCTTGAACCACTCTTTGTAACTCCAGGGCCTACTGTAGGAGCCCTAATCAGCCCTACTGTAGGAGCCAGGCCCACATCAGGCACTCCCTCAATAAATGGTTGCTAAATAACTCAGTGTTCCCCCATTTCAAAGATGGAGACACTGAGGTCCACCTCTTTCCGTGCAAGTCATTATCTAAAAGAAAACCAACGCTGGCTCTCAGGTTTTGTTTGTCCTGAATCCAAAATCCCCCACAGTGCTGATTCACTTTGTTTTCTTAACTTGCTCTTAAGATCCCACATTTCCTTTTGTATTATTAGTGGATGGAGAGTTGATTGGATTTGAGTGACCTGGTTGCCTGGTGGCCCAAAGGACTGGCCCAGGAGACCACTGAAGAGTTCTAGAGCCTGGATCTGGAACTGGGGCCTGGAAAATCGTGTGTCCGTGCCCTCAGTTACTAGGTCACCTTGAGTGGGGCTGCCACATTGTTCCATGGCCCAGTTTCCCCTCGGACAGCATGCTGAGTGAGATTCCCCCCACGGCGTGCTATTATTACCTGGCACACCAAGGAATTAGGCCACTGCTACAATGAGGCCACCCCGCCCTCCAAGATTCTTCAAAATTCTGCTCCTTAGAGCAGGACAACAGGGCAATGTAGGGCAGTGGCTCCAATTTGCTGAGGACTGCAGGATGAAAGAGGGCATCTTGGGGTGACTGGGTGAACACTGTTCTGGGACACCCAGCTATGACAGAAGGGACCACAGAACAAAAGGGTGCAAACTGTGGGCCTCACCCTGGGGGGAAATGGGTTTAGAAGTCATACACACACACACACACACACACACACACACACACACACACCCTACATATACCACCAGGGAGTCTAATTTTAGTAGCCATTTGCCCCAGCAAAGCACTTTGCAAGTAGTTATTTTGAGAAATGGTATTAGCCATTCGGTTATTTTTAATGCCCCTTCTGTGACAGGCATTTGTGACATAAACAGCAGCTGAAAGACCATAAACCCATAGCCCTTAGATGTGTTCAGGGCCCAGGCAGCAGCCCCTTGGGATGTCCCAAGCCCAATTCAAATGGAGGGAATGGGCGAGCATCTTGTACGCCCTGCCGGTCCCGCCTCACTGCCTACTGCTCCGTTCACTGGGGATGGGCAGCAAGATTTGACTGAATGGGAAGCCCCTCTGGTCTGTGACAGCCAGTGTGCTAATGACAACCTTCAGTGCTTGCCGACAGAGTGCAGGTGAAAATCCACACTGCTAATGAAGGTCCCTCGTGGGCTGTCCCCAACCTGATGTTCTCAGACCCTGCTCCCAACACATGGCTTCCACACTCTCTGCCTTCCCACATCCTCCCCTCTGCTCAAGCTGACCTCTCATTTGGATCAGCCCACTCCTCATCTCTCATAACCCAGCCCCTGCTGATCTGCATGCTCTGATTCCCCATAATGAAAGAGCTGGATCACCTCCTTGGCCTTCTGCATCTAATAGCTTGAATTGTTGGCCACCTGTGTACTTGTATTTCTTATTGAAGCCACTGCATTTACTCTGTACTGAGGATGCACCAGGCATCATTCTAAGCCCTTAATGAAGTTCAGGGAACTTTCCTGAGGATCCTAGCTGGTATCATCATCATCTAGATTTTCGAGATGATGAAATGGAGGTATAGGGAAGTTACCCAAGGCTTCTTTGCAAGTAGTGCTCTAAGCAAGACTACAGATGCAAGAGCCTCACGGTCTAGGTCTAACCCTGGTTCTGCACCTTGGAACCATGGACAAGTTCGTCAGTCTGTGCCTCAGTCTTTCCCTGAGTTCCTGTAAAGATTAAATGAGTTAATGCTTATATGATCCCTTTACAGATGTCTGGCACATGACAGGCACTGTCTAAGAGTCCTCGCTTGTATGGGAGTGGAGAGGAGAGGCCAGAGTATTGTAAGGTAAGATGTATTAGTGCCTACAATGTGTTATGCAATGTACTAAAGCATTCTGCATGTATTATCATATTTAATGCTCATAATACCTTGTGAAATTTTACAAAGAAATTAAGCTTAGAGAAGTGAAATCATTCTCCTGTGGTCAAAGCCAGTGAATGGGGATTTGAACCAGGTAGCTGAACACAAGTCTAAGTTTATTAACCTGAATCCTCTGCTGGTTGTCTTGACTCTCTGGAAACTGATCATGTCTTCAGATTTCCCACAGTTCCTGGCACTAGGTTGAGCACTCTAAACAGATTCAATGCCAATTGCAGGCTTCTGACAAGGCTTCCTAAATGCAGAGCCCTGGCTGCAGATCAGGAGACCCTGGCCCCTCCAAGGGCACCCCGGCTAATCAGCCTCTTCTTCTGACTTCTGACTCCACCCCAGGACAGGCATGGTGCTTCGAAAGCAGAAGTAAGGCAGCAGAACACTTGGAGAAGCCTCGCTGAGGGCCAGGGCCTGGTGGTTCGGATGGCAGCAAGCTGCCCCCAGGGACCCAAAACCCAAAGGTCAGGAATGTAGTACTGGCCAGCCAGGGCAGGCACTGCTGTGTGGTAGAAGAGAAGTCCAGAACTGTGAGGCGTCAAGCGTGAGTTGGAGGCAGGATGGCAGTGAGAATGCACGCCCAACTGAGCGAGTGCGTGTGAGTGAATTATGTGTGTGGTTCAGTTTTAGGCACTGGGCAGATTTGCAAAGCTCATCACCCTCCTAGAGTTGCCTGCAAAAGGCCACATGTTTAACACCACGTCAATCAATCAACGGAGGTGCACTGGGTGGGGAGTGTGTGGCCAACCCAGCACGGGGAGCCGTGCAGCTGCAGGGAAGAGAGCATCTCTTTCCCCAGTGGCTCATGGTCATAGCCGAGGACACAAGACTGGCCCTTGTGGGAAAATTGAGGGGACCTGTTAAATGCTGACCTCTAATGTGGTTCCAGTTGAGTCACCATATTTCTTGTGAACCTCCAAAGCACTGGAAGACTTCTGGGCCTCGCGTGGCTGCAGGTGAAACATACAGCCAATCACTCCACCCTGGAGTCTTGGTTTCCTCCCCTGCAGAATGAGAGTGACGCTGATAAGACATCTCAGGCAGAGGCGAAGGAGGTGAGCCCTGTGGGAATTTCGGCTGCCCCTGTGCCAGGCTGAACAAGACAGGGCCTTTGCTTTCTGGGGGCTGATGAGTCATATAAAGGGGATAGAATCAAACACTCAAAAGACAATAACCGCAACACAGGGCTGGGTGAATAAATACACAACTGGCTACTCAGAATGGGATAACCATGGGAGAGGACTTTTAATGCCAAAGAAACTCACCACGTTGCCTTTGACTTTGAAAAGTGATCTGTGCTTAATCTGGCATTTCGCCAATTGGACCATGAGCAATGGGGTCCCAGTCCTCATTACCCAGTGCCTCCTTTGCTTCAGGCCAGGGCTGAATAGGTACTTAGGACATTCCTAAGAAGGACTGTGCAGGAGGAGGCTAGCCCAGCTGCCTGGCTAGCCTCAGCACACACATTCCCTGGAACAGCAGCCTCGCTTACTGCCAGACCCCACAGGGGTTTCTGCAGGGGCTGGACAAACGGGCACATGGGGATGAAAAGGGTAGAGTCCCCAGAGTCAGTCAATGTCAGTGAATTGGCAGCCGCTGCTCACAGAGCTGTCTGGATTCTTTGCAGCCCAGAGAGCACCTTTCACCACCCAGATGGGGAGGCCTTGCCAACCCTGAGCCCCTCAGGGAGGTCATACGTGTGATTCTCAGACACCAGAGGGAGCAGTTTTCCAGAGAGTGAAGAAATGGGATCCGGGAAGCTTGGTGAATTCGTCTGCTGGGGCTGCCATCATAAAGTATCAAAAACTGAGTTGGATTAAATAATAGAAATGCATTGTCTCACAGGTCTGGAGGCCAGAAGTCTGACATGGAGATGTCGTTGGGGTCAGTTCCTTCTGAGGGCTGTGAGGGCACATGTGTTCCAGGCCTCTCTCCTAGTTTTCTTGTCCTTCCTTGGCTTACAGATTCATCACCGCAATCTCTGCCTTCATCTTTATAGGCATTCTCCCTGTGTGCATGTCTGTCTCTGTGTCCAAAGTTCCCCTTTTTATAAATATGACACCAGTTATTTTGGGTTAGAGCCCACGCTAATGATCTCATCTTAACTTGATCATCTGCAAAGACCTTATTTCCAAATAAGGTCACATTCACAGGTACGGAGGGCTAGGACTTCATTATCTGTTGGGGAGACACAATTCAACCAATAATATTTGAGTTCCTCAAAGGAAAAACAGCTTTTTAAAAAGCCAAACTGAAATTCCTAACATTACTAATATACTGGAACAGAGTCCCAAGAAGTAGGCTCAATGTGTGAAGGAGCTTCCCGGTTCCAGCCCCCACGTTACCCCAGCCCAGGCCTTTGTGGCCTCCCGCCTGCACTGCTCTGTGATGGGCCCCTTGCCGGCTGCCCTGACTTGGCCTGTCTCCCTTCTGCTACCTCCGCATCAGGCTGCCACACCTTGCATCTCACCACCAGGTCCACCTCGGTCACGACACCTTCCTGGTCTAAAGGCCCCAGTGGCAGTCAACCACCCAGAGGGCTGACTGTGGCTCACTCCTTTTGACTTCAGCACCCTTGGTAATCTGCACCAACAGAAACATCGGCCAATGAGTGCCGTGATTTCTCTGCCCGTTTTCTCATTCATGAAAGGGAGAAAAAACGAACTCTCCATGCATCTACTCCCAACACATTCCCCTGAGAAGCCTGCGGGGAAGCTCCCTGGGAGCCCATTGCCAAAGCTTCCACCTCATGGAGCTGGCGTGTACACAGACAGGCACAGCCTGCCGTGCTGGGCCACCATACTGGTGACTGGCTGTGCTCTGGTCCCAGCCCAAGGGGTGGGCAAAAGAGGAAAGCCAGCCTCATGATGAGCAGAGGACAGGGAAGAGACCCCCACACCAGGGACTGACCCCTCCATTCCCTCAGAGGAAGCAGAGGCTACTGAGCCACCAGTACCCCCGCGGTTCCTCCCTGTAGTTGCTCATGGAAAGCCACCAGCCTCAGGAAGTCTTCCTGTGTGGAAGCTCACTGGCACCAAGGCAGGCTGAGCCCCTCTGCCAAAGGTTCTGGGCAGCCATCGGTCTGATAAAGACACAGAGCCCTCCTTGGAGGCCTGGAAGCCCCACCCCTAGAAGGTGGTCCTTGAAAGCTCTGTCACTCATTTCTTCTCCAGAGCCCCTGAAGCATCCTCCATGCAGCTGTGCCCACCTGACCATACAGCCTGGCCCTCCCTTAGCAGCACCCTGGACTCCATTCCTACCACCTCCTTGACAACAGAATCCTGTCTGTCACCCTCCTCACCAGGTGCGGGTCTTCAAGATAAGAGACCACCTCATGCATGTTACAAGGAATGCTCTAGAAGGAGCACCATTCAAGAAAGAGAGGACAGGGCCGGGCACGGTGGCTCACGCCTGTAATCCCAGCACTTTGGGAGGCCGAGATGGGCATATCACAAGGTCAGGAGATCGAGACCATACTGGCTAACATGGTGAAACCCCGTCTCTACTAAAAATACAAAAAAATTAGCCAGGTGTGGTGGCGGGCGCCTGTAGTCCCATCTACTTGGGAGACTGAGGCAGGAGAATGGCGTGAACCCGGGAGGCAAAGCTTGCAGTGAGCCAAGATTGCGCCACTGCACTGCAGCCTGGGTGACAGAGCGAGACACTGTCTCAAAAAAAAAAAAAAAAAAAAAAAAAAAGAGGACAGGTTGAGCGCCCTGTCAGACCAGTGGGCCCCCAAAGCTATATACCATGTTTGTTTACCTACTTGATTTCTCAACATCACTGTGAGGGAGCTATGAACATCCTCATTTTACATACAGGTAAGGTAACTGAAGTTCAGCTAGATTAAGTGTGTTGACCAGGACACAGCACTAGCAAGAGCCTGAGGACACCTGGCTCCTGCTGTCACCTGGCTGTCTTCACCTGGTGTCCCACAAGTACTTCAAACTCTGCTCTCCAAAGCTCTGCTCATTGTCTTCCCACTCGCCATCCTTACCAGCCCCTACCCACACTACCTTGCTCTTCCTGAATCCTTTGTCCTCACTAGGACACCACCCTCTACTCTGCTGACCAGGCAAACAAAAGGACCCAGGCGAACAAAAGGACCAGTGTTGCCCAAGGCCTCTGCAGAGGTCTGTGCATGCATCTCAGAGAGCGAACTAACCATGGGAGTTCAGCACTGATCCTATTGTGTCCTTCCACTGGCTTTTTGTCTGAGCTCCCACTGGAAAAACCCTGCATTCTTACTTGATGAATTTTCAAAAGCAGCCAGGGCTTTATTATCAACTGTCTTTTATGAATAATCAAAGTCCAATGGGGACTCCCTAATTAGCCTGGGCATGAAGGCCATTTGCATAACATATTGAATGCCTCTGGAGTGTCAGGTACCTCAGTAGACATGATGGTTCATGCACTAAACCTCAGCATGTGACCAAGCCTATGGCCAGACACAGATGAACTTGAAAGTGATGCACTGGAAGTCGATGCCCCTTGAGGGTGGGTGAGCTCACAGAGTCTATTCCTGACACTGTTGCTCTCACCTCGTGACAAAGAACCAATGCTGCTTTCTTGCATCCACCCCTGAGTTCCAGAACCCCCGCAGACAGGCTTCCAAAAACTGTGTCCCCAAACTAAGACTGTGTGATATGTAAGAAGAACTGGCAGGGGACCCAACCTATATTATAAAACCTCTTGATCTCCTAAAAGAGAGCTGAGTTTAACCCGACTTAGATCACCAGGACAGATGCTATCACAGAATCTTAGAATCTGAGGTTGTAATGGTCTTCTCCAATTCAATATCAAATCCAGTGCTCCCAGTCCTCTTCTCCTAGGACTTTGTATTTGAGGTGGGGAATAAGGGAGAAAGTGGAAGATGTGGCTAACTTGCAGGTGAGTAAAGGAGAAGTCAGGAAGAAGTAGTGACTTGTCCCCCAATTCCCACACTCAGGAGCATGGGCAGTGGAGGGAGAAGGATGCTGCCACTGGCTTCATTTACATTTGTCCATTTACAAATACCATGGCAACAAGAGCTCAGGCATGCAATGCCCTCCTGCCCAGATTCCTGCTTCAAAATCAAAACAAATCCAGTATGCCTGGAAAACCTGCCACAGCTCAGCAAACTAGGAACAGGTGCCATCAATGTGCCAAAAACCTAAAGGAATCTGAAAAAAAAAAATCAGTTATGCAGAAAAAGAGAAGGCAGGGAGGCCCCTTGGGCAGCTTTGCTCCCTGAGAAGCGGCAGGATGGTTGTGAAACAAGGAGTGAGGCCCTTGAAGAACCTCACATCAGAGCTGCCTACATCAGTAGGGCTGAACAGGGAGGTGAGCCAAGTATCAGGCACCGGGACTCCCTGGTCACTATGGATCACAGCAGTGTTCAGCAGCAGCAGCAGCTCTGAGAAGCCCTGGGAATCACATGGCAGATACATCCAGAAGAAAACTGGCCAGGGCAGGGGCTTGTCCCTGACACAGCAGGTGGCAGCTCCAGGAAGGAGGACAAGTCCAAGCACAGTTTGTACCTGGCATGTTGGCCAGGTTAAACAGCAAGCCAGATGCAAACAGTTGGCACAAGGTGCAGTGGCTTTACCAAACACAGAGAAGAAATATCACAGGATTAAGTTCCCCTTCTGGAACTATTCATGGTTCCAGCTCACTCACCCAGACTCACAGGTCTCTGCAAGGCTTCACTTCATCATCCAGTGCTCTAGTGCAAGATCCGAGAGTAGCATTCTATGGGCAATGAGGTGCACAGCAGAGGAGCCCAAGAGAATTGACCCTCCCTATTTACAGGCAAACACTGACTGCATTCATGGATGCAAAACACGAAAACCTCCCACCAGACCTTGAAAACATTCTTAACTATAAAAGGTAGAGAATGCAGCACTCAAAATAAATAAATTTGAAAAAAAAAAGGACTGGGTGGGAAAGTGCCATTATCATCATGGCCAAGAGCACAGGCTCTGCTGTGAAACTGGCTGGACCTGAGTCCTGGCCCCCAGTCAGTACCCAGATGAGGCTGAGTAGGGCTCAACCCTCTGGACATGCGTTTCCCCAATCTATATAATGAGGACAAACAAAGCACATGCCCCTTGGAGTTGTTCTGAGGTAATGCACACAAAGTGCTTAGCACAGTGCACAGAGGACAGTCTGTGCTCAGTAAACAACTCGTGTGATATTGTGATAATTGAACTTGGAGAAACCATCTATTCTATGTCTGCAGTAAAAGTCAAGAGAACTTATTTCTGAAACAAGATGTGTTATGAAGGGCACATTTAGAAAGCACTCTCAAAATGAAGAGGAAAAAAATACAGAAGCAGAAATACTGTGAGGTCTAAGACAGATTATACAAAAAGATGACAGATATAGAGGACAGGCAGCCAATTCAGAATAAACCTAACTGAAAAGACGAAAACAAAAAAAAGTTTCTTAACACAGAAGACAGACCCAAGTCTGAAAGTCAAAATGCTCAGTA
This sequence comes from Homo sapiens, assembly GCF_000001405.40. NCBI lineage: Eukaryota > Metazoa > Chordata > Mammalia > Primates > Hominidae > Homo > Homo sapiens. The sequence goes on from NC_000010.11 coordinate 77,499,398, forward strand.
GGCATGTATATATATATATATATATACACACACACACATACACACACACACACACACACATATATATATACACATACATACATATATTTTAATTTCATGGTGAAGAATTATCAGCATCCAAACAGAAGATATCAGATTATCTATGAAAAAAAAAGAGAAAAATCAAGCTGATATCTGATGTCTCCTCTGCAAAACCCAACAGCAGGGCCAAGTTGTCATTCATATTAAAAGAAACAAAGTGCAAAGTGCGATAAAGCAGAATACGTTGTTCAAGAAGATTAAACAGGTGTTAAATTTTTCATATTTGTAATTAAGACATTAATCAAAACAAGGAATTCAACAACAGGAGATGTCCATGGTAATAAAGATCTGGCAATGAACCCTAAGATCTATTAGGTTTAAATAATTGTTACAACTGTGATTACAAATCAAAATGAAAATGAAAACTAAAATTTATTGGAAGAGAAGATAAAATGTGAAAAATATAATAATAATAAGTAGAAGTTTTAAATATCAGATTATACCATAAAAGCATGAGTGTAATATTATGGAATGGGGGAATGAAAAGAAGAAAAATTATTTATCTTACGTGGCAAGGAGTAAGAGGCTATTTCACTCTATACATTAACCATTGGCAAAATATGGTTGAACAATAGTTTTAAATACTTGAGAGGCAGCATGGGTAGACATTCCAATTTAATAAAGAAAAGTATAAAATAAAAAATTTAAATATCTATTACAGATAGACAAAAAAGACTGCAAAAAGCATTTTTTAAAAAACAGAAAGGCCAAAACATATTAGTTATTACAATCAAAATGTGTGGTACACATTATATATAGTATTAACTATATGCAATAATATATAATAAATAAATATATAAAATTATACACTGTTTATAAGAAATATACCCTAAACCAAGTGACAAAATAAGGTTAAAAGTAAAAGAATAAACCAGAATATGCCAGGCAAAAATCAAGTGAGGCTCACACCTGTAATCCCACTGCTTTGGGAGGCCGAGGTGGCAGGATCACTTGAGGCCAGGAGTTTGAAACCAGCCAGGGCAATATAGTGAGACACCATCTCTACCAAACTGTAAAAAGCAAGCTAAGGAGTGATGCCAAGTTAAAGGCAATGGTATCCAAGCAAGTGAAATTCAAGGCAAAAGACATTAAATAAGGCAACACAGGAGGTTTCACATTGATGGAGATAATCCAAAGTGAGTATCTAAAAGTCAATGACTTTTAGGCACAAAGGAAGCCTCACAACACAAAACATCAAATTGTCAAAAATAAGAGGAGACAAGTGACAGAAACCCAGTAGCAGTAGAGGAGTTTACTGAAGTACTATTGCTCTCTCATATATTAAGTTGTCCAAAACTAAACATAATTATGGGTGATTAGAAGGCTGGAATTTCTGCGTTAACTGGTCAACTGGAGAGAACTGGTAGAAAGCTCAACCCTCTGGTTTTGGAGGTTGGAAACTGAGACGGGATGATGAGTCAGTACAGCACAGACTAGTGTGGTCCCTGGGCTTTACCTCAAATGGAAACTTATTAAAAACACACATTCTCAGACCTATCGCAGACCTGACCGAAATCAGAAACTCTGGAGTGGGGCCAAGCCCTCCAGGTTGTTCTAATGCAGGCTCAAGGCTAAGACCCACCAAGGCAACAATTAAGCCCATAGGCTCTGGAGGGCCAGGGCCAAATCCTGCCCCATTTCAGCATTGTTGGGTGACATCAAACAAGTTGCTTAACCTCTCTATGCCTCCATTATCATCATCCATAAACTGAGAAGAAGAAGAATAGTGCCTCCTCTTGGCATGGCCCTGAGGACAAGATGAGATCATGTGGACACAGGCTCACAGTGCCTGCACGGTGTGAGCACTCATTGATGGCTTGCTTTGGTTCAGGAATGCTTGGCAGAGCTGTGCCTCCAGCCCCACTGCTCTCCTGCCTCCCAACACCCAGAGGTGTTGAGGGTGAACTCCTCTGCACCCAATCCTCTGTGCATGTGCCTGAGGAGGATGGACTGTCCCCTGACAATGGATGGATGCCACCTCATGGCTGATCACTGCTGCATGAGGCAGTGTCATAAACCCCTCCTTGATGCTCTCTGGCTGGAGCGGCCAGTTGAGTGACTCATGGAGCTTGTCATCTCAGGGCCTCCTTCCCTGATGCACACGGCCCTCTATCCCTGCCCCCCAGCCTGATTCCTCCTCCCCCTGGCAAGACTGCAGAGCTGAGCAGAGGCTGACCCGATCTGGGCCCCTCGTCTCTGCAGAAGAGAGAAAGCCAGCATGCAGCGGACTCCTGGGCAAGTTCCAGGATGCTGTCCTCAAGTACCACGTGGCCACTGCTACCCATGGTGGGGTGGGAGCAGGGGCAGGCAGAGGCCTTGGGCCACAGAACAAATTCTCTCTGTCTGTGAGCAGACCAGGGTCAGGTGTGTCCTAGTTAAATCAAAATGTCCTGTGGGGCAGGAAACAGTTTTTCCACTCATAAAGATGCAGTTCAAATTTGAGATGTGTCAGGGATTTCACTGTGGCTGACTGTGTGTCATCATGATTAGATCATACACTCGAGCATTTTAGAGCTGTAAGTCCCTATGGAAATCACCCTGTGTATCCCCCTCCTCTGCCAGGTGAGACCCATGAAGGACAGAGAGGCCCTAAGGCAGCCCCAAGGTCACACAACATAAAAATCTAACAGCAAGAATGGAAAAGAAACTGCCTTCTACCACATTGGGTTGCCATGAAACCTAACAGCTGGGGGCGCCTGGGAAGAGAGAAAAAGTCACGAAGTTTCTTCCTGACACTCCCACTGACAATCGTGATTCTGACACCAGAAATGCCTTTTCTTCATAGCATTTCCCTTACATGGAGAAATACACCTCTTGTCTTGCTTCATTCACAGTTAAATATGCTTAGGAAGACGAGGAGACGGAGGCCCGTACTCTTGAGCCACCCACCTCTGAATCCACCTGCCTCTGGATCCACCAAAATACCTGCCCTTCCTATTTGCCCGAATGCTCTCATGTTTCAGAGCCCTCTCCTCCAGGAAGCCCTCCCTGCAAACTTCATCTTACCATCCCCTTTTCCATCCTGGATACTCTAGAGAAATCAGAGCTCAGATTGAAGCTGAGTCCTCAGACTTTCAGTTGCGTCTGATTTGGAAGGAGAAAGAAGAACCCCCACATCTCTGGCACCCCCATGGACACCAAGAGAAGAACTTCAGTCCATCTGACAGCAAAGCCTGAACTCTTTCTTCACTGAGTTCAAATTTGCCTCTACCACTCACCCACCCTTTGTCATCAGGCAAGCCACTTACAACTCTCCGAGCCTCAATTTTCCCACCTGGAAAAGGGCAATAATAATAATACCTTCCTCCTAGGTTGGTGTGAGGATTAAATAAGATTACATGTGCAAAAGCTCCAAGCACCCACAATAGATACCGAACTGGAAGTCACTATAATAAAACTGATAATGACAACGATAGTGATGGTGATAAATATCATTAGTGTATAATCCATACTTGGACCAATTTGGGTTTTTTGTTCAAGACCGCTCGGTGAGCTGAGTGTGGCGGCACATGCCTGTAATCCTAGCTGCTTGAGAGGCTGAAGCTGGAGGACCGCTTGAGCCCAGGAGTTTGAGACAAGCCTAGGCAACATAGCTAGATCCTCTCTTCTAAAAGAAAAACAAAACAAAACCAAGACCACTTGGCAACTCTATCAAAGAAAGGTAAACAGGTAAGAGCTTTTTGGGTTAAAATGTTGCAGGGATCTGAACTCCCACCCCTCTAGGCCAGGGAAGGAGAATGGGAGTGGTAAGAGACTTCCTAGTTTAAAAATATAACAATAAAATCCATCTTCCAAATAAAAACTGACCTAGTACACATTTTGGATTTTTTTTCTTTCTTCCAAAGCTCTGAGAGTTAGTTGAATCCTTTAAAAAGACAGCATGCTCACCTCTTTCTCCCTAGCACCAATGATTTGGAGAGACAGATCACTTCACTTCTGACATTCTAGATACATCTATATGTTGGGATTCTCCGTCCACCCAGCTAGGGCATTCTATGAAGCCAAGAATTTAGTTCTAAGCTCCCAAAGGAAGCTCTATTTCAAAAAGCCGGGTGGCTTTATTTCAAATTGAAGAGGCCATTAAATTCACAATATTTTGCCAAATGAATTTCTCAGTGATCCTGAGCAATCCTCTGAAGTCAGCTGTCCTTGTGCAGTCATGGGCCCAGCACAGAGCAGGCGTACATACTAAGCACCTGTTCCAGCAGGTAGAGACAGTGTAGTGACTGGGACAAGCCTCTGCCCTCATGGATCCAGCACTCCTTAAACAATTTCTGAAGAAACTCAGGGGAGCCAGTGACTGGTACATTCTCTGTTTGAGCTGCCACAAGTGCTGCGGGATTTTTCAGTGCTGGAAGGGGTCCCCACCATATTAGCAACAAGGTATCAAGTGCCAAACACTGTGCGACATCTTACCTAAGTTTTCACTGGGCATTTTCTGTTTAGTAAGTCAGGCACTGAGGGAGGGAACATGTGACATGTCCAATGTTCAGCTTGGCAAACAGTGAAGAGGGGGTCCAATGGGGGGCAGGGCGCAGGTGGCTGGGATATGGTGCTGGAGGGTCTCTCCACATAGGGATACAATTGGGTAGCATCTCCATCAGCTGACGTGTTCCCAATTGTCCTTTCTTGGTTATCTGCCTGCCTGGCAAGAATGTGTTTCTTACACTGCCGCCATGAGCTTACACTTCACTCACTATACAATTTATTCCACTCACTTTTCACAGTGATAGCAGGTTGCCCATATGGCTTTATCTCTTCTGGAAAGGGAGAGTGAGCATGTCCCTTGCCCCATCACCCTCCAGATATGGTGTCTGTGCAGCTGGCAGGATTGGAACCCAGTTCTGTTTCACTGCTCTTCAAGTGTAACCTTCATCATAGTCTACACCCTGCAGAGGAGAAGCCATGGAGTGGGAAGGCAGTGATGGGGAACCGAGCAACCGAGAGGGGTGCCAGACTAGCCCAGATCCTTGCAAACTTTCCCATGACAGCCCTGAAGGCAGAAAAGAAGAAACTTTTACCTCCTACCTCAGGGAGTCTGGATTAGAATTTGAAGCAAGCCTTCCACAAGCAGACAGTTTCTTTATATATATTTTAAATTTTATCTTTTTATTTTTGTTATATTTTTAGAGACAGGGTCTCACTCTGTTGCCCATGCTGGACTGCAGTAGTGCAATCATAGCTCATTGCACTATGATGCAATGAACTCCTGGGCTCAAGCAATTCTCCTGCCTCAGCCTCCCAAATCACTAGGTATTACAGGCATGAGTCACCATGTCCAGCCAGGAAGCTTCTTTAAATTGTTGCATTTTATCTTTTAAAATATGTATGCATATTTTATTCCTCCTCATGACAAATGTGATTGAATACAAAATAATATTCATTCCCAAACCTTCAAGAAGAACTGGTTCTCCAGGAAAATGTGCCATGATTATACTGCAGCTTCTAGCATTCCCTGTGAGGCTCTGGGCTGTGCACCTCTAATGCTGGAAAGTCCAAATCCAGGAGACTCGGGTCTCCTGAGATTCCTTGGCCATCTGTTCATTCATGCCATCCACTCACTGATTCAGGGCCCAGAGGAGCACCAGGGTTAACGGCTGGCGGCTGAGTCAGCAGCTCTCAAGGCAATCACCTTTTCCACCTACTCATGAATCACTAACCTGCTGCCCCCTTGCTACGTGCCTGGAAATGCATAAATGTGCTTAAAATAAGTGGTACCTGGGTAGCAAGTTTCTCACCAGCAGGAACCAGTCCAAGTGAGTACAGGGCAAATAGCAGTGCGGGGTGAAAATAAAGACTGACTACCACTGGCAACCCTTGGTCACTCTTCATTTATTCATCCAACATTGCTGAATATTTGCCCTGTGCAAGGCTCCATGCCCTGGCAATGGGGGGCACTTGAAGGCAAATAAGAGCTTTACAAGGCTCTAGGAGATGTCACTAGTATTCCAAAAACCCTAACAGAAGATACAAAAGATTAGTGCCATTAGAGAGGAAATGGGGTAGAAGCTTTGGTTGGGGGGAAGCTCATTAGTTAGAGGAGAGAGATGTTACTTCTAACTTAGAACATCAAAAACAGAAGCTTCCTGGCTTTAGCCCCAGGCCATGAAGAATGAGTGGAATTTCAGGATACACAGACAAGAAAGCAGAAAAGATAAAATGAACTCCCACATAAGGCAGGAGATAGGGGTGACTAGTTATGTGGGTTGCAGCCCAGGAACACAGGGAGGAATGATGGAGATCTTTGAGCACCAAGAAGAGAAGTTTGGACTTTTTGTTTTCCTTTGGTTAATGAGGAGCCATGAAAGAGTATTTGTGGAGGAAAGTGAAGTAATTAGCTAACATTTAGAAAGTTTAAGTGGGTAGTAAGATGTATGACTAATCAGAAATGACAGAGTCACGAGACCAGCTGGAAGAGTACTGCAAGAGTCCAAGCAAGCAGCAATGGAAGCCTGAACTAGAAAAGAGACAGCAGCAGTGGAGAAGAGTTGAGCCACGAGGATTTGGCAACTGACTAGAGAAGGCACCAGGAGAAGCAAGTCCCTGAAAACCATGCTGCTTGGGAAAGACCAACTCTTTCTCTCATTTCCTCTTAGGGAATTGTAAAAGGAATTCCCTATCACCATTTAAATTTGGTTAAATTCACCAAAGAGTGATGGGGTGAATCACTCTTTGGTGACTAACCCCTCTGGCTCTTGTGTAGAGCTAATTAGAGTTTCTTCTGGAAGATCTGAAACCACCAACAGTGAGACTCCTCAGATGACCCTGATGGGCAGGTCCATGATTCAATCTGTTTCTTCCAGCATCTCCCCACTGGCTGCAGCACATCTAGGGGTTCAACCTAAGGGAGCCCCCCTACTCTGGGTATGGTTAGAGCTCCTTTCAAGATCATTCTAATATCAAAAGAGGGAATCTTCAAGGAGCCTTGTTGGCTTCTTATACTTAGAGAGAAACCAAGAACACAGTCAGAGTTGATGTTTTTAAATACCAAATCTGTATGCATCTATCAGAGAGACAGAGAGAGAAAGAGAGAGAGAGAGTTAGAGAGAGACAGAGTTTTGAAACATGGAGAGAGGGAAAGAGAGATGTTCCTAGAGAGAGAGAGAGAGAGAGAGAGAGTGTGTGTGTGTGTGTGTGTGTGTTAGAGAGGGAGAGAGACAGAGAGGGAGAGAGAGAGAGAGAGAGAGAGCTTTGAAATATGAAGAGAGAGAGGGAAAGAGAGATGTTCCGAGAGAGAGAGAGAGAGAGTGTGTGTGTGTGTGTTTGTTAGAGAGGGAGAGAGAGAGAGAGAGAGAGCTTTGAAATATGAAGAAAGAGAGAGAAAGATGTTCCGAGAGAGAGAGAAAGAGAGAGAGAGAGAGAGTGTGTGTGTGTGTGTGTGTGTGTGTGTGTGTTAGAGAGGGAGAGAGAGAGAGCTTTGAAATATGAAGAGAGAGAGTAAAAGACAGATGTTCCTATGAAGCCCTCAGCTCCTAACCCTCTCTCTGGCTCAGTGTTTGAAGCCCCTCCAGCCGCCCATGGCAAAACTTCCTTCCAGAGGAGCAGGCCATGCATCCCAGACCCATGTGTATGCTGTCCCCTAAGAATGAGAGCAGTGCTCTGTTTCCCAAATGGGCAGGGGAAGCAAACTTTTGTTTCCATAGTCTATAAAACATTTTTAAATTTAAAAACAAATGCTTTGCAGCCTCTGAATTATTAGTTTTTTATTAAAAATACAAACAGCTCTATGGAACACCATGGGAAAATGAGGACTCTTGCAACTTCGTTTGGCTCCCTGTTAAACAGAATAATGTTCATGAGGAAGAAGGTACTGTTTGTTCCTTAAAATGTTGTATTGCGTACAATGGAGAAGAGCAACGTGGAGATGACTTTCCAATGTGTTCCCTTGAAATGACCTGAGGACCGAATCAGGAAGCTCAGTCTGACCAGCTCAGCAGACTACCCCCACTGCCCCATCCCAGAGCTGAACTTGCAGTCAGCCCTGATAAAAATCTCTGGACTAGAACCAGAGCACCAATATCAAGGGATTATCCATGAACTGACTGTTCTTTCCTGCAGGCAGGCTCCACGCTCCTGGGTGGCCAGAGTGCCAATCAGCCCTGTCCCAGTGCTCTAACGAGGTGCCCATTCACTGCCCAAGAGACAACATGCCCAAGCTATGACCCAGCTCCAAGATCTGAAGGGACCAGACTGCCTTCCTGTTTTTCTCTGCATCCCCTGAGCTCCCTCTTGAAAAGGGAAGGAAAGCTAACAGAAAAGCCACTTTCTCACACACTTTTGGTGAGATTTCATGAAAGCTGCATGACCTTTCTGGAAAGCAACTTGGCAATGTATAGAGAATCTTAAAAAACATGTGCATCCTTTGGCCCAGCAATTCTGCTTCTAGGAATCTGTCCTAAAGAAACAAGTCTGTGATGTAAATAAAAATGGACATATTCAGTTCTTGACTGCAGTGCAACCTGAAACACTGAAAAACTGAAAATAACTCAGAGGACCAACAATAGGGAGATGGTTAAGTAAACTGCAGTGTATCTACTTGGGAAACTAATATGCATCATTTAAAAGCATAGCTTCAAAGAATTATTGATAAAACAGGAAGATATTTATGTATGCATCTAAATGCATAGAGAAAAGAGTGACATAAAACATTCAAATATGAACAGCAATCATCTCTAGGATTTAACTGCTGCTTTCATTTTTATTTGATTTTATTTTGAGACAGGGTATCACTGTATCACCCAGCCGGCAATGCAGTGGCACGATCTCAGCTCACTGAACCGCAACCCCCTGGGCTCAAGCAATCCTCCCACCTCAACCTCCTAAGTAGCTGGGACTACAGATACGCATCACCATGCCTGGCTATTTTTTTTTTTTTTTTGTAATTTTTGTAGAGATGGGGTTTCATCATGTTACCCAGGGTGGTTTCAAACTCCTAGGCTCAAGCAGTCTGCCTGCCTCGGCCTCCCAAAGTTCCAGGATTAGAGGCGCGAGTCCCCCCACTCAGCCTGCTTTGACTTTTATGCTCTTTTTATTGTGGCAAAATAAATATCACATAAAATTTACCATTGGAACCACTTTTCCTTTTTCTTTTTTTTTTCTTTTCTTTTTTTTTTTTTTTTTGTAGAGGTGCTCTCTCCCTCTCTCTCTCTTTTTTTCTTTTTGTAAAGGCATGATCTCACTACGTTGCCTAGGCTGGTATTGAACTAAGTGTCTAGTTCTATAGCACGAAGTACATTCACATTGTGGTGCAACTATCATCACCATCCACGTCCAGAATTTTTTCATCAACCCATGGTGAAACCCTGTAACCAAAAACATCTCCCTATTCCCTCCACCTCCAGCCTCTGGCCACCACCATTCGCTTTTTGTCTCTGTGAATTTGCCTACTCCAGGTATCTCATATAAGTGGAATCACACAGTATTGTGTTTTGTCTTTTTGCGACTGGCTTATTCCACTTAGCATAATGTCCTCAAGGTGTGTTCACCCATGTTGTAGCATGTGGCAGGATTACCTTCCTTTTCAAGGTAGAATAATCACTGTATGTCTATGCCACATTGAACGGACATTTCAGTTGATTCTACCTCTTGGTTACTGTTTTTTGTTGTTGTCATTTTGTTGGGTTTTGTTGTTGTTGTTGTTGTTGTTGTTGTTGTTGTTGTTTGACAGAGTATCACTCTGTCACCCAGGCTGGAGTGCAGTGATGCAATCTCGGCTCACTGCAACCTCCGCCTCCCAGCTTCCAGTGATTCTCCTGCCTCAGCCTCCAGTAGCTGGGATTACAGGTGCACACCACCATGCCTGGCTAATTTTTGTCTTTTTAGTAGAGACGGGGTTTGACCATGTTGACCAGGCTAGTCTCGAACTCGTGACCTCAGTGATCTGCCTGACTCAGCCTCTCAAAGTTCTCGGATTATAGGCGTGAGCCACCATGCCCGGCCCTACCTCTTGGTTATTGTGAATAATGCTGTTATGAAGATGGGTTTGCAAATATCGTTTTGATTTCCTGCATTCATATCTTTTGGTTATATACCCCAAAGTGGAACTGCTGGATCATGGTAATTCTATGTGTCATATTTTGAGGAACTGCCATACTGTTTTCCACAGTGAATGCATCATTTTACATTCCCGCCAGCAATGGACAAGGGTTCCAATTTCTCCACATCCTGTCAACACTTGTTGTTTTCCAACTTTTTTGATAATAGCCATCCTAATGGATATGCATTTTTATGCTTTTATGTATTTTCAGAATCTCCTTCGGGAAGCATGTGGTATGTTTATAATAAGAAAAACAAAAATTAACGTTATGTTTTAAAACTGTGCTAGGGAATGGCTCACTGGATGTTATCCACTTTACTCCTCAATGCTGCTGGGCTAACAGTCCTCCTCCCACCCTCAGCAAGGCACAGCTAAATTCTGGGGATCATTAGTTGTCAAACACCAACTCTATGGCAAGTGGAGTGCAAGACCCTACAACCTTATGGGGCTGATATCATAACCCAATTAGCACAATCCCACTGCTGCTGCTTGGAGGCCTGGTTCTCCTTCCATGAGTGTTGCTCCTTTCTCCCCACTCCTACCCCCCACTTCAAGCTCCAAGCGATGACAGGAGTATAGAAAGGAAAGAAAAGAGATTTGGGGATTCACACAGTCCTGGGGTACAATCGCAGCTCCACAGTTGCTCAGTGATAAGATAAGCAATGTCACCTTCCTGGACCTCAGATTGCTCATCTGCTAATTGGGTGATGGTATCAGGTTCATAAGTTTGTAGGGTCTTGCACTCCACTTGCCATAGAGTCAGTGTTTGACAAATAAGGATCCCTATTCATTTCTGGAATTGTGCATAGCTTCTGCCACAGGAAGAAATACAGCATACCTACTAGTAAATACCACTTAATTGACTGATTGAAAGAAACCCGTCACTGTGAGGATCCCAATTCAATTATTTATGTCCTCTCCTGGAAGCCTCTATGGAGTGCAGGTTTCTCAAACATAGTCCTGTTCTCTTCTCCTCAAACAAAGGATCTCAGGATCAAATAAGCCTGGGAAGCACAAAGATTGTTATCTTCAAAAACAGCAAAAGAATAATAATTAACATATGAAAGGTCTGTAACCAAGAAACCTATGTTTCTCTGGCAAGACCCTGTCTCTACAAAAAAAAAAAAGAAAAAATTAGCTGGGCATGGGGGCACACGCCTGTAGTCCCAGCTACTTGGGAGCCTGAGGCAGGAGGATCACTTGAGCCCAGGAATTCAAGGCTGCAGCGAGCTATGACAGCGCCACTGCACTCCAGCCTGAGCAACAAGAAAGGCCCTGCTTCTTTAGAAAAATAAAAAAGGAGAAACCTATGTTTCTGAAACATATTGACCACTGAACACCTTTTTGGCATAACGCCAATTAACAACACATGGAGATGACTTTCCATGTGGAAACACATGGAAATAACATATCTCCAACACATGGAGATAACGCCGATTAACAACACATGGAGTGAGCAGTGCTGCTCCACTCCTCATCCGACCTGAAACCTGGAAGTCTGGTTCCTCAAGGACATCGAGCCTTGAATTTCCACATGCAAACACCTGTGAGTATGTTGGGGCTGCTGCAGATCAGCAGTCTCAAAATTCATAGAGCATGAGAATCACCAGGAAGGCTTGTTAAACCAGCGTCCTGGGCCCCAGCCTCAGTTTCTGATTCAGCAGCTCTGGGCTGGGACCCAAGAATGTGCATTTCTAACAAATTCCCAGGTGATGCTGATGCTGTTGACCCAGGGACCCCATTTTGAGAACCACTGATGCAGACAGTCAAAAACCCCTCACATACAAGTTTAATACAGGACCATACAGGAAATCTGTCTACTTTCTGCAATGCCAAAGAAATCAAGTATAATTCAGAACTTGAAACATCCATTCTCTTCTGGGACAAGTTCTTAAAGGAAGCATTTCATAGTAGTTAAGAAAATGGACTCTGGAGTCAGAAAAGAGCACGTTTGCAAGTCCCAGATCTCCCAGTGCCTGGCTGTGTGAACACAGCAAGTTATTAAAACTTCCCAAGCCACAGCCTCTTTATCTCTAAGGGAGAGAAAATCATGGCAATGCCTAGTTCATAGAATTTCTGTGATGCAGAAATAAAGCAAGCAGGATGCTTGGGGAATGCCTGGCATCTAGTAAGTGCTCAATAAAGATTGGTTATTCTTTTTAATGACTGTTATTTAATCATCTTATCTGGTAAATAGCTCATCTGCGTACTGTCAGCTGACCTCAGGATGTGACTATACAGTCGTCCCTGTCATGGGCGAATGCAGGCTGATGGCACAGGGGTAAAAGAATTTACCAAGAAAATCATAGGTCAAGAAAGGCAGATTTATTAGAGAAAGTGGGGAAATATGTTGCCTGAGAGACAATGGGCAAGTTAGCCTGAGAGAAGCTAACTTCCAGAAGACAAAAGCTTGCTGCAGATTTTAGAGAATGGAACTTGGGCTGATTGATAATGCCAAGGCAGCAGGGAGCTTAACTTGCATTCCTCTGTCAGCCTGGATGTTTGATAAATTGAGGTGTTTGATGGTGAGCAGGAAGCCCGGGAGTTATGTATGTTATCCGGGCATGAAGGCCAAATGTCTTGGGTCATATATCCTGGGCCATATGCCCTGGGCCACAAAGAAAGGCAGACCTGTAACTTATCTGGTTTCTCTTTTGTTTAAATTCTCTGGACGTGAAGAAAGGCAGATTTATAGCTTATCTGCTTTATCTCTTGCTTTCCCCTGGTCCCACCAGCCTGACTCCTTTTCCCTAATTAGGACTCCACAGTCCCCCCTTATCCATAGTTTCACTTTTCATTTTTTCAGTTACCCACAGTACAGTACAATGAGGAATTTTTGTGCTCTGTAATGAGACAGAGCACAGTCACATGACTTTTATTACAGTATATTGTTATAATTGCACAATTTTATTATTCATTACTGTTGCTCATCTGTCACTGTACCTAATTTATAAATTAAACTTTATTGCAGATATGCCTGTGTAGGAGAAAACACAGTATATACAGGTATCGGTACTATCCATCTGCAGTTCCAGGCATCCACTGGGGTCTTGGAATGTAACCCCTAAAGATAAGGGCATCTACTGTATTTGGAGACAGGGTCTTTAAAGAAGTAATTAAGTTAAAATGAGGTCATTAGGGTGGGCCCTCATCCAATATAACTGGAGCCCTTATAAGAAAAGGAGATTAGGGCACAGACTTACACTGAGAAGACAGTGTGAAGACATGGGGAGAAGACAGCCACCTACAAGCTAGGCAGAGAGGCCTGTGATGAAACCAACCCTGTCAACACCATGATCTTGGACTTCCAGATAGTAAGGACTGAGACGGTATATCCGACTTGAGCCTTAAGTCCAAGCCACCGTTCCACTATTAACTCCCACCAGGACAAGTGCAGTGGCCTGAGGGGCCCTTCTGCTTCCACTCCTGCCCTTACTCCCTGGCCTTACTGTTACAAGAGTGAACTTCACCAGTGTTAACCAGATCACACGCGTGGCTGCCTAAATTCCTCCAATATGTCACCTAATACTGAGAAGGAAATCCAAGCTCCTCACCATGGCCAACAAAGCCCTGAAAAACGGCCCCTGCCAGCCTCCCCCTACCCAGCATTTCCCCCACCCCCACCATCACCACCTCATGCCCTAAACTCCACTCAGAGTGGCGTTTTTGCTGTTTCAGAAACAAGCAAGCTAATCCTTGCCACCAGGCCTTTGCACTAGCTGGTGCTACTACGTGGAACGCTCTTCCCCCAAATTTCCTCCTGGCTGGCTTCCTCTGAGTTCAAATGTCTTCTCCTCGGAGAGGCTTTTCCCATCCATCACAAAGAAACCCTCAGCATCATCTCACGCTATTGTCTTCCTACAAGTTAGCAGTAGCTTATCACTGTCTCCCTGAGAGCAGCCACCGTAGCTATCGAATGCACTGCTGCCTCCCGGGAGCCTAGCACTTATTCCAAGGCCTTGGAGCTTAGTAAATATGTGTTGCCTGGATAATGTATGTGAAAGAGCTTTGCAAACTGTAAAGTGCTGCATAAATGTAAGATAATGTCACAAATATCAAAAAGAGCCAGCCAAATAATTCAAAGAAAATAGGAAACAAGGGGAGAAGAGGGATGAGGAATTCAGAATGAAGCTGAGAGATTTCAAGTGATGATTCAAGAAATAAACCAAGCAACCAATTTTGTTAAATATGTGAGGCCACAGGGCGAGGGAAGCACAAACCACTCCAATGATCCATTCAGGCCATGTCTGCTCCACTCAGCCATAGAAACTGCATAAATTACAGGCAGCAGCAGTTTTCCTGGAGCCAGGCAGTAGAACACTCTCCTTGGTGCCGGCCTGGGAGGAGGATCCTGGCCTGGCAAGCAGGGCTGACTCAAGCTCATTGCATTAGCCCTCCCCTCCTGCATCTGGGCCCCTCTCACCGCAGTGCTGCCTGCCCAGGACCTGCACTCCTCCAGCGGGCGGGACTGTGACTCACAGATGGCCTGTCACTCCCAGTGCCAGCACAGAGCACCACCCGTGCCTATCTTTAGAAGTTTCGCAGGCTGAAAAATCAATTTGCCCGCCTGGCACCTGGGTCTGGGGCCTCCCCGCTAACATCAGTGGCAGGCGAAATGTGGCCTCCCCTCTGCCTGCCCTGATGCGTCAGACCTTACTCAGGGTCCCGAGGGCCTGGCAGTGCCGCCCAACAGACTCCTGTGAGCTGCTGCACCCACAGGTGTGCTGGTCTGCCCCTCAGAGATAGCCAGGCCTCACCAGAAGATGCGGGCAAACACCACGCCCTAGAAAATACTGGCAAGGGGGAAGCGAATCACTTTGCATCCTGGCTGCCTGACTGGCACATTCCCCAGGTGGTCATCTGGCACCTAATCCATGTGTGGTCACAGCAAACTGGCTTGCCCAGGTGGTACAAGTTCAGCCTCTTCCTCCAAGCAGGGACCAGAGGTAAGAGAACAGCACACAACTCCACGCCTTAATAAAAAGGCCCAGGAGGCAGATTCCCAACGCAGTGACAACTCCCAGCTGGCCCCCAGGCTTCCCAACTACTGAAAATGGCCACATGTGACTCCCACAAGCCAAAGGGACCCTGTATTACTGGGTATGCGGAGAGAGAACCATCTCAGACATTTCACCATATTAATAATCTCTCTTTCAATAAAGACTCGCTGAGCACCTGGCAGTGGCAGGGTGGGTGGAATAGGGTAAGAATAAGCTGAGGAACAAGAGAAAGGAAATCTCTGGCCCTGGCCCTGTACTTTCTCCTTGCACCTGTGGGCGCTCTGTGCTCAGCCTTTGAGATTTCCAAATCCCCTCTGACCTTCTGCCTCTTCACTCACGTCTAGACACCATTTTTACAGAAACCAGGAGCTACTGCCTGTTTTGTTTTTTTTTGTTTTTTTTCCAGTAATACAGCCTAGGGCCCTGCCCACCCCACCTCCTTTTCTTTATGAGATACAGTGAAGTCCAGCTGTCCTGCAGCAGATGAAAACAGAGAGAGGGCTCTCACCCGCTAGCTCTAGTTGAGAAATGAGAATGCCCCAGAAGAGCTTAAGGGCTCAAAAGCCATCTCTGAGAATTTGCAGAAGCACAATCCTACATGTTTGCTTCCTTAATCCAAAAAAGGATCCAAGGTCATGTGTCTACAGGAGCCAGCCTGTTACGGTGAGTGAGGGGTGCTGCATTCAGCACCGGGGGATGGGGGGGAAAGGAGAGCGTGCAATGGCTCTGCCCAAACCAATCATCACCATGAGGGGACACAGGCACACAAAGGTACATTTTCAATCTTTTATTTTTTCAAAAACAGCTAGCAATCCAGATTTTTATCCAAAATCTCCTTTGTAAATATAGGCAATTGATGAAAAAAAAAATTAAAAAACAATGAAGCCACATGGGCTAAACCAAACACACCTGTAGACTGCCAGTTTGTCCCCTCTCATAGGTAGGATGGGGTGACTGAATTCTGGGGAGCACGTTCAGAGGTCGCTATCTTTCTCTGCTTCTCCCCAGAGAGGTCTTCCTAGGCTGCCTCTCAGACACACAGCACCAGCCAGAGGGCAAGGACCAACTGATAAGCCAGGAAGTGTGGCTCCCATCACTTTGAGGAGGGAATCAGGAACTCTTTGGAAACCCCTGCTGTACACCTTGCTGGTGCCATTTCCCAAATATTTGTGGTTCACCCCTCGGCTTTCAGTGTCTCTTTCCTTCTCTGCCTCCCCACCCAGGGCTAACTCCTCTCCTTCCTGAAGACTCTGTTCAAGCATCAGCTCCTCCAAAGAGCTGCCCACTAAGCAGTGCCCCTCCCTCCAGCCCCTGGGCTGGGAGGCTTCCCGGCACCTGGCATATCATGCACTCTGCATGCCCACACACAACTTCCAGGCACTTGATTGACCCTCACTAGCAGGGAGCTCCTCAAGAGAAGGGCTGGTTCTCTTCCATCCCTGTTATCCCTGCAGCCAGCGCAGATCTTGGAACACAGAGCAGCTCCACACAGAACTGAACCAGCAACTTCTCCAGGAGCAAATGTTTTCTGAGCACTGGCCTATACCAGGTGCATGCGAAGGGTGCATAAGGCCACTGAGATGAATTTGACATATCCAGGGGCTTCAGAGGATCACAGTCTCTTGGGTCTGACAGATGTTTAAGAAATCCCCATCATGTAGAGTACCCACAGCCCACCCCCCTACTCCGCCCCGCCACAGCCACCCTCCTCCCATCCTTCCTGGGTCTTGGCCACACTTGCTCTTCCTTCTGCCTGCAACATGGCCCTTTCCTGAAATCTGCTCCAAACTCCCCTTAACAAAGAGCTTTCTCTCCATGCACCCTCCATAGCACTATTTTTTCCCATTCCCTGTTTCATTTGTGCTTGTGCACTTATGGCCACCTGGCTTCTCCTGTTTCCCTATTTGTCCTGTCTGTGGTCTGTCTCCACTACTAGACCTAACCCAATGAGGGCAGGGCCTGCATCTGCTTCGTTTTCTGCAGTATGCCCGGTGCAGAGGACAGCGCCTGACCCATGGTAGGTGCACAGTAAACAGTGGTTACCCGAATGAATTTAAGAATGAGAAAGTAAGATACGTTCCAAAAGCTCTGCATGCTGCAAAGGCCTCTGAGCCTCTATATGCTGAGAGGCAGCTGGACCTCTGCCTCCTCCTTTGCACGGTGGGCAGAGCACCTGCAGAACTTTCCACTTCTCATGCCTCATCATGTGTCTGGGCTCCGGCTCCGGTGCTGCAAAGCAGGTGAAGGGCCCCCTGTGCAAGTGTAAGAGGCTAAAACGGGGGTGCCTGTGTGAGCGGCTGGTGTGGGGTGGGCACCTGCCGGTGTACGGGAGACTGAAGGGTGGAGAGGGCCTCTCATGCAGGCATGTGTGAGCAGCTGCAGGTGTGTGAGCAAATGTGCATCACTGGGGAACAGGTGTCTGTGGATGAGGGAGGAAGTGAGGGTGAGGGTGTTTGTGGACATAGGGATGTGTGTTTTTTACAAAAAAAAAAAAAACAAAAGGTGAGGGGAAGCCGGCCTGCATACATGTGCATGCATGTGAACATGCGTGTGTGAATGTGGGGAAGGGCGCATTGGTGAAAAAGGTGCTGGTGCTTTTTCTCCCTGATGCAAACTCAGGCTGGAGAGACTGGGACTAGGCAGACCCTACCCTTGGCACTCCAGGAAGAGTTCCTCCCTCTATGAAGAGCTGCCTGACCTCATTCAAGGTGTACAGAAAGAAAGCAGTGTCACCGGAACCCAGGCCTCCACCATAAATGGGCCAGAGGCAATTCCACAGCAGTAACCGGGCAGGCAAAACCACCCCTGGAAAACACAAGCTGACACGAAGGATGAGCCTCTCAGGCCCCCTGGGCGTGGGGTCCCTGGAATCCCTCTGTCCCTGGCTCCTAGTGATTTTACACCAAGGCTGAACACATAGATTTGAGGCACCAGTGCAGTGCAGGACATGGGCGTGTTATTACCAGCTCCATGGTTAATGAGCATTGCATCCACTGGGAGCAGCCAGGCTGGGGATGCTAAGACCTGCTGGGTGGTTCTGCTGAGTTGGGGCTCATGGGGCAAGAAGGCCAGTTTCTGCCAGCCCCTCCCAGCAGCAGTGAGACAAGGACACAGACACTGAAGGGCCCGTGTTCTCAGCCTCTCCCCCTCCGACTCCTGCCCATCTTCCTGGTCACATCTCCTCCCACCGTCTGCCTTGCTTGCTGAGTCCATGCATTTGTTCATTTCCCCATTCAACAAGGAGGTATCAAGCACCACTATTTCCCAGGCACATTCCTAGGGTGTAGAACTGAAAAACACAGGTAAAGTACTGCCTCCATGCAACAGACATTGTAGTTGAGGAAACAGGCGATAAGCCAAACTGATAAGAGAAATATAAGGTGTGTTAAGACAAATATAAGATGGTGACAAATGCCCCAGAGAAAATAATAAAATAGGGAAGGGAGGCAGGAAGAGGGGCCGTTAATCAGGGTAGCCAAGGAAACTCTCCAGCAGCCAGCCTCGTTCCCTCCCCAGAGGCTTCACAGCTGCTGTTCCACACACCTGAAGTACTGTTCCCTCAAAGATCCCCCATAGTTTCCTTTTCCAGGCAAGTTGATCTTGTTCCACTCATTGGCCACTTCCTTAGAAAGACCCTCCCTGGCCAACTACATAAAACAGGTTCCCCATTGCACTCACATCACTATCCCCTTAGCCTGTTTCATATTCTAAAACCAGTTCTCATTATCTGAAGTTAGTTTATTATTTATTTACTATGTTTCTGCCTCCCCCAGTGAAATATGAGGTCTCAAAGGAGAGAGGATGTGTGTCTTGCTGACCACTATATCTTCAGCACCCAGAACAGGCCAACACATGGCAGGCCCTGGGACTGAAATTTCATAGTCCACTTCTTGTTCCTTTGGGTTAAGCAATGCCCTCCCCCAGCATCCATTTAAAAATACTCTCAGGCAAGTGATACATGAAGTCATGAACACTCTAGTATGAATCCGTCACTTCTCTCTAGGGGCTGCTCAGAAATCTAGGAGCACGTGTTAGTACTGAGGGAAGGGGACAGGGCCGAAGGAAGAAGCCCACAGGCTGCCTGCCCAAGCACAGGACTGGAAGGGAGGAGGCCTGGGTGTGGTGCCAGCTCTGTCCCCAGCTTCTGGGTAACCTCTCTAAGCATCCGTTTCTTCATGACTTAGAGCTGAGAGGGAGCTCTTGGTCACCTATGCTTTGGGGACTCCAGCGGGGAGGAAATGAGTCAATTAGGAGGACATGAAGTTGGCTGCCTCCTCACTTTGCCATCAAAGACAATAGGTCTATGTTCTGATCCCTGCCTCAGACAAAATGGAGAAAACCCAAAGATAGTGGGAAGCCGCCTGCACTGTATGAATGCACGCTTGGAGAAGACTGTCTCCCTGCTGCCCAGCACCCACTGTCCACGCATGGTTACTATTAGAAAGTTAATCATGGAAAATGCTGAGGTCTCTTTCCCCAGCCCTGCACCTCTCAGCTCCACACTACAATTTCATCTTCCATATAGTGTTACCAGACAGTGCCATTGGCTCCGTCCACTCACTTGTCCCAGGCCTTTATGACCTTTCCATTCAAGCCACACACCACGTCTGCTCCACAGAGCTGTAAGACACACTGGCTTCAGCCCGCCTGGCCTGGGCCAGCACGCTGACATTTTCCATGAGTCCACATCAGCCAGTGAAATGCTCAGAGGGGATTAAGGCAACCTTCTCCATCACCCCCGAGTTGCTTTAGGAAAGAGAATAACAGCACTGACCCCTCCATTGGCAGCTGGTGATATCCACACACCATCTCTATCCAGAGATGAAAGGCTCCTTCTCCATCCTTGACTTGCAAAACAGGGATTATTTCCCACCTCACGCTTTCTGAAATATCACCAAAGATGCAGCTGTGTTTGAAGGCCAGCCTCATAAAAGGCGTAGGACCCACGTGTCAGTCAACACTCCACTGAGAAGATAATTGATTTTTTTTTTGTTTTATGATTATTTGCGGGCACTGGTTCTCTTTCCATTAGCCTGGATAATCGAGGGAAGACTGTAAAGAGTATTAATATCACGGCCAAGGTCACTCAGCTGGCTCCTGCTGCCATTCCAACCCAAAGGCTGAATTACTATGGCTTTTACTAATAATAACAAGAACAATAAATAACATGAGTGATTATAAAGCCAGGGAACTCTGCAATTACCTCAACAATTAACACATCCCTTCGTGAAACACAGAACAGAAAAAATTTTCAAAGGTTCAAGTTAGAAAACTTCTGCATTCTGTTTGGTGCAAGTGACAGTCAGAAAAGGGCCTTGTTTGAGGGTATGCAGTGTGAGAGTATGCAGTGTGAGGGTATACATGAGGTCTGCAGTATGCAGTGCAGTGTGAGGGTATGCAGTGTGAGGTGTGCAGTATGCAGCGTGAGGGTATGCAGTGTGAGGTCTGGGGTATGCAGTGTGAGGGTGTGCAGTGTGAGGTCTGGCATATGCAGTGTGAGGGCTGGGGTATGCAGTGTGAGGGTGTGCAGTGTGAGGGTGTGCAGTGTGAGGGTGTGCAGTGTGAGGTCTGGAGTATGCAGTGTGAGGGTGTGCAGTGTGAGGTCCGGGGTATGCAGTGTGAGGGTGTGCAGTGTGAGGTCTGGCATATGCAGTGTGAGGGCTGGGGTATGCAGTGTGAGGGTGTGCAGTGTGAGGTCTGGGGTATGCAGTGTGAGGGTATGCAGTGTGAGGTCTGGGGTGTGCAGTGTGAGGTCTGGGATATGTGGTGTGAGGGTATGCAGTGTGAGGGTGTGCAGTGTGAGGGTATCCAGTGTGAGGTCTGGGGTATGCAATGTGAGGTCTGGGGCTGGCTCCAGTTGGTTTCCAACTTTACCAGGTGTGTGGCCCGGGCAAGTCACTTCATCTCAGCAGGTTCCTGCACATAGGGGCTGGTGAGGACTCAAGGATAAGGCACACTAAAGGGCTTGGCACAGTGACCAGCAGGTAGCAGCACTCTCTAAGTATTAGCTGCCATTGTTGTCTTTATCATTAATGTAACTACATCTTAATTAGGAATGATGGGATCTCATTTGGCCCCCACACCAATCCAGGAATTGAGATGAGAATAGTGTTTCCTCTACCATCCATCAGCCAATATCCAGCAGCCACCCCAGGGGAGGCCACTGGTCATCCCACGCCATATAAAGTTCACTGCCCCTGGATGGTAGGCTCACCCCAAGCCTGCTCCCTCATCCTCATTCCCATCCTCAACAGAGAGGAAAGTCCACCACTGTCTCCATTTTAAAGAGGCAGCCTGTGACATCCAAGAGACCTTCCAGCCTCAGGGAAAGGCGTGAACAAGAGCTCCAGCTGGGTCTTTACAGATGAAGCCCCACTTTGGTACCTCTTCTCCTAACAACCCCAGCTTTTGGAAGACATCAAAATTCCAAAGGCTCAGCTGCAGAAAGATCTTCCAAATTTCTCATTATAGTTATTCCCTGAAAGGCCAAGAGCTTTATTCTTCATCCATTTACTCAACACTTTCATGGAGCAACTGCTACGACGTGTCAGCCTCTGCAGGAGGCAGCTTTAAACTAAGTGTGACAGATGAGAAAGAACCATAACACACAAAGCAGGGAGAACAGTGATTCCAGCCAAAGAAAACAGCATGTGCAAAGGCCCTGAGGTGCATAAAATTTGGCATGTTCTCTGTGGATAGGGTTCTAAATCATGTCCAGGACAGGGGGACACCTTTGTGTCACCCTCATCTGAAAGCAACCTTTAAGAAGCCACAGGACAGACTGTCTTCAACTCAGAAAACCTCCCTGATACCCATCTTCCATCCTCCACCCCTACATTCTCACTCTTGTCTGGTTTCCTCAGTTACCATCCTGGTGCCTAATTTCTGGTGGCAGCAAAGTGCAAGATTAGAGGCCCACACACTAGTGCCCGGAAGCTTGGGCTTCAATCCCAGATCCGCCAATTATGGCTTCAGTGGTTTGGGGCAAGTGATTTAACTGCCTCTCTGTGCCTCAGTTTCCTCATCTGTAAACCATGGATAACAGAGAACCTCTTTGGAGATCTGCTGTAAGGATCGGACAAGTAAAAAGAAGTGAGGCTCTTGGATAAATAAATATCTAAGGCACATAGAAGTTCCCTGAAAATGTGGGCATTATCAATATTTATTTTAAGCATCATCATTTTTCTTATTATATTCCCTTTCTCCATCTGGTCCCTTGAGAGTGATGACTCGGTTGAATGAATGACACCCACCCCAGTTTCTCACCCCATCTCCCAACACCAGGATCCTTTTGCCTAGTGGGTGGTTATCACTTAGATGTGCCCATCCCCAAACCTCACTTGATATAGTGATTTCTGGAGACCCTAAGAGGACTCAGGGACCAGGCACGGTGGCTCATGCCTGTAATCCCAGCACTTTGGGAGGTCGAGGCAGGTAGATCACCTGAGGTCAGGAGTTTCAGACCAGCCTGGCCAACATGGCAAAACCTATCTCTACTAAAAATACAAAAATTAGCCAGGCGTGGTGGCAGGTCCCTGTAATCCCAGCTGCTCAGGAGGCTGAGGCAGGAGAATCACTTGAACCCAGGAGGCGGAGGTTGCAGTGAGCCAAGATCATGTCACTGCACTACTCCAGCCTGGGTGACAGAGCAAGACTCCATCTCAAAATAAATAAATAAATAAATAAATAAATAAGACTCAGGGGACTTCCTGCACATTCCCATGAGCCATGAGCCATCTCCAACACCTTGGGGCAGAGTAGGGGACTCTATGACTCCACTGGGGAAGGGGTCCTGCAATGGGGCCTGAGATGTGCTTTCCCCCAGCTGACACTCTTTTCCTTATTTAACTTTTTCAAAAACTCCCCCAAATGTTTTGCCTTTTCATTTGCCTCGCCTCCTCCTTAACACTCTCCACCTGCCCCAAAATCCCCAGTAGTTTCAAAATTGAATAACTGTCGGGAACAGCATTTAAAGATGCTAATTTAAACACACGTGTCAGAAAAGGCAAGCTGGATCCCTGCTCCTAGCAACAGCCCCTCACCCACACCTCACAGCTGCTGCTGCCCAGAAACAGGGCTTGCTTGAGTGAGCTGGCAGGGGGGCCGGATACAGGGAAGCAGAGTTGTGGGACCTAGCTCTGAGCCTGCTTCTGGCCTTTCCCCTTGGATGGAGGTCTTTATCCTTGCAGGGCAGCCTTCAAAGGTGCAAACTCTGCCAAGCTGCCAATTCCTCAAGAAAGGGGTCTTGGGGCAACCAATGGTTTAAGTAAACCCATTGTATCACATTTTGAACATACAGAACTGCTAACACAGAGACCTCTAATTTCCTTTAATAAACCCAAACTCTTCCATTTGAGTAAGCTTCATACATTAAATAGCAACACCTACTGTTAAAGCATAACAAGTCTCCTTTCCATTTTTCACATCATAAATGTAAGTTTGGGTCCCATCAAGGGGCAGATTCCTCTAAGTGCCAATGTAAAGTGCCCCCTCCTCTATGTAGTCCTCCTGAATGACCCTCCATGCCACAGGTGGGAGTGGTCTTTTCCTCCCCTGAACTCTCTCATGCTCTTCCCAGCTATCTTTCATTGTAGCAAGATCTTGGTCAAGCTCATGCATAGCTTATCTCCACTTCTAGACTGGGACATCCTTAAGAACAGAAGCTATGTCTTACTCAACCTTGGACGTGCCCCCCCCCCTTGCAATCACACCACAGAACCGCATAGTAGGTGCTTAATAAATAGTTATAAATTATTAACATCAGTCACCTTGGAGCTCTCCAATTTAAAGAAACAGTTTTTTAAAAATATGTATAGTAAGTAGACACTGCCCCAATAGTTGGTCCCATTGGTAAATATAGCTTTTCATGTGTTGGGTTTGCTTCAAATGGAGGTATAAAAACACACAGAAAGACCAAGACAGAAGCTAAAACATAGGGAATGCAAGCCTGGTAACCTCTACCTGGGAGAGAAATTTGCCCAACTGGGCAATGTGCAGGCAAGGCTGATGTCAAGGGAAGATGCTGGAGAAGAGAAATGCTACTGAAAGAGCACGCAAGTGCCTTTGCATCTCCAGGTAAGTGCTTATTTCAAGAAAGTGTAAAGCAGCTATGTTTCTTGATTTGGATGTTAGTTCCATGGGTGTGTTCAGTTTTGAATATGCATATACTTTGTGGTGTGTTCAAGTTTTAGTATCATATTATATAGTTCAACTTGAAAAGTAAAAATATTTGTGGGATCTAAAAAATCAAATTAGAGTAGAAAGAGAGTTACCAGAGGCTGGGAAGGGGAGTGGCGGATTGGAGGGGAGGCAGGATGGTTAATGGATACAAAAAAATAGAAAGAATGAATAACACCTACTATCTGATAACATAATAGGGTGACTATAGTCAATAATAACTTAATTGTATATTTTAAAATAACTTAAAGAATGTAACTGGATTGTTTGTAACTCAAAGGATAAATGCTTGAGGAGATGAATATTCACTCTCCATGATGTGCTTATTTCACATTGCATGCCTGTATCAAAACATCTCATGGGCTCCATAAATCTACACACCTACTATGTAACCCACAAATTGTTTTAAATAATTTAAAAGCTTTTTTAAAATAAATGACTAAACAATATTTCTCACATGGAAACTTATCCTCGATGTCCAAGTGAAGTTATTGTGAGAATAGGGGTTGTGGTGCAAAAATTCACTCTCTAGAGAACACAGCTGTTACCACCTATAAAGAAAGCGAGGTCTCCACTCACAAAGGAAAGCAGCAGGAGTATGTGAGATGTCGAAGGAGAACGTGGAATGCCTAAGTAATAAAACAGACACAGAAAACTTTCCATCCCCACGGTAAGAGAAGCTTTGGCAGAGTTTGCTCTTCAGCCTCAGACCAACAGAGCTCCAGCATCCAAATGCTGAAGAAGCCAAGAATGTGCAAACTATGCTCTCTCAGAATAATAAGAAGAAGAATATTCCCTTCTCCTCTGGGACTCTTCAAATGTTTTGAAGTTTCTGACACTCTCAAAAACATGCAGAAACCGCAGCCTGAATTTAGAAACCTCAGCATGGTGGTATGTGTGGTATGAGTTCCAAATTCTCGACAGCCCTAGAAACCTGTTTCTAGAGGAGAAATGAAAATACCAGGCACACTGATGCAGCTTGTGGGTTGCTTTATTGCTTTATTTAGGGTGGCAGCTCGGGACTGAGGGACCTGGGTCTCATTATCTATCAGCTACCTCCCCACTCACATTTTCTGCAATTGACATCATGCACAATGAGAGCCACCTAGCTGGTAAGAGAAGGCTCTAAAGACTACTCAGAGGGTTATGCGGGAGGGAAGAGGAGGAAATAATATGAGCCCATCCACTTCCTCTAAACACTGGGGTCGAGGGCTGTCATGGATCACCTGCACGGATATGATCCCCGGCCTCCCTCAGCACCAGCAGGCTAAGCCGCTGTCACTGCCTGACCCCCTAACCCAGTCAATACCCAACCATCAAGATCACAGTCCTCAAATGAGCTCACTTTCAGTAAGGTACCGTGTTCGATTTTTCTTTGGACAATTTTATCTGGACGATATCTACCATGACTTAATTTTGTAGCCAATGTATACACATTAAAATAAGATGAAAACAATACTTTCTGGACCTCATGCAGTTCTAATTAATATAATTCCATATGGATTTATGGATACCAGTTGTGTTCTAGACACTGTTGTAAGTCCTTGGAATCAGGCAGTAAGAATATGAAAAAAGAGACCAAAATGAGAATTATCTCCAGAAGAGAAAGCACATCCAGCCTGGAATATGTCCTTACAGGTTGGAACCCGTTCTCTTCCAGATGCCTTGAGGCTTCTTTAACTTTACTCTTTCTCATAACCACCCAGAAAGTGCAGGGTTGGAGACTCAATGGTTGATCAATACATTTATTGAATGAAAATGACAGGCCCTACAAGTAGTTTCTGGAAGCCCTGCCAACATTTTCCCACCCTGGGTTCTGGTACTGCTCCCAGGCTGTGTGGCATTGACTAGAGTGCTTCAACGGCCCACTGGCCCCACACAGCTGGTGCCTGGGGCCCAGGGTGGATCCATGAGTTTGGGCAACTCCTCCTCATTCCTGGAGCTCAGTTTCTTCATGTGTAAAATGAAAGGATTGAAGAAGATTGTCTCTAATTTCCCTTCCAAGTTCTAGCATTCTGTGATGCCATGTGCACCCCAGTTAAGTGAGAACTGCCCTTTGCTATTCATGGAGGCAAAAGATGTCACCCTCCTCCTCGTTACTAACATGGCCCCATCTTGTCCAGGTTCCCACTCCTTCTCCACAGTGTCTTGCACCTCAGATAAACTGACCCCATTCCCTCACCAGCTGGTGGGTCCTGTCTAGTTTACATCAGGGCATTCCCATTCTATTGACACTGACTGATTTGGAGCCAGGCAAGTGGCCTGGTTTTGGTCAATGAGAAAAATGGGAGAAGTATCGGGGGCTTTGGAGAAAGATTTTCTCTATATATAAAGTCCTCACCAGAAGAGATGGTCCCTGCCTTGACTCTGGACATTGCCATGTCCAGATGTGATGTCCAGAACCACTGCAGCTATCTTGCGGCCATGAGAGAAATCAGACTTGGTATAAAGCTGTCACTAAGGACAGTAGGGTGAAGAAAAGAAAGGGCCCAGGGCCTCATCCACATCACTGAACCACTGATCCATCCATAGTGGAGCCTTTCCTCCCCCAACTCTGTTCTCTTATGGGAGATACATTTCCTTACTGTCTAAGCCAATTTGAGTCAGTGTTCTTGATCATTAGTAATCAAAAGCATCTAACTAATGTAGTGGACCCCCAATTTGGAAAGAATGAAAATATTCTGAAACACTCAACACTAAAACTACTGTACACAGTTGAATCTTTCTAATGTCTGAGAAAATGCTCTACAACACTATCTGGATGGAGGTTACCCTTTCAAATAAATGCCTGACATCCTTTCTTTCTCAAAAGCCAATAGCATCCAGATATTTGCACTTTTCGGTTGCTTGGTTTCTAGACAAATGTTAGTGGCCCGATCATTCCTACAAGAAATGGCACTGACTTGCCCTTCTCCATGGAGACGATGAGCACAGCCATGAACTCAATTCAAAGAGCAGCAGAAGAGTCAAAAGTGGCACCTTGAAACTGAATTCTCTGTTGTGTTGATTTTCTGAGCTTTCAAAGTGTTATTCATTTTTTTCTACCTGTGAATGAATCCTTGATTTCTCAATCTGCCTACTCGCTGAGATAGATTTCAGCAAAATAACAGTAGACATGGGTTTCCTTCTCCTCTCTCTCTCTCTCTCTTCCCCCTCTCCAACTTCCCATCCTCCCTCTCCATATCTCCCCCTCTCTAATTCACCAAGGTAACAAAAGAAACAATAATTAAGTCAATGAGCATGCTCGCATGTGCAACAAAAAATACCTCTCTTATTACATTGCCATTTCCTTTTCAAATCCTTTGGGGGCATTGTGTACAAATATAGTAAACAGCATTAGAGGGAAATAATGCCGACACATACTTCTGGGAGCTCGTCATGTCCCTTTAAGACAAGGCCCACTGTTCAGTTCCATTCTAGGCCACAGCTCGGGTTTCAAGCCCAAGGTCCCCTTACTGCCTCATGCAGTATTAATATGGCCCTGGCATACTCCCAAATTTACATTATGAACCATAATCTGGGCCAGCTCCCACAGGACGAACTGGCTTGGGGCTCCCCTCTTCATTTCCCCAGAGGGCCTTCTCCCCATCCATAGCCAGGCCACCCCCTTCCCCAGGGATCCCCCACTTTCAGCCTCAGCCAGGGGAACACACAAGTGCTTTTCAACAAGTAGTTAATTCCCTAGCATGGAGTATCATCTGTGGGGGCTGCTTACACAATGGCAGAGGAATTGCGCTGTCCTGCAGGCAGTCACAGGGGGAGAGGGGAAGAAGGCACTCTCAGACATTAGAGCCAGAGCCAACTCAGGGTCACTTCTGTGGCAGGCCTGAAAGCACCACCAGGATGTCCAGGCCAGGAGGTCCCATGGGCATACCCAGATCTGCTGAAGGAGGCCTCTCTGTCTCTTCTCTGTGTCTCTTCCTCTCTCTCTCCCCAGTTATAACCAGAAGGCAGGTGCAATTTCTAGAAGAGCCCATAAACCATTTCCATTTATTAAAAGAGAAAGAAAGAGAGAGAGCGAGAGAGAGGTGAGGCTGGTGGGGAGTGAGGAGGAGGCACAAGGAAGGAGTGCAGAGGGGAGGCAAGGCAAGGAAAGAACACAGGGTGGAGGGTGGCTGAGTGGGCCCTGGTGCAGCCCTCATCCCCAGGGGCTGGCTCGGGCTCCATGCTGTGCGCACAGCCTCCAACCACCATCAGGAGGCTACAGGCTCCATCCAGGATGTTGTCTATGGGACTCCTGTCTCTGAGGCACCATGGGGTGTGTTGGGGAGAGACTGCACTCTGGACAGCCTGTCTGGGTTCAATTCCCAGACCCTCTACTCACAAGCTGTGTGACCTTGGGTATGATGCTTAACCACTCTGTGCCTGCATCTCCTCATCTGAAAACCAGGACCAAGAAGAGTGCCCACCACCTGGGGTTGCTTGTGAGGATGGAAAACAGGACCTGGCACAAGGTGTCTAGCCCATGCCTCAGAGCTTGCACCCAACAGAGCAAGTAACAAGGTCAAGGCAACAACAGAGGGTGGACCTGAAACACATCCTCAAGAATCCAGCAATTTCCTCAATAAGTTAAACACAGCATTACCATAGGATCTAGCAATCCCATTCCTAGGCATATACCCCAAATCAAACACAGGCCTGGCACAGTGGTTCATGCCTGTAATCCCAGTACTTTGGGAGGCCGAGGCAGGCAGATCACCTGAGGTCAGGAGTTTGAGACCAGCCTGGCCAACATGGTGAAACCCTGTCTCTACTAAAAATACAAAAAATTAGCCGGGTGTGATGGCGGATACCTGTAATCCCAGCAACTCGGGAGGCTGAGGCAGGAGAATCGCTTGAACCAGGAGGCAGAGGTTGCAGTGAGCTGAGATTGTGTCACTGCACTCCAGCCTGGGTGACAGAGTGAGAGCCCATCTCAAAAAAAAAAAAAAAGAAAAGAAAAGATACCAACAAAAGCTCGTACACAAGTGTTCATAGCAGCACTATTCACAATAGCCAAAGGCGGAAACAACACAGATGTCCATCAACTGATGTATGAATAAGAAAAATGTGGTGTGGCCATGCACAGAACTAAAGGAACGGAGTACTGCTGCATGCCACAACACAGGTGAACCTCAAGAACATTATGCTAAGTGGAAGAAGCCGGACACAAAAGGCCACATATCCTATCATTCTACTCATAGGAAATATCCAAATAGGCCTCAAGAAGCAGCAAGCAGATCACAGGTTCTCAGGCTGGATGGAGGAGAGAACGGCAGTGACTCCCCATTGGTCCAGGGTTTCCATCTGCAGTGCTGGACGGTTCTGGAAGTAAGTAGCACAGATGGTTGAACAGAATTCTGGTTGTATACTTAAAATCTCACAATGGTCAATTTTATAGTGTGTATATTTTACCATAATAATAAAAAAAAAGAATTCAGAAAGGGCACAGCACTCAGACTCTTCTCCCCTGAGTCCTCTCACGTGGTGAAGAGCCAGGCAAAAGGGTTGAGGGCATTGTTGTTATGCACTAAGTTCCCCCACTGTGTTCCTGCCCTCCCCTCTTTTTCCCCCTGCACCACTCTGCCTGTGGTTTCCCAGCTCACCTCTGGGCCTTTCCTGTGCTATTCCCTCTGCCAGGAGTGCAGCCCCTGCCACCCCAGCACCCTCCCACCTCAGCCAGCCTAGCTCCTCTCAGCCCTTCAAACCCAGCTCAGCCCCTGCCTGCTGTAGAAGGCTTTCCCTTGTTAAGATCTCCTCCTCAGGGCTCCCACCTCACTCCCCGGCACCTACCCTTTGTCAAAGCACCATGTTCTGTGCATGCTAGACAGAGCTCCCCACCTCAGCTGTAAGCTTCTTCCATGCAAGGGCCAGATCTAATTTACTCTTATACCCTTAGAGCCGAGCACAGAGAAATTATATAAATAACAAATGAGTTAAAACTACAGACTATTATCTAGAAGTCATGAGATAGGAAAGAAAAATTAGTTATGAAGAAGGGACTCTCAATTCCTAGATAACTTAACCCCATTCTCACCCCTGATCCCAGAACCTCTCCAGGGAAAAGAATGAGGACACCCCAAGCAGAGAGTGACCAGGCCAACCAAGAGCCCCCACGTGGGCCTTTGTCAGGAAAGTCAGGGGCTGAAGAACCATGACATCCTAATCCCAGTTTGGAGTGGACAGCCTGGCCTTGGATTCAGTCTCCGCTACTTTCTTCAAGGGAGCCAAGTACTAGGCTCTCCCCACCTCTTACCTCATTCAAACCTGCAGAGGTAAAAGCCACCTTATAGAGGAGGAAATTGAGACTCCGGGAGGTCAGGCGCATGCCCCGACAACAAAGCTAATAATGTTCAACACCACAGGCATCTGAGGCCAAAACTTGTGACTTTTAAATTCGTTTCCTCTTCCTCCAGCAGTGTCTACATGGTTGCCTCCTCAATCTTCTAACTAACACGAGAAGGCCAGAGACACAGGCAATGCTAAAGGACAGATCCTTGTGGTGCTGGACTAACCCACCGAATGCAGCTGGGTCCTGTTCCAAAAACTCACTTCAAACAATGATGCTATTGACCAGGATAGACAGAGGGACAAGGAAAGAGAGATCCTTGGGGAAAGACACAAAATGATTCATCTCAGCCACTGTGCTCAACTACTTGTGTGGCTTTGAGTAAGTCCAGGTCTCTCTGGGGCTTTTTAATTTTTCCCTTTTGTAAAAAAATTGTCTAAGTCTAACATAAAATGCAGTAAATCATCTCCAAAGTCTCTTCTAGCTCTTAGGTTCTAACACTATTACAACTAACAGCTTCCCCAGAAGGATCTAGAAAAAGTGGCCATCTTGTCCACATTCACTTAGTGCAAGTCACGCCTAGAGCAGACAGCGTTGCCTGTGAGGGTGATGCAGTGCACAAAGCTAAGTCACCATCACCTTTTCTCTGGGAGCTTCTTATACCAATGCCCCAAACATTCCTTGTACCAGGACAGACACAAAGAGAAAGATGCATTTATTCTGCTCCCACCACATGTTCTATAGGAGACCTGTAGTGTAGGTCTCAGTAGTACTCCAAATTCTGTCATTCTCTCCCATCTTCCTGATTTCTGCCCCGCCTGCCTGCCTGCACTAATATTCAGTGCATATTATCCTTGAAATCAACTTGAAATTGTCTCGATTTTTTCAAATTAGCATTGTCCTGGGCAATAATATCTGTGAAATCACGAGCTCTGATGTACTAGTTCTATTTTTCCACAAGTGTATTCAAATACACAACTATAATAAGAAATTCGTCTGTGTCCCTCCTCAAAGCATCTTGCATCCCACCAGCATTGAGGTGTGGCAAAACACAGCAGTAGCTCACTTAGTCTCCACCAGCAAACCTCTTAGGCCAAACAAAGCTGTTTCCTACCATTTTAGAAAAACCGAGACTTGGGGAAGCAAGCGTTCAAGGTGACGCAGCCAGAAAGCACCACGCGGGGCTTCAAACTTGGGTGTGCCTGATTCTAAGTCCCAAGTCTTTGCCGCTCTTGTAAGCATCCAGCTTGTCTACAGCAGATGGGGGTGAATGAAAGTCAAGAGATTGTAAATAATGCCAATGACCTTTATCACCTATTCTACTTAATCCTGTCCTAAGAACTTGACAGCAAGATTTTCCACGATAATCTGAAATGAGAGTAATTCATCTATGCATAAACAAAGCTGACAGCCAGCATACTGAAATGGACAGAAGGAGAGCACTGTATGAGTCCAGACCAGTTAGCTCCCTGGGCAGGTGCCCCTCACCCACGCCAGCAAGGTCAAGGTTTATTCCCACTCCAGGCAACGCTGGGTTCAAGCTGTCCCAGTTCAGAGGCTGTACCACCGACCCTGCCAGCGCTCCTGCAAATGCACAGCTTAGTCACAAGGGACTCCGGCTGTGCATGTGCGTGACTCAGCACACATCCCTCAGCCCTCCAAGGAAAACAATGACAAGAGCACATGGGATCAGCAGTGTCATCCGTGAACACAGAAACACCCGGCCCTTCATGCATAAACCCACCAAAGAAAAGGGCTTCCAACCTAGCCTGGAAAATTCAAGAACTGGAAGGGCTGGTGCTCAAAGTCATCTGGTCTGACCCCTCACAAGACAGCAAGGAAAAACCAGAGCCAAGAAAGAGGCAACAAGGGACTTGCCCACGGGCACTCAGCTGTGTCAGTCCAGGGCTAAAAGGAAGTGCCCCTACAGCTTCCTGCAGAGTCAGCAGCCCCAGGCACAGTACTTCTCTCTGCCCACGTGGCACTGAGGAAATTGCCAATTACAGAGCTATGCCCTAAATTCAGGAATCAATAAAGTGTAAGTGGAGAGCCCAGTTACCCATATGAATTCAACAACAACAAAGAAAAATGAAGAGGAAAACTACCCAGCTCATTATCTCTCTGAAGTGTTTTCCAGTAACAACTCAATACGAATCAGAAATAATCTCCTACGAGAAGCAGCAACTGGGGGGAAAATGCACTGAACTGTGCTTGGAGAAAGAAGGGGCTGGCCATGCATTCCAGCACGATGAGAATCCCCCCGTGTGTCACGCAATATGCCAACTGCAGGAGGATCCCCCAAGCAGGCGTGTGCTAACACGTCATTTGACTCCAACACGAGATGACTTTGAGTTCCCAATGATGTGCGCAAAAGGGACAGATTCTCCCCGCCAGTACAGTGGGCTCTCTGGACCTTCTGACCAAGCCAGGAAGGGAAGAGGTTGGCAGCAGATGAGGGACTGACCAGCGAATGAAAACACAGCGATGCCAGATGCAAAGGACACTCCTTGGGTGGGAAGGAGGTAGGGTTGGTTTATTTTTTCCCAGACTTTTTCACTCATTTAAGCCTGGAGAATACCTCCCTCCAAATTTTATCCAAGAACCAGCCAATGGCCAAACCCCACTCAAAAGAGAAAACATGAACACTAAAATATTCCATGTACTGAATATTTTTAAAGCAAAGTTAGGATTTTCTAGGTTTGTTTCCATGGGGGAAGAGGGTGGTAATTAAATGATTTACAGAAGAATTTTACAACCTCTTCATTTTACAGATAAAGCAAGCAAGACATAAAGAAGCAAATGGTTTTTTCAAAGTAACCCTGATAGTCAATAGCAGAACCAAAACCAGAATGCAAGTGAAAAAATCCAGATTTGCCAAAACCTTCCTATTGGCTCTATGAGAGACTAACTTCTGAGTCCGGGCTATCCTGATGATACTGACAGGGTCCCCAAAAGCTATCATGCCTCTCTGAGTATGTTCTCTTGGCAACCTGAAATCACTCTCTTCCTTAGCTCCTCTACCATCTGTAATTAATTATTCTATAACTTTTATTGAAGACTTTCTCCCCTGCAATAGTAGAAGCTCTACTATTATGCTGGGAACATAATAAATGTTTGAAAATATTTGTAGAGTGAATGCATATGTATTTCTGACATATGAACACTCGTGCATTCAACAAACCAGGGCTGACCATCCAGGGCATGACAGTGCTTTCATCCCTCAGTGTTGCTAACATGCCCAGTGTTGAGACACCCCAACAAGGTCATACTACACATGCAGGGGATTCAACAAGGTCAGACACAACCAGAGCCCCAAGGAGCAGAGTCTACTGGGCAGACTAGCCAACACACAGAAGCGGCTGCATGACACAGGAGAAAGGGCACCCGTGAAGCTGGAGCTCCGGGTCTAGTTTCCCTTCCCTAGTCAATGATTACATGACTTAGGACAAATCATTTAACTTCTCTAGAACTTGTCTGCTTCATTTGCAAACACAAGCCAAACAAGAGGAAGGCAGGCATCCCGGGAGGAGGAACAGTAAATGTTGGAAGTAAAAGCCCTAAGGATCCTAATCTCCTTGAGTACAGGGACCAGTCTTTCTTCCCGCATCCCACCACTCTTCCCCAGATTTGTGTGCCAGGCTCTGCCCCTCCCCCACCTCCATCACTGCCCGGCAAGAGTCACCAAACTCTGACAGCATTATTCTTCCAGCCACTGACCTCCAAATATCCCTCTGATAAAATCAAATCCTAACAAAGGAGGATGAACTCCCCCTGCTTAGGCTTTGTGGGAGAGAACTGCCTGTTGCTCATTGGTAACTCAGGGCAGAAATATCAGAAGGATGAACTGTGGGGAGGCTATAAATGTGTGACTGTTCCTTACCACCTCATGGCCACCTGTACTGTCTCTATAGAGCCAAAGCTCTAAAAGGTACTCATTTGTCTTAGCTCCATGCCTGAATGTTCTACTCCTGATTACAGAGGGAGAACCCTTCCCTCTCTTGCTCCATCTATGCCAAAGCTGGCCCACTATGCTGCTTGGTGCTGGCCTCTAGGCCAGCAGCCCCTGCCAAGGGCACACTTGAGCCAGGCAGCCAGGTAACTCCAGGCCAGGCTTCCCCCTCAGGGCGTTACCAGGCTCCTCCCCAGCTTCTCCCTAGCCTGGCAAACATCCAGCCCTATGCTCATCCCAGAAACCTAAAGATAAAATCATTAGGAAAACTTCTAGCTCAGAGATGATTATTGCTATGTTATTTATAATAGCCAAACAGCAGAAACAGCCTAAATATCCTACACTAGAGAAATTATGGTGCAGCCATACCAAGTAGAATGTAGTCATAAAAAGGGTTTACATAGGAGATGTTTGTTATAGTAACTGGGAGGCAGAAGGCAGCATACAAAATTGGCAGAGGGTACAGTCAGAGCTAAAGAAGTTGAAATAATTTAAAAAATTGGTACAAGCAGGCTTAAAGAAAATGCATCAAACGATAACCAACTGGTGTCCTAGGAAGAAACTAGATACGAGGTCCTTTCTCTATCCACGTTTATGTGTATTTATTATAGCGAAGCATAAACATTACCACTGAAAAGCATCTCATTTTTCCTGAAGGAACCTAATATACTCAGGAAGATCAGGGATTTGGGCATCAAAAGTTCTGGGTTCAAGGTCCAGGTCTATCTATACAATAGGCACAAAAATACAGGTAGATGGAAGGAATAAGATCTAGTGTTCAGTAGCACAACAGAACGACTACAGTTAATAATAATTTACTCTACATTTCAAAATAGCTAAAAGAAAATATTTGAGATGTTCCCAAAACAAAGAAGTGACAAACGTTTGATCAATGTTCTTTCTGTTTCCAGCCTACAATCTATACCTACAACCCACAGCCTACAACCCATACCTACCATTTACAGCTATAACCTACAGCATATAACTACAAACTAAAACCTACACCCTGTACCTCCAACTTATACCCTGCAACCTACAACTGCAATCTATACCATATATACCTACAACCTATAACCCATAATCTACAACCTATATCTACAACCACACCTACAAACTACAGGGATGCTATAAGGGTCGTGGAGATTCACCAAGTGCCAATCTTTACATGAATATGTTATATGAAGGTGGCGCATGAATTATAATTTCTTAAATTCTACACACATGCACACACTCCAGTAGCAACCACACATCAGTTACTAAGCACATCTTAATTCCAGAAGGACGCTCTAACATCCCAAAATACTCCAACCAGGGCTCAAAAGTCAAAAGGTCCCACCATTGACTCCTGTTCATCTACCCCACATATCTCAGGACTCATCAGATTTGGTCCAAGAAGTTTATTCCCCTCCTTCCGAAAAATACGGATGGAAGTAGTTATAATTCAGTTTTTTAAAAGACAGCTATTATCAAAAAGTCTGAAAATAACAAATGCTGGCAAGGAAGTGGAGAACAGGGAACATTCATACACTGTTGGTGGGAATGTAAATTGGTACAGCCACTATGGAAAACAGTATGAAGGTTCCTCAAAAAACTAAAAATAGAATTACCATATGATCCAGCAATTCCACTGCTGGGTATATACCCAAAAGAAAAGCAATCACACAGAAGAGATCTCTTCACTCCTGTATTTATTGCAGCACTCTTCACAATAGCCAAGATACGGAATCAACCTGAGTGTCCATCAATGAACAAATGGATAAAGAAAATGTGGTACATATACACAATGAAATGTTATTCAGCCATACAAAAGAATGGAATTCTGTCCTTTGCAGTAACATGGATGGAACAGGAGGACATTATGTTAAGTGAAATAAGCCAGGCACAGAAAGACAAATATGACATGTCCTTACTCATGTGGAAGCTAAAAAACTATCTCATGGAGCAAGAGAGTAGAATGGTAGTTACCAGAAGCTGGGAAGGGTAGTGGGGAGGGGATATTAAGAGGGATTGGTTGATAGGTGCAAACATACAGGTAGATAGAAGGAATACGATCTAGTGTTCAGTAGCACAACAGGGCAACTGTAGTTAACAAGAATTTATTCTACATTTCAAAATAGCTAGAAGAGAATATGTGGGATGCTCCCAATACAAAGAAATGATAAATGTTTGAGGTGATGGTATCCCAGGTGCCCAGAGTTG
This sequence comes from Homo sapiens, assembly GCF_000001405.40. NCBI lineage: Eukaryota > Metazoa > Chordata > Mammalia > Primates > Hominidae > Homo > Homo sapiens. The sequence goes on from NC_000010.11 coordinate 77,536,108, forward strand.
ATCATTACACATTGTGTGCTCACAGCAAACTATCACAGGGGCCTCATAAATACATAAAACTATTATGTATCCATAAAAATTAAGACAAAGAAAGGAAAATGCACTGGCATGTGTATTTTGCGGAATTATTTGGTTTGGCAACTACTCTTTGTCTAGAGATGGAGTTTAGAATTGTCCCTCAGGTTTGAGGCCACAGTTCCTGGCATCTCGGAGCAGGAGGACGCCAGCATCCTTCTTGTTAGAATCAGACAGCATGGGCTTTCCCAGAGCTTACTTCCTGCTGTGGTCTTTCTTCCCAGTGTTGGGAGAATTCCCTCACTTCACTGATCTTCAATATCCTCATTAGTGACAGTAATGCCAATATTTTTATCATTTAGAATGTGCTAGATACAAAGCTAAGGGCTTCATACCTACGAACTCATCTATTCTGTGCAACAGCCTTACTATGAAAATAACATTAGGTACGTTGACTGCCTCCCCCAGGTAGAGATGAGGAAGTAGAGGCACAAAGAGGTGAGTAACTTACTCAGGTTCCCACAGCTTGTGGGCAGGATGTTGGGGTTGGAATTGGGTACTCTGTCTCCCGCACTCTGATATGTCTGTCAGCTGGAAGCAAAAAGGCCCACTTCAGAAGTCATTGACTAAATTTTAAAAGCCAATGATCTAAACACCATAGTGCACCCTCAATTGGTGTCATCACTGGTCTCCTCCCCAGAGCTGCCAACATCCACACCTTTCTCTCAACAGCCATTTGAACACAGGGAGAACACATGATTCACCACAGCCAATGACTGGGAAAAACCAAACACAAAGCTCACCGCATGGAGTGTGATGTCTTGTGTCCCATTCATTTCCCAGTGATTTGCAGGACCTTGTATGGTGTCTGGGAAAAATGTGTATTGACTTTAGTTCATTTCCTTCGTAGGTTCAGCCTCTTATTATTTTATGTTCATATTTATTTTCCAGAGATAGCCCTAAACACGGGACATCACCAGTTCCAGTGAAATCTCCAGGGGGAGTACATAGAGCCCCAGGACAGACAGGAACTGTGTCACCTAACCCAACACTCCCAAGACTTCTGAATGCTCCTAGAACCAAACTCCTCTTCTGCTCCATTGCTTCCCCTCCACCCCCCTGCTCCTTTAATTTCAGTGACAGGAAATGCCTTCCGTTTGGTCCATCCTATGTCATGCATCACTGTGCCAACTCAGGGGACACATTCTTCAGCCACAAGAACACCACCCCAGCAGAACCACATTGAGCCTACAGTGCCCACACCTTGCTCCAAAAGTCACATCCTTGCCCCCACCCAGGGCCCACCTTCCCCAAACCATGGACAAATGCCAGAACCAGGCCTGAGAAGGGCTCTTTCAGAGTCCAAGACACATGAGCTTCCTTGGAAAGCATCTTCCCTATGGAAATTCCCCCCATGACTGCAGAAAAATTAAAATCACTCAGAATTCTCTATTTCTTCTTAGAGTTTCAGAATTGACTTGAAGACACCTAAAATCCTAATCTCACCAACTCTCCATCTCCTCCTCTGCCTCTAAAGGAAGAAAAAAAAATTTTAAAGAATGGACCTAGCATTGAGAAACAGAGAACAATCTATTATTGTGACTATAACAACTCCTAAGGAGCCATCAGAGTCTCGGTGGCACCGCTGGCCCCATCGTCACCCAAATCATCACAGTGGGCCGTTCGGACTGCAACACGCTGCCTGCTCCTCCCGGCGCACATTCTTCCTGGCTCTCCCTCACTGATTTTTTGGCAGGGCTCAGCAGGAATGGAATGGGCTTCCACGCCCGTTATGATGATGGATGGGCAGGCTGCTGGTGGAGTGGGGCCTTTGGGGAGGCACTGTATACACACGCACATACACACACACTCACATACTCTCACATTCGTATACTCTACACGTACTCTCACACACACTCTCATATTCACATACTCTACACACACACTCACACACATCCACATACTCTCACATTCACATACTCTACACACACTCACACACACCCACATACTCTACATTCACATACACACTCTACACATACTCTAAACACACACACATACACTAGACACACTCATACTCACACATACTCTCATATTCACATACTCTACACACTCACAAACACACATATACTGTCACACTCACATACTCTACACTCACACTGCATACATGTGCTATACCCTACACCCTACACATACCCATACACACTCACACTCAAACTCTTGGCCAGCAGCACCCAGGTGAATCCACTGTGGTCTCGTGGGCCAGGATTCTCCCCAAGATCCTTGGTCGCTGAAGCAGCCCCAAACCCGCTTTGTCTGGGTCTCTTCCAACTCTAGAGCTTTCATTGCCATCATTACCCCCAGCTGGACTTCTGAGTCAACCAGATCTGAGTTAGAATCCCAGCTCCACAGCTTACTAGCTGTGTGGCCTTGGCAAGGTCACCTCTCTGAACCTCAATTTCTTCACGTGTGTCTTGGAGAATGCCAGTACTAAACTCCCAGGCTAATATGGAGTCCTCAACAGCCCAGCTAGATGGTGAGTCCCATCTATGATCCATCAATGGCACCCCCTCCCCCACCTTGGTCCCTCTGCCACAGACTCCATGGATCTCCTTAAAACCTAAGGATATGGAGTTAAAATCTGACCCAACAGAGGGCCTCTATGAACCTGTTCTCGTGCCACAAAAGGCATCTAATCCCATTGCTCCCTGCCTGTGAAGGGCTGGTTGTCAAGACTGATTCAGGGGACAGTGTGTGTGGAGTGGTTAGCACAGGGCTCAGCATGAAGGCTCTGCATAGTAACAGCTGCCTCTGAGGCTAGGAGGCTCCGTACATAGGTCCCCCCTCCTGCTGAGCAGTAACCTGTCTCCTTCATGTCACCACCCACGGTCCTACATCTACCCAAGAGGCTGAACACACTCCAATACAGGCTGGTTGGTCCGGGAGGACCCTAGGGAAGAAGCTGGAGACTCTGAGACTTACACCATTCATAAACCAGCTCCCCCACCCTAGGTAAGAGCATATGTCTCTGAGGAACCCACTTTTCTCTTTTCTGTTCCCTCAAGAGCCTGCAAGGCCATTCTCTTATTTGCCATTCCCAACTTCCCAATGAGCTAGCATGATAGGTACTAACGTTCTGCATTTTAAAGACAAGCAAGCACCTAAGTCAGGTTGCTTGTCCAAGATAATGCAGAGATGGAGATGGGATCAAAACCTATGAGTCATCTCCCAACAACGTATCCACTAAAATACCTGCAATTCTAGTTTTACAGGTAAGAGAATAGACATGGGTGGGATAAGTGAGTGGCCTGGGGATACCCAGATAATGGAGCATGGAGGTGAGGCAGAATTGAGCTTGGGGACCGAAACTCTATCCTCTTAAATGGCAGATTTGGGAGACATTCCCTCAAGAATGAACCCAGCTCTGGCAGGGCCCCTCATCCCCAGGTGTCCCCACCAAATTCCTGGCCCCTGCTATTTTGGAAGTCTATCAGAGATGGGCAACACAGACACTGAGGAGCCACGGGTGAATTCCCAGCCCTAATTTTCTGTTCTGTGCTCAGTCTGTGGGCCCTGGGCTTGGGTATCGCCCTCTCTCTGCAGAGTGTGTGCACCACCCACCAATGCAAATGCTGTTGGCCGCTGGGAGAAAGCAAAGCAAAACTTGCTGCCAGCCCAGCTCTGCTTCGTAATCTGCCCTTTGCATTGCTGGGGAAGCAGTGGGAATACAGTTGCAGCTACCTGATGGTACATCTAAAAAAATAACCAGCTAAAGGGGCCCACAGACTCCCACCTGTCCTCTCCTACCCACCACTCTGGGAGAGCAGCGAAGAGCTGCTGTTTCTTTTTTCTCCCACCCCAAGGAAATCAATATGTTGTGCAAAAACAACTCCTTCCAGCAAAACTCCACTTTACACCTACCTCCATCTGGACCATCCCTTGGAGCATCCCCCTAATTCACCAATAATTCCTCCCAGAATCATCATGATTGATTTCACAGACCTGGGTTGCTGCCTGTCCTGCTATGTCCCAGCCAGGTGGAGCAGAGCAGTCACATCCACACTCAGTCCCCAAAAGCTTTGGATCCAGGGTCACAGCCAAAGAGACACATGCCTAGAACTGGCTTGCAGAGCAATAAGGCAAAGCTGGGGTGTTTTAAAAGGGAAGTCCAGGTTGGTATCCATATAAAGGCTAACAGTGATTGAGCACCTACTGTGGGCTAAGCACTCTGCAGAACTTACCTCATTGAATAATCAGTATAACATTTTACAAATGAGCAAACTCCTTTGGGAAAAACTGGCACTGTTCAGACTATAATTTGTTCATATAACTTTCACAATGTTCATCTTCTTGATACCATACTTATGGATAAAAATAATACTTAGTGGCTCTTTGGGTAAAAATGGTAATATTAATTGTAGTGCTGGCAGTAGTAAGACTAGCACTAGCAATTGGAATTTATTATGCATTTTAATGACTGTCAGGCATTGTGCTGAATATTTTGAATACATTATTTGAGTAAAAATACTGTTATCACTTTCAATGTTCCCAGAATTATGAAAATGTATCTCAAAAATTTAAGAGTAATCACTAGGAGAAGGCTGGGCATGGTGGCTCATGCCTGTAATCCCAGCACTTCGGGAGGCCGAGGTGGGCTGATCCCCTGAGGTCAGGAGTTGGAGACCAGCCTGGTCAACAGGGCGAAACCCCAACTCTACTAAAAATACACAAAAAAAATAGCTGAGTGTGGTGGTGCACGCCTGTAATCCCAACTACTCAGGAGGCTGAGGCAGGAGAATCGCTTGAACCCAGGAGGCAGAGATCGCAGTGAGCCAAGATCGCACCACTGCACTCCAGCTTGGGCAATAGAGCAAGACTTCCTCTCAAAAAAAAAAAGAGTAATCACTAGGAGAACAGAATATGATCTACAGCTTATGAACCAACAAAATTTAAAAAAAGAAGAAATATGGAACAATTCCTTTAATATAAGACAGGAAAGGGGGAAAGAGGAGCAAAGAAACCCAAAATAAAACAGCAGAAAAAACTCACATATTGTATCAGTGAGTATATTAAGTATAAACGAATTAAACGTACCTATTAAAAGACAGAGATTATCAAACCAGATGAAAACATTAAACAAAATTCAATTATTTGATGATTGTAAGAAACATATAGAAAAGCCTTATTAAAAGATTGACAATAAAAAGACAAAAAATAATATGTCAGAAAAACTCTACCCACAAGAAAACTAGTGTAACATGTAATTAATATGATATGAAACTAATTTTGTTCCTCAAAACAATGCAAGGTAGAATTAAAATCCCTATTTTGCATGAGACTGTGAAATAGAGAAGTTAGGTTACTTGTTCAAGCTCACACAAGCAGCAGGGGCAGAAAAAGGACCCACACTTGGATTTCTATTACTCCAAAGCCCATTCTTGAAACTACGTGACTCTATTGTTCTAAGTAACATTACCTTAGAAACTATTCAGTGTGTAGAAAGTACATGTTCCAAAATCAAGGCTTGAGATAGGAGTAAGGAAAATGGAGAATGGATCATGAGTCACTAAAAAAATAAGAAAGAACAATCTACTGGTTCTCAGTCTTGGAAGCACGCTAGATAGAACACCTAGGGAACTCAAAGAAAAGGCCAGTGATTTGGCCCTACCCTAGACCAATTAACTCCACATGCCTAGGGGTGAGGCCCAGGCATCAATATTTTAAAAGCTTCCAAAGTGATTTTAATGTGCAGCCAGAGTTGAGAACAACTTATCCATTCACTAACTCAAGGGCAAGTTTGCTAAAACATGGAGGGTATCTTTAGGTCATTGTGACAAAGAGAAATGAGAAGATCCTCCAACCTTATCCCTTTGCAATGGTTTGAATATTTGTGTCCCTCCCCAAAAATTTATATGTAGCAATTTTAACCCTTATAAGTGGGATTACTGCTCTATAAAAGAGGTCCCAGAGAGCTGCCTGGTCCCTTCCATCATGTGAGGACACAGAAGGCTCCATGTATGAAGCAGGAAGTGGGCTCTTACCAAAAACCACAAGCACCTTGATCTTGGACTTCCCATCCTCCAGAATTGTGAGAAATAAATTTCTACTGTTTGCAAATCACCCAGTGCAAGGCATTTTTATTATATCAACCCAAATGGACCAAGACAAAAGGAAGAATTGGCATAAAGAGAGACATAAGCCCTTCTTCTGCATAGTGAGAGGATGCCATGCCTGAGAATATGACAGAATCCCTGTGCTAACACCCCCTCCCTGTTTCTTAAAGAGAACACAATGAACCACAGAATCTCAGCACTGGAAAGAATCTTAGGGGAAACTTAAAATGGATCCCAGACTTGGCTGATTGTTAGAACGCCTTGGAAGTTTTATAAAAATATAAATTTCTGTGGCCCTCCCCTAAGGGAATCTAATTCTATAGCTCTGTGTTGAGCCTAGGAAATTGTATTTTTTTAAAAGATACGCAGGGAGGCTTTTGGAGAAAGATGGCAGAGTGTCCCAATACATAATCAGACAAAGCAAAACAAAAAAACAAAAACCAATAAGTGAAGGAGAAAAGCAAGCAGCAATCAAACAAGGAACTGGCACACACTCATACTATCAACATCTAAAAGACCTGGGGTGAGGGTGGGGGCAGGAACAGGATTTGGCAGAAGTTGTCAGGTTCCTAACCCCACCCCATGCTTCAGAAGTATTATTGCTGAGGCCAAAATCTTTAGACTTCTCACTAATTACTATATATTTGCAGAGAAGCAGACTGTGAGTGTGACATCATTTCTTCCTCTTTTCTGACTTAATACGGAGAGAGTTGGGGAAACAGATTGAGAACTATTAGAAAAAGAGCTATAAAACAGCAGCATGAACAATCAAGACTCTCTCTCTTTCTCTCTCTCTCATTCTCTCTCTCTTTCTCTCTCTCTCATTCTCTCTCTCTTTCTCTCACAGAAACACAGGTTCCAGGGCTCAACGCTTAATTGAGGGGATCATCTAAATGGCAAGGACATCCCCTCCTATATCCCCTCATTAGTGGAATGAGCCCTGGAACAGCACATTTAACAAAGTCATGCAAGAGTTAAATGTGGTCCTACCCAAAGGAGCACACAGCTCTGAGTCTGACCACCCTCATCTCCCATGTTCCCCTATAATGCTCCCAGGCATCAGAAAGCATCTCAAACTGGAGCTGACACCATGGCAGAGGTTTCAGGTAAGTCACAAAAGGAGTCCTAAAGAATTTGCCCTCAATATCAGAGTGATTAGAAGAAGTGGACAGAGCTACCCAAGTTAAACATATGCAAGATAAAAAAAATATGGCACTTGTGAACACACACTACAGGAGGAAAATAAGGAACATAATAGCATATTGTGCTATTATGATGATGAAGAACCTCTCTAGAAGAAAACATAACCAAAGAAACAAAGAAAATTCCTGCAAATGTTTAATGCTATAGAAGAAATTAACAAAAACATATATTCAATGAATTCAGAAAAGTTAGCAGGTCAAAGAAAACAAATCAAAGACCAAAATAATCCCATTTTAGATTGTCGAGTAAACTAGAACAGAAAGAATACAACTGGAAATTGAATTCCTACGTAGGGGACATGCTTGAGACTAAACAACTCAGGGACTTGTTAGATATTATCAGCCTTAACAATGTAAAAATAAGCTATAATTAAAATAAGAAAGGGGGTAGGAGGTAGGAAGAAGCAGGTGATTGCTAATTTTTTCATCATTTATAACATGGGCTCAAAAGTCTAAAATTGAAACTAGGTATTAACAGAAAGCAATGACTCCATCTTCTTAAAATTTTTCATAACCTTGATGAGCTCTTCTAAAAGATATCCATTTCAATGAAGACATATTTTTCCAGAACTCAGAACTTCCTTTAGATGTACTTGTTTCCTCTTAGAAATTTAAGCCATGTACGTTAATACTCTTTGTTAAAATTGGGATGTAGAGTGTGATCCCATTATTCTAAAATTATTCCTGTCAATCTGTGATCTACATATCTTTCCAGCTGTGTGTGTGTGTGTGTGTGTGTGTGTGTGTGTGTGTGTGATGATAGAGAGATTACGTGAGTTTTCTTAATGTTCATGATGGTTATGTCTAGGAAGTGAGATTTTTGAGTAATTTTTAAATTTCTTCTCTGAACTTTGATATTTTCAAAAACAATTGTTATAATTGTTTAAAGGAAAAAATTCCCAAGTGGTTGAGAGGGTCACAGCTAAACTTGAAGAGCACGGCATCTAGCCCAGGAATCTGATTCCTGAATCTCCAAAAATCACTCCTGAGAAGAAGCCACACACCAAGCTGCTGTCAAAATCTCCAGTGATGATGAAGCACTCACTATCCTCATATGCCCCATCCCACTGCAGGGCAACTTCAATTTTACAGGACCACAAATTTTCTTTCTACTGCTACCCTATCTTCTAGTAATAATATCCACCTTTCACTGAATTTCCCTAACTGTGAGCTAAGCGTATTCTTTAAATCTTCAGAGCAACTCTATGAAGGTATGAGGTTTCACTATAGTTTTGCCCGTCTTCCTGTTGAAGAGACTGAAGCCCAGAGAAGTAAATTTTCCTGAGGTCCCCCAGCTAGTAGTTTGCAGAGCTGGGCTTCAGCTTTTCATTGTGGTTGAATACAAAGCCTGTGTTTTTAACCAAAATTCTTTGCTAGAAAGTATTGCATCATATTGACCCCAAATCCACTTTTCTATAACTTCTAACCAATGGCACTGACTCTGCTCCCTGGGGACACAGCAAAAAGTCTAATCCCCTTCCATAAGCATTGTCTTCCAACATAGGAAGACAAAAATCATGTGACCCTCATCTACCCCATCTTCTTCCTCCCCAAGTGATCCTTCTGCAGGTGCAAAATGTACCGAGAAGAGAGCATATTTTTTCTGACCCACGATGAAGTCACTGAATGATTAGTTTAAATGGAATCATGAAGTTTCTAATATGTACTTAACTATATGCTATCATTTAAGTTCTGCTTTGAAGGAGTTCCTAATAGTTGGGTTCCTCCGGAAAATCTCCTAAGAGGGTTTCATCCCACAGACAACTCCCAACTCCCTGGGTTAACTGGAGGGGTGCAGTGGTGTGGATAAAGTAATTTATGTCTGACACGGAAATGTATTATATGCATTTTTCAATTTATCTTCCTAATTAAATTTTTTCATAGACTCATATTTAAATGAGTTTCCACTCCCCTAACACATGAGGACTGACAGTGAGTGGAGGGAAAATAGGATAAAAATGTTAAGTAGATTTTCCACCAAGTGTGAATCCTCCACACACGAATCACTGAGGGAATCGCTGGCACTCTGTGGGCTGGGTGGAGGGGTTTTCTTTGGTTTATAAACTCCCCAGAACCTGATTTTCACATGCAGACATGAGAGCCTGTCCAGCCAGCAGAGTATATACTGTCCAGCATCTCCTGTGCCAGGAGCCACAAGGCAGTGGGGCATGGAGGTGCCCCCCGGGCCCTGCCTGGAACATATTCTCCCAGGACTTTGAGCTTCCTGGCAGGGTCATGTTCCAGGAGCCCCGATTTCAGGGAAATATTCTGCTCCCTTGGTTTCACACAGAGGGTAGCAAGCCTCCACCAAAATGCACACCTGTGTTGGCAGCGAGGCTGTGGACTGTGGCCTGGAAAACATGGCCTCACGCCTGGGAAAGCATGCCTCAGCGTAGGAACAGAGACCCAATATAGCTCAGCTCGGACTGAGTCAGGCACTGACCCCACTACCCTGTCCCTAAATCCCCCCTGCAGTGTCCTTGATGTCACCTCCCTGATGTCCTGAAATCCAAGCCCCCCAGCCCCCTGGGGCACAGGCACGGCTCTTCACTCCCTCCCTATGGCCATTCCCCAGTTACCATCTGAACTCACTTATTCCAGGCCCAGGCCTGGCTGTCCCTTGGAGGGAAGGAGAGACACCCAACACCACAGCCCAGAAGGAACCTCCACAGGGAGTCAGTCAAAAGCCAGACACTAAAATTACATTTTCTCACTCCCTTCTCATTTGGAGGAAAGTCTGTGTGGGGCTGGCTGTGATCACACACTTTCATCACACACTTTCTGCATAAGTGAGAGAACTGTCTCAACTGCCTCCTCCTCTTCCTCCTCATCCTCCTCCTATTCCCTCTCCCTCCTCCACTGAATTCCCAGCTCACTGCCTCCCACTAGTTCACAGTGTGCTAGGGCCCTCCAGCCCCACCGAGAAGCCACAGGAAGCTCTGATCCACCCCCACAGGGAAAAAGGGATCAGAACCACCACCCAGCACAGATATAGGGGCCTTGTGTAGGGGACCAGCCAGGGAGCCCCTCCATCTTGAAGAATCTAAGTCACGAGGACAAGCACAGGAGCAAAGCAGGCAGCCTGAGCTATCCATGTCCCAGGCCACTGCCGGCCTGTTCTGAAAAATTTCACACAAGGTTATCCCCAATATTCCCAGACATGTGTCCCTTCCCCGGTGCTGCATGGCCCCCACACTGGCTGAGTATCTCCAGTGGGAGAGGAAAGGACAGACCGACTCTTAGGAATGCCTGCTCACTCCGTGGTAGCATGTCCCCTTCAGGCCTCCTTTCCCATCTTTGAAAGTGAATCCTGGGTGGCTCCCTGTCAGGGGAGCACACAGATAACCCAGCCCCAAAGATGGCGGGGCAGACCTGGGCATTAGCAACTGGAGTTCTGTTTTCCCTTCTAGGCTACCTACTATGTGTCGGGCTCTGTGCTTGGTGCTTTGTAAACCCACTCTCATTCCATCACCCAGCAACAGTGAGACCCAAAGCTCAGAGAAGTCAAAGACTTTGCCTGAGGATCTTACCTACAATTAATGGCACATGGTCAAGACACAAATCTCATTCCAGAAACCAAGATCTTTCTACCACACCAAATGTTTCCCTAAAGAGAGCCCATAACTCCACACAGGAACCCAGCCCAGCCTGGATAACCCATCAGAACAGAGGAAGAAAACTCCTCTGTCAAAATGAAAGATGCTAATAGCAAGGGTGTTTACTAGGAGTGTTCAAATTTCCATTAAAACCTTCCTGTGCAAAGATGAGCTACGAAAATTTCCTTCTTGGAAGCTTGTACCTCCTGGAATCCAGACATCTACTTTCAAGCTGCTGAAGGCTCCCACTGCCTCCCCACAGGGCTGCAATCCCGACCATGGATTATTAAGGAGTCCACAGGCTTGGCTCAATGAACAGAACGGCTCCGTTATATTTCAACCTACCCACTAAGACTTAAATATCACACCCTAGTTCAGACAGCCCTCGCCTTTCATTTTTCTTGGCTTTAGGAAGACAGGGAGGGAGGGCATACAGAGCCAAGAACCCAAGTGTCTGAGCTTTTACAGTAACCCAAACTCACCCAAGACAGGCTGCCCAACCGGGCCCACCTCTGTGTGGCTTCTCCAGATCAACAGAAATTTGGGGTGAAAGCCTGCTTTTCTCCATGCAGTAAGGCATCTGCATGAAAGGCACATGTTTCCAGGACCTTCCAAGCTCTTTCTTGAGTAAATATTCTCTTAAAAAGGTTTTGAAGCAGAGGCTAAGGAGAGGAGTCAACATGGAATTTTATTTCTCTTGGATTATCTGACTCAAGCAGCACCCAAGACTAGCAAGACCAAAGATGGGCTGACCCAAAGATAACCATTTACAACAGGAGTCAGCAAACCAACAGCCTAAGGGCCCAATCCAGCCCGATGCCTATTTTTATAAATAAAGTTTTATTGGCACACAGCCATGCTCATCTGTTCTGGGGTGTCTGTGGCTGATTTCATGCTACAAAGGCATAGTTGAGTGGCTGCAACAGCATGGCCCAGAAAAGCCTAAAATCTCTATTATCTGGCCTTTTACAAATTAAAAAAAAAAAATTGCCAACCCTTGATTTAGAAAAACTTTCAGATGTAGTTAGGCCTATTTCTTGAGCCTTTTTAAGAGCAAATAATATCTCTGGAATATATTTGGTATAGTCTTATATGGAGGGAAAAGGATGAAAAAAAATGGCCCCTGAGTTTCCTTCCAAATCCACAGGAAGCCAAAAAAGGAATGAGGTGCCTGGTACAAATGCCTCAGGTGACAGACATCCTATTTACAGAAAGGCAATCTGTGCACCACCTCAGGGAGGCCAAACCAACATGCCTGGTGCAATCATGCAGCCTTACCCTGCAACCACGCCCAACACTTGGAAGCCTAACGTGGACAACGCCTGGTGCAAGAGGGCATGTGGTCAGATGTTCCACCCCCACTTAGCTCAGGGGCAGACAGAAGGCTTCTCCAAAGCTGTCCCTTGGCAGGATTTCATGTAGCAGATGCCACTAGTCTACAGTCTCTACAGCCTCTGACTCCCAGCATGTACACATGTAGGTGTGCACAGAGGCCCAGAGAAGCAGGGTCAATGGAATCCATGAAGCTGACCTGGTGGCAGCTCAGGGTTTATTCCCTGCTTCCAACCTACCAGCAGGCACAACTCTTGATAGATCTAACAGCACACTGGGGATGGAGCACTGCATCAGGACTGAGGAGACTCAGGGTCTTGCCCCAGCTCTGTGGCTAACTCCTGATGCAACCTTAGAAGAGTCATATCATGTCTCTGGGACTCACTTTCTTCTTCTGTCAAATGGATTAATACTACCCACTCCATCTAACTCACAGAGCTCAGTCATGCAACAAGTAATTATTGGGCATCTACTATGAGTCAGACATTATGCTAAGCACTTGGGATATAGTGGCAATCAAGATGGACAAATTCCCTGCCTTGTGGAGCTTACACTCTGGGGTTGGTATGGAAACTAATAAGGGATGCATAGATGAATACTTTGAAAAATCATGATGTGCTTCACTTGAGTCGTGGATGGTGATGCTATCTTCCCACTCTGGGCCATTCATGGACTAGACTCACACACTGAGCAGACCTGCTGGGAACACATCACTGATAAAAGTCATTCATTGGGAACTATTCTAAATGCCTTGTATGTATTAACCTCACCATCACAGAGAGTCCTCAACACTGAAGTAGGAACTCTAAATATGCATACTCCACAAACAAGGAAGCTGAGGCCTGGAGCACTGGAGCTAAAAAGGAAATATGTGTCCTGTCCCTTATGATATCTCCCATACTGGCTGGAGATGTTGAATTTACTATATTAAATTCTTCTCCATTATCTTGAGGAGTAAGGCCAGGACCCTTCAGATGGAGAGGAAGTCTCTCTCCCTAGATGGGGAAGGGAAGTTCTCCTTCCCTAGTTCAATCATCACAGAAAAGGAAAGCATCTAACAGGAAAGTAGCACCCAGAAGAGAGGCCTTAAACTCCTTGGAAGAGGTGATCCTCCTATCTGCCTCTTTGGGCTGAACTCTCCTAGCAGGGGATTTTTAGAAGGGTGGATAACCAGTTGTGGGCTGCAGTGAGAAGAGCGAACCCAGCCCATGAAGAAGGCCAAAAAAATGAGGACTCTGGCAGGGTCTGTGAGCTAAGATGAGCTATGCCCTACAGGGCAGTTATCTAGCTCTGTCAGCCTCCATTCATTTCCTTTTTTCTGTCTCCACATTTTCAGTAACGTCCTGTCTAAACATCCCACCAGACTCTCAACGCAACATAGACAATTAGCGAAAGGTTAGAAAGTCATGCACCCAAGCTTGGCCCACCACAGTTAGAGGAAAATGGCACCACCTTAAAACTAGTATGTAGGTGTTCGTACTAAATACGTGAGAAATTCTCCCAAAGGAAGGTGAAGCTGGAGAGAGTCAGGGTCATCCAACTACTTTTTGCCCTCTCAGAGCATTTTCCTCCTTGCCAATGCTGGACAATGAAAGCACTAGTTTATTCAGGGAAATCACAGTTTCCTTTTTAGAAGAGCAGGATGCTAAGAAGGGAGCAAGAATAAGTTGAAAACAAATGGAGTAAGATTCAGCATTGTGCACGCACCCCCAGCCCAGCCACCCAAGAGATTCTCCCAAGCCAGGCAGTGATGCTCACATCTGGTCCTTCACCACCAGGACCAAGTCAGAGCAAAGGAGAAAAGAAGAGAAGGAAGAGACAGGAGCGCACTGGATGGGAGAGTGAAGGGTTGGAGAAGAGAGGGATCCCAGCCTACTCCCAAGCCCAGTGGGATCATCTTCCCCTAGGAACTCCCATCTGATATTGGCTCTGGTTGGGGCTGCCTCTCTCCCAGCACCTGCTGGGTAGACTTCCCCATGTTTGGTCCTGGGAGGTGCTGTAGCAGCTGGAGCTGTCCTCTTTCTGCCGCTGGAAGCAACTGGAAGTCCCAGGGGCCCTGGCGCTCCCTCTGGGATTTCACCCTATTCTTTCCTGTCTCGCTTTCTCTTTTATCTCCTGGATTAACTTACTGTTGTGCCATCTACCCAGTTGTCAGTGTGCCTGTCTCAGCTTTGTGATCTCACGTAGATCCACAGAACCTAAGAGCTGGAACGGGCCCTGAAAACATTCTGGAGCAGGCGTCTCGGCAGACTCAGGCATGCCTCTCCCCAGGGAACCAGGCCGCGTCTGGGCAGAAGCAAGGCTTGGGGGAGTGGCAAGGATTGTGTGTACTCCCTCGAAGCACATCTTCAGAAGTGGAGCATTTTCAAGGTAGGATGTTGACATAATTGTTAGGTCCATGAAGGCAGATGCTAGAAGCAGTGTGAAAATAAGACTCTGAGGTTGTCCAGGTGGGGGGCTATTTTTATACATTTCCCCCCACAACCCAAGCAGTACATGGGCCCTAGCCCTCAAGCTTCACCTCCCAGATGTAAGACTCCAACCAAGATTTTGGAGTCAGGGGCATACAAAGCCCACTCAGGGGACACACTCATAGAGTATTCAACTGATTCAGAGATGTGGGAAGAACGCTATTCCTATTTATTTTTTTGTAGAAACAGGGTCTTGCTATGTTGCCCAGGTTGCTCTCAAACTCCTAGGCTCAAGTGATCCTCCCACCTCATCCTCCCGAGTAGCTGGAACTACAGGAACACGCCACCACACCCAGCTACCACTATTTTTATATTAAATAAAACATGTATCATGGAGTGACAGGAAAAACCTATGCAAGTTTAAGTAAATATTGTACTTAAAGTGGGTGACTTTAAATTATGCTCTTATATGTACAGGGGAAGGACAGAGGAAGGGCTCATTTACCTTCATTCTTCTCTCTCCCTAGAGAATTCTGTGTATCCAATTTTAAAAATTCATCATATGTCACAGACAGAGGCACAGACCCCCTGAGCCATGGTGGGAAGATACTTCTGGACAAATGTATACCCAGCAAAAATCTCAAAAGCTCCAACTTTCTAATGGCTTCATTTTACTGATGAGAAAACTCAGACCTATAGAAAGAAGAGCAGAAACAGACTGGATCCCAAATCCCTGTGCCCCACAGTTGATGCTCTTTCCACCTCCAATCTGAGGCACTGCTCTCCATGTGGCCAGGAACCGTTTCCAACTAAACTGGTCCTGCCTAGGGCCTGGAAAAACACACTGTTAATATGCAGCCTTAATTAAATATTTCTGATGAGCACAATGATGCTTCAAAATTCTAGCTAGGATTCGACTGATGCTGCAGCCTGGAGCCATCAAGGAAGAGCCTCTTTCCCCTAAGCATGGTGTGTGTGGAGCTTGCTGGGAAGACTGAGACCTTCCAATCCAACCTGGCCAGCACATCTATTCAAGCCATCAACCAGAGGACAGATGTAGAAGTCACCTTCTCCTTCCAGGGACCACTCTTGGAAGCAGATTTCCACAAAGGGGACCGTACAGTTCTAAGCTTACAGATGGTT
Organism: Homo sapiens; assembly: GCF_000001405.40. Lineage (NCBI taxonomy): Eukaryota > Metazoa > Chordata > Mammalia > Primates > Hominidae > Homo > Homo sapiens. The sequence goes on from NC_000010.11 coordinate 77,551,917, forward strand.
AGAACAGACCAGCCCCACTGGAAGGCCAGAAGTGACGAGGATGAGGTCAAATGTCAGTGACAGAGAGGCTCAGACCTCTCTGAGCCATGGTGGGAAAAATCTCTCTGACCCATGGTGGGAAAAATCTCCCTGAACTAATCTGCAATTTCCAGGCATTTCTGACCAGTAAGGAAAGGATTTGGTTGCAGAAGGCTGGGAAGCTAGATTGTAGACCAAGAGATGGAGAAAACTCTTCAAGGGGAGAGCCCAGCCACTACAAAGGGGCCCAGCATGAGGTGTGCTGGAGGTACCCTGAGGGCCGTGGCTGCCTGACTGACTTATCCTCTACTTTGGGAAAAGGCAACTCAGTGCCTGGATTAAACCATTAGCTCTGGAGGATGCCTGTCTGGTTTGAATCTTAATTTCTCCATTTCCCAGCTGTGTGACCTCGATAAGATTACTTCATCCTCTGGGTCTGCTTCCTCATATGAAAACAGGAACAAGAAGTGCATAAACACATTTCAGGGATGTAGGGAAGACTAAAAGGGTTAATATAGGGCAAGCACTTAGCACAGTGCCCAGCATAGAGCAGTACTGTCTAGGCTGTAGCTACCACACATACCCAGTGAAGGCACTCAACTACCAGGTGGACAAGCAACTGATACATGTGTGTGCTGCTCTCTGCTCCCCTTTGGACATTTGGAATTTCAAGTACTGGGACTTAATACCACAGAGGGCAGAGTTTTGTTTTTCCTGCCTTTGACATGATGTTTATGATCTTCTTTTCTTGTGAACACCCCAGACCTAGGGACCAGCGGTGGCCTGGCTTCCTGATGCAGCCCATGAACACATTTAAGAATCCAAAAAGGTTAGCCAGGCGCAGTGGCTCACGCCTGTAATCTCAGCACTTTGGGAGGCTGAGGCAGGCCGATCACTTGAGGCCAGGAGTTGAAGACCAGCCTGGCCAACATGGTGAAACCCTGTCTCCACTAAAAATACAAAAATTAGCCAGGCATGGTGGTGCACACCTGTAGTCCCAGCTACTGGGGAGGCTGGGGCATGAGAATCGCTTGAACCCAGGAGGTGGAGGTTGCAGTGAGCTGAGATTGCACCACTGTACCCCAGAGCAAGACCCTGTCTCAAAAAAACAAAAAACAAAACAAAACAAAAAAACGCCGGGTGGCGGGGTGGGGAGGCGGGGAGAAAGCTGCCTCTGCATTGCAACTTCCCAAACAGCACAGACATTAACATTTTAGTGATGAAATAACAAAGCTGATATTCTCAGTATCATTCCTTTATTGAGTGAAATCAGAAATATAACTTTTTCTTCTTTTTTTTCCCCCGTGGGACTCCATAAAACTATTTTTGTTGTAAATGTTTTAAAAGGCAGCCTGTCAATATTTCAAATGTTCCTGAATTGGAGCTCATGGATAAATGACTCTTCCCCCATTGGCCAAGTCTCCTCTCCTGCTGCAGCAAGGAAAGGGGCACTTGGGAGCTGAGAAGGCAGGAACCAGGCGCCGTTGACACTCCTCTAGTGAGATGAATGTTCCCTCCACTGGGTCAGCAGTGAGCACCAGCCCAAGAAGTGCCCTCGCCTCCCTCCTGCTGGGCAGTCACCAGGCAACCCTGCAGGCAGTGCACCAAGCTGTTCCTCCATAATGCACACCCAGTCAGGGCCTGGGCACCTCTAGTTACTCAGCAGTGAGCCCACCTGCTATGTCTCAGGGGCATCCCACACCCAGAAAGCTGCTTCTACTTCAAGCCTACTCCCAGGGGATGCCCCATCAGGGACTAGAGGGTCCTGCTGAACCCACCCCAGGTTCAAGGTCAGCAGCAGGCTGTTTCACCAGGAAGGCCAGGAGCTATGCTCAAGGTAACCAAAAGGACAGAAGGCCCCACCCAAGTGTCATCTTGCCCCTCCTCCCAGCTTCCCCATTGGCTAGTAAATGAGTAAACAGACATGGTTCTAAAACCTAGAAGAGCATCAGAACTCCCTGTGGATCTGGGTTCAATAACACAGATTTGATATTCCACTCCTGGATATTCCAGTTTTGTAGGTCTTGAGCAGGGATCGACTTTTTTTTTTTTTAAGGTTCCAACAGATGATACTGTGGCTACGATGGGCAGCTCAGATGTAGGCCACTGGCAACACAGAGTGGAAGGAGAAGCCCACAGGGTTCCTCACTGGGCGACACAAGCTCTTCAAAGCAAGCTGAGTAAATCTCTTGGTAACAAGCCAAGCCGGACTGCCCACAGCTATGGGCAGGTCTGCTGTGTCTTTCGCCTGCTGAAAGCCCAGGTTGCAGCACAGGGAACAGCAGAGACAGGATCAAAGGCTCTCTGAGGACAGTCTGTGGCAACAAAGTAGCAGCTCCTCTCTGATGAGGTAAGGAAGAGTCCAAAGAAATTACTTTTGGGCTGGGTGTGGTGGCTCACACCTATAATCCCAGCACTTTGGGAGAACAAGGCAGGCAGCTCACTTGAGGTCAGGAGTTTTAAGACCAGCCTGGCCAACATGGTAAAACCTCCTCTCTACTAAAATACAAAAATTAGCTGAGCGTGCTAGTGTGCACCTATAATCCCAGCTACTCAGGAGGCTAAGGCAGGAGAATCACTTGAACCTGGGACGCAGAGGTTGCAGTGAGCCGAGATTGCACCACTGCACTCCAGTCTGGGTGACAAGAGTAATACTCCATCTCAAAAAAAAAAAAAAAAAAAAAGAAAGAAAGAAAAGAAAAGAAAGAAAGAGAAAGAGAAAACACTTTTGAAATTTGGAAATGAGGAAGACTAAGGAAGAGTCCAAAAGAAACTTTGCCTCTGCCCAAGGAGCCCACAAACTTTCCAAGGCCTTCCTGTTCCTGGAAACGGTGCCATCTCCAAAGACTCCTCCGCACATGGAAGAGCCTGATCTCTCGGGCACAGTCAACCATTACGGCCCATTTTCTCAAACTAGGCCCTCCTGGGGGTCTTAGGGAAAGGGGGCAACATTACACAAGGCAGGTGAAGGGGATAGCCAATCACAGAGGGGTGCAGGTTGGCATTGACCTCTTCCTAACTTTTCTCATAATATGAAAGTGACTTCTCTTCTCAGAAGAACCGTTCATAATGAAATTCGAGCTGCCTCAATCTTCCTTGATCATCTCTTCACTCTTACCACATACACACACGCACGCACACCACAGGAAAACGCATCAGATGAAGAACTTCCCCAGTCCAGTGCAGATTTAAGAAAGAGGACACTGACATAGGGAGGTGGGCTGGGGAGCTGGGGAGGGGGCAGACAAACAAGGGCATGTGACTGATACACTTCAGGGCGGGAGTCAGACGGCCCCCTCACAGGCCAGGGTGACATGTGACAAAGTCACAAGGCCCTGTGGTATTTCTTGAAACTTGATTTCAGCCCAAGTCAAACTCCATGGATCAAGGGTCATTTCTGGCTATTATAGGATGAGAGTATCCAGGACTGAAGACCTCATGGGGCAGAAAGAAAAAAAACAGAAAGGTAGCTCTTGGAGAAATAACCTAAAGATTAGAATCAAGGAAGAGCCAACCTCTCTTCTAACAGGGAAAAAAAATTTACTAAAATGACACTTCAGCATCACCTATTTTTTCAAGCTTGTCTTTCTGAACAGAACTTGAAAACACAGTTGTAAAACTGTTTTACTAGTTCAGCCGACTTAGAAAAACAAAAAGAGCTTCTCACAGCTTTAAACAGAGTCCTGTGCTGAAGTGTTCCAACACTCCAGCCCCACTCTGGGGTTAAGAATGACAGATGATGCAATGTAAAAACATCATTTTCCACTGGACACAGAGAACATGGTACAATACTTTGGAGGTTAAACAGATGAGAAGGGAACAGTACAGAGACCCAAACTTAGCTCCTCCATGCCTCTAGCACACACATATGCCTCATGGAAGGCATCTGGAGAGGTTAGTGCTAGAGAGGCCAGAAATCTTGTTTCTGGTTCTGTGCTGGAATTAACTAGGTAAACCCTGGATGAACTGTTACATCTTTGATCGTCACTACCTGAGAATTAACTTAGACAAACATTGACACTCTATAAAGCAGCAATTGCAAAATGTGGGTTTTCAAAAGCACTCTGAGTTCTTTTCAAAGAGGATGGCATAAGAATCGACACAGCTGACATATGGTGTGGACAGAGAGAAATAGCTTGGGCTTGGATTTCCGGTCAGTTCCCCTTTCTGCCAGTTACCATCAGAGGAACCATGGGCAAATTACCCAATCTCTCTGAGCCTGTGTCTTCACCTTTAAAAATGGTATTATAGTTCTCAAAGTAATTGCGAGGAATTAAAAGTCAATTCAGGGTCAGGCGCGGTGGCTCATGCTGTAATCCCAGCACTTTGGGAGGCCGAGGCAGGTGGATCATTTGAGTTTAGGAGTTCGAGACCAGCCTGGCCAACATGGTGAAACCCCATCTCTGCTGAAAATACAAAAACTAGCCAGGCATAGTAGCATGTGCCTGTAATCCTAGTTACTCGGGAGGCTGAGGCAGGAGAATTGCTTGAGCCTGGTAGGCAGAGGTTGTGGTAAGCCGAGATCACACCACTGCACTCCAGCCTGGACAACAGAGTGGGACTATCTCAAAAAAAAAAAAAAAAAAAAAAAAGGGAATTCTATGCCCTGTAAAGTGCAGTCTATGGAAGTGATGATGATGAAGACCAGGATACAGTACAATAAGGACTCTTTATGCTTTCAAAACCGTGATTATGCTGCATCTGGTGGAAGCCAGGACTCTGGAAATATGGCCCAGACACACCCAGAACTGAGGATCAAGATGAGCGTGGATCCCTGGGTCATGAGCATCCCAACCAAGTGCCTGATGCCCAACTCCAGGGAACCATCTTCCCTCCGCACACAATAGTCATTCCATGGTGGTGCACACCTGTGAGTCAAAAACACCCTAAGAAAATGTAATCCTTGGGGCATTTCCTCAGCTCCAGCCTCCGGCCCATCAATCACAAGCACAATCAAACTGCAATGCCTCAAACCAATCTCCTAGGACCCCTGCCAGGGCAGAGACTGAAAGTCACTGAGGCAATAGAGCATGTATTATATTGATGATCCTCTAGCTGCAAGACCTGATTGGTTTGAGACTCCCTTGGATAATGCTGGCAATTAATTTTGGCAAAAGAGCAAAAGATAGATGTGACATCCATTGAACACAGAGCTGCACAGGAGTCAGGTTTCTGGAAGGTAGGAAGAATGCAAGGAAATTAACTCCAGAGTGGTTTGCAGGGAATGGGGGCTCCAGGCTCATTATTTCAATCTTGAAAGCTGTCAATCACTGTCAAAAGGCAGTTTAATCTCACCCTGAAGCTTTCAAGAACACTATGAATCCAGGCCTACAATTAGCAGTCCAATGTTGGGCTGATGAGTTATGGGCATTTTCCATCTGGGAGGGCACAAGCTTCTCCTATCCAGGGCGTGCCCTGGGCATAAAGGATGTGTGGACAAATACAAACACTCCACCAGCCAGAGGTGACAGAAATAGGCCTATAATATTTGCCCAACTGGGTTTATGAGACAAGCATGTAGTTCAACACTGTTTATACAGTTCATGAGAGAATCTTGGGCAGTGACAGAGAATGTAACTCTCATCCTCCTTAGGGCTTCCAGAAATGAACAGAGGATATATATATTTTTTTAAAAAGTGGATCCTCCACATTTTCTAAAGTTTTTAAGCTCTCTGGGGCAGGTTAAGAAATTCAGACTGCCCAGGAAGTGATTTTTTTTTTTTTTTTTTTTGCATGGAATTTCGTTCTTGTCACCCAGGCTAGAGTGGAATGCAATGGCATGATCTCAGCTCAATGCAACCTCCGCCTCCTGGGTTCAAGCAATTCTGCCTCAGCCTCCCTAGTAGCCAGGATTACAGGTGCCCGCCACCATACCTGGCTAATTTTTGTATTTTTAGTAGAGACAGGGTTTCACCATGTTAGCCAGGCTAGTCTTGAACTCCTGACCTCAGGTGATCTGCCGGCCTCGGGCTCCCCTCTTTACACCATTCTCTAAGCAAATAAGCTAACATCCCAGAATGGAATTATAGAAAGATTGCACCAGTCAAAAAAGGCATTTGGTATACATATTCTAAGAAATGCTACATAATAACAATATGAATTAATAATAAATTACCTTCTTTCACCTTGAACTGAAGGATTTGCAAATTTTCTCAAGTTCTCTTTCATTTGACCTTCACAACAAACCTGTGACATTTCTTACCCCCTATGAATGGTTAAGGAAAAGACTCAGAAAGTGGGTTCTTGCTTCTTCAGATCCCAGATGACTCCTGAAATATTCATAATTCTGATCTTAAAAAAAATATAACACAGATGGTAGGACATGCCTCGTGAATCAGGTAATACCCTGGCAGCATCTCCCTTAGAGCGTAGAATTCCACAGGCAGGGATGTGCCAAACACCTCTGCACGCCAAGCTGGGTGTAGCAACTCCATCAAATCCATTGGATCACGATGATCCTGGTACAGGGAGAGGGGACAATGGAACAACCAAGGCCCTGGAAGACAGCAACTGAAAATTTTGACCTGTGGTTCACCAGCTTGAATCCAGCACTGGGATGTCGGGGGTGGGGTGTTCCAGGGAAAAAGACCACAGCTTCTGGATGGTTCCAAGAAGATAGGTTCCCTCATTAAAACTGGTATCAACCAACCCTCTTGTACACAGACCCCTGTGGTGGGTGTCAAGGGGAAAGAAACAGATGGGCCCAGGATAGATAACACAGATGCCCAGTCCCTGCCCCCAAGAAAGCTGCCCCTGCCAGTTGAGAACACTGCTGCATCTCATCTGAAGAGAAGCCTACACAGCAGTCCTGGAATTCCAAATCAGGTGGAAGAAGGCAGATGGCGCAAAATAAACTCAAGAAACAGACAATGGGAAGTAAGCATCAAGCCAGGTACCTTGACACAGTACCTCTGGCATGGTCCCCAACAGCTGGCCTGTTGGCCTCCCCAAACAATGCCTCTTTCTAATGAGTCTTTCTTTAAAGTGGTCACCGACTATACACCTTAGTGTAGAGCTGCTGGTACAACTTCCTGTAACATAGCAGTTGCAGTGAAGCTCCAGGGCTACGCTGGGAGTATGAGTGACTGGCTCAGCCCCAGAAGGCAAGTCACTCTCCGTGTCCTGGTCAGCCCAGCCCCTGTCACTGGGCAACATGTGGTTGTGTTCAGACATCTCCCACCTGTCCATAAAAGGTGAGGTCTAATGGTGGCCTCTTTGGGACAACCTTAGGGCAATGGGGCATACGTCCAGGACTGAGGCTGAGAAGCACACACTGGTGCATCCCTACCAGGGTGAAAATATTGAAATCCTTTTTACATGGTGGTAAGTAGCAGCTTCCCTGAATTCCTGCATGCCTACTACCACCACCCAGCCTCTACAATGGGACTCCATGCCTCCCCATGATCCAGCGACTGAAGGGTTGGACCTGGCACAGTCGACACTTCTCTAGGACTCTGTCGGTGCCCAGGCAGCTGTGTAATTGTGAAATGCTTTGAATATCCTCCCCACACGGGCCCAGTCAATGGTGCTGCACCTTAACCCAAACACCTCACTAGTAGAAAGGCTAAGGAACTCACCTTCCTAAGAACCTGTTGAGGCCACACCACCAGCTGTCCTCCACTGGGCAAGAAGGTGTCACCCCCAGCTCTCCTCTCTAGCTAGGGATCCTCCATTCCTGCTGAGAGGGACAATCCTGGAAAAAGAACTATAGCCCTTCAGGTATTGTATCCATACCTCTGAGTCTATGTGTGTTTTTGAGAGGAAAAAAAAATGCTTCTGGTTTCACCTTTAGAACTAAAAATCTGGTTGATCTAATATGCTAGACATTTCAGCAATCTCTGGCCCAACACAGAGTAGGGTGCCACTGTTCTCTATATTCCTGGCCCAGCTGAATCACAGCATCATAGCATTTAAGCACCCTCAACTATATTCAGCCCGATATGTTTAAAACTGCAGGTTATGGCCAGGCATGGTGGCTCACACCTATAATCCCAGCACTTTGGGAGGCTGAAGCAGGTGGATCACGAGGTCAGGAGTTTAAGATCAGCCTGACCAACATGGTGAAACCCTGTCTCTACTAAAAATACAAAAAAAAAAAATCAGCCAGGCGTGGTGGCGGGTGCCTGTAATCTCAGCTACTCAGGAGGCTGAGGCAGGAGAATTACTTGAACCCTGGAGGTGGAGGCTGCAGTGAGCCAAGATCGCGCTACTGCACTCCAGCCTGGGTGACAGTGCGAGACTCTGTCAACAAAAACAAAACAAAATAAAACAAAAACCCTGCAGGTTATGACCCATCAGCAGGTCACAGAATCAACTGAATCATTCACAATCAGCATTTTTCAACTGAAACAACAGCACAGAAAACAGAGTACTGCATATTAAAAGGGTTGCTGCATGGAACTTTTGTTTAATTACATACATGAACATAAGTATTGGGTTGAGAAAGAAAAGGTATTTCTTATTCTGGGTTTCAGGGGAAAAAGCTTTTGAAAGCCCCTGATCTAGCTAACTCCACTCTATCATTGATGAGGAAACTGAGGCTCAGAGAACAGCATGGTCAAGGCCACTCAGAGAATGTGCAGCCAGGTGAGGTGGTTCTCAGTCCATGCAGCCTGCGGACTTTGCTTTTCTTCTAAGCAGCTCTGGCTCTGGCCATGGGCATTGGGATTCTGGGATGCTAAGTAGCTGGCTCCTCAGTTCCTAAGAGCTGTGCTCAAGTGGTCTCTAGTGCCATTGAGATTTTCCCCAGCAGAGTAACCCTTAGCACTAGATCTCCTGAGGCTGACCAGGAGGCCCTGAGAAGAGATGCCAGCCAAGCACCCCATCCCCCATTCCCACAGCCTGGTAGTGGGTTTGGGCCCAGCCTCTACATCTCATTCTCTCTTTATAAAGTCTCAAGCAAACTGTGTGGCTGGGACTTTATAATAAACTTGGAGCCTTCTTCAAGCTGAGGCTCCAGCAAACAACTAGATCTTTCTGAGCAGATGCTTCTGCTCTTTAGGCAGGCTTCCTGTCTCTACAGGTGGTCTAGCCCTGGGACTACTGGAAAAATGAGGGAGTGAGGGTGTGCTTTGTGAGAGGCTGGGACAGGGGAACGGCTCCTCCTGACAATGTATGGAAACACTTTTTTTTTTCAATTAAAAATAGCATAGATCACAGATGAGAAACTAACTAGAACTATATAAAAATACAACTTTTTTTTTTTCCAATGGGACCTGCTTAGATAGAAGCTAACATTCCCTGAAAACTATTTGTCAAGCATTGTGCTATGGGCTTCACACACATTATCTCCCTGGATGGTATAGTAGTTATCTCACTTGATATAAAATAAAGTTCAGTGATACCAGTGAATGTATTAATGACATACACAGAGCTATCACTTCTACAGTGCTTATTCTATTCTAAGAATTTTGTGTGTTATTTGATCTCATCATCAGCTTGATACAGTTGGTGCTATTCTCATCCCCACTTTGCGGATTATGAATTGAGGTAAGAAAGGCTACCTGACATGCCCACACTCACATAGATACTAAGTGGTGGGGCCAGGGTTTGAACCCAGATGGTCCAAGCTTTGGACCCTCCTAATTACCTCCACTACACTGGTTATGATTCCTTCCACTTTCTGGCGCAGAAGCAGAGACTCGGGAAAGTTAAATCATTTGTGTCCACTCCACCCAGAAGCTCTCCACGTACACCAGAGGGATGGAAAACATTTAACAATGGGTAAGGCAGGTCCATGACCTTCACAAGGGGCACCATTGGCTAGGCTGGAGACCTCCTGCTATGCTGGAAACTGAGCCATTTTAGGGGCTGCTTCAAGGGGAAACCCAGAGGGTTTCAGAGAAGGGATAAGGTAACAGGGACACTCACAGCACTTAGGGCAATGTCTATTTTAATCAGCAGGGAAGTTTTCCAATATGTTATCAATTTTGGCCACTGCAAACAGCCAAGATAAGACAGTGCTAAAGCTCTTAGTCGAAACTGAATTTTTGCATGTTTCGGGGCTGGAAAGAACTCTTGAGCCATATAGAATTCAACAGCCTCATTTTACCAATGAGGAAACCAAGGCTGCTATGCAAAGCATGGTGCCCAAGGTCAGAGAACTAGTAAATGACAGAGTCAAAATGAAAATCCAGGGTGCCCAGATGCCCAGATTGGTACTTAGGGTGTTTGGTGGTGGTGGTTTGTTTCTTCCCTATCTGTGCTGATTATATTCAATACACAGATGCTGATGTGCATGCACGGGGCCCAGCCCCCAGCTGCTGTGCCACACCCTGACAACCTCAGGATCTTCAGAGAGGCTCAGCTGCTCAAAGTTCCACCAGGGACCATACAAGCTTCATGGATATTCAGATTTTTTTTAGTAAGCACCTGAATTTTGTGTAACTGATTTCCACACCCATTGAAGGCGGCTTCTAAATTTAGAATTAACATCCAAAGCGGTCTGTTGCACAAATGTATACTTCCTCGCAAGCTGTTGTCAGAAACAGTAAAACTGACATCCATAAAACAGTTTCTTCATACCTTAATAATATTGAACTATAAAAATAGAGGATCTCAAGCAAACAAAGCTGTAACCATAATAACCTTTACAAAGTCTACTACCACAGTCAAGTACTGTCCAGATCTTTTTTTAATGAAAATGTAAAGGTGGCCCCAGCCTTATTCTCACATGACAATGCAATTCCCTAGGCCCAGCATTCCCTCTAGACACTTGTCACTGCCCAATCCAGAACTTTAGTAATTGATCATTTGGGGTAATAACCTGCACCTTATACAATAAAGCCACCTTTGCAGAAACTGCAGCTTCACTTTCATCACTTCCTCCTTTGCCTATTCCAATTAGTTGCTTAGATTCAGTTAGACACGTCTCCCCATACCAAGCACATTCAGTTGTGCCAGGAGGATGGAAGAAGTCTTTCTTTCAAGACATCTTAACAAAGTAGACATTGCAACGCAATAAAGTAGTGAGACTCATGGTTGATGCTTACACACAATCTTCCAACAGAATGCTTTATCATCCCTTGCCCAGAACAGATGGGGAAAAAATTACGCTATGCCCTGAAATTTTCCATTCTTGATCTCAGCCCAAAGGTGACTTTTTTATTTTTAAACTTGAGACTTGAGCAAAAAAAAAAAAGTTCAACTATTTTTGATTCATGCCCAGGCTAAAGAAACACATGGTAAGATTCTTTTTTTTTCCAAACCCGTAGGTAGCTCAAACAGCTAAGCTTCAAAAGCTCAAGCTTTCCAACTAGCACTAATAGTGTTCACAGAGGCAGCACCTCTGCAGTAATTGCAAGGCCAAAAATCAATAGCCGGGGTGAGAAGGAGCTGGGATTCCACTTTCTGGACACATTGTCCCCAGTACCTCTAAATACTTAAAAGAACCGCATAGAATTCTCAAATGTTTAAGCAGGATGGTTGGGCCTGAAGCTTTTCCTCCCTTCTGGGTGATAAGGCAACCCGTCCTCATCACCATTTTTTCATTACCCATCCTTTGATGCATTTCAGTCCTCTCGAGAGTCCAGGCTACCCAGAGAGAACTGACAGGTCTCCTGACTGCCCTCTGTCCCCAGAACTTGCTCTCTTCTACCCCGTCCCTCCCAGCCCTAGCCCCAACACTGACTCCTCTACTCCTTCTACCCTCCCTCCATCCTGCTATTCCCAGTCTCCATAGAGGAAAAAGGGAGTGTCATGCCTAGATGAAAAGATTTGGGGTTCAAGTCACCCCATGTACCTCCCTGGTTCCAACGAACCTCCGGAATTCTAGCCACAGATCCCCCTCTTGCCCTCTCATCCTCCCCTAACACATCCCTACACATTGCAGGCCCAGGGGGGAGTCCACAAAATGGGACTCCATGCATCCATCCTTCTGTGGGGCCGCGTAGCACACCCACGGCAAGACTCCAGTCCCTGGTCCCGGCTCTGCCACTTATGAACTGTGTGCCCATAAGCAAGTCGTCTCTTGCTCTGCAGACTGGGGCTTATCACATTTGTCCCACCTGTCCCAGAGAGCTGTTATGCAAAGTAAGGGGAATCACAGATGTGAACAGGCTTCAGAATCAGAGCTCAATATAAATGTACCTCCTTATTATTAGGCACATGGCACAGTGCCAGGCAGTGTGGTATGTTCCTTGGGGCTAAAGTCCAAGAGATATTGGCAATAAAAGAAAGTGAATTATACCGGGCAGAAAACAAGGAACAAAAAGAGAAGAACAGAGATGAGGATTCACCAGCCTCCAGAGAAGAGTGAATTCACAGTGACAGTGCAATCAATAAAGGCTTCCTGCAAGAGGAAGGCTTTGTATGCAGCCTGAAGTGGCTCTCACCACGCTGATCAAAGGTGATTTCATGGCCAGGCATGGTGGCTCATGCCTGTAACACGAGCACTTTGGGAGGCCGAGGCGGACAGATCACTTGAGGTCAGGAGTTCAAGACCAGCCTGGGCAATATGGTGAAACCCCATCTCTACTAAAAATACAAAAATTAGCCAGGTATTTTTTTTACAGGTGGCACATGCCTGTAATCCCAACTACTCTGGAGGCTGAGACAGAAGAATCACTTGAACCTGGGAGGCAAAGATTGAAGTGAACCAAGATCACACCACTGTACTCCAGCCTGGGCAACAGAGCAAGACTCTGTCTCAAAAATAAATTTAAATTTAAATGTAAAAAAGGTGATTTCATGCATGCCCCTTCCCAAGACCAAGCGCTCTTTGAGGGCAGGTGACATGTCTTTATGTCTCAGCCTTCGCAGCTTCCTCCTGGCATCTAGGTGAAAGAAAGAATGAATGGAGCCTTGAACTAACCAGGAACTCAACTAAGTGGAAAAGAGGAGAGACTCCCAGATAGCAGAGGGAAGACAAGCTGGGGTCAGAGGGCGGACTCTTTGGCTTAGGAGTAGAGGAGTTCAGAAGTTCAGGCTTCTGATCACAAAGGGAGGTAAAAGGAGTTCAGAGGAGTCAGTGACATCATGAAATCAGTATTTGGGGAGCTTAATTGGGCAGCTGCATGCAGGATATGCAGCAGGGGGTGAAGGAAAGCTGGCAGAGTGGCCAGGAGGCAAGGGCAATGAGTCAGGCAGACGGTGAGAAGGGAAGCCACTGCCTCTCGGCCAAATCGCCCTCTGGGAGCACCCATCTCTGTCCCAGTGGAAGCCCCATCAAGGGCCACTCTCAGTGACTGTCCTCTTTAGGCTGGACCTTAAGTGTCCCCTAGTCCTCCTGCCTTGCACCCAGCACTGGCCTCCTGCAAGTGGTTACCTTCCCCTTGTGAATCCCTCCAGGCTCAGGGATTCCAGGGATTCCAGGGATTCCCTCCCATTCCCGTTTTAGAGGACAACGCGGATGGTAAGCACTCCCTTAAAGGAAGCACAGTGATGCAGCAGCGGGCGGGGAAACAGGGAGAGAGCTTTTACTTCTGAGCACATTTTCCCAAATTGCTATCTTTTCAACACTTTTATAAGGTAGTATGTTAATATGACAGTTAAGATGATGATAAAAAGAAGGTAGAGGAAAAAAATGTGGAAGACAGGACCAGTGCATTCAACACACAGCTCAGACATGATTGAGAAACAGATCCTGGTGCTGAAGAGCTGGGGACAGGAGCCTGGTGATGGGCAGCCTCGGTTCCAGGGCAGGCCCTGCCACCAACGCACTGTGTGACCTTAAGCAGCTGTGCTCTTCCCAGTCACTCTCTTCCACCTGTAAAATGATGTCAGAGATAGTTCCCACCCAAGAGGGTAGTTGTAAGAAGGAAATGAGTTGATCTGGTGCAGTGCTTAGTACTTGGCACAAGATAAGTGGTTAGTAACTGGTATCTGTGATGGGCACCAGGCTAGCAGTTACTGCCTCTAACATCTGGAGACGCAAACCCTAGCACTGCAGCTATCCCACAGGAGGTGTCAAATGTGAGCCTCCCACCCCATCCCCCTGAGATCCCCACATGAATGCACCTCCCCACAGCCCTAACGCTCTCACCAGGGACACACAGAACAAGCCAGTGCCTCCTCGCTTTACAGACCATCAGAAATGCAAAGGCAGTTGCTGTGCCTCCACGGAATATTCTCTCCCCTAAAATCTTCATGTTTTTCTCTCCTCTTATTTCTCTTCTATTCACCTACTGCACAAACAAGATCAGGCAGCAGTGATAGGCAAGGAAAGATGGAAATATTCTTTAAGTGGAATAGCAAAAATAGGCTTTGGAAATTAATGCCTAGAAATTTACCCTGTGGGCTCTCTGGAGACCAACCCAAATGAAATCCCATTGACAGAAAGCTGCAGCCCTCTGGGGAATGTCCCCCCATCCCATCCCCCAGGATCCTTGGTCCAGGAAACATGGAAGTTGGCTTCTGATCTCCCTGGTCTCCCAGGGATCCTGCTCGGGGCACCACCTGAAAAGTCCCTCGGCAGAAGCACTTCTCGCCATGCGTGAATGCTGTGGAAAGCATCTGAACATGAAGTTTCCAATTACTGCTGGCATTTCTGGAGTGTCCTGATGCTGGCTGCAGCTGTCCCACGGAAGGCCAGTGATGTCATCAGCAAGCCTGACAGCACTGAGTTCCAAGGCTGGCTGGGAAGAAAGGTTCCCTGCAGGCTGAGCCCCCATCACTGGAGAGGGAGGAACCTGCCATTTCCCCCGCAAAGGTGGGCACTACTCAGGTTTGCTGCTTCCCTTCCTGGGTAGAATTCCATTGCCATAACTTGGACTCACACCAGGAAAGGTTCAGAAGCTGCACCAATGTCCAGGATGATTCCATCTGACTGCTTCTGAAAACTTACTATGTGTCCAGAGTTGTTCCGGGTGGAGGCAAGCCCAGGTGAGACCTACTTTCCAAATGTTCATGTACTCACTTCGTGGCATGAAAACAAAATGGTCTTGCATTCTTCGGCTACAGAGAGACAATAAGGGAAGTAAAAAAGGGAAAGAGAGAAACGGAGAAAAAGCAAAAGAAGGAAAAGGTGGGAAGGAAATGAAAAGAGGAAAAGAGAGAGAGGGGAAGGGAAGGAAGGAGGGAGAAAAGGAGGGAAGAAGTTTTTGTCCTGTGGCTAGTTTTACCTTGAACCTCCCTACTCAAGACCTTCCCAGTTCCTCTCTCCTCCTCTCCCTTGCTCAGGGAGCTCAGGCCCTGGGGGAGCCCTGGCAGATACCGTCCTCTAGAAGAGCTGACCAAGGAGACAGAGCACGGGATGCCTGCAGAGCGATGTAACAGATTGGGCCCTGAGCCCTACAGTAGAGTTCAAGCTCAACGCAATGTTCAGATTTCCCAAGGCGGGGGATTAGATTAATTGGAATTTGCAGGCTGTGCCCAACCAAGATCCATATCTGTCACCATGTTAACCACATTCAGGCCCCTCTTAAAATCAGAACCCCGCCATCCATCACCACCCCGGTGGAGAGGCACGGCCAGAGCCTCGCAGTCCAAGACTGACCTTCTGGCTGGCAGCCTACCTTTTAGCCGCCAGCCTCCTCCATGGGCTTCCAGATAAGCGTGTGTAACTCTTGAGCAAATCCTAGCCCCTGGAGGAACTACCGGCAGTTATGAACACAGTCCCTTTGTTCATCTCAGGAGCTGATTTAATTAAACGAGAAACTATGGACCCTTCCTAAGGGAGAAACTATTTAGTATCCAGAACCAAGGAAAGTAAAGGCTAAAGGGAAATCCAGATCCTTTCAAAAACTATCTAATTGAACCTTGGGAGCAAAACCATGCAGTCAAATTACACAAGAGGATCCAAGGGGCTGCAGTGTAACCCAAGGTGACACAGCCATTAAGTGAAACACTCAGGTCTGAGCTAGGGCACCCTTTCCAATGCATTATGACACATTTAATCTGTAAAACTGTAAATTATTTTTTTTAAAAAAACTGTCTTGGGCCAGGTGCTATGGCTCACACCTATAATCCCAGCACTTTGGGAGGCCAAGGCAAGTGGACTGCTTGAGCTCAGGAGTCCAACACTAGCCTGGCCAACATGGTGAAACCCTGTCTCTACAAAAAGTACAAAAATTAGCCAGGTGTGCTCTACGCAAATAAACTAGAAAATCTAGAAGAAATGGATAAATTCCTCGACACATACACTCTCCCAAGACTAAACCAGGAAGAAGTTGAATCTCTGAATAGACCAATAACAGGAGCTGAAATTGTGGCAATAATCAATAGCTTACCAATGAAAAAGAGTCCAAGACCAGATGCATTCACAGCCGAATTCTACCAGAGGTACAAGGAGGAACTGGTACCATTCCTTCTGAAACTATTCCAATCAATAGAAAAAGAGGGAATCCTCCCTAACTCATTTTATGAGGCCAGCATCATCCTGATACCAAAGCCTGGCAGAGACACAACAAAAAGAGAGAATTTTAGACCAATATCCTTGATGAACATTGATGCAAAAATCCTCAATAAAATACTGGCAAACCGAATCCAGCAGCACATCAAAAAGCTTATCCACCATGATCAAGTCGGCTTCATCCCTGGGATGCAAGGCTGGTTCCACATATGCAAATCAATAAATGTAATCCAGCATATAAACAGAACCAAAGACAAAAACCACATGATTATCTCAATAGATGCAGAAAAGGCCTTTGACAAAATTCAACAACCCTTCATGCTAAAAACTCTCAATAAATTAGGTACTGATGGGACGTATCTCAAAATAATAAGAGCTATCTATGACAAACCCACAGCCAATATCATACTGAATGGGCAAAAACTGGAAGCATTCCCTTTGAAAACTGGCACAAGACAGGGATGCCCTCTCTCACCACTCCTATTCAACATAGTGTTGGAAGTTCTGGCCAGGGCAATTAGGCAGGAGAAGGAAATAAAGGGTATTCAATTAGAAAAAGAGGAAGTCAAATTGTCCCTGTTTGCAGATGACATGATTGTATATCTAGAAAACCCCATTGTCTCAGCCCAAAATCTCCTTAAGCTGATAAGCAAGTTCAGCAAAGTCTCAGGATACAAAATCAATGTACAAAAATCACAAGCATTCTCATACACCAACAACAGACAAACAGAGAGCCAAATCATGAGTGAACTCCCATTCACAATTGCTTCAAAGAGAATAAAATACCTAGGAATCCAACTTACAAGGGATGTGAAGGACCTCTTCAAGGAGAACTACAAACCACTGCTCAAGGAAATAAAAGAGGATACAAACAAATGGAAGAACATTCCATGCTCATGGGTAGGAAGAATCAATATCGTGAAAATGGCCATACTGCCCAAGGTAATTTACAGATTCAATGCCATCCCCATCAAGCTACCAATGACTTTCTTCACAGAATTGGAAAAAACTACTTTAAAGTTCATATGGAACCAAAAAAGAGCCCGCATTGCCAAGTCAATCCTAAGCCAAAAGAACAAAGCTGGAGGCATCACACTACCTGACTTCAAACTATACTACAAGGCTACAGTAACCAAAACAGCATGGTACTGTTACCAAAACAGAGATATAGATCAATGGAACAGAACAGAGCCCTCAGAAATAACGCTGCATATCTACAACTATCTGATCTTTGACAAACCTGACAAAAACAAGCAATGGGGAAACGATTCCCTATTTAATAAATGGTGCTGGGAAAACTGGCTAGCCATATGTAGAAAGCTGAAACTGGATCCCTTCCTTACACCTTATACAAAAATCAATTCAAGATGGATTAAAGACTTAAATGTTAGACCTAAAACCATAAAAACTGTAGAAGAAAACCTAGGCATTACCATTCAGGACATAGGCATGGGCAAGGACTTCATGTCTAAAACACCAAAAGCAATAGCAACAAAAGTCAAAATTGACAGATGGGATCTAATTAAACTCAAGAGCTTCTGCACAGCAAAAGAAATTACCATCAGAGTGAACAGGCAACCTACAAAATGGGAGAAAATTTTCACAACCTACTCATCTGACAAAGGGCTAATATCCAGAGTCTACAATGAACTCAAACAAATTTACAAGAAAAAAACAAACAACCCCATCAAAAAGTGGGCAAAGGACATGAACAGACACTTCTCAAAAGAAGACATTTATGCAGCCAAAAAACACACGAAAAAATGCTCACCATCACTGGCCATCAGAGAAATGCAAATCAAAACCACAATGAGATACCATCTCACACCAGTTCGAATGGCAATCATTAAAAAGTCAGGAAACAACAGGTGCTGGAGAGGATGTGGAGAAATAGGAACACTTTTACACTGTTGGTGGGACTGTAAACTAGTTCAACCATTGCGGAAGTCAGTGTGGCGATTCCTCAGGGATCTAGAACTAGAAATACCATTTGACCCAGCCATCCCATTACTGGGTATATACCCAAAGGACTATAAATCATGCTGCTATAAAGACACATGCACACGTATGTTTATTGCGGCATTATTCACAATAGCAAAGACTTGGAACCAACCCAAATGTCCAACAATGATAGACTGGATTAAGAAAATGTGGCACATATACACCATGGAATACTACGCAGCCATAAAAAATCATGAGTTCATGTCCTTTGTAGGGACATGGATGAAATTGGAAATCATCATTCTCAGTAAACTATCTCAAGAACAAAAAACCAAACACCGCATATTCTCACTCACAGGTGGGAATTGAACAATGAGAACACATGGACACAGGAAGGGGAACATCACACTCTGGGGACTGTTGTGGGGTAGGGGGAGGGGGGAGGGATAGCATTGGGAGATATACCTAATGCTAGATGACGAGTTAGTGGGTGCAGCGCACCAGCATGGCACATGTATACATATGTAACTAACCTGAACATTGTGCACATGTACCCTAAAACTTAAAGTATAATAATAATAAAAAAAAGAAATTACTTTTGAATGGGAAAAAAAAAAATTAGCCAGGTGTGGTGGCACATGCCTATGGTACCAGCTACTCTGGAAGCTGAGGCAGGAGGATCACTCGAGCCTGGGAGGTGGAGGCTGCAGTGAGACAGGATTGCGCCACTGCACTAGAACCTGGGCAACAGAGCCAGACTCTGTCTCAAAAAAAAAAAAATACTTTCTTTGATATATCTTTATGAGAATTGCTATCTTAATGTTGCTCATAAAAATAACTTACACAAATGTGTGCCAATTGCTGAAGATCTTCAGTTTCAGTTATTCTATTTTTTATTTCTGGAAGTCCTATTTGTATTCTTCAAATCTCCACGGATTTTAAAAATTAGTCTATTGTTTCTTCCTCATTTGTTTCAAACATTTAAAATACATTACCTATTCCATTGGAACTATATCTGAAACCCTCGGGAATCTGATTCTTCTGTCTGTTGTTTCTGCTGACTTTCACTCGTGGTGACTGGTTTCCTCATCTGTTTTGGATTTTGAGAGTGAAAGCTCATGCTTGAATGGCTGGGTTTTACCTACAGGAATCCATCAAGGCTTGAGCTACAAGTATGTCCCTCCAGAGAGAATGTGCATTTGATTCTGACAGGAACTCTGGTGTGACCAACCCCAAACTACCTCCAGTTAATTTTGCAGCGTGGAGTCTCCTGGGTCACCCAGGCAGTACAAATTCAAACCCCAAACTTGCATGAAGGCAGACTTATGATTACAAATTCTCACAGCAAACATTGTTCCATCCTTTGGCAAGCCAAAGCCAAAACAGATAAGGGCCCCTGTCTTCTCCCTTTGCCCCCCTGCAGATGTCTGCTGGACCACCTGTCTGTCCCCTAGGGATATATTTCTCCTGTAGGGGAAAGCTTCAGACAGAAATCTCATTTCCAACTCCCCACCTGGCAAGGGTCCCAGGTCTGGCTCCCTGGGTATTCTAAAGGCCATGCTTTCAATCCTGGCTTAAAGCCTGACACGCCCTCAATCTGATTTATTGTAAACACAGCGAAGTCTTTCTTAGAGCCTAGATCTGTGCTTTTTCCCGTACCTAATTTAAAGCTAGATACACCTTTCTTTGGTCTTTGGAGCCCAGAGTTCCCAGGGCCTTCTAAGGAATAAGCTTTCAAAACTTTGAAATGTAGATGTATTTATAGGAAAAGGAAAGCAGCAGCAACAAGGTTTTAATGACCTATAAGGCTAATGGAAGGGAGGAAAAAACGCACACGCCTGTGTAGTCAGCAGTTCCAATTGAGGAGCATCTGAAATGCTGTAAGAAGGTAGAACAAAGTGGGAAATATTAGAACAGAGCAGAGTGGATGGGGAAAGAATCTACAAAGACTGTAGAGACATTTCTCTCTGTCTCCGTATCTTTCTGGGTCATTCTTCGTCACAGGATGTCAACATAAGAGGTATATTTTACCCTATACACACATGATGTGGGCCAAAAGTTGAAAATGAGTGTAGGATTAGAAACTACAATTCAGAATTTTAAAAAGAAACCAGACCACACACAACAACTTATCCAGGTAGTTTCCAGAAGGCTTCATAGCCATCACTCAGTTCGTCCTCACAAAAGCCCTCAAAAGTGCATTTTATAACCAGTAATGGCCAACCTTCTGATAACCAGTCTACTGTACTTTCTCACATCTGTCACTACTTCTTATCAAAAAAAAATTCATTGATTAATCAATAATACGTTTGGGAGGCTGATATGTCTGGATCACTTGAGCCCAGAAGTTCGAGGCAGCCTGGGCAACATGGCAAAACTCTGTCGCTCCAAAAAAAAAAAAAATCCATATATATATATATATATATATATATATATATATAAATTAGCTGGGCATGGTGGCATGTGCCTATAGTCCCAGCTACTCAGGAGGCTGAGGCAGGATAATCGCTTGAGCTCGAGAGGTCAAGGCTGCAGTGAGCCATGATCATGCCACTGTGCTCCAGCCTGGGCAACAGAGTGAGATCTTGTCTCAAAAAAAAAAAAAAATCAATAACATGCACACACTGCAAATATATCTCCAGCTCTATGATTCCTCACTCAAAATCTTCAAAACCAGATGTGTTTTAGAATTCCAATTGTTTCGGGTTTTAGGAAATTATTAAGGTGAATCTCTGAGGTTTGGGCTGCACATCACAGTCACACACACTAACATTTCTTCAATGACACACGACAATTCAGACTAAGCTGGATGAATGAAGACCATAAACTGCCTCGCAGTTCAGGGCAGCTTCCACTCACCACCAGCCCCTCCATGAATTAGGTAAAAACACTCACTTTTCAGAGTTTGGGGGACTTCAGGTTGGGAATGAGCTGGTGTAGAACTGGATACATAAGTCATCTCTCAAAATATCTTATATTTAAATCCATCAGCTTAAAAGTCCTTCCCACTAAGTCTCAAAATCTTCACTCTGATTCTCAGAAGGGGCAGAAAAGAACAGTGATCAGAAGAGGAGAGGAGCATGAAACAGTTGATGGCCAGAGAGAGCCCAGTGGGCCTCCCCGGGAGCCATGATGTGTAGTGTGTGCATGGGCGGTGGGGATGTGTAGGCATAAAACCACAGGATAGGTCAGACATGACCCAGGAAGACTCTTAACAAAGCCTCAGGTGTAACAGCAGGGGCAGGCTGGGCAGGGGTGGCCCTCAGTACAGTTGCATTTGGCCTCAGATTTGTGACTAAGAGAAGCATAATATGAGGCAAAACCTCAGCATCCTCCTCTACAGCAGGAGAGCTGGACTACAACAGCAATTTCAGATGGCAGGCCTCAACCCCCTGGTTGACCAGGAAATCTATGTAACAGGTTATAAGCAATTATTTTTTAAGAAAATGGAATGGAATGGAATGGAATGGAATGGAATGGAATAGAATAGAATAGAATAGAATAGAATAGAATAGAATAGAATAGAATAGAATAGAATAGAATAGAATAGAATAGAATAGAATAGGTCTGTACCTCGCTCAACAGGGACAGAAGCTTCTGTACTCAGGACCCTTCCAGACTCACCCTGTATACCTGTCCACCTGCCTGTTCATTTATATCCTTTATAATACTCTTTTTTTTTTTTTTTTTCTGAGACAGGGTCTCACTCTGTCACCCAGGCTGGAGTGCAGTGACACAATCTCAGCTCACTGCAACTTCCGCCTCCCAGGCTCAAGTGATTCTCCCACGTCAGCCTCCCGAGTAGTTAGGACTACATGCGTGTGCCAATGCCAGGCTAATTTTTGTATTTTTAGTAGAGACAGGGTTTCACCATGTTGGCCAGGCTGGTCTCGAACTCCTGGCCTGAAGCGATCCACCCATCTTGGCCTCCAAAAGTGCTGGGATTACAGGCATGAGCCACTGTACCCAGACCTATCCTTTGTAACATTCTTTATAATGAAAAGATTATGTCAAGCTGCATCTCATGTGGTAAGGACAGCCATTGTTTCAGGAACTTTTCTTTCTATAAGATATATATATTAATATCTATGCGTGTGTATATATATATATATATAAAATCTAGCAGAATGTATCCACATGTATATATAACACATAGATATAATACACATGTATATACACAATGTATGCTTTGCACACACAATGTGTGCTTTAACTGTGGGATGTGGTCTAAAAAATTTAGGATTTACTGTGCTAGATGACTGCCTCTGAATCTTTTTAACACAAACATCCTGTGGATTGTTTTTTCTGGTGTTACTGAATCCAGGCATTCTGTATTAAAATCATCCCAGACTGAAAATCAAAAAGAAGTCTCGTTAAATTCTCTCTTTTTCAGGATGTACTTTAGCCACTGGGACCTGACTTCTAAGGTCTCTGCCACTCACTCATTATGACCACTAGGGCATTTATCTAATCTCTGAGCCTTTAGTTCCTTATTTCTGAAATGCAGAGGCTGACCATCACAGACCTCTGAAGAGCAACTGCTCACATAAAATTGGAGAAATGACGACTCCTAGCTCATAGAATGGTCGTGAGGATCACATGAGGTCATACTTTGAATGGTGCACCCAACACACTGTAAGTGCCATATAATTTTGCCTCTAAGACAAGACTATGAATGCTTTCCATGTCTGGTGCTTCATGATGCTTTTGAATCCAGTATTCATTTTGCACATGCAGCCTGCTTGGAGTGGGAGCTGATGGCTTTCAGGAGGCCCCAGGGCCTGACCACTGCAGGGGCTGGGACCACAGATCGTACCACCACCCTTTGTTCCTGCCTCCTCCTAGCCCTTGGGAGGCAAAGCTTGTCCCCTCAATAAATGATGACCAGAACCCTGTGTTTGTTGCCCAGCCTCCTGGGAGATGGGCAGTGGCATAGCAAAGGGATTACTTTGGGTAAATATTTCTCTAAACCTCATTCTTGCCTCCACCAGTGCCCAGAACGAGCCGGCCAGCTCCCCAACAGCCCCACCGTTCCAATGCTAGGACAGTGCTGACAGCATCAGCTCCCTGAATACAGGGCAAATGACCTCACTAAAGGTAAGCCCCAGAATTAAGCAGTGGTGGCAGAGGCTGGGAAGCACAAGAGGAGGAGAATGCATGAACTGTTCTCTCAAGGCACTAGCGATTTCCTTTTCCAGAGCAGGTTATCGTCTTTACAGCACTTAGTACTTGGACCAAACAGCCACCACATTGCAATTCCACCTGAGGCCATGGCGGGCATCCAATCCTGCCTCCTCCAAAACGGGAATCTTGGCTGCACCTTTCTGGACAGATGGAAGCCCACTTTCTGGTGTGCCTTCCAGAACCCAGGGAGCTAAGTCTTAATGCTCCCCAAGGCACCTTCCCATCACTGGCAGGCAAACAGAGGTTAGTCTACCCAACTGATAGCTGAGAACGCTGAGATTTAGTTCACAGGCCTAAAATGCTGGTTCGCAATATTGGCTGCACATTAGGATCACCCGGGGAGCATCTGAAGTTCCCAGAGTCCCTGCCATACCCAGAGGCTATTCGGATTTGTTCCAAGCATTTGCTTTATCTCCCCAGGAGTTTCCAACGTGCAGGTGCTCTGGCTCTTGGTTATCGATCTCACTGGTGCCTCAGAGCCACTGGAAGGCCAGTTAAAATAGAGCCCTGGGCCCCACCCCCAGAGGGGAGTCCCTGACTTGGGGGTTGGGCCTCTGAATTTCCATTTCCAACAAGCTCCCAGGTGAGGCTGATGCTACTGGTCCAGAGAGGAAACTAGAGCTTTGAGATCCAGTGCTCAAGGCCCATGTTTCTAGCCTTAGGCTTCTCAGCCATGGATTGGGGAGAATGGCTCCTGGCTTGAGAAGCTCTGTTCTAGAATAGCACTCCTCAGTCTTCTGTGTGCACATCCGGACGCATCTAGATTCATGCCCAGGAGGTTTGGGTGGAACCTGTGCTGCTGATCCTCTAACCACCGTCTGAGGAACAAGGCCCTAGACTAGCAGGCCTGACTGCCAAATCTACATTCTTCCCACTTCAAGCAGGTCTAGGGCCAGGCAACTCGCCCTTCCCTAACAGAGATCTGCCTCCTTGAAACCTCCACTCTGAGAGACTTGCTCTGAGCCACAGGACAAAGAAAAAGACTTCCTCTCCCAGAAAGGCACCCAGGTATCCTGTCCCCACCTCTACCTCTTAGCCTCTCTTTCTCCCTACGAAACAATCCCCCATCCTTTAACTCCTCTTGCTATGTCACAACAAACAAAACCTCAGGGATCTTGGAAGCAGGCGGACTCTCGGCCTCTCCCAGCACTTGATGGGGCAGTACTACGTGACATTTAAGTCCCCTCCACTGGAGACGTGCTTCCTAAGTGTCCACCACATGCTGCATATGGTCCTCAGGGCTTGGGACCCAGCTGGGGCACAATGACAGAAACACAGGAAGCACACAGCCGTGCAAGAAAGCTCACCATGGGATTCTAAAAGGAGTGACGCTAACAGCTGGAACAAGAAGACTGCAAAGGAAGAAGATCCAGTTCCCATCTGCAGGCCAGGGGTCTCAGGACTGCTAGCCTTCTGCCCTCTAAGCCACTGGTCCCATTCTCTAGCCTAGAGAGCTACAGGATATCAAGCCTCGAGATGCTGGTAACCTGTCCAAGTCATTTAACGGGAGGAGGAAGGACGACAATGGCTTACACTGTTTCCCATGCACCATGTGTTAGGCACTGTGTGAAATGCTCTGCAAGTATTATTTCATTCAATTCTCACTGAAATCCCATGAAATGCTCATTGCTATGGCACCACAGTTTAACAGGAAAGAATGGAGAAGAATGGAGAATTACAGATGTGAAGTAGCATGCCAAACAGGAGGTAACAGCAGTAACTGACCCCATGTTGACGAGCCTACACACTCTCTTTTTTTTTCTTTCCTCGGCTCACTGCAACCTCTGCCTCCCGGGTTCAAGCAATTCTCTGCCTCAGCCTCCCGAGTGGCTGGGATTACAGGCGCCCACCACCATGCCCGGCTAATTTTTTTGTATTTTTAGTAGAGACGGGGGTTTCACCATCTTGGCCAGGCTGGTCTTGAACTCCTGACCTTGTGATCCACTCGCCTCGGCCTCCCAAAGTGCTGGGATTGCAGGCGTGAGCCACCACGCCCGGCTCACACTCTCTTAACTGCCATGTAGTTGAAGCAGTTAACTTGCCTTAACTGCCTAAAGATGAGGCACTTAACTTGCCTCATCAAGGACCGGGAGAGACCGAGACTCAGCCTCCTTCCAAGATCCAGGTTTCTATGCAAGATGGTCCCGTCCTCAGGCCATTTCATATGGTAATAAATAACATCAAGCAATATAATTGCACTTAATACACCAGGCAACTCTAAACTACATGTGTATACACATATATACACACATACGTAACTTATGTATAGATAAAAACATACACTCATTCCATCCTCACAACAGCCTTCTTTGTAAATATCTAGATTTCCATTGTGCAGATGGGAAAACTAAAGGACAAAGAGCTTGGGTAACTAGGGTCTCCCAGCTAGTTGGTGGTGAAGCCAGAATTTGAACTCTGACAGTCTGGTTTCCAGGTTGTGCTGGTGACATCCCCCTGCCCCCTCCACAGTTCACATTGGCTTTGGTGCCTAAACTGAATAAAGAGCACAGTTCAAGGTGCTTTCTGTGCCCACATTGCACCCAGTCCAGTGGCCAAATCCTCTGCAGGTACCTTGATAAACATCCAGTAAGGACCAAACAGGTGCCTCCTGCCCTATTTATAGCTCCCAGCATGGCCAGCTAGCTATAATTAGCAAAGCTCCCCTAGGACTGGAGCTAAATTAAACTGGTGGGATTAGAGGCCAGCAGCTTCGGACAGTGCCTCTGGACACCTCCAGCAACACACCACTGGTGATACTAAGAGAAGCCTCTTCAAAGAAGTAGTTTGGCCTCACCAGTGGGCCTTTCTCCTGAGTGGTGTGTGGACCCAAGGGGTTCCTTTAATGGCCTCCTCCCAATTCTAGTGGCTGATCTGTCCTGAGATCCCCCAATTAAATCAGAAGAAGATGAGTGATCTCATGCTCTAAGGGTCAGAAAACCAGAACTCTGGTCCCGGCTGTGCCGCTGATCAGCCCGGTGGCCAAGGGACTCAACTGCTCTGGGTTTCAGCTTTGCTTCTTGAGATGAAGACAGGCCTATCTCTGAAGTCCTTCTTGGCCGGAAAATCCCAGACATCTCACAGATCTCAAAAAGGGGCTTCCAGTTAAGTCCTGTGGTAGGGATCAAATGCCCTCTAGAGAAGGGTCTGAGGGAAGCCTGCAGCCCCCAACGAGGGAGGAGGACTCTGACTTGAAAGTCTGGTGTAAACTCTTAGGCTGCTGGTGCTGTGAGCCTGGAAGAAGAGAAGTGACAACCTCTCACCACCTCCTGGAGCCTGAAGAGGACAAAGAAAGAGATCTCATCTTCCCTCTCGCTCCAGAGTATCCAGCCGCCAAGGGCTCTGCCTCTCTCGGGACTCAGATGTCACCTCCTCAGAGGCCTTCCTGGGTTCCTTATCTAGAAAATCCACCTGCCACCACTTCCTAGCCACTGGCCAGGGCACTCCCAAGACATGGACTCTCATCCCCTATATATTTGTTAAAATGTGCATTAACTGTCTGTATCTCCCACTGGGATGTGAGCCCCACAGAGGCAGGGCCTGCATCTGTGCTCTTCACATCTAGAGCACCTGGCATATACCAGGCACTGGGTCTGCTGACTCAGTGAGCCATTTTGGCCCCAGGCCTCCTTTCTCTGTGCTGAGCGCCCAGCTGCCAACCTCCCGGAGTCGTTGGGCTTCTGTTTTTCCTGTCCAAACAGGGAGGGAGCCACTAAACCAAACAGGATGAAAGGGAAAGAGGGGAGGTCAGGAAGCCTTCTTGGAGAAGGGGATTTCTTCAAGGATGAGTCAGTGATGTCTAGCCAAGGAAGCAGCAAGGATGGAGAGAAGAGAAGGGGCAAAGCACAGAGGTGGAAATGGCCCATGCAGGGCATCTGCCGGCAGCTGGGAGTTGCTAAGAGCATGGAAGGTTATCAAAGCAGGAGGGATCAGGGAGGCAGGGGTGTCAGTGACAAATGGCCACAGGTGTGTGCGAAGAAGCCTGAATTTTATCCTACAGCTCAGGTGTGGGCAAACTTCTCTGTAACAAGCTGTCAATCTGTCACAATTACTCAACTCTGCCACGGTAAGCTTGAAAGCAGCCATAAAAGATACATCAGTGAATGCAGATGGCTCTTTCCCAATAAAACTTTATTTATAGATATTTGAATCTGAATATCTTATCATGTTCATATGTCGAAAATATAATGTGTCTATTGTTTTTTTCAACCATTTAAAGAGATAGAACCCATCCTTAGCTCATGGACTATACAAAAAGAAGTGGCCGGTAGACTCCTGCTGTGGGCAATGGGGAAGTTTTGGGAGGTTTTAAGAAAAAGAAAGACAAGATCTGGGTTACGTCTTCAAGAGGCCTCTCTGGTGGCCAGTAAAGAACGGACCAGTGAAGGTGTTATTCCAGAGGCTGGGAGACCCTCAGGAGGCCCTTGTGATGGTTTAGGTGGAAGACAGAAGGGATCCCAGCAAAGGAAATGAGTCACAGAAGCTCCCCTAGAAAGTGATTTCCATCTGACCCATTGGGGCAGTGAGGCAGGTGTCCCCGGATGTTTCTTCCATGAACAGCAATTGAATTGAATGCCAAATTTGAATTTGGATAACAGCCTCTCGTCCTAGCAAACCAGATTAATACTAATCACTTTCCCTCCCCACACATATCCAGCTAACTTTCCATAAAATGCTATCCTTAATAAATCCAGAAAACAAACAAAAACCTTCAATGTCTACAATAAGATTATAGTATATATATAAGAAATGTCTGGCCGAGCACCGTGGCTCATGCCTGTAATCCCAGCACTTTGGGAGGCCGAGGCGGGCAGATCACGAGGTCTGGAGATCGAGACCATCTTGGCTAACATAGTGAAACCCCGTCTCCACTAAAAATACAAAAAATTAGCCGGGCGTGGTGGCGGGCGCCTGTAGTCCCAGCTACTTGGGAGGCTGAGGCAGAAGAATGGTGTGAACCCAGGAGGTGGAGCTTGCAGTGAGCCGAGATGGCGCCACTGCACTCCAGCCTGGACAACAGAGGGAGACTCCATCTCAAAAAAAAAAAAAAAAAGAAATGTCTTTATTTTCAGAAATGCAAACTAAAATCTCTAGGGATGAAATCCTGTGATATTGGTAACTGACTTTCAACATATTTCAGCAAATAAAAAATGAACGCATCAAAAACAGCTCCAATCTCTACTGCCTTCCTCCTGGCCCATGACTTGGGAAATGCAGGGCAGGGTCAGCCTGCCCCAGGATCCCACACACACTTCTAGGAGGTAGGTGTCTCTGGATCCATGTGGCCTGTGCATGTGATGAGGGGCCTCTTGCTCCTGCAGAAGAGCCATCTGTGCTTTGCAAAAGAGGTCAGAGTCCCAAGCCATAGCAGCCAAGGGCAGAGACCAAAGTCCAGACCTGTTCCTGAAGCTAAACCACTGTTGCAGGTACCTTTGCTCTCCGTGATCTTTTGCCAATGACCCAAAAAGAAGCTGTGAATTTCTGACCCTGCACTCATAAATGCTGGTGTCCATCAAGCCCTTACCATGTGGCCCAATACTTTATATGCATTATTATCTTTCCTAAACTTCACAACAAGCCTATGGGAAATATACTATTTTCTCCACTTTGCAGATGAGGAAACTGAGGCTTAGAGTACAACCTGTGCCATCATACAGGTCCCCACACCTGGGAAGAATCCATGCTTGGCTTAATGCTCTGCTATCACCATCATAAAATTCTTCATACATTTTATAGGAACCCTACATTCGCATTCTGCACAGGACCCTGCAAGTTACATAGCCAATCTCACTCAGGTCTCACGGCTCACTGGTGGTGACATCAGGGGTAATGCAGGCAGTAGGACTCCAGCACCTGCCTGCCATCCATGACAGTGTTAGAAATTTCATGTAAGTGGCTATTTGATTCCAGGCTGCTAAAAGCCAAAGCCAGGACAGACACCAGGCTCTGTTTGATACCCAATTCTCAACACTTTTTTTTTTTTGAGACAGAGTCTCGCTCTGTCACCCAGGCAGAGTGCAGTGGCGTGATCTCGGCTCACTGTAACCTCTGCCTCCCGGGTTCACGGCATTCTCCTGCCTCAGCCTCAGTAGCTGGGACTACAGGTGCCCGCCACCACGCCTGTTTAATTTTTTGTATTTTTAGTAGAGATGGGGTTTCACCGTGTTAGCCAGGATGGTCTCGATCTCCTGACCTAGTGATCCACCCACCTCAGCCTCCCAAAGTGCTGGGATTACAGGCGTGAGCCACCACACCCAGCCCCAATTCTGGACTCTTAACTCAGGCAGGACAAACAGTTGGTGGCCTGGGCCCACCCAACTGCCGTGCTCAGTTGCCTTACTCCCTCCACTCTCAGCCTCCTTGAGAAGCACCTTTCCTCTCTCGGCCACTTCTGTTTCCTCCACAGTGACCTTGGAACGGTGACTAGGAGTGCTGCAGGTGGTGGCCTTAGAAGGACAGGGGCCAGCCCAGTCCCACTCTCCGGCTGTCACTGAAGAAGCACATGCTCCTCAATGGAGGAAGACAGCTTCAAAGAGCATCTGAGTTTTAGGAAGGGTAGGAGACAGCTGGAACAGAGGCCGATTCTGCCAGCTGTCATCGGTCTCTGATCTCCTGGCAAGAAAGCTGGCCATAGAGTAAAACCTCTTTTTAAAAATTCAGCAAACCAGGAGACATACCCTCAGGGTGTAGCTCTGAGGTTCCAATATACATATTTTCCCAGGGCTGAGAAGACTGGAAATTTCTCCAGCAAGATCAAATGCAATGCATCTCAACCCAGACCCACCAGGGCAAAAGCAGAATCTGTCCCCGAAGGTCAACGACATCATCACTGACATTGAGTCTAGCTCAGGCTCTGGAGCTGGTCTGCCTGGGCTTGAATCCTAGCTCTGATGCTCGCTAGCTGATTGGCCTTGGCAAGTTATTTAACCTCTTCATATCTTTGTTTCTTCCTCTGTAAAACAGAAATAATGATGCCTGCATCAGGGTTATTATGAGGCATAAACAACTTAATATATGTGGAAGAGGAGCTTAATAATTGCTAGTGATTAAAGTTGATATCATCATTTTCAAGCTCTGCTTAGGGACCTGAAGAAATGCTCATTCCCTACCTAATGCAAGCGGGGCTTAAAACCTAGATGACGGGTTGATGGGTGCAGCAAACCACCATGGCACGTGTATACCTATGTAACAAACCTGCATGTTCTGCACCTGTATCCCAGAACTTAAAGTAAAATTTTTAAAAAATGTTCATTCCCCCGGAAGTAGCCCCAACCTTGCCATGCCCTAAATCCGCTGCTCTAAAATCCCTAACACAAGCAAGAAGTATTGCCTCTTCTTGACCAACTGCAAGGAAGTGCCTGCTTCTCCAGGACACCTACAAGGGCAGCTCACAGAGCCATGCCCCTCGGGGGACTTCTTGACCTTGGTGGTGGAGGCCTTGGCAGACGCTCAGGTGTTTGGTTCCATATTTGCTTCCAGATAAGACTGTTTAGTAGACATGCAACTGCTTAGCTATGCCCCAAGGCATGGGGCAAGCCACCAGCCAGGGAGGGCCCACTTCCTCTGACTCATCTGCACACATGACAGGCCACCAGCCCCATCCGCCAATAGCAAGGCAAAGCTGACTCAGGCAACATGAGATTACGAGAGCATCTCCCTCCCCTCCTACTTCAGTCCACAGCAATCTGTGCCTCCAACCTTCTTTGTGCTACAAAGATAACTCACTGGTCCAGGATTATCATGGTACCTCTGTGACAGGCTCATCAGCAGGGCTGCTCTTGCCAATCTCTTACTGCTCAGAGCCTGGCCCTTGTAGCTCTGCCTGCTCTTCCCTGGTCCTGAACCTTGCTTCTGCTCCTTGGACTCCCAGGTTGGGCTTCTTCCTGGTCAGTCTTATGCAGGTCTGACCACAACTAGTCCCACTATGAAGCCCATCAGAAATGAGGTCAATGCATCACTGGCCCAGTTTCACAGAAAGATGGACGGGGGCACAAATGGCTGCTGGAATCCAGGTCCTGACAAATAGAGACTTGATAGAGCATGGTTGAATATTTCTCACATAGGGACACAAGTCCAGAAGGCATATGGCATCTCTGAGTACTGGATGTCATACCAGGAGAGTCTCATCTCAAAAGGAGGTGATGATCATGTATTTGGCCTTCAAAGCCCATGCTGCTATAATTTTCTAAGATCTGAAATCTGAGTAATACAACAGCAGTCAGCTTCATGACCAAGAGCCCATCCTTGAGGGAAACTGACTCTTCCTCCTCTGATGAGTGACTTGACTTTCCAGGCAAGTAAAGCAGGATTGAGCTTACTCCTGGGTCTCAGGGTTGCCTCCCTGGCCTGGGGCAGAGCAGATGAAGAGGAAGTGGGTGTTGATTCTTAGTGGTTTGGGGCTTCAACCTTGTCACCTACCTTTCAGGCCTAGCCTCAGTCCTGACTCAACAGGAGAGGCCAACACACCCAACTCCACTTCCTAAAGGCTTTGGTGCCCAACCCCAAGTCCTGATCACTACTCAGGAAGGAAATACAAGGAAATGCCTTCCAGGTAGGAAAGGAGGTATAACCATATGTAGATAAAAAAGGAACTTTCCATTTCTGTAAATTGAAGTCTTATTCACACAAGAGACAGATTGCAGGGGGCTGGATTTATGGGGTAAGATGATTAAATTCTGTGTCCTCTTTCATATGTCATGCTTTATCACGCATTACTAAGGATCTGATTTGGTGGCAATTTGTTGATTTCTTCAGTTCTTAGCTCAGTTACAAAAACGCAGTGAGCAGGACTTGGGTACCCTGCCAGTCAGCTCCTTAGGGTCAGAGAAACACCGTCAGTCCACAGTGCTTTATAACCACCCAACCACCTTAGACGGGGCCTTGGTATTCACTACCCACTCGTCCTCCCCTAGCAACAAGCACCAACAATCCAACATATACGTAAGACTTGTGGGAAGCCCTTATTTGTCTTTATAGCCACAGAATGTGGTACATTTAAGTTGTTCCATAAATGTTTTTGTTTTTGTTTTGAGACTAAGTCTCGCTCTGTTGCCAGGCTGGAGTGCACTGGCGCAATCTCGGCTCACTGCAACCCCTGCCTCCCAGGTTCAAGCAATTCTCCTGCCTCAGCCTCCAGAGTAGCTGGGACTACAGGTGCATGCCACCACGCCCAGCTAATTTTTGTATTTTTAGTAGAGACAGGGAGGGTTTCACCATGTTAGCCAGGGTGGTCTCGATCTCTTGACTTCATGATCTGCCTGCCTCAGCCTCCCAAAGTGCTGGGATTACAGGCATAAGCCACCACGCCTGGCCTTGTTCCATAAATGTTTTTAAAGAAGAACATGCTCCCTGAAATCCAGCCCATACGCCATTCAGTCTCTGACTCTGTCTCTGACAGAGACACTCAAGAGTGAGCTGGGAGAAGGCCTGGCTGTCTGACATCACCTAGGAGGCTGAGGTCTGACCCAGTCTTCCAGACCCTAAGAAGTCTCACAGAGAACCCAGCACTCGGCTGCACTTAAGGCTTCCACAGCACGCTGTTCCAGCATCACCTCCAGCTCCCTATGGGAAGCCCACACACCTGGCCAAGGGACACTGGAGCATGCACTCCCTGCACAGTCCTCTCAGCCACTCTAGCCCTTTGCTCACGTTCTTCTCTGACCCCAGAACAACCTCCCTACCCTTCTCCAAGCTGTCCCTCAAAACCCATTGATCACTTAAGAATCTCCATAGCAGATCTTTTGTACTTGGCATACTGAACTCTGACCACATGCTGGGCAGTTTGCTGGATGACAGGAGTACCAAGAGGACGAAAACACATGCCTGCTCTCAGGCCACTCAGACTATCGGGGGAGGTGAACAGAGGAACAAATGGCTGCAACTCCTGCACAGTCAGACTGGCTGGGGTGAGTCTCAGCCCCACAACGCACTAGCCGGGTGACCTGAAGCAAGTCGCTTAACTTAAAATGTCTGTTTCCTCTTCTCTCATATGAGGACAAGCATGGTACTGATTTCACCAGGCCGTTGTCGCAGTTGTATGAATTAATATAATTAAAGACAACATTTATTTTACTCAAAAATTACTGGAGTAAGAGGAGTGAAGGTAATGCACAAGCTATATTACTTGGTTTTGTACCAAGCTCTTATCAGATTGCTTTCACTAGATTGGTGCCCTGTGCACATGGCAGGCCCTCAAGAAATGTTTGTAACCCTTCCTTGAACATGCTCTGCACTTTACCCAGCTTTTCTGTTCTCATCACCTCTTCAACATTGTTTGTATAAAAATTATGTATTCTGCAAGGATGAGATCAGATGCCACCTCCCCTAATTAGGTTTACATGCTTCATGATTCCCAGACGAACAACTTCCCTGTCTTGTTTTTGGATTTCTCAGGCATCTAAAAACAGGTCCTCACCACCTTCAGTTATACCCATCCATATAGGTATACTATATGCTCCTATCAGACCACAGCTCCTTGAAGACAAATACTGAGATTCATGCATTGTTATTTGGGGCCAAGGCTCTAGCGACAGAACAATTAAAAAGCAGTGCTATTTCTGTAGGGGAGCACTCCAAAACTCCTTTCCAAAACCTTTTTCTCATAAGCCCATGAGCCAGAATGGCTTTCCAGAACCTCATTTTTATCAAAAATAGAAACCAATCTGACCACGCACACTTTATATCAGAGTGAAATGGAACATCCCAAACTTTTATCAACATGCATTTTCTGTTCCCGGTATATAATAAAGGGTCCCAATGTTTATCTAACATTTTTCTGAAATCAGTATGTAACACTCTCCACTTCTGAATCTGATGGGGCACCAGTCAGTTTCATAGTCATCACTGGAGAGACTCTGTGCCAGATTTTGTCTTCAGTTGTAACACAGGATCACATGGTCACTCTACTGAGCTATTCCCACCCACACTCTTGGTTCTAGGGATGATGAAGGGAAAAACAAAATGGTTCTAGCACCTGGATGCAGACCGTTGCATGTTCGACGTCCTTTTCTTGTGCTCCATATGAAACATGTCCCAGATCCTTCACGAGCAACCCTCCACTGTTCAGTTTCATAGGAGCGCAGAAAACAAGTCCAGTTTCAAGTAGGTAGTAATTTCTGTTTCATTTCATGAACAAAATAGAGATGCAGCAATAAATTACATGATTTGAGCCCTCATTAGTAGACAGTAAATGTCACTGTTTATTAAAAAGCTAATAATCCATTCAATTTTTTAAATTAAGCAATAAGACTCTAATATAATAAATTTGAATAATTAAGCCTAATATTAATGGAGTGAAAACATGAGGGAAGAAAGAAGTTCTAAAATCTTTATTTTTCCCTCCACATAAAACATGTTAATAATGATCCCACAGGTGAAAGAAGTTTCTATGTGCATACCAGTGGAGTACTTATTTGTCAAAGCAAGAACTCACACGTATGCTTAGATGGCTGGAAATCTCTAGGGAAGTACAGAGAACTCTCCTAACTCAGCCCTCACTATTGACTCCTAGCTCTATTTTTACCTGATCTGTTTTTATTGCTGGACTCCACTCTCTTTCCATTACATACAGCCTAAGAATTTTCTACTCCAGCTAGAAAGAGCTCTGACTAGGACACAAGTTTACAACCAGGATGGTTGGTCTGTACGTGCTGTCTTCTCCCTGCTCAATAAAAGGAGAGCATCCTTGTGTTAGAAATAGCTTGGTATCTGCGGCCATACCACCCTGGACACACCTGATCTTGTCTGATCTTGGCAGCTAAGCAGGGTCTGGCCCAGTTAATACTTGGATGGAAGAAACAACTTTGCACAACAGTTCTAAACAAAGCACAGTTTGAACTTATTCTTCCTGCCACACAGCCTTCCCACCACGTGAGGCCGTAGCATCATCTCTGCTTGGAAACTCTACACCAAGATTGCACCATCACGCCCTGAAGAAGGCAAGAAGCCTTTTCTCAGGCCACTGAATATAGGCTTATGTAAACAGGCAGTATAACTCAGTAGGCGGAGATGAAACATTTGCACTTCTCTCCAAGCATTATAATGAGAAAGCAAAACTCTTTATACAAGCTAAACCCTTTTCTACATTCTTAAGTGTCCAAACAAACTTTTCCCCAGCAGCCTGCACTTCTATGGCTTTGCATTATTGGGATAAGCCAAGAGGGAGGGAACAGGAGCCTTTCCTCCTAAGCTCAGAGAGATCAAAGAAAACAAAGCTAGAGAGTGTGAGGGATTCTGCTTGGTGAGCATTTCTCAGCAGAGTGGACTTTCTGTGTCTGGGCTGCGGGCCCCTGAGTGTCCGGTGCTCTGAGGACACCTTCAGTGGAATCTGTGGAAGGTACACATCAGATCTGCTCCCAGTAATAATGCCCTGCTTTGCAGAGGCTGTTTTGCTTTCCCAGGTGCTTTCATGTCTTTTATTGATCAACAAGCAAACACTTACTGAGCGCCTATCAGATGCAGGGCCCCAGGTGGAGTTATCTCACCGACAGATCATCTCACGGCCCCAGTCTTCAGATATATGTGCCACTCTGAAAAGAAAATAAGGCCCAGATCTGCCTTCAAGATGTTTATAGTTTATTTGGAGACATAAGCAGAGTCCCACAGAAAGAGAAATAATACTGCAAAGCACTCTATTTTAAGTTAGTCTTCCTCAAACTTTGATCATAATCACAACCACATTAGGAGCTTATTAAAAGTCAAAGGGGCCTGGATCACATCTTTGGAGATTCTAATTCCATGGGAATGAAGCCTGGGTCCCTGTATTTTTAACAAGCAGCCACAAAGATTAAAAATTTAAAACCTAAGACAGTGCCTAAGTGGCAAATGAGACAGTCACTCCTGTTGGCCGAGGTCAAAGGACTCCAGCAAGGTCAGACATAAAAGAGACCTGCAAGGGCAGACAGGAGGCTGAGAGCAGAAAGGCAGAAAGGGGCAAGGTAGGAAGTTAGGAGGGAGAGGGGGATAGGGTCCCAAGAACAAGTGCAATATTCATGTAGGGGACAGAATGCAGAAAATTCTGGATGTAGGAGAAGGCTGCCCTAGAGGATTGAGAGATCAAGACAGACAGGTAGGTCTGGAGT
Organism: Homo sapiens; assembly: GCF_000001405.40. NCBI lineage: Eukaryota > Metazoa > Chordata > Mammalia > Primates > Hominidae > Homo > Homo sapiens. Next base: position 77,588,424 of record NC_000010.11, read on the forward strand.
CCAGGGCCGTGGGACTGCAGTCTGGGCCCTGATATTTTATCATATCAAAGTAAGGAGGATCATGAATGACAGGTGTTTACTTTAGCCTGGAGGCAAAGGGTGCCTCAGGAATGGCAGGGCCATGAGAGCAGAGAATTTTAGACAGAGGTCCCGTGCTAGGCCTGGATTGAAACCATCAGGAAGACCGGAAGCTGGGCCCAAGGTTCTAGTAAGATATTTTAATATCCTGTTCTACCCTCACCACAGATCAACGAACTCAGCAAGATAGATAATATTATCTTCTTTCTGTAGAGAGAAAACTGGAGCACAAAGTGGCCAAACAGCAAGAGGAAACCTGGGGAAGCCAGAACAGCCATGTGGCTGGCGCTCATCTTTGACAAATCAATCCACTGCATTTCAAGCCTATTCAACATACATTTATTGAGTGCCTACTACCAGCAAGAAACAAGAAGCAGCAAGATAAACGGAGTGCCGTTCCTGCCCTCAGGGAGCTCACCTCCCAGGGGAGGAGCTGGCAAACATTTTCTGTGAAGAACCGGATAGTGAATACTTCAGACTGTGCAGGCCAGTTAGTCTCTGTAGCAAATGCTCACCTCTGACATAGCACAAAAGTGGCCATGCACAATACACGAACAAATGAGCATATCTGTGTTCCAATAAAACTTTATTTACAAAACATGCAGTGGGCCGGATTCGACCTGTAATGTACCAATCCCTAATCTAGTGGGTAAAACAAACCCCTTCATGGCTACTTATAAAACAAGAGAGGTGTGTTATAAATAAAACGACTTTGCAGCCCAAAGGAAAGATAGAGTAATTTAGTCTGGCCATGGATGACTGGGGAGGCAGCACTGGAGTAGGACAAGTACTTAGTTTTCTAGGTCTCAGTTAAAACGATGGGGCTGAATCAGAAGCACATGGACGGCCCTTCTTGTTCCCGTGTTCTCTGACTTGGATGTGGTGCTCCTTTCCTGCCCAGAGTCTTCCAACTGCACAAACAACGTGGCCTCTCCCAAGCTCCCTGGGCCTCTCCTCACCTCTACCATCAAGTTTTGAATGTCAATTAAGGAATAAAAATTCCTAAATGATCCTGGAAGGCTGAACACACACACACACACGCACAAAGTGTGTGTACATCCTACTGTGTCCGGAATTGGTGGGTTCTTGGTCTGACTTCAAGAATGAAGCCGCAGACCCTCGCGGTGAGTGTTACAGCTCTTAAGGTGGCGCGTCTGGAGTTTGTTCCTTCTGATGTTCGGATGTGTTCGGAGTTTCTTCCTTCTGGTGGGTTCATGGTCTCGCTGGCTCAGGCAGGAGTGAAGCTGCAGACCTTCGCGGTGTTACAGCTCATAAAGGCAGCGTGGGCCCAAAGAGTGAGCAGCAGCAGGATTTATCGCAAAGAGGGAAAGAACAAAGCTTCCACAGTGTGGAAGGGGACCCGGGTTGCCACTGCTGGCTGCGGCAGCCTGCTTTCATTCTCTTATCTGGCCCCACCCACATCTTGCTGATTGGTCCATTTTACAGAGAGCCAAGTGGTCTCTTTTGACAGGGTGCTGATTGGTGCGTTCACAATCCCTGAGCTAGACACAAAGGTTCTCTAAGTCCCCACCAGAGTAGCTAGATACAGAGTGTCCACTGGTGCATTCACAAACCCTGAGCTAGACACAGGGTGCTGATTGGTGTGTTTACAAACCTTGAGCTAGATACAGAGTGCCGACTGGTGTATTTACAATCTCTTAGCTAGACATAAAGGTTTTCCAAGTCCCCACCAGACTCAGGAGCCCAGCTGGCTTCACCCAGTGGATCCCGCACCGGGGCCGCAGGTGGAGCTGCCTGCCAGTCCCGCGCCGTGCGCCCGCACTCCTCAGCCCTTGGGTGGTCGATGGGACTGGGCGCCGTGGAGCAGGGGGCGGCGCTCCTCGGGGAGGCTCGGGCAGCACAGGAGCCCACGGAGGGGCAGGGAGGCTCAGGCATGGCGGGCTGCAGGTCCTGAGCCCTGCCCTGCGGGAAGGCAGCTAAGGCCCGGTGAGAAATTGAGCACAGCAGCTGCTGGCCCAAGTGCTAAGCCCGCTGAGCCCACACCCACCCGGAACTCGCGCTGGCCCGCAAGCACCGCTGGCAGCCCCTGTTCCCGCCCGCGCCTCTCCCTCCACACCTCCCCGCAAGCTGAGGGAGCCGGCTCCGGCCTTGGCCACCCCAGAAAGGGGCTCCCACAGTGCAGCAGCGGTCTGAAGGGCTCCTCAAGTGCCGCCAAAGTGGGAGCCCAGGCAGAAGAGGCGCCCAGAGCGAGCGAGGGCTGTGAGGACTGCCAGCACGCTGTCACCTCTCACTACCACCGCCAGATGCTAAGTCTAAATTTATTTAAATTTCTAAAGGTTTTCTCCCTCCTTCCCAGAACCTCTCCCTCCTGAAAAAGGTCCAGCTGCTTCTGTACCAGACACTCTAGCGAGACTCAAATGTTCTTCCTGACCAAATGCCCACCTCAAGAAGAACCTGGAGCCAGGAAGAAACCAAGGGTGGCCACACACCTCATCTGCCCTGCTGTGCTGGTGCCAGGCGAGAAAACAGAAATAGAGCCACGGAGCTCAACAGCAACACCTCATATGGTGCCAGCAGACAGCGAGCAAGGCCCAGGCAGATAAACACATTAAGGCAGGCTGTGCAGCGCAGGCCACGTCCAGGCCTCAGAGGGACTTCATCTCAGCCAGCCAAGGTCAACTCCATTCTAAGGCTTAGTCAGCCTCCTCCTCTGGGGGCTCAGACTCCCCTGGCCAAGATCACTCATGTACCAAGAGGATTGGACAAGGCCACGAGTGAGGCCAGGTGCCAGCAGGGCAAAGGCAGGCAAAAGGCACCACAGATCGCATGTGGTGGCAGCAAGCCAGCTGTGTATAGATTCAAGCCTCAGACCCACCTCTGAAAATCCTACCCTACTCAAGCCTGACCACCTCCTCCAGGAAGCCCTCCTGGCTCTTGCTAATTAGCAGTAAATTGTGTGTTCTCTTAACATCTAGAGTAATACTTCTCAACATAGGGTTGCGAGACCAGCATCATCAATAAGCACCACCTGGGAAGTTGCTGGAACTGCTGTTGGAAGTTCTCAGGCCCCACCCAGGCCAAGCAACTTAGAAACTCTGAGGGTGGGACCCAGCAATTGGTGTTTTAATAATGTCCTCCTAGTGATTCTAAAGCAGGCTGTGGTTTGGGAGCCACTAATCCAAAGTCTAGATTCTAAACCACTAACTGGACACCTGTGTTTTACATGCAATCCCTGTGCTCCTGGCTTCCCTGGGAATGTGGTTGCATTTCAGAGCCTGGATCGCACATGCCCATCAATCCCCCACCTTGCCCAGCCCAGGATGCCACAGCAAGTACTTCCTCAGCAAACACCTGTGGAATTTAATTAGCTTGAGTTCAGATACCACCATCAGGTTACAAAATCACAGAACCTGAATGCTGAAAGAGGCTTTAGTGCCCATCCAGCCCAACTGCCCATCAAGGCTCTGCCAGGACCCAGCTTCTCCACGTTTCTCTCAGGTCAGGTCAGATGCTCCACTAATGCCTGGGAGTTCAGTCTCATTCGTTCGCCCAGCAAATATTGACTGAGCATGGGTGCGAGGCACACACAGATGTTCCTGCACACAAGTGAACGAGACCAATGAGAATCCTTGCTCGGAGGGAGCAGATATTCCAGTGGCAGGAGAGACCCAATCAATAGCAATAAATAAATAAAACAAAAAAAAACCCATATGCTTTAACCATTAGAAAACATCAGACACACCAAAATATACAGACCGCCTATGAAAATAACTAACCAGCACTCTTCACCAATGTCAAAGTCATGAAAGGTAAGGAAAGACGAGTCACAAAAGCACACTAAGGAGACATGGTGGGTACATGCAATGTGGGACCCTGGACTGGATCCTGGAAAAGAAAAACAGCATCAGTGGGAAAAGTGATGATATTTGAGGAAGGCTTAAAGTTTGACATGCAGTTTTAGACCAACATGAAACTTGTTCTTTTCTATAGTGATGTAAGATGTGAACAATTACGGGAAACTGGCTAACAGGTAGACAGGAATTCTCTGTACTAATTTGCAAATTTTCTGTATAATATTTTGATGGCAAATCCAGTTGGGAAAGATGGTCCAAATAAGAGGTGAGGTGCAGTTGGCATCCTTAAATAGAGAAGTGACATGTGGGCAAGATGACATTTGGGCAAGACCCAGAGGCAGGAAAGGGGCCAACCAGTGGCACTGTGAATGACATGAGGCCAAACTCAGTCTTGCCAGGATGTTTACCCGTTTGTGCTTGTTCTTCTATCCAGATGAATTCTGACCACGCTTTGAACACTTACAATAATGCTGGAGGACCCTCAGTCTTCTCTTTAGAGGAGGCCTCACAGTCCTGCAGCTGTGCCCACTGAGTGTGCCCCGGCAGCCTGAGCCCCTGGAGTGGACAGTAAGAGAGAGCGCACAAAGGCAGTGGGGTCCAATAAAGACCAAGGTTGAGACCAGGAGCACCTCCACCTTCTTTGTTCTGGAATTGCCCTGGTCTCTTTTTCTTGCCAGCAAACCACTTTAGTTCCTACTTTCTCCTCTCTTTGACCCTGTGCCCAAGCTTCTCAGCATGTGAGCTTCTCCTCTAAGCACTGTCCACATGCGCCCAGAACCTTGAGCAGTGGAGCTCAGAGCAGGGTTGACGTGAGTAAGCAGACATGAGTCAGGCTGAGACTCCACCTAATGACTAAGGATCAACGTCCCACCCAAAGTTCCCATGTCTAGCCCTTCAGAAAGGACAGGGAACCATAATCCAAAGTAAAACAGCCTACTCCCTAGGAATGACAGCCCACAGTCCTGAGTTCTAGGGACCTCAAATAAGTCTCTCCCTTCCAGGCGCCAGGTCACCATCTATAAAGCGATACATTTGGATTAGTTAATCCTCAAGATGCTTTCCAGTTCTAACACTGCATAATCAGTAATGTATCAAATGAAATTGTGCAAGGTAATTGCAGCTTTGAAGTACAATGTGGGGTAGTAATGGTAGCAGTGATGAGATCTATGGGCTCCTACCCCAAGTGAATCACCAGAATTGGAAATGGTAATTGTTACTATTAATATAATAATGTCTTAAATTGCAGAGTGCTTTTCCATTTACAAAGCATTTTTATACACATTATCTTGTGTGATCCTCATAAGAACCCAGTGAAAGTGGTAGGAAAAATGTTATTTCTTTGGCATAGATGAGGAAACAAAGTTCAGTGGCCATTCAATTAGGAGTGACGGTGCTCAGCCCTGAGCGTAGGACTCAATGCCTCATCTTCTTTCTGCTGCTTGGTGCTGTCTTTGCTACTCCAACAACCTGTGCAACCATCTGTGATTTTGTCTCTCTAGTTTTTGACCAGGTTAGTTCAAGGCATCTGCACAATAAGGAAACCCAGGCATTCCCCTGGAGGGGAAAGCATCCAAATTGTGCCCAGAGCTGCCTTGGCTCGGTCCATCCATTGGGCTCCTGGGAGCACAGTCCTCGCCAGGAGGGGAGGTAGCAGTATTCTCCATTTGTCTCCCTGCAGCTCAAAATAGAACAGATGATGTATCACAGCTGATCTCACTGCAGCATCAGATGTTTTAAAATAATTAAATAAAGAGAAATGGGAGTGTGAAGAAAAAGGCCCCAATTTTTCAACGCTAGTGTCCCATGAAAGTGAAAAGAAAGGGACAATGGTCAAAGTCAAGGTGAGGGGGCAGCTCCCCCAGAGGTGCCAGGTTTACAGCCGTTCTGTCCCTGCCATCCAAGCTTTCCTACCAGTAGCAATACTGTCACCCCTCACCATTCGGTTGCAATTTGCAAAAGGCAAGAGACAACTTCCTTTCTTGCCACACTCTAGGATAGAAGAAGCACTCCAGCCAGCCACCAATTTCCCCTCGCTAAGCAGCCCTTTTCTCCCATGCCCACTACATGCAGAGGGTGACCCAGGCACACCCAGAGTGGGTGCTCTTGTGTCCTGTCGGATGGGGCCAGTCAGCATGAGAGCTCTTTGTTCAAACCCCGTCTCCCTACCATTTGTGTCCCTACCTAAGTGCCTACCCTTGCCCACGACACTTATCTCCCTAGACCTCAGTCTCCACGGTTCTGAACTGGGAGTTAGAAGCACTCATCTTACTTCCTCATAGGGTTGTCAGTGCTATGAGGATGGAGTGAGATCACACTTGAGAAGACACTTCAAAAACTTACAAGTCCCACAGGGCACTAAGAGACCATGGTTCACCAAGCACCTGGTCAGGACTGATAACAATGGCGTATGGCTGGCCTTTCCCAGCCTCCCTCCAGTTAGATGGACTGGAAGATCAAGTTCTGGCCAGCAGAATGTGGGCAGAGTATCTGCTCTATAAAGCCTTCACACACGATCCTGCTCCCTCTTTTTCTCCTCTGCCAGCTGAAGACCCAGAGGAGGATTCTGGGTACCTAGAAAGGGCAGAGCCACAGACACACCCTTTGATTGTGTTACATGGCTGGAGTTGAGGGTTGCTTGCTACAGCAGCTAGGCCACCTGGACTAGCAAAATGTCCCAGTGGAGTAGCTGCCTAGAAAATCTCACAATGAGGTTGTAAATTCAAGTGAGTGGAAAAAAAGGTTTTAGTGGTCGGGCGCAGTAGCTCACGCCCGTAATCCCAGCACTTTGGGAGGCCAAGGCGGGCAGATCACGTGAGGTGAGGAGTTCGAGACTAGCCTGGCCAATATAGTGAAACCCCATCTCTACTAAAAAATCCAAAAATTAGCCGGGCATGGTGGTGGGCGCCTGTATTCCCAGCTACTGGGGAGACTGCGGCCAGAGAATCACTTGAACCTGGGAAGTGGAGGTTGCAGTGAGCCAAGATCACGCCACTGCACTCCAGCCTGGGTTACAGAGCAAGACTCTGTCTCAAAAAAAAAAAAAAAAAAAAAAAAAGGTTTTAGTAGCAAACAGTCAAGTTTCCTCATAATTCTTCCACCCAGTAATAGGATAAAAATGAGACCATATAAAAGATGTACCCCGGCACATGGACTTCGGGGCCCCATAGTTCTGTGACGTCTGTGTTCAACCTGTTTGTGGAACAGTCAGTACAGCACACACCAAAATGCAGCTCCCATCTAGATTGTTGCTGAGGTGCTCTTCCTTTTCTCAAACACCTATTAATAGATTTACACTCCTGACAATAAAGAAGCGCGGATCAACCTCTAACTAGCCAGACAGGCTAGTTTTTGTTTTGTTTTGTTTTTTGAGATGGACTCTCACTCTGTTGCCCAGGCTGGAGTGCAGTGGCGCAATCTTTGCCTCCCAGGTTCAAGCGATTCTTCTCCTCAGCCTCCCAAGTAGCTGGGACTACAGGTGCGCGCCATCATGCCCGGCTAATTTTTATATTTTTAGTAGAGACTGGGTTTCTGACCCATATTGGCCAGGCTGGTCTCGAACTCCTGACCTCGTGATCCATCCGCCTCGACCTCCCAAAGTGCTGGGATTACAGGCGTGAGCCACTGCCCCCAGCCCAGATAGGTTAGTTTATCCAATCACAGTATCAAATGCCCTCCTAATGTGGACAGGCCATGCTGGGCCACATAAGAGACTAATAAGCCACTAGAAAAAAAGTGGGGGACAAAGGACATGAAAGACAATTCACAAACATAAAACAAATGGCCCCCAAACATGTAATGTTCACCCTTACTCATACAAAATAAATCACGTCTCACCCATTAGACTGGCAAAAATCAAAAAGGGTGGCAAGATCTCGAATTGCCGAAGAAGCAGGGAAAAGGCACTCACTTGTACTATCTGTGGACAGGGACACTGGTTCCTCTCCAGAGATCAATTTCATAATATCTATCAACTTGTAAATGGCAAGTCCCTTTCAATTCAGCAATTCCACTTCTAGAAATCTATCCAAAAGAAATCCTCATACATGCATAAAAAGACTCATACACAAGATTATTCATTGTTTGAAGTGCAACAGATGGGACATGGCCTAAATGTCCAACAGTACAAATCACACAAATACATTTGGCTACTAAACAGATGAAAAGTCTACCCCAAAGTTTACACGATCCTGCTCCATAACATCCGGAGATTGGGGGTTGGGGGAACTGGCAATCAAGCGCATACCCACAGAGGTTGTACCAGGATTTACATGCGCACAAGAAGGGATGCTATGGGGAAGCATTATCCTTAAGATGCTACGGGAGCACAATCCAATGTTCGACAAGGTGTGAATCTGTTTCCATGCAGTTCCTTGGTGTTGTGCTTATTTTAAACATATGGAAAATTAGCCATAATGCAAATAACACAGCAACAGCTGTGTTTTCATCTTCTTGGCTATTTTGACGTCACAGCCATCAAATACAAGCTCCAAAAAAGAGCGAATGATATTGTTCCCAGCAGCACATGCCAAAAGGCCACACACCTTCCCACGGGATGAAGGATTCCAGGGACATCTCTTTTTATAGGTGTGACTTCCCCTCTTTGCAGAGTAGCTATTTAGCAACTAGAGGGCAAAGCCAGGCAACTGAGACTTAGGAACAGAATTATATCAGAGAAATTGGCGACAACCTTTCTGGAGCGAAATCTAACAGTGTCTATTAATATTCTATATAGACATACACCTTTTGACTTAGGAATTCCGCTCTCTCAACACCAGCATGAAAGGCAACATATATGAGATGTAGTGGAGAAAGAAACCATACCCTGACAACAACCTGAAAGTCCATCAAAAGAGAATGATTGAAAAAATTATGGTACCTCTATACCGTGAAAATTCTGTAATTATATTTTAAAATGAGATCTATATCTACAGGAAGATATAGATCTCATCTCTCCTGCCTCAGGAGAGATGTTCAGGATGAAAAACGTAGTTATCAACAATGTATTGTATATTTCTAATGCATATTTCAAAGTAGCTAGAAGAGAAAGAATTTCAGATGTCCCCAACACATAGAAATGATAAATACTCAAGGTGATGGATACCCCAAATTCCCTGACTTGATCATTATACATTCCACACATGTAACAAATATCACACATACCCCATAAATAGGTAAAATATTATGTATCAATAAATAATAATAAATTGAAATTTAAAAAGAAAAGCAAGAGGCAGGGGACAAGAATGTAATAAGATCCCATTTTCATTAAACAACTGAAAAGCCATATACAAGGCTCACAAGGCCCTACCCAATCTGCCCTCCTCCAATTCCTTCCCCTCCTTCTGTGACTTCATTTCCTGCCTTTATTCCTGTCACATGCTCTGCTCTGTCCCATTGACAGGACACATTTCTAGGTACATCCTGCCCCAGGGCCTTTGCACTTACCCTTGGCCTCAGTGCTCCTTCCCCAGAAAGCCATATGGCTTTCTCCCAAGTTCCTTTTGGTCTCTGTGCAAAACTGACCTTCTCAGTGAATTCTACCCTGATCCCTCCTTTAAAATTACAAAACAGGGAGGAACTTTATCCTGTTTTATTTTTCTCCATAGCACTTATCATTGGCTGCATTCACTTCTCTGTAAGATATTTTTGTTTTGTTTTGTTTTCATTTTTATTGAGACTGAGTCTCACTTTGCCACCCAGGCTGGAGTGCAGTGGCGCGATCTCGGTTCACTGCAACCTCCGCCTCCCAGGTTCAAGTGATTCTCCTGCCTCAGCCTCCCCAGTAGCTGGATTACAGGTGTGTGCCACCACACCTGGCTAATTTTTGTATTTTTAGTAGAGACAGGGTTTCACCATGTTGGCCAGGCTGGTCTTGAATTCATGACCTCAAGTGATCCGCCCACCTTGGCCTCCCAAAGTGCTGGGATTACAGGCATGAGCCACTGCACCCGGCCCACTGTAAAATATTTTAATCCCCTGGACTGTCAGCTCCAAGAGGGCAAGGGTTTTTCCCTGTCTTGTTCCCTGTGGCATCCCCAGCACCTAGCACACAGTAAATATCCAGCAAATTTTTGCTGAATGAATGGAAAACCTGTTTGCCTATCTTGACCCGGGCCTGGGGAAATAAGTGGAAGGGTCCACCCTAGGCCCTAAGCACTTGGCCAGGAAAGCTGCAGGAGAGGAGTGCATGGCATCCGAGAGCCATCAAACAGTAAATAAGAAAGACTTTCTTTTTCTCCATATTATGATTCCACCAGTTGCTGTGAACATATGCTATTTTTATAACTTTTGAACACACATTAAATAAAACAAAAAAGCAAAGATGTAAGTCAGACTCAGAGGAGCAGTGTGGAGGGGAGGGGAGACAACGCAAAGAGAGAGGGACCCAGGCCACGCCAAACAACCGCCTGGCTCTCTCCTCCCTCAGAAGAACCCATCCCTGCCCCGCATCCAGTGCAGCAAGCGTCCTGGGAAGGTCAGGCTGTGGCTCATGAAAGACACTACAGAGTAGATGCTAACCCAAATCCGAACACTCCCAGACTCTCCCTCCCACCCAGCTCAGCTGGTACTAGAGGCAGACAACGAAAAGCTGGCAGAACAAGACAAATGGTGGAGAAAGTAAGGTCTGAAGAAGGTGGGGTGGGTAGAAAGCAGCAAAAAGGAATGAGGGTTGGTCCAGGGGGCCAGGCCCCAGCTCAGCCTCCTAGTCACTGAGTCAGCTTGGGCAAGGGTGCTCTAACCTCTGAGCCTCTGGTTCTTCCTCCCTAAAAGTCAAAATAAAGGTATCTGCCTTGCCCCAGTGGGCTGGATGTATACGATACTGCTTTATCATGCTGTACAAATATCATTAGAAAGAGAATCAGCAGCGTGGATGCCTCACTGGATAATGCAAAACCCCGCCCCACACGGAGCCTTGGTTTCCTCTATTGTGTTTTCCAATTATTTGCTGTTGGTCTATCAAAAATGCATTTAATATGCATTTTAATATCTGACCTTTGGCCACCTGGCTCAACTCTGTTGCTTCTAATAATTTATACATTCGGAGTCTACGATTTCCTCCAGCCAGATGATGGCTGCACCAGAAAATAATGATGCCTTCATCTCTTCCTTTCCAAGACTTATGTCTCTATTGGTTTTCTCTTGTGGTATTGCGCTGGCTCTGACCTAGGGTGCAAGGTTGAATAAGAGAGGTGATAGTGGGCGTTCTTGTCTTCTTTTTAACCTGAAGGGATTGCATCTCATGTCTATCTATCAGGAATAAGGTTTGCTAGAGATTTCAGTAGCTATCTGTCTTCAGATTAAGTAAGTTCCCACTGCGCAGAGTTGACGATGTGTGATCATGAAGCACCTACTGGATCATATTGAATGTCATTTCAGCAATTAGAGAGATCATTACATGATTGTTCTCCTTTGTTTTAATAGAGGTCTGCAAAACAAGGGGATGCCTCTACCCAATACTGCCTTTCAGGGTCAGGAGGAACAAGGCCTGGGACCCGGAAGATAATGACACCACTCCCACCTCAGCCGCCAGCCTGAGCCCCTGATGGTCCGTCCTCCTGTGTGCCACCCCTCCTCTCCTCAACTCTGTAGCTCTCTGGGCCAATCTCCTTCACCTCCATCCTGAACTCTCACTAGTCCTTAAAATGCCACAGACTTGTCCCTGTGTGAAGTCACAAGAGAAAGCTCACTGCCAACCATCTCCATGTCACAAGAAGTCACCCTGAGCATACGCTGTGGGAAGCAGGCTGATCGCATCATTTTTTCAGGATGAGCAGTTCAGGATTCTGATGCAAAGACTCCACATCCACCTTGGCACATGCTAAGATTCACATGAAGCTATTCCAAAATGGAACAACATACCTAGGAGGCAGTGAGCTCCCTGCTACCAAAGATGAGAATGTCCCCATGACATTTGCTACAGAGGTATTTCTACAAAAGATGAAGAGTGACCCAGAGTCATCTGTAAAATGAAGGTAATCAGACCTATCAAAAGGTAATGGAGGAGGAGGAGGTGGCAGCCTAGTGGGGAGAGCAGGAGGTGGGATGGACTGACATTCCAAGCACCTGACATACACCTCGTCACTTAGTCCTCACAGCAGCCCCTGTGGCTATCAGGACACAGAGAAGTTGCTACAAAACACACACACAGAGGCCGGGCACAGTGGCTTATGCCTATAATTCCAGAACTTTGGGATGCCAAGGCAGGTGGATCACCTGAGGTCGGCAGTTTGAGACCAGCCTGACCAACATGGAGAAACCCCATCTCTACTAAAAATACAAAATTAGCCGGGCTTGGTGGCACATGCCTGTAATCCCAGCTACTCAGGAGGCTGAGGCAGGAGAATCGCTTGAACCCAGGAGGAGAGGTTGCGGTGAGCTGAGGTCACGCCATTGCACTGCAGCCTGGGTGACAGAGCGAAACTCCATCTCAAACACACACACACACACACATGCACACACACATATGCGCACATGCACACACACACATACACAGACACACCTTGTTCAAGGTCACATAGTCAGTAGGTGACAGCGCCCAGGCATGCACCAAGGGCTTCTGTTCCAGTCCTTAAGCTCACTCCACTCCACCACTCCCCCTCCCAGGCTCCAGGGTATGCTTGTCAAACTGCCTAACACAGTGACAGCCACATAATGGGCACTTAATGATTCTCCCCAGATTCAGATGGTCAGACATCCCTCCCACTGAGCAAAGTCAATTTTCTCATCTGCGAAGCAAAAGAGAGACTTCATCTTGGCCCTTCACAGGCAGGAAGGTCTGACTGCCTGGCTTTTACGGTCAGCCCTTGCCACCTTTGCAAAATGTATTCAGAAACATGATCTCCTTTGAGCTTCACACCTCTAAGAGGCAGGGTCTCGGCAGAGAAGGTCACTGGGGCTCACGTGGGGAAGGTTCTGCCTGAGGTCCCATGCTGAACTAGCACACTCACATCCAGGGACATCAGCCACCTTTACTATCTCCACCCCAAAGCCTCATGAGTGAAAAGGACGGACGATCTCTAAGATGTCATGAAAACACGGAGATACAATTGAACCTATCTTCAAACCCAAATGTGTGCCATTGACTAATGTGTGATGTCCACTCTCTAAATGGTGAAGTGAAGAAGCAGTCAGCATAAGATTCCGCCAATCAAGCACAAATAACACCATCGCCTTAGACTCGGACCATGTGATGACCTTTATACCCGTGGATTACATATTGACTCTCCTTTCATAATCTAGGCACCAAAATATCTGCTGGCAGCTTATTCCCATCAGCTGCAGGACAAAGTAGCTTCTGCATTTGGTTCCAAGACAGGAGTCAGCAAGACACTGGAGGCCACAGTCCAATCCCAATGGTCTGTTTATTGTCTGAGGTCATTACCATGGTGTCTCCTCTCCCCGGGCCCTGGTAAGCACCAAGGCCACTTTATTTGTCAGTGACTCAACCAGGAACCACATGGACTTCAAGGCAACCTCCTGGCCCTCAAGGACACAGAGTAGCTAAGCCAAGGATACAGCAAATTTTTTGGACCAAGAGCCAAAGCAGGTGGCGCAGACTCTGCTAATGATCAGATCCAGGCAGTACAGAGTTCTGAGCAAGGGATATAGCAGGAGTCCAGCTCCAGCTCCCTTGATTTCGAGAAGAGCCACACCACCTAAGAAACTCACCTTGCTCCTCATCAAAACTGCCCTATTCTAAATGGCACTGAGAATGAGACTGTCCTTTATACTTTTCACCATCCCAGTTGGTGGGAGGGGTCTTTTGAATGTATTCCCACTTGTGAGGGACACAAAACTCACCAATGCCTGACAGCAAAATCTGGGGGCAGGCTTCCCAGGTCTCCCATGTCTGCCCTGGCACTGAAGCCTGGTTTGGGGGAGACGGGGATGCGCTTGTGATAATGCCAACTCTTCAGGTTCTGAGCACTCTCATGTCTGTCATAGAATAGGATAGGGGTTCACTATTGTAGCATGACACGGGCTCAGAAAGGCCACCTATTGTATGAGCACATTTAGATGGAATGGCCACAAGGGGCAAATCCGTACAGACAGACAGCAGTTCAGTAGCGTCTGAGGCTGGGGAAGGAGGGGTGTGGGGAGTGACTGCTCATGGGTATGGGGTTTGTTTCTTTTAGGTTGATGAAAATGTTCTGGAATTAAATAATAGCAATGATTGCACAACTCTCTGTATATACTAAAAACCACTGCAAATGAGTAAATTTTATAGCATGTGAGTGATACCTCAATAAAGCTCGGTTTTTAAAATTTGATGGTGTAGAAGAATATGGAGGTAGCACACTAGGAGGTGCTTCCCTGCCCCACAAGCTGTCTGTCATTTGTCACCTGGGCACTGGGCACATATCAGTCCTACCTAGCAGCCCTTGCAATCCTACCATAGGAGACCAGCACCCCACACGGGCATTTGTTCAGCCCTCCAGCAGCCCCTCCTGCCAGCCAACCACCCTCATCCCTCCCGTGGATTTCGGGGTTCTGAGTAACCAAAGCAAGCATGGGAACATTCTCAGAGCATGTCCAGGGGACACCTCCGGGAATATGCATTCATCTCAGAGGGGAGCTGAGTGCTTATTTGACAAGCACAATGTAACCAAGCCAAGAATGGGGAAGGGTATGAAACAAGAGAGGCGGCCCTCTTCCTTCTCAGGGAAGCCGGGGCTGGCAGGAAGTGGGGCTGCAAGTCCAACAGCTGACACCATCGTCTATGTTCCTCTGAGCTGTGTGCAAGGAAGAGTACAGTCTGGGGCTGCAGGCATGACAGACTTCAGAGGGAAACAAATCAGGCATAAAAACTGCTAGAGGTTCCATTAGCAAGACAGAGCAAAAAATAGGATTCCCACATCCCCCCTGGTGCCCTCAGGGCTCCTTGTACCACTAAAAATAAAGCAACAGGCAATGGTGTTTTTAATGCCAGCGTTCGCAGGACTTCCTGCAGAGTCAGGCTTGCACAGCTTCCTTCGGTCCCCCCCACCCATCTCCACCCCCTCAGCCATGGATTTCTGCAGCACCAGGGGCCAGCAAGGAGCCCAGGACTGAATGAGATGCGTCCATGGATCATGAGGCTGAGATAGATTTCCCTCTGTTGTCCCACTTCAAGGATGCAGTCTGGAGCTTGCAATCCAAACAGGGAGACAGGTTCTGTGTCCCTTCAGGAGAACAGGGTCTGAGCATTTGTGTCATAAGCAGGGAAGGAGAGGGACCTCAGATCCAGTCCATGATTGGACACACCTCCCTCTAACCTCTGGCATCCTGGCAGGCATCTGGGAGGAGGAGTTAGAAGAGGAAACAGCTGGGGCCGTAAGTCAGGCGAGTTCACACCCAACCACCTGCCCCATTACACAGCAGAAAGCACCTCCCTTACTCCTTCCACAGCCCACACCCCACAACCCAGCCCCCAGGGCTGCCCAGTACTAGCTCTTGACAGAGGACTCTAGTCTCTCAGATCAAGAACAGCCCTCAGAAAGGCAATATGGCTCTCAGTGATTCTAAGTGCAGACACTGGCATTGGGCTGCCTGATTCAAATCCTGCCTCTGCCACTTGCTACATGTGTGGCCTTAGACAAGTTACTTAACCTCAGTTCCCCTACCTGCAACATGAGGTTAATGACATTTCCTGCCTCCAGGACTAATGTGAATTGCTCACAACGGTGCCTGACACATAAAGGTGTGTGATAAAGGCCAGATATTACTGGGGACCAACTAACACTATCTTTCCTAGGGAGCCACTGGCATCTGAGGCTGGCAGCCTTCTCTTGATTCTCCAGGTTGCCCTGTGTGCAGCAGGATGCCAACTTGTCCTGGCCCCGAGGAAGTGAATGCTAGGAGTTGCTCCTCTAGTCTAGGTGACAATCAAGTCAGTTCAGTGGTAGGGACAGGATTCAAACCAAGCTTTGTCTGACCCTAAGCCCATGGCTTTCACTACCATTCTACACTAAACTATCACCTGCAAAACCCACAGTGGGCATAAAAAGCCTCTTTTGTCAAGGACAGTGAGGGACATAGTAACAGAAACTGAAAGAGAAGAAAAAAAGAAGTCTCAAGAAAAAACAATCAGCAGGCATGATATTTATTTTAGTTTTTAAAAGTTGTTGGCCAGGCACAGTGGCTCACTTCTATAATCCCAGTACTTTGGGAGGCTGAGGCAGGAGGATCACTTGAGGCCAGCAGTTCAAGACCAGCCTGGGCAACAGAATGAGACCTCATTTCTACCCCCAAAAAATTTACTTAATTAAAAAAAATTAGCTGGGCATGGTGGTGTGCACCTATGTCGCTTGAACTCAGGAGGTGGAGGCTACAGTGAGCTATGATTGCACCACTGCACTCCAGCCTGCACAACAGAGCAAAACCCCATCCCCCGCCCCCCAAAAAAAAGAGTTGCCTAATTCTTCATCTCAGGTCCCTTTTAGAAAAACTTATGTCATATCCCATAAACCAGGCTATCATTCCTTCCTAAAGATTAGTAGACCTAAGTAGGCAACTAGAAAAACAACACATCCGTCTGAGGTCTCAGGCTCACCTGGAAATGCAGGTCCTGGCCTCCCTGCCTCCACCCTCCCCCACCCCTTCCTTGTCAGGCAGCTTGGGCCACCCACCATATGCCGCTGCAGCCCATAAAGACTCTGGAACATTTCAAAGGCCTTGGCCCCCATCAGGTGTGGCTCCAAAAAACACAGGGTCACCTATAAAAGGTTGAGCACAAGGAAACAGCCATAAAACCCGCAGTCCTAACAGCAGACACCCAGTGGCCAGAACAAAGCAGCCAGCTGCCGGGCTTTCCAGGAACCACAGAGGGACATCCCTCCCAAGGACCGCGCCCAGCCGCAGCCCAGGGGCACATGGCTGAAAGGTCCTCAGAGGCCACCTGGTAAGAAGGGCCCTGTGTTGGGTGCTTGCTAGTTGCCAGGGACTGTCCCGGATGCCCTCCTTGAAGAGGGTTAAGGAGGTAACACAGGAAAGAGCTGGCATGGTGCCTGCAGCCCTGAGGGCCTCTAAAAGAGATGCTTCATCTTTCCTGAGCTTCAAAGCACCCGGCAAGTGGGACGTGATTCCCATCTTTTAGGCGGCAAAACTGAGGCCCTGAGGAGTAACACAACTAGGAAGTGAGCTTCAAGCCAAGTCTGTCTGTTCATCTCATGCTTTCTCGTGGGTTCCTGGAGAGGTCAGATGATGGGCTGTCAGTGCTCAAAGGGGCCTGGAGACCTCCCAGCCCTCTGCTGGGTACCCTCCCTACACAGTGCAGCCAGGCTTCCAAGGCAGCCTCCCTCCTCTGCTGGGACAGTCGTCAGGGGTGTTTCAGAAGGAGCAAGCCCCGAGCAGCCTCCCCACACTCTGGCCCAGTTGAGGGAGGTGACAGGGCGCCATCTCCTGCTCCCTTTCTGGAAAGCTTTCCCACATCCCAGGCCAGGCCCTGCAGGCCCTCAGGCTGGCTGATACATGGCAATGACAACAGAAATGGCTCACACTTGGTAGGTGCTTCCTAACTGCCACATCCTTTACACACAACTGCACAAATGCTCTACATCAGGGATGCCCATGTTATAGAAAACTAGGACTTATGGAGGATGTGCAACTTCCCCAAGGTCATGCAGCTATCAGCAGCCGAGCTGGAACTGAATCCATGGTCCTCACCATGCCACGCTACCCTGCTTCTGCCTGAACGCAAGCAGGTGCAGATAAGCCGCAACACCCATGACTATACCCACACACTACCATCTTCCCAGCCGCATGGCAGTGCTGCGGCCTAGACCCATGGCTCAGGCTCTGCCATCCACCCTTGGTGCAGCCCTCCAGCCTCCCAGACACCCCTGCATCAGCCTCTCTCTAGGTAACAGATAATACTGCTGAAATACCAGGCTGGCTTTAAGTTTTGGGTCCCACTGTCCCACTGTCCTAAGTCCCACTCTGACCTGTGGGACTAAAAGGAGGGATGGGACAATCATTGCTGTACAAGCAGCTCCTCCAGAGAAATGCCCAGACCCAGAGCAGCAACCCCTCATGGCCCTCAAAAAGGCATCTTTGGCCAGGCACAGTGGCTCACACCTGTAATCCCAGTGCTTTGGGAGGCCAAGAGGGGACGATCGCTTGAGGCTGGGAGTTCAAGACCCCATCTCTACAAAATAATTAAAAAATTAGCTGGGCACAGTAGTGCGCACCTGTAGTCCTAGCTACTTGGGAGGCTGATGTGGGAGGATCACTTGAGCTCAGGAGTTCAAGGCTGCAGTAAGTTATGACCATGCCACTGCACTCTAGCCTGGGCAACAGAGTGAGACTATCTCTTAAAGAAAAGAAAAAAGGCACCCCTTCCTAGAGTCCAGAAAGACGTCTGTATCTGGCAGTGCCCGTCTTCCTAAGTCCTTTCTGAGGGTCCTGAGCTGAGGGGAGCCAAGGATGCAGCTTCACTCCATCACTGGGTGGTCTCCTCTGGGAACTTGGAGTATTCCCTTCCTGCAGCAGGAAGAGCCACCAAGAGTTTATCGTGTTCAGTCCTTTTAGTCACCTAATGCCCACAGGCACCTTGACACCATACAAAGAACCCCTCTGGGGAAGCCAACAACCCCAAAACCCGTGCAACCCTTGCACCCTCTGCAGCCAGCCCTTGGTAGTGGCCTTACTGTACTCTCCCTCTCCATGACT
This sequence comes from Homo sapiens, assembly GCF_000001405.40. NCBI lineage: Eukaryota > Metazoa > Chordata > Mammalia > Primates > Hominidae > Homo > Homo sapiens. The sequence goes on from NC_000010.11 coordinate 77,606,966, forward strand.
CAGTTTGCCTCCAATAAGCCCTGGGGCCTCAAGTTCAGACTCACCCAACTAGACAGACCAGAAGTGAGCCTCTGCCCTGACATCTTCAGGCACTCTTTTGTCAACTACTCACAAGGATTTATCAGATAGGAAGGGAAAAGGACAGAAAGAACTGTGGGATAAGGAAGGCTCTGAATGTCAGAAAAGGGTCTGAGTAGGATGATTTGAGACTGAAGAAGCTACGTGGTATCACTTAGGAGCAATAAAGGAAAGATTAGGGCAGGTGAGGAGGATAATGGACAGTGGAGCCTGGCCAGTGCCAGCTGACGGACTAGACCGATCTTCCTACCTCTGCTTGCAAAAGGCATTGCTTCCTGCTTAGCATGCCTCACTGATTCCCATAAAAATGGCATTCATCTATATGCTGAGGTGGGCTGAATCATGGCCCTAGAAGATGTCCACGTCCTCATCCCTGGAATCTGTGACTGCGACCTTAACTGGCACAAGGGACTCTACAGACATAATTTAATTAAGGACCTTGAGATGAAGAGATTAGCCTGGATCATCCAGGTGGGCCCTAAATGCAATCACAAAGGTCCTTCAAAGAGGGAGGTAGAGGGAGATTTGACACAGAAGAGAAAGTAAGAGATGTGATGATGGAAACTGAGATGGAGCAATGTGCTTTGGATACGGAGCAGAAAGCCACAAGACTGGGGATGCAGGTGGCTACTGGAAGCTGCAAAAGGCAAGAAAAACGACTTGCCCCTCAGAGCCTCCAGAAGGAACCAGCCCTGCAGACGCTTTGACTTTAAAAGCCCAGGGAAACTGATTTCCGACTTCTCGCCTTCAGAACTGTAGGAGTATATTTGTGTTATCTTAAGGCACTATGTTTGTGGTCGTTACAGCAGCAAGGGAAAACTGACACCCACACTCAGCCACTCGAGAGGTCCCTTCTCCTGCTCAACACTGCTAGCCATTAGGGGTTAAGTAATTCACAAAAGAGACCCATCCCTGCCTTCCCGTAACATATTGTCATCCTCTTTCCTCCATCCTCTTTCCTAGGGTCCCTGTGGCCTGGACTATGCTGCTTTCTGCCTAAGTCCTCCCCGTCCTTCCAGCTCTCATTCCTTCCATGAAGCTTTGTTCCAGCCTCAGAGTCTTCAAAGACACCATTCCTCTGCACGTCCCCCTGCACCCACCCCTGGCTAATGCCTCTTCATCCTGTAGATCTCATTTCTTTTTTTTGGAGACAGGGTCTCACTCTGTTGCCCAGGTAGGAGTGCAATGATACAATCTTGGTTCACTGCAACCTCCACCTCCCAGGCTCAAGCAATCATCCCATCTCAGCCTCAAGAGTAGCTGGGACTACGGGGATGTGCCACCACGCCTGGCTAATTTTTTGTATTTTTCGTAGAGATGGAGTTTTGCCATGTTGCCCAGGCTGGTCTCAAACTCCTGGGCTCAAGCGATCCACCCGCCTTGACCTCTGAAAGTGCTGGGGTTACAGTCATGAGTCACCATGCCGGGCCTGTAGGTCTCATTTCTGCAGGGAAGCCTTCCCTGAGCCCCGGCCAAGGAGAGGATGCACCCCCACACACACACGCATTATAGTCCATAGTCTCTCATCACACTCCAGGCTGAAGTGTGCATATACGTGTGTAAGAGGGGATTATCTGTTCAATCTAGTCACTGATGATGGAATTGCTCAGACCTCTGAGGGCAGGGACCTTGGTTGTCCTGTTCACCAGTGAATCAACTCTCAGCCTGTTATAGACACTTGCATTGATCTCCCTCTGCCCAGAACTGCTTTATTTAACATCTCTATCAAAAAGAACCGTTGCATAGACATTTTTCCAAGGAAGGCATACAAATGGCCCACAGGTATATAAAAAGGTGCTCAACATCACTAATCATCAGGGCTACACAATCAAAGCCACGATGAGTTATAACCTCACACCTGTTAAAATGGCTATAAGCAAAAAAAGAGAGAGAGAGAGAGCAAGTGCTGGTGTGGGTATAAAGAAAAGAGAACCCTGTTACACTGTTGGTGGGACTGTAAATTGATAAAGTCATTATGGAAAACAGTATGGAGGTTCCTCAGAAAAATCAAAAATAGAACTACCATATGATCCAGCAATCTCACTACTGGTTATATATCCAAAGGAAATGAAATCAGTACGTCAAAGAGATGTCTGCATTCCAATGTTCACAGCAGCATTATTCACAATAGCCAAGAAATCGAACCTATCTAAGTGCCCACCAACGGATGATGGATAAAGAAATTGTGGTACATGTACACAGTGGAACACTATTCAGCCTTTAAAAAAGAAGGATATCCTGCCATTTCCAACAACATGGATGAACCTAGAGGACAGTATGTTAAGTGAAATAAGCCAGGGATAGGAAGACAAATACTACGTGATCTAATTTATATGTGGACTCTTAAAAAGTTGAGCTCATAGGAGCAGAAAGCAGAACAGTGGTTACCAGGGGCTGGGATGGGAGAGGAATGCTGGTCAAAGAGTACAAACTTTCAGTTAAACAGGAGGAATAAATTCAAGACATCTATTACTGTACATCATGGTGATAACAATTAATAACAATGTATTGTATTCTTGAAAACTGCTAAGAAAAGAGATTTTCAGTGTTCTCACCACAAAAAATAGGTATATGAGATAATGCATACGATAATTAGCTCAATTCAGCCATTCCACAATGTATACATATTTCAAAACAACATGTTGTATACAATAAACAAGTACAATTTTTATTTATCCAGAGAAAATTTTAATAATAAGTGTTCATTTTAAAAAAAAAAATACAGCCAATTGGCACTCTCAGGCCTGCGTCAGGAACAAGAGGAAGTCAGGGCTCAAGTTTCAAAAACACAGACTGAAAATAAAGCCCCAAACATACTCAAGGATGGAACTCCCCACAGCCTGTCAGCAGTGGACAAAACCTTCCATAGCAGAAGCTGCAAGTAAAAGATGTCTGTGTGGGAGGAACCATTTAGAAAAAGCAGTAACAAGGCGATGAAAACAGAAACAAGGCGGCCAGTCACCCACCATCCCCAATTCGCCCAAAGGCCAGGTCACCCTGTTCCCACCCTGCACCAGCTGCTCCTCTGCCTGCGGCTTTCTGGCCCAAATCCTGTGTGGCCCTCACTTTCTCCTCAGTCCTGCCTCTGCCATATGACCATCTCCTCCTCAAAAGAGGCTTCTCTGGCTACCCACCAAAGCAGCCCCTCTAACACACACAATCCCATCCCCTGTTCAGTGGTCTCATGGTGCCACTGTAAATTATCTCATTCATTGATTTACTGAAGTGTTGATTATCTGCACCCCCCACCACACACACTGAAACCCAACCCAGCCCTTTCTGTTGCAGTTTCCCAGGGCTTCAGACAGTCCTTGGCACATAGAGGGTGCCGGAGAATCCAGAATGACCCTCACTGTGCATATCCATAGCTGCCCTCACTGAGCCGCAGCCTCGGGCTGCCCCAAAAGGTAAGCGGAGTACAAGGGTGGAGGCTCTCTCTCTCTCTAGCACAGAATCTCTTTCTTCCAGAGTCGGCCAGCGGTGCTGTCTCTTTTCTGCTGGGAAAGATAGGAATGGAGATTCCTTGAGGTCAGACACAGTAGATCCTAGTCAGAAACTCCCATTGGCTAAGTGAGAGAAGCCAGACACAAAAGGCCACATATTGTGTGATTCCACTTATATGAAGTGTCCAGATCAGGCACATCCAGAGAGCCCACACAGAGTAGACCAGCCAGGGACTGGGAGCAGAGGGAATAGGGAGTGACTGCTTAATGGTACAGGACTTCCTTTTGGAGTGATGAAAATGTAGATAATAATGATGGTTACACAACTTTGCGAATAAGCTAAAAAACTACCGAACTGTATGTACACTTTAAAAGAAGGAATTTTATCTCAATTAAAAAAACAAAAAAGCACTTATTGAAAAATGCCATGGAGTGGTTAGCAGAGCAAAGCTCTGGAGTCCAACTGTCCAGGCTCAATTCCTGGCTTAAGCCATGAGCTATGTGAACTGAGCCAAATTACTTGGCCTCTCTGTGCCTCTGCTTCCTTGTCTGTAAATGGGGGTGATAATCATGCCAATTTCACAGGGATGCTATGAGGATTAAATGCAACCACCCATGTGTAGGGGACTTTGGCTAACTCCTTTCCAAACTTCCACCTTCCCCATTCCTTGCAGACCTTGTTTTCCATTTGAGATCCATAAGGTTCTGAGGATACTGACAATAATCCCTGGCTTCAGCCAGTTCAGTTACAGCAACTCTCAGAACCTGTGCTAGGAATGCTGGTGCAAAGGTGATTTATTTCCTGACAAGGTTGAGCAGATCAGCATGTGCCCTCCAGAGCTGCAGCAGCCATGTGTGAACCCAGAGGCAAACCAGCCTCAGGACAAGGCCAACTGTAAGGAGAGCAGATTAGAGTGACAGAAAGAAACTGGGTCCATGGAGACATCGTTGAGCCACCGGATCAAGGCTCATCTGAAGTCATCCACCTTTCCAACTATATGAGTCAATGGAGTCCCTTTAATGTTAAGCCCATTGAAGTGAGCATTTCTGCTACATGCAATCAAAAGCTTATCACTGATTCAGCTACGTAAAGTCCCTCATACCCAGCCCGGCACATAGCGAGTTCTCCATTAAGTGTGACTTATTATCATTTTTTTTTCCAAGCTTCTCTGCTGTTCCCCAAGGCCAGTGTTCACCCAGATGTCTAGATACAGAAACTGTTCTACTGGTTTATCTAGATCCAATCCTATGTCCCTGTAATGGCAAGCCACAGACAACTTTACCAAAAACCCTTGCTGTGTGCAAAATCAGTGCACACAGCAAGCATTCATGGGGCGAGGTACTGTGTGCTCAGACAAGACTAGGTACGCAGGGGACAGCACATCAGGGAAGGACAAGGCACTCTGATCATAAGTCCAAAGAGGAGTTCATAATCTAATCAGCAAGGCAAGATCAAGGTCCACAAAACAGTAAAGTATATATTTGACTAGTGACATGATTTAAGAAATGCAACAGTGCAAGCTAAAGGAGTCCAGAGAAGAAAGAGATGGGAATCCTGGTGGCATTCTGGTTTCTCCTGGCTCCCAATGCTCCCAACACATGGACCTAACCAGATCCAAAAACATCCTCCCAAGAACATATGGAGGCCACAGGACATCAGAGCCCAGCACCAGACCTTGCTCCTGCAAATCCCAAAGATAATGTGCACATTTCACGGACATGGCCAAAGACCCAGGCACATTCTAGGTCATGGTCACGAAACTGGCTGAACTAGTCAAGAAGTCCTATCATCTTTTCTTCTCCCAATTTATTTTCTTTTTCCCTCTTTTTCTCCCAATGCAGTAAAAATGTGATGCATGAAACAATTATTCTTCAGAACTCAGGGGCAGGTGGGGAGCCTCAAATCTGGAGAAAGCAAAATGTAAATGATGCAAAAAGAGATCAAGATCCATGAATATTCATCTTCCTCTCCCTTCTGGTGGAAACTAGATTTGGAGGGGTTCATTGCGCTCCATTTCCTCTGAATTCCTAGGAGCGCTTGTGGTCGGCATCTCCTCATTCTGCCTGAAGACCACATGCAACTCATAGGGCTCTTGCCTCCAAGAACAGGCGGCTGCACAGGCGCATACATTGTACCAACCTGTACACCTTATGTCTGTGCATGCCCTACATGTATGTTAGACTTCAATTTTAAAAAATGAAAGTCAAAAGACTGGTCAATTCCTTCTGGTCCTCAAGGCATATTTCCAATGTGGGGGTACCTTCCTCTCTTCACTTCACGGTGGAGGATGATTCTCTACTCTACCTCCTCACCTCCCTGACACACCTCCTTGCCCCAAAACAAAACAGTGAAAATGAACAATCCCCTCTAAGCCATTTGCTTATGGAAGACAAAGCTGGAGCTGACTCCTTTCTGGATTCTCTCTCCCTACTCCCCCCACCCCCACTGAGCACAGGCATGCAATAGATGCTCAATAACTGTTTATTTTGGGAATAAATTACAAATGGTATGGAACTATCTCACACACAATAAGTCTGTAAGTTCCTGGATGTCTGAGCTTGTCTTCTACCTCTTGGGATGCCTGTGTGGCCCTCCCCAAAACCCCACCACCAGGTGATTTCTTAACCTCTATGAGTCTCAGCTCCTGAACCACACTTGTCCTTCAGGATCACTGTGAGAATTTTACCAGCTAAGATGTAAAGTGGCCAGCTCAGAATGTGATATATTGTAAGCCCTCAATAAATAGTAGCTCCCTGGACCCAACCTTCCCCCACAACCTTCCCCAGTTGCAGCACAGAGTTTAAAACCTCCCAGGAGCCCCATAAACTGTGGCCGACCAGGACTGACCAGCTTCAGCTCTGGGTGCTCTGTGCCTCTCTCCAATACACACAGTGCTTCATTAAAGAACTCAAAGCTTATCTGGCCCAAAAGCAATGCTTTTATCTAAAATCAGACCACATGGGCAACAAGTGAAGCAGGAAGCCTATCAAGGCATTTGGGCCAACTGGTTTTGGCTGCCAAGGGAGCCCTCCTTATAGGAGGCGGTTCAGACCGCAGGCCGGCTCACATACAACACTGGTGTACACGGAGGGGTTAATTAGCAGTAAACAGATGCCATGATTCACCTCTGTGCTGTTATTTCCCCGTGTGCAGCTAAAACTATAATCACTCTGTTCTCCGACAGGATGTTTGCGTTCAAGCCAAAACTGCCTCCTCTATCCAACTTGCTGCAGTTCGGTTCAGCACAGGGCAATGAGGAACTTGGCTCCTCTCACGATAGCTGGTGGCTGGCCTGACAGAGGCCCCTTCAGACAGGGAAGGAAAGAGGAGATGGATGGGGTAGAGAAGAAAAAAATGAATTTGTCATTTTATCAAACACAGGTGAAGGCTGTCTGCTGGTGGGAACTGCTCCTCAACACTTAACACCCACAGAGCTCACAAAATACCCTTTCTTCTGAGGCAGTCAGGCATGAGAGGCTTCAGGAGCCCTGTGACAAGTCATTGGCAAGAAGGAGCTGGGGCAAATTTGCAGGCCAATGCCTGGGTCACACCCTCCCTACCACTGCCCAGGCCTGGGTGGGTGTCTAGTCTACTTGGAGCCTGGGACCTGGTAAAGGTGGCCTGAAAGGCTCAACCTCAGCTTCCAGAAAAAATTAAATACCCTGAGAGAGCCAGAAAACAAAGAGATTCAGTGCCCAAAATATAAATGTAACCAGTGTGGAGTATTAGTCAATTCATCAGCAAGAGGTTACTGAATGCTCGTTTGTTCATTCATTCGCCCACCATCTACCAAATGCCCACCAGAGACATGCCACGTGTTTGGTGCTGGGAATACAGAAAGAAATGAAGAAGATGTATGTCCTGTCTCAGTGGCCCACAGACCAGAGTGTGCCAAATCCTGAAGGATCCAGTTAGGAGCTTACAATCTAGCTGGAAAGCTAAAGAAGGGAAGCATGCGGAATTCTCCGGGGCTCATCGCCATCCCTCACCTAACCAGTGCTTTGTGTAAGATAGACTCAAAGGTGAGCTTGAATAAACTGACTTCTGCTAAATGCCATTATTCTACCTGGATACATCACAAAAATGGGAGCCATTACCTACTGAGTATTTTTCATGTGCTAGGTGGAACTTTCTCTGTGGTCTTCACCCTACATGTAATGGAAACTGAGGCATGAGGAGGGTAGACAACTTGCCCAAGACCACACAGGGGAGGCAAGAGAGGAACCCAGGTCCTTGCACCCCAACCCCATGCCCTTTCCACCTCACTGCATGAGCAGAGGAAGGAGCCCCCTTGTCCATCCCTCACCCAGCCCCAGCTCAGCTTGGGCTCCCCCAAGCAAGCACCACATGACTGACACTCTTGGAATCCTCTTCATAACCTGGCCCAGGTATGGGACAAGTTGCCAATGAGCAACATATTTGCTTAACCAAATGCCTGTGGCAGAATAAGCTTGAGATAAAAGGGAGTGTGAAGTGGAAAGAAGACCCGGAAGTCTTCATGAAGGAACTTGGTGTACAGAAAGATGTTTTGGGTGCCTCAGAACACATAATCCCTGATAGAGAAAAGAGTCTGGAGACAAATACCAGATGTTAAGCAACCTTAACACAGGCGCCTGGGCTGCCTCAGCCTATCAGAGTAGCACAGGTTCCTAAATAGGGGAAAGTGCCAACTAAAAAGCCCACCAGGCAGGAGGGCTGGGTCTGGAGCCTGGCCTTTCTTCTTTGTTCAGAGCCCAAAAGGTGCCTCTGGTCCATTCACCATTCACCAGGCCCCAGAGCAGCCCCAGGATCACCAGATGGGTCCACCAGGTCCGTCCTGCTCTGGCTACCAGGCTTCTAAGCCTCTTTTCAGACCCTCAGCCTTCTGGGAGAAACCATTCCATGCCCTCCAGCACTTTCCACCCCTTCTGTTCCTTTTGACATCATCTCCAACTGCCTGAGGCTGCAGAAGGTGGGTGGTGTAGGGGCAGAACAGGCAGGAGCACAATCACAATTCTTATAAAAATGCAAGGGACTGCTGGAGCCACCAGGGACCCTCAGAATGGCCTCATCCAATCCTCCGTTTTACAGGTGGCAAACTGAGGCCTCGCCCCTGAGTTAACCCTTTCAATGCCTGACATCTCGTACTGCAAAATTCTTCCTTTCCTCTCTCTCCATTCCCCTCTCCCTCGTCCTTCCTATAGTGGTATAGGGGTGTGCCGTGGGTGATGAGAGGCAGAGGGAAGGGAGCATTTCTCACCCCATTTTCCTCCAACCCTACTTTCTGCCTCCATCTTTAGCACTACCTCACTGTCCGTCTTGGTGCTCACTGTTGGCCCCTGGCTACCCTGCCCCTTCCAGTGGTCTCCTGTCCCTCAGTTCAGCACAATCCTGGTTATATTGACAAAGGAGAGGGATCTAAAATAAAGGCCAACTTCATCATAACAGGGCCATTTATTGAGGACTTACAAGATGCTAAATGCTATTATACTCACAAAACCTTTACGTGGCTGGTATTTTTAGTATTCACAGTTTACCAATGAAGAAAGTGAGCTTTGCAAGGTTAAGTAAATTGGCCACAACCACCAAGCTAATGCAAGGTAGAGCCAGGACTCAAACCCGCCTTTGACCAATTCCAAACTAGGCTAAGAGCCTCACAAGACTGAATTTAAGAGACCAAAATGAACATTCAAAATGTTGCACTGTGGATGCAAAGATGGAAGGCACAGAGTCCTAGGCTTCAGAGATGCTACATTCCAGCAGGGGGTGGACATTCCACAGACGTGCAATCCAACCTGGATGGACTAGAGTGGAGACTTACCAGAAACAGAGTGACCAATGACCTAGGAGGTTATTGTCAATGCCCACATTAGGGGAAAATGTCACAGTCTCCCAAAGATGACCAAATGAAAGTAACAGTAATAACTAACACTTTCCTAGCCCTTGGTTTGTAGCAAGTGCTACCCTCAGCATTTAACACATGATCCTCCCAACAACCCCAGGCAGCAGGAGGATAATGTGGGGTGACATCTCCCAGCATTTGAAAGTCAATTTGAAGACCGGGTGCAGTGGCACATGCCTGTAATCCCAGCACTTTGGGAGGCTGAGGCGGGTGGATCACTTGAGATCAGGAGTTCGAGACCAGCCTGGCCAACATGGTGAAACCCCGTCTCTACTAAAAATACAGAAATTAGCCGGACATGGTGGTGCGCACCTGTAATCCCAGCTACTCGGGAGGCTGAGGCAAGAGAATCACTTGAACCTGATAGGTGGAGGTTGCAGTGAGCCGAGACTGCACCACTGCACTCCAGTCTGGGCACGAGAGTGAAGCTCCATCTCAAAAAAAAAAAAAAGCCAATTTGATACTAGGAACTGTTTGAGGGCGTTTTCAGTATTATTTTATTCCCACTTTCCAAGTGAGTGAACTGAGGCATGCAGAGGTGAAGTGGCTTGCCCAAGATCCAAAGGTCAGCAAGCAACACAACTATGATTTAAGCCTGAGTAGGCTGGCTCCAGAGGGCATGTCCCTGATGACCACACTGAACTATCTAGAATGAGAGACGTTGCTCATTGAGACATTACAATTCTGGTCCATTGGATTTTAGAAAGGCAACCGTATTACTTATGTTACTACTCACGTTTGAGACCCTGTTTTCTCAGCAGTGAACTGTTGAACTTACTTTGCTGAGACATAAAATTGGACATGGGTAGAAGGGGCTACAGTGAAGTGCATTTCCAAGGTGAAGCACATCACCACAGGAGTGAGACAAGAAACCCGGGAAGCAGCCTCTGTCATCCATGAGCCTTCCACTCTCAATGCTCCAGGCAAAGAGCCACGCCAGGTAAGATTCAAAGTGGGAGAGGGCAGACTGGGAGATGATGCATTCAAATCATGAGGGCAGGCTCAGGTAACTACTGTCAATTCACCACCCCTGAATTAGGGCCAACGTAAACCAGTGACAATCTCTTTGAAACATGAAGCAGGGAGGCAGTTATGCCCCTTAGTCCCTTTATCCTGAAGGTGTTTAAGAAGCTGAGTAGCTTTCAAGCTGCAGACAGGGATAAGAAGAGGCAGAGCTGAAGGCACTCCAGAGCAGCATAGGAAGAGGGTAAGAGTTAACAATCTGAAGACAGAAAACCCTGGGTTCTAATGCTGGTACTGCCACTTATTAAGGATGCCTCTTGGGCAAGTGACATCACATAGCCATTGCAAGCCCCAGTTTTTGTACATCTGTAAAATGGGAAAAATACAGATAGTATCTACATCATAGGCTGATTTAGAGGATTGAGATAATGCATATAAAGTGCTTGACACCATGTCTGACACCTAGCAAATACCCAGTAAACATTCAGTTTTCTCATTGGGTCATGATAATGGTTCTGGCAGAGCCAGCTATGGACAGCAGAAGCCCTCAGTGTGGGACTCGGGAGCCCCTTCAGCAGTCCAGGTGTTCTCCAAATCTATTTCAATCTCCTGGGTGCAGTGCTACATTTCCCAGGATCCCTTGCAGTTAAAATACCATGTGATCAAGTTCTGGCCAATGAACTGTGTGGGTAGACGTGATGTGAATGACTTCCATAACTACCCCTACAAAACTACCCCTCATGATCCTTACTTCTCATCCCCTATCATCCGGACAGATGCAGAGGGTCCAGCAGAGACCTTCAGGGGCCCCTAGAAGATTTCAGGTCCACAAGTGAAAGGAGCCGGGGTCTTTAATGACTGTCTGAAGTGTGTCTTCACTGCACCCTCCACACACACCATCAATGGTACTTTGTATGAGCAATACGTAAACTTCTGCTGTATTAAGTCATTGACATGTTGACCTCTTGTTACAGAGGTGGCCTAGCTGACTAATACACAGTTTATCAAACCTCAAGATGGACTCACAGGTCCCTGTTGCCTCAATGATTCCATCGCCACTGCACACACCAGAGTCTAGATACCATAAATATGGTCCAGGAGAGAAACCAGCAGCGTGGTGTGGTAACTGGCAACTGGCCAGGTATGGTAAGCATAAGGTAAAGCCTGCAGCAACTCAAGAAATGCAGAGGGAAGACTACTCGTCTAGAAGAAACAGGATGGCCCAGCAGCAATATTACCTGTGCTCATAGCTACTGGTTCTTCAGGAGAACAGGAAAGAGCATGGTCTCAAAGGCCAAGCATATCAGAGGCCATATCTGCCTGGGATCTACCCAGAAAAGTGACTGAACTGCTCTGGGCTTCAGTTTCCACAACTGCCAATCATGGATAACAATACCCTATGTTCTGTGACATCACACTGGTATCTTCAAACCAGCCAGGGCAGGAATATTTATACCATAGGAATTGACGAACACCGTACATAGGGACTTTCTTCTCTAGAAATCCCGTTGTTAATCACTTACCAGCACATCCCTGGATAAACAGGAGTCAGCTAAGTGGAAGGGGAGAAGGAGGACAAGAAAAGAGAAGTCCGGCAGTGTGAACAGCATGTGTGAAGGCCCAGAGGTAAAAATCAAAAGGTTTAACGAAATGAAGGAAGTCCTAAGTGGCTGGGTGTGGAGAGCTTGGGAAGATGTTAAGAGGAACCTAGAAAGAGGGCAGGAGCTGGACCTTGTGAAAGGACTTCACTAAATAGTAATTATTTGTTCCAGTCATCCATGGCTATGTAACAAATTACCCCAAAATGTAGTGGCTTAAAACAATCATTTCATTTTGTTTATGACTTTTAAGTAAGGAATTCATAGAGGGATCAGCTGGTGGGTTCATCTCCAATCTATGTCAACTGGGGTTGGAGGATCCACTTCCATGATGGCATCTTCACACATATGCGTGGTGCCCCAGTAGTGTCTCTCTGTCTGTCTGTCTCTCTCTCTCTCTCTCTCTCTCTCTCTCTCGTATGCCCACGCACATGCTTCCTCTCACTCTCGCTCTTCCCCCTGTAGTGGCCAACTTCCCTAAGAAGTAGCATTCCCAGATAACAAATGAACTGCCAGGGTTCTTCCAACATAGCCTCAGAAGTCACATAGCATCATTTCCACCACAATCCATGGGTTACAAGCAACCCATGGATTACAGGGGCTAGCTCTGCCCCAAAGGGTACAACCCAAGAGGATGAACGTGAGGAGTCGTGGTTCACTGAGGGCCTGCTTTGATGACCAGCCACCACATTGAGCGACCCCTGGTCACTGCCCTCTAGGACCACCTGCCAGGCACAGATCCAGAAAGAAACCAGGACCAGCCCTGTCCACAAGGAGCTGTCTGCAGAGGAGACAGGATGCCTGTATAGAAAATAGGGCTGCAGCATCAGACGGCTGCTCCCCACCCAGGATGGAAGGACAAACAGAGAGGACGCATCAGGGAAGGGAGAGGCAGAGAAAGCTGACTAGGGTAGGTAGAGAAGGCTTCCCAGGAAGGCGGCATTCCCAGCAAGATGAGCTAAGACTTGGAGGATGGAGGAGGTGGAGGGTTGGAAGGGAAGGAGTAGGCCATCACTGGGGCCACCCCCAGCCTTCTATCACATTTGGATCACTATGGACCACGCCAGGTCATCTCCGCTTTTCCCAGCAGGGATGTTGATCAGACCTGGGCACTCTGCAGTGATGATCAGCAGCTCAAGAGCAAGGGTGGCTCCTGACCGTGAGGGGTCAGCACCAGGCCCACAAGCCTGTCTGTTGCACCAGTGCCCAGGAGGGGCTGTCGACTGCAGAACTGTTTTCTCTGGCTCGACCTCACCCAGAACCAGCGGCAGAAAGGCCAGTTATGCAACCATCCTCACCACAGCCTGCCAGCCTCAGAGGCTGGGCCTGGCCGCCGGGCCTGGCCGCCAGGCCTGGTAAGGAGACTGCTGTGGCCTGCACAGCACAAGGCCATCCTGGGCCCCAACTGCCACTTTCCATGCAGGTGCAAGACGCTCTGCTGACAAATACCTGGGGAAAGCAGGAGCTGTGGGAGGGAGGTAAAAATAGCACAGTTGGCAACAGAGAAGGCTTTTCTAAGTCCTCAGGGTCCTATTAGTCCTTGTCCATGGGATACACATGAGCTGGCACTGAGCATTCTCTCTTCTCCAAGGCTCATGCTTAGAACAGGCACAGAGGCCTGGGAGGCCTCTTGTATCATGTCAGGAGCTGCACAGTGATCAGAAGTTAGGGAGAGCGCCTGTTGCAGAGGCTGGATTTGGAGGATATGCTGGGGCTGCCGTCATAACCCCACATCCCCAGTGGGTTCTCTCTGGCCACTCCCTCTACGGCCAGTTCTGTTTTCTCCCCATTTTTGGAAACCCAAATTCTTGATGTTTCTGTTATTCACATTGCCATTAAGAATTATGGGCTTTGCACTGTGTTTTTAATTTGTTGTGTAAGGGTTTTACACAAACACAGCTAGATGCCTAGAAAAGACAATGTATATGGGCATGCAGGCTGTGCACTGCACAACTCCAGAGGGCTTCATTCATGACCAGGATGTGAGTGGCGCCCTGGAATCATGCAATGTGGTTACCGGTATTGCCAGAGAGGAAATGATGTCTTACATGACCCCATATCCCCGGGAAAAGGCCAGCCATGCTAATAAAGATTTGCTAACTAACCAATTTGTCTCCTGCTTCCAAATATTCCATGCACGGGGTTTGGCAGGCACACGGCCACAATGCGCAATGGCCTAGAAAGAGAGCCATATTGAAATATAATAATGTATTTCCAGGCCACGGAGGTGGAGAGGCACAAGGAATTGATCTTTCTAAGGCAAGGAAGATTCATAACCACTGAATGAGTTAACCACTACCTTCTTCTGAGTGTGCAGATTAAATTCTCTGTCGCACCAACATCCAAGTGCGCTAAATTTTAACAGACCTGGAATTTGGATATATTTATTTCTCTTTCACAGAATTCCCATTCTTTTACTAACACAGTTTCAGAGTTTGAGATATGAGCATATCTCATGTGGGATAATAAGGCATCATTCCACACCAGGTTGCACAGGCCCATGGTTTAATGATGAGACTTCGCTGGTGGGTGCAAACTTTGCTGGTCCCCCATGCTCTCTTGAATCTGTGTGCATCTCACACATACGTACATGTACACACACACACACACACACACACCCCTCTCTCAAGTTTTTAAAAACCTACTTAAATTCTGCATCCTACCTCCAATATACTCTGTGTACAGTGTAAGTGTTAATACCAAAAATAGTGTTTTTCTGCTGGGCACAGTGGCTCACGCCTGTAATTCCAGCACTTTGGGGGCCGAGGCAGGTGGACCACTTGAGCTCAAGAGTTAGAGACCAGCCTGGGCAACATGGCGAAACTCCATCTCCACCAAAAATACAAAAAATTAGCCAGGCATGATGGTGCATGCCTGTAGTCACATGCCTGCAAGTCCCAGCTACTCAGGAGGCTGAGGTGGGAGATTGCTTGAGCCCAGGAGGTGGAGGTTTTAGAGAAAAATAGTGTTTTTCTCCAAAACTTCATGGAAGACTGTTGACACTCAGAAAAATGACCCAATATTGATTCTGTGCCTCCACATACCCCCCAGCACAGAGATGTGGCACATGTGCTGTGGTTCATAAAATACATTTATATGTCATCTGATGTGAATCTCATAGCAGTCCTGGAGTTGTACATTGAGTAACCTGCATGACTGTATATAGCCCACTGCCTGTCAGGTAGAGAAAAGGTGATTATCCCATTTTCCAGCAAGAAAAACTAAGACTCAGGGAATGTAATAGAACTAGACAACATTTAAGGTTCCTTCTCATCCTGGGAATTGACATACCTGAGAATTCAGTAGTACAAAACTCTCTGAACTTGTCAAGGGACCTCACATCTCTCCAGGAACAACACACCACTCCTCTTTTCAGTCCTGTCTATGTCATCAGAGTTTCCCTCACACTGTGGCCAGGAAGAGCTAAGGAGGTATAAATGAGGTGTACAGTGTGGGATTAGGTGCATGGGATCCACAGCCCACCTGCCTGGATTTAAACTGGCTCTGCTCCTCACCTGTGTGTGACCCTGAGCAGTTACTCAACCTCTCTGTGCCTCAGTTTTCTAATCCATAAGTGAGGATAATAATACCACCGAATTCACTGGGTTGTTGTGAGGATTATATAATACATATAGTTTAAAAACAACCAGACACACAGTAATCACTCAAAGTTTGTTATCCAAAAAAAGAAAAACATTCTCATTCTCTATGCATCCATTTTCTAACCTGTAAAATGGGAATTTAAAAGGGGACTACATCACAGGATTGTTTTGAGGATTAAATAACAGAATAAACATAAGGAGCTTAAAACAATGCTTAATGCATAGAAGCCACTCAAACAAGTTTGTTCTGATTTTTTTTCCCCTAAGAAAATAGTAACTCCAATTCCCACAGAAAGACTTCCCAAAACAAAAGTACCAATAAGTCTGAAAATAAATGCAAGACCTGAGGAGGAATCATTGCTGTTTTCTAAAACCAGTGATAGACAGGCTATCTTAGAGACCGGAGGTTCTTGCTTTACATTCATTTTCTGAGGTCAGGAAGTAAAAAGGAACATGGGTGAACAGGCACTGGTGAGATGAGGAAGAAAGAACAGGAACATCTCAGTTGCTAGTTTCTGTTTTCACCATGAAAATCATTTTAAAGCCCTGCCTAGAATTTAAATAGCATCATCCCTGGAGATAGCTGTTTTAGTTTCATTACAGTCTGTGTTCGTAGAGTACAAATAGAAACCTTCGTGATTTTATTAGTTTCCATGCAACTTAGGAGAGATTTGCATGATAACATTTCATCTCCTGACTTTAAAAAGGGACCAATTAAAAATACAGCACTTGCATTGCCTGTCACGGGAAAATGAAAAGGTTCACAGAGTTTTAAAAACCTCTGCCATATCTAGTCCATGGTCATAAATCAAGTATTCAGTACTACGGTGGCAATCACTATTGTCTAAATTTTTAGTTTATTTTGTAAGAAGTACTTGGAACAGCTGGGTGCAGTGGCTCACACCTGTAATCCCAGCACTCTGGGAGGCCGAGGCAGGTGGAGTACTTGAGATCAGGAGTTCAAGACCAGCCTGGCCAACACGGTAAAACCCCATCTCTACTAAAAATACAAAAAAAAAAAATTAGCTGTTCATGATGGTGCATGTCTGTAATCCCAGTTACGTGGGAGGCTGAGGCAGGAGAATTGCTTGAACCCAGGAGACAAAGGTTGAGGTGAGCCGAGATCGTGACACTGCACCCTAGCCTGGACGACAGACCAAGACTCCGTCTCAAAAAAAAAAAAAGAAAGAAAGAATATTTGCAGGATGTTTGCACCCCTGAAAAGAGTTAAACTATAGTACAGAAGAAACAAAATGTACAAGTAAGTATTTTTGCCTGGATTGCAGCAAGTCCTACACAATTACCAACACCCCAAAGCTACCTGGTACTCTGTGGATTTGTGAAGTGTTAATGTAATGTATCTGTGACAAGTTAAAATTTAATGCATGGCTCCGGTAGCATAATCGAATCGATGTTATGTAACCTAAGAGAACTATTCCAGTAAGTTCTGATGTGCTGGCTGCTTACGGTTCAGGGGGAGTTTTTTTCGGAGGTTACTGAGTATTTAGGAATCATCCCTTCAGACACTTGCTCTTTTGCCACAGAAGCTGCAGTTATCTTATCCCTGCTTTCGGCAGCTGGAATGCTCCGTGGAACAGGGCTGAGATGAACGTTCTATCTCCAAGGCTGCGTTTTGGGGCAAGTTAAGGAAAAGGATCAAAGTAAGTTGATTTGCATGACCTTCTCTTTAATCAGATGTTTCTTTTTATGTTCAACCTCAACAAAGCCAGCCTATCATAGCACACTATTTATAGTCTATAATCTAAGATGTTCTGAACCATTCCCCCACACCAAAAATTAAAATTAAAACCTCAATAGTGGTGTGGCTATATCATTAGAAGTAATAGTAGAGTCACAAAAACCTATTTCTGAGACTTTTTTTTTAAATGACAGGTTTGATGGTATTTCCAATGGGGCCTGTGTCCCTAGATTGTAATTCTTAAATATGTCATCAAAGTCAATATTGAAGTTCTGGGGACAAGTCAATCAAATTTCACTCTTGTGTTTTATAGTAGAACAAGAACTTCTCCCTGGATTCACTGCCCTCAATAACTTAATCTTTGGTTCTTTATCAGGTAAAAATGATAGTTTTAAAATCTGACTTAAGAAATGGCTTTATATTGAAATCATGAAATCAGAGAATTTGTTATATGCATGAGAAAACTAAGGCCTGGAGCCTATGACTTGTCTAAGACACTGTAGCTAGTCACTTGTCATATGTCAAAATCAAAAATCCGGCGCTCCCTTAACTTCACTCTAAGAGTAGACACCATTAAACCAGACCCCACAGGCAGAAAGAGGGTTGTTCTCTTCATTTGTCTGCTCTCAATGTGGGCAGGGCCTACATCAAAGTCAGCCTGGGTGCTTCTAGAGGGGCTGCAATCTTTAGAGGAAGAATATCAGCTGCCCACCGAGAAAACAAGAACGCCACCGTAAAGAACATGTCAGGGAAGGAAATGTGCCCAAAGATAATGCTGGTCATCTCCTGGAGGGGGAATTTGGAGGAATGTTTTTCCCTTTTCTCAAATGTTTATTTATAATTGTGGTGAAATACACAGAAGACAAAAATGTACCATCTTAGGCTGGGCACAGTGGCTCACGCCTGTAATCCCAGCACTTTGGGAGGCTGAGGCGGGCGGATCACGAGATCAGGAGATCCAGACCATGGTGAAACCCCGTCTCTACTAAAAATACAAAAAGTTAGCTGGGCGTGGTGGTGGGCGCCTGTAGTCCCAGCTACTCCGGAGGCTGAGGCAGGAGAATGGCTTGAACCTGGGAGGCGGAGCTTGCAGTGAGCCGAGATCATGCCACTGCACTCCAGCCTGGGCGACAGAGCGAGACTCTGCCAAAAAAAAAAGTACCATCTCAACCATTTTTAAGTGTGTAGTACTTCACACTTAAAAATGTGCATGTTTCACATTGTTGTGCATCCCATCTCCAGAACTTTTTCATCTTACAAAACTGAAACCCTATACCCATTAAACACTTCCCTCCCTCTGGCCCTGGAAACTACCCTTCTACTTTCTGTTTCTATGAGTTTGGCAACTCTATGTACCTCATGTAAGTGGAAGTTATCCTTTTGTGACTGGCTTATTTCATTTGGCTGATGTCCTCGATGTTCATCTATGTGGTAGCACGTGTCAGACTTGCCTTCCTTTTTAAAGTTGAATAATACTCTGTTGTATGTACCTACCACAATTCGCTAATCTATTCATCTGTGAATGAACCCTTGAATTGCTTCCACCTTTGGCCATTGTAAATAATGCTGCTGTGAACATGGGTGTACAAATATCTCCTTAAGACCCTGCTTTTAAGTTTTTTGGATATCTAACCAGAAGTGGAATTGCTGGATTATATGATAATTGAATGATTAATTTGTTTTGAGAAACTGCCATACTGCTTTCCACCGCATCTGTACCACTTTGCATTCCCACAAACACTGCACAAGGGTTCCAATTTCTCCACATCCTCACCAACACTGGTGATTTTCTATTTTTTTTTTTTTACAGTAGCCATCCTAACAGATGTGACTGTGTCCTTTTTGTTTAATGCCCCTGCACGGCCTACGTTTTCTACAATGAACATGTAGTATATTTGGGATTAAGGACAAAATATAAAATACTGAAGTTAAAAAGTAAATCCTATGGAGAAAACAGGGTTGTGAAAGAACTTAAGAAATGATTGGGTTTTTTTTTTTTAGACTGAGGCAAACTGTTGAGCCCTCTTGTGGGCTCAGCTAGAGACATCATTCCTATACTCTTCAAGAATCTACCACCTGATCGGCTGTGGCTGCCACAAGCCACAGGAGAAACGGCCATAATTCATGGGCAGCTGAAATAATTCCTCTAAGCTCTGGGAGGAAAGTGTTCCCAGATGCAGGAAGGAGAACAACAATGTATATTAAGCTGTTGCCAGCTAATGTTGGTCATAAAAATCCCTAGCACTTGGGTAAGGCCTTTCATCTTCCAAATCTTTCCTCCAAGCCTTAGAACACTTATCTCTGAGTTCTCCATTTGAATAACTGGAGGCCCATTTTTCCCCTTCCAGAGCCACAAAGGGTCCACTTTCCAAAACCACATAAAGAGAAAACAACGTCAATGTGGCAACTTCTCCCAAAGAGGAGCAGAATTCTGCTCTTGGTTAACAAGCACACAAAGAACATCTCCCACAAACCCTTCCAACGCTTCACCTCTGAGCCACACAGGCCGCGTGCTATCAGTTCATTCCACAGAATGTCTCGTTTGAAGAGCTAAAATTTTCCAAACGTGAACTCATTCTACCCACTGGTAGAATGCTTTACTCCTTGGAGGTGAAGTCATTTGACATGATTTATTCATTAAGACAAAGGTGAGGTAACTAAAACCAAAATCCATCCAATTAGCTATTTATCCAACCTCTAACTCTCAGAGGAGAAATTCTTTTTTCCTTGGTGTCAACCTCTCCCTCTACCTCCTGCCCTCCCTCACCTTCTTCCTTTGTGTGTTTTGCTCTCTTTTCTTTTCTGGTTTCTTTCTGTTCAGCAAAATAGGGGAGATGACAGCAGAGGCATACAGGAGCCCCAGAGGAAAGGAGACCCAATGAGCAGGTGGGAAAGAAACAGCCTCCTATTCTAAGAAGCGGCTGTATTCAAGTGATGCAAAAAGAGGTTCAAGAGCACTGTCTGTCTCCCTAGGTGAAAAAGAGTCAACACCTAGAAAATGGAATCCAACTCGAGTTTCCTAACAAAGGCTCTGTACCCTACATCCAAATTCTTGGCAGGGCCCCCAAATTACAACCCCCACGTGAAACTGAGAAGGGGGCTAAACCTTGGAGATACAAGGCACGTGACATTGATAAGGAGGTGAATTTATGGCCCAGCAACAGTCAAAAGCCTCCAGTCACAGCTGCTGACAAGACCGAAGAGACCTCAGAAGGCAAACTTCAAGAAACAACCAGAATGGGTCGTTTTCTGAACTCTGGGCAAAGGGGCAAAGGGAAACCACACTGTCTCAGGAGGACGAAGAACCCAGGGAAGCCATCAGGGAGAAAAATAAAGTGGCCTTCATGGAGGAAACACAAGTTAAGGTTAAGGTCATTCTACGTCTCAACACTGCGGACATGGAAACACCACCCAGCTCTGTCCCTTCCTGAACTGGATTTAGAATTTGAAATCTACCATCCACCAAGGCTTGTTCTGCATGTCCCAGACACAGACTAGAAGCAAACAAGGACTAGTGCAAACAGAAAGATCTTTCCAAGTTCATCGTAAGGTGGGTTTGTCCCCAGTGGAATAGTGGCCTCAGGAGATCATAAACACACTGGTAGGGTGGGCTTCCAGCACTGGGGAGGAATCGCACAGGGCCTGAGGCCCCAAAGCTTCCTTCCACCACTGTGAATTTATAGTTCCATGCGCTTCTGCACTTGTTAAATCAGGTCGCTATTTGTTGTCTACTAATCTACAAACCTGAAGCCCCCAGCCAGCAGAGGCCACTCTCGATCCCACCCCCCAGCCCCAGTTCACTCCCAAAGATGAAGACAGAGAGGACTGTCCAGTCTCTAAAAGGGAAGAAGGAGCAAGAACAAGACATGGAACCAGAAAATAAAATAAATACTCATCTTATACTCCCAACTTGAAATGCACATACAGGCAGCCCAACAGCCTGTAGATAATTTGGTTTACAATGATATGCAAAGATGCAGACCCATCGTGGCTGAATAGTTTCGTACAGTTAGAAGTGACCCTGGAAAGAATATTACTGACAGTCTTGCCTTAAAAACTCTTTTGCAAAAGACATCATGGTCCCAGACTTCAGCAGTTAACAGATGGAAATTAACTTCACTTCAAGTCAAAAACCTAAAATCTCGCCGGGCGCGGTGGCTCATGCCTGTAATCCCAGCACTTTGGGAGGCCAAGGCGGGTGGATCATTTGAGGTCAGGAGTTCAAGACCAGCCTGACTGACATGGTGAAATCCCGTCTCCATTAAAAATACAAAAATTAGCCAGGCATGGGGCATGAGAACCTGGAATGCCAGGTACTCAGGAGGCACTAGAACCCTGGAGGGAGAGGTTACAGTGAGCCGAGATCATGCCACTGCACTCCAGCCTGCCAGCCTGGGCAACACAGCAAGACGGTATCTCAAAAAAAAAAAAAAATCTAAAATCCTATTTTTCCTTTTTAAAAAAACACCCCTTCCCCAAGTAAAAGTCAACTCTGATAATGGGGAGATCTACATAATGTTTACCTTAATTACTTCTTCCCCAAATTGAAGTATTCCTCCCTATTGTGCTAGAAACCAAAATTAAACAGCACCAACTTTCCACAGAAACCCTCAGGAATGACAGCCACTAAGGAAAAAAGGATGTAAAAGAAAGGATGGAGCAAGAGGAGGAGGGGGAGAAGGCTGGAATTCAGGCTTTCCTGTGAATTCGCTTTGAAATGCCTAGAGGCCACTGGATCTGAGTCCCCAAGAAAATCTGGTAGAGAGGCCAGTGAACCAGCATAAAGAATAGAAAATAAAGGAGATGTGTTAAATAATTTTGATTTTGGCCACGTGAAGAAGTATTAGTCATACAGGTAACAAGATCTTACAGGGAGATGATTCCAAGGCTCGGCTTGACAACGTTAAGTGTATATCCATTCTGGGCCTGGAGTGCCAATTACATTTCCAAATTGGCAATTAGACACAATGTCCCAAGACAATCACCAAATAATGCCAAAAACAAAGCAAGTTCCATCTTAAAGCAGCCATTCTTTTGAAACTGCCCTTCCCTCCCGTGCCTGACTCATCCACCTCACAAACAACTGCCCATTATGAACTAAATCCTTGTTAGCTACTGATCAAGAGAAACCAGGTGGCATGAATAATTAAAATCCACGAATGATTCAAGCACCATGTTGTCAACAAACCAAGCCCATCTCTTTCACCAGGAGTTTCTCCATAGCATCTAACAAATTACCCAAAAAAGCAGGAAAATATATTTGCCACCCCCAACCAATGCATTCTCGTTCAGCCCCCAGCTAACTACTGGAAAGAGCCTTCCAACATCTACGTGTGTTTACATTTGCATGACTCAGTTCCTGCCCTCAAGGAGTTTGCAGGCAATTCAGAGATCAGATGTTCATATTCCATGAGAAGATAACTGTTTTTTCCTCTGCTCAGCCTGTCAAGTACTAATAAAAGCCCTAACAAGCAGGGAGTCAGAACTGGGTCTTAATTATTTTTCCCCCAGCACCTAGCTTGGTTTCTGGCACATCGTATACACTTAATATGCAACAAAAGCAAAAACAACAACAATAATTATAACCAGAAGACTTCTTTGAGGGCCTACTGTGTGCAGGCCGCCACGATGCTAGGTCCTTCTTCATTCTGCCTGCTGCAGACACTCATGGTGCTCCCCTCTGATGATGAAACAACATAAAAAGCACATCTCATGGAAAAAGTCCCTGACAGTGTGAGCTGTGAAAAACCCTGGTATGGTGAGAAAAGGAGCTACTTTCACTTTCATCTTCTGGAATTCTTAAGAAGTGCATTGGAGGGCCACACAGCACGGTGCCACGCGTGTCCCCCAGTCACTCCACGGGCAGCTCTTCAGCCAATTCTTTGAGGTTGAACCCTCCATTTGGGAAGGCCCACCCAGGCCCCTACAGAAAATCAGGCTGGCAGTCTTAATGCCCACTGACTTCAAACACTCCAGAGGGAGTGGTCCCCAGCCAGCCTGGGGCATCACCGCAGTGCAGCCCTGGTGACACCACCAGCCTTTAATTTTGCAAGGAGGTAGTTTGGCTGGGTTGCCCTCCTGGACTTCGGGAAGTCACACCCTTTGCAGAATGACCAACTGGCACGAGGAAGAGCCCACACATTGGTGGGTAACACACAGACCACACCCTGTAAACACTGCTCTGGCCACCACAACCCAACCCTAAATCCACAACGCTGATGGGTTCCTTAGGAGCAGGCACCTGGACCATCAGTTTTCGCAAATAAGAGCCCAGCCCGAACCACAGCTACCCTGGTCTGAAAGGAGTTTTCTCCACCCAACGATCTGGCAGAGCAAACCTTCTGCTTCTCATCCCTTCCCCCTTCAAGAGCTGGGAATTTCCACATTTAAAAATAAGCCTGTCTTCAGGGATGGACTGCACGGAGGCTGAGGGATGGACCAGATCCTTGATACTCAAAGTGTGGTCTGCACAGCATCAGTATAGCCTGTGTCTCGCCAGACCAGCATAATCTCAGGTCCCACACTGGATCTTCTGAATCACAGCCTGCATTTTAACAGCTCTCGGTGATTCCTGAGCATATTAAAGTTTGACTAAGCCAGGCACAGTGGCTCACACCACTGTGGGAGCACTTTGGGAGACCAAGATGGGAAGATCACTTGAACCCAGGAGTTCAAGACAAGCCTGGGCAACATAGGGAGACCCCATCTCTGTAAAAAATTTAAAACCTAGCCAGGTGTGGTGGCACACACCCATAAGTCTTGGCTACTTGGGGAGCTGAGGCAAGAGGATCACTTGAGCCTGGGAGGTTGAAGCTGCAGTGAGCAGTGATCATGCCACTGTACTCCAGCCTGGGCAACAGAGTGAGACCCTGTCCCAAAAAAAAAAAAAAAAAAAAAAAGTTTGAGAAGCCCAGGCCTAGAGACACTCTCCAGTCCTTGGAGATAAAGATGTGATATTCCCACTGAACATTCCCCAGGTTTTCTGTCCAAAGTGCTAGGACACCCTTGCCTCCGAGGGTCCCTGGGTTTCCTTTTCTAGGTGCCTAATGCGTGGGGTTCCACCCACCCAAGAAGCAGTTCTAAAAGAGACATCCTTGGTCTGCTCCCTGACTGTGCACAGAAAGGCATGGCCCTGTCTGATCCCCAGGGATGTCTCCAAGGGACCCAGTGTTCCCCACACGGCCCAGGGCCTGGCATCACAGCACAAACAGCCCTTTCACTGGAACCACAAAGGCGACCTTCCAGGGGATCTGCAGCTTGGCAAGGTGGTATTGGCTGCTGTGATTCACAGATTAGCATGGTCACTGCCAGTGTGAGCCGGGACGCCCACTTTGGGAAGGAGGTCCTGGCATTGCAATCGAATGCCAATGTAACTGTTTCTGCACCAGGCCTCTCATGCCCTGATGAGAGAGAGAGAAAGAGAGAGACAGCCCCAAAGCAAGCACTTACTCCTGGCTATCAGCCACCAATGAATGTCCCCATCCAGGGAACAAAATAGCTGTGAGGCAAAGAGAAGGTCCATTTGGACTTACCATTGGAATGCTTTATCCCCCAGGCCAAACAGCAGGGGGCAGGCAGCTCTTCTTTTCCTCCTGTTGTATGTTTGGTCAAGTTTCCTGGGCACCTAGAAGCAGGGCTAGCCCAAGGCTCCCAAAGGGAGGCCATAGGTTCTCAGTGTCCTCCTAGGAAATGCTATAAAATGGGGTTGGTGAAAAAAACCACCCCATGAGGCTGTGCTCTATCACAGACCTCAATTTGCAGGTGAGGAAACTGAGGCACAAAGGCATGACGTCTTTGCCCAGGATCACAGGCTGAACCTTGGGCACTGCACAGCACCCCTGACACTGAAGCAAGACTGCTCACAGGTAGCACATTTGAGGGCATTTTAACCACTTTCTCTACCAGCAGGATGCCGCCAAGCCTGTGATGTGGCCCTCCAAAGGGGAAGCTCAGCCACGCCATGCCTGCTGATTTTTTTTCACAAGGTAATTTAAAAGGCAGGTGTGCCACAGAACACACTTGGGGAAACCTGGCCTAGGGGGTGTCTTGGAAAAGCTGGTCTGGGTAGACAGTGAGTGTCCTGGCCAAGAGACCGTGACATCACTTGGGAGACAGGTCTATGAGTTCTGGACTTGGGATAACAGGGATGGAATTTGTCCCTCCTCAAGGGTACAATGCTGGACAACCATACCTGCCCACCAAATGCCACAGTGTTTCCCTTCTGCCAGCCCAGCAGCTCCTGGTCCCCCATACTGTCGATGTTCGTCCACTGATACCCCACCATCAAAACTGTAACCATCCTGCCAGGACCCCATCCGTGAAGCCTACCTCTGCTGCCCTGCCCTAACTTTCCAGCCTTGCAACAGCCAAGAGCCATAAGCCCATGTCTCAGTCTGACTCTAAATGGTTTTTTGATCTATGACAGTATACTTCAGGATCTAAAGCCTCCTTTTGGCTCAAAAACTTTATTTGTTATAGTCTGCGCCCTTCAGGGGCTATAAGTTCAATGAATCAAAGGGAAAATAAACTCAGCACTTCATGAAGCTATGATAGTTACCACTTACAAGAGGCCTGCTAAGTGTCTGGCATTTGCAGGGTGCTATGTGCCCATTATTCCTGCTCCCTATAAGAACCCTACAAAGTAAGCATCAGTATGCTCTTGGTATAGGTGATGTAACCAAAGCTCAACATGGTTGGCAGTCAAAGATGCCCTGCTAATAAATGTGAGATCCATGATTTGAACTTGGGTTTGCCTGATTGCAGAGTCTTGTACTAAAGTGTGCATTTCCATAAAGAGGGCCAGGGGCTGGACGCCGTGCCTCACGCCTGTAATCCCAGCACTTTGGGAGGCCAAGGTGGGCGAATCACAAGGTCAGGAGATCAAGACAATCCTGGCCAATGTGGTGAAACCCCGTCTCTACTTAAAATACAAAAATTAGCCAGGTGTGGCAGCGTGCGCCTGTAGTCCCAGCTACTTGGGAGGCTGAGGCAGGAGAATTGCTTGAACCCAGGAGGCGCAGGCTGCAGTGAGCCAAGATCGTGCCGCTGCACTCCAGCCTGGGTGACAGAGCGAGACTCCATCTCAAAAAAAAAAATTAATAAAAGGAGAGAGAGAGAGAGCAAGGAATGAGGAGCACGAGCTCTCTGGACAAGGGCAGGTCAGCTGGAGCTCCCCCGTGACTAGGACCCAAGAACTCCTCCAAGGCCACCCCAAGTGATCTGCTCAAAAAGGAGTATCTCAAGGTCATCTGGTGCAGCCAATCCCCAGGACAGGATGAGATGAGGCACAAGGGCCAATCTGGAATCAAGAGCTCCACGGCACTGAAGCTCCAGCCCTGATTGACTGCGTCAGGCCAGACCCTGGGTAATTACCAAGCTGTAATGGGATCTGATATTTATATTAGTCACGAGCCTGACAGAGAAAACGTGTTGTTTTCTCAGGCACAGCCATGGAGACAACATCTCGATAATTCATTACACGCAGACCATCCTTGATCAAGCCCAAGCTTCTACAAGGCCAACAGCTCAAACTGAGAATGGAAATAACTCTATGCCCAGCCACACTCAGGCCCCTCAACAAACCACAGCTCCAACAGGAAGTTGGCCTCAGTTTCCCCAGTTATTTAAAGAGAAGTAGACCACATGCTGGAAGACGAGCAGAAGATGGAAATAAAGATATGTAACTGTCCCAAGGCTGAATTCCTAAAGGAATTGCTAGGGAACTGCAAAACACATTCTGAGCTAGAAACTTTAACCCTCATTCCTCAACTCCTCCCTCTCTCCTATATCGAATCACAGAGCAGGAAGGGACATTAGAACTCACAGAATTCAATCCCCACATTTTATACACAAGGAAAGATAGACACCAGAGAGGTTAAATAACTTCTTCAAAGTCATGGCTTTATTCAGGCTACCAGAGCAGCTCCCTATTCAATATAGTCTATGACAGGATTGAACTTCACAACGTCACACCCAAGTGAATAGAGAGCTCTGATGAAATCCCACAAGGAAAAAAACAATAATGTGAAAAAGTACAGCAAAGAACACAGTACTGGAATGACTGTGACCAAGTTCCCAACAGGAGGAAATTGTAATGTTTTCTTCTTCACTTTCTGAAAAAGTCCACATGCCACTCTTTTCAAAAGACTAAAGTCATTCACTGTTTGAGATTCAGAGGCCAAAGGTACTAATGAAGAGATGTCCCACGATGCATGTCCACAGTCTTGGGTTCCTTTGATCAAAAAGGTTTGGTGCGATCCCAGAGACCAAACGCTCATGAAATTGGAGCTCCTTGCTGAATTTTATCTCCCACAGAATTTCAGACCTGCTTTCCTCTGGACTCCAGCTCTTGATCAAACCATCTTGGGGCTGAAGGAGGGTGAGGGTGAACCCATCTGAGGGCTGGTAGAATTTTCTGGAAAGGCAGCCTATGTTTTCTTGGGAAATCTAGCACAAAAATTATTATTCTAAGCTTAAGCCAAATACATGCCTGTGTATCGAGTCTTGACAAAACTACCAAATACTTGGAAAGAAAAAAGAAAAAAAGACAAACACACACACACACACACACACACACACACACACAATTGCAATAAAAATACAGACCTCAAGCATAGAAAGAAAAGCTTTTAAAAGGCCTAACTTACCGTTACTGCATATAATGAGCTGGCTACCTATGGCTTAAGTGAGCAAATCTAGGGGCAGGTATCAAGAGATTCTAGGTGTGCTTTAAAATGGACTTACGGTATCAAAAGGAACCTGCACTCATTCTATACTGGCCTCACATCTTCCAAACAAACCACCATCACCTCTCATCCCTGGCAGATTTCTTACAGCAACTCACTTCCAGTTATGTCCACTCAGCAGGTCTTGGGGCTACAAAACATAGCCAAATATTTACGAATTGTTTTTTCTAATCGTTGCCAAAAACCTATTTTCTTGAGTAAACTGACAGAAGTTATGCTTGCTCATCATTTAGGAGATCCTTTGTGTGTGCGATGGGATTAGCATTTCATTACAGACACTGCAATTGCATTTATGTACCCCCTAACATAAAAAGACTTTGGAAGCTGTGTTTAGGACCCCAGGTTCACAAAAACACCACAACTTATTTTCAATCATGGAAAAAGTTTTCATTATGATAAAAATTGCCCCCTGCCTGAAAGAAAGCAAGCTGTTAAAAAGTTCACCCAGATCACTCTATCTAGGGAACATTTCAGAGGCACACAACTATGAGCTATCTTTCCCCTAAAGACAGTCGCTGAATCTCAGTAAACCGGGGAACAAAATTCCCGAGACTGTTGGGGGAGGTGGAGGAGAAGGATGGAGAGAGGGAATGTGGGAATTTGAAGGCTCCAGGAATAAGCTGTTCTCAGCAGGAAGGCTAGTCAGGGATCTGGTGTATAGGGCTTTGCTTAACCTGAGGGCTTCTCTGGAAGGTGGGAGGTTTGCCTCCTTAACAAATAAGAAGAAACCTCTACGGCTGAGAAGGTAATTCCAAAGAAAACTCTCCGACCAGCACCTGCAGGCCTCCGGAGAAGCCAGAGAATGACGAAGAGAATGATGGTTTTCATATTTCTCCCTTTGTTCCAATACACCAGTATTTTCCAAAACACAAATGTGCTGCCACAAAACACAGCTGAGCTCCAGCACCCAACAGGATGTATAATTAATGATCAGGAGAGACAGGCTCCTTCCCCCCTGGTGTTTTCATAGCCAGCCTTCACCCATAGCCCCAGGCTTCCCTACTTCTCTCAGCCGCCAAGGAGGCTGCTACAAGTTGCTGTGCCCTGTAGAAGTTTGAGGGGTCCTCGGTTTAACTTTACTAGAAAAGATGTGAACATGTGGAGGCTGCAATGTGTATCTACCCTGCACTATTCCCCTGGATTTCCCTTCCCTCCAAAACGGTTCGCGCGTGAAGTCCCCTAGGATGGGAATTACTCAGAAAGAAGGCAGCTGGCTCACTCTCTTTTTTCCAGTTCTTTCTTTTTTATTCTGCAGTTTTCTATCAGTGTCGGGTCCCCCACTCCAGCCAGTGGCTGTGGGGAAGGGAAGACATCTCTAGGGACACGACTACAGACCAGGCAGTGAGCCTAGCAACCATACATCGAAGGTGTCGCCAGCCTCAGTGCCGGTGGGCGTCTGCACCAGGAATAGCTAAAGCCGACGACATCTAGCCACCTCGAGCGCCAGGGAAGACGCTCCGCGTAAAACCGCGGCCTCAGGCGGACTCCCGCTCCAGCTCCGCGCTGCTGGTGGCATTTCCGGGGACCCAAAGTGGGTGGCCTGGGGGCAAAGGAACAGAGGCCGAAGAACTTGGGGTATGTTCCACTAGAGCACCTAAGGGACGGAGTGGGAGGTTACATCAGATATGCGACCTCGACACATTCCAAAAGTGGCAGCCCCGTGGGCTACCCCCAATAGTGGGATGGATCTCCCCAACTTCTCTCGCCCCTCGAAGTCCCCCTGTTATCTCGGGCCATGCTCCTCCCCCGGGATTCCCTTGTGCAAAATTATTCTCTCCCTTGCCCAAAGGATTTTTCCCTTCTTTCTGACCCCACGAACTCATCTCCCCAACAGGTTCCTAAAGTATGGGCGGATGTGCTCCCTCTCGCCCACCGCCAGGAGCCGAGCCCCGGCAGGTGAGCGGTGCAAAACACGCACCCAGCTGCCCCCAGCTTCCTCCGTCCCCGCTGAGTTGGCTGTCCCCACCCCGCACCACGGCACCCGAGCCTGTGAGTCCCCGACCCCGGCCCCAGCCGCAGCCGCCAACAACCCTACAATAAACAAGAGGACAGGATTGAGCGTCCGCGTCCCGGAGCGCACTGGCTGGGGGCAACTCCTCACCCCCGGCGCGCCGCCCGCTGCCCCGATCCGAGAGCACCGGGAGAGCCGAGGGAAGGGAAGGCGGCGAGGGGAAGGCAGGCGGGGATGGAGGGAGGCACGGCGCGGCGCGGAGCGAGGAGGTGGGCTGCAGGGGACGCCGAGAAGCGGTGGGGCTGGCGCAGAGGGCGGGCGCCCGGGGCGCGCGTTACCTTCGTCTTGCCCCCGCAGTGGCAGCACACGGTCCACAGGTACTTGAGCGTCCGCCAGAGCAAGATGATGAAGAGGCCCCCGAAGAAAGTCACCATGGAGGAGGCCAGGAAAGCCCACCACATGCGTTGGCCCCGGCTGTCGCACGGCACCTCCATGGTCACCGGGATGATGAGCGCATCCATCTTGGGCTCGTGGACCGAGGACGAGGAGGAAGAGGAGGAGGAAGAAGAAGAAGAGGAAGAGGAGGAGGAGGAGGAGGAGGACGCGTCTAGGCTGAGATGGTTCGCGTGGATATTGCTACTCATTCTAAGACTGCTGCCTCCGCCGCCGCCGCCGCCGCCGCTGCTGCCGCCGCCGCCGCCGCCACCATTTGCCATAGCTAGCAACGGGCAGCCGGCGCAGGGGCTCGGGGGAGCTCCTCCCGCCGCCAGCGCCACCCCAAACACCCATCAACAGCCATATTGCTGCTACTGCTGCCGCCGCCGCCGCCGCCGCGGAGCGCGGGAGGGGGGCGGGGAGGCGCCTGGGCTCGGGGCGCTGTGCGCGACCTGGCGGGGTGCGCCGAGATATATACAGCGAGCCGCCGCCGCCCGCCCGGGGGGGAGGGGGATGGAGTGCGCGGGCAGCTCCCCCTCCCCGGCCCGCGCCCCGCTCGCCCCGGGCTGCGCTGGCCCCGAGCGCCGAGAGCCAGGGGGCGCCGCGGGCCGCCCGCGCCCGGGGTCTGCGCCGCCCCCGGGCCCGCCCCGGCTCCGCGCGCGGTCCCGGGTGTCCTCGGCGCCGCGCCGCCCGCCGTGCGCCACGGGTGTGCGCTGCGCTCGGCCGGTGACCCCCTTCCCCGAGCGCCTCCCGCGCGGCTAACGAGCCGCTCTCCGCTTATTAGGTGGTAACTCGTTAATAATGGATAATCGGCCCCCTCCGCCCGGGCGCCCCTGCGCCAGCCCTCCTCCCCCGGCTGCGCTCGGCTCCGGCTCGCCGCGCCAGTGCGCGCCCGGCCGCGGCAGGTTCACCGCGTCCGGCCGCCGGCCCGTGGCCGCCTGCTAGCCCATGTTCTCGGGACCCCCTAGTCCTGTCGCCACGCCGCTGAGCCCCTCGGCCTCCGCTCGCTCTTCCTCCTTGCCGCCTCCGACTCCTCCTCGTCCCCGTCCTCGCCGCCCAAGCCTCTTCGGCGCGCGCCCCGCGCTCCCCGCAGCCGCCAGCAGCAGCAGCTGCAGCAACTGGAGCGGGCGCGGACTCAGGACGACCCAGGCGGGAGGGGAGGAGGCTCGCCGCGCTGGCTCGCCTGGGCTCCGGGCTGGGCAGGGGTGGGCAGGGCCCCTCGGCAGCGGCCCGGCAAGCGCCCCTGACCCCCAGGGCGCAAGGTAGAGCGCCCCCAGCCCAGGCGCGGGGCCAGGCGCCTCTCTCCAAGGTGCTGCGCCCCCAGCCGAGAGCGGTGGGGTACACTGGGAGGACGGCGGGGCGCCCCGGTCAGGCCGTTTTTTTCCCCAAAGAGCCCCCAGTGGGGAGGGGAGGAGTGGCCAGCTGTCAACTGGATTCCACAGGCTGAGCTCCCCAGGACCCTCGGGCTTCGGGAGTGAGGAGGACCCCACGCCAGGATACACACAGCTACCCACCCCTACTTCGCTCTTCCTGCTACCTATGTGCCCAGGGTCCCGCGTGTGGCTGGAGGGTAGAGTCAGGAAGGCCAGCGGGTGGTCTGTGGCCTCTGACAGCAGCAGGTGGTTTCTCTCCTTTTTCCTTATTAGCAACAGAGGCTGCCCAACAAAGAGTAGGCAGAAATGATCAAGGACGACCTGGCCTGGGGATAGTGCAGGCCCCGATAGACAATAGAGTTCCCTGAAGGGTTGCTTTCCTCTCATATAGTCTCAGACTCCATCCATCCCGTGAGGAGGGCAGATGGGGGAAGAGGGACTCCAGACTTCATTCTGGCTCACCGTTCCCCATTTAGGGTCTTCCCTTCTCCCCACTTAAGATGAAGAAGGAGTCCGTGTTTGTTCCGTAGCGTGTCTCCGTACACCACCAGGGGAATCCCCCTTCTGACACTTTCAGAAACTTTGCGCCCCCTGAACAGCGTCCGTCCTCGTGCTACCAGCTGGACCCCAAGTTTTTCCAGCGCTAATTAAATCGAGGATGATCACGCTCTTCCCTCATTGCTGCAGTGGTTTCCCCAAAGTTTCCAGCTCATTAGTTTAAGCCTAATTGGAATTCTCAGGTTCCTTTCAGCTCTTCCCATGGAAAAGGCCCAAGTTAGCATCCTTAGCTTTACACCTGAGGCTGTCTCCGTGAGAGTCAGATCAGCCCTGCCCTTGTCCTTGGAGGTCTCTGGAAGGAAGAGCGAGCAAGGGAGGCTGAGCTGGGCAGAGAGGCTGAAGAGGATGTTTGAAGCTTCTCTCTTGCTTGATTCGGAATACATTCATTGGGTTTAGAGTACACATCCACTAAGAAAGAGTCAAGGCCAAAGTCAAAGGAGAAAATGGAATGAGGTAAGAGTTCTTGAGTATTTGGTTCTCAAAAAGAAGTGTATGTAAAAGGGAGCTGCAGAAAGTGTGCTCCAGAAAATGGAATTGTCTGAGCCTCCTCTCCATACCATCCCATAGTACCTCCAACCTCGGCCTCTGTGTTCAGCCACTCTGAATGCATCCCTGCCACACCAGACCCAAGCATGCAAAGGCCCTGGGCCTTTTCTGGTACTGGGTTGGGGGAGCGGGACCCAGAAGTGCTGTGGGGATGCGCAGGAAGGTGACTATGGCATTGAGGTTCCTTTATTAGCCTCTCAATGGCTGTAGTTTGCTGCTTTTGTGCCTCAGCAATGCCAAGAAAGTTAAGGACATTCCTTAAATCAAGGCCAAGATTTGAAATTTAAAAATAAAACACCCAGAACATAAAAAGGGCAGCAAAGGATAGGACTGTCTCCCCAGTGGGATATGAAACCTCCAGAATGGATTCCCTCACCCACAAAATTGAAATTTTGCAAACCAGCAAATCCCCTCTGGGGCCTTCTTAGACATTCCCTACAGCCTGGATTCCCCTGAAATGCCAGTCTGGGGTCTACTGGTAAGCAGCCGATGGCCGTGACTTCTGTCACCCCAACTGCAGGATCTATAGCTTTTTCTCCTCCATCATCACCTTCATCACCTCAGCATCTTTGGAGAGGGTGCTTGGAGGCCCCTCAGATGCCATCTCCTGCTCTCTTCATCACCCCTGCCTCTGCTGATTGAAGCTTTTAGCAACTTCTGTGCTGTCCAAAGCCTCGGCTTAGTCAGGAATCATCAGAAACTCTCAGTGTTGATGTCAATATCCTTTCCTTCCTACAATCCCCAGTCTCTCACCTCCTCCCTGAATGGCCTGGCTGGTAAGCACTGAGAGAGTGCTACCATCCACCAGAAATAGACATTCCCAGGCCTTTGCCCAGTTCTCTCTGGCCATTTCCACATTGTTCACAAACTTTTGCACCACTTCCAGAAAACTTGGCCCCTGGCATTACAAATTTAGGAAAAGGCTCTGCACAGACAGAACCTCAAACTTAAAAGGAACCTTAGGTATCTTTGATTTGATGTGTTTCTTCATTTATACAATCAAAATAAAGCCAGAAACTTCCCTGCCTACCTCGAAGGGTTATATGTGAGGATGAAAAAGAAGGCTGGGCATGGTAGCTCACTCCTGTAATCCCAGCACTTTGGGAGGCTGAGGCGGTGGGATCACCTGAGGTCAGGAGTTCAAGACCAGCCTGGCAAACGTGGTGAAACCCCATCTCTACTAATAATACAAAAATTAACTGGGCATGGTGGCACATGTCTGTAATCCCAGCTACTCGGGAGGCTGAGGTATAAGAATCGCTTGAACTCGGGAGGCGGAGGTTGCAGTGAGCCGAAATTGCACCACTGCACTCCAGTCTGGATGACAGAGTGAAACTGTCAGAAAGAAGAAAGAAAGAAAAGAAAGAAAAAAGAAAAAGGAAGGAAGGAAATATTATACAGATCTTAACTATAATTACTGTGACCCCAAAAATGGACAGGCAAGTCTAACCAGATCTTCTGACCCCTGAGCTCGTAATTGTATGTGCACATGCCTGCATGTCATGCTGTCCACAGCATGTCCACAGCCAGACTGTGGCCAGACTCCAGGGCACAGCAGAGCCCCTCCAGCCTAAATGAGCTCTCTGACTACCCAACACCACTCCTTTTCTTGCCAGTCCCTGGACAGCCTTGGAAATGGGAAAGGTATAGAGAAGCACTCTAAGCCCAGCACATCTTCCCCTAATGTAGGTGTGTCTGCAGGCTGGAAATTGAGGTCCATTGCACAAGAACTGAAAGTCTCAACAGAAGTAGAAACTTCACCCTCTGTTCTGAAAACACCACGAGCCTTATTTTTATTTCTAAATTCATTCAAAAGCTTCCCAGAGAGAAGGGCAGCCTCTGTACCATGTGCATGTGTGTCTATGGCAGCTCTCAAAGCAAATCAGAGGTTTCAAGCTTAAATATTCTAATCTGAACAGTCCTAACTGATTTAAAAGAAGTAAAAGGAAGTGCATAAACATACATACTAAAAAAGCAGAGTGACTAAGGTAAAAGGAGAACAAAAAAGATTATTTGCTAAAATGTTGGCCAGCATCGCAATTAATGTGCAATGGATTTTCTTTTCCTCCAACCTGGACCTAGTTCCAATACTCTGACATCAATCTTCGCGATTTTGCGATGGAGAAGCCAGGTGGTGACTCTTTAAATGATCTAGCGCCCTCTGGTGGATTTTCCTGGCACATGACATTATTTCATGAATGTTCAAAAAAGGGACTTAATTTAACAGTCTGAAATTTGAGATATGAAAATTCCAAGAGGAAAACCCTGCTGGAAAAAAAAAACTACAGGGAGTAGGAAGGAGGCATGGATCAGGAAGATGTTGGTCCAAGGATACAAAAATTCAGTTATACAGGAGGAATAATTTCAAGAGATCTAATTGTGCAACATGGTGACTACTGTGGATAAACAATGTTTTTTTGTATACTTGAAAACCACTGAGAGATTTTAAGTCTTCTCATCACAGGTAAATGATAAGTATGTGAGGTAATACATGTGTTAATTTACTTAAGTTAGCCATTCCACAATGTATGTGTATTTTGAAACATCATGTACACCATAAACACACTTTTTGTCACTTAAAAAAATAAGAAAAATTGATAAAAAAACAACAAAACCCTACAGCTTCAACAGTATGAATTATCTAGTTACCAGTCCTACCAGCATATAAGCTGTTGTGGATAAAGGCAGCTAACAAAGTTCATGTTATTACTATGACTTGATGTCAGATCTCAACTGTTACTGCCACCAGTAACCCTGCCCTTCCTTGAATCACCACTGTGTTTTCTTTTAAAGTCAGCAGTATCCCTCTTTCTAACCACCCTTGGTCTTCACAGTCTCTTTGTGAAGTAAAAAAGTGCAGTAGTGGCCAGGCGCGGTGGCTCACGCCTGTAATCCCAACACTTTGGGAGGCTGAGGCGGGCAGATCACCTGATGTCAGGAGTTCGAGACCAGCCTGGCCAACATGGCAAAACCCCATCTCCACTAAAAATATAAAAATTGGCTGGGCGCGGTGGCTGACGCCTGTAATCCCAGCACTTTGGGAGGCCAAGGCAGGTGGATCACGAGGTCAGGAGATCAAGACCATCCTGGCTAACACAGTGAAACCCTGTCTCTACTAAAAATACAAAAAATTAGCCGGGCGTGGTGGTGGATGCCTGTAGTCCCAGCTACTTGGGAGGCTGAGGCAGGAGAATGGTGTGAACCCGGGAGGCAGAGCTTGCAGTGAGCCGAGATTGCGCCACTGCACTCCAGCCTGGGCGACAGAGCGAGACTCCATCTCAAAAAAAAAAAAAAAAAATAGCTGGATGTGGTGGCGCATGCCTGTAAGCCCAGCTACTCAGGAGGCTGAGGCAGGAGAATTGCTTGAACTGGGGAGATGGAGGTTGCAGTGAGTCAAGATCGCACCACTGTACTCCAACTGGCAACAGAGCGAGACTCTGTCTCAAAAAAAAAAAAAAAAAAGGCTGTAGCTATTTTCCCACTTTACAGGTGAGAAAACTGAGGCTTAGCTCTGCCAGGTTACTTGGCACGACAAGGAAAGTCTGTTACCTCTGAAGTGATTTATCTGTTTGTAATTTATAATGCTGGAGAGTGGGACTTACAGAACAAGCTTTCACATGCTTACATTTTTATAGATATTTATTTTATATTTACTTCTGCTTGTAAGAATAATTCATATGTATTATAAACTTTGGAATATAAAAGTTTCATATAAGCTTCAAGTCAGTGACAAGAAAAAAGAATATGTCACATAGAATCTTACCACCCCAAAATAACCACTATTAATATTTTTATATATTTATCTCATACCTTTTCCTTGGGTGTGTATTTCTGCAAAATTAGGGTTAGATTAAACATCTAACTTTTATCCTATTTTCCCTTAACATGAAACTGTTAGCATTTTCTCTAAGTCATTAAATATCATGGAAAACACTATTTTAAAAAATGATAATTGGATAACATTTCAGTAGATGGCATACTCCTGGCATTTAGATGATTCCAAAGTTTAATATGTTTTAAAATAAATTATAAAACTGTGTGCAAATGACTTCTAGTTGTCAAAAAAGATGTCCAGAAGATTTCCACTGACATGCTTCCATCCTGTCTCCAGTGCCTCGGGAGAGCAGGTGTGTGTAGGAAAGAGGTGCCTGTGGCAGTCAGTCTGGCCGTGGGATACTTCCCAGCCCTGCCCCAGGTCACTGGCCTCAGATCAGCCAATTGTGATGAAGAAGCTTTGAGCCAGGGCATGTTACCCGCAAAGTAATTCTCTTCTTTTCTAACACATCAAAGCCAGTGCATTGGAAGAAAATAATGCTGTGGTCTCATCGTATCCTCCTCAATCATTGCGCCACCTGCCTGCCAAGATACAAACTTGCAAGAACATCATCTTCATTCCCCAAAGGACATCCATGGCTAGGTCAAAGAAGGCACAGCTCAGGCACAATGCCCTGCCTAGAATTCACCTTTCACCACCATTCTGCAGGATTTCCAGAATAACGATTCTGCAGATTCCTGTGTCCCTTTCCTCTCTGTGATCAGTGTCACCCCCCAGCAGAACACCACTACTGTGGGCCTTGCCTCTGGGAGGTAGGCAGGGCAAAAATCAGTCCACCCATTTTTGCTAGTGGGAGAAGAAGGCACCAAAAGGAAAAAGATTTTCCTCAGTGCTACAGAACTTGTCTTCCTGACTGACAGACCAAAAAGCTTTCTAATCCTTTTCTTAGAGTATTCCTGATTTAATCTTTGCAAAAGCTCTAGTTCAATGCCTGGGCAGTCCAGGACTTGACTTCTTACTCCTAGTGCTCCAAAATAATCCAATGACCGCAATCTAAGGGACTGTGCAGATGAAGCAGGGACTTACTCCTGCCTCTTCCTGGTAGCTTTTGCAATATTTGCAAGTAAGAACAATGCTGAGATCATCCTTCCCACTTACAAACCCTCTTGGGAATAAGGAGAGAAGTCAGGAAGTACAACATCTCTAAGAGTTTCATTTACTTCCAATTCTGACTTGCTTTCCTGGTGTCTGCTTTTGTCATAATGTTCTCCAAAACAAGGTCCCTTTGTTTCAGGAAAATAAGTCATTGTACCAAAAAAATGCATGCACTTTTATGTTCATCACAGCACTATTCACAATGGCAAAGGCATGGAATCAACCTGAATGTCTGTCGATGGTGCACTGGATAAAGAAAATGTAGTATGTGTACACAGTGGAATACTATGCAACCAGGAAAAAAAATCACATTCTTTGCAGCAACATGGTTGCAGCTGGAGGCTGTTATCCTAAGTGAATTAACACAGAAATAGAAAACCAAATATCCCATGTTCTCACTTGTAAGTGGGAATCAACTCTCGGGTTCACACAGACGTAAAGATGAGAACAATAGACTCACACTGGGGACTCCACAAGGAGGAGTGAGGAAGGGGAGCAAGGACTGAAAAGCTGCCTATTGGGCACTGTGTTCACTGTCTGGATGGTGGGATGAATAGAAGCACTAACCTCAGCATCACACAATATACCCTTGTAACAAACCTGTACGTGTACCCTCAAATCAAAAATAAAAATGGAATTTTTTTTAAAGCCCTTTGTTTCACAGTGGCCTCCCTGGAAGGTGCATCCCTTCTTCAGCCTTGTTATCCCACAGTTGCCAAGCACCCTGCTTCCCAAAGATGATCATTTGATGGTTTAAAAAATTATAAACCATGATGCTTTTATGAAAGGTAAGGCTCTTTCTGTGAAACCAGGAAATTCTGCTTTTGCTATATTTTTGCAAAGATAAACATTTTTTTTTTTCAGAGCAGGAGTGAAAGTTTATTTAAAAGCTTTAGAACAGTAAGGAAAGGAAGGAAAGGAAAGAGAAGAAGGAGAGTACAACTTGGAAGATGGTCAAGTGGGCAGCTTGAGAAACCAAGTGCATAGCTTGACCTCTTGACTTGGGGTTTCATATGGTTTGGCTGTGTCCCCACCCAAATCTCCTCTTGAATTGTAGCTCCCTCCCGTAATTCCCACGTATTGTGGGAAGGACCCGGTGGGAGGTAATTGAATCATGAGGGTGTGTCTTTCCCATGCTGTTCTCATGACAGTGAATAAGTCTTATGAGATCTGATGGTTTTATAAAGGGGAGTTCCGCCACACAAGCCCTCTTGCCTACTGCCATGTAAGACATGACCCTGCTCCTCATTCGCATTCCGCCATGATTGTGAGGCCTCCCCAGCCATGTGAACTGTGAGTTCATTAAACCTCTTTCCTTTATAAATTACCCAGTCTCAGGTATGTCTTTATTAGCAGCGTGAGAACAAACTAACACAGGGTTTTATACTTTGGCCTACTTCCAAGATCTTGCCTTAACCCTCCCCACTCCTGAGATCTTATTGGGAAGCTGCTGATCAGTTTCAGCTGTTTTCTATCTGTCAGGAGACTGCTGTTCCCTGGCTCTGGCTGTGACCAATTATTACTTTAGAGAAACAGTTAACCCCCTGACCATCACCTGATGGTTGCCCACCACTCCTAAGTGTGTTGTGGGGAGCCCTCTCCTGCCTTGCTCATACCTGACTGGCTACCTACTATAACACGTCCCCCCTCAAGAGTCCAAGATCCTAAACCTTTGGGGGAAAATGGATGAAGGTCAGTCTTCTGCAACTTCTTCCTGCTGACAGAGGGGCGGTGGTGGTTCTGTGGGTCTTGGCCTCTTGCTAGCTGTCAGGGCCGACTTGGGTCCATGAATTGGTGAAAGCGGTATCCAGCCAGGTCTAAGGGAGACAGGGGCAGGATTTTGCCTCTGTCGTGTCCCACTGATGAACAATCTAGAGGTTCCCTTTAGAAAGGTGACTCTTGAATATTGAGAGGACAATATCTCTCACTGAGGATCATCTGGAGCTTGATGTCCTTTCCCCTTAAAGAGGAACCTCAGATCTTTCAGGGCCTTGCAAGTGTATTGAGGAGCTGAGGGCATTGCTTCCAACTCTGGTGTCCTGAAGCCTTTTCACGGCTTCACTCGGGTATGTTGTATCCAGCTGGCAATCTCTAGTACTTTAATGGCCCTGGGGGTAAATAATAAAACAGTGAAGGGGTCCTTCCAGAACAAAAACCCAATCTAGCAGTGTCCTGCAAAAAAGCCATAAATACAGACCAATAAACTGGTTTCTGGGTTCAAGAGGGAAGTTCAGTAAAGGTCCTAGTAGAAGGTGCTTACCATATTTCAGCAGAATGCTGTTAGAGTCCCAGAATGTAAGAATCACCATTCTAGGAATGCTGCCTGGAGCCAGGAAGGAGAGGTAGATCCTCACCTTTGGCTAGAAACTGAGTCTTTGAGTCTCCCACCAGGGAAATTTCCCCAGTGGATTTTGCGTGGACATCTGACTAATCCAGAAAGAGACCTGAAGGTGGGAGAGACCCTGCCATCTTCCTGGCCATTCTAGAAAGTCCAAACACAAAGAGAAATGACCTCCCGTTTCTCTGAGCACTGCAGCCACTACAATTTCGTAGCATCCACAGAGTGCCTCGCCAGCTCTTTCTCTCTGAGGACCTCTGACATGGGCTTATTTAAGCGCAAACTTTAGATGCTTCCAGAAAGATGGCTTGCCTACAGCACTATGCAGCTGGAACAGGGAGACTGTTAGAGGCAGACACTGCCCAGCGTGTGTCTCAGACCTCCCTTCAGAAAAAGCCTCTGTGAGCTCCAGGACACTGTGCTAAATGCATTTTCTGCAAGATGCTACACTGAATTGAAAGCGTGCAAAAACATCCTTTTGGTTATCTATAAATTTCATTTTGTTCTTCTCTCCTAATAACAAAATTGAAAGCTGTAAGTTGAACAAAGCAACCTGCAAACTGCTCTAGCAGCCCTGGGAACTCCCTGGGTGATATATGGTCATGGGCTTAGAGCTTTTCATTTGACTTGCTCTTGGCTTTTCTATCAAGATCTGTCTTGGTGACACTCTACTGAGATAGATGAGTTGGTATGCATAAGTGGCTTTTATTTCAGAAGGTAATACATATTCTATTTAAAGTACAATGACCCAGAAGGGAATTCCAGCCCCTTTATCATTAGTATAGAAATTCAATGGTTCATAATCTGGTAGCTCATTGAAATGACTTTTCATTAACTTCAATGGTTCATAATGTGGTGGCCCATTGAAATGATGTTCCATTAAATTCAATGGGGGATATTATTTGAGTCAGAACCAATTTACAAACTAAACAGAATGCAGGCACACATCGCACTGCCCAGAGGGCTCGCTCGGCTCTCTCTTCCCTGGGTCTTCCATGAAGACTGGTGAGATCAGCACTGCCTGGGAGCTGAGGTGGTAGGCAGAGAAAAAGCATGTAGGCAGGGCATGCCCTTCCTTCTAGGGGAATAATAGTTGAGGCCAGAGACCATAATGGGCAATTTACATGTCCCAAAATTCAATGCACATATTTCCCTAATGCTTAGACCACCTTCACAATTTTGACCATATCGTCATACTGCCTTTTCAATTACTTACTAATATTTGTCTTCAATAGACTACTTTTATTTACCTAAATTTATTTCAAAAGGAAATTCTATACCACTATCTTCCTGGAAAACCAACATCACTGTAAGTAGCAGGTAAATAAATACAGTAGTCTCTCACTTTTCTGCAGGGCATACCTTCCCAGAACCCCTGTGGATGCCTGAAGCCACAGATAGCACTGAACTCTACACACAGTATATACAAGTTTTTCCATCTGATAACCGAGAACACTGCTCAGGTACTAACAGGCAGGTGGTGGGTGGTGCATACACTGGACAAAGGAATGATTTATATCCCAGGCAGGATGGAGCATTTGGCAAGAGATTTCATCATACTACTCAGAATGGCAGCAGTTTAAAACTTATGAATTGTTTATTTCTGGAACTTTCCATTGAATATTTTTGGACTGTGGTTGACCACAGGTAACTGAAATTGCAGAAAGCAAAACCTCAGATAAGAGGGGGACTACTGTAATAATAAAATAAAAATAAATAACAAATCAAAATATAAATACATTAGAAATAAATAGAAGGCAAGTGTAAAAGTAAATATAATAAATGCAAACAATGCTGTAAAATCAGAGCTTGCTGTTTTCAGGTGAAAGCCCTCCATCTGAAGCCTAGACTGCCTTTGCTAAAAGGAGAAATTGGTAAGTGTTGTAGAGATGTTCCAGGCACAATGACCATCTCTGTGGCAATCAGGTTAGAGAGGGAATTGGGCAGGGCATGACTTTCCCACTGAGTGCCAAGACCGGAGTATAAGCTCAAATCATCCTTTGTACCGCGTGGGGTCAAGCAGCCTGCCTTTTTGGAAGCACTGCTTTCCTACTCGTTTTAATTCTTACACGAGGCTGGGCACAGTGGCTCACGCCTGTAATCCCAGCACTTTGGGAGGCCCAGGCAGGTGGATCACCTGAGGTCAGGAGTTCGTGACCAGCCTGGCCAACATGGTGAAACCCCATCTCTACTAAAAAACTACAAAAATTAGCCAGGTGTGGTGGTAGGCACCTGTAATCCCAGCTACTCAGGAGGTTGAAGCAGGAGAATTGTTTGAACCCGGGAGATGAAGGTTACAGTGAGCAAAGATCATGCCACTGCGCTCCAGCCTGGGCGACAGAGCAAGGCTCTGTCTCAAAAAAAAAAAACTTACACCATCTCCTAAAGTATCACCCCCACTATACAGATGTGGAAACTGAGGCTCAAGTAAGTTAAGTAAGCAACTTGTCCAAAGTCACACACAGAGTGTCCTCAAGGTCAGTGCACAGCATTATCAGGGGTCACTCAGCCCTCTGACCCTATCGCCATCTGGGCCATTATAATTCTAGAAGGAAAAGCACATTAGAGATTTTGTCTGACTTCCTCTTTTTAGAGTGAGAAAAGTGCAGCCTAGAGGTGTTTAATAA
The DNA here is from genome assembly GCF_000001405.40 of Homo sapiens. Lineage (NCBI taxonomy): Eukaryota > Metazoa > Chordata > Mammalia > Primates > Hominidae > Homo > Homo sapiens. The sequence continues at coordinate 77,649,734 of NC_000010.11, forward strand.
CCTGCCCAAAGCCTCTTTGTTCCCCAGCGACTGAGCTGAGGTTAGAATCCTTATCTGGTGTGCTTTCTGTCCTCTCAAAGTCCACCCGGCCAGCAGATGAGCCTGTTGGGAGCCAGGCAGGTGGTAAAGTTTCCTCACCATCCTCCTTTCTGCTCCCAGCAGGCCTAGGAAATCCTTTCTTGCTGACCTTTCTTTCAAATGCTAATCTGGGCCTCTGAGGCTGGGGTGGGGGGGTGGGAGGGGGGGCCTTTCCCCCATTGGGAGCCCCACTGCCAGGTGAGCCCATGGCTGTGAGTCAGCACAGAGAGCTTCAGAAGTCCCTCACTGATGGGGGGCATGCAGGGAGTGTGCCCCATGGCATCTGGGCCTTTGCAAAGCCTGTAGGGGCCGGGGTGCCCCATTAGCCCAGGAGATGCCCCTGCAGGAGGCTTTAAACTCAGCAGGTGCACCTCACAGCTCCTCGGTCTCAGACACAGCCTGAGGTCAAGACAGAAGCTGTGAAGAAGCTCTGTTGGGTGAGCCCTGGGGCTGCAGGCAAGCCAGGACCTTTGGAGGCCCTGGGAGGCTGGCAGGGGTGAGGGAGAATGGCAGGTGCAGGTGCCATACTGCACCTTTGGGAAGAGCAAAGGTGGTGGGGTGAGCGGGTCGAGTTATGAGAAAGTTCACAGAAACAAAAGAGGGGGTATGAGAGTAGAAGTGGGAGGACAGAGAAAGAGAAGGAAGAAAAGAAGTAAAAAATAAAAGGAAACAGAGAGAGAAGAAAAAGAAAGAGAAGGGAGGGAGGGAAGGAAGGAAGGAAGGAAGGAAGGAAGGAAGGAAGGAAGGAAGGAAGGAAGGAAGGAAGGAAGGAAGAAGAAATAAATAAATAGAGAGACCTAAGAAACAAGGCAGAGAAAGGGACATCACCTGTCCCAGCCAGTGGCCTCTTCTGAGTTGCTCCACTTCCCTAACAAAGCACAGAGACATTATGCCTGTAATATAAGGGGGTCCAAAGTGCCCACAGTAAGAAACAAGTATTCTCCCCTTAAAGGAAAGGCACAGGATCCTGGTGGCAAATTTCTGACAAGTGAGCTCCCCACCCCCAACACACACACACAGACAGACACACACACACACACAATGGACTGTCTCCTTTCTCAGAGGGATACATGCTTGAGATGCTGGGTGTACCTGCAAAGCACAGGCCTGGGAAGCCCCTCCAACACAGATGGTCTTGTCTTATAAGTGTCAGGGTTTGTGCCAGCTGAAAGGGAGCCCGGACTTCTGTATAGGAGGTGAGGACAAGGGCAGAATCTCCTTCATTGTGTATTCTTTTCTCATCACCCAGAAGAGGATTAATCATATTAGGACTCAGCAGAAACAAACGAGAAGAAGCTGCACATGGCCAGGCAGTGCCTCCCATCCCCAGGCAGTGCCTCCCATCCCCATTAGTGGCCTGCGGGAGGAACTTTCCATGGGAATCCCACCCAGCCCAGCCTCCTTGCAGGGCAAGGGCCCAGGACACTGGTCTCTCCAGCTGACTGCACAGGGCTTTAAAGCCAAGGATGAGGCAGGGGAGGAGAGGGTCTCAGTGTAACACATTCTACTCTACCCTCCAGGGCTCAGTTCCTCAATTCTACAAAGGAAAAAATATTAGGTGTTTATTAGGTAAATATTTATTAAGCACCTACCATGTGCTTTGTGCTATTGGCAATTTCTATAAACAGGGTTTTCCCATCCACAGCAGCTCTCCCTACCACATGAGAGGGTCCCTGGAGGAGCAACCACATGGATTAAATATTTCACACCATGAGTCAATGGAAGTGCTAGCTCAGCCCTCAAGTTGCTGCATGATCCCACTCTGGAGTTCCATGGAGCTGGGTTCCAATTTCAGCTCTCCTCCTCTCTCAGGCTGCAGGCTGTGGGTTAGGTTTCTTAGCCTCTTGAATTTCAGTTTCTCCATCTATATAGTAGAGAGAATAACAGTGCCTTCTCAGTGAGTTGGTGTGAGGATTGAATGGAAGAATCCTGGTAAAGCTCTTAGTTAGCACAGTGCCTGGCACATGGTGTCCTTTTGTTGGCCTTTGCTACAATTAATGAAGGCAGAAGTGTGATTATATAAACCTGTACCCACTTTCTTTGAGTCTCCATCCTCTGATGTATACCATGAGGTACTCCCTGCAACCCCTTTAGTTTGAAGCCATGCTATTCTTGTCTTTGCTCCCCTATCTCAACCCAGGAATGGTGATATTCTTGTTTACTCGCCTTTGTTTGGTGTTCAATGCTGTCTCTCCTTCCTGTGATGGAAGGATTGTTCTGTCCTTTTCCCCCTTCCAGAACCTGTTCTCATTTCCGTTCTCCCAAGGCCAGCTGCAGCCTCTTGTCTCAAGAATGTATATCTTAACAACAATGAAAATCCTCACAGACTCATAATCAAAACATCTTGGAGAGGATATCTTAGAGAAATGAGGTACCTTTCCAATAAGGGGAATGAGGATCTTTGGTGTCTTTTTGTGGGTCTTTCATATCATCAACAAATACAAGTGTTTGTTAAGCATCTATTACACACACGCAAATATATTAATTACCATGATTTAAAAAGGGAGAAGACACAAATCCTCAACTCAAGATGAAAAAGATTCCTAAAGATAAAGGCTCATTTAATATGAATTCACAATTCAAAATTTCAAAACCCGTGAATAAATAATCACATTATGAGCAAATGTCAATAAATAGAAAAAAAGCAAAATCAGATAAGACTGCCAAGAACTTGAAGTAAATGAATAATATGATAGAGACCACAAAACTAGTAAGTGTAAAATTATTAGACATAAAAGAAGGAATATGAAATGTAAAAAACACAACAGAAAATAAAACAGATTTGGAAAAGAACCAAATAGAACTTATGGAAATCCTTTTACGGCCACAGAAATTTTACAACTCAGCAAGTAGGATAAATAGCAGATTAGACTCACTTGGACTGTAACAATTAGGCCAATAAAAATAGATCTGAGAAACATAATCAGAATGTAGTATATACAAAGAAAATGATAGAAATAAGAACACAGGCATGGCTCTTATTTCTATCAGAGAACAGAATGAAAATAGGGCCAGGCACAGCAGCTCACACCTGTAATCCCAGCACTTTGGGAGGCCAAGCCAGGCAGATCACTTGAGGTCAGGAGTTTGAGACCAGCCTGGCCAACATGGTGAAACCCTGTCTCTACTAAAAATACAAAAATTAACCATGCATGGTGGTGGGTGCCTGTAATCCCAGCTACTTAGGAGGCTGAGGCAGGAGAATTCCTTGAACCTGGGAGGCAGAGGTTGCAGTGAGCTGAGATCATGCCCACCGCACTCCAGCCTAGGTGACAGAGCACACCTCTGTCTCAAAAAAAAAAAAAATGAATGAAAATAGAATGAGAAAATCTACCATACACCTAATGAGAGTTCCAGATGAAGATGATGGAGAATGGGGAGAAGCAATAATCAGAGATAATGGCTGGGAAGTAAAAAAACCAGAATTCATAGATTCATAATGCCACAAATTTTAAGTAAAATAAATAAAAACCCACTTTTTCATGCCTTATAGAGAAATCATAATTCACCAAAGCCAAAGAATAAAATTTTTAAAGTAACAAGAGAGAAAGGAGAGACTACCTACAGAGGAATGACAATTAGACAGCCAACTTCTCAACAGAAACAACTGAAACAAGAAACAATGGAACAAGATCTTCAAAGAACTAAGTGAAAATTACTGTCAACCTAGAATTGTAGGCTGAACACAAAGTGTTTTTAGACAAATAAAAACTAACAGAATCTGTCACCAACAGACTCTCCCTGAAAGAATTTCTAAAGGATAAACTTCAGGAGAAAAGAAACTGAACCCAGAAGAGTAATAAAGAAGCACTGAAGAGCAAAGATGATGATTACCATATAGATAATACTAAACAAGCATTGATTTCTAAAACAGAAAAAATATTAATGATAATTTTGATCATTACCAAAACAAGATGGAACTAAAATATTAGAAAACAATAACATGCTAGACAGGGACTGTTACATCAGAGTTAAAGCATATCAAGATTCCTAGATTGTTTGTAAGGCAATAGAGGTATGAATTAACTTGATACTGTTAAGTCAAGTAAACATTAAAAGTTTAGGGGTAACCACTGAAAGAATAAAAATGAAATATATAGCTTCCAAACCAGGGAGGGATGGAAAGGGAGATAAAGATAGAAAAGAAGAGTCAGCCAGGCATGGTGGCTTACACCTGTAATCCCAACACTTTGGGAGACTGAGGCAGGCAGATCATCTGAGGTCAGGAGTTTGAGACCAGCCTGACCAACATGGAGAAACTCATCTCTTATTTTTTTTTTCTAAAAATAAAAAATTAGCTGGGTGTGGTGGCGCATGCCTGTAATCCCAGCTACTCCGGAGGCAGAGGCAGGAGAATCACTTGGACCTGGGAGGCAGAGGTTGCGGTGAGCCAAGATCGCACCATTGCAATCCAGCCTGGGCAACAAGAGTGAAACTCTGTCTCAAAAAAAAAAAAAAAAAAAGAAAAGAAAAGAAAAGAAGAGTCAGGGAAAGCAGTATAAAGTAAAGTAAACAGAACTAATAAAAGAAAATGCTATACAATAAATAAATACAATATATTCAAACATCTGAAGCTGTAGTAATTGTAAATAGATTCAACTCACCAATCAAATGAAGAATTTAATTGCTTAGCAATGTGCTATTTCACAGAACCATATCTATACATTAAAGACTCTGAAAAGGACTGAGGAAAGATGTACCAAATTGTAACGAAAAGAAAGCAGTGTAACTGTTTTAATACCAGACAAAATAGACTTTAGGAGTAACTAGAAGTGACCTAAGTACAATGGCAGGTGGAGAAGGAGAGTTATTGAAAGCAGAGAGAACTGCATGAGCAAAGACATCAAGGGAGGACTATCCCTAACAAATTTCAATAGCTCAAGTTCAAATATAGGTTAAAATAGAGAAGCTTCTTCATTGTAACATTATGCTCTGTTATTTTTAATGTATATTTTTGAGCATGTAGGCACCAGACACCATGCTATAAATTATTTCTATAAATTATTTCTACTCCTCGAAAAATCTCACAATGCAGATGCTTTGTTATTCAGTACAATTTTGGTTATAGAAAACTGAAACCCAATTTGAATCAGTCTGAGTTAAAAGTAAGAATAGATGGATCTCTCACTAGAAAAACCCCACAGAAGGAAGGACACTGTTTGGGCCAACTTTGGATCCCATGCCCACTCTCCAGCTCATTACTGAGTTCAGGAGGACAGGCCAAGCTTGGGTCAAGTGCCTGCCCAGCCTGAAGTGTGGGGTGTTACAATAAAAAATAAAAAATAAATAAAAGAAAACACGATTGATGTACAGAAGGACTGCTTCTCTGAAAGTAGGGGTCTGACAAAAACAAACAATTCCACAAGAGTAGATTGTATTATCCTCATTTTATAAATGAAGTCTCAGACTCAGAGGCCAAGGGACTTGTCCAAAGCCCCAAGCACCTACATGGCAGAGCTGATGGGAAACCAGGTTTTTTCCTCTAAAAGGCTGAACTTTTTCTCCAAGCAATGAACATAGGACTTTGCACAGAGTTAAGTTCTCAAGATATATACTAATTCATTATTTTAAAGGACCTACAGAATATAAAGAAAATTGATCATTTTCTTTATAATCATTAAAAGATTTGGAATGAGGAACTTGTTTCTAGGGCCAACAACCCTACAGCATATGGGCCCTCCCAAGGACCCTCCACAGACACCAATGAACTTGGCATCATAGATCCTCATGCTTAGAACTCCTTTGCACTGATAATTTGTACTGTGCAGTTCAGCCCTAAAACCATCTTTAATTATTTCACAGCTTGTCCAGGTCTAGCACCTCCCTTTCTCCTCCACAACACCCAAAAGAGCCACTAGTAGATGTTTAAATGATTGGCTCCAACACTTTTTAACTCATGAACCCATCTGGAAAACTGATGAAACCTATGGGCTCCCACCCCGAGGAAAAGGGGGAATCAATGCCTATTTGCACATACACACACACTTTCAGCAACTTTGCAGGCCCCTGAAATGTATCCAGGAATCCCTGGGAGTTAAGAACTGCCTCAACAAGAAGGGAATAAAACTTAGTACCCCCAAGAGACAGCATTGGGAGGCTATTCAATCAACTCAAAAAGATTGGGGCCAATTCACATGTGACTATCTTAAATGGACAAGAAGTGCTAACCCATAAAAGCACATTTCATAGTTAGCTGTTGACTGCAATGGATCCCATTCAGCTCCAATTTTAAAATACCAGCTGAGTGCCACTATGTGCCAGGTACTCTGCTGGATACAAACTAGAGTAAGACCCTGTCCTGAATCCCTAGAAGCTCAAGACAGATGCATAAGCAACAATTTCACTTCAGTGTGGTGAATGCTAAGGTAGAGCTGTGCTAAAATCCTATGGGAACACTGGCAGGAGGTGGAAAGTAAGGGAAGGTTCCAGGAGAGAAAGTCTCAGCGGAAGGAGGATCAGGTGTTTTCTGGCAAAGAACTGAGGGAGGAGGGGAGCATTGCTGGTGGTAGAAACATGAGACCCACATGCATGTAGAGTGACATGTGTGGGAACATCAAGCATATTGGTATCACTAAGGCAGTGGTTGTCAATGAGGGTGATTTGCCACCCCACTCGCGACATCCCATTAAGGACATTTGACAATGTCTGAGTGTTATCCAACAGAACTGAGGTCCACTTGCCCAGCACAGTTAAGACCAAACATCCACATCTATGTTTTCAGCAAGAGAAATAATGGCATTTATTTGCAGGGCACCAAGCAAGGAGAATTGAGCAGCTCACACTTAAGACCCAGCCTCCCCAATGGCTGGCAGGTAAGGGTTTTCAAAGGCATGGGTAAATTTCATGAAAGCAGAAGTTACAGGCAAAATCCTAAATCAATACATAGAGGTTACACAGTGGGTTGGCTTGAAAAGGTGGGATATCTGGAAGCAGGGCCTTAGAGGTCACAGGTGGGTTTAAAGATTTTCTGATTTGCAATTGGTTAAGGAAGATAAGCTTTGTTTAAAAAAAGAAGTAGAGAATGTTGCCTATTTCATGGGCATAACTTCCTTCAGGCCCCTCAGGAAGAACTTTAGAACAAAGACCAGCAAAAGCGGTAAGAGTTCAGTCCTCAGTTCCCCCTTATCTGAGGTCTATGTGCCAGTAGATCCATCTGGTAGGGGTCTGGGTTTCTGAAGAACCACTCAGGGACATGTGTTAAAGTGTTACCTTTAGTTTCTATAGGGAACCAAACACCTCATGGCTCTAACGTCCTTGGCTATTGTTTAAGCTACCATTTCCTTTTAGGTTATGCACTTGCTCACTTTCTTCTCAGAGCCAGCTCGGTGCCTCGAATTTCCCTTGAAGGAACTTAAGATTTCCCTTTATTTCCATGTTTAGGGTACATTCAGCAACCTGAGAGGGGTCCCTGCTCCATCTCACGAGGATAGCTTTGGTTGTCTTATCTCGGGTGGGAGTGGAGTTGCTTATGGGTATCTAGTAGGTAGAAGCCAGGTCTGCTGCGAAATATCCTTCAATGCACAAAAAGCCCCTGACAACAAAGAATTTTCTGGTCCAAAATATCGATAGTGTTGAGAAAGCCCACATCAGAGGATCAAGTGTGGATAGGGAGTTGTTGCCTGAATTGAGAAACCAATATTCCTGTAGCTTTGGGGCTGCTGCCATCAGACCCTCTCTTCCCTAAAGCAATGATACCAGCTCTGCACCTCATCAGCAGGAGGAAAGAATGAGAGTGGTTTGTCTCTGTACAGTGAAAACATAGGTTAGTTATTGAAGCTAACTTGACTTCTGCACTCATGTATCAGTTGTGATTATAGAAGAAGGCTCGGCTGCACCCAGCCTGCTATGGTCTGGATATTTGTGTCCACCATCCCCGAAATTTATATGTTGAAACCTAATCCCTGTTGACAAAAAGAGTCAAACTCTGTAAAATATTTTAAGAGATTTATTCTGAGCCAAATATGAGTGACCTTGGCCCCTGACACAGCCCTCAAGAGGTCCTCAGAACATGTGCCCAAGGTGATGGGGGTACAGCTTGGTTTCATATATTTTAGGGAGGCATGAGACATCAATCAAATACATTTAAGAAATACATTGGTTCGGTTCAGAAAGGTGGGACAACTTAAAGTGGGGGCTTCCAGGCTACAGGTAAATTTAAATACTTTCTGGCAGATAATTGGCTGAGTTTGTCTGAAGACCTGAGATCAATGGAAAGGGATGTTCAGGTTAAGGTAAAGGGTTGTGCATACCAAGTTTTATTGTGCAGAGGAAGCTCTCCGATAGCAGACTTCAGAGACAGCAGGTTGTAAATTGTTTCTTATCAGACTTAAAAGGGTCCCTGGATCATAGTTGATTATCTCCTGGATCTGGGAAGGAAGGAAGGAAAACAGAGGGGCAAAGGTATTCTCTGTAGAATGTGGCTTTTTCCCACAAGAGACTTTGCAGGGCAATTTCAAGGTATGGCAAGGAAATATATTTTGGGGTAAAACATTTCAAATTTTCTTCCTTGTTATGCCAGAGTCAGATTGGAAAGTAAGTCATGATACACAGGGTTAAATAAACCCATCTGATGAGAATTTATGATTTGTAGGGCATGACTCCCCACACCCCTTAGGAATTTGGGCAAGATAAAAAAAATCAGAGCTTAGTCCTCATCCCCAGTGTGATAGTTTTAGGAAGTAGGGCCTTTGGGAGGTGAATGGGATTAGTGCCCTTATAAAAGAGTACTGAGAGAGACTCCTCACCCCTTCTACCACGTGAGGACACAGCAAGAAGGAACATCGATGAACCAGGAAGCAGGCCCTCACCAGACACTGAATCTGCTGGCACCTTGGCCTTGGGCTTTTCCAGCCTCCATATCTGTGAGAAAAAAAGCTCTGTGGTCTATAAGTCACCCAGTCTGGTATTTTTTTAAAGCACCCCAAGCAAACTAAGACATGGCTCCACCTGAAAGTAACCTGTGGATGACTTGTGTGAACCCCAAACATTTGAGACAGGTCTTAGCTAATTTAGAAAGTTTATTTTTGCCAAGGTTGAGTACGCGTGCCCCTGAGACAGCCTCAGGAAGTCCTGACAACAAGTGCCCAAGGTGGTTGGGGCACACCTTTGGTTTTATACATTTTAGGGAAACATGAGACATCAATCAATATATGTAAGAAGTACATTGATTCCACCCAGAAAGACGGGGACAACTTGAAGCAAGGAGGGGTCTTCCTGGTCACAGGTATGTGAGAGACAAATGGTTGCATTCTTTTGAGTTTCTCATAAGCCTTTCCAAAGGAGGCAATCAGAATATGCATCTATGTTAGAAATACCAAAATTGTTAGAAATAGATAATCGGTGCCATGAAGAAAAGTCAGCACGTAGACATAAGATCTCTCAGCAAGGCAATCTTTACTTTCTGCAGAAAGGGTGCTCAATCACAGATGGAACAATGGTGAGAATATACCTGAACAAAGGAAAAGCAGACATATTTATCCCTTACTCATTTGGGTCATCCTTACTGCTGTGTCCTGCATCCATTTGCTGGAGAAGGACCTCACTGATATCCGATTTGCTAATAACCTGAAACTTTCCTAAATAGGTAAGTGCAGGGAAGGACAAAGAAGGAGAGGAAGTTGCTTATGAAAGGTTTAAGGAAGCAATAACATTTCCAAATAAGGAAGGGGCATAAGCTATGAGCTAAGATTTGCCTGGGCCTGTCCAGACATGCCTGAGTAAGCCAAAGCAACTAACTGGGCTAAAGTGTAAGAACTAATAGTTGATAGGAGGGTTTAGAGTAAGGAACTATTATTCCTAGTGTCTATTATTTTATTTTTAAACAAGACAAGCTTTGAAGAGGAAGTTTTCTACTTTCTACAATCTCAGTGAGCGGAGGGATTACTTTGAACAGAATGGGAGGCAGATTTGCCCTGAGCAGTTCCCAGCTTGAATTTTCCCTTTAGCTTAGTGATTTCGGGAACCCAAGATATTTTCCTTTCACATTTGCATACCCATCTTCGGGAGTAGCAGGTAACCCAGGTTATTCACGGGATTTGGTTTGCCTGGTTAGCCCACAGTGGGACACAGGAAGGAGAATTCAGAGCTGTTACCAAGTGCTACCTGAGATCACACACAGTTACTAAGGTCTGGAGAATTCTCTCCCCAAAGCTCCAGATGTAACTGTGACTCTACAGTGACTTCCTGACTCTAGGGACATCAGAACAAGTTCCTTAAGAGAGCTTTCAGGAAATAGCCTGGGAACTCTGTAAGCAGGGTCAAGAATCCATACAGTCACAGGGGCAGCATCTTGCTGAGGGGTTTGCAGAGGGTTACCACAGGAAAGAGAAACCACCCATAGCAGAGGGGCAGCAGGAACAACCGCCACCAAGTGGGTCACTAGCCATGGGAGCCTCTGAGTCCTGCTGACAGCCAGTGGCTGGAACAGCAACCGAGACCTGCACAGGAGCCAGGGCTTCCAAAGCTTATGATGAAAACTCCCACTGACATGGTCAGAGAGAGGGTCTAGTTCCAGGAACTTATTTATCAGAGTGCTCTCTCCCCATCTTGGCATGTGTTACTGGATATTGTGATTTTTTTTTTTTTCGAGGCAGAGTCTTGCTGTGTTGCCCAGGCTGGAGTGTAGTGGTGCGATCTTGCTGCAACCTCTGCCTCCTGGGTTCAAGTTATTCTCATGCCTCAGCCTCCAAGTAGCTGGGACTACAGGCATGCGCCACCACCCCCACTAATTTTTTGTATTTTCAGCAGAGACAGGGTTTCACCATGTGGGGCAGGCTGGCAAAACTTGGTCTCAAGTGATCTGCCCACCTTGGCCTTTGAAAGTGCTGGGATTACAAGTGTGACCAACCACACTCAGTAGATATTGTGATTTTTAATAAGAAATATATATTTGGTCTTCATCCAAGCACAAGTGCTAGGAAACTAGGAGGTTTCCTAGCACACACCTCCTAAAACCCTTAGAGTAGCAGAAGTGATTTGTCCTTTTGTATACTAATGGGTTGACTGTTGGCTGGGGGCCCCTGGATAGCCTCAGAATGGGGACTGGTTGCCAGTGGAACCAACCTTGTGATTGGAGGATTGGGATATTCAACTCTTCCCCCTGACCTCCAGGGAGGGGGAGGGCTGAAGGCTGAGGTGATCATCAATGTCCAATGATATAATCAATTGTGCCTACACAAAGAAGACTCCATAAAAACCCAAAAGGCTGAGGCTCAGGAAGCTTCTGGATTGCTGAACACATGGAGGAACTGGGAGGGTGGCGTGCCCCTAGAGGGAAGCTCTGCACCCCTTCCTTTATACCTTGCCCTATCTGTCTTTTCTTCAAGCTGTACCTGAGTTGTATCCTTTTATAATGAATGGGTAAAATTAAGTCAAGTATTTCCGTGAGGTCTGGGAGCAATCCTACCTCATAATCAACCAAGAGGAGGGGGGCGTGGAAACCTCCAATTTACAGCCACTTGGTCAGAAGCACAGGTCACAGCCTGGGATTTATGACTGGCTTCCGAATGGGGGCAGTCTTGCAGTCTTGTGGGACTGAATCTTTAACCCTGTGAGATCTGACTCTAACTTCAGGTGGATGGTGTCAGGATTGAATTGAATTAGAGGACACCCAACTGGTATCAAAGATCTGGTTGCATGAGAAAAAATAACCCACACACATTTTGTTGACCAGAGGGGAAGTATTCTGTGTTGAGTGTGAATGTAGAAGGGAAAACTGTTCTTTTCTTCCTATTATACAGTCATCCTTAACATCTTTGTAGAAAGCATCATTGATTTTCAACATATCCATCACTGAAAGGAAAAGCCAGCTCCCCACCAGCAAACCTCACCAGGAAAAGGTCCAAACAGCCTGAGAGGGAACTTAATTCACTGTAACTAGTACTCAGATCCTGGGGGGAGGCTATGGCCTGGGGGAGGATGATATACAGGTATACCTCAGCTGCTGGTCACAACAAAAACAAACCCTGAATACTACACCCAAACATGCTAAGCTGACTGTGGGAAATCGGCTGAGATAAGGCAAACAGAACACAATAAGACCATTTATCCTGAAACAAACTGGCCCTTCAGTTTCCAAGAGACACCCATAACTCAGCCCTCCAGGAAGAACTTGCACGTCAGTTGCCTCGTTCTCTGGGCACAGAACACCATTAACTTTAAAAATACACCAACGGTTGTACGAGAGACAAGTCATCAAGCATGGTGCTGGGAACAGGGCGGTTTGGGCTCCATTTAAGGAAAAGCACTGGGCACTTGCAGGCCACAGACTTCTGCAACGGAATCTTTTGAAAAAGCTTCTCCTTCCGTCTGGTGATCCCGTCAGCAGCAGGCCTGTCCCCTAGGTCAGGTAGCCTGGAATTTCAATCCCCCAGGTGCCAGCACTTCTGCTTCTCAACTTGCGGTCCCTTTACTAAAGTCAAAGGAGGATGGAGGCTGTGCCTCTACTTCTGGACCCTACTTTTATAAATATCCTGCAATGTAATTATTTTTATGACCAAATTTTCTTTTGACTGTTAGGCCTCCTCTGGGACCATGTAATTACCCAGCCCTATTTGCAAGTTTAAGTGCATGGCTCTGCGGTCATCTGAACACAGGAAAAGGCTTTGCCGTGCATCTGTACGCATATTGCCTTCATAGCCAAGTTATTCCTAAATCGTTCACCAGTTTAAAGATGTGTCCCATAAAAACCTTCTTCTGGGCTCCATCCAAGGCGGTGGAGCCAGCATGGCCCTGGACGGATATTTCAGGGAGGCTGAGAGCGACCGCAAGGAAGCATTGTGCCTAATCGTGGCACTCGTCCGGATATCGTAGGAAAATTATGACCGAAAATACCTCCTGAAGACAGAATGACCACACGGCCTGCGGCAGACTGGCGGTGTCAAGGTGTTCAGCTTTTTCCAAGAATGGCACAGAGAAGAAGACCACAGAAGAGCTAAGCTTCTTGGAAAATGGGTGTGTCATGCTAGGGAAAGCACTGGCAGCGCAGGAAATAAAGAAAGCTCCCCACGTAAGCCATCTAGCACAAGGGAATGTATGGCAGAGAGTCAACAGCCACGTCTTGGCAGTGGAGGATCTAGGTTCAAAAGGCAGCTCTGCACCTTTCTAGAAATATGACCTTAAACAATTTGGTTAACTACTCCGATTGCCAGGTTCCCCATCTATAGTACTGAAAATCATTCTATCCATAGGTTGTGTAAGGATCAAAGAAGATAACAGACATAAAATATTTAGCATTGCACCTGATAAATAGTAAATATTTCACAAATGAGAGTATTGAGAGTATTATTACCCTCAATGGTAATTATTATTATTATTAAGAGTATTATCATTTTCTCATTATTAACTCCTTATAGCTGCATAGTGTTTTAGAATTTGCAACAGGCTGCTCTATTCATTCCTTTTTTTGTCTGAGAAAAATCTGACTAGGTAATGTATTAATTCATATAATTAAAAATAAAAATGATATACAAGTACATGATGAAAGCCTAGCTCCCACCCCGTCTCTATCCACCTTCTCCCCTCCTCCACAGCTGCCCTTGAAGGTAACACTTTCCTTAGGTCCTACATATGCACCAGTGTTTCTTTCTACAAATACATATATTCAGCTTCCCCCCATTTTTTACACAAAAGTAGCATTCTATTCACACTATTCTGCTATTTGCTATTTTTACTTTATATTAATAAATCTTACTATGGAGAGATCCTACTTTCCATATTAGTATATAGGAAGCTTGCTGGATCTCTTTCTCTCATACACACACACACACACACACACACACACACACACACACACAGAGAGAGAGAGAGAGAGAGAGAGAGAGAGCTACATTGTATTCCTTTGCATAGCTCTATCACAGTTTATTTAACCAGCTCCCTCTGAACGGACACCTGGGCTGTTTCCAATTCCAGTCGTGTATTGCTCTTGACACTGCCACAGTGAGGCCCCTTGTTCATCGTCATCTTGTACAAGTGCAGGCACATCCTTAGAATGAATCCCCAGCAGTGAGATCATTGGTCAAAGGGCACAAGCATCTGTGACTGTGGCTGGTTATTGCTGAGGGCTCCCCATTGGGATTGTGCCATTTTGCACCTCCCCAAGCAATGTACAAGAGGGAGCAATCCTTTTAACTCTTTTCATTGTTTCTTCTGCTAGCTGCCCCCATGTCTCCAAATGTTATGCTCAGCCAGTTTCTTTTCTTCTCTTTTTTTTTTACCATCTTAACCTTATTTAAGCACACAATTCAATGGCAGTAAGTGCATAATGTTTAAGTGTCACCAAAGCATTTATCCCAAACTGAAACTATGTGCCCATTAACAAGAACCCCCCATTCCCTCATCCATTCTTGTTTATGCTGGCACTTGCCCATATAGCATAGTTGGAGGGAAATAAACCTTCCTGACAAATCCCCCAAAACACTCCCACTTGCTCTCTGAACCATCGTACTCGTTTAATAATAGAGGAACAAAGGCTTTCATTGTATGATAAGAGATTAGCCTTGTAGAAAAAAATTCTCCTGGAAGAAGAAATCAAAATCTTTAAATTTCACATAAACTTGTGAATGGCTCCTTTCTATATGCAGCTCTCTGTGTGGGTCAGGTAGAGGATGCTGGAAAGGGCAGTGGGGATGGTATATCCCATGGTATGTGGGGTCAGGGGACTCAGAAAAAGAATGCTATATTTTATCTACTTCTTAGTCTAAGGACTAAGTTGCCTAGCTGTCGGATAGAGGAGAGTGAATTTGGCTTTGCACCCAGCAAGTACTTGGTTTTCTAAGACATGCAGTTCTGTGGGCACCTCCCTAATGCCATCGCCCTCTCCCCAGATTTCCCAGCTGTGTCAATATTCCTCTTCCCAAGCTCCAAGCCACCTGAGGACCACATGCCAGGGGGCATTGAGAGATAGGTAGGATGAGGCTGAGAGAGCAAAGGAAGTAACAGTAAGTAGAAAGGACGCTGCACATAAAGTGACAAGCTATGTGGACAAGATGATGTATGTAAAGTGCTTAGTAGGGGGTCTGTATCCAGCTACTGTTCAGTGAATGGTGATGATGATGCAGATGACCGAAAATGATAATGGTAATGATGACAAATTCCTCAAAAATCAGCTGCCTGAGTAGTGGCTCAGCTCCTAAATATTGGAGCAGCTAACCTCCTTATACTGATCTGAAATCCAATCCCTCCAACTTCCAATGGGTCTTAATTCTACATTGGGCCACCCACAATCTGATTACACTTCCCATTACACACACGTCAGTGGGTTAAAGACAGCAATGGTTCCTCCTGGTATCTCCTCTTCTTCAATCTGAATATCTCATCATTCTTCAAACATCCTTCAGAAAACTTGGTTTCTAGACCCTCATGAAGCATTTTGACAGATTGAAACAAGGGAGACATGAGGAGAGGAGCTCCATTCCATGAAAGTGAGATGGGCCACAGATGAGAGGCAGGTAGAATTTGAGACCCAGGGACAGAGGAAACAGGGTGAGAAAGGAGTGACTCCTTGGGTCAGAGGCCCAAAGAAGTGACTCTTCAGAACTTAGTTCAGAGCAGTGATCCGTGAGAGCACCAATACAGGACTATCAGCCGGGTTAGCCCTGGACCAAGGAATGCCAGGATTTGATAGGGCTCCATGGCTGAGTCCCTGGGAATTCTGCTATTTCATTACTAAATCTCTGAGGTTCACCTCCATGTGAGCCCATCTAAGTAGGGTATTAAGAAGGTTCTTAACACCCCCCCAAAGTCACCCTTTCCATCTTTAGGTGGAAAGTTATGCTATGAAGACTTTGGCCTCCACATTCCAGGGGCTAAGTCCCACCCTTGAACAGAAAATGTCTCCCTCATTTCCCTGTAATAACTTGGTGGCATTGCAGGACAGAGTAGAGGGACAATGTATAGTAGAACAGGCAGGGGATACTGAGTGGCTTTGTTCCCCTCCCTGGAAATCCCTGTGGACCCAAAGACTATACAGGAGCAGTGGCATTATCACTGAGATCTACTAATTGATAGTGGTTAATAGTGATAATCTGATTAATCTATTAACCTAGTTAATAGGTTGGCAGATCCCTGGTGTTTACTTCAATTAGATCCCATGCATTTGCACATTTTTTTAGTCCTAGGTGATTTTTTTCATCTCAAGTTATCCAAGTATTTGTCCTCTGCTGCAACTCAAAGGCTTGTTTTCCTAAACATTCATTCATCACTTTCCATTGAGAAAATCTCCATCCATTATTCTTCCTCCTTACATCACTCTTTAGTTCTAAAAACCTCCCCAGTGCAAATACCACATCAACACTCCCTTTTTCTTTTCTGTTTTTTAAAATTATTTTTTATTATACTTTATGTTCTGGGATACATGTGCAGAATGTGCAGGTTTGTTACATAGGTATGCACTTGCCATGGTAGTTTGCTACACCCATCAACCCATCATCTACATTAGGTATTTCTCCTAATGTTCTCCCTCCTCAAGCCCCCCACCCCCTGACAGGCCCCAGTATGTGATATTCCCCTCCCTGTGTCCATGTGTTCTCATTGTTCAACTCCCACTTATGAGTGAGAACATGCGTCAACATCCCCTTTTTCTATTAAGCCTAGCAGCATTCCAAAAAGGAAGGTAGATGTAGTCTTTCATACAGAGAATAAAGCACTGAGAAAGAAAGTTCATGCCCATCTGGTGTCCTCTCTTAAGGAAGCCACCACCACAACAGTGAACAGATGAGCAATCATTGGCTCCCTACTTCTCCCAGCTCACTGGACTCAGGGCCACATAGCCAAGTACAAGATGCCTGGTTGGTATAAAGAGTTCCCAATTATATCACCAGGCCTGGTTATTTCTGCATGCCAGGACAGATCCAGGTGGCCCACACTGGGGGGCCTGGGAGCTACCTTCATTTTTGGATTCACCTTCACAGTGTATGGATGTGAAGCTCAAGTTCAGGCTCTGTTTCTGCCTTGGCCCCAGGGAGAAGATATGTGCAGTGGCACGTAGCCACCATTGCCACCTCCCAAGTTGTGGCTACAAGTTCTTCCTGGCAAAGTCCATCTTCATTGATGCTCTCCAATTTCCCTCTCCACCCACCATCTCTTTTCTTTTTTGGATGATAATGACTGCCTGAGTTAGCTCTTATGAGTCAATTCCACCTATTTTTGGTCAAACTCCACTCCTGGTTTGGTCCTCTTCCAAGACAAATCCAGAAGCCACAGGGGGCTGGAGAGTTGCCCTGGCAGAGAGTTGCCCAACAGAACTTCAATTAATTTCCCAGGTTGCCATCAGGACCTCCGACATGGGAGTGGAGCTCAGCGTCCAAGCCTGGCAGGGAAGTTGGCTGGCATTTGGGGAAGACATTTAGGATGCTGGGTCCTCCTTACTTATGCCTTTAAATATGAGGACCAGTTCCTGACTCCAATGCTCTCCCAAACACAATGGGGCCCAATATTAGAATTCCACATATTTTCTAAATTCAAAAGTCAGAATGAAGGAGAGGTGGAGAAAGACAGCGACACCAACGAAGACACAGAAGCAGACAGAAAGCTGAGAGAGGCAGAGAGGCAGACTACAGGAACAGAGGGAGCCTCGTTCCAAGTTGCCTAGCCCATTTCTCACACTCAGACACTTAACTGTGCTCACCCCTCATGTTCAAACTCATGCCCCTCTTGTTCCCCAGCACCTGCAGTGGTTCTAGAATTTTTATGTAAGAAGTTGACCATCTAGTTGGAAGAGGGGCTAAGGAACTAGCTTTGAGGCTGCATTTGCATACTGGGCACACTTTTGGTTTTGACTAAGTGCTCACTTGGTGTGGCCAATGGGAACTGTCAGGGGGTTTCCACTGCCCAGTACAATTTCTGTTCCATCAATCCTGCCACGTGGTCCAGTCATTCTCTTGCCCCTCAACTCATGATGTCCAGACTCATGTGCCTAGTTGTGCTCATTTCACTTCCTTCCTTTTACCCAGACTCTGCAAAGACCTTCCCAGGCTCCATGTCTCAATGAGACCCAATTAAATACCATATTGCTCACTTATGTGGCAGCTGGGTACAGTATCTGGCTGGATGCCAGGGACTGCCTACAAGCCTTGCATCTGTACAGGACTTTGCAGTCTGCAAAGTGCTTTTGCATCCAGCATCTTATCCAACTCTCACAACAGCCTTACATGGTAGCTAGGAGAGTAAGGGTCATTGTTCCATCTTAAAGATGAGGAGAGACAAGAATGGTAGCAGGTACACCAACTTCAGACACACAGACCCGCATGGAAACCCCATCTCTGATGTCTATTGCTTTGGGTGAGCTGGGACAGTTCTGAGTCTCAGTTTTCTCATCTCTAAAATGGGCCCATAGTTACCTACCTTGCAAAATTGTGTTAGATCTAGAGGTAACATATTTAAGGTGCCTAGCAAAGTACATGGAATCGGGTATAAGCTAAATGGTAGCAATTTTGAAGATTGATGATGATGATAGTGGTGGTGGTGGTGATCATAGTGACTGTACTAACCAAGATGTTAGTAGTGGTTTTATTGTTTACCTATACTTTCTATCTTTTCTATAGTTAATCATGACTAGCATGATTTATGAAAAAATGGTTTAAATATTTCTCTTTTTTTTGAGACAGAGTCTAACTCCATCACCCAGGCTGGAGTGCAATGGCATGACCTTGGCTCACTGCAACCTCCATCTCCCAGGTTTGAGTGATTCTCGTGCCTCAGCCATCCAAGTAGCTGGGATTACAGGTGTGCGCCACCACACCCTGCTAAATTTTTTTGTATTTTTTCTAGAGACAGGGTTTCACCATGTTGGCCAGGCTGGTCTCGAACTCCTGACCTCAAGTGATCCGCCCGCTTTGGCCTCCCAAAGTGTTGAACTTACATGTGTGAGCCACCACACTCTGCCAGTCTTTCAAGTATTCCTGATAAGAACTTTATTCTTCTTCTCCAGAGCAACATGTTAGTTCTGCAAAAACTCCACCAGGAAGCTGGCAGCCCTGGGCAGGTGCTGTCTGAATGCCTGGCCAAAGCCTCATTCCCCACGCTCCATCTCACTCACCACGTATTCAAGTCCAGGTAATTGTGCCCAGCAGCTACCAGTTCCCATGTAATTGTCCCCAAATTGCTCCGGGTGGCCTTTCCAGGCAGAAGCTCTCCACAATTAGTCCTTTCATCAAGATGTTGAAAGACAAGTGATTATTTTGGGGAATTACGTGTCAGCAAGAAGATGCAGCTTTAATAGGGCACTATAGGGCCCTCATGTTAATTACAATCTGGAAGATACTATCACATCATTTCTTCATCCACAGCTCATTAGGCATTCCAGCCTCAGCTCCCTGACACGACTGTGGATTTGTTACAATGTGCGAAGGAAAAAAAGTATCTCAAATGAGGACAGTGTAAGGATTCTGTGGATGCACCCATATGCAGGTGGTCAGCAAACATCTTAATAAGCCTAATCTTGTCTTGGATTCAAAGTAACATGTATACCTATGAGAGCAAGCATATCCATGCACACAACACACACACACACACACACACACACACACACACGCAGCACTCTTAGAACATCTTGCGAAAAATATCCAAATGCTTCCTGATTACATTCTTCTGCTTCACTTTCTTTAGCTTTTTTTAAGCAATGAGGAGTTATTTTTTGAAATAGGAAACCAAAATCTTCAATTAAGTATTCAGTATTTCTTGAGGGCCTACATATGGCCAAGTCTGGTGTGGGTACCCCAGGGGATAACAGAGAAAAACACATGTCCTCATGGAGTTTATAATCTCATTAGGGAGAAAGAATCAGTGCCCACAAAACAAAGCACTAAAGAAACAACAGGCCTGGCACAGTGGCTCATGCCTGTAATCCTAGCAATTTGGGAAGCCAAGGCTGGTGGATGACTTGAGGTCAAGAGTTCGAGACCAGCCTGGCCAACATGGTGAAACCCTAACTCTACTAAAAATACAAAAATTAGCCAGGCGTGATGGCGCACCTGTAATCCCAGCTACTCGGGAGGCTGACGCTCGAGAATTGCTTGAACCCAGGAGGCAGAGTTTGCAGTGAGCCGAGATCGTGCCACTCTACTCCAGCCTGGCAACAGAGCGAAACTGTCTTAAAAAAGAAAAAAAAAAGAAAAGAAAAGACAAAAAGAAAAAGAAAAGAAAGAAAGAAATGACAGCAGGAAAAAAGGAGGGTATTGTCATCTTTTAAATGCCTCTGGCACTCTGAGAGAAAGGTCTGGGCATAAGGGATCTCAGGAAAAAGTAAAAACCAAACTGGGCTTAGCCTGGAGGGATGAGTCATGTTGTACAGGCATGAGACAAACATATAGAATGGTCTTTCTTGAGAAGAGGGGATAGAAGGCAGAAGACAATGAGAGAGACAGAGAAAGAGGCAAAGGAGAGAGAGAAAGAGAAAATGAGAGAGGGAGGGGGAAAGGGAGGGAGAGAATCAGGGAGGGAGAGAATGAGAGAGGGAAAGGAAGAGAGGGAGGGAGAGAATGAGAGAGGAAGGCGGAGGGAGGGAGAGAATGAGAGAGGAAGGGGGAGGGAGAGAATGAGAGAGGAAGGGGGAGGGAGGGAGAGAATGAGAGAGGAAAGGGGGAGAGAGGGAGGGAGAGAATGAGAGAGGAAGGGGAAGAGAGGGAGGGAAAGAATGAGAGAGGGAGGGGAAGAGAGGAAGGGGGAGAATGAGAGAGGGAGGGGGAGAGAGAAAGAGGGAGAGAATGAGAGAGGAAGGGGGAGGGAGGGAGAGAATGAGAGAGGAAAGGGAGAGAGAGGGAGGGAGAGAATGAGAGAGGAAGGGGAAGACAGGGAGGGAGAGAATGAGAGAGGAAGGGGAAGAAAGGGAGGGAAAGAATGAGAGACGGAGGGGAAGAGAGGAAGGGGGAGAATGAGAGAGGGAGGGGGAGAGAGAAAGAGGGAAAGAATGAGACAGGAAGGGGAGGAGAGAATGAGAGAAGGGAGAGAGAAAGGAAGAGAGAGAAAAGAGAGACAGACTAGGGGAGAGAAAGAAAAAGGGGGAAGAAATACGAAGAGCAGTGGGGACAGAGGGGGAACAGAGAGACAGAGAGAATGAGGGGGAGACAGGGAGACTGGCAGAGACAGGGAGAAAGAGAGTAACAGGGAGACAGAGAAAGAGAGAGACACAGGGAGAAACAGAAAGAGAGAGGAGAGAGCAATAGGGAGAGAGAGGGACAGGGAGAGAGAGACAGAGGGAGAGACAGAAAGAGAGAGGGGAGAGGGACAGGGAGAGACAGAGAAGAGAAAGAGAGACTTGGGGGAGAGAAAGAGGGGCAGAAATATGAGAGGAGGAGGGAGGAGAGGTGGGGAAGGGAGGACAGGGAGACAGAATGAGGGAGGGGGAGAAAGAGAGGTAGAGAGAGATGGACAGAGGGGAGAGGGAGGAAGACAGTCAGGGAGAGAGAGAGAATGAGGGCATGAGAGAATGGGAGAGGGAGGGAGGGACGGCACACAAACACGTAAAGGAGAGGAGGGAAATTGCCAAGCAATGGAGACCCGGAGAGTGATCTTGAATAGCAGACAGAAGGTTGGGGTGACTGAAGAGAGCACTATTTCACATTCTTAGGCAGAGTGTAAGGTGGTAACAGAAGTGAGCTAAGTATTTGTGAAGGTCACTGGGGACGCTGTGTCCAGATCTTTGGAACCCTGCTCTTTTGGAGGAACTTCATGGAGCTAGCTGAGCTCGTTGAGCCTCTCAGGTTGTCAATTTCTCTTAGAAGTAAAAGAGCGCTGACTGCGGAAGTGAGAGGCAGGGGGTGTGTGCATGTGCGTGAGTGTGTGTGTGTGTGTGTGTATGTGTGCAAGTGCGCTACATGCTGCCTTGATGAGACCATCTGATAGGTCCCTGCCATGCCAACCTGGCACTCTTGTTCTTTGGGCACAGATGAAAGAGCTGGGATAAAACCAGCTGGGATTAGGGAGTTAATGATGTGCTTGGCCTTGGGAAAGTTTGAGGGGATCTGGCTTCCTCAATCTTGTTACGCAATTTATAACCCCGTCTTCCAACTCGGCAGCCCCTCCTTCCATGTCAGTATTATTCTTGACTAAGAATTGCTCTTGCTTGCTGAGGGTGTACCTATTTGTGGATTGCTTGTCACCTACAGTTGAAGGGAACTCAGATTCCTAAAGGGCAGTGTCCTCAGATTTAGTCCATTTTTGTCCAGCCTGTAAGTATGAGCTGCCATGTTCATTTTCCCCCTACCACCCAAGCCAAGTCATTTTAGGGTCTGGCCGCAGGAGGCCAGTGCTGGGTCAGCTTTGAGCCACGGCAGGAGGTTTACAGGGATTAAGGCAAAGCGAGGGACACCAGATTTGGTTTCAAAGTGATATTCACCAGGATATTGGATTGCATTTTAAGGAGCTACTAATGGAGATGTGGGTGAGTGGGGGCCAGCCCCTGAAGATTTTCCATTCCGATAGTGAAATCGAGTCGCCCAGTGCAGGCTGTCATATGGGGCTGCTGCTCTACTTTGCTTGTTTAGAGGGGAGTCAATGACAGTGGAAGGCCTTGTACCAGGGCCAGGGATGGGAAAAGCCACCACAGGCCTCTCTGTCTTCCTGAACCTGTGGACCACCAGTGTAGGCTCAGGAGTAGATAGAGCCAATAAGGGGTGCTGGGAGATCCTCCTACCAGAATTTCCCCATTAATGACTCCTCTGCAGACAGCCAGGAAGGCTTTGGGGGTCTCTGAGAACCCCTTACATAGCATCAATAATCACAGAGACACAGGAGGGGGAACCTGACATGGTGTGAGGGGAGAATAAGAGAAGGGATAAGGAGCAAAGAGTGGACCTGTAGCTGAATACAAAGCCTAACAGGATCAGAATTCAGTCTGGGCTCTGGGAGGGGGTGAAACACTAGCTAAACGTTACTGACATCACTATTTCGCCAAGGTCAGCCTTCAGGGACACAAGACCTTCAGTGTTGCTGACTCAGAAGTTACCTTTTAATGCAAAGCCTATGCTTAATCCCTCTCATCTCTCCTTACCACCAGGCCAAACTGTTTACCCATCCCTCTTGGAGCCTGCGGTCTCCGGCCTCCCTGCCTTCCCCAGGGGCCATTCACAGCACCTCCTCCAAGTCACCTTCTAGGCACTGTGGAAGAAGCTTTAGCCTGGGGGTCCCCAGGGCTGGAATTCTAGCTGTGACACTGGTGGTGGTTGGACCTTGTGACCCTCCACCTTGCTGAGAGTCAATTCATGGATGTCATTATCTCTAACTCTTGAGTCCTAGTGCAGATTAAAGGAAATAATGAATGCATGTGAGGGGGCCAAGCACCAGGCTTGGCACCACAGTAGGTACTAAATTATTTCTCTCCCTTCAGAACTGAACCCCTGAGGTTGAGGACTGGGTGTTCTTGGTCTGTGCTTTGGGCCATCCCGAAGTGGCTGGAAAGGAGTGATGTGTTCAGGGAGGGCTACCAAGTAGCCAGTGGCCAAGGCCCCAGGGCTCTGAGTCACCCTCCACAGGGTCACCAACCAAGAGATCTAGCCTCCGCCTCTAAACCAAAGTTGAGTGACTGTTCCCAGCAGTTCCAAGAAGCAACAGCCAAGGCCTGTGGATCTGGATAAAGAGCTGAGAAACACCCTGGCCACTGTACATTCTGCTCCTCCCACACTGCTACCCTCCCCACCCCCAACCCTGCCCCACCTTCCCACTGTCCTACTCTTTGCTGGCAGGGGCAAAATCAATCGCATCTTCAGGGGGATGAAATTCTCCCATTCACTCTCCTCTTCCCCTTCAGCTAGCAACTAAAAAAGTCACATTTTATTATCAAGATGGAAGATCTTAAGGGTGGTCAGTGAAAAGCAGCACAGCCCAACAGAAAGAACCAGAAGACTACGACATCATCCTGCTCTGCATTTATTAGCTGGGCAATCTTGAGCCAGTTGCTGAACCTCTCTGAACCGCCTTTTCCATATCTGTGAAATGACAATGAAAAAGGAAATCTTTGCAGGGCTTTTATGAAGAAGGGAAAGCAAGACAGTGTATATGAAACGGCTTTGTTAACAGGAAGTGCTGTGAAAATATGAGGCGGTTATCAGAAAGAACATGCGTTGTAGGAGGTCACCTAAGGATATCTGTGATTGTGTCACCTCCTAGAACACATCTTGATTCCTGTGTTTGTTTCCTGTGTGATAGGCAGGGCCCTAAGCTAGAGGGAAGCTGCAGTGAACAAAAGGCCACATCCCTGCCCTGGAAGAGCTTACATTCTAGTCGGGGAAACAGACAGTGAATGAATAGCATGACATAGCATAGAGTTATGGGCAGGAGATAAGCAGGTGAGGCTCAGGAAGTGTGGGGTGGCCAGAGTCACTATTGTAAAGAGAAGGGCCAGGGAGGAACCTTCTAAAGAGGGTTACTGGCTCTCCTAAGAGGCTTCTCATAGCAAACTCCCCCTCCTTCCGCTGAGAGGGTTTGATGGCAGGCAACAGATGACTTAGGACTCCTCTAATGGTCTTTAGGAACAGGAAGGCACCACCACCATTATCATGCAACATTGTTCTGGAAGTGCAAGCCAATGCAATTAGATAAGGAGAAAAATAAGAGGTAAATGTATTAGAAAGGAGGAAGCAAATTTAATATGATTTACAAATGATATGATTATATATCTAAATCAACTAAAAAACTTTAGAAACAAAAAGATAATTGACTTTGGTGGCTTCTTCTTATATAAACAACCACCAGTTAAGAGAATATACTGGAAGAAAAAGTACCATTTATAATATGAAGAAAAAGAAAAACACATCCAAGAATAAATTTCACAAGAACTGTGCAGGATCTCTATAAAAAAAAAAAAAAAAAAAAAAAACTTTAAACTGCCACTTAGGAATTTTAATCACACTTGAATAAAAGACATATTCTTGAATACAAAATTTCAGTGTTGTAGAAATTTTGGTTTTCCTTATTCAAAGCAATCCTTGTTAAAGTATCAGCATAATTTCTTTTGGCTATACAAACTTATTCTAAAGTTTATCTGGAAAAGCAAATATATGAGAATAGCTAGGAAAAATGATGGAGAAAAATGAAAGTGGGCAGATGGACTTCCTCATCAGATATTTAAATGTATTTATTGTAAATCTACAACAAAACAATTCGGTAAAGTGCAATTTGGCACAGACAGATTTACAAGAGAGAGTCCAGATATAAACCCAAATGCATATTGGAATTGGGTATACCATAAAGGTATAATTCAAATCAGCAATAAATAAATTACTCAATAAATAAAATGGGAAAACTGCTTAACCATTGGGGTTGGGAAAGAACTAAGCTGGAAACCCATTTCACACCTTATACTAAAACAAAATTACAGATGAAGCAAAAATTTAAACGTAAAACGTACACCTTAAAAGTTCCAGAAAGATACACAGATGACTTTAAAAATAATCTTAGGCTAGAGAGAGTCTCTGTATGCATAACACAAAACCCAAAAGTCATTAAAAATATTGACCATGTAAAGTTGTGTAAGTCTGTAGGTTTAGAAAAATAGCATGTAAAAGGTCAAAAAACGAATACTAAACATATTTAGCATATAAGTTAAATAGACTACTTCTTGGGTATTTTGTGTACTAGTTAGGATAGGGGAACTACTATTATATTTAAAAAAAAAAAAGACCTAAAGTGTATGATGGTTCAAGTCAAGTGGTTTCAGTTAACCACAGAAAAGGGAACCCTCTCCTCTAAATCATTCAAAGACCAGGCTGACAGGTCTTACCAGCTCTAACCCCGGGTGTCATGGAGGCGAGTTGGTGGGAAGTTCCCATGGGCTAGGCTTGGCAGTAGCATATGTCATCTGTACGCACAGTCCCTTGGCTAGAACTCATTCACATAGCCATATCTACCCTAAACAGGGCTGAGAAATGTAGTCCCTCGCTAGATGCTTCTTCCCAGGGACAATTCTACACACCAGAATGCAGAGCACACATTTCTGATGAGCAGTTAGCCATCTCAGCCGCATCGTTCATGCATGTCACACGTAGAAAGGCAGAGGGCAAATATTGCTAAATTAAAAAGAGTTCCAGAAATCTATTCAAAAAGACAAGCAGAGCAGAGGCTATGAACTCACAGTTCATAGAACAGAAAATGCAGATACTCATTAAGCAAATGAAAAATCCTAAAGTTTGTAATAATTAAGCACATTAAAATAAAAGCAACAGGAAGATGCCACTTTTTATTTATCAGACTGGTAATGATGAAAACGTTTGGTAAGAGTTGATAAGTGTGTGTACCATACACACCTTCAAATACTGTTGGTGGGAGTATACATTAGTGTAACACTTTTGGAGAACGATTTGGTAATATCAATAATAATTTTAAATACATGTATCTTTTGTTTAACCCAACAATTCCACACTAATAAATGTGTCCTATACTGGTTAAAGTACACTAAGTCATATGAATAAGAAAGCTCATTGATGCATTGTATATATTAGCAAAAAAGCAAAGTAGACAGACAAAAACTAGGAACAATTTGTATATCTACCAGTAAGAAACATATGTCTATATAATGGACGTGGTACAGTCTGTTAAGAGAATAATGTGGATCCATTTGTCCTAACAGAAAGATCTCCAAAATACCCAGAAGATGCTCACTTAATGGGTCTTCACTTAACAGACTTACCACATCGTGTGATGCTTAGTCCCTACAGAAAATACACCACGTGATGAACATGGCCTACTCTCTGGCATTCCAGGACCCTTCTCCTACAAGTTGAGTAGGGGGCTTAGCAGGAGCAATTGTGTTTGTCGCCAGGCCTGGTTACTCAAGTTGCATTTGTTATTTTTTATTCATAACTAAATACTACGAAAGAACTAATTGAGCATGAGTACAAAATAAGAGTCAGTTCTCTGAAAGCTAAGGGAAATGCTTTGAAAATACTCAACATAAGTGAGTTTTTACCAAAAACCAAAATGATGTTAAAATAGATGTGAGGTGACTGTGAAAGACGGCAGGCAGGAGTGATCTGGGGAGGTTTCTACTCTCAGATATCTTGCAAAATATCTTTAAATTCTCATTCCAACTTCGGGAAAGAAACGTAAACCACAAATTGTAGATTACGCATTACTCATTACAGGTATGGTTTTGACTGACAGTAATATGGGACTCCAATTAGCTGATGCATCCTCATAAAAGAAGAGCCTTAATATCACATTAAAAGTTCATCCACAGATACCTATGAGCTTAAAGATGGATTTTGTAGGTGCAATAATATTGTTATTACGTTCATTTGTTTGAATTTTTACCTTTTAGAGATGCAGGCTGAAATATTAGGGAATGAGTAAAATTACATCTGAGATTGGCTTCAAAGTAATAATGCAGGCCAGGTGAGGTGGCTCACACCTGTAATCCCAGCACTTTGAGAGGCCAAGGTGGGATCACTTGAGGTCAGGAGTTCAAGACCAGCCTGACCAACATGGTGAAACCCCATCTTTACTAAAAAAATACAAAATTAGCTGGGCGTGGTGGTGCACACCTGTAATCCCTGCTATTTGGGAGGCTGAGGCAGGAGAATCGCTTGAACCTGGGAAGCGGAGGTTGCAGTGAGCCAAGATCACACCACTGCCCTCTAGCCTGGGTGACAAGAGTGGAACACCACCTCAAAAATAAAAGTGATAACAGTGGGAGGGCAGATACAGATGAAACAAACTTGGCTGTGATTTGGTAATTTTTGAAGCTGAATGATGGGCCCATGAGGGTTTATTATACTATTCTGCCTAATTTTTGTATATGTTTAATATTTTCCATAATAAAAAGTAGAAAAAAAGTCAGAATAATATGTGTTTATATATCATAAATTAGAATAAAATGTTTAAAGTATGCATATATAATTTTTATAACTACTCTCTTAACCTGCTCTTTAAAATTAACCAGCAGTGACAGCATCAGATAAAAGGGTTTTGGCTATATCATTTTTTTAAGGGTATAGATACAGTATGATTGTATTATACTTAAATATGCTGGTAGATGTATCTGTAGTGATGTCAGTTTTACCCCAACACAAGGAAACATCACAGCACTTTTCTAAAATCAAATTTAATTTACTCCAAGTCCCCATCCCACCAGTGATAAAAGTGTTCATCTCAAGCATTCCAGAGTTTCTTCTCACTCCATCTAGTGGGCATTCACTAAGGGAAATTATCATTGCTCTCTTCCTCTTCCTCCTCCTCCTCCTCCTCTTCCTGGTCAAGATAGTAACAAAACAACAAAACTCTACCATAGAAACAGACCCCATTCCTTTATCCTGGTGCCAGAAGTCACCACTGCCCCTCCACAACTCAAGCTCCCAAATAACTGCCTCCCTGCTCCCTTCTCTCTGTCCCCAGCCTTCACGCCAGGCACATACAGGGATGTAACTGACCTCCGTGAGGCTGACAAAGGCAGGTCAGGGCATTCTGTCCAGGCACTTCTCAAGCATCTCCATGGACCTCAATCTCCCTGTACAAGAGTCCAGCCCTGCCCTGCCACAGAGAGAAGCGGAGGACAGCCCACCTTCTTCTGAAAAAAGATACAGCAACTGAACCTGCCTTTACATCCATCCTGGCTGGATGGTACATCTTCTCTAACACCCTGCTGATATAGTTTGGCTCTGTGTCCCCACCCAAATCTCATGTCGAATTGTAATCCCTACATGTTGCAGGAGGGACCTGGAGGGAGGTGACTGGATCATAAGATTGGATTTCCACCATGCTGTTCTCATGATAGTGAGTGAGTTCTCACAAGATCTGGTTGTTTAAAAGTGTGTAGCACATCCCCCTTCACTCTCTCTCTTCTACTGCCATGTGAATACATGCTTGCTTCCCCTTTGCCCTTCTGCTATGATTGTATGTTTCCTGAGGCCTCCCCAGCCATGCCTCCTGTACAGCCTGTGGAACTGTGAGTCAACTAAACCACTTTTCTTTTTAAATTACCCAGTCTCAGATAGTTCTTTATAGCAGTGTGAGAATGAACTAATACACCTGCCTCATCCCAAGTTTGCCCTTCTCCAGAAAAGGTGGCTAACTCAGAAAGCTCTTGTCACTTTGAAGTAAGTGAAGCTCTTCCATTTCTGGAGTCTTGAGGGCCCTCCCTTCTGAAAGCTTGTCTGTCCCTAAGCATCTCTCCTAATTACCTTTTTTTAGTCAAATTTTGGTGGGGTTTTTTTTTTTTATCATTGATAGTTTAGAGAAGTTCCTTTCAGCTTCACAATTTATTATCAGTATTATCATCCACACCTTCAGAATGTCAGAAGCATCTGAACCAGAGTGACTCCATCTAGAATAGGGGCTGTGAAAATGAGGCTGAGACCTGCTGGGTTGCAATCCCCAGAGATTAGGCATTCTTAGCCACAGAATGACATAGGAGGTCAGCACAAGATAGTTCATAAACACTCTGCTAACAAAACAGGATACGGTAAAGAAGTCACCCAAAACCATCTCCAAGATGATTAGGAAAATGACCTCTGGTTGTCCTTACTGCTCGTTATACACTAATTATAATGCATTAGCATGCCAAAAGACACTCCCACCAGCGCCATGACAGTTTACAAATGCCTTGGCAACATCGGGAAGTTAGCCTATATGATCTAAAAAAGGACCCTCAGTTCCATGAATTGCCTGCCCCTTTCCTGGAAAACTCATGAATAATCCACCCCTTGTTTAGCATATGACCATGAAATAACCACAAAAATAGCCAACCAGCAGCCCTTGGGGCTGCTCTGCCAATGGAGTAGCCACTCTTTTGTTTCTTTACTTACTCAATAAATTTGCTTTCATTTTACTCTATGGACTCGCCCCAAGTTCTTTCTTGTGCGATATCCAAGAACCCTCTTTTGGAGTCTGGATCAAGACCCCTTTCCAGCAACAAGAATTGTTAGCAAACTGGGGAAAACTTTTATTCAGATTCTTTCATATATCAGCAGAAAAATGTCAAGACATTTCAATTTTTCTTAAGTGTACCATTCAGTGGTTTTTATTATATTCCCTAATTATCTTTGAAATGCATTTCTTTGAGGCTTTGGGCTATGATTTCTAAGACTCTTCAATTAAATTGCTAATTCCCTGGGAGAAGAAGATGCAAGGCCATCATCTTTCTTGGAAGTAGACTTTGGTTTGGGGAGTAGGGGCAGAAAGGGAACTCCCATGTGCTGAATGTCTGCTGTGTGCCATGCTAAGGAGACCCTTTCATCACATTTCAATTAACTATAGACCGGGGCACTCTCCTCCTCTAAATCATTCAAAGACCAGGCTGACAGAGACCTTATCAGCTTTAACCCTGGGTGTCATGGAGGTGAGTTGGTGGGAGGTTCCCATGGGTGGTTTACAGTGCTGGGAGGTAGCTCTCACTTATCCACCTGGTTTGGAGTATGAGAGGAAGCTACTTAGTTGCATGTGGTGTGGCTGTACAGGTCAGGTGCTCCCTTTCACGGGAGGCTTTCCAGGGCCACCAGCTTGTGCTGTGGCTGTGTGCCCCAGGACCATGGACAGCCCATGATTCAGGCAGTGGGAGCTTTGCTAGCCACTGCTACGCAGAGCACTAGACAGCTGAGGTCATGTCTGGGGTTCCTGGACCCACTTATATATTTTTTAAAAATCTATTTAGAAAGTTTCCAGGCCAGGCATGGTGGCTCACACCTGTAATCCTAGTACTTTGGGAGGCCGAGGTGGGCAGATCACTTGATGTCAGGAGATCGAGACCATCGTGGCCAACACGGTGAAACCCCATCTCTACTAAAAATACAAAAAAAATTAGCCGTGCCTGGTGGCAGGTGCCTGTAATCCCAGCTACTTGGGAGGCTGAGGCAGGAGAATTGCTTGAACCCTGGAGGTGGAGGTTGCAGTGAGCTGAGATCACGCCACTGCACTGTAGCCTGGGTGACAGAGCAAGACTGTCTAAAAAAAAAAAGAAAGAAAGAAAAAGAAAGTTCCCCTTATTTGCTTTGTTTATTTGCAGGACTTGGCTAGAAGTAGGTCCCCAAAAATATCATAGCTGTTACTATTACTGCTGCTGTTATTCCCCCTTTTCCACTCTTCTTTCCCCTCCTCTCATGAAAGCCCTTCTAACCGCAAAGGTGAACTGGCTCCTCTCTGCCTTCCCACTATTCATTTAGGCTGCGAATCAGCAGATGTTCCTGGAGATCAAGGGTGGGGACAGGGACTTTGAACATGGATGCCAGCAGGAGAGGCATCCCGCCGACCTCCACCGCCTGGGGCCACCACCTGGTGCCATGGAAAGAACCATGCTTTTAAAGCGCACAGCGGTGGCCTGGCCTGGTTCTCTGGTTCTCCTATTTATTGTCTACAAATGCTAGCTTAGCCGAGTCACTTCTCCTTGCTAGATTTCAGTTTCTCCTTCCTGGAAAAGAAGAAGATTGGACTAGATAGGATCTACTTTTCAGCCTTTTCATTCAGCAGGTATTTTGAGAGGGCCTGTTGTGTGCATGGCCCCGGTCTAAGCAGTAGGTTGGGTAGAGCCGTGAGTGAGGCACACCAAGTCTTACCAGCTTTCTGATTAGCAGAACATTCTAGCAGCCTAGGTTCTTGGATTTCTGAGGGTCCTTGGTGCATTTCTCCAGCTCCTGAGGCCTCGCTCCTGGTTTCTGCTTGGGGGTACTTCCAGCTTCTGAGCCAAAGATACTGAGACCAGCCTTGGGTGGTCTGCCCTTTGCAAAGAAATTCACAGCTCACCAGGGTCAGGGGGTAAATGTGACCAAACCCCAGTCACTCACTGCCTACCTCCCTCTCTGCCCCACAATGGGGATGCTGACGGGGCTGGGCACAATGTAGTGAATTCTTATAATTTATGCTGCCTCAGGATCCATTTTGGTTTTTGTTGTTGGTTTTGTTTTTGTTTGTTTGTTTGTTTGTTGAGATGGAGTCTCGCTCTGTCACCCAGGCTAGAGTGCAGTGGTGCAATCTTGGCTCACTGCAACCTCCATTTCCTGGGTTCAAGTGATTCTCCTGCCTCAGCCTCCCGAGTAGCTGGGATTACAGGTGCCCGTCACCATGCCTGGCTAATTTTTGTATTTTTAGTAGACACAGGGTTTCACCATGTTGCCCAGGCTGGTCTCGAACTCCTGACCTCAAGTGACCCACCCTCGGCATCCATTTTAAATATAAGCTTACTTTTCTCACACCAGAAGCAGGGCTCAGTTATCCTTGACACAGTCTCTCCTGCTACACCTCCCCGCCGTCCTTCAATGTCATACACAGCTGCTCCCTGGTGCTCACCTCCCCACGGGACAGCTAGAGACAACCTATTCAGCCCGCTAACTTTCACCCCCTACACAGACTGCAGATATGCCACAGTGACCCCCTCTCAGTCACAGCATGACCTCCTGGAACTCATGCCTGCTTGCTCTTTTGCATTTAAACCCACCAATTAAAATTCCCTATGGGAAATGTGCATGGATAATGCCCTGGGCTTCAATAAAAGCCCTGATGCATAGGGGGCCCCCCACTTTCTCTTTCTTTGTGCACCCCCTGATCATTCCCTCTCTGTTGTGGAGGAGGGGCTCTAGGCATGCCGTGAACTTCCCAAGACCTGTAAGTAATAAAACCTTTATTTCTATCTTGTGTCTCTCCTAATCGTTGAAGGGGCAACCTCTATTATAAAGACCTGAAATTAAAACACATGGGAAGCAGTGGCTCTGAGCTTGGGGAGCCAGGTTCCTGACTGTCAAGCCCTTGCCACAGCCAAGAGGTTGCTCAGGGGCTGCCAGGGGTGGGTGCAGATTCCCACACAGTTACCTAGGAGAAAGGCATCAAGAGGGATAGAAGGAATGTACTCCGGGAAGGCCAGCTTCAAGGGCATGAGGTCATGAGCCACCCAGACTGAGGACAGCCCTATGGGGACAGACAGATGACAGAGTGGGTCCTGAAAAACTGTTCTTGTATCCACTGTAATGGGCTGGCTAGCTTGTGGCCAACCCAAATTTCTCAGGCATGCACCAAGAAGAATGGACCCAATGAATAAAAGCTGTGGCAGCCAGATCTCAGAGCACAAAATCCAACTCATGCCAAATTCATATCCGCTGTACATTTAGAAGGACCATAGCATCGCAGTCAAGATCATAAGCATTGCGGCCGCTTGCCTGGGTTCAGATTCTGGCTTTACCACCTGCTAGCTGTGTGATTCTGGACAAGTTACTTAACCTCTCTGTGCCTCAGTTTTCTCATCTACAAAACAGAGATAATAATAATAACTCCCACCTAATAGGGTTGACAGAAGAGAGACAGACCCTCTCATATTGTCTTATATTGTTTTATACTCAGTACCTGTTTTAAGAAAAAACAACAAGGAAGTAAAACCAAAGACAGGCAGCCCGGCGCCAGGCCCGAAACCTGGCTTGGGCCTGCCTGGCCTAAAGCCAGTAGTTAAAAATCAACTCATAACTTAGAAACCGATGTTATTCATAGATTCCAGACATTGTATAGAAGAACATTATGAAACTCCCTGCCCTGTTCTGTTTCTGTCTGACCACCTGTGCATGCAGCCCCTGTCACATACCGCCTGCTTACTCAAATCAATCACGACCCTTTCATGTGAAATCTTTAGTGTTGTGAGCCCTTAAAAGGGACAGAAATTGTGCATTCAGGGAGCTCGGATTTTGAGGCAGTAGCTTGCCGATGCTCCCAGCTGAATAAAGCCCTTCCTTCTACAACTCAGTGTCTGAGAGGTTTTGTCTGTGGCTCGTCCTGCTCCAGGGTTATGGTGAGAATCAAATTGCTATTATATTGTATTAGAACAGTGAACAGCACATAGTCAACGCCACCACATAAGTGGTGTTGCTACTTCTTTGTGACAATCACCCCTTATTTTATGTAGCATATAAAGCTTACAAATTCCCTCCAAATTCATTGTTTGAAACACAAACTTGTTGACTTTGTTCATTCATCCACTAGATTGTAAGTGTTATGCAGGTAGGGAAATGTTAGTTGTTTTATTCACTACTGTGTCCTTGAAGCCCATGACAGTGCCTGACACAAAGTAGTTGCTCAATAAATATTTGTTGATTAGATGGATAGATAGATGGGTGGATGAATTCAACAAACATTTATAGAAGCCTATTATATGCCAGGCACTGAGGATTCAAAGGTTAAAAACCGTGGTACTTGCCCTTTGAAAAAGACTTGAATTGACTCATAATTCACTTCTATAATGATGAAATGCATTACTCTGGAATTATCAGCCATGAGAGTGGTGGTACTCAGTGCTGATTTTGCCCCCATAACCTGAGGAACTAGACACAACTCAAGCAGGGATAGTGGCCCTACATCAGGGAGCCTTCCCCCAAAAGGCTGGAGGGAGGGAATGGTAGGCACGTGCCCTGAAAATCACTGTCTTGTTGGCTCTGTTGGCGATATGAATGTCTATCATCTATCTGGTACTATGATGGTTTTTTGTTTTTTTTTTTTTGAGGCAGAGTCTCGCTCTCGCCCAGGCTGGAGTGCAGTGGCGTGATCTTGGCTCACTGCAAGCTCCGCCTCCTGGGTTCACGCCATTCTCCTGCCTCACCCTCCCAAGTAGCTGGGACTACAGGCGCCCGCTACTATGCCCAGCTAATTATTTTGTATTTTTAGTAGAGACGGGGTTTCACCATGTTAGCCAGGATGGTCTTGATCTCCTGACCTCGTGATCTGCCCGCCTCGGCCTCCCAAAGTGCTGGGATTACAGGCGTGAGCCACCACGCCCAGCCCTATGATGGATTTTGTTTTGTTTTTTACTATTGTGTCTTAAATGAACTGGTTCCACATTTCCATGTCATCCTCTCTGCCCTCATCTTTTAAAGTCTATTTAAAAAACAGACTTCCCAAAAAGCTGTGGCCTGAGCTTTTTGTATCATCTATAACACACTGTCCCATACTGTCATTATGTCCAATAGAGTTTTCATACAGTGAATCTGAACAAATCCCTCTCTCCCTAGACACAGTAGGAGGGAATGGTAGAAGATTCCCTTTCCCCACATCATTGCTCCTCTTGTTTTTTGGCATTGTGGGTAAAGCAGGGACTTGGGAATTGAGGCTTGAGTTTAAATTCCAGGTGTGCATTAAGTAAATAAAAATCAAAACTACAAGGAGATACCACTTCACAGTCTCTAGGATGACTGAAACAAAAAGACAGACGATGAGTGTTCGCAAGGATGTAGAGAAGCTGGAACCCTCAGACATTGTTTGTGGGAATGTACAATGCTACAGCTGCATGGAAACCAATCTGACAGTTTCTCAAAAAGTTAAACATGAAGTTACCGTAGGACCCAGGTATATACCACTCCTAGGTATATACCCAAGAGAAATGAGAACATGTACTTCCACACAGAAATCTATACACAAATGTTCATAGCAGTGTTATTCATAATAGCCAAAAAGTGGAAACAATCCAAATGTCAATCAACTGAGGAATGGATAATTAAAACTTGGTATATCCATACGACAGAAGATAATCATTCATCCCTAAAAAGGAATGAAGTTCTGATACATGGATTGACCTTGAAAATATTATGCTAAGTGAAAGAAGCCAGACACAAAAGGCCACATGTGATTCCATTTCTATGAGATGCCCAGAATAGGCCAATTCACAGAGACAGAAAGGAGATAGTGGTTTCCAGAAGGAAAGCCATCCCCAAAATGCATCTGGTTTAAACATGGTCATCTTATTAAGTTCTTACCATAGCCTGGAAAAAAAAATACAATTCTATTTAAAACTCACCAGGGATTGCCTGGTTAAAGGATTCATTATAGAAACTCTTCCTGTGTTAAGAGCATAATTACCTACTAATTTACCTTCCACTCCTCCGGCCTAATTTTCCCATCATGAACTTGTTTCAAGCCAGCTGTTGCTGTATTCTGACATAGGTGCTGTGCTTAGTATGAGTGGGCATCATGCTGCTGACCGCCTGCTGGTGAAAACGTTTCAAAGCATTCTGCCAAGTTTTAAACAAAGCCTCAAATGAAACCTGCCTCTCTGACT
Organism: Homo sapiens; assembly: GCF_000001405.40. NCBI lineage: Eukaryota > Metazoa > Chordata > Mammalia > Primates > Hominidae > Homo > Homo sapiens. Next base: position 77,685,753 of record NC_000010.11, read on the forward strand.
GTATCACTCTCAGTGATAAATTGGCTTCCCCCACCCCCCCCCACCTTCTTTTGAAGGTGTCCCTGAACGAAATCAAATAATAACAGGCTCCATCTCAAAAGCCCAAGTAAGGAGGCAGACAATAATCTTTCATCAGAATCCTATTTTTCAAACCAACATTTAGCCTGCATAAAGCTCTCAATGGGGCAAGACCCGGAAGCAGGGTGATGGGGAGAAGAGCAAGGCCCAGAGGACAGTTTGGAGGCAGAAGCTCAATAGTGGAGTGTACTCCTCCTGCCAGGCCGACAGGTGCTTCCCGTGGAAGGAGCTGATGCCAGCATGAACCCCTTCCCTTCCCTGGATGATGGCTGGTGAAAGGCAACGCCTGACAAATCCTCCAGGAATAGAAGAATCCTGTAGGGGCCAATGGATTGAATGGAAGGAATGCTACAGCACCAAGGAGCCTAGCAATTGTTCTCCAACCAGAAAACTTGTTTTACAAATTGGGGAACAGCATTTGTGGTGAGGAAAGGGAGAGTCTTCCCCCCAGGCCACAGGAGATGGCAGGGAAAGAAACAATCAAGAGCTAAGCCACCTGTGGGGATTTGTAGTGGGGCCCACAAGGGCCATTAGCGGGAAACACAGTGCGAGGCTGTTTACCTCTCAGTTCATCCCCAAGCCTTCTGATTGTCTTAAAGAAAAAGCCTTATTTGGAGGTGGTCTCTCTTTAGGATTGAACATTTGCTATCTCAATTTTGACATGGACCACGACACCGGCAGTAGTTCCAAGCTAGGATGAACACTGGTTGAGTTTGCTGTGGTGGGTGTAGTGATTGTTAAGGGTTATCCTCTATTTATGATTCATGATTATTCTTTCTTTCCCTTATGATATTGATTTCAAGTTTTCCTTAATCATATAGCTATTTGTGTCCAAAACGTGGTCACAGATAGGTCAAAAATCTGAAAGAGGAGTGAGAAACACTAATCTAGTCGAAACCTATACTAATGGTGTGAATCGCCAATCCATTCCTCTTTTGAAACACACACACACACACACACACACACACACACGCACGCACGCTCTCAAGGGGCCTTTACCCAGTGAACCAAAAAGGTTTCCCTTTCCACATGTGTTCCATGAGGAGATTCCCTGCCTATCACTTTCTTGCCTTGCCAAGGTGCATTTTCATGGATCCCTGTGTTCTCCCTGCTGCCAGAAGTGTCCCTGGTCCCCTCCCATACTGAGCCTGCTTCCTCCCCATCAGCTTCAGGAACGCTGCTCCCTCCTGCAACTCTGGGGGTCAGCTCCCAGTTGCATCCTTCCTGAGTCCCATCCTCCCAGCTGCAGTGTCCTCAGCCGCCCACTCTCCCGCTTCCTGGGATCCAGGTCACAAGGCCCTTTGCTTTCATCTGGGTTTAGCTGCCTATCAGTACACACTGAAGTGATCACAACCAGCAGGCATTGGGAAGTAATAGTTCCCAAGCTGAGCAGACAAGTCCCCTCCTGCTGGGCACTGGAGTCATCCCCCACCCTTTGATGGCTCAGGAAGACTCCAGCACTGCACTGCGACACTTATCCCTCTCTGCTCCTTCCTCCCACCTCACTCCAGTGGGGCCCCTTTCTTCACCCAGGAAAAGTCAGTTCAGGTCCTTCCCCACCAGCTCAAAAGTCCCTAGAATCGCAGTTCCTTTCCTCCTGGTTGGCTCTCAGCACACAGGTGCCTTCTCTGGCCACCCCCAGGGATGGTAGGACTGGGAGGGGCTGGCCTGGGGGCAGCTGGGAGCACTTAGGATTTTCCAAGCTTTGGTGTAGCATCTCTGCAAACAGGTGGGTTGGGCTTTTCCTTCTAGAAACTTTTTTCATCTCCACTGAAGCATAAAGGTAAAGTGTGATTCTTTACCCCTTTCCAGAATTTTAAGCCAAAAGCTCAGAGCTCCCACTTTGCAGCTTACATTTGATTCAAATCATGCAATCCCCACTCCAGGATCAGGACCACCAGTCACCAAGCAGCCTGGGTGGATATGGCCTTAGACTGTATCCTCAGGGCCAACTCCAGCTCGGAGGACAGTCCTTAGAAGGTGGCAGCCTCTCTCTCCTGCCCCCTGCCATCCACCTGGCTACCCTGCAAACAGTGGCTGAAAGCCTGCATTGAGAATGCCAGTCATACACTCCTAGAAAGGGACACAGTGGGGACTATGGCCTGAATATCTGTGTCTCTCTAAAATTCCCATGTTGAAACCTAATCACCAAGGTGTTGGAATTAGTATTCGAACATAGGGCTTTGGAGAGGTGACTAGGTCCTGAGGGCTTCTCCTTCATGAATGGGATTAATTACCTTATAGAAGAGGTTCGAGGTTGTTCACCCCTTTGCCTTTTGCCCTTTTGCCTTGTGCAGACACAGCAAGGGGGAAGCAGGGGGCAGCCCTTGCCAGACACCTAATCTGCTGGGGCCCTGGTCTTTATAAATTACCCAGTCTCAGACATTTTGTTATTTTGTTATAGCAGCAGGAACACACTAAGACAGAGAGAAATATGTCCAGCCCTTTCCCAATGGGTCAGATCTAAACAGAGGAAAGTGGAATAGTGTAGAGGAAAGTGGCTCCCCAAAGGCAGGCCATCTTCAAGCCCCAAAGACTGGCTGAAGCCTAGGTTGCCTTTTAGATGTAGGAACACCCAGTGAACTGAGGAGAGAGGCTGGAAATTGTTAGTCCCAAGACTCTCTGGTGAAAAATGGTGCAAGCTTTCAGGGGACCCTTAGAAATGCCAATCAAAGTCTTTCACATACACAGAAAGCTAATTTATGGCTAAAAGAATGATCAAAACAGCAGTTTCCTCTGGAAATGGGGGTAGAGACTGAATTAGAATGGGACATGAAAGAACTTTCCAGGGTGATGGCAAGATTCTGTACCTTGATTTTGTGTGTTGCATTGTAAGTTTTATCTCAAAAGAAAAAAAACTGTAAACAAATATTAAATTATAGAGCAGTGCAGTCTAATAGAATGTTCTGCAGCAATGAAAATGTTCTACGTCTGTTTTGTCCAAAGGCTAGCCACTAGCCACCTGTGGCCATGGAGCACTGGAAATCTGGCAACTGAATTCAGTGCTATTTCACACAGACTCTCACCCTATGGCTTGGGCAGGGCCATGGTGATTTCTCATAAATACAAAGGGGCATTCTTGGGCACACAGTGGTTAAGGGACTCAACCAAAGTCACACACAGCAGCAAGATGGCCAAAGCTGGAAGTCTCTGAACCTCCCACTTCTCAGGAGTGAGCTTGTTCCCCTCACCTCCCAGGGAGAGACCCCTTAGAACTGAAGTAAAGAGAGCTCACTGAAGGGTAGAAAAGCCTGAGAGCCTCGGCAGATGCTAGAAATCCCGAACTCTCGGCTCAGAGAGGGCACACTTCCCTTCCTGAAAGAGGACAGCTTTGGTCTAACAATGATACTCTAGTCCGTTTTTACACTTTATATTTTAGAAAGCTCTTTCACACGCCCACAGTCTCTCACTTCATCCTCACAGCCTGGAAGAGATCCTCCCTTCCTCCCTTCCCACCTCCCTCCCTCCCTCCTTTCTTCCAAGTGGTGGGCAACAAGTAACGACTAAGGGTAAAACGTTTAGGCTTTGGAGTTGGACTTCCAGGGCTTGATTTCGAGTTCCCAAGCAGATGACTTTATAAAATGGTGCATTTTAACCTTTCTGTGTCTCTGTCAACTTGCAAAATAGGAATAATAATAGTATTTGCCTTGCTGGGATGGCAAGAGAATTAAATAAAATAATCCATACCAAACCCCCTATCATCATCATCATCATCATCATCATCATCATCAACTTATTTATTGAGCTATGTACATGTCAAAGTTGGAGCAGGAGCTGAGGCGAGGGGCAAGTTCAGAAGCCCACAGGAGGCAGAGTCCTGATGAACTGAACTGAGCTGGGGTGGCTGAGACTTCACACTAAGGGAGGGCGGGTTGCCAACACGCTCTCCCCTCAGCCAGAGCAAGCACCTCAGCTCCAAATTGTTTGCTCTCAAAGAGGGATTGCCTTTTGCTCACAAATCTCTCACCTGCAAAAGGTCTGCTTCCTGAGCCAACTAGGAGATAAATCACTAGGATCATCATCATCTTTCATGTTCCATCTCCCTTTGCCCAGCAAGCCCCACAATGGCCTCTTCTATTTAGAGGCTGCAGCCGAAGACAGAAGGAAGATGCACAGGATCAAATTAATGTTGGGAAAAAGGACTTCTGGCCTCCTATCTTCTACTAGCCTATTAGGTTGAGAGATGGAAAAACCAAAACTGTGTGTGTGTGTGTGTGTGTGTGTGTGTGTGTGTGAGAGAGAGAGAGAGAGAGAGCATTTACATTTGCAGAACATTATACTTACAAGCTAAGTTGATCCTTATAAATGCCTAGAAGGGCAGATATTTTTTCTTCCTACTTTTTGAGATAAAGAATTGAGTCAGAGAGGGGTAAACAAACTACCCAGGAGCAGCTGTATTAAAACTCGTTGTGAGTTAGCATCATCCCATCAATTATTAGATGTCTGAAATGTTGCTTGGAAAGAAAGCACCACCTTTGATCAGGAAGGTCATTGCTGAAGTCACAGCCAGGCATCTGTCCAACAGGGTCCCACTGGCCTCTTTTTCTTTGGTCCCATCCTCAGGCATTGCCGATCTGCCATCCCTTCTAGAACAACCTCCCCCAATTGATGCATGGCATATTAAATGCTGGCGGGCAGACCATTAGGTAGAACCCACTGTGCTGAGCCTGAGGCGGGATGGCAGCAGGCTAGGGAGGGCAGCAGGCTGGGGAGGGCAGGAGCGGGGAGAATTCAGAGCCACACAAAATGCAGAGGCTGGCTTCATGAAGGTAGGAGACATCTGTGAGCTCAGAAACCAAGGCTCCAGTCTCAGCCAGCATTCAAGTCCACAGCTGGGAAGAACAATGTGTTCATACTTTGGCTGTCAAGGATAGAGCTTTGTAAGTTTAACTGAGACTTTGTGTCTTAATTATGATAATAGCTATGATCATGGAGCTCATCTTGTTTGCCAGGCCCTGTGCTAAATGCCTTATCTAGCTTAGATTCTGTTGAGCCCCATTTCCATTGATAGATCCCCTGTGAAATAGACACCACTCTCAGCACCATCTTGCACATGAGGAAGCTGAAGTGTGCCAGAAGGCTACCCAGCTCCTGGTATAGAGGTGTAGCCAGAATTTGAACCTAAGCAGTTTCCAGAGCCTCATGCTGAACTGTCTGTGTAAGTCTCGCACCACAAAAGACCCTTTTCTGAGCCTGGGTACATCTAACATATATGTGGAAGTTTAGATGCATTTTCTGAGGCACTGCATAACAAGTGGAACATCTCATTTAAAACCCGTATGATTCATTTTAGCCATGGAGATGCAAATAAAGCTTCTCTTTATTCAGTTTACTAAGCCCCTGCTCACCTCTAACTGAAGACTCCGAAGACTTCGGTCACATTTCTGTCCATAACATTGATGTAAATCAAATAAACCAAATTCTTGTCTATCTGAACTTATAGAAATCACAGGCTGACTTCTGAGTCTTGAACTTCACTGTTTCATTTTATGGCACTTCAGAGGCTGGACATCACACCATAGTGGGGACATATTTCCTAAGGTAGAGGCCACTGGGCTTGAAAAAAGGGCTCTGTCCTTTTAGCAGCCATGTGTCAGAGGGTAGGAGCTTCACCTCCTGCAGCCCAGTCCCCTGGTCCTGCCTGCCCAGAGCAGCATCACCCTCAGTGTGCCAGGCACCTGTCCTGCCTTATCTAATTTGACCCACACAACAACCATTTAAGTTAGGTACTAATTACAACTTGCATTTTACAGATGAGGATGCAGAGGCTGTGTATTAGTCCATTCTCACGCTACTATAAAGAACTGCCTGAAACTGGGTAAATTGAAAAGATTCACAGTTCTGCAGGGCTGGAGAAGTCTCAGGAAACTTAAAATCATGGCAGAAGGAGAAGCAAACACATCCTTCTTCACATGGCAGCAGGAGGGAGAAGAATGAGAGCAGAGTTAAGGGGGAGGCCCCTTATAAAACCATCAGATCTCGTGAGAACTTACTCACTATCATGGGAATAGCATGGGGGAAAATGCCCCTATGATTCAATTACCTGCCACACACATGGGAGATAATTGAATGGTCCTTCCCAGGACATGTGGGGATTATGGGGACTACAATTCAAGATGAGATTTGGGTAGGGACACAGCCAAACCATATCAGGCCCAAAGGGAAAAATGTTTTGTCTGGGGTTGGATGGCTAATCAGTGATTTGGCCATGTTCATTCTATACAAGCTCTGTCCTTGAACTACCAACATGCCTGTGGATATTCTACAAATGGAGGAGCTCTGCAGAAGGTAAGGGCCTATCAGAAGCATGTAAGCACGTCCAAGCTCCAAGCACTCGAGCTCACTGAGCTGCCTGGGTTCCTGCCTAATCCTGTTCTCTCCGTCTATTGGTCTGTCTAATAAGTATAGAAGAAATAAGAGCTGGTTCAATAGATCAGGAGGGTGACTACATTTTACAATAATTTATTGTGCACTTCAAAATAGCTAGAAGTGAATAATTTGAATGTTTCTAGCATAAAGAAAAGACAAATATTTAAGGCAATGGATATCCCATATACACAGATTTGGTCTTTAAAAATTATATGAATGGGCTGGGCGTGGTGGCTCACGCCTGTAATCCCAGCACTTTGGGAGGCTGAGGCAGGCGGATCACGAGGTCAGGAGATAGACACCATCCTGGCTAATACAGTGAAACCCCGTCTCTACTAAAAATACAAAAAATTAGCCGGGCGTGGTGGCAGGCACCTGTTGTCCCAGCTATTCGGGAGGCTGAGGCAGGAGAATGGCGTGAACCTGGCAGGCAGAGCTTGCAGTGAGCCGAGATCGCGCCACTGCACTCCAGCCTGGGCAACAGAGCAAGACTCCGTCTCAAAAAAAAAAAAAAACTATATTAATATATTAAATTACCATATGTACCCCCTCCAAAAAAGTAAAATTTTAAAAATGAATTTAAAAATAATTTTTTAAAGAAATATAGAAGGATCCATCTCCTCTGGCTTTAACAGCTCACTTCTGCCTGATGGTGGTGGTGTCTGGAAACACATACTTTCCCAATTCATCAGCCAGCTGCATGCAGCCCTCAACACAGGGCAAGGATTTGATGAGTGTTCATTCAGGAACTTATCAATGTTCCACTCCTGTGGAGGTGAGGTCCTGCAGCTGGCAATGCATAGAGGCTCGGATCATTGGCGGCTGTCCAGGCACCCAGGCAGAATGTTTCACATCCCCAGCCCACGCTGGCAGATCCATGCAACTGCCCAGAATGAAGTGAGTCCTGAACCACAACAGACAGGCCCATTGTTGAGCTACCATGGATGGAGCTCATTGAGGACTTGCCTCTTCCAGGACTGTGAGAGAGCTCCTCCTCCACAACCCTCAGCCCATCTCAGCTTCTGTTAACCACCTTCACCCCCCAATACCCTTATAAGTGCACTTACATGGCACTAGGCCCTATCCTAAATGCTTGACATGTGTTAATCCATTAATCCTAATGACCCTTACCTGCCATGCTAGGTTTACTGGAAAAAGCTCTGGTTTATATTGTATCAGATTATATCACATCACATTGTTCAAATTGGTAATACAATTGCATGGTGAAAAATACAAGAGGGATAAAAGAATATAAGTCAGTCCATATCCAGGTGGGCCATTCTTCCATGGCTTTAAATGGAGAACCAAAGGGGCTTCTCCTTTCTTCCTTCAGTCCAGCCAGCTCTGCACTGACTTTCTGCCAGACTGTCAGCCCTTGGGGCAGGACAGTGGAGCCTGGGCTAAACTGATATTTCCCAAAGTTGGATCTTTTGAGGACCTCTGTCTCAATTTTTATGCATCCACATAGTACCTTTACTTTTTATTCTTTACTTAAGAATTAGCTTCAGGCTGGGTGCAGTGGCTCATGCCTGTAATCCCAACACTTTGGGAGGCCAAGGCAGGAGGATCGCTTGAGACCAGGAGTTTGAGACCAACCTGGGTAACACAGCAAGGCTCTGTCTCTAAAAAAATTTAAATAAAAAAAATAGCTGGGCATAGTGGCTCATACTTGTAATCCCAGCTACTTGGGAGGCTGAGGTGGGAGGATCACTTGATCCCAGGAGTTCGAGGCCAGCCTCAGCAACATCTCTACTAAAAAAGAAAGAAATGATTCACAACACGGCTTAGTACTTGGTAAGTGTTAGCTACTACTTACGGCATATCCCTTGCCATAAGTAGGAGATAACTGAAAAAAAAAACACAATGAAAACCAAACTATTAATTAAAAAATTAACTAAAGACTACCTGCCCAAAGACAAGTTTTCTCCTTGTCAAAATTCGAGATGAACCAAAGTTAGAGAAGTCATCAGCAGTGGTGAGGAGAATTGAAAGGGGAACAGCAATCTTGCCTCATGATACACTCTTATTCACTGCCCTTCCTGCCTTCCATCTAGATCCACCTTTCATGGCATTTGTGCCCCTTGGTCCACACTCTGGGGAATGCTGGGCCAAGCAGTAGTTTCATGGGAGATGGAGGAAGAACCGTCTCTCCAGGGAGAAGGCTGTTGATTCCACAAGAGGCTTTTACAAACTAGCTGTCCCAACTCCTTCCCCACCTACCTCTCCCTGGTTTTGCTGTGTCTATCTTCCCTGTGTGGGAATTATAGTGTCTAATGAAAGCTGTTATTTATGGAAGAGTGTTCTCACATGAAGAGTCTAGAGGCAAAAAGGGCTTGAGACCAGTGTATGAAGAGGAACTTTGGCCCATAGGGATTGAGATGGCATCTTAAGGGTTCCTTTTAAGCCTGGAAACTGGACTTTGAAAAAAAAAAAGTGGGAGGTGGGGGGTTCCTTGCACATTCTGCAGTATTTCAGAAAGATTTCATGTTCACTTTCTTATTAAGTTCTTGATCAACCCAGTGAAAAATTTGGGCAGATGATGATGAAACCAAAACCCAAGATGTCACAGCTCCCAAAGTTTGAGCTGAGGCAAGAATCCAGGTTTCACCACCTTCTGCTCTTTGTTCCAAACTAAGAAGTCCCCTCTTGAACACTTGTTCAGTGGTAAAGGCCATCAGAGTATACCATAAAACACCTTGAGAATTGCTTTTATGCAATAAATATTTGAATGAATGAATGTATTCATTCAGTTGGTGATGATCAAAGTGATGATCAATAAGTAGCTTATCATTGCATTTTTATTACATGCCAAGTAATGGTTGCTAAGGAACTTACATACATTATCTCATTAAACCTACACAACAATCCTATAACATAAAGATTATAGTTTATCATTTAGGAATCATGTTCAGCTGATGGTGTATGAAGTAGACTCCAGTGGCTTCAAACAATAGTTTTATTAGGGTATGTGTGTCCTTGGGTCTGTGAGCACTTTCCAAAATAATTCAGGTAAAATGGATCTAAGAGAATCCATTTCCAGAACTAAACTTCCACATTTACTCTTTCCCAATGTCTCCTTTCCTATGGCTCCTTTAATAATTTTCCTTCTCCTAGTTTACAAAAGAAAAGTGTATCTCTCGCCTGTCTTGAATCATAGTATGGTGCATTGCTCATGGATGTCAAACAAAGGAACCATTCAAAATCTTGGTGTCACAAAGCCTCCCTTAATCAAGGTACCATAAATCAATGCTCTCATTGCTACCCAATAGCTCATTATTTTTCCCTTAAACACATTTCAGTTAAGGGTGAAACATGCTGTTAGAAATGGGGTATTTTGGACTATACTGGGATGTTTTGAATTCAGACATATTGTAGAGTGATGTTTAGGAGTGATGACAATTTTTATTTAATGATATCTCACCTCTTCCAAACTCTAAGTATTGTCAAAGAATACATTGCTTCTGAAGGAAAGCTCAATGAGTAAAGGGGGAAAAAAACCTGTCAGTGAAAAATATTGAATGAAGCAGCATCTTATTTCATTTGGTGACACATTCATGGCACCTTATCTTTTTTACTTAGAATTAAAATTCAGAAGTGAGGTTTGCATGGGATTTTATATTAATATATCTACTTGAGATAATAATAACTGATTACATGTATATATAAATATGGAGAAATTTATTGAGTTATACACTTAGGATTTTTGTATTTTATTTATATAAATTAGACTTCAATTTTAGAATATAAATTAAATCTGATGCTAATGGCAAATTGAGAATATTTAACCAATCTCTTAAGGATGGCTTAATTGAAATAGAAAATGGGGACGTAGTATTTTTAAAATCCCCTTTAAGCCATAGGAGAACTACTAAAACAGTAAGAAACAAAAAACAGGTAAACAAAAAAGCTGGCCAAGATCTAGGACAAGACAGAAATTCAGAGATGCAACTGGTGCCATAGAGGTCGGTCTGCTTTTCTCCTGGGGACGTTTGATAATTCTGCCTGGAAAAGCCAACTATAAGAATGAGAGGCGAAGAGGCTGAAGAGTGCTTCTTTGTTGTTTGTTTGTTTGGTTTTTTTTTTTTTTTTGAGACAGAGTCTCACTCTGTCACCCAGGCTGGAGTACAGTGGCGCAATCTCGGCTCACTGCAACCTCCGCCTCCTGGGTTCAAGCAATTCTCCTGCCTCAGCCTCCCAAGTAGCTGGGATTACAGGCGCACGCCACCATGACTGGCTAATTTTTTTTATATTTTTAGTAGAGACGGGGTTTCACCATGTTGGCCAGACTGGTCTTGAACTCCTGACCTCGTGATCCGTCCGCCTCAGCCTCCCAAAGTGCTGGGATTACAGGCGTGAGCTACCGTGCCCGACCTGAAGAGTGCTTCTATTACTTCACAAGACAAAAGGGACACAAGTTGGATACCAAGGCCCACCATAGCAGTGGTACCTAGGAGTAAAAGAGAAACAAAATAGTCCCTGAAGCAACATAAAACTTTTTCTTTGAGACAGTCTCACGCTATCACCCAGGCACAAGGGCAGTGGCACGATCGTGGCTCACTGCAACCTCTGACAGTCAGATTCGAGTGACTCTCGTGCCTCAGCCTCCCGAGAAGCTGGGACTACAGGTGCATGCCATCACACCCAGCTAATTTTTGTATTATTAGTAGAAAGAGGGTTTCACCATGTGGGCCAGGCTGGTCTTGAACTCCTGGCCTCAAATGATCCCGCCGTCTTGGCCTCCCAAAGTGCTGGGATTACAGGCGTGAGCTACCGTACCCAGTCTAAACCAGCTTTAACTAATTTCAGTCTTTACATCTGGAATAAGGTGATGCAGGATAGCTGGTGCCCCCAAACATCTGGCAGAAGCAAAAACAAATCCTCTCTAGAAAAAGAAAACATCCTCCTAGATTAAACATTATCTTTTAAAAAACAACTTTTCAAATACAATTCAAGCACACAATAAAAGATAACCAGCCACATAAGACAAGACAATATGAAAGAAAAGAAGCAGAAACAGGCCAAGCCCAGTGGCTTAGCCTGTAATCCCAGCAACTTGGGAGGCCAAGGCGGACAGATCACCTGAGGTCAGGAGTTCGAGACCAGCCTGGGCAACATGGTGAAAGCCCATGTCTACTAAAAATACAAAAATTAGCCAGATGTGGTGGTGGGCACCTGTAATCCCAGCTACTCAGGAGGCTGAGGCAGGAGAATAGCTTGCACCCAGGAGACGGAAGGAGCAGTAAGCTGAGATTGTGCCACTGCACTTCAGCCTGGGTGACAGAGCAAGACTCTGTCTCAACAACAACAACAACAACAACAACAACAACAACAAAAGCAGCAGCAGAAACAATAAACACTAGAAACAGACCCACAGGGGCTCCAAATACTGGCATTATCATATATAGACTTTAAAACAACTATACTGTGGAAGGAGAATTGTGCCACCATGACCAAATACAATGTGTAGACCCTGTCTGGAGCCCGGGTTGAAAAAAAATTAAATTGTTAAAGAGTTGTAAAGCTAATCTGGGAATACTGAAAATTGAAGGTGAACAAGGTAGTAGGTGACATTAAGGAATCAGTATTAATATCACTTAGTGTGATTTTGTGGTTATATATATATATATATATATAAATGTATATATGTATATACGTTTTGTGTGGGGGGGGGGGGTGTTTTTTTTGTTTGTTTGTTTTTTTGTTTTTTGAGATGGAATCTTGCTCTGTCACCCAGGCTGGAGTGCAGTAGGGCAATCTCGGCTCACCGCAACCTCCACCTCTTGAGTTCAAGTGATTCTCCTGTCTCAGCCTCCCAAGTAGCTGGGATTACAGGCACATGCCACCAAACAAGCTCATTTTTGTATTTTTAGTAGAGATGGGGTTTTACCATGTTGGCCAGGCTGGTCTTGAACTCCTGACCTCAAACAATCCACCCACCTCAGCCTCCCAAAGTTCTGGGATTACAGGCATGAGCCACTGTACCCAACCAGTTATATATTTTTTAAAGTTCATATTGGTTAAAGAAATACGCTAACATCTTGGGTTTGCTTTTTTTAATTATATATATTTTTAGATGGGGGTCTATGTTGCCCGGGGTGGACTCAAACTCCGGGACTCAAGTGATCTTCCCATCTCAGCCTCCCAAGTAGCTAGAACTACAAGCACACACCAGCATGCCTGGCTCTTTGAATTTGCTTTAAACTACAATTCAAATTTAAAGCTTTAGATTGCTTTAAAGTAAAGAAGGAAGCGGAAGTGAAAGAGGAAGAAGAAAAGGAAGAAGAGGAAGATGATGAAGGAGGAGAAGGAGGGGAGCAGAAGCAGCAGCAATGGGGGAGGGAGTAAGGAATACATTTTGTAAAGGAATTAAAGAATATTGATCGTTATTGAAGCAGAGTGAATACACAGAAATTCATTATACTATTTTTTCCGCCTGTGCATATTTAATACACAGATCCATACACAAATTGTTCATAATTTAAAAGTTTTAAAAATTCTGTGCTTCCTGTGTATATGCAGATAAAAGGAAAAAAAAAACAATGTCAGCAAAATCCAGAAACTATACAAAAAGACACACCAGATTTGGGGGAAAAAAATGGGAATTCTAGAATTGAAAAACACAGCAAGTAAAAATTGCTTAAAATTGTGTTCATTGAGATTCTAGAAGATAATATGAGAAACTACCTTCATAGCCCCAGTGTAGGGAAAAATTTCCTCATCAGGACACAAGAAGAACTACCAATGAGGAAAAGCTTGTTACTCAGACCCCATTAAAAAAAGAAGTTCTTGTTCATCAAAAACAACCATTTAAAAGTAAAAAGACAAATCACAGAGTGGGAGAAAACATTGTAATACATGTAAGTATTAATGGGATCATATCCAAAATATAAAAAAGAACTCCTACAAAACAGCAAGAAATAAAGATTGCAACAGATAAATGGCAAAGTCTTAACAGGCAACTCACAGGAAGAACTAAGTCTCATTCATTATCAGAGAAATGCAAATTAAAACCATGGTGAGCTACCTCCATGTGCCCTCCAGAAGCTACATAAAATGCAAAGGTATATGCAGGAGTTACAAAGAAGGTACAAATGTGTGGTCTTTGAGCTGATGAACCTAAGTGTGGGTGAGGACGTGAAGCAACAAGCAGTCTCCTATGAGTAGGAGTGCAATTTGGGTACAACCACTTTGAAAAACATTGGCACTATATACTGTAATTGAAGACAGACATGTTCTAGAATTCAGCAATTCTACTTCTAGGTAGAACAGAAATGCATATTCATAGCAACATGATTCATTGTAGTACCAAACTGGAAATAACCTAAATGCCCATTAACAGCAGAATGGGTAAATTTATTGTACTAATTTTATACAATGGACAACTGTAGCAAAATGAAAATGAACACATGTAAGTATATGTATGAATTTCTCAAACACAATGTTGCAACACAAAAGGAAACATACAGTAAGATTTCCATTTATAAAAAATTCAAAATTAAGCAAAAACTAACTGTATTGTTTAGGGATAAGTACATGCATGGTAAAATTATAAAGAAGAAAAGCACGCTTACCATAAAGTCAGGATAGTGGTATCCTCTAGCAGGAAGGGAGGGAAGTGTGAGTGGGAAAGGAGAGGAGCTGCGCTTTCTAGGATGCCAGAAAAGAGTGATAGTTACATGCAATGAGAACACATGGACACAGGAAGAGGAACATCACACTCTGGGGACTGTTGTGGGGTCGGAGGAGGCGGGAGGGATAGCATTAGGAGATATACCTAATGCTAAATGACGAGTTAATGGGTGCAGCACACCAACATGGCATATGTATACATATGTAACAAACCTGCACGTTGTGCACATGTACCCTAAAACTTAAAGTATAATATTAATAAAATAATAATAATAAAAAAGAGTGATAGTTACATGGATGTTGGCTTTTGATTATTTGTTGACTTGTAAAAGTTTGCTTAGTGCAATTTTCTGAATGTGTGTCATATTTCAAAATAAATAATCTTGACTCATTGGTTTGGCAATAAGAACTAGCTTTACCATCTAGGATATTTGGTGGACATTTTCCAATGTTTGGATGAAAATATGTTTAAAGCTGGCACTCAGACAAAAGCATTCCATCAAAAATATTATGCTGATAAAGGTAAATTGAAATTTATGTTTGGATATCTCCCAACACGTTTTGTGAATAGCAGTTTAAACAAGTGCCCCTGTGTAAAGGAATGAGAAGGTAATTAATAGTCATTTGATAGGTTTTGGTGCATAGCCTTTTTGATACAATTCCCAGAAACTGAGAACGTGAATTACTCTAACGATTGGGTTGCAAATCCTATGAAGCCAATGATTTCTAATTCCTTGCTTTCAAGAAAATTAAAGGAAGGCTTAATCAAACTATTAGCTGACAGAATATTAAAAATGGTTTTGATGATATATCATTATGCAATTTTAGCATGCAATTCATAAAAAGTTCAAAGAATCATGACAGTGCTATAATAAAACATATTCCATTTTTATTTACTTATTTACATGAACAAGGTTTCTGAGTGCTAACATCTACAAAAACAATTAATAGGAAGACTAGCTGAATCCTGTTTCATTCTAGCAGTATGTAATATTCAACCATGAATGAACAAACCAATTAGTTGAAGAAAAATACTCCATTCATCTCATTAAGAAATGCATTTCTCAATTTATGTTTATGTTTATTATTTATAAAATTTTAAAATACTTTTTTCTCAATTGTATATTCATTAAAATTGTAATGTAGCTTAATTTGGACAAAATTTTAATCCTCAGAGATGTATGGTCGCACAAAATAAGAAAGGATTTTAATGTATGTGTTCCTGTGTATGGAATTTTATTGTAGAAACATTGGCAAATGTAATCTATAAAAGACTTTCAAGCATAAAAGTATGTTAGGTTGAATTCCTATAAGATACACAAAATGAAAATAAGAGTTCAAGCAGAAAAATGAACGATCTAAAATTAAACCGTTAAAGGAGGTTTTGTTCATGGTTTTGTTTTTTGTGTTTTTTCTTTGTTTGTTTTTGTTTTTTTTGAGACAGCATCTTGCTCTGTCACCCAGGCTGGAGTGCAGTGGCATGATCTTGGCTCACTGTAACCTCTGCCTCCCGGGTTCAAGCGATTCTCCTGCCTCAGCCTCCTGAGTACCTGGGACTACAGGCGTGCACCACCATGCCCAGCTACTTTTTGTATTTTTAGTAGAGACGAGGTTTCACCATGTTGGCCAGGATGGTCTCAATCTCTTGACCTCGTGATCCACCCGCCTCGGCCTCCCAAAGTGCTGGGATTACAGGCGTGAGCCACTGTGCCCGGCCTTATTCATGTATTTTTAAGTAGATGATAGTGAATATCAGATTATTATAAAATTTATATTTCTTTGAATACACTTTGTTTTTTGAGACAGGGTCTCGCTCTGTCACCTACGCTGGAGTGCAGTGGTACAATCAGGGCTCACTGCAGCCTCGAGCTCCTGGGCTCAAGCGATCCTCCCATCTCAGCCTCCTGAGTAGCTGGGACTACAGGTGTGAGCTGCCACACCCAGCTAATTTTTATATTTTTTGGTAGAGACAGGGTTGCCCATGTTGTCCAGGCTAGTCTCGAACTCCTGAGCTCAAGCAATCCTCCTGCCTCGGCCTCGAAAAGTGCTGGGATTACAGGCATGAACCACTGCGCCCAGCCTCCTCTGAATGCACTTTAAAGAATGATGTGACAGTTTTAGAATGTTAACAGTTTCAGTAAGTCAGAATTACATTATTTGAAACTATTTAAACTTATTAAGAATTTTAGATTTCAACTTTAAAATGTGCATAAGGTACATAGTTTTTAAAGCCTAATGGCTGAAACAGACTAATGGTTTATTCTCTGACATAAAAGAAGTTGGAGATAGACAGGTTATGCTTGTGTGGCAGCTCCTTGAAACTATGAGAGGCTCAGGATCCTTCAGTCCTTCTATTCTGCCATCCTTAGAAGGTGGCTTCTACCCTCAAGGCTACATTATGGCTACTGGAGCTTCAGCCATCATGTCATGTCTGGGGATCCCAGAGAAGGGACACAATAGCTTTTACCAGGACTCCTACTGAGCCACGTCCCACTCCTATCTGTCAGGGAGCCTAGAAAAGAACTTTTTCTACTGGGCATGTGGCCAAGAGCCCTGTTACCACAGGAGAAGATGAGAATATACACTTGGCAGGCAATTCGCAGTCTTAGTCATGTAGAATATGACTCCATTTTTATTAAGTTGTACACTTACATGTGATTTTATGCAGTGTTACATTTGGAAGGATGTTTACCAATGTATTTGTGGTTTATCATCGGATAGGAGATCTCAGTTTACTTTTACTTACTTCTCTGAACTTTTCTACATTGAATTTTTTGATAGACATGGTCATCCTTTTTTTCTTTACCTTTAAACAACATGGGTTTGAACATGGTCATTCTTACAAAAACATTACAGATATGCTCATATTTTAAAAAGAGGTAAACTGGGAAAAAGAAAAATTAGAGACTTTGCAGTCAACAACCTGAGTTTAAATTCCACTCTGCAATATAATTTAGGCATATAACTTAATCTCTATGGACCTCAATTTCCACTGTATAACTAGGTTATAGCCTCCAACAGTATTAGAAGTAGAGGTCATATTTTCTTCTTTTGTTTTATATATCAAAATTTAGAAGTCCCATTTACTGGGAGTGTCTTCAGAGAGCACAACAGATATATGTCCCAATTCGGGCCCATGAGATACAAGGGTAGGTTTGGTGGATGCTTCGGGGAAACTGCTCCTCCTTCTCAAGAGTCTCTCTTACCGGGGTTGTTGTGAGAACCTATGAATCCTGAAGCCACCACAGCTCAAGCCTCAGGATGAAGCCAGCACCAGGAGAAGGACAGAGCTGAGAGACACACAGAGAAACCATAGTGTCAATGTGTCCAGTCTGGACTTTTCACTTATAGGACCCAATAAATCTCCTTTATTATTTAAGCCAGTGCTATGGTTTGAATGTTTGTCTCCCCCAAAATGCATGTTGAAATTTAATTGTAACAGTATTAAGAGGGGAGGCCTTTGAGAGGTGATTAGGCTGTGAGGGCTCTGCCCTCATGGGTGGAATTAATGTCCTTATGACAGGGCATATTTGGTCCCTTTTGTGTTTCTGTCTTGCCCTGTCTTTGTCCTCCCACCTTCTGCCATGTGGTCACACAGCAAGAAGGTCCTCGTCAGAGGCCAGCACCTTGATCTTGGACTTCCCAGCCTTCAGAACTATGAGCCAATAAATTTCTGTTCATTATAAATTATCCAGTCTCAGGTATTCTGTTAGAGCAGTGTAAAACAGACTAAGACAGCCAGTCTTGGTTTTGTTTTATTTTGCCTGTTTGCTGCAAGCATCCTAATCGCTATTCAGCTTAAAATTATGTAAAATTACTTTTATTTATATTATCTTATTTGATCCTGACAAAAAACCTCTCAAAGTGGTCAAGAGTTATAATAGCTGAGGAAATTGAGAGCCAGGATGTTGAATGCTCAACATCACATGATAGAAAAATGGTGACAAGGATGGGACTCAAACCCAAGTTTCCTTGGTCTGAGTTCAGTTTCCTTCTCATTGGGCCATAATGCCTGCAAGGATAGGCAAGCAGAAGGTGTTCTGATGACTGAAAAGGAGTTGTCCACACTACAGATGCACCATGGTCTGAATGTTTGTATCCTCCCCAAATACATATGCTGAAACTAATCCCTAATGTGGTGGTATGCGGCAATGAGGCCTTTGGTAGGTGGTTAGGTCATGAGGGTGGAGCCCTTCCAAATGGGATTAGTGCCCTTATAAAAGAGACCCCAGAAAGACCTCTTGCCCCTTCCACTATGTGAGGACACAGCCAGAAGGTGCCATCTATGAACCAGCAAGCAGGTCCTCACCAGACACCAGATCTGCCAGTGCCTTGATCTTAGACTTCCCAACCTCCAGAACTGTGAGGAATAAATTTATGCTGTTTATAAGCCACTCAGTCTATGGTATTTTGTTACATCAGTCTAAAGCCACCCTGGGATGTAGTCAAAGCTTTGGGGATGACATTAAAAGGGCGGTGCCCATGGCCTCCCGAAATCATACCAGGGGATCTTGGGCTTATCAGGCTAGTGGCACTCAAAACCAAGCACCCAACAGTTGGATTTTTATGGGGATTCCACCTGCTAAGTGGAATCCCTGGAGGGAGACACCTGGAGGAAACTAATGAGCTGTTTTCAGAGTGCATAGACCAAGGAGACTGGGAGTGAGTCTGGTGAGAACCCATTGAATATGGGCCTGAAGGTTGGCATTTGTAAATTAAACCTAAAAGCTAAAAAAAAAAAAAAAAAAAAAAAAAGGTCGAGAATACTTTGTGACTACTAGCAGCATCAGCATCCAACCTAGGATATCCTTTCCCCAAGCCACTCACTGACATTTGAAGTTCCAGAAGTTATGGTAATTCCTTCAACTTTACAATTGAGATGCAGCTCCTGTCTCACCCCTCACCACCCCTCGGGAGCAGGGAGCTACTCAACATTGATAGTCACTTATTCTTTATTATTACTGAGTTATTGCTCCTTTCCTAGAAGACAGGGAAGTGAGATTATTGTTGGCAGGGGGGCAGTGGGCAAGACAGGAAGGATCCCCAAAAGAAAGGGTGTTGTCAGCCGGGCGCGGTGGCTCACACCTGTAATCCCAGCACTTTGGGAGGCTGAGGCACGTGGATCACCTGAGTTTGAGACCAGCCTGGCCAACATGGAGAAACCCTGTCTCTACTAAAAATACAAAAATTAGCCGGGCATGGTGGCGGGCACCTGTAATCTCAGCTACTCAGGAGGCTGAGGCAGGAGAATCGCTTGAACCCGGGAGGCGGAGGTTGCAGTCAGCCGAGATAGCGCCATTGCACTCCAGCCTGGGGAACAAGAGCGAGACTTCATGTCAAAAAAAATAATAAAATAAAAACATAAAAATAAAAAAAGAAAGGGTGTTGTCACCATGACTTTGGGAACAGCTGCTCCCTGGATGTCCTTGGGCCTCCCTCTTGTCTGACCTGGCACAGGGCAATCACCACTGGACTGAAGAAGTGGCAAAGAAGCCCACTAAACCAGTCTGATGCTAGAAAGAATGAATCCTTCACCTCCCACAATTCCTCCCTAAGGCCTGCCGCCCAGAAAATAAACGCCAAAGGGAAGAAACATTTCCATTTCCGTCTATTGACCTCAGAGCCTCTTCCAACCCAATGTTTTGATGTCACTGCCTGTAGGTGGGCTGAGTCCTGCTATGACTGAGAGGGGCTGACCCTGAGCCAAAAGTGGAGGCCACAGCAGTTGACTTGCCTGCAGCTTTTTTGGGGACACTTAGGTTTCCCAAAGTTTATTAGGCAGAAGGACAGGAGGAACAAAACACAAACTGGCCAGCTTTTTGGGGAGAACAGTATGGTCAACGTAAAGTCAGGTGAACAATCCTAGCCACATCGGATCAATACAAGGGACAATAAAAAACCAAAAAATATCTCCTTACTTTGTGGAACACAATTCAGTGGAGTCTAACAGACCTGGTTTTGAATCAGGCTCTGGATGTAACCTAACAATGTAACCTCAGACACGCTACTTATGTTCTCTGTATACCAGATTCCTCATCTCTAAAGAGGAGGTGATGATAGCAAATGAGGAGAAACTGAAAGCTTTTCCTCTAAGATCTGGAACAAGACAAGGATGCCCACTTTCACCACTGTTATTCAACATAGTACTGGAAGTCTTAGCTAGAGCAATCAGACAAGAGAAAGAAAAAACAGGCATCCAAATTGGAAAAGAAGAAGTCAAATTATCATTATTTGCAGATGACATGATCTTATAGTCAGAAAAATCTAAAGACTCCACCAAAATACTATTACAACTGATTAGCAAATTCAGTAAAGTTGCAGGATACAAAATCAACATACAAAAATCAATAGCATTTCTATATGCCAACAGCAAACAATCTGAAAAAGAAGTTAAGAAAATCATCCCATTTACAATAGCGACAAATAATTAACCAAAGAAATAAAAGATCTGTACAGTGAAAACTATAAAACACTGATTAAAGAAATTGAAGAGGACACAAAAAAATGGAAAAATATTCCATGTTCATGGATTGGAAGAGTCAATATTACTAAAAGGTTCATACTACCCAAAGCAGTCTACAGACACAATGCAATCCCTATCAAAACACCAATGACATTCTTCACAGAAATAGAAAAACAATCTTAAAACTTACATGGAACCACAAAAGACACACAACAATCAAAGCTATCCTAAGCAAAAAGAACAAAACTGGAGGAATCACATTATCTGACTTCAAATTTTACTACAGAGCTATAGTAACCAAAACGGCATGGTACTGGCATCAAAACAGACACATAAACCAGTGGAACAGAATAGAGAACCCAGAAATAAATTCACATATCTACAGTGAACTCATTTTTGACAAAAGTGCCAAGAATATACATTGGGGAAAGGGCAGTCTCTTCAATAAATAGTGCTGGGAAAGGTGGATATCCATGTGCAGAAGAATGAAACTAGACCTCTAAGTCTCATCATATACAAAAGCAAATCAAAATGGATTAAAGACTTAAATCTATGACCTCAAACTATGAAACTACTAAAGGAAAACATTGGGGAAACTCTCCTGGACATTGTAATGGACAAAGATTTCTTGAGCAATACCCCACAAGCACAGGCAACCAAAGCGAAAATGGACAAATGGGATCACATCAAGTTAAAAAGATTCTGAGAAGGAAAGGAAACAATAAAGAAAGTGAAGAGACAACCCACAAAATGGGAGAAAATATTTTCAAACTACCCATCTGATAAGAGATTAGTAACCAGAATATATAAGGAGCTCAAACAACTTTATAGGAAAAAATAAAATAAAATAATCCAATTTGAAAATGGGCAAAAGATCTGAATAGACATTTTTCAAAAGAAGACATACAAATGGCAAACAGGCATATGAAAAGGTGCTCAACATCACTGATCATCAGAGAAATGCAAATGAAAACTATAATGAAATATCATCTCACACTAGTTAAAATGGCTTTTATCCAAAAGACAGGCAATAACAAATGCTGGCGAGGATGTGGAGAAAAGAGAACCCTTGTCCACTGTTGGTAGGAATATAAATTAGTACAACCACTATGGAGAACAGTCTGGAGGTTTCTCAAAAAACTAAAAATAGAGCTACCATATGATCCAGCAATCCCACTCCTAGGTATTTACCCAAAAGAAAGGATATCAGTATATCAAAGATCAGTATATCTGCACTCTCATGTTTACTGCAGCACTGTTTACAATAGTGAAAATTTGGAAATAGTCAAAATTCATCTGTTGTTCATCAACAGATGAATGGATAAAGAAAATGTACAGATACACAATGGAGTACCATTCAGCTACAAAAAAAGAATGAGATCCTATAATTTGCAACAACATGGATGGAACTGAAGGTCGTTATGTTAAGTGAAATAAGCCAGGCACAGAAAGACAAACATATGTTCTCACTTATGTGTGGGAGCTAAAAATTAAAACAATGAAACTCATGGACACAGAGAGTGGAAGGATAGTTACCAGAAGCTGGGAAAGGTAGTGGGGGAGTGAGGGGAAGTGGGGATGGTTAATAGACCCAAAAATATTATTAGAATGAATAAGACATAGTATTTGCTAGCACAATATGGTGGCTATAGTCAAAAATAATTTAATACATTTAAAAATAACTAAAAGATTATAATTGGATTGTAACACAAAAGATAAATGCTTGAGGTAATAAATACCCCATTCTCCATGCTGTGATTAGTATTCAGTTCATGCCTGTATCAAAATATCTCATGCAGCCCGTAAATATATAGACTTGCTATATACCAACAAAAATCAACAATCAAAAATTCATTAAAAAATAAATAAAAAGGAAGTGATTATAATGATGCTACCTCACAGAAATCTTAAATGAAATAATGCTCATAAAGTACTTAATACAGGGCCTGGCACACAATACATCGTATTCGTCCATTTTCACACTGCTATAAAGAAATACTGGAGACTGAGTAATTTATAAAGGAAAGAGGCTTAACTGACTCACAGTTCCACGTGGCTAGGGAGGCCTCAGGAAACTTACAATCATGGTGCAAGGCAAAGGGGAAGCAAGGTCCTTCACATGGCGGCAGGAGAGAGAAGAGTGAGGATTAGGGGGAAGAGTCCCTTATAAAACCATCAGATCTCATGAGAACTCACTCTATCACTACAACAGCATGGGGGAAACCGCCCCCATGATCCAATCAGCTCCCACCAGGTATCCCCCTAGGGATTATGGGGATTACAATTCAAGAAGACATTTGGGTAGGGACACAGCCAAACCATATTATACATGTTCATTAAACGGTGGCTCTTATTTTTGTCTTGGGTCAGAGAGAATGGAGGCAGATGGAAAATATTGCAAAGAGAAGAAAAGTATAAATTGTGGGGGCAATGGGGATGGCACTGGCATTTTTTTGAACTTTAATAATAACATTGCAAACCCAGTAAATGGTTACCAGACCTAAGTTTGAACAGGCAAGGTGTTTAATACAGCTTGTTGATTGGATTTACGGGTCCTTCCGGGCCTTTCATGGAGCTTGGGCCTGCTTTCTACCTTTATTGCTTCTGATGCCTAAGGCTAACTCCCCAGGGCAGCTTGACTCCCAACAGGGAAGTCTCATTTACCAAAAAGTCTCAGTGATTCTGTTTTCCCTGTCTTTTTTGCTTTTATTATTGTTTTTATTTTTTTAGAGACAAGATCTCGTTCTGTTGCCCAAGCCGGAGTACAGTGGTATGATCATAGCTCGCTGCAACCTTAAACTCCTGGGCTCAAAGGATCCTCCTGTCTCAGCCTCCTGAGTAGCTGAGAGTACAGGCACACACCACCACATCTGGCTAATTTTTAAATTTTCTGTAGAAATATGAGTCTCATGATGTTGCCCAGGCTGGTCTCTGACTCCTAGGTTCAAGCGATCCTCCCACCTTGGTCTCCCAAAGTGCTGGGATGACAAAGCCTCCATGCCCCACTGTCATGATGATTCCGAATCACCTCCAGCAAGGGACACCCTCTTCTTAGGGCTGAGAATAACTGCCAATGAGGAACCATGGATTTGGAGGCCCTTCAAGGGTCAGATCTTGGTTCCACCAGGTTCCCATCCTCACCTGTCATCAATAACCAGCACCTTGGTCTCCTTGTCCCCTGCCTTCAGCATCCCTGGCAGATTCCTGATGGTGACACTCCCAAGGCCACTTCACAGGATGGACCCTCATGGGTCATCTGGGCCAAACGCCTCCATGATAAAGCATAAGCACCAGAGAGGAGGTGGACTTGTCTAGGTTACACAGGAGGCCTGGGGTTGCTATTGGGCTCACCCAGGTCTAGGGAGCCCAGGACAGCAGTCATCACCACCCCACTCTCAGTAACACTGTGCTCTTCAGTATGTAGACAGCTCACATCTATGCCCCATGCATGATTTACAAATGTAAAGACCATGCACAGGAGCTGGCTTAGCAAAAATTGATAAGCAGCAGCCCTGGTTATCATTACTGTCACTGTCCTTGTATCTCATAGCTTCATACTACACCCAAGTCACCATAGGCATGGGCATCTTTGTTTTATAGTAGGAAACCAAGGTTCACACCTTAGCCTGCAGGACTTTGTAAAAACCCTGCTGTGGGTAAAGAGCCCAAAATGGCCAGCCCCTCAGCCTTTTGCTCCCAACCCCCAAGCCCTTTCTCCTCCAGGGCACTGCCTCCCACCCTCGTCTGGTCAGGGGAGGCCACCAGAGGAGGAGTACTGGCCTGGCAGGGAACACTGGCAGTCTCGGCCCTTCACCAAACAGCAGGGGAAAGGCAGCAAGCCCCGCCCCGGTGGCCCCAAGATATGGGTGCCAGGAACCCGTCATTCAGAGACCACAAATGAAGAAAGCAGGGAGGCCAGCCCAGCCAGGCACAGCTCACCCCACCCTGCTGGGAAAACCCATTGTGTTTCACCGGGCATCCTGGGGTGCTGTTGTGGGCCAAGAATGACACTTGCCTCACGCCATCAAAACCAGAAGGGTATCCTAAGGGGAGTAGGCTCGCCCCGCAGAGCCACACTAGATGGAAGCAAGGCGAGTAGCCAGGGCAGAGCCCACCCCCCGCACCTCCCTCCCCACAGCCTGTGTAGACACACAGGCCGGCAGAGTCACCGGGGCAGCAGGTAGGAAGGGCGGTTCAGGAAGCCAGGTACTTACCACAGGGGAGCATGGTCTCTTCAGCCTCACCCTCAGGTTCTCACCGTGGGCTCCACTGGGCATCCATAGGACCCTGCAGTTGTGGGCAAAACCGGGGAGACCCATACAGACATCGTTTTCCTGGGGAGAAAGAAAATTCGATTTCATCAGAGTCCTAACCCTGTGCATGCCTTGCACAGGGACAGACGGAAATAAGCTTCCTCCCTACCCAGGTCATGGGCCTCTGCACTCAGTGACAAAAATGGGAGAGCACAGAGCCAGCTCCCCACACCCGCTGAAAAAACAAGGAGTCCCTGAGGCCTCATGTTCAATCCCACCCCCACCCCCCTTTTTAAGCCCTGTCAACTCTTTCTCGCCTTCAGTCATCAGCTTAGGTGCCTCTTCCTCCAGGAAGCTCGCCTTCATCTTCCCGGGCTGGTTTAAGGGCACTTTCCGTGCCATGTGCTCAATTCCTTGTGTCCCCACTAAACCTCAGATCCCACAGGAGCAGTGGCGGTGTCTGCCGGGTTCTCGCTCTGTCTTCTGCTCTGCTAAGGTGCCTGGCACACCATGCTCTCGATCCCAGATGAGTGAATGAACTAATGAATGAATGAATAGCAGCACCACATCAGGCTGCTCTCACATAACCCACATGGCTAAGGAGAGGTCTACGTTTTATTTTTTAAGAAGGCAGAGCTCGAGGGGGCCTTGAAGTCACATCGCCGGCTGCTGAGTCTACGAACAGGGAAGCAGCCGCAGTCCCCGAAAGGACCCGTCCCAGCGAGCCAGGGCCTGGTTTTCCTTCCGCAGAAGGCGGAGGGACCGGAGCGGGCGCGGGCACCCCTGGGCTCTGAGGGGCGCGCTCTGAAGGGCGGCGGACTTCAGGGCCATGCTGGCTGTCCCCAGAAAGCAGGAGCCCGAAACCGCGGGGCCAACGAACGCCCACATTCTCTGCTACAACCTCGCCACTCCCCTGCGCCTCTCCCCTTGCCCCCTGCCCCCACAGGTAACGCCCAGAACGAGTGCTTCTCCCGGTGGGGTACTGAGGAGCCTGGGCTGCAGCTGCCGAGCCGCCACAGCCACGCTGAGCCCGGCCTGGCCTGCACACTGGCGCCACCGCCTGGCGGGGAGCGGGACTGACGCGCTCCTCTCCCTCTCCTCCAGCCCAGATCACGGAGGCGCGGAGCTCCATCTCCTGCCCTGGGCGAGGGGAGTGAGGGAGACAAAGACTTTGGGCACAACACCCACCACATAGAACCTATTCTCTAGTTGGGAAACAAGTCAAGGCAAAGGCGCACAGAGTGAAAGTCAGTGTGTGAGCAAACAAAACACCAGCCAGCAGAGGTTAAGCTTCTATGCAAACAGGCCTGCCTGACTCAGGGAGCAGGGGAGACTGAGGCAGATGAGAAGCTCCCGCCGAGGCCACCAGGATGCCCAGGCCTTGGGGCTCCAGGAAACGTGGTCTCCACGCTCAATCTCGGCTCAGCCTTCCCCAGAAGATGCCTCTAGCCGGACAGAGCTGGGTTTTAATCATGCCGCCTTCATAAGCCAGGTGCATGATCTCTGGCTAGTTAACTACAGGTGCATTTCCTTAACCTATTTAAAAAAGGGGTGGGGGGATGGTTAGGAACTCTTGCCTGGTTGTGTTGTTGTTACAATTAAATCATGAATATGGAGCATTTGATGCAGTGCTCAGAATAGAAGCTACTCTTAAAAGCAATCCACTCATAATAGGGAACGAAGGTTCTAGAATGGCTACTTTTTAAAACTATAAATCAGAACAGATTCAATATAAGAACATCACTCTCAATTCTTACTCACTTCCATTCTGGAGTAGCAGAGAAAGAAGCAGAGGGGCCACTGGCTGCAGAGGGAATGGCCCAGAGCTCACAGCCTGTCCTGGTTAAGTGGCAGCCATGGGGAGGCCCTAGAGAAATGTCACCAAGAACTGTGGAGACAGCAAGGAGTAAATGCTAGCACTGATTGTCTGCCAAATGCCATTCAATGAACTACATTCTTTACAAGCATTGACTCATTTACTTCTCACACCACCCCTACAAATAGGTGTCATTATCATCCCCATTATTTTAGAGATGAGAAAGCTGGGACATTCACAGATTGGGGACCCAGACCAAAGTCACACTGCATCTAAGCAGCAAAACTGAAATTGTAGCC
Organism: Homo sapiens; assembly: GCF_000001405.40. Lineage (NCBI taxonomy): Eukaryota > Metazoa > Chordata > Mammalia > Primates > Hominidae > Homo > Homo sapiens. Next base: position 77,712,660 of record NC_000010.11, read on the forward strand.
AGGTGTTCTGGCTCCAGAGCCTCTGCTCCCAACCACCAGCCAATACCTGCCTCTCTGATCTGGGAGCTATATTCATTCCCACTTCTCAGGCGAGAAAACTGCTGTTCAGAGCGATGAACTCTTGCAAGGTCACACAGATAGTCACTGGCAGAGCTGTGATTTTTAGTCTTGAGCTTTCTCCCTAATTCAACTTGGGATAGAGAAAGTAAAAGCTGGCCAGGCGCGGTGGCTCACGCCTGTAATCCCAGTACTTTGGGAGGCCAAGGCGGGCGGATCACGAGGCCAGGAGATTGAGACCATCCTGGCTAACACGGTGAAACCCCGTCTCTACTAAAAATACAAAAAATTAGCCGGGCGTGGTGGCCGGCGCCTGTAGTCCCAGCTACTCGGGAGGCTGAGGCAGGAGAATGGCGGGAACCCAGGAGGCGGAGCTTGCAGTGAGCCGAGATAGCGCCACTGCAGTCTGGCCTGGGCGAAAGAGCAAGATTCCGTCTCAAAAAAAAAAAAAAAGAAAAGAAAAGAAAGTAAAAGCCAGCCCCTCTCCAGCCGTCAGAATTACAAAAGGTGAACCGGGGACCTGTTGGCAATCACATTTCCGACCGTGTAGCAGAAGCTGGTCTATGGTAAGAGACGATAAAACCACCACACAGAGAGAAGCAAAGATGAGGCTCCGCCAACAGAGTTCAAGTCCCAGTTCCGGCCATTCCTGAAATCCAGCTGCAACCTTCCCTTTCTAAAACTTGGTTGTTCAAATTCAGGGTTTGACTCCAGGTGTCAATAAAGCCCCACTGTGTCCCCAAGTTGTTACAAGTTGGGGAATAGTCAGTTGCAACCAAAATGTGCTCTGCCACAGAAGGTGACATATGGAAACAAGAGGCAGAAACCCAGAAGTCCAGAGGATCTGGAAAAATGAGAGGAAAGAGAAGCCGAGAGCAGCAGAAAGAACAAAGGGTGCAAAGCTATAAAGAGCCTTTTGCCCATCTTGCCAAACCATCAGCTCTCTCACTTGTCCCTGAGCTTGCTGCTTCTGCCCACAGACTGCTTCCCAAACAGCTGTGAAAATATCGTGAACTGGTGCTTTTGAACATTTCCTCTTCCAAATGCATGCAAGTTTCACAGCCCCCTGAGTCCCACACGTAGACAATCACTTATACCAATTCCTCCTTCCGATAAATGTTCATGCCAGCTAAAATAACTCCCCATCCTTCAGATCCCCCCACACCAAGTAGTCTCCCTAAGTGCGTGTTCTTCCTGCCCCCCACTCCCCCGCACCCCTCCAGCAGGGTGCTTCTGGAAAGGCAGATGGCATGAGTGGAGAGCTGACCCCCAGCTCAGTCTTCAGGAAGGCAGGGCTGTTGATGAGTCAGCGGGGTCTGCACTGAAGCATCTGGCCCAAATTACCAGGATGAAGACTTTTTCGGCAAATTGCTCACAGCCCAACAGGCAGCACTCCACGCAGACCACCCCAGCGCTGCTGTTAGTCACGCGTGCATTTTAATTTAGCTACAGAAGAGGAAGGAGCAAAGAGCACAGAATAATCCTCTCCTTAGAGAGGAAAATGGGACCTCGGGAGCTTGCATGGCTTCCCTCAGGTCACTCAGCCAGTCAGAAAAGAAGCGCTCAGCAGGGGCAGGCTCCCTGAGCGTGTCCTAATCCTAGTCCTCGCAGAACTCTGGTCATTCTGGGATCAGCATCTGCAGTGGTCACATTCCTCACCTTCCCCCTGCCTCCCACCACCGTCACTTGACTTTCTCTCAGAGCTCAAACTAGAAGGGATCTGGTTCAGTTCCATCAACCATTCATTCATTCACTCATCCATTCAAAGTGGCGAGGCTGGAAGGGGCCTTAGGGCTCATCTGGCCAAATCCTTCCCATCCGGTGTTCACTGGGCTGTTTGACTCTAAGCCACAAACATTGACTCTAGCTAACTGAAGCAAAAGAAGACTCAGAGTTTATTTAAAGTAAAAGAAGAAGCTCAAAGAATTGGAAAATTTTTTAAAAAGCTGAAGACTTGTGTCCTAATAGGACAGGCTCCAGGGACCTTAAAAGCATGAATTTAATGATCTATAGAGTGCATCTTCTAGCACTTTTCCACTGGTGTCTTCTGAGTGGGCTCGTTCATGAACAAAACGTTTTCCCCTTTCTCTCTCTCCCTTGCCTCACCCATGGCTGCTTCTAGGTGGTGTAGCAGGCAGGGAATGGGCAGGGAATGTAAAATAAAATACATGGCCTCTTGAGGGCTCATGCAGACAGATTGCTGGACCCTACAGAGTTCCTGATTCTGGGGTAGAACTCCAGAATTGTGCATTTTTAACAAGTTCCCAGGCGATGCCAATGTCGCTGTTCTGGGCACCATACTTTGAGAATCACCACTCTAAGGAAACTTCACTTAAGTTTTGTGTCACACTTAGCTGGGGAGCATGGGGCACGCTGAGAAATAGTCCCCACCACAACTGTACTCAGTGGGATCACCAAGTCCCACAAGGCTGAAATCAATGGGATTTTCAAATGAAAAACAGGATACTATGACTAAAAGAGAGGATAGATGTTAGGCAGGAAAAAACACAGAGGTACACTGTGCCCCTCCCCAGGTGACATTTGAATGTTCGTGACATCTCCACCAGGTGGCCCCCTGGCTTAGGCTTGAGTTCCTCCAGTGACAGAAGGCTCACCATTCCACCATACCCAATCTATTTGTGGATGCTCCGATAATTACTAAGTTCTGAGTCTTGTGACACAAGACTCAGAGTTACAATTCCCCTCTATGTAGCAACTCTTCAAATAATTGGGGGTAACTCTCAGGCTTCCTGGGGTCAGTGGGTTAAATCTCTCCAGCTACTTCTGCAGTTCTTCATGAGACATGTGGAGGATCCTCCTTGCAATCTTGAAGGAGCCCAAGATCTCTCTTTGTTGGGCAGGTGACACCTTTATTGCAAGCCTGGTATCTGACAGGCCCAGTGCTTCTTCTGGCAACACAGTAGCAAAAAAGGCAAACACTGTGCCTACTCTCATGGAGCATTAGTGAGTAATCAAAATGGAACTGTGTTCTACAGATAAGTTCTCTTCAGCATGCAACAGTGAGGCTATCACCTCCCTCATTCTAATTAACATGCTTCTATTAATGCAACCTGAGATGACATCAGGTTTCTCAGCAGCCACATCCTACCATTGACTTCTTACCATTCTTCAGAAATCTTTAGAAACATTTACAGTGCGCCCAACCCTATGCTGGATGTCACAGGAGTGCAACAGAAGCAAGAGGCCTGGTCTCAGCCTCTTTAGAAGCCACTGTTAGTCTCACTGAAATGTTGGTTAACTGGCAACTGGACAAGATCTTCAGGTCCCAAAGGAGATCCTCAAGGAGTCATCGTCACTGATTCCAAATCCAGGGTCTCATTAGGAGCACATGGACCCTCTGCATCAGCAGAGCCTCTACTGGGGGCCAGGCCTCCAGGCTGAGAAGTCTGGCCATTATATGTCTTGAACTTCCTCCAACTGCAGCAGACGGGGGCTCCCTGTGCCACCCCCTCTAAGGGGTTTCCTGAATGGTCAGCTCTAAGGCAGGAATCAGGAGAGAAGCTGAGAAGCATCAAAGAATAATGAGCTGGAAGGAGCCTTGGCAATCCCAAGTCCAACCTTCTCATTCCACAGAAGACCCTGGGCCCCAAGAAGTGAAGGGGTGGTTCGAGTGCCCACTGTTGACAGATGAATCCTAGGATCCAGCTCCTCTCTTGCCATGAAACCCCATTCCCTGCCCACCACACACCACCCAGAAACAGCCGTGAGTGAGGCAAGGGAGAGAGAAAAAAGCAGACACATTTTGCTCATGAACGAGCCCACTCAGGAGACACCGATGGAAAAGTGCTAGAAAATGCACTCTACAGATCATTAATCAATTGATGCAACTTAAGCAATATATCAGGGGGAAAAACCTTTGTTGCCAATAATGGAAGCGCCTAAGACAGAACATTCTTCAGTGCCGGCTGGGCAACAGAAACAGCAGGCGGCCATAACTCAAAGCCCAGAAAGCTTTTGTTTTTAAACTTGCAATGCCAAGGAGGTGAGACAAGGGAGCCAATTCTCAGGGAGACAGGCCATGCGGAGCCAAATGCGTTCAGGTGATATACTGATCAGATGGTCCAGATACAGTTATTCTCAGAGGAATGATGGCTCATTAACGAGCCAAGCTGTTGACCACAGCTCTCCAGGAGAAGGGAAATGAGGGCTACGTGTTTTCAAAACCAGAGCTACACTCGATGTGACACAAGAACTAGACATGCATGAGTGTGGAGAATCACAGTGAATGGAAGGAAGCAAGACCCTTCTCTCCCAGACACCTTGATGTTGTGGGTTAGCCTTCATTAGAATAGGACTGATTCCTGGATGGGTGACATCATGAGCTAACACGTGTGTGCTGCTTACTACTTGCCAGACACAGTTTGCTATAGTTGGGATGTTTTTGCTCCAAATCACATGTTGAAATTCGATCCCCAGGGCTGGTGGTGATGGGCCTGATGGGAGGTGTTTGGATCTTGGGAGTGGATCCCTCATGAATAGATTAATGCCCTCCCTGGGGGATGGTGGAGGGATAAGTGAGTTCTCACTCTGTTCTCGCAAGAGCTTTTTGTTTAGAGGAGTGTGGCACCTCCTCCCTCCTCTCTCTCTTCCTCTCACCAGCGATCTCTGCACCCATAGGCTCCCTTTCACCTTCCACCATGGGTGGAAGCAGCCTGGAGCTCTCACCAGGAGCAGATGCTGGTGCCATGCTTCCTGCACAGCCTGCCAAACTGTGAGCCCAATAAACCTCTTTTCTTTATAAGTTATCCGGCCTTGGGCTTTCCTTTATAGCAACAGAAATGGACTAAGACACTGTGCCAAGCACTTTGTAAATATTAACTCCTCACAATAACACTGGGTGTGCTATGACTACCCCATTTTACATATGAGTCAACTTTGTCACAGAGAGGCTGAGGAACTTATCCAAGGTCACACAGCTAGTAGCACAGCCAGGTTAGGATTGAATCCAAGTAGCTCAGTTAGGAATGCCTGACTTCGCTGCTGTACCACTAACAGCTAGAAGAATAAGGAGTTGCTGCTGATGCTCCCAGCGTGCCCCCATAAATATACAGACTACTCTAGTACTCTGGTCTTCTAACCTGCCATTTGGGACCTGCCTAAGCTTTCCAATTTGAGGTGCTGTTCTCTGATATCACAAGAAAGTACCTCTATAAATTCTGGCCATGATAATATCTTTTCTTCCACTTGTTGATTACAGATCTCTGATGTACAGCCAAACTGCATTATTTGAGTTTTCTTAGCATATATAGAATTGACACATTGATATAATGTGTAATGGCCATTTACTTTTTTCCCCCTTTTTTTTTACTTCCCCGTAATATAAAGAAGAGCTGCATTTGATCCTAAACTCGAGTGGCCACCTCTGTATACTAAATGAGCCCCAAGGATAATCTGCCCCATTCATCAACACTTTCTAGTTTGCACCATGTTGGTGACTAAGGGGACACCAGGGGAGCAGATATGATCTCTACTGGCAATGAATTCAGTCTCCTGGGAAGATTCGGTGCAAACGATAGTTGCAATAAAACATGGTGAGTGCTATTGTAGGACTGTGCCTAAATGCTTCAGGAACAAAAAGAAAGAGAACCCAGCTCTTGAGATAGCAGCAGAAAAAGAGGTTCAGCAGGGAGACGGGGTCAGATTGAACACAGCTAAGGAGGCTGTGCAGTGTTACAGGAGTTGTGGGGGGGCGGTCTCTGGAAGGATCTAGGTAGGGGGATATTTTAGTTAGGAAAACCACCCCACCCTTCTACATGCATGGAGGGCAGGCTAGAGGGCAGCAGTGCTGGGAGAAAGACAACTAAGTAGGAGATGACGGGGCCAGGCATGGTGACTCACGCCTGTAATCCTAGCACTGTGGGAGGCCAAGGCAGGTGGATCACCTGAGGTCAGGAGTTTGAGACCAGCCTGGCCAACATGGTGAAACCCGTCTCTACTAAAAATACAAAAAACTAGCCGGGCATGGTGGTAGGTGCCTGTAATCTCAGCTGCTCCGGAGGCTGAGGGGGGACAATCACTTGAACCTGGGAGGCAGAGGTTGCAGTGAGCCGAGATCCCACCACTGCACTCCAGCCTAGGCAACAAGAGTGAAACTCCGTCTCAAAATAATAATAATAATAAGAAGAAGATGATGATGATGATGACGCATAGACCAGGCAGGAGATGAGAGTTAAACTCAAGCAGAAGCACTGAGGATGGAAAAAGAGAATGGATTAAATAAAAAGAAATCAGAGGTAATAAAAATGAAGGTTTTTTCCCCTGTGTGGTTCACTTGGACTTCACATTCATTTGCCATAAAATTTTGCATCTGACTTGATCCTGACTGAAGCATCGTGGAGATCTGGTTTTTAGGTTAAGTTCAAACTTCTGGGAAACACAAGTCAGACCGGAAGATCAGAGTTTCCATGCAGATATGATCTCTACTGGCAATAAATTCAGTTTCTGGAAAACATTTGGTGCTATCAGTCCTGTTTGCTTTTGAGCAAATTATTTGCATTTTCTGAAACTCAGTCTCATCATTTGTAAAGTGAGAATTATGATATCTACCTCTGCATCTTATGGCATAAGCTAACTTGGGTGCCAATATTGTCTCATCCCTTTTCATCTTTTCTAATAATGATAACAACAGCAACCTCCAACATTTACTGGGCACCTAATATGTACCAGGCACTATTCAACATGCACTAATTCATTTGATCCTCACAACCACCTTAGGAGATAGATTCTATTATTGTCACCATTCTGCAAATAAAGAAACGGAGGCAGAAAGATGCAGTAACTTGCCAACTCCCCAGGCTGTGGCAGAGCAAAGATGTGAGCTCGCCTTCTCTCATAATTGCCTCAGCACTCGCCTACCCTGATGCACAGGAAGTCCAACGCCTCCTTTCTGGGCCCTCCCTCCTCCCCTGTATTGTCCAAGAATCCTTCTTCTTCAGTCCTGCTCCCTGGCACCAGATGGACAAAGAACAACTCCAGCCCTATGCTGCCATTGCTGGATGCTGCCACACGGTGTCGCTATGGAAGGTGTAGCCTGCAATTGGCGCTGGTGGTCTGTTGATGGGATGTTCTTGCTGGTTCTGGTCCCTGTCCAAGCTACAATGGGGTCCCAAGCAGAGGCTCTGAGACTTCACTTCCTTTTTTTTTTTTTTTTTTTTTTGAGACAGAGTCTCGCTCTGTTGCCCAGGGTGAAGTGCAGCAGTGCAATCTCTGCTTACTACAACCTCCACCTCCCAGGTTCAAACGATTCTCCTGCCTCAGTCTCCCGAGTAGCTGGGATTACAGGCATGCACCAGCACGCCTGGCTAATTTTTTGTATTTTTAGTGAAGACAGGGTTTCCCCATGTTGCCAAGGCTGGTCTTGAACTCCTAGGCTCAAGTGATCCTCCCTCCTTGGCCTTACAAGCATCACAGAGCTTGCAAGATAGTGAAAAATTATCTGGCCAAGTTCCAAAAGAGGCCCAGAATCTAGAGAGGTTAGTAAAACAATTGGGCTTCTGTTGTTCCAAGTTTAGCTGCGCTTCTGGGCTTTGGTGGCCTCAAGATACTATGGGAAAAAAGTTGGCATCCAGGGCCCACCACGTGTCAGACCCAATATATGATCTGGCTCTGGGATGTGACCCCAGAATGCTGCACACTTGAAGTAAGAATAACAAGAAACAAACCAGTCCTCGCATAGATGAAAATGTGCTTCAAAAATCTGAGTGCTGGAGAAAACAACAAGGCCTGAACTTGAATTAAGGTAATCCTGTGTTGGTAGTGCTCCCAGTCTCCTGGCAAAACGAATAAAGAACCTACTTTTAGAAGACAAGGGCACAGTATAGGCCTTAAATTATGTTTTCCAAGCACAATGTCTAACACAGAGTCAAGGATAACCAAGTACACGTGAAGATAAAATGCTATGGATGAGGCCAGGTGCCGTGGCTCACGCCTGTAATCCCAGCACTTTGGGAGGCTGAGGCGGGCGGATCACGAGGTCAGGAGTTTGAGACCAGCCTGACTAACATGGCGAAACCCCATCTCTACTAAAAATACAAAAATTAGCCGGGCGTGGTGGGGGGCCCCTATAATTCCAGCTACTCAGAAAGCTGAGGCAGGAGAATCACTTGAGATCGTGCCACTGCACTCCAGCCTGGGCGACAGAGCGAAACTCCGTCTCAAAGAAAAAAAAAAAAAAAAGATAAAAAAATGCTATGGATGAGAATAAACAGAAACAGCAAACAGACACACCCACAGGAACTGCAAATAATGGAATCATCAGCAGATACCATAAAATAAATAGGTCTGCTATGTTCAAGGAGATAAAAGTTTATTTAAACCATTTTGGCAGAAAACTGGAAATCATAAAAAGTGACATAACAGATATGTAAGGAAACTGTGAACCCTGAACATCTGAGATGGTCTCAATTAATTTAGAAAGTATATTTTGCCAAGATTGAGGACATGTGCCTGTGATACACCCTCAGGAGGTCCTGACAACATGTGCCCAAGGTGGTCAGAGCCCAGTTTGGTTTTATACATTCTAGGGAGACATGAGACATCAATCAACATAATGCAAGATGAACACAGGTTTGCTCTGGAAAGGTGGGACAACTCGAAGCAAAGATGGGAAGACTCGAAGCAGGGCAAGGTTTCCAGGTCATAGGTAAATAAGAGACAAATGGTTGCACTCTTCTGAGTTCCCGATTAGTCTCTCCAAAGGAGGCAATCAGATATACATTCATCTCAGTGAGCAGAGGGGTGACTTTGGGTAGAATGGGAGGCAGGTTGACTCTAAGCAGTTCTCAGCTTCACTTTTGCCTTTAACTTAGCAATTTGGGGGCCCCAAGATTTATTTTCCTTTCACAAAACCAAATAGATTTTTTAGAATTGAAAAATACAATACTATTAAAATTAAAAATTCAATAACTTTTTTTCTGCCTGATTTTATCTTTTTAACAGCTTTATTGAGGTATGGTTTACATAAATAAAATCCACCTATTTAAAGTGCTTAGTTCGATGAGCCTGCCTATGCAGAGGACTTTTTGAAGGAGAGAAATTCTGAAATTATGAATCTAACAGTTTAAATTAGGAACGTAATTCATATAGACTACACCATTCCCAGCTACAATCCTCTTTCAGAGAGAGAAGCACCTTTGCTCTCCAGTCATTTACAATCCTTCAGAATGGAAGCAACTGGCTCCATGGTTCCAGGTTTTATACCCCTTTGAAGTGTAAATTAATAGTCTCAGAAAGAAAAATGGGAACGTCTTTACTACAGAATGCAAGCATTTGGCCTGAGGTGGGGTGGGTGGGAGTTAGAAGATGATAAATCTTATTGCCCTTTGAATGGGAGCAGATGGCTTTAGTCCTAACACCCTCTAACCTTAACTCAGATGTCAATAACATTTGCTCAGAAAGCCCTAATTGTGAAGAGACATGAAAATAATTGCTTATTGACAGATCGAGATGCAGAGGATATGGTGAGACAGTCTTAACGCATATGTTTTATTGGTGTCCCTAAAGAAAAAAATAATGGGAACAGAGGCAAATGTGAATAAATCATTACTAAAGAGTGTTCAAAACTAATAAAAGGCCAAGCACAGTGGCTCAGGCCTGTAATTCCAGCACTTTGGGAGGCTGAGGCAGGTGGATCATGAGGTCAGGAATCGAGACCAGCCTGGCCAATATGGTGAAACCCCGTCTCTACTAAAAATACAAAAATGAGCTGGGCATGGTGGCGCATGCCTGTAACCCCAGCTACTTGGGAGGCTGAGGCAGGAGAATTGCTAGAACCTGGGAGGTGGAGGTCGCAGTGGGCCGAGATCATACCACTGCACTCCAGCCTGGGCAACAGTGCAAGACTCCATCTCAGAAAAAAAAAAAACAAAAAAACCCACTAATTAAAGACACAAAACCACGTGTTTAAGAAGCCAAATAAATCTCAAGGCAGAAAATTTTAAAAATAAATCAACATGTAGATACATTATAGTGAAACTGCAAAAAAACAAAGACAAAGAGAAACCTTAAAAGATGTCTTTACAGAGGCAGCAGTTAGAGTAACAGCTAAATTCTCAAAAGAAACAATGGAAGCTAGAAGACAGTAGAATGACCATCTCAATGCACTGAAAGAAAATTGTTGGGGTGATCAGACCCAACACCAAGTCGTGGGGGTACAAAGTCTGGCAGAGTCAAAGGATTGAGAAAAAGACAGTTTGAGAGAGAAAAACCTGGGACCAGGGGGACATCACTAGTGTATGGAGGCTGCGAAGGCCCTGAGCTCTAGGAGCCCATGCTATTTATTGGTAATCCAACAAAGAAACAGGTGATGAGAATGTGGAGGTCAAAAGGGCATGTTGCATTAAGCACATGATTTACAGCTGTGATGGTTTAGCATTTGCTCTGCTACTTGAGATAATGGAGAGCAGATTCTTTTAACTCAAGATACAATCGATCCTGAGAGAGCAAGGAGCAAGAAGCCAGCAAGTCTAGACACATTCCAGAGCCTCGAGCCCTGGATTCTATCCAAGCCATGAGGGATTTTATGCCCTGGGTTTAAGTTATGGTGCATCAGGGTAGCCTTCTACCCTTTAGCACAGAGCTTGGTGTTCCAAAGGCCACAAGGGGCTTTAGACCCTGGACCCCGCACATATTCCAAGACTTTTTTATATTATGTCAGACATGCAAACCCTGCCTCAGCTTCTGTCAACACTCAGCTTTTCCCAACAGAAAATAACTGCTTATATTGTTTGGATATTTGTCCCACCCAGATCTCATATTGAATTGTGATGTCCAACGATGGAGGTGGGGCCTGGTGGGAGGTGTTTGGGTCATGGAGGCAGCTCCCTCGTGGCTTGGTGTTGTCTTCATGATAGTGAGTTCTCACAAGATCTGGTCATTTAAAACTGTGTGTCACTTCCCCCCAACTCTCTCTCTCTTGCTCCTGCTTTTACTATGTGAAGTGCCTGCTCCTGCTTCACCTTCCACCATCAGTAAAAGCTCCCTGACGCCTCCCGAGAAGCAGATACCAGTACTATGCTTCCGGTACAGCCTGAAGAATTGTGAGCCAATTAAACCTCCTTTCATATAAATACCTAGTCTCAAGTATTTCTTTATAAATGCAAAAACAGCCTAATGTAGAAAATTGGTACCTAGCATGGGGCATTGCTATAAAGATACCTGGAAATGTGAAAGCAGCTTTGCAATTGGGTAATGAGCAGAGGTTTGAAAAGTTTGGAGAGCTCAAAAGAAGACAGGAAGATGAGGGGAAATTTGGAACTTCTTAGAGACTGGTTAAATAGTTGTGACCAAAATGCTGATAGTGATATGGACAGTGAAGTCCAGGCTGATGAGGTCTCAGATGGAAATCAGAAACTTATTGGGAACTGGAGCAAAGGTCACCCTTGTTATACTTTAGCAAAGATCTTGACTGCATTCTGCTCTTGCCCTAGAGGTCTGTGGAAATTTGAAGTGATTATTGACAGTATCTGGCAGAAGAAATTTCTAAGCAGCAAAGTGTTCAAGATGTACCTGACTGCTTCTAACAGTCCACATTCAGATGCAGGAGCAAAGAAATAAAGTTGAAATTTATATATGAACAGGAAGCAGAACTTAAATGTTTGGAAAATTTGCAGCTGGACCATGTGACAGAGAAAGAAAAAGCTTTTTTGGGAGAGGAATTCAAGCAGGCTGTGGAATAACCACTTGTACGAGATATTTGTGTAACTAAATGGAGCCAAGTACCTTTATCTAAGACATGAGGAAAAGGCCATGACATTTTGAAGACAACCTTCGTGCCTGTCCCTCCCCTCCCAGGTCCAGAGGCTTAGAAGGAAAGAATGGTTTCATGGGCCAGGCCCAGGGCCCAGTGGCCCTGCACAGCTTCAGGACACTGCTCCCCACATCCCAGCTGCTCCAGCTCCAACTGTGGCTCAAAAGGGCCCAGGTACAGCTCAGGCTGTCACTTTGGGGAATGCAAGCCATAAGCCTTGGTGGCTTTCATGTGATGTTAAACCTGTAGATGTGCAGAATGCAAGAGTGAAGAATGCTAGGCAGCCTCTGCCTAGATTTTAGAGGCTGTATGAGAATGCCCAGGTGCCCATGCAAAAACCTGATTCAGGGACAGAGTCCTTATAGAAAACCTCTACTAGGAAAGTACCAAGGGGAAATGTGAGGTTGGAGCCCCCACACGGAGTCCCCCCACTGGGCCACTGCCTAGTGGAGCTGTGAAAAGGAGACCACCTTTCTCCAGACCCCAGAATGGTAGATCCACTGGCAGCTTGTACCCTGCACCTGCAAAAGCCACAAGCACTAAACTGAGAGCAGCCACAGGGGATGTACCCTGCAAAGCCACAGAGGTGGAGCTGCCCGAGACCTAGGGAGCCCACCCCTTGCACCAGTGTCCCCTTGTTACAGGACATAGAGTCAAAAAAGTTTATTTTTGGAGCTTTAAGATTGAATGACTGCCCTGCTGGGTTTCAAACATGCATGGAGCCTGTAGCCCTTTCCTTTTGGCCAGTTTCTCCCTTTGGAATGGGAATGTTTATCCAATGCTTATACTCCCATTGTACCTTGGAGGTAACTTGTTTTTTATTTTAGAGGATCATAGGTGGAAGGGATTTGCTTTGTTTCAAATGAGACTTTGGACTTTTGAGTTAATGCTGGAATGAGTTAAGACTTTGGGGGACTGTTGGGAAGGCATGACTATATTTTGCAATGTGAAAAGGACATGAGTTTAGGAGGGGCCAGGGGTGGAATGATATAGTTTGGATATTTGTCCTTTCCCAAATCATGTTGGATTATGATCCCCAGTGCTGGAGGTGGGGCCTGGTGGAAGATGCTTGGATCATGGGGGTGTTTCCCTCATGGCTTGGTGCTGTCTTTGTGATAGTGAGTTCTCACAAAATCTGGTCATTTAAAAGTGTGTGGCACTTGGCCGGGCGCAGTGGCTCATGCCTGTAATCCCAACACTTTGAGAGACCAAGGTGGGCGGATCACCTGAGGTCAGGAGTTTGAGACCAGCCTGGCCAACATGGTGAAACCCTATCTCTACTAAAAATACAAAATTAGCCAGGCATGGTGGTGCACACCTCTGATCCCAGCTACTCAAGAGGCTGAGGCAGGAGAATCGCTTGAACCCGGGAGGCAGAGGTTGCAGTGAGCCGAGATCGCGCCATTGCACTCCAGCCTGGGCAAAAAGAGTGAAACTGTCTAAAAAAAAAAAATGTGTGGCACCCCTGCTCACTCCCCATCTCCTGCTCCTGCTTCCTGCTTTCACCATATGAAGTGCCTGCTGCTGCTTCGCCTTCTACCATGAGTAAAAGCTTCCTGAGGCCTCCCCAGAAGCATATGCCTCTCTGCTTCCTATACAGACTGCAGAACAGTGAGCCAACTGCACTTCTTTCCTTATAAATTACTCAGTCTCAGGTATTTCTTCATAGCAGTGCCAGAATGGCCTAATACACCTGTGAACATACAAATTTACAATTTCCTTTACCCAGGAAAAAAACTCACCAACAATAAATACAAACTAAAGACATATTCAACAGATAAAATCTGAGGGAGTTCACCACCAGTATACCAGTATTCATTCTTCAATATGGAGCCAAGAAAGTGATATGTGTGTGTGTGTATATACATATATATTACTTACATATGAGTATATATATGTATGTATATGTGTATATATATGTATGTATGTGCCTGCATGTACATACTCACATCCATCAAGACATTATTATTTGCTTAATAAATACATACATATTAATATATTAATTACATATTAATATGTATTAAACACATGCATAATATATACATATTTATATAATATATAGACATAAATATTAAGCAAATAAAATAATAATAGTGCCTTGATGTATGTGAGCATCCACATGCATCTACACAAATACACACACACACATTTCTACATATTTACCCTTTCCAACGCTCTTCTTTCCTACACATCCAGGATTTATCTGGTGTATCAGGCCATTCTTCCATTGCTATAAAGACATACCTGAGACTGAGTAATTTGTAAGAAAAGAGGTTTAATTGGTTCATGGTTCTGCAGGCTGTACAGGAAGCATGACAGCTTCTGTTTCTGGGGAGGCCTAGGGAGCTTATACTTGTGGTGGAAGGCAAAGTGGGATCAGGCTATCTTATAAGAAGGGAGCAGGAGAAAGAGAGAGAAAAAAAGGAGGAAGTGCTACACACTTCCAAACAACCAGATCACACGAGAACTCACTCATAATCACAAGAACAGCACCAAGGAAATGGTGCTAAACTATTTATGATGAATCAGCCCCCAGTCGCCTCCCACCGGGTGGCCCCACCTCCAAGAATAGGGATTACAATATAACATGAGATTTGGGTGGGGACATAGATGCAAACCATATCATCAGGTGTCATTTCCTTTTAACCTAAAATGTTTATAGTTTGTAGACTTATGTAGTGCAAGTCTACTTACTGGACTAATTTCCTCAGCTTTTTCCTGTCTACAAATGTCTTTATTTTGCCTTTATTTTTGAAGTATGTATTTTGAATGCTTTGTTAAATTCTTTCAGCATTTTAAAGAAGCCATTACATTGTCTCTGCATTTTTAATAAGAATTCAGCCATCATTCTTTCTTCTTGTTACCTTCTTAAATGTATTTGCCCCTTTTCTCTGATAGCACTTAAGATATCCTCTTTAATATTGGTTTTCAGCAATTTGACCATGATGTGCTTTGGTATGGTTTTCTTTGTATTTATTCTGCTTGAGTTTTAATTTTTCTCTTTATGCATCGGTTTGGATTAATTTAATTAACCTATCTTCAAGTTTATGGATCTTCCCTTGTGCTCTATTCAGTCTGCTGATAAGTACTTCAAATGAATTTTTCATTTCAGTACTGGAATTCCCATTTTATTCTTTTGTAGAGTTTCAGATTTCCTGCCGAAATTTACAATCTGTTCACACATTTTGCTTGGCTTTTCCAGTGAATATTTTAACAGAGTTGTAATACTTATTTTAAAGTTTTTGTCGGCTGATTTCAACATCTGGGTCATTCCTCATTCTGTTTTTTTGTTGTTGTTGTTGTTGTTGTTGTTTTTCTTTCTCTTGATTATTCATTACATCTTCCTGCTTTTTTTTTTTTTTTAGACAGAGTCTCACTCTGCTGCCCAGGCTGGAGTGCAGTGGCACAATCTTGGCTCACTGCAACCTCCACCTCCCAGGTTCAAGCAATTCTCGTGCCTCAGCCTCCCAAGTAGCTGGGATTACAGGTGTGCACCACCACGGCTGGCTAATTTTTGTATTTTTAGTAGAGATGGGCTTTCACCATATTGGCCAGGCTGGTCTCGAACTCCTGACCTCAGGTGACCCACCCACCTCAGCCTCCCAAAGTGCTGGGATTACAGGCATGAACCACCGCACCCAGCCCTTCCTGCTTTTTATAAACATGTCTTCTCTATTTAGTTATGTGCACATTTGGAAAGAATTAGTGGGCAGGTGTGCCCTGAGCAAGTCTCTCTTAATTCTCCCTTCCCTGTTCCTCCTGCTGCCAGGTTCTCAGTGAAGACTTAGGAAGAGTTGATGGGTGGATGGTCCTAGAGAAATCTCTTTACCCTCATTTCCTGTCCTTAGCCTTTACCAGGACAGGGCTATGAAGTTGGTGAAGACCCTGTAGATGAGAACTGGCATATAGATGTCATTTTGTATTTGGGACTTTGGGGGATTTTAATACATTTTGCCAGCTCATGCAAATTTGTTAAAAGTTCAGCTAGTTTCTCCTTGCATCTGCAAAAATTCCCATCTATAGTGGGTTCAATCTTCCATCCACCATACCCCTATGAGGAAAGCAGCCTTGGGTCTCACTTTCCTAGCAAGGGCTCTTTGCACTATGGAATTTAGTTTATTTCCACTTCTTTATCCTCAGCTTGGGTTTTTAACAACTATGCTTCTGTAGCTTATCCAGCTTACTCACATTATTTCAGTGAGAGCAATGATCTCTTGAAACTTTCTATATCCTAATTGGAGGTGGCAGTCTAAATGTTTTTCAAAAAGACTTACACATTTAAAATATGAAGAGAAAAGGTGAGAATAAAGTTTCTGACATCTGTAGACTATTAGATTATCCATCCCTTTCCATATCCAGGGACCATATTTAATGCTAACTTGACTCAGAGAAAATACCACCAGGTCATTTAGCTAGGTCTATATCCCTGCTGGGAAGGCCCAGGAAGGCTAATGCATCAAATGCCCACTGGAACAAAAACATCTTCTTTTAAAAAAATCACCTGTTTTAAAATGAAATTGGAGGAAAATGAAGCAAAAAAGAATTTACCCCTATTTCATCATACTGGATCTCTGTTTTCATTTAAAATGCTCTTTATCCTCATTTCAACATATTTCTACTTCTTAATCTGTGCTAGACTAGAACCAAATCCAGAAATCAGTTTTTCTAACAAACTTACTGAGTCTGAAGGGAGAGTTTGACTTTCTGCTCACCAACAAACTTGGGCACAGCCAGAATTTATGCTATTTCACATAAAGAAAAATAGGAGGGAAACGGCACTGACCCGAGAGGCCTTATGCAGCAACGATTCTCCTGAAGTGGGAGAGAAAGAGAATTAAAAAGATGAAACACACATCTTCTTTCCCCACAATGTTCAGTCAACTGCTCTAGGCCTTATTATGTAGAAGTGTACAATTGATAGATTCTGTAAGAAATTACCTAAAAATCTATACTTAATTGGTATCAAATAGTCTGAAATTTTCTGGTCACAAACCCTTTTTAAAATCTGATGAAGAGTCTAATGCAGGTAGCTTCAGTTGCAGGACACTTGAAACGCCCAGTGCCCTCCAGGGACAAATAGAACAATTAGGACTGCAAAAGGAGAACAAAAAGACATTTGTAGAACAGGTAAGTGGTACTTAGAAGGAAGGTCTAAAAGCAATCATCTAAGCTTCCACATTAAAGACTAGAAAGATAGAATAAACTGAAAATAAATAGAAGAAAAGAATAAAATCAAGGTGAGAATAAGAATAATGAAATAGAAAATGGATAACAGCAGAGATAACCCAATTAAAGCAAAAGCTGTATCTTTTAAAAGTATAATAAAATTGATAAACCTTTAGACTGCTCAAGAAAAAACAAAAATTACCAATATCAGAAGTTTAAAAGGAGACATAACTACAAGTCCTATGAACATTAAAATGATAGAAAGGAATAATATAAACAAACATATGCAAATACATTTATGGATATAATGAAATTATCCATTTTTTCAAAGAAGCAAATTACAAAAATGACAGAAGAGATAATCTAAGTTATACTATATCTATGAAAGAAATAGAAATTGTAGTTTTAAAATGTTTTTTTCACAAAGAAAATACCAACACAGATCACTTCACTGGTGAAGTTTATAAAATATTTAAGGAGAAAATAACACCAATATCACACTAACACTTTCAAAAAACAGATGGAGAGAATATTTCCTGTATCATTTTATGATGCCAGTATTATCCTGATAAGAAAAACAAAGTCATTACAAGAAAACTACAGGCTAATAGTATTTCTTATTAATATAAATCTTTAACAAAATATTAGCAAATCAAACATAGTAATATAGAAAAAGGATAATACATGTGACTTGGAGGGGGGCGGCACTTATCCCAGAATGCAGAGTTGGTCTAATATTTGAAAAATTAGTGTAATTCGTGACATTAATAGGATAAAAGAGAAAAATCATAATCTTGAGAGATGTGAAAAAACTTAACAGAAATAGGTGTTTATAACATTAAAAAAAAAAAAAAACTCTTATCAGGCACGGTGGCTCACCTGTAATCCCAGCACTTTGGGAGGCCAAGGTGGGAGGATCACTTGAGCCCAGGAGTTCAAGACCAGCCTGGGTAACATAGTGAAACCCCATCTCTATAAAAAATACAAAAATTAGCTGGATGTGGTGGCACATGCCTATAGTCCCAGCTACTTGGAAGGCTGAGGTGGGAGCATCACTTGAAACCAGGAGGTGGAGGTTGCAGTGAACCAAGATTGCACCACTGCACTCCAGCCTGGGCGACAGAGGGCGGGGAGAAAGACGGCTACAACCCCACTGGCAATGGCCTACATAATGGGTTTCTCACAGCGTCCTCCCTTGACAGTTACAGTAAAGATGGAGCGAAGTCCTTGAAAGGAGATGTGCCTGCCTCTGAGGTGACTTCGAAAGACTCGACGTTCAGCCAGTTTAGTCCGATCTCTAGTGCTGAAGAGTGTGGTGACGACGAGAAGATCAAGGTGGATGACCCCCTGACAAGGAGGACGTGCAATCAAGCTTCAGGTCGAACGTGTTGACAGGGTCGGCTCCCCAGCAGGACTATGATAAGCTGAAGGCATTTGGAGGGGAAAACTCCAGTAAAACTGGACTCTCTCCATCAGGCAATATGGAGAAAAACAAAGTTGTTAAGAGAGAAGCAGAAGCCAATTCTATAAACCTGAGTGTTTATGAACCTTTTAAAGTCAGAAAAGCAGAGGATAAATTGAAGGAAAACTCTGACAATGTGCTGGAAAACAGAGTCCTGGATGGGAAGCTGAGCTCCGAGAAGAATGACACCTGCCTCCCCGGCACTGCGCCATCAAAGACAAAGTCATCCTCCAAGCTCTCATCCTGCAGCTCTGCCATCATGGCTCTCAGCGCTAAAAAGGCGGCTTCAGACTCCTGCAAAGAACCAGTGGCCAATTCGAGGGAATCCTCCCCATTACCAAAAGAAGTAAATGACAGCCAGGCGCGGTGGCTCATGCCTGTAATCCCAGCACTTTGGGAGGCCAAGACGGGTGGATCATGAGGTCAGAAGTTCGAGACCAGCCTGACCAACATGGTGAAACCCTGTCTCTACTAAAAATGCAAAAATTAGTTGGGCATGGAGGTGCGCGCCTGTAATCCCAGCTATTTGGGAGGCTGGGGCAGGAGAATCGCTTGAACCTGGGAGGCGGAGGTTGCAGTGAGCCGAGATCACGCTACTGCACTCCAGCATGGGTGACAGAGCAAGACTCTGTCTCAAAAAAAAAAAAAAAAAGAAGAAGAAGAAGTAAACGACAGTCCGAGAGCCACCGACAAGTCTCCTGAATCCCAGAATCTCATAAACGGGACCAAAAAAACCATCCCTAAAGCAACCGGATAATCCCAGAAGCATCTCAAGTGAGAACAGCAGCAAGAGTTCCCCGTCCTCTCCTGCAGGGTCCGCACCAGCAATCCTCAAAGTCCGCATAAAAACCATTAAGATGTCTTCTGGGGAAATCAAGAGAACAGTGACCAGGGTATTGCCAGAAGTGGATCTTGACTCTGGGAAGAAATCTTCTGAGCAGACGGCGTCTGTGATGGCCTCTGTGACATTCCTTCTGTCATCTCCAGCATCAGCTGCCATCCTTTCCTCTCTCCTCAGGGCGCCTCTCCAGTCCACGGTCATGACCAATGCAGTTTCACCTGCAGAGCTCACCCCTAAACAGGTCACAATCAAGCCTGTGGCTACTGCTTTCCTCCCAGTGTCTGCTGTGAACGAAAGTGAAGACGGCAGGATCCCGAGTCATTAATTTGAAGCTCGCTAACAACACCACAGTGAAAGCCACAGTCATATCTGCTGCCTCTGTCCAGAGCGCCAGCAGCGCCATCATTAAAGCCGCCAACGCCATCCAGCAGCAAACTGTCGTGGTGCCGGCACCCAGCCGGGCCAACGCCAAACTCGTGCCAAAGACTGTGCACCTTGCCAACATTAACCTTTTGCCTCAGGGTGCCCAGGCCACCTCTGAACTCCGCCAAGTGCTAACCAAAGCTCAGCAACAAATAAAGCAGGCAATAATCAATGCAGCAGCCTCGCAACCCCCCAAAAAGGTGTCTCGAGTCCAGGTGGTGTCGTCCTTGCAGAGTTCTGTGGTGGAAGCTTTCAACAAGGTGCTGAGCAGTGTCAATCCAGTCCCTGTTTACATTCCAAACCTGAGTCCTCCCACCAATGCAGGGATCACGTTACCAACGCGTGGGTACAAGTGCTTGGAGTGTGGGGACTCCTTTGCAGTTGAAAAGAGTCTGACCCAGCACTATGACAGACAGAGCATGCGCATCGAAGTAACATGCAACCATGGTACAAAGAACCTCATTTTTTACAACAAATGCAGCCTCCTTTCCCATGCCCGTGGGCATAAGGAGAAAGGGGTGGTAATACAATGCTCCCACTTCATTTTAAAGCCAGTCCCAGCAGGTCAAATGATAGTTTCTCCATCAAGCAATATTTCCACTTCAACTTCCACTCTTCAGAGCCCTGTGGGAGCTGGCACACACACTGTCACAAAAATTCAGTCTGGCATAACTGGGACAGTCATATCGGCTCCTTTAAGCATTCCCATCACCCCAGCCATGCCCCTAGATGAAGACCCCTCCAAAGTGTGTAGACATAGTCTAAAATGTTTGGAGTGTAATGAAGTCTTCAGTATGAGACATCAATGGCTACACATTTCCAGCAGGCTGCAGATACACGTGGACAAAAGACTTGCACTATCTGCCAGATGCTGCTTCCTAACCAGTGCAGTTACGCATCACACCAGAGAATCCATCAGCACAAATCTCTCTACACCTGCCCTGAGTGCGGGGCCATCTGCAGGTCGGTGCACTTCCAGACCCATGTCACCAAGAACTGTCTGCACTACATGAGGAGAGTTGGTTTTCGATGTGTGCATTGCAATGTTGTATACTCTGATGTGGCTGCCCTGCAGTCTCACATTCAAGGTTCTCACTGTGAAGTCTTCTACAAGTGTCCTATTTGTCCAATGGCATGTAAGTCCGCCCCAAGCACACATTCCCACACCTACACACAGCATCCTGGCATCAAGATAGGAGAACCAGAAATAATATATAAGTGTTCCATGTGCGACACTGTGTTCACCCTGCAAACCTTGCTGTATCGCCACTTTGACCAACACATTGAAAACCAGAAGTTGTCTGTTTTCAAGTGTCCAGACTGTTATCTTTTATATGCACAGAAGCAACTTATGATGGACCATATCAAGTCTATGCATGGAACATTGAAAAGTATTGAAGGGCCTCCAAACTTGGGTATAAACTTGCCTTTGAGCATTAAGCCTGCAACTCAAAATTCAGCAAATCAGAACAAAGAGGACACCAAATCCATGAATGGGAAAGAGAAATTGGAAAAGAAATCTCCATCTCCTGTGAAAAAATCAGTGGAAACCAAGAAAGTGGCCAGTCCTGGGTGGACGTGTTGGGAGTGTGACCGCCTGTTCATTCAGAGAGATGTGTACATATCCCACGTGAGGAAGGAGCAAGGGAAGCAAATGAAGAAACATCCCTGCCGCCAGTGTGACAAGCTCATCCCACAGCCTGTGCCAGCACAACCGGATCAAGCACAAAGGCATCAGGAAAGTGTATGCCTGCTCGCACTGCCCAGACTCCAGACGTACCTTTACCAAACGATTGATGCTAGAGAAGCACGTCCAGCTGATGCACAGCCTCAAGGACCCTGACCTGAAAGAAATGACAGATGCCACCAATGAGGAGGAAACAGAAATAAAAGAAGACACCAAGTTCCCCAGTCCCAAGTGGAAGTTGGAAGAACCAGTTCTGGAGCTCAGGCCTTCCTGAGGAGCAATCACTCAACCACTGAAAAAGCTGAAAATCAATGTTTTTAAGGTTCTCAAGAGTGCCATGTGTGGCTTCACCACCGAAAACCTGCTTCAGTTCCACGAACACATCCCTCAGCACAAATCTGATAGTTCTTCCTACCAGTGCCAGGAGTGTGGCCTCTGGTACACGTCTCACGTCTCTCTGTCCAGGCACCTCTTCATTGTACACAAGTTAAAGGAACCTCAGCCAGTGTCCAAGCAAAATGGAGCTGGGGAAGATAACCAACAGGAGAACAAACCCAGCCATGAGGATGAATCCCCCAATGGCACCGTGTCAGACAGAAAGTGCAAAGTGTGCGTGAAAACTTTTGAAACTGAAGCTGCCTTAAATACTCACATGCGGATACATGGCATGGCCTTCATCAAATCCAAAAGGATGAGCTCAGCCAAGAAATAGCCACAGAAGGTACATGAGGAAAATCCCTGTCCACATTGGAATAAAAAAGATATTTTTGTTACAAAAAGTTTGCAGTATAATAAACAGTACTGTCTAGGCTGTTGCAATATGTTCTCTTTCAACGTACCTTCCTTCACCTCGTTGTATATATCCTCGATAAGTAGTAAAACAGTATTTGAGTTTCAAAGAGTTTGTATAGATTTAAATGAATAACTTTTTATACTGTTTGTTACACATTTGTATCAGTATTTAGTGGCAAACGATTTGAGTTGTTTTGGGTCAGAATTTTTCTTTTTGTACTGTTTCTTTAAAACAGAGTTCTTAGTAACAGGGGCAGCTCCTGAATTCAAATAAACCATTTTGTATGTTTGGATTTTGAAGAGGTTAACTAATTACAGGCTAAAATAATGCCTTTTTTAGTGTTTTTAATTTTTAGAATACACTACATAAATTGTAAGTAATTGTGGGTCTCAAAAACCCTAGGAACTTTTAAGTGTCTTAGCACTTCCTCGATGTGCCTGCCCTGAAGGAGTGAGCTCACATGTGAGACAACTGCACTCCAGTGTGGGCGTGCCTTTTTCTTCAGGCCATGCGAAGGGTGTTTAAAGCAGCCTTGCAGGTCGCTCCTTTCCCAGCCGTGGATAAAAACTGAAGCCAGGAATCTAATAAGGAATGCTGATTTCCTCAATTCCATTTTGGGGCATGGGGAAGGCTGTTCTAAAGAAAAAAATGGGACTGGTTTTCTAGGCAGATCTGCAAGGCTGGCTTTAAAAGCACAAGGAGGGAAAGTAACGAAAGGGCTGGACTACTATAAAAGTTACAAATACGTAGTTAGACCAATAGATTTATATAGTCAGGTTTTTGTCATGTAATTTATTAACTATTACAGAAACACAACTAAGAATATCAAGTATTTCTCTGGCTCTTGACAGAAAAAAAAATCAGTTGACTTAACCCTTTGCTGTCAAAAGAGTTGGCATTGCCTGTTCTAGGTGCTACTGCCAAATGTTCTGATACTTAGAGTTGGGATGCACAACGTCAACCACTGACTTCTCAATGCAGCCGCCTGTGTATTGCAATTGGCCGTTACCTTAAGCGCGGGGCCACCCGGGTTTAGTTCAGCCATTTCAAGAAGTATATTTAACGTCGGTAGTTCTGCTTTATTAAAATGCAGCAGAGGTACTCTTCTGTCCCTTCCGTTTATAGTTCTCTGAGAGAGTTCTATTTTTTGGTTTTGTTTCGTGTTTTCTTTTTTTTTTTTTTTTTTTTTTTTTTGAGACAGAGTCTTGCTCTGTCGCCCAGGCTGGAGTGCAGTGGAGTGATCTTGGCTCACTGCAAGCTCTGCTCGCCGGGTTCACACCATTCTCCTGCCTCACCCTCCCGAGTAGCTGGGACTACAGGCGCCCGCCACCACGCCCAGATAAGTTTTTTTTTTGTATTTTTAGCAGAGACGGGGTTTCACCATTGTTGCGGGAAGTCAGGGAACCCAAACGGAGGAACCTGCTGAAGCCATGACAGAAGAACATGGATTATGAAGATTTTATGGACATTTATTAGTTCCCCAAATTAATACTTTTGTAATTTCTTAATGCCTGTCTTTACTGCAATCTCTAAACATAAATTGTAAAGATTTCATGGACACGTATCACTTCCCCAATCAATACCCTTGTGATTTCCTATGCCTGTCTTGTCTTTAATCTCTTAATCCTGTCAGCTGAGAAGGATGTATATCGTCTCAGGACCCTGTAATAATTGCGTTAACTACACAAATTGTACAGCATGTGTGTTTGAGCAATATGAAATGTGGGCACCCTGAAAAAAGAACAGGATAACAGCAATTGTTCAGGGAATAAGAGAGATAACCTTAAACTCTGACTGCCGGTGAGCCGGGCAGAACAGAGCCATATTTCTCTTCTTTCAAAAACAAATGGGAGAAATATCGCTGAATTCTTTTTCTCAGCATGGAACGTCCCTGAGAAAAGAGAATGCGCACCTAGGGGTAGGTCTCTGAACTGGCCCCCCCGGGGCGTACCTGTCTCTTATGGTCGAGATTGCAGAGGTGAAATAAACTCCAGTCTCCCATAGTGCTCCCAGTCTTATTAGGAAGAGGAAATTCCCGCCTAATAAATTTTGGTCAGACAGGTTGATCTCAAAACCCTGTCTCCTGATAAGATGTTATCAATGACAATGGTGCCTGAAACTTCATTAGCAATTTTAATTTCGCCTCGGTCCTGTGGTCCTGTGATCTTGCCCTGCCTCCACTTGCCTTGTGACATTCTATTACCCTGTTAAGTACTTGATGTCTGCGACCCACACCTATTCGCACACCTCCCCTTTTGAAAATCCCTAATAAAAACTTGCTGGTTTTTGTGGCTTGTGGGGCATCGCGGATCCTACCAACGTGTGATGTCTCCCCCGGACACCCAGCTTTAAAATTTCTCTCTTTTGTACTCTGTCCCTTTATTTCTCAAGCCAGCTGACGCTTAGGAAAATAGAAAAGAACCTACGTGATTATCAGGGCAGGTCCCCCGATACACCATGTTAGCCAGGATGGTCTCAATCTCCTGACCTCGTGATCTGCCCACCTCAGCCTCCCAAAGTGCTGGGATTACAGGTGTGAGCCACCATGCCCAGGCTTGTTTTGTGTTTTATTTTGCATTTCATATCTTACATTTATCCCTGAACATGTTTTGTACTTTTTTTTGTTGTTAAGAAAAGGAATTCTTTTGTGTATCTATAGATACTTGCATGATCTACTGTAGTCAACGTTCGGTTCCTCAAAAGGTCTTGCTGCTGTCAGGTGTTATGCACTCCATCCATAATAACTGTGTGAAACACATTTCATATGTAAATAAACGTGGGACATTTGGCCCATGTGCTTCTGTGAGAGAGTTATTGATTGTGAGTCTCTGACATCTTTGTGAAGTTTGGGAAGTGACTAATTGCAGGGACAAGCTACAGGATGTTGCAGAATCCTTCCCACTCAGAAGAATGGCATGTTCTCTCTCATTAGTAATCAGCTATTTTGTCACTTTCTCATTGACTCCATCAGTACATCGGTACAATCCAAGGGTGTGAATTTCAGCTTGAAATTCCATTGCTATTACTTGTTATGTTTGTATTGCTCTAAGTTGTATTCATAGCACTTTCATATGTTTCTGCATTTGAACCTTGCAATAAGCCTGTGTGGTAGGCCACATAGGTCCAAATAACCTAGTTTTACAGTTGAGGAAGCTGAGCTCAGATTCAGTTCTTTGCTGAAGCCCTCATAGCTGGTAAGTGGCTTTGCATATTAGAACCCAAATATTTTGCTCTCTAAATCTAATGCTCGCTCTATGTGGTTATGTACATATTGACAAATATTCATTTATTCAACAAATAAAAAGTATGTACAAAGCATGAAAAAAATAAAAAATAAAAACAACAACAATAAACTATAGCTTCTGATCTGAACGGAAAACTAAGCTGATGGAGGAAAGAGAGTTTCTTAAAAATGGCAGAGGAGATTCCAAAAAAAAAGTAATTCTAGTCACTCAAGAGACCAAAAGACCTCATGATCACAAAGCCACTTATGATACTAAACACTCAAGGTAAGGGGCAAAATTTGTAGATAAAAGTCTTTGTGAAGATCATGAGACACATATATTAGAAGCAAAGAACAACAAAGAGTCAAGTGGCAATCAGTTACTTGATATTGTTATTCCACCAGGCACACAAATTGAGAAAGAGCAAATTACTGGGCAAGTTGAGAAGAATGCTACCAACCCTAAACCCCAGTTAAGTCACTCCTCTCGACTGTCCCCTGACTTAACTAGAGACACTGATGAAGCTGCTTTTGAGCCAGATTATAATGAAAGTGACAGTGGAAGTTATGTATCTGTAAAAGATGAGGAAACTTCAGGAAACACTTCTAAGGTCCTGAAAGATAAGATAATGGAGAAAGCAGGAGAAAGCAAAAGAAAGCCTGGACACAGTTGGCCAGGTAGGCATAGGAGGAGCCAGAGTCCGAGCAGAAGTCAGAGCCCTTCTGGAGGCCAGACTTGAGGCCATAGCAGCAGGGCCAGTTCTGCAGAAAGTTAGAATAGCAGGAAGAATAATAAAAAGTAGGAAAAGGAAAAGCACAAGAAACATTAAAAAAAAAAAAAAAAAAAACCATACATGCAGGTACTGCAGGGGAATTGGAAAAAAGCCAAAAAACACAGACATAAGAAAAGGAAGTCAAAGAAGAGCAAAAGATAAAGAGAAAGATAACAAAAAATGAAATCTGTCACCATGTAAAAGGACAGATTTTTTAAATGGACTTAATGGCTAAGTCTGTATTCAATTTTGTTATTATGTAAAGAGATTCAGGTCTTGTAAATAATGACATGGAAGACTCTGTGCTGCACTTAAAATATTGCTGCTTGATTATTGGATTTTTACATCAGAGGTTGATGCAGTTTGGATATTTGTCCCCACCCCAATCTCATGTTGAAATAAAATCCCCAGTGTTGGAAGTCAGGCCTGGTGGGAGGTGTCTGGGTCATGGAGGTGGATCCCTCATAGCTTGGTGCTTTCTCTGCAAAATCTGGTTGTTTAAAGTGTGTGGCACCTCCCCTACTCTCTCTTGCTTCTACTCCCACCATGTGAGACACATGCTCCTGCTTCACCTTTCACCATGATTGTAAGCTTCCTGAGACCTCCCCAGAAGCAGATGCCAGTGCTATGCTTCCTGTACAGTCTGAAGAACTATAAGCCAATTAAACCATTTTTCTTTATAAATTAACCAGTCTCAGGTATTTTTATAGAAATACAAGAATTGCTTAATACAGAAAATTGGTACCAAGGAGTGGGACACTGCTATGAAGATACCTGGAAATGTGGAAGCAGCTTTGGAACTAGGTAATGGGCAGAGGTTGGAAAAGTTTGGAGAGCTCAGAAGAAGAGAGAAAGATGAGAGAAAATTTGGAACTTTTTAAAGACTGGTTAAATACTTGTGACCAAAATGCTGATAGTGATATGAACAGTGAAGTCCAGGCTGATGAGGTATCAGATGGAAATGACAAACTTATTGGGAAATGGAACAAATGTCACCTTTGTTATGCCTTAGCAGAGAACTTAGCAGTATTGTGTCCATGCGCTAGGGATCTATGGAAGTTTGAATGTCAAAGTGATGATCTACGTTATCTGGCAGAAGAAATTTCTGAGCACCAAAGTGTTTAAGAAGTGGCATGGCTGCCTCTAACAACATAAGCTCAGATGTGGGAGCAAAGGAATGACTTAAAGTTGGAACTTATATTTAAAGAGGAAGCAGAGCATAATAGTTTGGAAATTTTTCAGCCTAGCCATGTGCCAAAGAAAGAAAAAGCTTTTTCAAGGGAAGAATCCAAGCAGGCGATGGAGTAACCACTTACTAGAGATACTTCCTTTTGGTAACAAGTATTTAACCAGTCTCTATGGAGCAACCACTTGCTAGAGATATTTACATAACTAAAAGGGAGACGGGTGCTAATATCCAAGGCAATGGGGAAAAAGCCTCCAAGGCATTTCAGAGACCTTTGAGGCAGGTGGGAATGTAAACTAGTACAACCACTATGGAAAACACTGTGAAGATTCCTTAAAGAGCTAAAAGTAGAACTACCATTTAATTCAGCAATCCCACTACTGGCTATCTACCCAGAGGAAAAGAAGTCATTATATGAAAAAGATACTTGTACACATACAAAAGATATAGCAGCACAATTTGCAATTTTAAAAACATGGAACCAACCCAAATGCCCATCAATCAATGAGTGGATAAAGAAACTGTGGTATATATATACAATGGAATACTACGCGGCCATAAAAAGGAATGAATTAATGGCATTCACAGTGACCTGCATGAGACTGGAGACTGTTATTCTAAGTGAAGTAACTCAGGAATGGAAAACCAAATATATGTTCTCACTCATTTGTGGAAGCTAAGCTATGAGGATGCAAAGGTATAAGAACGATACAGTGTACTTTGGGGACTCAACAGGAAAGGGTGGGAAGGGGGTAAGGGATAAAAGACCACAAATTTGTTTCAGTAAATACTGCTTGGGTGATGGGTGCACCAAAATCTCACACATCACCACTAAAGAACTGACTCATGTAACCAAACACCACCTGTTCCCCATTAACCTATGGAAATGAAAAGATTTAATAAGAAAGAAAGAAAAAAAGAGAGAGAGGAAGAAAGAAAGAGGAAAGAAAAAGAAAGAAAGAACAAAAGAAAAGGAAGGGAAGAAGAAACAAACAGATTGGAAAGAGGGAAGTAAAACCATTTTTGCAGAGGACACAATTATATTTGTGTGTAAAAATCCTAAGAAATACAAAAAACTACTAAAATAAGAAAACTTATAAAAATCATAAATTACAAAGTCAATATCATAAATTACAAAATCAAATCAATTGATTTTTACATATTGACAATAAACTATAGGGAAATGAAAATGTAAAATATACCATTTATACAATAGCCTCACAAACTTTAAAATAATTAGGACTGGATTTAACAAAATGTGGACACAAGACCTATATACAAAAAGCTGTAAGCCGGGCATGGTGACATGAGCCTATAGTCCCACCTACTTGGAAGCCTGATGAAGAAGGATTGCTTGAGTGGAGTTTGAGTCCAGCCTGGCCAACATAGAAAGACCCCATCTCTATTTAAAAATTTTTAACACAAAAAACAAAATAAAATCCTGTAAAATATTGCTGAAATAAAATAAAGAAGACTTAAATAAATAGAGGGATATGCCATGTTCATGGATTGAAAGACTCAGTATTGTTAAGACACCAATTTTCTCCAAATCCATCTACAGATTCAACACAATCCCATTCAAATTTCAACAGGGTTTTCTTTTTTTTTTTTTTTTTTTGGTAGAAATTCACAAGCTTATTCTAAAAGCTATGTGAAAATACAAAGAATCTACAATAGCCAGAACAATTTTAAAAAGAACAAAGAAGACTTATACTATCTGATTTTAAGACTTTCTATAAAGCTATAATAATCAAGACGGTAAGGTAGACCCACGATTTCCATGAGCATGAACCCACTGCTGAACTTTATTTGCTGTAAAATGAATTTCTTGGCCAGAAGCAAAGCAGAGTGTCATACCACCATGGTGAATAAGGCATTCTTTCTGTATATGGATAATAGTTCTGGCAGGAGTATTGCAGGCAGAAAAAGCAAAGGCTGGCTGGTTCTTCCAAGGAAAGGTGCCATTGAGGGCTCAGCTGGTCTCTGCTGTTCAAAGGTTGGCCACTCAGCAGTGGTGGTAGGCATTAGACCTTAGTAAGTGGACAGTCCACATCACTCTTGCCTTGGCCACTTTGAGCATGAACACTTTAGGTAGCTGAGGAAAGAGGCTGGATGATCCAGAGGACAGATTATCTTGCCCACTTGATTATTAAAATCTTCTTCTGCTGTAATTACTCTAGGTGAGCATTCACATGGGATGCAGATATCTTCACTTTTGTGGCCAATCTGAGAGGTCTGTCCATACACCTCTTCCTCGAATGCCTTGTGACCACTTTTCCAATTGTGTCCCTTCCAAGCCCAGCCAGCTAAACCATTAGCCACTGCCCATAAATCAGTGTAGATCTATATCTCTGGTAACCTTTTCTTTCCCGGAAATAAACAATCAGGGGTACTGCTTGAAGTTATGCCCAGTAGGAGTATTTTCCTTCACTACTGTCCTTCAGGGCCACACCAGAAAGTCCTCCTATTTAAATCTCAACACAAACAAACCAACTGTAAAAAGACATTGATGAGGCCTGGCGCCGTGGCTCACGCCTGTAATCCCAGCACTTTGGGAGGCTGAGGCGGGTGGATCACGAGGTCAGGAGATCAAGACCATCCTGGCTAACACAGTGAAACCCCGTCTCTACTAAAAATACAAAAAATTAGCCTGGCGTGATGGTGGGCACCTGTAGTCCCAGCTACTCGGGAGGCTGAGGCAGGAGAATCACTTGAACCTGGGAGGCAGAGGTTGTAGTGAGCCAAGATCGTGCCACTGCACCCCAGCCTTGCAACAGAGTGAGATTCCATCTCAAAATATAATAATAATAATAATAAATAAATAAAAATAAATCTATCTAAGAAAGCATTCTAAATATTACCCGGCCTCATCAGCTTATGATCTCAAAATACGGTCCTATTTCTATTTAGACCCAATTTAGAATGACTGTAAACATTACCCCCATCTGCCACCTCCCCAAGCAGGGGCATATTCTCACCCTCTCCAGACTCCATTATTCCAAGAAGCCCACAAAGGGGTTCTGCATATTAGACCACAAACTAGGCAGAAGCTGACAGCCATCCCTATCATTTTCTATCCTCTGACTCTCTAAACCCAGCTCCCACTTGTCTACGTCTACTGCCTCAGAAGCCACTTAAAGAGGCTTAATCATTGCTGCTGTTGACAAAAACAAAGAGAAAGAAAGTCC
The DNA here is from genome assembly GCF_000001405.40 of Homo sapiens. NCBI lineage: Eukaryota > Metazoa > Chordata > Mammalia > Primates > Hominidae > Homo > Homo sapiens. Next base: position 77,743,226 of record NC_000010.11, read on the forward strand.
TTGAAACCATTCCAAATTAAAAGACACTAAGATACAAGACAGCTAAGTGCAATATGCAATCCTGAGTTGGGTTCTTTCTATGATTGAAATGTTTGTGCCCCTGCAACTCCCATCCTTACCATCAAATGTTGAAATCCTAACCCCTAAAGTGATGATATTAGAAGTTAGGGCTTTTAGGAGGTTATTAGGTCATGGAGGTAAGTTCTCATGAATGGGATCAGCGCCCTTATAAAAGAGGCCGAGAGACCCCTCACCCCTTTACCATGTGAGGACACAGCAAGAAGTCACCATCTATGAGCCAGAAAGCAAGGCCCTCGCCAGACACTGAATCTGCCAGCACCTTGCTCTTGGACTTGCCAGTGTCCAGAACTGCAAGAAATAAATCTCTGTTCATAAGCCACCCAGTCTACGGTATTTTGTTATAGTAGCCTGAATGAACTAAGACAGTCTTAAACTGGGGGAAAAAATGGCTATAAAGTCATGACTGAGACAACTGAAATTTCAATATGGGCTGTAGATTATAGTATATTCGTGTTAAATTTCCAAATTTGGATCATTGCATAGTGGTTATGTAAGAGAATGTTCTCACACTTAGGAAATACACACTGATGTATTTAGGGGTATAAATTATCACTGAAAATTCTCCCCATCAACACAGCCTTTCAGCCACACAATTTCCTTCCCAATAGCCAACAAATGTTATCTCCTTCTTGGATAAATCCTCACAGAGGCATTTCATGCTTTTACAACCAATACATGTCCTAAATCTCTTTTATAACAAAAGTGAGACCATTCTCTACAGTCTATTCTGCATTTTGCTTTCTTTTTTTTTTTTTTTTTTTTTTTTTTGAGACAGAGTCTCGCTCTGTAGCCCAGGCTTGAGTGCAGTGGCGTGGGTTTCCGCTCGCTGCAACCTCTGCCTCCCGAGTTCAAGCGATTCTCCTGCCTCAGCCTCCTGAGTAGCTGGGACTATAGGCGTGTGCCACCACACCCAGCTAATTTTTTGTATTTTTAGTAGAGACGGGGTTTGACCATGTTAGCCAGGATGGTCTCGATCTCCTGACCCCCCACCTCGCCCTCCCAAAGTGCTGGGAGGTGATCCACCCACCTCGCCCTACCAAAGTGCTGGGATTACAGGCATGAGCCACCACACCCAGGCTGGCTGTCTTTCTTAATACAGTCATGCATCACTTAATGACAGGGATATGGCCTTAGGCAATTTTGTCTGTTGTTCTGTGAACATCTTAGAGTACTTACACAAACATAGATGGAACAGCCTACTACTCACTTAGGCTATGTGGTAATGCCTACTGCTCCTACACTACAAACCTAAACATGTTAATTTACAGAACACTGTAGGTAATTGTAACAAAATGGAAAGTATTTATGCATCTAAACACACCTAAACATAGAAAAAGTACAGTAACAATATGGTAGAAAAGATTAAAAACGGTATACCTGCATAGGGCAGCTCCATTATAATCTTATGGGATCAACATTATATATGTGGTCCATCACTGACAAAAACATTAGTTAGGCAGGGCATCACTGTAATCTTGAAGATCAATCCACATCAGAACGTGAAGTGCCTCCTCATTATTTTTTACCACTACCTAGTATTCCACTGTGAGATGTACCATAACTGAAGCAGGCCCCATTCTCTGGATACTCAGCTTGTTTCCAATCTTTTGCTATCCCTTATTAACATCTGTACAATAGCAAACATCAAGGGACCCAGGAAGATTGGGAACATAAACATATAGTAAAAGTATGACATTAATATGTCATTAATAATTTCATTAGGAATTATATTTTAAATGGATACTAAGAAATGCAACGTTTTATGTTATGAGTCAGGAAACTAGATGTGTGAAGGAATGATTGATGAGTATGAAAAACCAAGAATGTGCCTGTAATCCCAGCACTTTGGGAGGCCGAGGCAGGTGGATCACGAGGTCAAGAGATCGAGACCATCCTGGCCAACTTGGTAAAACCCTGTCTCTACAAAAGTACAAAAATTAGCCAGGCCTGGTGGCATGCGCTGTAGTCCCAGCTGCTTGGGAGGCTGAGGCAGGAGAATCGCTTGAACCTGGGAGGCGGAGGTTGCAGTGAGCTGGGATCCTGTGACTACACTTCAGCCTGGTGACAGACTGAGACTGTCTCAAAAAAAAAAAAAAATAGAAGAAGAAAAACCAAGAATGATTGTGAGGAGGTCAATGTTAACAGTTCTGTGTATTAACTATTAAATAAACCTTCCTGGAAAAGCATTTGAATACAATGAGTTGTTTTTTTTTTTTTTTTTTGGAAAACTATTCCAGACATGAAACCCAAATGACAATTAAGAATACTAGTAAAACAATTGATGGTGGTGTTGTTATTGTGCCATTAATGAAAGTACTGACAGGAAAAGGATAGGACTTTGCGTTCATTAATAAAAGATCTAAAAAAAACCATAATGTCCTATAATTAAAACAACAACAAATAAAGTTACCTTTTACTTCACTCTGCCAAATAAGGCTATACTGGAAGAGAAAGAGGTAACTATTGACCTGAGAGTGAAGACTGGAGTATAAATGTACATATACATACCTATATATACACTGAGACTATGTATTTGGGGATTGTAGGACTCTTTTGGTTGGTAAAAATTAATTCCGTATCACTTTTATCCTCAGGTTCTTTTTTCCTCAGGTATTTTTCCTTAGGTTCTTGAATTTCAAAAGATAGTAACTTAATTTGACATACACTTAGACAATATCCCAAGAGCCTAAAACCACATAGGCAACTTATCCTGACCTAAAATCCTCTCTTCTTCCAGGAATCAGAGTCTAGTAACTGTCCTCTGCCAGCAGACTCAGCACTTTCTCTTTTATTACAACGGCCTTTTGTGGATTTTCACTCCTCGGACTAGACAGTTGGCCCTTTGAAGGTAGAATCCATATCTTAATGATCCAGCTGCACAGAATGTATTCGAGCAAGCGTAGTGTCAGCTCCTACTCTCCAGAAGCAGCAAGCACAGGCTCTGTCCAGTGTCCACTGTCCAGGGCCAGCGGTGATAGTGGTGCAAGTTGCAGCATCTATGCCAGCAGCGATGGCATTACTGTCTTCACTGAAGCAGTTCTAGCCTATGATTTGGGAGGCTGGCCTTGAACATGAAGCCACCTAGCTTAATTTTCCGGTCTTATTGGTCAGAATAGGCTAGGTCATCCCATGAAACAAATAAATTCCAACATTTCAGCAGTTTTGCTTTCCAATCACACACGGGTGGAGGCGGGTTGGACAGCTTGTCTGGGCGGTGCATCTCCAGGCAGTGACTCATGCCCTGGGCTGTTCCTAGTGTGGTTCCAGCATCGCAGCTCCTTCTCTTTCACAGGACCATGAGAGCCAAGGATATGGCAAGAAATTTTAGGGACAGGCCTGGAAACACTATGCATTAATTTCCCCTTATGCTCCGTCGGCCTAACTGAAAGGCAGGCTGAAAAACCTCATCTTCCTATGTGCTTAAGAAGCAGAAATGGGACTGGGGAGGATCCAGCCAGGGTTTACCCTTCAAGAAATTTTATTCTTCCAATTTTGGTATGTGGTATATGTGAGCACTCTCTCAGAGATTTTATGAGCCACCTCTTATCCTTTCAGAGGTTCATTTTCTGATGACCCCAGCCAAGATTGGTTTCTATTGTCTGCAACTAATGTCCTTGACTGATAGAAAGATGGGAGGTCCAATAGGATATACTGTTCAGGAGCACATACCTGCACTCAAACTCCAGGCTCTTGCTTTACTAAACTTCACACTTTTGGCAAGTGACCGGGCCTCATCTTCCATAAAGTGCAGAGAATAATAGCATCTACCCTATGAAGTTGTTGTGAGGATAGAGTAAGTTAATGCGAGGAAAGTGCCTAGCACAGCTGGCCTGCAGTAAGTGCTCAGTAAATGGTATCCATTATTTATCCTCCCAAGGTATCCAGCCTTCAGAGGCTTCCTGGAGGAGGTACTCACAAAGATTTGAATGATTGTAGAGGACTGGGCAGAAGAAGGGGTCTTATAGGAAAATGAGCTTCTCCAGGCATGATAGATGTGTTATCTTTGTTTTGGGTTTTTACAGTTTGTTTGTTTTAGAGACAGGGTCTCACTCTGTCACCCAGGCTGGAGTGCAATGGTGTGATCATAGCTCACTGCAGTCTCAAAATCCAGGGTTCAAGGGATCCTCCCACCTCAGCTTCCCAAGTAGCTAGGACTATAGGCACACAGAACCATGGCCACCCAGCTGACTGAGATGTGTTATTTTTAAATTAATGGGTGCTGAGCACTGAAGAAAGAGCCATCCAGTGTTTGAGTATTCCCATCATGTGCTCAAGGGAACCTCCTTGCCTGGGTCCCATTTATCTTCTCCTTTGAAAGTCAGATTTGGGGGAGTTTGACTCATGGACAAGGTCTGTGCGCACGCTGTCTTTTAGCTCTGGGATGGGGGTGGTGGTGGGCAAGCCCTTCCCGGGTAAGGCAGAGCCTGTGGGGCCAGTGCCTGTGTGAAGACAGCAAGGACACTGGCAAGCACACACCAGGCAGGGTTCAGGCTCGGGCTTAGGGTGTCCGGAAGGGGAATGGCTATTCTGAAATCCCAAGTCTAAGCTGAAGACCTTCCTCAAAGCCTCAGGAGATCCGGCTCACGGTGGGGACAAGTATAGAGTATTTGTTTCACAGCAGCAGTGAGCAGGCCTTCATTTGCTTCTGTGTTTTTCAAGTCACTTGTTGGGGTGTGAAAATCCCATCCCTAGATTCTCCACTAACTTCTTCACTGTAAATGCAGAAGCCCCAAAGGAGCCAATTTCATGTGCCAGAGCCCAACAGGCCTGGGCTCCCATCCTCAGTGTGTTATCATGGAAGACAAGGCAATGACAAGCAAATGGTCTTTCTTTGGGGACAGTTGTAAAGCCCTTGAGTGATAAGCCCCCTCCAATGGAATGTGGCCCTTCCTATCAAGAACAGCTCCAGGAGGCCGGGCGCAGTGGCTCATCCCTGTAATCCCAACACTTTGGGAGGCCGAGGCGGGTGGATCACTTGAGGTTAGGACTTCGAGACCAGCCTAACCAACATGGTGAAATCCCACCTCTACTAAAAATACAAAATTAGCCAGGCATGGTGGCAGGCACCTATAATCCCAGCTACTTAGGAGGCTGAGGCAGGAGAATCGCTTGAATCCAGAAGGCAGAGGTTGCAGTGATCTGAGATCGTGCCTTTGCACTCCAGTCTGGGCAACAAGAGTGAAACTCCATCTCAAAAAAATAAAAAAGAACAGCTCCAGGGAATGAATATAGTGTCAGGTCGAGTCCTCTTTCTCTAGAGAGGGATTTTCTAAATATGAAAGAATCGAGGTTCCTATTTTGACCATGTCTTCTTAAAGGATGACAGTCCAAGTTCTCACTGAAACAACAGTAGTAGGCAGCAGAAAGACAGTGCAGAGGGAGGGGAAGAAGTAGAGGTATGGACTTAAGGACTGGGTGACATGGCCAGGGAAATGGACATTAATACTCAACAGGCTAAGTCAAGGATGTTTAATGTGCCCATCCCACTGCTGGGTTTCAGGGAGCTGAAGGGAGCAATGGGCCAGCACTGAGGTTGAGATCTGATTTTGTCCTTTACTAGCCTTGGAGCCTTGGTCCATGTTAACTGTCTGAGCTTCGGTTTCTTCATTTATCAACTATAGATAAAATTCCTTGCCCTGGCTGCTTCACAGGATTCTCATGATGAACTAAAACACACAGACACATAGACACACACACACACACACACACACACACACACACAAAACACTTTATAAAGCTTGATAATCCAGAAGGGGTTGTTTTAAAACAAAGCATTATTATTATAGTTGAAGTTAAGATAAATTCTAGCTCTCTGGGAACCTACAGTCCAGTTGTAGAAATAAAATACATGAAATTAAAATACATAAGTAGCAAATAATGGCAATCTGTGCTCAGCACGAGATAGTGTTATCAAACCCACATTCAGTAAGTTTTCTGAGAGTCAGATGTAGAGTGAATCAGGTAGAACAAATTTCATAGAAGTGGTGGTAAGAACTGAAATGGGTCCTAGAAAAAAAGAAGGTTGTAGAAAAATTGCAAGAAGGAAGGAAGGCAATTGCGTGTGTGTGTGTGTGTGTGTGTGTGCATTTTAAGCTGAAAAGCTCAACCAGGACATACACTATGCTAGGCTAGAGATGCATACTCTGACTGTGAAAGGTAAGAAATAGGTCTAAAGCAGAGATAGGAAAACTACAGCCCCACGAGCCAATTTTGGTACAAGCTGTAAGCTAAGAATAATTTTTACACTTAGAAAATGTTATAAGGAAAAAGAAAAAAAGGAGGAGTGACACAGACTTTGTGTTATATTTCCTTATAACAGAAAATGTTATAAGGAAAAAGAAAAAAAGGAGGAGGAGTGACACAGACTTTGTGCCCCACAAAATCTAAAGTATTTACTATCTGTCCCTATACGGACCAATATGTACATGACGATTCAATGACAATGAAAATACAACATATTCAAATTTGTGTGGTGCAGCCAAAACAGTGCTGATAGGGAAATTTATAGTACTGAGTGAAATGTTTATATTAGAAAAGACAAGAGGCCACAAATTAATATTACAAGGTCCTATATCAGGAAACTAGAAAAATAAGAACAAACTAAACAGGGGCCGGGCATAGTGGCTCACACTTGTAATCCCAGCACTTTGGGAGGCCAAGGTGGGTGGATCACTTGAGGCCAGGAGTTCAAGACCAGCCTGGCCAACATGATGAAACCCCATCTCTGTAACCCCAGCTATGTGGAAGGCTGAAGCACGAGAATTGCTTGAGCCTGGGAGGTAGAGATTGCAGTGAGCTGAGATCGCACCAAATCCTTGAAATCCTCACATGCACTCCAGCCTGGGCAATAAAGCAAGATCCTGTCTCAAAAAACAAAAAAAAGGGAAAAAAAAGAAAATGAAACAAAAAGCAAACAGAAGGAAGAAAAAATGACAATAGCAGAAGTAAATGAAATTGAAAAAAATACATAGTAAATTAATGAAGCAAAAACTGGTTATTTCAAAAAATTTGTGAAATTGACAAACTTCTATTGAGGTGGGTGGATCACTTGAGGCCTGGAGTTCAAGATCAGCCTGGCCAACGTGGTGAAACCCATCTCTACTAAAAATCAAAAATTAGCCAGGCATGGTGGTGCACGCCTGTGGTCCCAGCTATTCGTGAGGCTGAAGCACAAGAATTGCTTGAACCCAGGAGGCAGAGGTTGTAGTGAGCTAAGATCACAACACTGCACTCCAGCCTGGGCAACAGAGTGAGAGTTTGTCAAAAAAAAAAAGAAAAAAAAAAAAGACTGACAAAGGCAAAGAGGGAAAATATAGTATCAGAAATGAAACAAGAGATATAATTACAGACCCTACAGACATCAAAAGGATAATAAAGGAATACTACAACTTTACACACATAAATCTTGACAATTTTGATAAAATGAACCAAATCCTTGAAACCCACACATGACCACAAGTCAACTAATATGGTATAAAAAGTTTGAATAGCGATATAACTATTGAGAAAATTAAACCCCTAATTTTAAAACTCCTCCCCCAACCAAATCTCCAGGCACAGATGCCTTCACCACTGAATTATGCCAAATTTTAAAGAAGAATTAACTCCAATGCTACACAATCTCTTCCAGAATATAGAAAATAAAGAAACACATCCCAATTTATTTTGTAAAGTTAATATTACCCTGATGCTAAAACCAGACAAATATATTTAAAAAAAAGAAAATGACAGATCAACAGCCCTGATGAATATAGAAATAATCCTTATTTAAAAATAGCAGAGAATTCAATAATATCCAAAAAGAATTATATACCACCATCAAGTAAGGGTTATTTCAGGAATGCAAAGCTGGTTCAATATTTGAAAATCAATCAAGGTAATCTACCATATTGCCATGCTACAGGAAAAAAATTACATGATTATGTCAATTGATGCAAAAGAAGAATTTTACAAAATTTGACACTCATTTATAATAAAAATTCTCAAAATACTTAAGAGGGAAACTTTCTCAAATTAGTAAAGATCAGCTACAAAAAAAAAAATCTACAGATAACATCATATATAATGGTAAAAGATGGAGTACTTTCTCCCTAAGATTAGACACAAGGATGTCTTTTATCACTTCTAGTACTGGAAGGGCTAGCCAGTATAACAATAAAAAGAAAAAAAAAAAAGGAAATAAAGGCTAGCCCTGGTGGCTCATGCCTGTAATCCCAGCATTTTGGGAGGCTGAGGCGGGTGGATCACGAGGTCGGGAGTTCAAGACCAGCCTGGCCAACATGGTGAAATCCTGTCTCTACTAAAAATACAAAAATTAGTCAGGTGTGGTGGCTCACACCTGTAGTCCCAGCTACTCAGGAGGCTGAGGCAGGAGAATCGCTTGAACCCAGGAGGCGGAGGTTGCAGTGAGCCAAAATTGCACCTTTGCACTCCAGCCTGGTGAGAGAGCAAGACTCTGTCTCAAAAAAATAAAAGTAAATAAAATACATAAAAATCACCAAGAAAAAGTTGTCCTATTTGCAGATCATATGATCATCTATAAAAATCCTCAGGGAGGCGGGGCGCAGTGGCTCACACCTGTAATCTCAGCACTTTGGGAGGCTGAGGTGGGCGGATCACGAGGTCAGGAGATCAAGACCATCCTGGCTAACACGGTGAAACCCCGTCTCTACTAAAAATACAAAAAAAAACTTATCTGGGCGTGGTGGCAGACACCTGTAGTCCCAGCTGCTAGGGAGGCTGAGGCAGAAGAATGGCGTGAACCCGGGAGGCAGAGCTTGCAGTGAGCCGAGATCGCACCACTGCACTCCAACCTGGGCGACAGAGCAAGACTCCATCTCAAAAAAACAAAAAAAAAAAATAGAAATCCTCAGGGAATATACCTAAACAAAACAAAACCAATAAAATCATCCAACTCCTAGGAATTATGGTAAGACTGAAAGATACAAGTTCAACATACAAAAAACACTTGTATTACTATATATCCATGGAAACTGAAATTTAAAATACCATTTATGACTGTAATAAAAATTTCTAATACTTAGGTGTGAATATAGCAAAACCTATACAAGACTGAATGTAAAAAATGACAAAATGCTGATCAAAAAAATTAAAAGATTAAAATAAATAAAGAGAAATAGAGACATAGCATATTCATGGGTTACAACACCCACCATGCTGTTAATATATACTTTTGCTACAATTTCTATAAAAATTACAGATATACACAAGATTATTTGAAAATGTATATGGGAAGGCAAAGGAACTTAAAAAGCTAAAACAATTTTGAAAATGAAGACTAAGGTAGGAGGGATAATTCAACCCAATTTTAAGACATTGCATAGCTACAGTGATCAAGACTTTGTGGTACTGGTGGAGTAATAGACACATAGATCAATGGACTAGAAGACCCCAAAGTAGCCCTGTACAGGTACAATCTACTGATTTTTTTAAGGTGCAAAAGTAATCAAATGCAGGAAGAATGGTCTTTTCAACAAATGGTATTTGACCAAGTAGACATCCATAGGCAAAAAATGAACCTCGACCTGAACCTCACAACTTATATGAAAATCAACTTAAAATATTTGCAAACTACTCATCTGATAGAGGATTAATATCCAAAATATACAAGGAACTCAAACATCTCAACAGCAAAAACAAACAAACAATCCAATTAAAAATGGGTTATAAATTTAAATGTAAAACTATAAAACTTCTAGAAGAAAACACAGGAGAAAATCTTTAGGACCTAGGGCTTGGTGAAGAGTTCCTGGTCATGGCATTAAAAACACAATTCGTAAAAGAAAAAAAAAGGTTAAGTAGTACATCATCAAAATTTAAAACTTTAAAAGAAAGAAGGCCCAAGCAAATAAACTGAACGACAAAAAAAAAATGAGACATCACAAAGGATAGCACAGAAATACAAAGGATCATTAGAGACTATTATGAAAACCTATATGCCAATAAATCTGAAAACCTAGATGAAATAGACAAATTCCTGAACACTTACAACCTACCAAGACTGAATCAAGAAGAAATAAAAAAAAAAAAACTAAACAGAACAATAACAAGTAATGAGATTGAATCAGTAATAAAAAGTCTTCCAACAAAGAAAAGCCCAAGACCAGATGGCTTCATCATTGAATTATACTGAACATTCAAGGAAGAATTAGTACTAGTCCATCTTAAACTATTCCCAAAAATTGAAGCAGAGTGTATTCTTGCTAACTCATTCTACAAGGCCAGCATAACCCTGATACCAAAACCAGACAAGAACACAATAAAAAAAAAAAAAAACGTACAGGCCAATATCACTAGAGAACATTAATGCAAAATCTCTCAACAAAATACTAGCAAACTTAATTTAACAACATATCAAAAAGAAAATACACCAAGATTAAGTGGGATTTATTCCAGGAATGCAAGGATGTTTCAACATACGCAAATCAATAAACTTCATACATCACATCAATAAAATGAAGGACAAAAACCATATGATCATCTCAATAGACACAGAAACAGCTTTTGATAGAATTCAACATCCATTCATGATTTAAAAAAAACCTCTTAATTAGGTATAGAAGGAAAGTACCTCAATATAATAATGGTCATATATAACAAACACACAGATAACATTTAACTAAATGGGGAATAGCTGAAATCTTTTCTTCTAAGAACTGGAACAAGACAAGGATGCCCACTCTTACCACTCTTATTCAAGGTAATACTGGAAGTCCTAACCAGACCAATTAGACAAGACAAAGAAATAAAAGACATCCAAATGGGAAAGGAAGTAAAATTGTCCCTGTTTGCAGATAACATGATCTCGTGTACAGAAAAACCTAAGTACTCTTAAAAAAAAAAAAAAACCTGATAAACAATTTCACCAAAGTCACAAGATATAAAATTAATATACAAAATGTGTGTTTCGATATATGAACAATGAACTAGCTAAAAAGTAATCAAGAGGACAATTTCATTTACAATAGCTACCAAATAAATAAAACACCTAAAATAAATTTAACCAAGGAGGTGAAAAACCTCAACAAAAAAATCTCCAAAGCAGTTATGAAAAAAATAGAAAAAGATGCAAATGGAAAGACATTCCATGCTCATGGATCAGAAGGATTAATATTGTTAAAATGACAATACTACCCAAAGCAATCTATAGATTCAATGCAATCCCTATCAAAATACCAATGATACTCTTCACAGAAACAGGAAAAAAATCCTAAAAGTTGTATGAAACTACAAAAACTCCAAATAGCCAAAGCAATACTGAGCACAAGGAACGAAGAAAAAAGCTGGAAGTATCATACTACCAGAACTCAAAATCTACTACAAACCTTTAATAACCAAAACAGCATGGTACTGGCATAAAAACACATAGACCAATGGAACAGAATTGAGAACACAGAAATTAATCCACATATCTACAGTCAACTGATTTTTTTTTAAGTTTTTTATTTTAAGTTCCAGTATACACGTGCAGGATGTGCAGGCTTGTTGCATAGGTAAACGTGTGGCATGGAGGTTTGCTGTACCTATCAACCCATCACCTAGGTATTAAGCCCAGCATGCATTACTGATGCTCTCCCTCCTGCTGCCCACGCCCTGACAGGCCCCAGTGTGTATTGTTCCCCTCCCTGTGTCTATGTGTTCTCATTGTTCAGCTCCCACTTGTGAGAACATGTGGTGTTTAGTTTTCTGTTCCTGCATCAGTTTGCTGGTTTCTAGCTCCATCCATGTCCCTGCAGAGGACATGATCTCATTCCTTTTTATGGCTGCATAGTAGTCGATGGTGTATATGTACCATATTTTCTTTATCCAGTCTGTCATTGATGGGCATTCGGGTTGATTCCATGCCTTTACTATTGTGAAGAGTGTACAACAGCCAACTGATTTTTGACAAAGGTGCCAACAATACTTTTTAGGAAAAGAACAGTCTCTTCAATAAATGGTGCTAGGAAAATTGGATATTCACATGAAAAAGAATGAAACTAGACCCTCACCTCTCATCTTTTTTTTTTAAGACATCTCACTCTGTCACCCAAGCTGGAGTGCAGTGGCATGATCTCGGCTCACTGCAACCTCTGCCTCCCAGGTTCAAGCAATTCTCCTGCCTCAGCCTCCTGAGTAGCTGGGACTACAGTCTCGTGCCACCACGCCTGGCTAATTTTTGTATTTTTAGTAGAGACGAGGTTTCACTGTGTTGGCCAGGCTGGTCTCAAACTCCTGACCTTGTGATCCACCCGCCTCGACCTCCCAAAGTGCTGGGATTAAAGGTGTGAGCCACTGTGCCCAGCTACCTCTCATCCTATGCAAAAATAAATTCAAAATCCTAAATATGAGGCCAAAAGTGATAAAACTTCTAGAATAAAACAGGGGAAACACTTCAAGACATTGGTCTGGGAAAAGATTTTATGAATAAGACTGCAAAAGCACAGGAAACAAAAGTAAAAACAAAGAAATAGGAGTATATGGTAAAGTAAAAATAAATCGGTTTACAAATAGTATATGGTATATGGTATAAACAAATAGCATATGGTATAAACAAATAGTATATGGTAAAGTAAAAATAAACAGGAGTATATGGAACTACAAATCTTCTGCGCAGCAAAGGAAACAATCAGCAAAGTAAAAAGACAACCTACAGAATGGGAGAAAATATTTGCAAACTACTCATCTGATAGGGGATTAATATCCAGAATATACAAGGAACTCAACAGCAAAATAATAATAATCATCCATTAAAAATGGGCAAATGATCTCAGCAGATATTTCTCAAAAGAAGACATACAAATGGCCAGTAAATACATTAAAAATTCTCAACGTCACTAATTATCATGGAAATGCAAATCAAAACCCCAGGGAGGTATCATCTCACCCCAGTTAACATGGCTATTATCAAAAAATAAATAAATAAATAAATAAATAGCAAATGCTGGCAGGGATATAGAGAAAAGGGAATACTTATACACTACTGATGGGGATGTAAACTAGTACAGCCACTCGGGAGAACAGTATGGAGGTCACTCAAAAAACTACAACTAGAACTACCATATGACCCAGCAATCCCACTGCTGAGACAAAGGGGGATTGTGGGACTACTATCCCCAGCCCTGGAAACTCTGCTTTGTCAAAAACTTAGCCAAAGGAGACAACAAATCAAAGAGCGGCTGTTCAGTAGCACCACACTGTAGGAGGTACATTCCACAGCAACCCCCACTCCCCAGCACAAACCCCCAGCCAGCGGTCCCACACTGCCTGGACAATCCCTTTGGGACCTCCCTCATTTGGCTCTGACCATTTACTAGAGCCAACGTGAACTTGGGCTTGAGGCGCCATCTACAGCCGAAATGGAGGCAGCGACCTACTAGCAAAGATTTGCTAAGCTGATATATTCAATAAAAAACAAAAGTGAACGGAGAAAATTGGAATAAATAACTAACCCTTCAATGCAAAGACGTAGATGGATACTCACAAGAAACAACAACAAACAGGGAACCATGACCTCCCCAAAAGGAGGTCATGAGACAGGTAAGTTCTTATCAATAACAGCACTGGAAGTAAACTGTCTCAATTCTCTAATTAAAAGGCATAGAGTGGCTGATATAGTTGAATATTTGTCCCCTCCTAATCTCATGTTGGAATTTGATCTCCAACACTGGAGGTGGAGCCCAATGGGAAGTGTTTACATCACAGGGGTGGGTCCCTCGTGAATGGCTTGGTGTCATCCCCTTGGTGATGAGTGAGTTCTCACTCTATTAGTTCATGCAAGAGCTGGTTGTTTAAAAAGAATCTGGCACTTCCTTTCTCTCTCTTGCTCCCTCTCTTGCCATGTGATATGTCTACTACCTCTTTGCCTTCTACCGTGGATGGAAGCAGTCTGAGGCCTTCACCAGAAGCAGAGGCTGGTGCCGTCCTTCTTGTATAGTCTGTAGAACTGTCAGCCAAATAAACTCCTTTTCTTTACAAATTACCCAGTCTCAGATATTTCTTTAAATTACAGGGGTGTCCAATCTTTTGGCTTCCCTGTGCCAAGAAGCACTGTGCTCAGCCACAAATAAAATATACTAACACTAATGATAGCTGATGAACTTTTTAAAATAGCAGAAAAATCTCACAGTGTTTCAAGAAAGTTTATGAATTTGTGTTGGGCTGCATTCAGAGCTGTCCTGGGATGCATGCTTTATAACAATGCAAAACAGACTAACACAGTGGCTGAATGGATAAAGAAACATGACCCTACTATATGCTACCTTCAAGAAACCCATTTCACCTACAAAGTCACACACAGACTGAAACGGAAGGGGTGGAAAAATATATAACATGCAAGTGGAAACCAGAAAAGGCTAGGTGTAGTTGTAATTATATCAGGTAAAATAGACTACAAATCAAAGACTGTAAAAAAAAAGACAAAGAAGGTTACTATATAATAATAAAGGGGTCAATTCTTCAGGAGCATATCACAATTATAAATCGCTATGCACCTAACATTGGAACTCCCAAGTAAAGCAAATGTTAATAAATCTAAAGGGAGAAATAGACTGCAATACAATAATGGTAAGAGACTTTAACACCCCACTCTCAGTAACAGATAGGTTATCCAGACAGAAAACCAACAAAAAAAGTAGTAGAGTTAGGCCAGGCACGGTGGCTCACACCTGTAATCCCAGCACTCTGGGAGCCCCAGGTGGGCAATCACCTGAGGTCAGGAGTTCAAGACTAACCTGGCCAACATGGTGAAACCCCATCTCTACTGAAAATACAAAAAAAATTAGCCAGGCGTGGTGGCACGTGTCTGTAATCCCAGCTACTTGGGAGGCTGAGGCAGGAGAATTACTTGAACCCGGGAGGCAGAGGTTGCAGTGAACTGAGATCTGGCCACTGCACTCCAGCCTGGGTGACAGAGCAAGATTCTGTCACAAAAAAAAAAAAAAAAAAAAAGAAAGAAAGAAATAGTGGAAATAGTGGACTGAAACTATATACTAGTCAGCCTGACCAACATGGTGAAACCCCGTCTCTACTATAACTACAAATATTAGCTAGGCATGGTTGTGGGCGCCTGTAATCCCAGCTACTTGGGAGGCTGAGGCAGGAGAATCACTTGAACCTGGGAAGCAGAGGTTGCAGTGAACCGAGATCGTGCCATTGCACTCCAGCCTGGGTGACAAGAGCAAAACTCCATCTCAAAAATAAATAAATAAATAAATAAATAAAAATAAATGAAACCACATACTAGGGCCTAGCTGACATTTATAGAACATTTCATCAGCTGCTGCAGGATACACATTCTTTTGATCAGCACATGGAATATTCTTCAGAATAGATCATATCTCAGGCCAAAAAACAAGTCTGAACAAACTGTAAAAATAGAAATCACATCAAGTATCTTTCCTGATCACAATGGAACAAAACTAGAAATCAGTAACAAGAGGAACCTCAGAGAACACACAAACCCATGGAAATTAAACAACATGCTCCTGAATGACCACTGGGTCAATGAAAGAATATTAAGAAGAAAATTTTAAATATTTTTGAAACAAATGAAAATGGAAATACAACATACCAAAATCTATGGGATACGGTAAATGCAGTACTAAGAGGAAAGTATTTAGCAATAAGTGCCTATGTCAAAAAAGTAGAAAGACTTCAAATAAACAACCTAACAATGCACCTCAAGGAACAAGAAAAGCAAGAACAAACCACGCCCAAAATTAGTAGAAGGAAAGACATAACTAGGATCAGAGCAGAAATAAATGAAAGTGAGACTAAAAAACGCACATCAACAAAATGAAGTTTTTTTCTGAAAAGATAAACAAAATTGACAAGCCTTTAGATGGACTAAGAAAAAAAGACCCAAATAAACAAAATCAGAAATGAAAAAGGAGACATAACAATTGATATCTCAGAAATACAAAGAATCATTAGAGGCTATCATGAAAAACTGTACACCAACACATTAAATCAGGAAGTTAACACAGATTCAATACTATAATGAATCTATAGGCCTTATTCAAATTTCACCAATGCCTCTTAATTTAATGTTATGTTTCTGGCCCAGGATCCAATCAAGGCCACCACATTGCATTTAGTTGTCACATGTCCCTAGTCTTCCAATTTGAGACAGCTCATAATTTTGACACTTTTTTGCAAAACATTATTTTGCACAATGTTTGTCAACTTGCTTGTGTCTGATATTTTCTCATCATTAGGTTGTAGTTATGCAATTTTGGCATGAACACTACAGAAACCATGTTGTGCCCTTCTCAGTCTTATCAAGAGGTACAAGATGCCAATATGTCTTATGACTCATGTTAATTTTTAGCAATTGGTTAAGGTGATGCTTGTCACATTTATTAACTGTAAAGTTACTATTTCCCCTTTATAATTAGTATCTTCTGGAGACATATTTTGAGACCAATCATATCTCTTCTTTTTCATTCTATTTTTGCCCACTAATTTTAGCATCTATTAACCCTTTTTCTGTTTACAAAATTAAAAAGTGCAGCCGTTGCCAGCGCTCATTAAATTTTACCTAAACACACTTTTTAAGTTTGGAGCAAATCTGACTGGTTTTCAATGTAAAAATAAAATACAGTTGGGCGTGGTGGCTCACGCCTGTAATCCCAGCACTCTGAGAGACTGAGGCAGGTGGATCACCTGAGGTCAGGAGTGTAATCCCAGCACTTTGAGAGGCTGAGGCAGGTGGATCACCTGAGGTTAGGAGTTCAAGACACGGTGAAACCCAGTCTCTACTAAAAATACAAAAATTAGCCAGGCATGGTGGCAGGCACCTGTAATCCCAGCTACTTGAGAGGCTGAGGCAGGAGAATCGCTTGAACCTGAGAGGCGAAGGTTGCAGTGAGCTGAGATGGCTCCACTGCACTGCAGCCTGGGTGACAGAGTGAGACTCCATCTCAAAAAAAAAAAAAAAAAGAAAAGAAAATAGAAAATATAAAAATTGTTCTTGGAGTTAATTCTAAACAGAACTAACATCAGAATCATCTGAATCATAAAAATCATCTATTTCAGACAAATAAAATTCACCAAATGAATCTTTGGCCAACAGCTCTTTGAGAACAATGTTAACATCACTCATAGACATCATGGTGTGGGGGGCAGAGGAAGGGATAGCATTAGGAGAAATACCTAATGTAAATGATGAGTTAATGGGTGCAGCAAACCAACATGGCACATGTATTCCTATGTAACAAACCTGCACGTTGTGTACGTGTACCCTAGAAGTTAAAGTATAATTTAAAAAAAGAAAAAGAAATGCTACATTTGCCGGGTGCAGTGGCTCATGCCTGTAATCCCAGCACTTTGGGAGGCCGAGGCGGGCAGATCGCCTGAGGTCAGGAGTTCAAGACCAGCCTGGCCAACATGGTGAAACCCTGTCTCTATTAAGAATACAAAAATTAGCTGGGCATGGTGGTGGGTGCCTGTAATCTCAGCTACTTGGGAGGTTGAGGCAGGAGAATCACTTGAACCTGTGAGGCAGAGGTTACAGTAAGCAGAGATCACGCCATTGCACTCCCACGTGGGCAATAAGAGCAAGACTCCGTCTCAAAAAAAAAAAAAGCTACATTTTCTAGGATTTGACATTTTTAGCAATTGAGAATTACTATATTTTGTCAATGGAAATATCACTACTAAAAGCAGAATGCTATAAATAGGATGATGTCTTTTTTTTTTTTGAGATGGAGTCTTGCTCTGTTGCCCAGGCTGCAGTGCAGTGGCGCAATCTCGGCTCACTGCAAGCTCCGCCTCCCAAGTTTATGCCATTCTCCTGCCTCAGCCTCCCGAGCAGCTGGGACTACAGGTGCCCACCACCACACCTGGCTAATTTTTTTTGTATTTTTAGTAGAGACGGGGTTTCACTGTGTTAGCCAGGATGGTCTTGATCTCCTGACCTCGTGATCCGCCCGCCTCGGCCTCCCAAAGTTGTTCTTAATTTTTATTGTTCTGATGGCTAATGACGTTGAGCTTGAGAATTCTTTATGTATTCAAGATATGAGTACTTTGTCAGTAATTTCCAATTATTTTCTTCTAGTCTGTAGCTCGCCTTTTCATCTTTGTAAAGAGCAAAAGTCTTTTACAGAGCAAAGCCTTTTAATTTTCTTTTAAATTGAGACGGAGTCTCGCTCTCACCCAGGCTGGAGTGCAGTGGCGCAATCTCCACTCACTGCAACCTCTGCCTCCCAGATTGAAGCGATTCCCCTGCCTCAGCCTCCGAGTAGATGGGATTACAGGCATGCGGCACCACACCCAGCTAACTTTTGTATTTTTAATAGAGACAAGGTTTCATCATGTTGGCCAGGCTGGTCTTGAACTCCTGACCTCAAATGATCCACCTGCCTCGGCTTCCCAAATTGCTGGGAATACAGGCTTAAGCCACCACGCCCAACCTAAGCCTTTTAATTTTTAAAAATGTTTTCCAGGGTGATCATTTCCTTTCTTTTAATTTGCATTATTTTGAATGTTCATAGAAGCTTTATTCATTTTTTGATTGACTATCAAAAAATATTCAGATGTGGTGGCAGATGCCTGTAATCCCAGCCTCTTTGGAGACTGAGGCAGGAGAATCTCTTGAACCCAGGAGGCAGAGGTTGCAGTGAGCTGAGATCGCGCCATTGCACTCCAGCCTGGGTGACAAGAGCGAAACTCCATTGAAAAAAAAAATTGTCTCCAAACACTAGAGTAACTGTACACAAAATGTAGCTCTGAGCTGCGCAGCCAAAGCAGGGAAGGGAGCAGATGAGTGACATTAGACTCTTTGACTAGTACAAAGATATTTATAAATATATGTACAAATAATCATTGTACATATTCATTGGGGTTCATAGTGATGTTTTGATAGAAATGTTATCATGATTAGATCAGGGTGATTAGCATATCCATCATCTCAAACATTATCATTTCTTTGTGTTGGAAATATTCAATATCCTCCCTCTAGCTATTTGAAACTATATATTGTTATTAACTACAACCTTCCTACAGTGATACAGAAGACTGTAACTTTTTTAAAAATTACCTTTTATTTGAGTATTTTTAATTGAGATAAAATATACATATATAATTTACCACCTTTACCATTTTTAAGTGTACAGTTTAGTGGTAATGAAGATGTTTATTTATTTATTCCCCCTCCTTCCTCCCCTTCCCCAGCCTCTGGTAACCACTAATCTACTGTCTATGAGGTGAAGAGGAAAGGTCTAAGATCGTTTGCACATGTTTTCTTCCATTCTACAGGTTCCCTCTTCACTTTGTTGATTGTTTTCTTTGCTGTGCAGAAGCTTTTTTAGTTTGATGTAATCCAAAGTATCATTTTGGGGGCCACGCATGGTGGCTCACACCTGTAATCCCAGCACTTTGGGAGCCTCAGGCGGGCAGATCACATGAGGCCAGGAGTCCGAGACCAGCCTGGCCAATATGGTGAAACCCCATCTCTACTAAAAATACAAAAATTAGCCGGGTGTGGT
The DNA here is from genome assembly GCF_000001405.40 of Homo sapiens. NCBI lineage: Eukaryota > Metazoa > Chordata > Mammalia > Primates > Hominidae > Homo > Homo sapiens. The sequence continues at coordinate 77,762,794 of NC_000010.11, forward strand.
GGTGCACACCTGTAATCCCAACTACTTGGGAGGCTGAGGCACGAGAATCACTTGAACCAGGGAGGCAGAGGTTGCAGTAACCCGAGATTGCACCACTACACTCGGGCCTGGGTGACAGAGTAAGACTCTGTCTCAAAAAAAAAAAAAAAAAAAAAAGTCCAGGTACTGTGGTTCACGCCTGTTATCCTAGCACTTTGGGAGGCTGAGGTCGGTGGATCACCTGAGGTCAGGAGTTCGAGACCAGCCTGGCCAACATGGTGAAACCCAGTCTCTACTAAAAATACAAAAATTAGCCAGGTGTAACGGCGGATGCCTGTAATCCCAGCTACTTTGGAGGCTGAGGCAGGAGAATCGCTTGAACCCAGGAGGCAAAGGTTGCAGTGAGCCGAGATCGTGCCATTGCACTCCAGCCTGGGCAACAAGAGTGAAACTCCATTGAAAAAAAAATCATTTTTGCTTTGGTTGCCTCTGCTTTTCATGTCTTACAGAAAAAAATCTTTGCTCAGACCAATGTCCTGGAGCATTTTCCCAATGTTTTCTTCTAGTAGCTTTGTAGTTTCAGGTCTTGGATTTAAGTCTCTAATCCATTTTTATTTTATTTTTGTGTATGGTGAGACACAGGAGCCTAGTTTCATTCTTTCCAGGCCCATCCCCAGGAGATTTGGTAAGGACTGGGGCCTGGGACTCAGCATTTAAAACAAATATTCTAGATGATTCTGATTCAGGTGTCCTGTGACCACACTTCGGAAAACTTGCCCTAGGTGAAGTTTGGCATTAGATTTCTCCCCTGGATCAGAATCAGGCTGTGTTTGACCATCTGATAGGGATCCTGAAACATCCCCAAGCCTAGCATTTCTAATATAGGGCTGGAGGTGACATTGGAGCAATTGATGACACAGAGTGTGATGTAAAAGATCACAAATGGATCAGAGAGAGGATACTTGGGTTTTAGTCCCAGCCTGGAAGACTCTGACCAAGCCTTGCCTCGCTTCTGTAAAATACAGTTAAACAGTCACCGCCCCGTCAACCCCAGCAAGCAGGTGAGCACCAACTGAAAGTTCCTGAATAACTGTCATGGGCAGTTGGGAGGCTCAGCCCCACCCATGTTGCCAGGGAAACCAGACCTCCTGAGCCGGGACTAGACTCTCAGGCTCAGTGGCCAGTGTGACTCGATCCACTGAAGAGGAAACCTGCAAAAAGAGCTACCAAAGAAGCCTGCAGGGGTGCTGCCCCTGGCCCTGAGGCTGGAGAGAGTCTTGAAGATGAGGAGAAAGGGAGAAGGGCAGTCCCTTCAGGGCTTAGGGAACCAGGCCCTAACAGAAGTCCAATAAATGCAGGTCTGTTTGAAGACCTGAAGCTGTCTTTCAGAAACTGGGTCTGAAGAAGCCTCACAGCTGTTGCCAGGCCTGGGAGAGCTGCCATCAGAGGCCGCTGCTGCGGAGAAAGTCCTTCTGCTCTGTCCTGAAGGGGAGAAGGCCATGTCACCATAGGTCTCCTGCTGGGGGTGGGCCAGGATTCTCAGCAAGGAGGTAGAAATGACCAGGGCAATGACAACATGGGGATTCACATGGACCTATGTTAATGTATCAAGAATAGTCGGACCAAAGCTTGTTAACACAGAATAAAACAGGGAAACCAAAAAGTAGTGGAGAGGGAATAGAGAAATATAATTCCAAAGAAATTGCCTCCAAACACTGGAGTAACTGTACACAAAATGTAGCTCTGAGCTGGGCAGCCAAAACAGAGAAGGGAGCAGATGAGTGACATTAGACTCTCTGACTAGTAGAAGGAAGCATTAGTATCCATTTCTCAGAAAAGAAATTGCTTTCCTGACTCCTGAGCAAAGGCAGCAAACCACAGTCCCTTCTCATACTTCTTAATGAAGAATTCCTGAACCAGGGATTCAGCATTCATAGCAAAGGGAAGTCTTACCCCAGAGGGAGGCTAGTGAGGGACACCAAATCAAAGAAGACAACAGTTTATTTAGGTTAGAAGGAAGAACAAGGCTGCAAAGCTAATGAAGCTTGGCTTCAGGATCGCACAGTTACAGGTCCTTCCCTCACATTCTCTCCCCTTTCTCCGTCCACCAGGGCAAACTAGAGATTTAAGTTTTCGCTTTTGTTGACTTTACAAACTCAATTCATGGGTACAGATGGGGATTTAAAAACAAAAACAAGGACCTGGAGCAGTGGTTCATATGCCTGTCTGCACTCTGGGAGCTGAGGCAGGAGGATGACTGGAGGCCAGGAGTTCGAAACCAGGCTGGACAACATAGTGAAATTTCATCTCTACAAAATTTAAAATAATAATAATAATAATAACCAGGCATGGTGGCACATGGCTGTAGTCCCTACTCAGGAGGCTGAGGCAGGAGGAGGGTATGAGTTCGAGCCCAGGAGGTTGACGTTGCAGTGTGCTATGATTGTGCCACTGCAGTCTAGTCTAGGGTGACATTGTTTAAAACTGTTCAAACACACACAAAGTGAAAATTGTAAGTGCTCTTCTAAAAGCATTGCATGTTGGAAAATTAGACTAGGAGGCACTTTGACATCTTTTTAGACCACAGATTTCTGGGGAAGCCAGAAAGGAGCTGGGGTGGCAAAACTAGGAGCACAAGGAATGCCTCATTAGCTGTGCTGGGGGGCCAAGGGTGTGGAGAATAAGCCAGGCACCAGGAAAAGGCAGCTGCCATTCTCTCGCATACCCGGCACACCTTGCTGGGATGTTGGTATACCATGGGTAAAATGCCAAACCTAGCGCCATCTCTTCTTTAACCCCCTACAGTACTTTGTTTGTACTTTTCTTAGGGTACTCATGTTGCCCGCCTCCCTTTATAGATGCTCATATTTAATCCTTCCAAAAACATGTGCCCTGATGCCAAGGGCAAGATCTTCCCCGCCTCTGCATCCAGGAGCTCTGAAGTCTACACGAATGGAAATATATATTCAAAATACGTATTCAACATACCATTGGGGATTTGATCCAAATGGAAATCAAAGAAATAGGAGACTCAGTGTGAGCTCTGAGTATGTTTCCAGGCTTACTGAATAAGACACTATAAGTAGCTCTAACCCTGCAGATCAGTTAAACTGCAGCTGAGAGCTGCAGATGATCAGAATGGTGGGTGCAAGTTTATGTGGGGTCGAAGTTCATAATATTGAAAGAACTTCTTTAGAAAAAAAAAATATATATATATAGTTACAAATATATAATAAGGTCCAAGCCTTGGGGGTGTGAGGCCCTGAAGTTGAAACTTCAAGAACTTCAAGGGTAAATAGCCTGTGGTCTTTGCAAGTGGCTGGCGAAGGTGTCAAAGAGATGGGACTCACCCTTGACTGAGCCTGGAAGACTGGGCAGAATTTGGAAAGACAAAATAAAAAGGGCCGTGTGGCAGGATGAACAAAGACATTTAATATTGCCAGAGGCCTGCTTGGGGAGCCCGTGAGCAAACCAGTCCAATTGGACAGAAACGTTGCAAAGTCCAGGTGGAAAGAGGAAGGCTGGAAAGTCAGCTGAAGTCAGTTGGGGGTGGTGGGGGTGGGCCTTGAGTGTAGGCTGACATCTGAATTCTATTTCACTAGTTATAGGAGCCATGGATGTTTATTTTTTAAATGCAGTTCATTGACTTGAAGAAAACAATGTCTTAGGAAGATTAGCCTGGTTTTATTGTTCAAGGCAATGAAGCAGGAGGCACTTACAAAAGTCCAGGCTTGGGTGATAAGGGCCTAAACTTAGGCTGTTGATGAAACCCAGGTTGTAGCCGTGCGAATGAAAAGGAAATACCTAACTCAGTGGATTTTGGTGATTTTTAGAGACCAAGAAGAGAAGGATTCCAAGATGATTGAGGTTTCTGCTGAGTATTAGAGAATAACTGTATCATTAAGAGATATGAGAAGGTTAAGAGGGCCAGATTTGAAGGAGAAAATAGAAGTGGAGGATTTTAGATATTTCAGACTAGAGATGATGGGAGAACTATGAATTTTGAGATGGTCTTAGGGAACTGAGGGCTGGAGACTGATTTGGTAATCAGAAGCACCCATTTATTCATTCATGCCATAGGAATTTGGCTGGTAACCTCTGGAAAAATCAGCCCTGTGTTGCATGTCAAAAGGGATGTAACAGATGAAGTGGTCCCTCCCTTCAGTGAGTTAAATTTAGGATCTCAAGAGAGAAGAGATGGAGGTGAAATGAGTGAAGTAAGGCAGGGTCTATTGTGTACAAGAATGAGCGACCTAAATGTGGGGGAAGAGTTGGCTGTGGCGTCTGTCACCTACTGGTTTCCAAAGAGTATTAGACTCAGCTGACTCACCATGTGTATCCCCCATCCACTGTATCCCTCTCCAAATGGCAGGCTTGTCTGAAGAGAACAATGTCCATAGAGGTTACAACTGCCCTCTGCCCCCTGAGTAAAATGAGTTGTACAGACAATAAATATGATGCCGTTCATGAAATTGGAGGGAAACTCCCGGATCCTGGAGAAGGGAGAACTAGATCTGAACCTGTGAAGACGAGCAGTTTGCATAAGTGGAGGGGTGTAGAGGAAGCTGCCTTCCAAAAATGGCAGCTACAAAAAAATAGGGAGGATGTTTCCTAGGAGGTGGAGGAGATGTAACCCCATGGGGAAGCTCAACTGACTTTTCTCATGCTGTTCCCTCTGTTGAGAATGGCTGAAGCCAAGAAGCCAGTGTCAGAAACTAAAGAAAGGGAAACAAGAGTCGAGGTGGAAGATAAGGGTACAGGGTTGAGAGAGGAATGGGTGACAACTCCACGATTTTCAAGTGAAGCTGAACCCCCAACTTCCAACTTCTTGTTTACGTAGCAGTGAACTGCCTAGAGCTGTTTTTTGCAGAATCGTATAGAGTTGACCTCATGCATGTTTCTTTAACTTCTATCACTGACGTGTGTTTCAATTTCCTTGTTTCATGATACCCTTTCTTAAGCTTACGTGAATATGTGTAATACATTTTTAAATGTGACATATGTTAATTTTAGGCATGTCAGAGTAAAACAGCCACTATCAAGGGAAATCTGAAATCTGAAATCTGCAGGGTTTGATCTTCCTCTCAGTAATTTGACATCAAACTGTGTGTCCCATACTTTTAAGAAAAAACTGTTTGTGGTATACCCGCAAATCACGGGAGATCATACATATCTGAAGGTGCTGTTTATGAAACTACATTACTCTCAAACTCCTTGGCTGCCTGTTTTTTGTTTGTTTTGCCTTTAATAGGAGTTTTCTTTACTTATATGAATAAAGTGAAGACAGGGAGGACCAAAAAAAAGAATACAGTCACAATGAAATTAACTTTGCTACTTATTCCTACTTGGCCACCAAGATACAATAGATGTTGAGGCTGTGAGTAGGATGAGGGTTTGTAGTCATTTCCATAAATGGTCACACCCCATATTAATGGACAGATGGCCCATGTGGCAAGAGAGCTGGTTGGTCAATGGAACAGGACTTGCTGTAACCAGTGCTGAATAAGCTCACCAGCATCCAGCCTGAGATGAGGGGGGGAAGTCTGAGAGGCTTTGTCTGTCACTTTCAATTAACCAGGATCAACCAAGGTAAGCTTCTTGTCCTGACTGCTGAAAAGTTCTCACCCTAAAGAATCCTACCTTCCCCGATGCAAGATGGAAAATTGCTCAAACACTTAAAGCTATTCTCAATGAGAAACAAAAAAAGGACCACAGATACAAAGTAAGATCCTTTTGTTTATTAGAAGCTATTTCCACAAACTGAACAATTTGGAGACTGAGCATCCTTACACTGTGTATGTAGCTCTAGCAAATCCTACTATTTTACTCTCCTAGCTCAGATTCCTTTGTAAAAAGTCAGATGCTGCTGATGTTCATGAGGCTTCTCTTCTGGCACCAGGGCAGACAAGACAACCTGAAGGGCTTTCTGCAACAAAATGCCTAGAAAATGTTGGGTGCAATTTATAAAACATAATTTTAATGCATAGCTGAGCTCACAGGAAGGTAATGGAAACCCCCAGGAGTCAGAAGGCCAAGGGGACAGAACTCTGGAGAATGAAGCATAAGTGCCTGCTGTAGCTGCCTTGAAGGTGGAAGGGTATGGTAGGATGGGGCTGTTTTAGGAAATACACAGGGAAAAGTGACAGAAACCTTTGGCCTTGCCTATGGGTTGTTGGAACTAAGAAACCCCTCACACAGATACATAAATTTGGGATTATCTAGGAGCAACACAGCACCTTGGGAGATTGAGGCGGGAGGACTGCTTGAGGCCAGGAGCTTAAGACCAGCCTGGGCAACATAGCAAAACCGTATCTCTGCAAAAAAAAAATTTTTTTAATTAGCCAGGCATGGTGTGACATGATACTTGAGTAGTTCCAGCTACTCAAGAGGCTGAGCTGGGAGGATTAACCAATGTCTAGGATTCTCAGGGGTTCTGAAGTTCAAATATACACTGTCCTTTTATTTTGGGAACTCAAAAAATTGTCTCTAAGCCTATACTATCCCTCAGTGACCTTGCATAAGCAAATCACAAATGTCTACAGGACCCATCCACAAGCCAGGCCTCACAGGAGTCCCACTGATACAGCCCTGCTAAAGCTGAGTGCACAGTCCAAGAATTAATCCATTTAAACAATCTACCCCTTGGCCTACATTTTCTCCTTGCTCCTTCCAGCTACAAGTTACGCCGCTCTGTGATACAAACTGTTCCTCTCACGCAGCAGAATTAGAACCGAAGGACTGTTTTCCCTTCCTGTATCCTATTTCTTGCCTCCTTGAGAGCAGTCCCTAAGTTCCTTATAGCTCCCATGCATTGTTTATACTTAAAATACACCACGTGCTCCCACAAATAATACACACTGGTTTGCAACCTCAAGCTCACAGGTGATGGGAATAATGCCCACGATAAAAGCCTGTGAGCCAGCTCACGTCAGAATCAAGACTAGGGTACAAGTCCTCAGGCTCCTGGCTCCTGCTCTTTCCACTTCACTATTTTGCTTCTCTTTTTCTTGCAGCGAGTATTGGCAATAGTAAAATGAGTCCCACTTCTCTGATAACTCACCAACCATGTTGGAGAGAAAGTATCTGAGAAGTCAGTTGAAACAACCACCACAACAAAAACTAATTCCCAAGACAGATGATCCTTGAGTGGATAATTGCCACTTGATTGTTTATTAGAGCCATGGCTCCTGTACGGGGACTGGTGAGGGCGGGTGTTGGGATTACCTTTCAAAGGGCCATTCAGAGGGGAAAAGCTACCTGTGCTCAAAAACAACCAATGAGGGTCTCTTGGATTACCAGGAGGCTGAAAAGCCCAGAGATGGTGGGCACAGTGAAAGGTTGGGGCAGTGGGGCCAAAGACATAAATAAAGGACTCTGTGTTTTAGGACTCTAGGAGCTCATCACTAAACAAAGTGCATACTCCACACTCCCTGCAGAGGCTGTGTTGCCGTCTGCTGTGTGAGTGAAGGTGACAGCTCATCCCGCTAGCATCAGCACCACCAGATTGCTGTCAGGATCTCGAGGGCAAGGCCCATGTCTGATTCAATAACCTGTATTCTGAGCACTCAGAAGAGAGCTTGGCACACTGTCAGTGCTCCCTAAAGAAGTTAAATGGATGCTGCATAACCAGGGCAGCCCAGCAGCGTCGGTCCAGAGACAAGGGAGTGACACCTGCTCCCCGACGCAGTATATTCCGTACACCACAGCTCTGAATGTCCATGTTCAACTCATGCGGTGGTGGGGAGGAGATGAGAGAGACCTGAGACACGAGGCACCTCTGAATGATCCCCCCACGGCCCACAGGGCTGGCAGCCCCCTAGGAGACCCTGGAATGGACTCGCGGACAGCAGCCACCTATCTCATGGCTCACACGTCCCCGCCCTTCAGCTTATGTTGCTTCCCTGCTCTTTCCTGCTAAAGTGGCCCCTGCTGAATGCCGCCAGCCACGGGGTCATGCAGCTTCCCTCCTGAGCCTGATCCACTGAGGTTTCCACATGTGTAGTCAGGGGCTTTGCTATGACTGAGCTGAAGACGCCTTCTTCCCTTTGAGGCCAGAAAGAGAAAGCCCATGGGAGCTGAAGTGCAGATGGGCAGCACTGGCTCTTCCCTGTCAATGTGTGGATGGCAGAGGCATAGTCCTGGCTGGTACCTGCTGCCTCGGCCTTGGAGGTCACCACAGACCTGTCTCTTCTGTGGTTATCGCGCTTTGCCTGCCGCTGAGTCTCTCTGAGGTGATGCTCCTCCTGTCGTTGGCTTGGCCCTCCAACCCAGACTGCATACTGTGGCCTCTCAAAGCAATGTCGCCTGATACTCAGGCCAGAAAGAGAAGGGAGGAGAGTGGGGAGGAGAGGGGTGGAGGCGATAGCAGAACTTCCTTCCAGAGTCTCTATATTCTTCTGTGTTGTTTGAACACAACAACCATATACTATCTCTGTGATTTAAATTCAAATTTCAATGAGAATTAAAAGTTGAAGCTCAGGCCACACTGCTGTGCGTTTTTTAGAGAGATATGTTTGACTGAAAGCATATCAAGGGGCAGGAAGAATTTTTTGCTGGGCAGTATAACCAGGGCAGAGAAAGGTTTTTATTTCTTAAAAATATTTTCTATATCATAAAAAAAAAAAAAAAAAAAAGGCCAGGAGTCAAAACTAGACCCTCCTTCGGCCCCATGGACCTAGCCAGTGGAGCAGGGGTCCCAGCCCTCATGCCATGAGGTGCTGGGGAGAGGCAAGAGAGAGCTGGTGCTGCTGCCATTCTCCCCAGCTGAGTACAGGACCCAGGAGGAAGGCCCAGCCCCAGTCGGGGTGCAGCAGCTGCAGACAGACCCTACTCTTTGTGGTCAGGCCACACTCTGAGACATAGTTCAACCTCTGGACAACTTTCCCTGTGAGCCCAACTCAACCCATCCCAGTCCGGCCCAAGAGGTGTCATCATCATCACATTGAGGGCCAGCTGCCCCATCACAGGGCAAGCAGCCCTGACCCAGGAGGTAACCGGAAGCAGCTTTGCTCCTCTAGAAACAGAATCCACGTGAGGCTCACTGCCCTCCTAGGGGGTCTCCATGTGTTCCCTTCCCCTATCCCAAGGGAAAGTCTCCAAGCCTTGTCTTTACAGAAGGGAACATTGAGACCCAAAGAACCGGGCTGACTCTGTCCACGTCACCGGGGCACAGCCAGAAGCCTTTTAACACCAACTCCCTTGAATAAGACATTCCTGGCACCCAGAAGGGATTTCTATGCTCAGAGCCATACCTTCACTCTCCATACAAGACAGAAATCTCAGTTTACTCAGTACACGCACCCGGAGTGAGGTCAGAATTCCCCCTGATTTCATACCAGTAGTTTATTAAGGAAGCCAGGCCACCAGCTGTCATTCTGATGCTCTCAAGAAGGCAGTCTCCGGTAGAAATGCACCAATCCTTTTCGCTGATGTTTCTCCTGCTTTTAAGTAGCCTCATTAAGAAAAGTAATTAGGACCTTATTAAGAAGTCCTTTCAGTTGTCGTCGTTAAGAAGAAGGTGCTCATCAGCTATCCTAGGTGGAGTCCTCGGCCTCCTCCCAGAAGAACTTGTCTTCATGGACACAAACATATATTCCCAGGAGCCAATGAAGAGAGCTTGAACTCTGCCTTCTCCTGGGTTCCCTTCCCAGGAAGCAATCTTGCCCTGGAGTGGGGGCAGCAGGATTGCAGGGCAAAAAGAGTAGGGGAAGGACCTCACATCCAGGGTAAGGGGCTATCTACCTCGAAAGGGCCAGTAAGGAACATCTGGGGAAGGAGACCAGAGGCCCTTTGTGACTCCCTCAGATTAGTTCCGTGTGTAGGTAGAGCTCCAACCTGAAAACCCAGCAAGGAATTGGACTGGGGTCAGGGAAGCAGTGGCAGGGACCTGTGGCCCAGCCAATTCATGGACCAGCCTTGCCCGGCCCGGGGTCTGCTTGCACCAAGGAATGTGTGCAGTGGCAGGAAAGCTGTTCTCCATACTGATCAGAAATCTGCCTCCTGGAATGTCTTTCCTTGGGCCTGCTTCTGATGGCCGTCCAGATATGTAGGGTCCAGCCCTATGGGGCTTAGCGGGTGTTCTCCCCGTGTGCAGAGACAAGAGATTGTAATAAATGAAGGCACAAGACAAAGAGATAAAGAGAAAGCAGCTGGGCCCGGGGGACCACTACCATCAAGACATGGAGACCGGTAGTGGCCCCGAACAGCTGGGCTCGCTGATATTTATTGCACACAAGACAAGGGGGCAGGGTAAGGAGGGTGAATCTTCTAAGTGATTGACAAGGTGAAGCAAGTCACGTGATTACAGGATAGGCGGGCCCTTCCCTTTTAGGTAGCCAAAGCAGAGAGAGAAGGCAGCATATGACAGCGTTTTCTGTTCACACGTACAAGAAAGATCAAAGACTTTACTTTCACTATTTCTTCTACCGCTATCTACTACGAACTTCAAAGAGGAACCAGGAGTACGGGAGGAGCATGAAAGTGGACAAGGAGTGTGACCATTGAAGCACAGCACCACAGGGAGGGGTTTAGGCCTCTGGATGACTGAAGGCAGGCCTGGATAATATCCAGCCTTCCACAAGAAGCTGGTGGAGCAGAGTGTTCCCTGACTCCTCTAAGGAAAGGAGACTCCCTTTCACGGTCTGCTAAGTAACGGTGCCTTCCCAGACACTGGCGTTACCACTTGACCAAGGAGCCCTCAAGCAGCCCTTATGCAGGCGTGACAGAAGGCTCACCTCTTGCCTTCTAGATCACTTCTCACAATGTCCCTTAAGCACCTGACCCTATACCCACCGGTTATTCCTAGGTTATATTAGTAATGCAACAAAGAGTAATATTAAAAGCTAATGATTAATGTTGATAATAATGATTGATAATTGTTCATGATCATCTCTGTATCTAATTTGTATTATGACTATTCTTATTCTAACTATTTTCTTTATTATACTGAAACAGTTTGTGCCTTCAGTCTCTTGCCTCAGCACCTAGGTAATCCTCCGCCCACACAGATATTTGAAGCCAGTGACACTGTCCTCCTAAAATGTCTCTGGATTTGCCGTCAGGATTTGCTGTAGGATGTGTTTTGTAACTCAACCTGTGATCTGTCCTCCAAAGGACAGCCTCAGGAACGTGGGGAATCTGATCGCCTGTATCCTACCTCTGTGTGGGCAGAGGAGCTGCTTTTTGTGTTCAGGGTGATAATGCATTTTCTATTTCATTTAAATTCACTCTCGGCCTTCTTTCCAGATTAGTAGCAGGCCCAGTGTCTCTCCTGGGAATACCCTAGTCCCCTTGAGTTGTCCCAAGAATCGCTAGAGGTGGCTCAGTCCTGTTTCCCCGGGGAAAGGCCAAACCTCTCCATTCTCTTGGCGAGAGTTAAGAACCAGCCACAATTGTAAGCTGCCATTGCTTCTGCTGCTTCCATAGGGTGTTGCTGCTGACCCACTGATCCCAAACAAGAACAGACATTCTTGCCCACAAATAGGATGGTTTTCATGATGGTTCAGATCCCCACTGAGGTCATGGACGCACACTGAGCTGCTCTAATCTCGCCTTTTAGGCTCATCTACAGGGCCAGCTAGAGCCCTCGCCGCCATGTCATCTCCTTGGATAACCTTTCTTTGCAGTGGCCCTCAGCTGCAAAAGCCTAAGAACAAATCCAGAGGAAGCTGGCCTCCGAGGAGGAATGCACACGGAACCACCCTGTCTCCGGGGAGCTTGGAGTTTTAGTTTTGTCCAAGCTCGCAGGGCAAGGCTGCCCACTCATCTTGCGGAGGGACACAGCTAAGAGGGGCTTTTGTGGAGGTTCTCCTCCAAGCAAAGATCCTGGTTTGGGCTCTGATCTACACACAAAAGTAGCAGGACCCTGCAGCTTTGTTGACAAAACATTTGGAAAATGCACCCATGCCACCAGGCCACCTGCCTATTTCTAGCAATCACTTCTGGTTGAATTCTTTAAAAAAAAAAAAATCTTGAAAATAAGCCCTTAAAAGGTTGTTTAAGAAGTCTAACTCTCTCACAGTCAACGGTACCCACTTTGGAAATGGGTCATCTCCCCTTCCTAACTGCCCTGGGGGATGAGGGTAAGGGATGATAGGGCCCCTTGTGAGATGACATTTGAAGTATTTGTGTCATTGTCCTAACAGAACAGATGCCTGTCTGCAGGACACTGACTGGGCCATAGTCACTCATGCATGTGTTCACAGTGTGGTCCATGCACACCCCCTATCTGGCCCTTCCCTAACAGCTGCTGCAACCCTGCCAGACTGCTGGAGGTGGAATTGGCCAGGCTGGCTATCTCAGGCCTCTAGCCATGGCATTAGCCAGTCAGCACAGACACAACCCCAAGGGTCCACATGCCCAGGCAGACATAAGGTGGCTGGAAAGGCAGCTGCCCCTGCCCTAAGGACTGTTAGTCCAAACTGCACCATTCTGTAAACACCCTCCACCCATACCCCTGCATTTCACAGATCTTGGTTAAAGTGAAACATTCCATGGGGGTTTGGGCCATGAGAAACAGCCTGACCAACCACCTGACTTTCTTACATTCTGCTGTAAAAAAGTACAAAGAACATCACATTCAGCCAGAACAAGGGCCAAACCACCTCATCGTGGGAACATGTTATCAACCTTTTCCCAGGCAACATGCTCCCCAAGATCCCTCCTGCCCAGGGTTATAATTGCCCCAGCCTGTAAGCAGTGGTGAGCACTGGCATTAAGCTGGTCCCCCATCTCTGCAGGTCTCATGCTGAACATAGAACCTGCATTGCTGTAGAGCCGCCGACTCCCTTTCTTTAACCCTCGCCTTCCCTTTAAAAAACCTAATGAGGATGTCTCACAGCTAAACCTTAGAAACCATGACCTTCACTGAAACTGGCTGAGTTTAAGGAGAGGCTCTTAGTCATGGTCAGTTTCCCCTCTCCTCTGGCTCCCACCTCCCTTGGCCATGCTGTGTCCCTTGAGGGATGAGCACACCTGGCTGCTTCTCCAGACACTAGTCCCCTCCGATTACCAGCTCTGGGCTGGGCTGACCACCTTCTCAACCATCCTGGTCAGCATCCTACGTTCTATCTCTTACAGCAAACAACCAGCCTATTTCCTTCAATGCCTCCTTCACTGTTTCTTTGAGACTAGAGTAATATAATGCTTTTAACAGTGGAAAGACTATAAAAAATGAAGTTATCAATACTCAATAAGTGAGTACATTCTCCCAAATAAATACTATGTGTGTTGCCATAAAAAAGAATGCAGCAGATCCACATGGTCTGATACAGGAAAATTTCCATGGCATTGGGTAGGGAAAAAATCTAGTAGGTGGATTATAATTATGTTTAGGAAAAAATATGAAAGGGGAATACAAGACTATTTTTTGCTCGTATAGACATTAAACTGCAACAGTAGTTACTAAGTGGAATTTAAGATAGAGCACAATAGACTCCCCTCTAAACATGATTACAAAAAGTACAAACACAGACTAGTCTGTTTTTCTGTCATGAAAACCCATGTACTCACCACTTAGATCTAAGACTACATTTCGCCATACTGCATTATAAATTTTTTTTAATGAGCCATTTCAGAGGAAATTACTTCAGATGCTGCATCTTTAAAGTGTTGAGTTTACCTTGCCTCAACATATTCCCCTACAAGATGCCATTAACACCCTAACACAATAAGTGATTCCCCAATACCATATAATTGAGTCCATATGAAAATCTCAATTGTTTCCCAAATGTTGTTGCTGATCACCAGGGGCTTGGTCTAGGTCCTGTTGCTCACCACACAGAAAGCCAATCACTGTGGCAACAAGTATTGCCAGGGAAGAAGATTTTATTTGAGTGATGTCAGCCAGAGAGAAGGGAGACCAGCCTCAAATACGTCCCTTCCCACCAACTAAAGTTAAGGGAAAAGAAGAGGGGCAGGGACGAGGAGTTGGTCAATAGGCAGCAGGCGGTAGTATAAGGGGTTCCAGCATCTCATTGTAACCACATGTGGGAAAACAGGAATGAGGCAGGGATAAGAAGTTGGTCAACAAGGAGCAGGTGCACCTCACTGTCCAGTGGCAGTGATCTGGAAAGTCTCAGTTCCCGGTATCATTCAGGAGGCCCGATGGTTGGTTTCCCAAGAAAGGAACTCAGATAAGACAAATGTAAGTTTTCCAAGCTTCAAGGTTTTTGTTTTTTTTAAAATATGGAATCCTTCACTAATTTGAGTGTCATCCTTACAGGGGCCATGCTAATCTTCTCTGTATCGTTCCAATTTTAGAATATGTGCTGCTGAAGTGAGCACTTTGTTTTTTCAAGACAACAGTTTCATTCTTTCACCCAGGCTGGAGTGAAGTGGCACCATCTTGGCTCACTGCAACCTCCACCTCCCAGATTCAAGTGATTCTCCTGCCTCAGCCTCCCAAGTAGCTGGGATTACAGGTGTATGCCACCACGCCTGGCTAATTTTTGTATTTTCAGTAGAGGCGGGGTTTTGCCATGTGGGCCAGGCTGGTCTCGAACTCCTGACCTCAGGTGATCCACCCACCTTGGCCTCCTAAAGTGCTAGAATTACAGGCTTGAGCCACCGCGCCCGGCCCAAGCTTCAGTTTTATGAGAAAACTGGGCCTGTTTCAATGTTTATTTTATTTGGTTATTCAAGTCTCAACATTCTTTCAATCTAAAACAGTCCTCCCACCAGCCCTCCTTCCCCAGCCCTTTTTAAATCCATAGCATTGAAGAGACCAGGTCATTGTCTTATAGAATATCCTTCATTTTAGATTTGCCTGATTGTGTCTTCATTCCCTAAACTTCCTATAAACCAGCAGTTGGATTTAAAGCCTTGATAAGACCCAGGTGGAGGATTTTTGGCAAGAACACATTCCAGTTGACACTGTGTACTTACTTACTTCATGTTGTAACTCATATCTGGTGGTTTCATTATGGGATCTACTAGAATATACAGACCATGGGCAGATCATATACAAAAACAGAACTCTGACCCACAGTCTGCAGTAACCAGTCCAGGAAGCCAAACAACCCCTGTAGCCTTTGGTCCCAAATGGCCCGGACTTGATCAGTACCTGCCAGCTTCCCTAATTCTTGCCTCTGTTTTGAAAATCCTTTAGTAGGACCAACCAGAGAAGGCCAAATATGCTTCCCTAACCAATCACATAGGATACCCTGCTTCTAGTTAGCTCACCCACAGCCTCCAGATGCCAACAGCCTTTGATCAAGGCTCACCTGAAGCCTCCCCTTTTCCCAGCATAAAGCTTTCTCACTCCGCTGACTGCCTTTGAGTGTCTGCAATGGCAAGTGACTGTGGCTGACTCTCTGTGTATATACCACACTGAGAATAAGTAGCTGCTGCTCATTTTCATTTGGGTGGTCTATAATTATTACTGAAGTGAAGTGTGATCACAGTTAAGGTGGTAATAGTCAGACCCTTTACACTGTCGATGGACTCAGACTTTTTACTTCATGCCTTGCTTATACTGCTTGGATGTTTTCCATGTGCCTATATTAATATTTACAATAAAAGCATGATTTAGATTTTCATTTAGAATTTATCTTAAATGCATCAAATATGCAATTTTAAGTCAAGTTTTGCATGTTTGGCTCAAAATATCAAAATAATGTTGTGTGGTTTTAAAATAACAAGGTTTATTGCTCTTTATATTAGACATGTAGTTAATTACGTTGATCTCCATAAAAATAAGTTTAATTTTAATTTGAATAAAAGAATGCCACAATGAAATACTGACCATTAAAAAAAAAAAAAAGAATAAAGGACCTTAACCCTGGGCAAACATATAAAAGCATAGGAAAGTCACCCAGTATAATGTCTGGCACATTGCAGGTGTTTTGCAATTAGAGCCCATTCCCACGGTGGTGCACACTGCACAAGACCACAGAGGTCCAGCCCTTTTATCTTTCTGGTCCCATCCAGTCATCACCCATAGTGAATCCCGAAGGCAGCATCTCCACCCACCGTACTGGAGGACCACCGACAACTCCTAGTCCTCAGGGGAAACTCCCTTCCATATTCTTCTTGGTGGCGGCCAATATACATTTCTTTCTTCACTTCCCAGGACGTTTGACATACTTGGTGTTCCTCCCTCCAAGCTCCTCCCTTCCCTTCAGGTCTCAAGGTCTCATCCAACACTTCAAGCTCAAAATATCACACAAGCATCAAGGGGGTGAGCCCAGACAGGCACTCTTCCTTGTCCAGTTTCGGGAGAAGATCTCTGTTCCCTGTGACCCCAGGATACACAATGGCTGTTCTACACTCAGGAATCACTACATGTGATTCCCAGGACAGGGGCTGCAACTCTTCTGCTAAGAGCTCCCATAGCCCCAGGGCTCCCCCACCCCCACCCCATATACACACACCCCTCTCCCAGTCTTCTGTGTCTTTCTCGAGGACTGGTTAGCATTTTGGTAGCACCTTTGCCAGGGAAGCAGGCTCCCCAGGATGCACTTTGAACCCTCCCCCTACTGACATGGACTTGCGTTCTCCTGCCTCTAGGCTCCTTGCCTGGCAGTTCTGCACTTTCGGACTCCCCTCCTCTAACGAGTCCATTTGCCACCACAGCAGTGACTGCAGTAGGGTCACGGCACCTGTTTTCTGTGTTATGTGGAAAAAAATTAAGATACTGAACATTTATGTATGCTACCTTCTGGGTGTGAAGGAGGGAACATGAATTCACATTTGATTTAGCTGGTATCTGCAGAAAGCAGCAGTAGGGATTTAGAAATGCATAAAAATAGTGTTACTTTTTGGGATGAAGAGTGGCATGAGACTGATATCTATATATATATCTATATAGATATAGATATATATTTGGAGGCATTGAAACCTGCTTGATTTATTCTGATTATTTAATACACACTGACGCAACTGTGATCCCAAAGAGTGCAAAGTTAAAGCCTTCAACTGCAGCTGAGGAAGAGGGCAGGAATGGTACACCTCGGGACGGTGGTGAGTCAGGAATGACAGGCAGGTAGCCATGACCAGGGCAGCTTCCTCCCCAGGGCCAGGAACAGGGGAGTAGCCTGAGGAGCAGGACCCAAGGGTAGCCCAGGGCCGGGGAAGGGGGCAGAGACCTCCCCTTGGCCTAGGTCAGGAGCTCAGAAGTGCCACATGGCTGAGGGGACAGGACCCTGGAAGGGCCAGAGGCAGGGCCAGGACAGCACCATTTCCTGGGGGTCTGGGGGCAGGAAGCTGCCCTAGAGAAGAAGCCAGGAGGGGTTGCCTGCCCCTGGGGTGGGGGCCAGGCTGAAGGAGGCTGCAGCAGGCTGCAGCAAGAAAGACCTGAGGCAGGTGCAGGGCCTGAGAGCCCAGCTAGCTGAGCAGGGGGGGCTCCCAGGGCAGCCTGGCCCAGGAAGCAGTCCTGACTCTGCAGGGGATGCCAAGCAAGGGGCCGCAGACCCCTCAGGACCTCCCCTCTTCTCTCCCTGGAAAGGAGCTGGGGAACCCATAGTGCAAATCTGTGTACCACTCAGTGATGGAGGGAGACTGTGCCCCAAGGTGGACACTGGGGTGCACCCCCTCCACCACCTCAGCCTCCACCGCTGTCCTCATCACAGCTGCTTCTCATACGAGTGCAGGCCATGGACACCACCCTTGATCTGGGCCGACATGGTCTGCTTCTCAAACTTGAGCTCCCCTGAGTACATCATGGACCAAAGGACAGACAGGCTGCGGGCCCCGATATCCTGGCAGCTGTGCTGGATGCCCGCTATGAGGTAGGGCACGAACTTCTGAATGGACCCTTTGTCCTGGATGGAGCCCGAGACACCCTGTGCGATCTTCACCTTATCCCCCTTGCTGAAGTATCGTTTCTGGCTGCTGCTGCTCTTCTCCATGGCATCCAGTGAGCCCATGCCCTGGTACTTCTTGAGCTGCACCCTTTCTAAGAAGAAGTACTCACCAGGTGCCTCCGTGGTGGTGGCCAGCAGGAGCCCATCATCACTGTGGAGGCTCCAAGGGCCAGGGCCTTGACCACGTGCCCCACAGTCTGGATGCCACCATCGACTATGATGGGCACACCAAAGCACTGGGCATACTTGGCCACCTTGTACACAGCAGTGCCCTGGGGCCAACCGCAGGCCATCACTTTCTGGGTAATGCAGATGGAGCCGTAGCCCATGCCCACATGCAGCCCGTCCACACGAGCGTCCATCAGGTTCTTGGCCTGGGCTGCTGTCACCACGTTCCCCCCAATCACCTGGAGGTGGGGGTACTTCTGTTTGATGTAATGCACCATGGTGATCTGATACACCGAGCTCCCTTGGGATGAGTCCAAGACTACAACATTGACACCCGCCTGGGTGAGCAGGTCCAGGTGGCATTCGTCATCCTCACGGGTGCCCACAGCTGCCCTGCACAGCAGCTGTTTGTGGGAATCCTTGGAGGCCAGAGGGTAGTCTCGATTCTTCTTCAGGTCAGTGCGGGCAATGATGGCCACCAGCTCATCGCGATCACTGACGATAGGCAGCTTCCCTTTCTTGTTACGCTGCAGGATCTCATTTGCCTCTTTCAACGTCACACCTTTCAACGTCAGCCACCACCAGTTCCATCCTTGGCGTCATCACCTCACTGATGAAGGTGGCGTGCTCCTTCTTAGCAAGAAAGTCGACGTCTCGGGAGGTGATGATGCCCACCAGCTTGCTGCCCATGGTGCCCGTCTCAGTGAGGGGGATACCAGAGAAGCCATGCAGCATCTTGGCCTCCAAGCACATCACCCACGGTGTGCAAGGGGCTCAGCACCACAGGGTCCGTGATGAAGCCCTGTTCAAACTTCTTGACCTTCAGCACCTCATTGGCCTCGAACTCTGGGGTGCAGTTGTGGTGAATGAAACCAATACCTCCCATCAGAGCCATCCCGATTGCCATGTCAGCCTCTGTCAGTGTCCACAGGGGAGGAGATCAGCGGCGTCTTCAGCCCTTGTGGGTCAGGGCTGAGGTCAGGTCCACCTCATCATCAGCTATGAAGTCTATGAATCCTGGGAGAATCAGGAAGTCATTGTAGGTGAGGCCGTTGGTGCTGGTGAAGAGCTGCTGCGCGGTGAGCCCGTCCTCGGGCACGTAGCTGGTGCCGCTGCTGATCAGGTAGTCTGCCAGGCTGCCGTGACACCCCGCGACCCGACATAAACACCCGAGTGGCCACCTGCCGCAGGCACACTGCCACTGCGGGCCGGGCACAGGGGCTCTCAGTGTAAATCTTTTTATATCCCTTCTACTTTTGGGAAAAAAAAATGCCCCAGGAAGGTCTGATCACCAAATCCTTCCAGAGAGCGATCTTCCAAGCCAAAGAGGTTTTCAGTCCCACCCACTGAAATCATCCAGTCCTTTATTCACCTGTGTCAACCCGGCTCGGAGGTGTGGCCTGCGAGATCCTTCATGCAATCAAGAAGTCAGGCCTCCACCTGGTCCTGGGGGTCATCTGAGGCCCGCAGTTTTGGAAGAGGAATGTTTTCTGCCAGCAGTTCCCACAGACGGGCTGGCTCCCCACTGTGGGGACATGCACCATGCCCTCTGTGGGCCTCTGTTTTTCATCCCTGAATTCATCCCCCACAGAATGGTTCAGTTGTCATATCTAGCTATCTAATAAGCTTGAGGGCACTGTGTCCCCTAGGGGATGCCCACATGCCTGACCATGCAGGCTGATGCAGTGACAAGCACAAAGTATCGTGATTATAGTTCCTGCTCTCCTTTCCAGGGCTTTAAGCCCAGCACATGATGTTGTGCGTTTCTTGTTCCACCAACTGGCTGCTGTGGAATGACTACGAAACATCTTGGATGACAGTTTAATCCTCGTGGGGTACCAGGTGGCATCTGGGCACAGGTCAAACTTTCCGAGAGCCTTTTTAACCTCTTTCACTGCAGCCAGGAATGGCTGGATCTCTGCTGCTGCCTATAGGGATTACAGTTGTCCCATCCATACACTGGTCTGTGTTGGCTTTTGTCACCTGGGCATGTGCGGCCACCATCTTGACTGCTCAGCTAGTTCTGTACCTGGGTTCTAGAATGATGTCATAATGATGCCATTATGACAGATCAGCCCAAGGCTGCACACTGACCTAATCAACAGGTGCGGCAGAGCTGTGATTAAGAGACTGAGTCAGTTCCCACTTGTGAATAGACAGCATGAAGGCTTTAAACCTCTCTGAACCTGATCAGCATTGGCAATGATCTTCTGCAGATCCAACAACAGCACAGAAGAATGTATCATCAGGAACACATTTGGATATTGACACAACTTCATCTGCAGTTGGCTTGTCATCCTGAGCTCCGTTCCCAGGCAGCGTAGATATTGCACAGGATTTTGCTGACCAGGGAGTTGGGTTATAAGTGGTAACTCCAACCTCTTAATACTAACGACATTGACAGTACCATATAATCCATCTATTACACCACACAGGAAAATCAAGCCCAGTGGTACAGGACAGAAGAACTGGCTCCAGCCAGGATCAAGCATTGCTTTGGCATTGTTCCCCAATACCTGGGCCTTTCTTCTCCAATTGTTGGGGTAACTGGAGTGAGGAGCCTGAGGGGACCCAAAGGTGTTCTCCTGGTAGGATTCCCTCTCATGGTCTTCTGCATTTGTAGACATTTTGATTGGTTCCATTTCTAAGGGCCAATTATCTGTGCTTTAACCTGAAATAAGGAACCTGCCTTCTGATCTTCAAGGATATGTACATGGACACACATCTTTCAGATTCAACTCTTGAGATTTTTGGTTTTAAACAAACAATTGTGTTCATCACAAATGAAGATTCCCTCAAGCAGCAGCCTCCTGGAATCAACTGCTGAGTCCAAATCTTGTAGCCCTTAAAAATATTTAGTATTTTTACTAAGTAATAAGTATTTAGGGTGTTATGAAAAATGCAATTTGAAAAAGTACATTGGTTTTTAAGAACAAGAGGAACTATTTAGAAATTATACAATATATTAACAAAAGTAAATATTTAATATATCTCAAACACAAAAATGCAAAAACTGGTTACCAAGCATCAAGAAAAACTTAAAACTTGTAAAATACAAAGGTTAAATGTATTTTATCTTCATTCTATTATTAGCAGATAACCTTAATAAAAATGAGCTGTTATTTACAGCAAAATATCATGTAATTTTAGATTTATCACTTTTTATTTCTATGGAAAAGCAACACCAGCATGTATTGTTGCTGAAGGTGAAGCAACTTTTTGATTCTGTTCTGTTCCACTCTGTGTTCTAAGATGTGTGTCAGATACCGGCCACACACCCTACATGTGCTCGGGGCACAGCCTGGCCCCACACAGCACTCTAGTCTGCAGGTGGGCATCTAAGGCCCTGCCATTCCCACTTCTTATTGTCATATTTACTTAGTTCTCAGCACCTCTGCCCATCTTTAAATGACTTAAGTGAGAGTATGTTAAAGTAGCTTACATGTTCCTAAGCTTCCTCACAGCACATCCCATCTGTGACAGCAATTCAGAAAAAAACAAATTTTCTTTTATTCTTAATGGTACACAGCATAAGAGAACAGCTCAGGCAGTTTACTGTAATTGACGGTCCTGATATCCTTATCTATAAACTAAAAACTCCCCACAGAAGCTTCTGTAAGTATAATGTTAAATAAGTCTATAAACACAAATAACAGTAACAACAAGAATGTAATCCAAATGCTCAGTTATGGGAAACTAGTGAAGAAATTTACTGGTAAACCCACTGTGATGATGTGTGTGTATGTGTGTGTGTGTGTGCATGTCAAGTTGGCTCAGTGACAGTCCCTAGTTATGTAAGCTAGGTGCTGCTGTGAAGGTATTTTGCAGATGTGATGAATATTAAGAGTATCCTGGACCGGGTGTGGTGGCTCACACCTGTAATCCCAGCACTTTGGGAGGCTGAAATGGGTGGATCATGAGGTCAGGAGACCGAGACCATCCTGGCTAACACGGTGAAACCCGTCTCTACTGAAAAATACAAAAAATTAGCCGGGCGTGGTGGCAGGTGTCTGTAGTCCCAGCTACTTGGGAGGCTGAGGCAGGAGAATGGCATGAACCTGGGAGGCAGAGCTTGCAGTGAGCCAAATCTCTGCACTCCAGCCTGAGCAACAGAGCGAGACTCCGTCTCAAAAAAAAAAAAAAGAGTATCCTGAAAGATCTGGGTGAGCCCGATTCAATCAGTTGAAAAGCTTTAAAAGCAGAAGCCTAAAAAGGCCTTAAAAGTTGAAGCTTCCCTGAAAAAGAAAAGAAATTCCACCCACAGGCAGTGGCGTCTGCTGTACTTGTGCCTGTGGAGTTCCATTCTGCTCATTCACTTCCCTCCTGACTGCCCATAGACAACAGTTGTGGTCTGTGCCCATGACCTCCCTGATTCTGGACTTGCTTAGCCAGCACCCACAATCTTGCAAGCCAATTCCTTTAACAAATTTGTATATATATGAAATACACTGGTTCTTCCTCTCTAATTAAAGCCTGGCCAACACACCCAAAAATTAGAAGGGGATGCTGCTGTTAGAAGGAATAAGGTATACATTTTAGGCCATTCAAGACTCCAATAAATGACAGTAAAATAATAGCAAAGAAAAACCTTACTTTGGGGTTAAGAAATCACAGATTGATACATAAACTTAATTTTGCTCCTCTATTAAAATCCTACTACAAAACAGTAAATATAGTAAAAGAATTTCTTTTAAAAGGACATTAATTTAGAAATACAGGGAAAGCAGAGGGGCAACAACCACAAAATCATTTTAGAAGTTGAAAAGGAGAGAGACCAGTGGCAAATTCCTTAGCAGACCTGAGAATACCACACCCAAAACCAGCAGAAGAAAATGCTAAGAATCTTTAAATACATAGAACTGTGGCATTGTTACCCCATGGAAGTTGGGGTGGAGGGGAGGCTTAAGTATGGAATGGGTAAAAGCTGGGTGAGAAACCCATTCCTAGTTTCCAAACTACAGAGCTACAGCCTTTTCCTCAACATGGCCGAAGCTAGGAGGTTATTCTCTAGAGAGTATAAGTGAGGTTTGGAACTAGGGGATGCCAGCATGGATCCAGAGAATGGGCGCCACACTGAAAACAAAAGGATGAAGTGACCATATGCTGTCATGCTGAACGCTGAGTGCAAAGAGTCCTAGCCTTCTTCCCCTACTGGGCTCCAAGATGCGGCCAGGCCGATCCTTCCCATCACATAGGAAGGGCCCCTTGGGGTAATCTGGCAAATCTCTGAAGACCTAAAGAGAGCACTGCTGTGCTTCCCCAGTGAACAGCCCAGCCAGACCATCCTACAGTGAAACTCAAAAGACTCAAAAGACCGCACTCTCACCCATTTGATCTGGACTTTTACATTTCCCAGGCTTCATCAGTCGACACCCAGTGATTACCTGACACCTGAAGTTAAAACCTCTAATGTGCAAAACCAAGACCAAGGCAAAAACAAACAAACAAACAAACAAACAAACAAAAAAAAACAACCTTAGAGGAAATGGAATTATGTGGGATGAAGAAAAAAAATACTATCCTCAGATAAGATATTGTATTCATGAAACAAGTACAGGAAGATATAAAAGAGTTCTTGGAAATTAAGAACTTGTTAGCAAAACTGAAAAACTCAAGAGAAGGGACTGAAGGATGAAAGTTGAGTGAATCGCCACAAAATAAGAGTAAAATGACAAAACGACACTGGAGTAACCAAAAAATGAGGGAGCTGGCCAGATCCAGGGGCTCACGCCTGTAATCCCAACACTTTGGGAGGCCAAGATGGGAGAATCATGAGGCCAGGAGTTTGAGATCAGCCTGGACAACACAGTGAGACCCATTTCTACAAAAAATTTAAAAATTGGCTGGGCTTGGTGGCGTGTACCTGTAGTCCTAGCTACTTGGGAGGCTGAGGCGGGAAGATCGCTTGAGCCCAGGAGTTGGAGGCTACAGTGAGCTATGATTGCACCTCTGCACTCCAGCCTGGGTGACAGAATAAGATTCTGTCTCAAAAAAAAAAAAAAAAGAAAAGAAAAGAAAAAGAGAAGAGAAGAGAAAATGAGGGAACTGTCCAGGATCCCCAACACATAAATAACTGAAGCTCCAGAAAGAACAGGGAAGTGGCCTGCAGCAGGTGCTCACGGCCCTTGCTGTTTTGGCTCTCTGGGTCTGCGTGTCCACCCCAGCCTCCAGCCTCCCAACCCATACATATCAATCCACACACAAGGATGAACACAGATTTTGCTAGTTTCTTTGTTTTTTGTTTTTGTTTCTGAGATGGAGTCTCGCTCTGTTGCCCAGGCTGGAGTGCAGTGCACGATCTCGGCTCACTGCAAGCTCCGCCTCCCAGGTTCACGCCATTCTCCTGCCTCAGCCTCCCGAGTAGCTGGGACTATAGGTGCCTGCCACCACACCCGATCAAATTTTTGGATTTTTAGTAGAGACAGGGTTGCACCGTGTTAATCAGGATAGTCTCGATCTCCTGACCTTGTGATCTGCCCGCCTCAGCCTCCCAAAGTGCTGGGATTACAGGCGTGAGCCACCGCGCCCGGCCAGACTTTGCTAGTTTTTACTTCATCCAGCCCTGTTCAAGAAGATGATGCATAGGAGAAGATAAACCCAGTGACCCTCCTGTGGATTAAGAATTCAGATCCGAGGCTAAGCCTTTCTCCTCAAGTGTTTCCTCACAGGAAACAGATCCATCGAAGGAGAGGAGGACAGGAAAATCAAAAGAAGTCAACATTCCCAGGAGATTCTCAGCAAAATAGAGGAGAGGTGTCAAGATGAGAGCTGGCACCAGACCCCGAGGGCAGTGATTCTGGCCTGGAGCAAGGATTCAGGACAGACACGTCAGGAGCCCTCAGCACCAAGATCCCTGCGGGCTTCCCGCAGCTCAGCTGAGGACAGGTCACCCGGGCGATCCCATTCACATTCTTTCTACTCGGCTTACCTTGACATGATGGAGAAGCTTCCTGCCCTCCAGATCAGCTGAAGATCCTCACTCCATCCCACAGCAGCGCTCGGCTTTGACGTCCTCCCGAAATCAAAAGGTCAGCTGTGGGGACTACAAAAACAGAACTCAGCAGCCGGCACCCTCCATCCACATTCTTGCCAGATGATCAGGGTCTGGTCCATGGATAGTGTGGCCACGGGCCCTGATGGTGGCAGCCCTGCTACGCCCAGGACTCATTCAAGCCTTGCTGCTCCCTGGCTTCCCCAGAAGGGCCCCTTGTAAATTCTTGGAGAAGCTGAAGTCCACTCTGACCTTGAGATCACATTATGTTCTCCAGCAGACTTCATTCAACATTGGAAACACTGTGCTTTCCCCACACAGCTAATCTGTGCTTGATGCTCAATGTTTTTAAAAATGAACAGTATGTGAAGAGCAAGGAAATTATTCACTACAGGTCAGGCTAGCACTTACTTTGGTAGAGAGGGTGGGGCATTCAACCGGGTGAAGACATACGAGTGCTTCTAAGGTAGTTGGTAGTGTTCTGTTCCTTAAAGATGGAAACACTATCCATTTTACTCTTTAAACTATACATTTATGGCCAGGCACAGTGGCTCATGCCTGTAATCCCAGCACTTGGGGAGGCTAGGGTGGGAGGACTGTTTGAGCCCAGGAGTTCAAAACCAGCCTGGGCAACATAGCAAGATCCCATCTCTACTTAATAACAAAACTATACACTTATATTGGATATGCTCTTCTCTATGGATGACATCTTTCACAGTTGGGGAGAAAAAGAGATAAAAACACATAGTAATAGGGAGAACTAAAGGGGAACCATCAGGAGGCCAGAGACTATATTCTACAAAGGGAGAGCAAATGAAAGAGTATGGACGGACAAGAGAAGGGTGAGGGAACCCACAGGCCAGAAAAGTAGCAGAAGGGGGCAGTACAGAAGGCCCACCCACCCTGGAGCCCCCATCTGCTGAGAGGTCCACCGTTCCCACGCCAGCACGTGCACCCTTGTCTGCGGTTTATGTTCACTCTGCATCCCTTCCTGTACTTCACGTTTCTCTTCATCTTTGACATCATGACCCTTGTGGCCCTGTGTCTCATCAACCCCACAGGAGGTGGCAGCTCGGCTTCCCCAAGCCTCTGGTTAGCCCACTGCTGTTGAGCCTCAAAGCTTTGTCTTGGCTGGAAAGAAAGGCCTGAGGCTTCTGGCCGGTGCTCGGCTTCTACTCCAGAGCTGCTCAGGGTCGGCGCCTAAGCATGAGGTCTCCTCCTGCCTTGAAGCTGGGGTTTCCCACAGTCTCTGCTAGGCCAGGAGCAAAGTCAAGCTCCATTTGAGTCCTGTTGCCCACCCATATCACAGAATCATAGCTGTTAGCATGGGAAGGGGCCGCAGAGGTCATCTCATATTCAATTTCTTGGTCTCATGGCTGGAGTTGAAGAATCTGCTCTGCCTTTCCAGAATGATCTGAGCCAGTGTGAGACAGACACCACCTCCAGGAGGAGGCCCATTTGGCTGTGCCCACAACCCCGCCCCCCAGCACAGTCTCCATGTGGGGTAAATAAGCCTCTAACCCACCAGGGTACAAATCCTTTCAGGGCTGCTTGACAGCATGTCTCGGGGCTGCCCTGCAAGGCCCGTGTGTCCAGAAAGAGCGATCTCAGTGACTTAAGTGCCTTCCACCTGAAAAAGACATAGGATTTTCCCCCCCTTGTAATTATAAAAGAAAACCAAGGTACCTGTAGAAAATCTGGAAATTACAGAAAAATCTAAAGAAGAAAATAAAATCACGATGGCCTAAGTGCAACTGTGAAGGTTTGGCATCACACCTGAGCTCTGTGAAAGAAACCAGCCCTAAAACCAGCAGCCACCACCCCAACCCCTACACCCCCATCTGCCCAGTCAGTGACTTAAAATCCATCGTGTTAGGCCGGGAGTGGTGGCTCATGCCTGTAATCCCAGCACTTTGGGAGGCCGAGGCAGGCAGATCACCTGAGGTCGGGAGTTTGAGACCGGCCTGACCAACATGGAGAAACCCCGTCTCTACTAAAAATACAAAATTAGCCAGGTGTGGTGGCGCACGCCTGTAATCCCAGCTACTCAGGAGGCTAAGGCAGGAGAATCACTTGAACCCAGCAGGTAGAGGCTGCAGTGAGCTGAGAGCATGCCACTGCACTCCAGACTGGGCAACGAGAGCGAAACTCCGTCTCAAAAAAAAAATATATCAACGGCTCTGCTGCCCATTCTGAGGATGGCGCAGGGTGTGGGCTGTCAAGGAGACAGAGGCAGGCCCTGTCCCTATGGACACAAGGGCCCACTCCAACTACCAGAGCCCCGCACAGCTCTGTGACACCCCGTGGCCACAGGTGAGATCAAGACTGCAGGGCCACAGTGGAACTTCACCCAGCAGGAAATGATGAGGGAGGCATCCACATCAGTCTGCCCCCACCAGCCTGGCCACCAGTGGAGTGTGAGTGAAGCTTCTGGAGAACATTCTGCCCCCAAGCCCCTCCAAGAAAAAGGATCAGAGAAGGAGGGCTCTGCTCTGCCCCAGGCCTCAACCTGGCTTCCTGCAGCTAAAGGCCCAGCCTCCCAACTTCCTCATCACCTTGCAACACGGAGTTCAGGCCCACGTGGGCTGTTCTGGGAGTCCAGCAATGCTGGGTGATCTCCCAGTGTGATGCTGTCAGGTACTACAAAGCAGCCCCCAAGCAGGTGGGGCCATTCCCAGCCAAGGGCCCCAGACAGGGCCCTGACTGAGAATGCTACCCAGAGCACTCAGCTCACTCCCTTTTGCTTTTCCCAAGCCTGCAGAATTGAATGTGAGGGCCAGAGGGCAGAATCTGGGTCTCACACAGATGGGCAGCCTGGCTGCAGTCACCAGTTCATGCCACACTGGACAGATGGGTGGCAGGGAAGGGCAGGAAGGAGTGAGAGAGAGGCTGATGCAGCGGGTAGCAGGGACTGCAAATTGTCATGTGAGACAGAAAGAACCTACACATCAGCCAACTCCAGCTACGTGCTGCAGAGGAGAAGCTGTCTCAAGTTTAGAAATACAGGAAAGCTGACTGACTAGGAAGAGATTAAAAACTCACATCTTCAAACACAGCCTTACAGAAATTGACCTTTATTTGTTGTACTAAAGCCTGTTTAACTTTTGATACAAAGTAACATTTTAGTACAGAAAATCCCAGTCTGTCAGCTCAGTACCTGTCTGTGCACACTGTACCATCTCAGTCCCACTCTGCCTGTAACTTAGAAAACAGCCCCTACCCCCAGAGGGTCTGCGAGTTAATACCTTGAGAATAGTCTACAGTTTTTCATAGTTTGTCTGAGCTAGAAAACTTGTACCTGTAAAACAAAGGACAGCATTGAGGACTGAAACTTGTCTCTTTTTTGAACAACTGTGCAAGAAAATATATCCCTTTTTAAAAAACATCAGTTATGGCTAAACTACAATCTAGTGTCTAGAATTACAAAGAATAAAATGAAATCAAAGATTTCTCGCTAGTAAAATGAAATGTTAGGAACAGTATTAAAATATAGGTCCTACCCCAACGACACTTACACAGAGCCCAGTACAGTACCTATTATTAACAGGACGCATAGCTTAAGGAGGAACCACATCAAATCTTCAGCCAGACATATCTAGCCTCAGAAGTGCAAAAAAAAAAAAAGCCCCCAAACGAAGACACCCACACTGAGTAGGGTGCATGCCGTGAGTGCTGTAATCAAGATTAAAAAGACCTCAGTTTTTCTTTTTAGACTGTTGATAGTGACAATAACCATTATGCTTCCCCTAAAAGCTCTCAATTCAATGTCTGAAACATGAATGTTTTCATATCAAAAAGAACTGATGTACCTGCCACCCTCTAAAAAGTTTAAGAATTACCCTGCAAACATTGCACTGATGAAGGCTGTCACGACTTACAGAGCCTAAGGAGGACCCAATGGCAGGCATCAGCACAGCTGAACACCACCTGGACCCCACTGCAGCCCTGCCCACGCAGCTCTCACGGAGCAGACACAGTCCTCAAGTAATAAGCACAGATGGAGGAGAAACGAGAGGCTGTGGAAGGCAGGAGAGAAAGGCCGAGAGACGAGTTTGTAAGAATGCCAAAGTCACCTTCCCCATTGTGGGAGGAAAATGCCAAAGGCACTGGTTCTGCTGCCACAGGCAGTCTGAGCACCTGGAGTTGTGACGTCCTTCCAGGAGAGGTGCCACCAAGGAGCAGGAGGTTTGTCAAAGCTCTGGTCCCACCAACAAGAACCTCCCAAAGCAAAGCAGCCCCCATTGAGGTTCCAAGGTCGTTTTGCTGAAGACGGGAACGAAACCAACACCAAAGCGACAGGGGGTTGACAGAGGGGACAGGGGCTGGGCACCGGCAACATGGAGCCGTTCAAGTAAACATAAACCACCAAATACTTAGAAAAGGCTTGTAAACGAGTGATCCGAAAGGTTCTCTTTGCAGCATCTCTGATCAGCTGGCTAAAGAAAGGTGGGTGCTGAACCCGTCTTTAGTGTTATCTGTTTTGTGTTAAAGCACACGTGTGACACGGGCAGAGTGTGTGGGCCTGGGCCTGGATCGCACGCAGCCGTGGCCCTCTGTCTACAAAGGAGGTGCTTCTGGGTCCTGGTTCCGGATCCTTCCCCCGCATGTTCATAGACGGACAGACTTCTACTTTCAGTCGCTAGAAAAGAGCTGAGTCTGGTGTCCCCTCAGGCGGCCAGCTGCAGTCATCCACAGCACAGCATTCTCCTAGAGCGGGCAGGCTGGAATCCACAGGACTTTATTTTGTTCTTGATTGACCATTGCCAAGATCTGAGTGCAAATGCTTGACAGGGCTCCTCCCTGGATGACCCCTGCAAAAGAGCCCCCCAGACACGTCATTCAGCTCAGAGTAAGACCCCAGGTTTGAGGCAAGGCAGTACAGCTTGCACTCTTTCTACTGTGTGGCTGTCTGCTTTGTGCTCCTTGGCACTCTGCTCCATCCCCACCTGACTCTCCTTCACCAGCAAGAAACTGGGAAAGAAAATTGCCCCTCTTGAGTTGATCACTCATATGTAAACTGCCCACCCCACTGCAGTTAACACCCTGGGTTGGGTTTGCAATGGTTGGGGGAATCCCAGGGCATCAGAAGGAAGTTTGGAGGACATGTGGCGGTGGTCTAATCATTAGCAGGATTCTGCAGGAAACGACAAGTTTAAGGAGCCAGATAGCTCATGGCCAAGAGGAGAGTCACAGAAAGATGATGGCGCCAACTTGGGCCAGCCCTGTACTATAGGAGTTTGACAAAGGGGTCTATAGACACCAGGCCAGGGGTACTCCAGTGTGCTCCACATAACAGCACCTGGACACAAACCAAGCCCCTACTGCAACAAGGCATGCTCAGAAATTGACAGTGAGTGTCTAGAAACTGCTATGGAAACAGGACGTCGTAATTTTATGTCTGTTGAATCTAACAAGAAAAAAATAGAGCTTACCTTTTGCAAGACTTAGAGTTTTAAATTTTCATCTCTCTAGGAATTGTCAGTGTATTTGGCTAAATACCAGTCTGTGAGGAATTGGAAATGAAAGTTCACACACACACCCACACACACACACACACAGAGGCATGCACACCTGCACATACCTACACACACATGGGCACCAAGCCCAGGTCCCTGGACTAGATCATAACACTCTCCACAATGCAGTTAGAATCCCTGTCCCATCCTCTGTGACTGCAAATGCTAATGCCCTGCAAATGACAGACTTTCCCAAAGAGGCTGAAGGCCAGAAGGTAAAATAGAACCAAACTTCACTGAGTTTGTTTCACTTTGAAGACCAGAGATGGTAAGGGGACAGCATTGTTTTTTTTTGTTTTGTTTTTTGTTTTTTTTTTTTTGGAGGGGGGTTTGCCAAATCCCGCTGCAAAACGGGACTGCCCTGGAGGGTGCTAGGGACAGATGGGCCCCTAGCCTCCGCTGCCCACACTGCTGGCACACTGGGGGCTGCTCCAGTCCCCGCCCTGCCTGGGGACACTGTGGCTGCACTAAACTGCACCTGTGCTATGAGACAGACCCACCACTGCACGTGTGAAAATGAGCAGGCAAGCCAGGCAGGACCTGAGGCCAAGATCGGTGAGCTTAACATTCAACCTGTAAGAATCCTGACGTTGGCCAGGGACTGCAATCTGAACACCTGACTTGTCAGGAACGTGCTCATGACAGCACTTGGGAGCATGTAGAAAGTGCGGGCTTCTCCACGGCTAAGAAAACAGCCTTAGGAAGCCTCTGCTTCCTTCCCTGCTGCCTGCTCCCCACTCCAGGCCCACGCACACCTACCTGTGAAGTACCTGCTGTACTCCTGCTCAAGCTTCTGCGCCGCCTCAAACTGCTCTTTGGAATGCCTCTGAGTCACCTTGTCCCTCAGGTAGATGGGGTCTCTCTGCTCCCTGTGGGGACAGCCAGACACCAGGCTGAGCACTGAGCCTCCTCCAGGCCCTCTTTCCTTCCTCTGTCCAGGCTAACAGGGGCCCCATCAAGGCAGGGGTAGGCTGTGGAGGGAGGCCCCATGTGCTCCCCACATAAAGCACAGCAACAGCCTGTAGGCTGTCGGGGGAGCTCTGGGCAGATGGGGGAAGGAGGGCCCCCCAGCACACACACTTGGAACAGATGCACCAGCAGCCCCTAGCGCAGGTCCCAGAAGCTCAGCAGCACAGAAAGGCAAAATGGAGCAGGGCCTTGGTGAGCCCTTGGCCCAACCAGCACAGGAGCCGAAGCTCAGCGAAGGCAACGGCTCCTGAGTCATGAGCCAGCTCGGGGCTGAGTGGGACTGTGCCCAGGCCACTGGCTCCCCTGCTCCTAA
This sequence comes from Homo sapiens, assembly GCF_000001405.40. Classification (NCBI taxonomy): domain Eukaryota; kingdom Metazoa; phylum Chordata; class Mammalia; order Primates; family Hominidae; genus Homo; species Homo sapiens. Next base: position 77,794,531 of record NC_000010.11, read on the forward strand.
GCAGCACGTAGCGAGGAAAGGGGGCTGGGGCAGGAGAGGGGAGCTGTGCAGACCAAGCTGGCCATGCCCAAAAAACAGTGGCAGCACCCAAATGGCGGAGGGGCGCGAGGAAGGGGCTGCGCTTGGCTGACACCACCTCTGAGTAGGGGACAGGGCCGACAGGGAAGGGTCATTTTCTACACGTACTGCCTATTTCAAGACCCATAGGCCCATCTCTCATTCCTCAACCCCCCACCCCAACACACCCTGCTCCCTACTTGGGCTCCCAGCCCCACCTGTGACAAGGCCCCAGCGGAGCCCAGGGGGCCAGTTACCTACTTGATGTGCTTGGCGCTCTTGTAGTGGATGAAGATGACAATGGGGTAGATGTGCATGTGGTGGAGCCGCTCAATAGCGTGCGGAGCAATGTCCAGGAGGCAGTGTCGGTTCTGGGGTGGGGGGTGCAGAGTGAGCCCTGGCGGGCAGTGAGGGGCAGCCAGCCCCCTGTCCTGCCACCAGCAGGACCCACCTCACCTCACAGGGCTCTACCCACAAACAAGGCAGTAAAGCCACACAGTACACCGTGGGGAAACCATACCCACGAAACTCCCAACAAACCCCACTTGCTGTGAGGAAGGCCAAGGCTGGGAGCCAGGGCTTAGGGGGCTAGGGGTGCTGGCCAGCCCAACTCCAAACTTCCTTTCCCGCCTTTGCCCAGATACAGGGACCTTCTGAAAGCCCTGCCCCACCCTGGCCTCTGAAGCCTTATTTTTGCCAGACTGAGCGAATGAAGAGCCAGAGTCTGGTGAGCCTTTGTGTGGCTGAGACTGAAATATGTCTGTCATGTCTGTCGTCCCAGGCATCCAGGTGGAGTGCAGGCCCGTGCACTCCCGACCCCCAGATGCTCCACTGGGGCATTCCCCCAAGTAGAGTTTGCCCACTTTCAGCAGTGAGAAGCCAACACCTTCATCTAACAGAGAAGGGAAGCAAAGCCCAGCGAGCGAGCTGAGCAGCCTGGAGAAATGGAGCCCAAGGAGCGGCTGTGTCCTTGGACTCCGAGTGTTTGCCCCACCAGCACTCCCCACAGACGTCCCCGCCCTCGTGCTGCCTAGGATGTTCGAAGGCACCGAGAGTCATAGCCCTTTTAGGGGCAGGGACCCTGAGGGAAGGCACGTTCCTGTCCCCAGAAGGTGCATGTGAAATTGTTCGGCACATGCATTTGGGGACCCCGTTCCGGAATGCCCTGCGAGAGGCCTTTCCGCAGAGCTCAATACTCTCATCAGAGATGAGACCCCCCGCACCTGCCAGAGAGGAAGATGGGGCGGCACATACACAGGGGAACTCCTCCATCCCCACCAAGGGATGTGCTTGCAGAAACACACAGCAGCCATGAGGGCAAGCCCAGGCACAGGTGAACTCAGACTAACACAACACGGTGGGCTCACTGAAGGTCTGAGCCGCTGGGGCAGAGGATCACGGACCAGGGGCCTAGACCTGTGCACAGGAGGTCTAATACTGGATGCCTAATCCTCAGACTGAAGCCCTGGGTACCTTTTCTGTGATCTCCTTTATTGACGCCACAGTGGTCACATCGAAATGGCCGCTTCTCCGCTTATAGTCGACAAACAGGCAATCTTTGACACCCCGCTCAATGGCCTGCTGGGAGGCCTTCATCACCTCTGCAATGCACAGACACAGGAATCAGGGAGCCCCAGGCCCTGCTGAGCCCCAGCAGAGGGAGCAGGGGAAGAACACTGCTCAGCAGCTGTCAGTAACCCAGTCCTGCCATGCATGAATCTGACCCATGTCAGCAGGCTTCTGGAACACTGTGAAATCTGCCCCCCGGTACTGCCACCCACTGTGCACAGCTGGGCAGGCAGGTGGACAGGGACATAGAGACAAAGAGCCCAGTAGGCACAGAGGGTGCCCCGTGCCCCTTACCAAGGGGACATCTGCAGAACTTGCCAGGAGCCTCATTCACCAGCATCTCCTTCACCACGTCCAGCAAAGGCCCCAGAATCAGGACAGGCCTCAGAGCGGTGCAGTCCACCTTCTGGACCCGCTGATAGGCCAGGCTCACCGAATCTGAGGGAGAGAGAGCAGCAGCGTCACGGACCCAGCTTGGAGTGGAGGACCTGAGTGGGGCTGGGGAACCCCGCTCCCTGACCTCGCCCACTCTGGTTTGCCTGGGACTCCCCCAGCTTCAGCACTGAAAATCTCGTGTCCCAGGCACAACCGGGCATCGTCACCCCTGGAGTCCAGCATGAGCACCCCCCATGCCCTCTGTGAACACCAGAGGCAGCTGGTCTCAACCACTCATCCCAGAGCTTCCTTCTGCTCTGATTTTTCCTCGTGGGTCGACGCCTGCTTCCCCTGCCCCATCTCCATTCTCCTCTGCTCTCTGGCAAGGCAGCCTCTGGGGTTTGGCAGGTAAAGCTCCCACTCCCCAGGAAGGTGTGGTCAGTGTAACCCAGACCTGCCCAGTGACAGGTGAGGCCTCCCCAATCTGCACGGCTAGAACAGGTGAGTGCTGTGAGCCAGCTCTGGCCATGCAGTTGAGGATAACCCTTAAGAAATGGCAGAGGCACAAGATGGAAGGGACCTGGGTCCTGGATGATCCTCAGAACGCAATGCCTCTCCCACATCAACCACAGCTCAGACTTGTACATGACAGAGAAATAAACTGCCCATTATGCTTAAGCCACTGTTATTTGGTTTCAGTTAAAGCAGTCAAACCAATATCCTAGTTGATACATGCAGTAAACCTCCCCTTGCACCAAATGAATAAAGTCCTTGCAGGGAGACACAGTCTAAAACCCAGCAAGATCTTCCTGGCGTCTCCCTGGTATAAGTCACTGTGCTGGAATCTCAGAAACATAATAAAGAATAGAACACAGAGTTCCTGCCATTAAAAAGCACACACTTTAACTAGAGTCACAACAGAGCAACACATGAACAGCAAGAGAGCACGCAAGAGCTGCCTGGCAATTCCAGGAGCGGCGGGCTTCAGTAGACACTGTGGCTGGATGACAGGGTGAAAAGACCACTTGGGCAGGCCCAGGAGGGAAGTGGGATGAGAGTCTCCAGAAAGAGCAGGGCAAGAGGATGAGTATGGAGATGATGGGGAGGGCAGAGCACAAGATGACTGCAGGCTTGGGAGGAAGGGTCCATGAGAGGCTTGGCCTGGAGGGATCTGTACGCATATGCAGAACAAGGAGTGACTGCAGAGCAGGCACAGGGACCAGGAGGCAGAAGGCTCAGGAGAACACAAGCACAGTGCCAGCTGCAGCAGCAGGCTCCATGAAGAGCAACCTGTGGGCAAACTCAGGGAGTAAGTAAAGTCTCTCCTCTCCTCTTGCCCTGTCCCTGTGTGTGTGTTTTTTAGAAGTGATCACTGCTGGGCATGGTGGCTCACGTCTGTAATCCCAGCACTTTGGGAGGCTGAGGCAGGTGGATCGCTTGAGGTCAAGAGTTTGAGACCAGCCTGGCCAATAAGGCAAGACCCCTTCTCTACTAAAAATACAAAAATTAGCCGGGTGTGCTGGCGCACACCTGTAATCCCAGCTACTCAGGAAGCTGAAGCACAACAATCACTTGAACCCAGGAGGCGGAGGTTGCAGTGAGCCGAGACTGCACCACTGTACTCCAGCCTGGGCAACAGAGCAAGACTAGATCTCAATAAAAATAAATAAAATAATAAAACTGATCATTATCCACATACATCCACACAGTCTTTTACACAGCACTTCCTAACCTGGTGACCAGCAGCTCTGTTGTTTAAAACTGGAGGAGGGTTTGGTGGTCACATTCACCACCTTGGAACCCCATGTGGTCCCGAGTGAAGGCTCTGAGGAGGAGTCACGGGGCAAAGAACTTCCTCCGAGAGGAGTTTACATAAACAAATCCTCTCTGTAACAAATCTGAACCTCACGGATAAGGCCAGCACTCCTCTCTGATACCCCTTCCCCAACCTCAGTCCCCACTGGGCTCCTTGAAGGTAACCACTATTATGAGCTGGAAGTGTATCCTAGTTCTTCTTATAAACTGATTTTTATATGCTAAAGAAAACCTAGAATATATATTGTTTAAGTGTGTCTGTGGATACTTTATAACTCGCTCCTTGTCCGGGGCTGTGTTTCTGGGAGGCATCCCTGGTGATTCGTCGTGGGCCGCTCTGCTCCTTTTGGGCATCCCATTAACACTTATTCTGGATCGACTTATCCACTTCCCTGCTGATGGACACTACGTCACCATTCCCTCCATTTACTAGTATAAGAATCATATTCTCAAATTATGGCACAGTTGCTATAGGGTGGAATTCAATATAGTGCTTAAAAGAATGGTTTGGAAGAATATTACTGAGATGGGAAGATGCTAACAATATGATAGTGGAAATACCTGGATGAAAACAGTGTAATGCAGTGTAATCCCAGCTTTGTTGTATTAAGTAAAAAACTGGTAAGAAATACATTAAAATGTTAATGGTTAAAAAAAACCATATTCTCCCTTAATGATTACTAACATTCCACACTATGGGGTACCAATTTAGGAGATTCTTTTTCCTCCCTGACAATCTTCTTTGTCAGATGTCCTCACAATTACAGAATTGTAAGACTAGACAGCATCTTATGAGTCACTGACTCCAACTGGAGAAGAAAAACAGCCTATCCAAGGTCACAGCTAATCAGGGCAGAGCAAAGGCATGGTCCTGGGGGTTCCAACCTTAGACCATACGGCAATGGCTTTCTTTAAAAGGTGCTGTGGACTGAACTATGTCCCCTCGACATTTATATGTTGAAGCCCTAAGCCCCAGTGTGACTACCTTTGGAGACGGAGTCTTCAGGAGGTAAGTTAAATGAGGTCAGAAGAGCAAGGCCCTAATCTGATAGAACTGCGGCTTTTTAAGAGGAAGAGACACCAGAGATCTCTCTGTCTCCAACATGTGAGGACACAGCAAGGAGGCAGCTGCGTACAAGGCAGGATGACAGCCCTCACCAGAACCAACCACACTGGCACCCAGATCTCGGATTTCCAACCTCAAGAACTGTGAGAAAATGAATTCTTGTTATTTAAGTCACCTAGTCTGTGGTATTGGTTTTTTGGTTTGTTTTTGTTTTTGAGATATGCTCTTGCTTTGTTGCCAGGCTGAAGTGGAGTGGCACAATCATAGCTCATCGCAGCACTGTACTCCTGGGCTTAGGTGATCCTCCAGCCTCAGCCTCCTGAGTAGCCGGGACTACAGGCACACGCCACCACACTTGATTAGTTTTTTAAAGTTTTTGTAGAGATGGGAGTCTTGCCATGTTGCCCAGGCTGGTCTCAAACTCCTGGCCTCAAGCGATCCTCTTGCCTCAGCTTCCCAAAGTGCTGGGATTACAGGTGTGAGCTACCGTGCCTGGCCTGTGGTATTTGGTTACAGCAGCCCTAGCAGACTAACATAAGAGGAAAACCAGTCCTCCATATATTCCTGAGACACTCCCGCACAAGCCCCTAAAAGAGCAAGCATAAAGACATGCAGTGTCCTCTGGGTGGTGGAGAGTTGAGTCCACTTAGACCATTGCAGGTGGGTGCACAATCAGCAGGGTGGGGGGTACCAGGGATGCTATGCAGCAGTTGGAAGCAATAAACTAAAGCAGGAATTCAAAACCCACTGTGCATTAGAATTAGCTGGGGTAACTTTTAAACTACTACACAGGGATTACCACTCCCAGGTATAATGGAACAGCTTGCAGCATCCCTTGGAGAACACCTAGAAAATCTGGGTAAAAAATGAGAAATATCTTTTTGAAGGCATCGTAGAGTGGCAGAGACAAGACAGAATTTGAGATGCCAAGATCCTGGAGAGAAGGAAACTGGAGTATTAGAAGCTGACATTCTGCAGGCCTTTCCCCCTTCAGAGCAACTGGAGACTTCTAAAGTGAGAGTGAGGGGCAGAGAACCCAGGCAGAGGGCCGCCGCTGAGGGGCTGAGAACCCAGGCACGGGGCCGCCGCTGAGGGGCTGAGAACCCAGGCACGGGGCCGCCGCTGAGGGGCTGAGAACCCAGGCACGGGGCCGCCGCTGAGGGCTGAGAACCCACGAAAAGTTTCTGAAAATCTCCAAAGCAGGTGAGATCAAAACGGAGTTCAGGGCTGCCAGGACCTGGTGGGTCATTATTCCAGAGGAAGGGAAGGGCAAAGAACTAAGTCTGGTATCACAGGTTTTCCCTTAAAGCCATTTGCCAAATTCTTAAGCTGTGAAAAGCAAGAAGCTAAGCATCTAAGACAGTCACTAAGACACTGAGCAGTGTTCCATGGCCTCCCAGTGCTGAAGAGTGAGAAACTGGAAGTCAAGGCTCCCTAGGGAAGAGCGGCCCTAGGGAACACCCCAGGCTGGGACCACTGGTGGGCCACCCCCTAGGGTCAGGTGAACCACCAGCTGCACAAAAGCTGCAACCCAGCCTGAGGTCAGCTGAGTCTGTGGCTGGATCAAAGTGATCTGCGAGCAGCGGCTATCTCCAGAGCAGAGGGCAGACCCTCTCTGGAAGCTGGCAACATCACTCGGAGCCCTGAAAATCCCCTAAACATAACTTCTGACATCTCAATAAACAATAACTAGGCATATCATGGGGCAGGACCAAGAAAAACAAAGACCACAGAAAGAGACTCAGGGATGACCACACATGACAGTTACCAAACGCAGTCTTTACAAACATATGATTCAAGTATTTAAGAGGACAGATGACAAGAGGGAAAGTCTCAGCAGAGAATTAAAGCCTGGTAAAAAAGAACCAAGTGGAAACTCTAGAGTGATAAATAAAATACAACTTCTGAAAGTAAGAACATAATGGATGCAACAGAAGAGTGGAATAATGAACAGGAAAAAAGAGTAGAAAACAACCAGGCTGGCTGAATCATGGAGAGAAAGAAAGAAGTGGAAAATGCAGGAGAAAAAGAGCCCAGAAGACAGGAGACAGACAGGGTATTGTCGAAGAACAAAAACCCCGAGGAGAGGCAAGGTCAGCACAGAAGCAATATGAAAGAAACTGCGGCCAGGAATCTCCAAAACCGACCACACCACCAAACTACAGATGTAAAAAGTGCTAAGCACCTTCTGAGCAGGATAAACACAAAGAAAACCACACGGGGGAAGCACGGTGTGGTAAGAAATTAAGAAGTTTCTTTCTGAGAAAGGAAGGCAGAGAAAACCCTACCCACTCATGGTGGTGGACGGGTGGTGGCACTGCCTTCAGCACTGAGCCTGGAAAGATGACTTCTCACCAGCAATGAGTGTGGCAGGCTGACAAGTGTCCCCCAAAGACTGACTCATGTCCTAAGCCCCAGATCCCATGAGCATTACACCTTATGCAACAAAAGAAGCGATGATTCAGTTAAAGGCCTTGGGAGGAAGGGCTTTTCCTGGAGTATCTGGGTGGGTCCTAAATAAAACCCCACGGGTCCTCTGAGAGGCAGAGGGAGTTGAGAGAGAGACCCACGTGGAGGACGAGGTGACGTGAAGATGGAGCAGATGAGATTTGAAGATGACAGTGATGTGGCCACAGCAAAGGCTTGGCAGCAGCCACCAGAAGCTGGGAGGGGCAAGGAACAGGCTCTCTCCTCAAGCCCGGAGGGAGCGAAGGTTGGCCAACAATTTGACTGACCCAGTGGTCCTGAGTGTGGACTTCTGGCCTCCAGAACTGTGGGAGGATAAACCTGTGTGTTTGAAGCCACACAGTCTGTGGTAATTGGGTACAGCGGCCACAGGAAACTACTACACAAAGAGAGCCAGGGACCAGGAATGATATCTTTAAAGCACCCAAGTAAAACATCCACCAATCTAAAATTCTATATCCAGTGAGAATCTCCAAAAACGATATTAAAATGGACATTTTCAGACACAAACACTGACAGGATGTGTCACCAAAAAACCTGCACTACAAGAAAAACATTTCTGCAAGTTGTTCAGCAGAAAGAAAACAAAATCAGAAGCACAAAACTGCAGGAAGGAATAAAGAGCAATGGAAATGTAAAAGGCAAAAACCGATGAATAATTGATGTGCAAATGGACAGACTGAGTCAGAGTTAAAGTATCTGTAGAATTAAAATGAGAAAAGTATGGCCGGGGACAGTGCCTTGCGCCTGTAATCCCGGGTGCAGTGCCTTGCACTTTGTGAGGCTAAGACAGGCGGCTCACTTGAGGTCAGGAGTTTCAAGACCAGCCTGGCCAACATGGTGAAACCCCGTCTTTACTAAAAATACAAAAATTAGCCAGATGTGGTGACAGGCACCTGTAATCCCAGCTACTCGGCAGGCTGAGGCAGGAAAATCGCTTGAACCTGGGAGGCAGAGGTTGCAGCGAGCCGAGATCGTACCATTGCACTCCGGCCTGGGCGACAGAGCGAGATTCTGCCTCAAAAAATAAAATAATAAAAAAATAAAATGCGAATAGTATCAAAGTTAGAAAAGAGATAAATGGAGTTAGTGGTTTGATGTCTTAGAATTATCAGGGAAGTGGCCAAAGCAATGATTTCTCTTAGCAGTAAGTCAAAGGTGCACACTGTGAGGTCTATTTTAACCCCCAAAAGAATAAAATAGAAACAACTAAACACTAGTGGATGTGAGAGGATAACAGTAGATGATATAGGGGCAGAATAAAACAAAACACATGATTCATTTTTAAAAAGCAAGAAAGAAGGGACAAACATAAACGAGGTAGAATGAATAGAAAACAAACAGTAAGATGGGAAATGTCTACTTTATGTAATGAGGTAAATACTCTTGATGAAACAATCAAGACTGCCACAGGGGTGTTCAGATTGTGGAAATTCCTCACACTGCTCACTTTTCTGTAAATGAATGTGTGCATTGCTGTATGTATGTTACACTTGGATAAAATTTTTAAAAAGACAGATTGCCACAGTGGATTTAAAAAGTCCCACATGCTGCTTATAAGGGATATTTAAATATAAAGTGACAGAAAAGTTTGAAGTAAAAGAAAAAGATAAACTGTGCCAAAGATAACCAAAAGAAAACTGGTAATGTCAATAAAAATATCACGTAAAATAGACTTTCAGAAAGAAACATTCCTGGAGATCAAGAAGGGCATTTTATAACGATAAAAAGGTTAATTTACCAGGAAGGTGTAACAATGCAAAAGGTGTATGTATCTAACGACAACTTCAAGATATATATTGAAAAACACCTGAAGAGCTAAAAGGAAGAATAGACAAAGGGCTATTTTTTAAAGACACTAGCACCACCGGACAAATGCCAAACATAATGGAGATGGCACCTACGGAGAAAGGAGCAGAGGGCACAAGAGTGGAGGCCAAAGAGAGTGAAGGAAAAAAAACAAAAAGCAAAATAAGAGAGAAACCTTGCCTTGAGTAACAGGTTGGCATTTTTTTTTTTTTTTTTTTTTGAGACAGGTTCTCACTCTGTTGCCTGGGCTAGAGTGCAGTGGCGTGATCACAGTTCACTGCAGCTCTTGACCTCCCAGGCTGAAGCTATCTTCCTGCCTCAGCCTCTTCGGTAGCTGGAACTACAGGCATGAGCCACCACACCAGGCTAATTTTTGTATTTTTTAGTAGAGATGGGGTTTCACCATGTTGGCCAGGCTGGTCTTGAACTCCCTGCCTCAAGTGATCCACCCACCTCGGCTTCCCAAAGTGCTGGGATTACAGGCATGCGCCACCATGCCTGGCCTAAACTTTTTCTATAAGGGGCAAGATAGTAAATATTTTAGGCTTTGAAGGCAAAACGGCAAAATTAAGCAATTGTTATCAGCAAAGGGCTAATAGACTTTTTTACATCTTACATTTTAAGAAGTGTAAAAACCCATGCTCAGCTCACAGACCATTTAAAAATAGGCAGTAGTCCAGACTCGGTCCATGGCCAATAGTTTGCCAACCCTTGTCCCAGCTGATAGTGACAGTGGGCCATGAACTACAGTGTGATCCACTGAACTCCCTAGGCCTAAGGTCTTCATTGTAAAAAGCGAAGAGAGGGAGGGAGGCAGCCAGCTGCCCTACACTCTGCTGCTCACTGCCACCCCCACACCTGATTGCCAGGGAGGGCACATTCTAGGACAGTAGACAGTAGACACACACCAGGGCCCTGGGAGCCACGTTCCTAAGGGCCTCTTGCTTTAAAGGACAAATGCATCCTTTCCACAAGGGCTGTCTACCAGGGGATGTCTGACATCTCCTATCACTCAACTCCAGCCCTGGACTAGCATCTTGCTCCATAAGGATTATACAAGACTTGTTCATGAACACAGGACTGAGGCCAGAAATGCCGAAGTTCTGCAGAAACCGACAGCTCTTGGTCACTACCAAGCAGCCTGTAAGAACCTAAAAACAAATGGCAAGCAAGGCACTCAGCAGAGATTGCTTCTTGCCTACCCAATAGCTATCCCTCCATTCTTCCTCAGTAACTGAACCTCTTACTGAGGCCAGCAATGCACCCAGCTAAAACATGCCTTTTCTTTTTAATTATTTTTTGAGACAGGATCTTGCTCTGTCACCCAGGCTGGAGTACGGTGGCGTGATCTTGGCTCACTGCACCTCCGCCTCCTGGGTTCAAGGGATTCTCCTGCCTCAGCCTCCCAAGTAGCTGGGATTACAGGTGCATGCCACCACACCTGGCTAATTTTTGTATTTTTAATAGAGACAGGGTTTCACCATGTTGGCCAGGCTGGTCTTGAACTCCTGACCTCAGGTGATCCACCCACCTCAGCCTCCCAAAGTGCTGGGATTAAACGTGTGAGCCACTGTGCCTGGCCAAAACATGCCTTTTTGACCTCTCTTGCACATGCAAGTGGACAATGAGATGCAAGTTGAAGTCACAGGTTAGGGCTTCCAGATAGCTGCTGAAAGAGGCACGCTCAGCTGAGGCACACTTCTGCCTTACCACTCCTTCCTTCCTCCTGCTGCCTGAAACAGGGACATGATGGCTGCAGCTGCATTGACAGGCGGTGACTGGGAGGATGGAAGCCACACCCCATAGATGTGGCTCTGAAGATGGCAGCACCCCCCGACCAAGCCGAACACACACCTTCAGACTTGCGCACAAAAGCAAAGTAAGACTCTCTTTTGTTTAAGTCCCTGTTGTGGAGCTCCTGGATCCACAGCAAGCCCCATCTGGAGAGCCCACTGGAAAATGAGCTCAGCCACTTGCCTTCAAAGAGTGGAATGGAGTCACTGGAAAAGGCATCCAAGGCGAGCAGGTCTTTCCCGTCCTTGGACCCGCTGCGTTTGTGCTTGTGTTTCCTCCGAAAAAAGGACCGGCGTGCAGCCGCTGACAGCGTCTTTGTGGCGCTATTGTCATCTTTGACTTCAGACATGCTGAGCCTCCTGGAGAATTCTTGGTCCATCCTGTGGCACAGGGGACAATGCTGGGCAGGGCCATCGAGACCCTGCTGCCCTGCCCTTCCTGCCCTTCCTGGTGAGAAAAGCAAAGGTGGGCCAGACACTGGGCTCCCCCCACACTCCTTGGCAGGTCTCAAGGCTACATCTCCTCCCACGCCCCTGGGAACCCTCGGTACATGCTGCGGGGGTGACACAAACACCAGCACCAGGGCAAGCTCTCAGAGCAGGCGATTTTTTCTACTACAGCATATTCAGCTCGGTGTCAAAAGGAACTGCTAGGACAGCCTTCAATTGGTGACATGACGAGTTACGCTTCCTGCCATAGAAGGGAAATGATGCAGGGATGCAGGCTGCCTCGAAAACATGCTCAGTGACAGGAGCCAGATGAAAGGCCACACTATGCAATCCCAACCACACAGAAGTCCAGACAGGGAGACCCATGGGTATCAAAAGTAAAGTAGTGGCTGCCTAGGGCTGAGGGCTGGGTGGGAGGACAGTGGGATAAGGGGCTGACAGCTAATGGGTCTGGGGTTTGTTTGAGGTGATGGAAATGCTCTAAAATTAACTGTAGTGGCGGCTGCACACACCTATCAATATGTTGAAAACCACTGAATGGTACACTTTGAGGGAGCGGCAAGGCACGAGTATCTCCATAAATCCATTTTTCTAAAACACGTTATGCCTTCTGACCCATCACTGTGCTCTATACAGCACTGACTCACACTAGGAGCAGCTTTTTAGACCAGCACTTTTGGCAAAATGTAGAGAGCAGAAGCTAAGATAAGAAGCAGAATCCCTCCTCCAGCAGCCCTGGCCCCAGCCCCCTCCCATGGGACAGCTCCATGGCTGGTGGCCCTCGGCGACCCCTGCCCCACCCCACCCCAGGCCCGGAGAACACTTACACATATTTGCTGGGAATCTGCCCGCGCTGGATCTTCTGGGCATTCTCGTCCAGCTGCCAAGCCATCCAGGACCCGAACGTGCCCTGGGGTAAGGTGTCATCCACGTAGAGGATGTCGTCCTTCTTAAAGCTCAACTCTTGCTCCACATCTGCCAGCCGGTCGTACAGGGCCCTGGACCACAGCACAGAAGGAACACGATCAGGCGGCTCTGGCCACCAAGGACGAACCAGGTGCCTTCTGTGGCCAGGCCCCTAAGGCTGCCATTCTGCTTTGGGCTGTCTCCAAACTTGATCAGGAATCGCCGAGGGTGGTGATTCTCAAAGTGGGGAGCCCTGTGTTTTACATAAAGGGGCAAAGACTGCCTTTGCTCCCCTAACACTGAGGGCGCATCCCCATCAAAGAACTCACCAAGATCTGAGGCCATAACTTCCCTTTCCAGGTGGCCTTTCCCAGTTGCCTCCCTCCTCGAAGCCCAGGCCCGGCCCCTGGTTCCTACAGACTGGAATCTCTCTAGGATGGAAATATGTCATCTTCTACCCTAGAGACAGGGAGTTGTACCGCATCAGTGTTCTCATGCTTTCTGTGATCTTGGATCTTAGGAAATGTGAAGAAAGCTCTGAGCTCCTCCTAGAAAGCCTGCTGCCATCCCTAAATGCCCACAGCATTTCATACAGTAGTAAGGGCACTGAAGATGCCTGGAAGTCCACACACACTGCAGAGGGATCTGCAAACCTGGCTTGGGGGACACCAGAAAAAGAGGAGCACAGCACACAGGAAAACGGGGCTTGACTGCCTCCAAATTCTCTAGGTCTTAAGCCCTAAAGAGGGGGCCCAGCTGGTTCTTTAAGCCCTAAAGGGTTGTTCTAAGTCACAATCATCTCAACATAAATAAGCGTGCAGATTGAGTGTCAAGGAATGATGATCATGGCCCCAGCCTTGGGGGGCAAGAAACAGAGAGCCATTCACCAGGAAAAGAGTCTCCAGTGAAAGCCTCTCCTCTGGTTCCAAATCTCCCACCGATTCCCCAGCCACTGGTACCTGATGTAGAAGCTGTCACCAGGCAGGCCCTTGGCCTTCGTGAACTCCTCAGGGCGGTACTGCACCTTCAGGCGGACGCCATCCCTGGGCTTCAGCATCTCCACATAGACTTCCTCCACTGTCTTGTTCCGCACGTCCAGGCTGCCATACTGCCAGGGATGGGGGTGGATGCATCAGAAGGCAGAAGCCAGGGGGCAGCTTGGGCACCCGAGAGGGGCCAGTGCTGACCATACGGCAGAAATTCAACATCCCTCCTTAACTGAGACTCTGGCTACCTCCCCTCTGCAGGAAGGACTGAGTCTTCATGGTCTCCCCAGTCTCCAGGTCCTGTGCATGCTCCCTGGACACCAGGTCCTCTGCCAAGTGGCTGCCCTGCCCTTGACAGCTTATCCAGGAAAAACCCTGTTCTGGTGACTGGCAAGTCTGGGCTTTTCAGAATAGGGACCTTCCTCTTGCTGATGTTGCCTGTGCTTTTATTTATTTATTTTCTGAAACAGGGTCTCCCTCTGTCACACAGACTGAGTGCAGTGGTGCAATCACAGCTCACAGTAGCCTATACCTCTTAGGCTCAAGTGATCCTCCCACCTCAGCCTCCAGAATAGCTGGGACAACAGGCACACTCCACCACACCTGGCTAATTTTTTTGTTTTGTTTTCTGTAAAGACAGGGTCTCACTATGTTGCCCAGGCCGGTCTTGAACTCTTGGGCTCAACTAATTCTCCCACCTTGGCCTCCTAAAATTCACAGGTGTGAGCCACCAAACCCAGCCCAACTTGTGCCTTTATATTCTCACAAACCATCTCCCCCATGAGGCAGGAGACCACAGAGAAAGACCATCCTCTCTCATCAGAACAGAGTCCTGCAGCTACATCACCTGAGGGCGAGCACCCCCTGATGCCCAGGGCCTGAGCCAAGGCTCTGCCCTCAGGTTCCCTCAATGGCCTGCCTGGCTTCACAGGGACCTCCTCAGAAGGGCTTGGCAGGATTCTGGGTTTACAGGGATTAAAAATCAACCCTGGCCAGGCACAGTGGCTCACGCCTGTAATCCCTGTACTTTGGGAGGCCGAGGCGGGTGGATCACCTGAGGTCAGGAGTTTGAGACCAGCCTGGCCAACATGATGAAACCCCGTCTCTACAAAAAATACAAAAATAAATTAGCTGGGCGTGTTGGCGCATGCCTGTAATCTCAGCTACTCAGGAGGCTGAGGCAGGAGAATCGCTTGAACCTGGGAGGCGGAGGTTGTGGTGAGTTGAGATTGCACCACTGCACTCCAGCCTGGGCAACAAGGGCAAAACTCTGTCTCAAAAAAAAAAAAAAATCAATCCTGAGGCTGGACACGGTAGCTCATGCCTATAATCACAGCAGTTTGGAAGGCCGAGGCGGGCAGATCACTTGAGGTCAGGAGTTTGAGACCAGCCTGGGCAACATGGTGAAACTGGTCTCTACTGAAAATATAAAAATTAGCCGGGTATCGTGGCACATGCCTGTAGTCCCAGCTACTCGGAAGGCTGAGGCAGGAGAATCGCTTGAACCTGGGAAGTGAAGGTTGCAGTGAGCTGAGATTGTGCCAGTGCACTCCAGCCTGGGCGACAGAGCAAGACTCTGCCTCAACAACAACAACAAAAGTCAGCCCTGACTGGCTCACCAGATGAGAGGCTGTACTCCTCCGTCTTTGGTGCCACCTGAGATGGCAGCAAGCCCACTGTGCAGGTAGATGGAGGCCTGGCCTGCTCAGCAGCTCAGAACTCACCTCCAGGATGAGGTCCCCTGGCACGAGGCCGTCAGGACCCTTGGCAGGACTGTCATCCTCCACCTCGGCCACAAACACCCCATGCAGGTTCCCACCACACAAGTGCACCCCAAGCTCCAGCTGGGACTTTTTGATGAAGACAACGCGTGGCTCCAGGGTCTTCTTGTTGGCATCTCCCGCAATCCTTTCAGGAAAAAAACAAAGTTCCTCAACTGTGCACAAAGAGGAGGCACAAAAAGACAAAGCAGTGGCCAATGCCCTAACCGCTTTCTGCCTGCTTCTTGGGGTCTCAGAACCACAGGGAGCTGAGAGGTGGCCTCTAGTTCTACTGGCTCGGCGTTCGGGACAGGATGCTAAGGTGCACTGGAGATGAAGGCAAGACCCCAGGTCCAAAGCCAGTTAGCGGGGGCAGTCAAAACCGTAAATCAGTGCCCCTGCTCCCAGGCCCGGCTATCAATCTCATGCCTTAAAGATCAGGATGGCCTCCCTCCCATGTGGATCACACTCATTTTCCTAACTTAGTACTTCCTAAGGAAAGGTAAAGTTGGCCTCACTGTCCAGAGCACAGCAATGTATTCAGCAAATGTCTACGAAGAAGCTTCTATAGACCAGCAACTGCTAACTTGTGAAGAGGGGCCCCTTGCCATCAAGGCACTTACAATCAAGGAAGGGAAGCTGAAAGTAAGCTGCTGAACACATGGAGGGAGTGAGATGGGACAGCGATGGAAACAGATACAGGGGGCTTCAGGGGAGATGCCAGCCCGGGAGGAAAACCTTGCAGCAGGTAAGTTCCAATGTGACAGACTCTGGTATAGAGAATGCAGAGCTGGCCTCATTCTGTGAGATGCTGCCCAGGGCTTGGTGAAGGCCTCTCAGTGCTGGAGACACAGCTCCTCCAGGACGGCAGAGTGATCATGTCACACCATGGCCTGGATGGCCCTCCCTGCAGCCCCAGGCCAGGCTGGACGCTGTGCAGCTCCCATGGAGCTCCTTCCTCCTCCTGAACTCTGCTGCTCCCTCGGCCTGGACTTCTCTTTATGCCCACTCTTGGCTCTTGCCTGTCCTGAACATTTTAATCCAGCTGCCACCTCCCCTGCCACACTCCAGTGATCTTCCTGCCTGCTCTGCGGCGGCCGGCAGTGCCCTCCCAGCACCCTGACTCTGCTGCACGTGCCCGGCACTGGTCTGCCACCTCATTGGGGGAAGCACTGCTGTGGGTGGCCAGAGCCCAGGGCCTGGCCGGGTGATGACTGTGGGAATGTGTCCAAAGACAGACTCAGAAAGCGAGTGAACAAGAAAAGGAGAAGAGAAAGAGAAGATGCAGGGGAAAAAACAAGTCAATAGAAAACAGGAGAAAAAGAGAAAGGAAAAGAGAGAGTAGGGAAGGAAAAAAGGAATGCCGTGCTCCCGGCCCAACTCCTGAAGACCTGGTGTGCGGCCTGCAGCACATGAGGCCAGCTGCCCAGTGCCCACGCCACTTGGAGAATGTGCTCAGCCCCACCCAGCCGAAGCGGACACAGGGAAGGCTCACAGCAACGTCTGCTGACCTGGAGCTGCTCTGCTTGGCTGGGGGGGTGCTAGGCCCCTCGTCCTGCTCCATCAGTGGGTCGATGACAGATGGATGCTCCGGGGTGGTGGTGCCACTGCCCTGGAGAGTGGAGTGGGTACCGGCAGGGTCCAGGTGTGAGCTGGAGGCGGAGGACAGGAGGGATAAGGAGCAGTACGAAGCCACCCAGAGCCACCCCCACTCCTGTGGCAACTAGATCTGAGCTATAAATGGGGACCAGGTCACATAGCCCTGCACCCTGTGCCCTGAGCAGAGCAGACACATTAGAAGCCTGGACCCATGACATCCACCTGTCCTCTCCCCTCCACCTGTCCTCAGCTCAGGGGCCCTCTCCAAAGGCATCTGACCTCAGGAAGCTGTGAGCATCCTGTCTCTTTTCCTCTGCCTGTGCATCCCATCTCTCCTGCTGAGCTTGTGGCGCAGCACTGCAGGGCATGCCTCCCCTTCTTTTCTGCCCTTCAACCCACAGCTCAGGGGCAGATACAGACAGGTGTACAGCATCTGCTCCTGGACAGGGAGCCAAACACTTTGAGTGAGAATCCACCCCCGGGGCCACAACTCCTGGCTACCATGGGCCCCTGCTGGTCAGGGGGACCACAGCCATCTGTTTCCACACCCCATTTCAGGAGGAGACAGCCTCTCTATATATGCCCCTTTTCCAAAATCCAGGGCTGGTCAACTCTCTCTTTAGCAGCAGTAGGATCCCCAGAACTTACGGCTGGCACCCTGGGTCTCCCTAAAATGAGCAGAGTGCTGCTGCACCCACCTCTCCACCCCCAGCCCAGACGGCCCTGGGAGGCCCGCACTCACCTGGACCGGGAGTGGCTGCTGAGCTGGTGCACGTGGGGGTTGTACTGGGCCAGGATGGTGATGGTATCACACTGCTGCCCGATGATGAGCCGCGCCTGCTGCTCCGTGGCGCTCCGCAGGTTTATGCCGTTGAACTGGGGAAACACCAGGATGGGCTCAGTGGGGGGGTCGGGGCTGTGGACAGGGAGGAGGCCCTGGGGACTTGGGAGCACTGCTGTTCCCTAGGAGGAGGAGAGGGGGAAGAAGTGCAGGTTTCCATGGGCGCCATGCAGGAGGGCAGCTCCCTCTCACCTCCAGTAACTGATCCCCATACTCGAGGCCAGCCTGGTGAGCGATGCTCCCCACGGTCACCTTGGAGACGTAGATGCCGCCCTTCTCTCCACTCACGATGGAGATGCCCAGCGGCTCTGAGCCCTTCTGCACCTTCACGTGGCGTGGCTCCTCCACATAAGGCCTAAGGAAAAGTCAAAAGTTTCGGGGACTCAGGGTCAAACAAAAGGGTTGGGGAGAGCCTGAGCTCTCTGATCAGGCATATGATCTGACAGTGCAGAAAGGGCCCCGAGCCTGGATGCTCCCATTGTGACACAGCTACATGGGGACATGGTGGGCCCACCCCTGTGTGACAAACGATCACATTCCCACAGCCTCACGCAACACGAGCACAGCACACGCAGACACGCAACCACCCAGGCCAAAGACACAGAGAACGGTCCGTGTGAACTATAAACACTGATACATGTGGATTTTCATTACAGGAGAGGAGCTGCCCCACAATATGCAATTACAAACTCTGGGGGGTCTTGAGATGCCCTCCGAGGAAAAGAGATGGCTCCTGGGATGACATTCCATCCTAAGGGGGCAACAGAAAATAATCCAGTTTTATGTTTACTGGCTACACAGAGTGATGCAAACTGGTCACGGAAATTAAGCTGCTGCAGACCCAAGCCTTTGTAAAGGGAGAAGGCTGGGAGCAAGGCTGCAGCCATGCACTTGCTGCCCTGGGGCTGTACAGTGCACCCAAGGGCGCCGGGGCAGGGGCTCGGCAGGGAGCCTCTGGGCAGGCCAACTGCATGGTGGAAGACCTGGGCCTGGTGGCCACGGGCAGCCTCAGAAGAGATCTGTGGTGGCAGAGACATCTGGAAGGTGACAAAGGTTAGAAAGAAGATAAGGGACGCTCAGAGGAGAAAGACAATCAGAGACACCTGGAACATAACAGAAAAGACAGTCAAGTGATGCGGAGCCTCCCGTTGGGACTTCACGCCACTCAGGGCTTCATTCCTCCAAGGTATGGACACCTGAGATTTTCCTCGCAGGATAAAACCATATAGCCAAAGGCTGAGGGGGCCAGTCCAGGTCCCCTCTACAGCACATGGTCAGGATAGATTCTAGCGGGGAGGCACCTAAACCACCCCACCCCGGCCACCTGGAGGCAGAGCAGCTTCCCACTTGGCAGTCTCAGCCTGTGGCCCTATGCCCCAGCCCTCTTGGGAAGGGGAAATTAAAATTCTTCTTGAGTTGTCCCTGCTCTCTCCCACCCTCCAAAGTGTTCCCACTTCCCAAACTTGCCCACTCTGGAAATCCTCCCTTGACCCTCCAGCTCAGACAGATCCACCCCAGACTACACCCACGGTCCCTTCCAATTCAACACGGATTACAGCCCCGTGCTGTTGAGAGCTGCAGAGCCCTCAGCACACAGCCACCCCTACATCACCCTCCTGCCCCAGCCTTAGATGATGAAACAGAGGCCCAGAGCAGAAAGAGGTCCACCTCCGTACAACACGTGTATCACAATAAAGGAGCAAGCAACTAAGTCACAGCAATAGCCACCCAATAGAACAATGATCTGAACCAGGTTCCCAGGTTCCAGTGACATGCAAAGACGTAAGGGACACACCACGGGGTGGGGAGGCCCGATCGGCATCATTTCACTTATATTTATCTGCATCTGCAAACAAAAGTATGTGTGGATTTATGCACAAGGAGGCTTCTTATGTAGGACATTACCAAGTGTTAACAATGGTGTCTCCAGTTGAGGGGATCTGAGCTAATCTTTTTTTTCTTTCTTTTTTTTTGGAGGCAGATTCTTGCTCTGTCACCCAGGGTGGAGTGCAGTGGCATGATCTCAGCTTGCTGCAATTCCACCTCCTGGGTTCCAATGATTCTCCTGCCTCAGCCTCTCAAGTAGCTGGGATTACAGGTGTACACCATCACGCCCAGCTAATTTTTGTATTTTTAGTAGAGACAGGGTTTCACCATGTTGGCCAGGCTGGTCTCGAACCCCTGACCTCAGGTGATATGCCCGTCTCAGCCACCCAAAGTGCTGGGATTACAGGCATAGGCTACCGCGCCCAGCCAGAGATAATCTTTACTTTATAGTCTTCTGAATGATTTGAATTGTTTGTAATATGCATAGAAGTTTTCTCTAAACAACAGCTGCTTCTCAAAAGAGGTTTATAAAGTATACTTAAACTATTAAAAATAGCTAAAAACATAATATTAAGGGAGATTTGATTATGTACATAAATAATAAAGCATGTTTATATATATATATATATATATATATATATATATATATATATATATCCAAAGGGTAATGGCAATTGAATCTCTTGTTGAAGAAATAATCTGTGACTTTTTTCTTCTTTCTACTTTTCTGTTTTTTATTTTTTGAGACAGAGTCTCGCTCTGTCACCCAGGCTGGAGTGCAGTGGCGCAATCTCAGCTCACTGCAACCTCCGCCTCCCGGGTTCAAGCAATTCTCCTGCCTCAGCCTCCTGAGTAGCAGGGACTACAGGTGCCTGCCACCGTGCCTGGCTAATTTTTGTATTTTTAGTAGAGACGGGGTTTCACCATGTTGGCCAGGTTGGTCTTGAACTCCTGACCTCCAGTGATCCACCTGCCTCGGCCTCCTTACAGGTGTGAACCACAGCACTCGGCCTTCTTTCTACTTTTCTATGTCTCTGATTTTCCATAACAAGTATAAAATACTGTACTTCAGAATCTGGGAAACGGGGCCATTTTTAAAAAGAAAGCTGTTGCTCAGTCAGGTCACACATGTCAAATTTCATCTCCAATCGGATCCTAACCACCGTGAGGGCAGGAGTCACTCACATTTTTCTCCCTCCTGGAGCAGGTCCTGGCTCTCCGTGCCCTGTGGGGAGCTAAGGGAATGCTTGGCAGTGGGTGGCAAGGCCTTTTCCACAACTGAAGAACCCACTTCACTTGGGGAAGGTCCCGTCCTCTCTGTGGCCAGGGCCGGGGCTGAGTAAAACAGGCCAGCATGCTCCTGCGCGTGCCACATGGTAAGAGCTCCGTCAGCATTTCTTCCGAGTTACACCCGATTCCCCTACTGGGGCCAGGCCTCTGTGTTTTGCTGTCCTTCCGTTACCCCTCAGGTTCTCTGGTTGGTTGCCTTTTAAGTTCAGATTTTCAAGTCAAATATAAGATTTTCTCTGGCTGGGCACGGTGGCTCACGTCTGTAATCCCAACACTGTGGGAGGCCGAGGCGGGTGGATCACCTGAGGTCAGGAGTTCAAGATAAGCTTGACCAACATGGTGAAACCCTATCTCTACTAAAAATACAAAAATTAGCCAGGCGTGGTGGTGGGCGCCTGTAATCTCAGCTACTCAGGAGGCTGAGGCACAAGAATCGCCTTGAACTTGGGAGGCAGAGATTGCAGTGAGCCAAGATTGCACCACTGTACTCCAGCCTGGGCGAAAAGAGCAAAACTCTGTCTCAAAAAAAAATATGTTTTCTTAACATAGGGCCCACCCCTGCTGAGGCTCACAGCTACAGAGGCCTCAGCTTTCTGGACTCAAATGAAAGAGAGTATCTGTGTTTCTTTTGGTGATTAAATAAAAGTAAGTTTATCAGAGCTCTTTAAGATCTACAATCTAGACAGAAGCTGTTAAATATAAACACAATCTAGTAAGTTCCATCTAGGGGAACAACAGAGAGGGATGTGTGTGCACAGTGCGCGGGGGTGACGGATTCCATGGAGGAGGTGCCTCTGGACAGACAGCAAGCCTACAGTCAACCTGAAACCTAAGATGGACCTACATTCTAAAATGAACCAGTACCAGTAAAAAGCTAGGCTGCACATTTATGCTTTCTTCCTGTGTATATTTTATTTCACAACAGAAAGCTTCGAATGAGAGGGAAAAAGCAAAGGGTAAGAATGAGTCCCGGTGCCAGCCACTAACCACGTGGCCACAGGTCTGTCACTCCAACGTCTGGATCCAGTTTCCTCAACTGTGAAACAGGGATAACAATAATAACGACACTGGCAGGGTCCCTGTAAGGATCTCGTGACTTAGCCACACGTAAAGTGCTTGAACAAGGGCCCAGGAAGGTGTAAATGGTGCCATGATGGCACGATCACCGTCAGGTCATTTCCAGCATCATCTACTGTGAGCCCTCTTGGCTCCCTGCCTTGCCATCCACACACGCCCCACCTCCCTGCATCCAGTGCCCCATGGCACTTACTGGTGACACCAGCAAATGCTGGGACACTCAAGCTACTCCTGCTGCTTCTACTAAGCCCCTTCCCTGCAGAGCCCAGGCCCGCTGCCGGGATGCACACTGTCCACTGGTTTACCCACTCCACCGATGACCGGCCATGCTCACCTGTCCTTTCTCCGCTCCCCGAGGGACGCGGGGTTGACAGCGATTCTGGGCAATGTGGAGGCTGAGGTCTGGGACTGGCTACAAGAGGACAGGGTGTCGATGTTCAGGGGTGACTGTGGAGGAGTGCTGCATTCAGAATGTGACACTGAACCTGCAGAGAGGAGCGGGTAATGCCGGTGTGAACTCCCATCTCACTTCCCCAACAGCCAAGACCAAGAGGCAGGTGCGATCCAGACACACAGCTCTATCCCCACTGCATCGCATAGTCTGGAGCTCAGATGCTAGGCTCTGCATTGCCCCCTACCCCCCACACCACCAGGCCTACTGCTGGGCTCAGTGAATTTTTACTGACTGACTGAGATGACTATGAAGTTCTCAGCTAAGCCCAGAGACTCCACCATGAGGAGTCAGACCGCAGGAAAAGCAGGAGAGATGGGAATGTCGAGAAGTCCTTACCTCTCTCGGAGCCCACGACACTCCGCGGATATCTTGGTGTTGATGGGATTTTAATGCGTTCCGCCTTGAACTGCAAGTTACTCGAAGAACCTATTGTTCCATAAGGGAACAAAACTTCAGGCCTCATGGTTAAACACCACCCTGTCCTTCCTCTCCACCAGGCTACCAGTCAGGATAATAAATGCAAAGCTGGGCCCTGCTGTTTATTCCCAAGGGAGCCTTGATATGGAACAGTCAAGAAAAGCAGACGTTTAACATTTATCTCAATGAACTGTGCAGGCCCAGACTGCTCCAGAACAGGAGCGCACAAGTCTCACTTCCAGCCACGGAACAGCAGCCTAAGAGACACGGCAGCTGCTCCATCTTTTCTCCCCAGCGCCAGAGTTCCCCAAGATCTCCATGGGCTACCTTTGTCCGACTCTCCTCTGGGGTTCACTTTCCATACAAAAATGTATGAAGAGCCATACAAAACAGTCCAGAATGAGGCCAACAACCTCAGGGACACAGAGCAAGGCTCCTAGCTGAGGGGTCACCTGAATGACCATAAGGCCCCCACAGAAAGCGGAAGGCGAAAGCAATGGCTCTGACAGCAGCATGGGCATGGCTGGCCCATGAAGGAAGCAGCCCTTCCCAGTAGAGAAATGAGCTCAGTCCCAGGAGGTGACAGGAGCTCGTGTGGGGAGCCCACCCGCAGATCTGGACATTAGGATGCAGGCAGAGATGAAAAGCTTGGCACCCTCTGCAGCACAAAGTCCAAGTGGTGCAGTTACCCAGGCGGGCGCTGGAGGGCAGTGAGTTGGACCCATGGGTGGCTCTCATCTCGGAGTAGTCGCTGCAGGTCCTGTGGCTCAGGTCCAGGCTCAGGCGTCCCTGGTGCTGGACACTGCGTAAAAACAAGAGGTGAGGAGTTCGGGAGGAGAACCAGGAACAGATGTGGCCACTGGGGAGAAACACACAGACCAGGCAAGGGTTCCCAAGCGGGCAGAAGGGAGGCCCAGGAGCCACTGATTATCAGCCGAGGATAGCAGGCTGCCCTCAGCCACTCCCGGAGGTGGCATCCACTAAGAGCCTTCAGGAAGTAGAAAGGGCCACACACATGGGGCGGTCAGTATCATACCCACTCCAGCCATAGGGTCAGGATTAGGCTCACTAGGAAGAAGTGATAAAAAACAGAGGTTTTGCAACCTGGGTGGGCCTGGGGAGGGGGAACCTGTCCTCCCAGGAAGTGGGTAAGGAGAGACAAGGCACAGAGGACTTTGGGGAGGGGACCTATGTGCCTCACTCGGGACAGCGTGCCTAAGAAAATGAAGGGCAGAGCAGGGATCGCCCACATCAGGCTGCCCTGAGACCAGGCCTCAACAGCATCTTTTTCCAGCTATGTAATGAGGTGACATCTCTTCCCTGCTTAAACTCTACAGTGGTCTCCACTGTCCTTAGAATAAAATCCAAACTCTTCATCACCGCTGCAGGTCCCACAGGGTTTGTGCCCTGTGACCTCAAACCTCTTCTTGACTCGCTGCCCCTTTGACAAGCTCCCACGACTGTGCCTGGGTGCCCTGGCCTTGGCACCGATGGCCCTTCTCCCTGGAGGCTCCAGCCCAGGTCTTGTGCAGCTGGCCTCTTTCATCCTTCTGGTCACAGCAGCATCCCCTCTGCCACAGGGCCCTTCCTGACCACCCACTCTAACTTGCCACCCTCTTCCAAGTTACAGCCCAGCCTGTCACCCTGTTTGACTGCCTTCATAGCCTCTTGGCACCATCTGATATCACTTCGTTCATTTTTTTTTTTTGTCTGCCTCCCACATTTGAAAAACCACACGACATGAGCTAGAAGCTAATTTGTTTAGTTCAGCAATGTATCCTCTTATAATTAGGATAGACCAAGGCATGTAGTAGGTGCTCAAAAAATATCTGTCAAATGAATGAATAAGAGTGGCTTGGAGCCAGCCCACCCTCTTATGAAGTACCAGTTTCCTCATCTTCAAGACAGAAACAGTAATAGGACTTAGCCCATGAGGTTGCTGTTGATTCGGTGAAATGATATTCATAAAGGTCTGAGCACAGTGGCTGGGACATAAGCACTCAAACATCAGCTGCTATCACTATCGTGTCCTTCCAGTACCTTTTGAAACCTTGTGCTGATGAATTCAGAAAGCAGCCCTAAGGCTCCCTTTCCCTGTGCTGCTCTAGCCAGTCCCCTCCCAGGCAGGCAAGGAAGCTTCTCCACCAATGAGCCTCTTTATGCACTCATGGTTCCATGTCCAGGCAGGCTTGGGCAGCTGGAGTACAGAGAAGCGTAGGGTGCCTTCACATACCTGGGATGCAAACCCTGGGGGCCAGCATCTCGGGCCGCAGGTGGAGAGCTGCAGGGGCCGACCCTGTGACTGCGCACAGTGTAGATGGGGTTCCGCAGGATGGAGCTCACAGTGGTGCTGGGGGTCAAACTCCGGGGAACAGTGCCTAGAAATGGGCTTGGTGAGAAAAGACGCCCCAAAGGACCCAGCCAGCCCAGGACTTACACAAGCCTTTCCCCTGTATCCCAGGACGCAGCCGCAGTCTTTTGGGAAAAGGACTTGGGAGATGAGTTTTAACCACCAATTCACAATGTGGCTGTGGCTCCTGGCCTGTCTCCATTTGTAAAAAGGGGGGAAGTCTCTTTCATGCTTCCTATTTCCCAGGTTGCTATGGGGAGAAAGCATGTTGACAAGCTAAGACATGTCATGGCTATAAGACAAACCATCCCAGACAGGACAGCATTTCCCAGTTCTCTGGACCTCAGGGCTGAAAACACATGGCAGCTCTCTGAAATGCTGCCTCCCCTCTCCCTGGAGACTAGGCATCCCGAGTTTACACCGACCCTCAGCCCCAGCCCCTGGCTGGCTGACTCACCCACAGACGGCCTGCTAGGGTATAGCGGGGGGTTGCTGTGCCGGCTGGAATGCCCAGGCGAGTAAGGTGCCCACTCCTGGAGCTCCGGGGAGAGTTCTCCACTGGCCGGGACACACTTCTGTTCCTGCAGATGCAAGGGCAAGAGTGTCTGCTAGAAAGAGTGGAGTGTGGCCAGGCGCAGTGGCTCACACCTATAATCCCAGCACTCTGGGAGGCCGAGGCGGGCAGATCACCTAAGGTCAGGAGTTCAAGACCACCCTGGCCAACATGGCGAAATCCCGTCTCTACCAAAAATACAAAAATTAGCTGGGCATGGTAGTGGGTGCCTGTAATCCCAGCTACTTGGGAGGCTGAGGCAGGAGAATCGCTTGAACTCGGGAGGCAGAAGTTGCAGTGAGCCAAGACTGCACCACTGTACTCCAGCCTGGGTGACAGAGTGAGACTCCATCTTAGGGGAAAAAAAAAAAAAAAACCAAACAGTGGAACGCTTGAGCAGCTCTGCAAGCCAGTTTCTGCCCCCCAGGAACCAGCTCCTCCCACTGGGGCACAGGAAGGGACATGAATGGGAACGCTGCCCATTCATGTTGCCTTACACATCTTCAAGGAAGCAGCTTTACTTCAGAAGAAAACCACAGAGAATGAATCTTTCACAGAGATCACGTAAAAGGTGAGAATGCACAAGTGCATCAGGCACGTACAACTCTGCCCGATGTGGAGGGCTGTGCGAAGCTCTTTGTCCCCAGTGAGCAGTGTGGACTGGTGCCTGAGATGCTTTCCACAGTCCCCAGCAATCTCACCCTTCTGGAAACTATGACAGCACACGCAATCAGGCCGTCCCGCTGCCCACTCAGCCTCACACGTGCCACCTCATCTCCCTAGCCCTTCAAGGCAAGTCTATGCCCTAGGTTTTATTGTGTAAGTTCAAAAGCTTCTTATTAAAAAAGCAAACCAAATGCTATGCCCAATAAAGTGTTCCCCTCTTGTGTCACACTCCCACTACCATGCACTTCCACGCCACTTACCTACCTCCTAGCTGGGCCACTTCCCACTTGAGTCCAACAGCAAAGGCAAAGGCACCAGGCTAAACAGGGGCCTGGGACACTGGTGCAGGGCCACTTAGCAGCCCTCCTTCGGCCAACTGCCCCTCTCTAGGCCTCCCCTCCCCACACCCTGGGGCTCAGCTATACCTCCAGGAACTGAGCAGGAATCACTACTGGAGCAAGCTTCGGCCGAAAACTGGGAGCAGATTTTGGCCGGCGACGCTTCTGCCCCAGCTCATCCACCTTCTGGGAGGTGAGGTCCTCATCACAGGATTTCTTGGCCGGCAGGTGGGAGGAGTCCCCATCTCCTTCAGGGTAGTAGCTGGAAGCAATGCGGACCCTGGCCTTGCGAGGGGGTGATGCGTGCATGGGCTCCCCGGGGTCCACGTCAGGGGGCAGGGCGCTCGGGGGACTAGTGGATGGGGAGCTGCCCACCAGAGTGGCTTCTGACTCGGAGCTAGTCTCCAGCCTGTGCTGGAACTTAATGGAGTCGCTCCTTCTGGGAGGTTTTGGGGGTGTCAGAGGCCCCGCCCTCTTGGAGGGCTGGGGAGAGTGAGCAGGCCCAGGACCTGGAAGCAGGTAGTCTATTTTGGGGGGTGTCTGGGGGCGTTTGAAAGTGTTAGGGTCAAAGATGGACTTTCTTTGCTTTGGCTTTTTATAAACAGAGAGCTTCTCAGGCACTGCCGTGGAGCTGAGCATGGCCTTGGGCCAGGTCCCGCCGCTGTTGGAGCCTTCAGAGTCTGCCTTGTCCAGGGAGGCCTCCCCAACCCCACAGGGGCCCACCTCGGTCTCAAAGGGCAGCAGTGGCCGCCGGCCACGCACGTCCACCAGCCCAAAGCCACGGTCCCCAGAGGCATCTGAGCGGAAGGAGCTCAGGCTACGCTCAGAGGCACTGGGACAGGCCTGGGGGCAGACCTGCAAGGGTCCCCCAGGGAATGGCTTATGCAGAAAGGAGCTGCTGCCTCCTGGGGGGCCTGGCTCCTTCCTGTCTTCCAGCCTGTCCGTGTAGAAGATGTCTGTCTGCGTGGAGTTATTGTGCTGTATCAAGTTCCGTTTGTTATGAGCCTGGACCTCCGGGCCATGGGCTCGAAAACTCAGCATCTTATCAGAGTCTTTGATATTTTCAAAAATGTTCTGGCCACTCCACGAGGAGCTCTGAGGGAATACCTAGGCAGGGATTGCAGAGGAGTGAGAGAGAGAGTGAGATGGCAGGACTTGGAGCTGCCACTGAAAACCATCCCCAGAGGTAAAGCAATGGTCAGGAATGGGCCACCTGCCCCTTAAAAAAGAGACAGATAGACAGAGATGCACACACACATGAACACATATGCTTCTCCCTAATGGATAAGTTTTCTCATGGCTCTGGTCACTCTGAACTCAAAGAAGAGTCAAAGTTTTCTTAACTTTGAACACTTTCTGAAATTATCTGGGCCGGGCACAGTGGCTCATGCCTGTAATCCCAGCGCTTTGGTAGGCTGAGGCAGGCGGGTCACGAGGTCAGGAGTTCGAGACCAGCCTGACCGATATGGTGAAACCCCATCTATACAAAAATTACAAAAATAAGCCAGGCACGGTGGCATGCACCTGTAGTCCCAGCTACTTGGGAGGCTGAGGCAGGAGAATCGCTTGAACCCGGAGGTGGAGGTTGCAGTGAACTAAGATCACGCCACTGCACTCCAGTCTGGGCGACACAATGAGACTCTGTCTCAAAAAGAAGGAAATTACCTGCATAATGTCTTGAATATTTTTTTTAAATATTAAACATAAAAGTAAAAATTCATTGTTAAAAATATATCTCTTGTGGTACACCCAGACAACGGAATATAAATTAGCACTAAAAAGAACTGAAACAACGTGCAGGAACCTTAAGTGTATATTAGCAAATGAAGAAGCCATTCTATACACTCTGTGATTCCAACTCTATGGCATTCTGGAAAACACAAAAGCATGGAGGCAGTAAAAGGATCAGTTGTTGCCAGGGGCTTGCATAAATATGGGGAGCATAGGGAATTTTTAGAGCAGTGAAACTACTCTGTATGATATTACAATGGTAGTACATGTCATCACCTGCATCAAAACTCACAGAAAATACACCAAGACTGAACCTTAATGTAAACTATGCATTATAGTTAATACTAATGCATCCACATTGGCTCACTAATTATAACGCATGTACTAACTACACTAACGCAAAATGCCAAAATTGGGGAAACTTGGGGACAGGAGTGGGGATGGTGGTGATGGGGTGGTTGAGAGAGTGCTAAGAATTCTGTATCAGCCCAACTTTTCTGTAAACATAAAACTGCTTCCAAAAAAGTCAAATAATTTGAAAATAGTTAATTTAGAAAACATCTCTTAATAGAAAGTTAGAAAAAATAGGCCCAGCCATTTCATTAAGAGATGTTTTCTAAATTCGGCCTATTTTTTCTAACTTCCTATTATTAAACTTTTCAAATATGTAGAAAAGTATAATAAATGTCCATAAATGTACCATCTAGATTCAAAAATATTTCACTAAATTGTCTTTTTGTCTATAATGATACTACAGAACACTGGAAAGCAAGTTACAAATATCATGACATGTCACTTCCCTTCCTTTTTTTTTTTTTTTTTGAGACAGAGGTTCGCTCTTATTGCCCAGGCTGGAGTGCAAAGGCGTGATCTCAGCTCACTGCAACCTCCGCCTCCTGGGTTCAAGCGATTCTCCTGCCTCAGTCTCCTGAGTAGCTGGGATTACAGGAATGCACCATCACATCCGGCTATTTTTGTATTTTTAGTAGAGACGGGGTTTCTCCATGTTGGTCAAGGCTGGTCTCGAACTCCCGACCTCAGGTGATCCACCCGCCTCCCAAAGTGCTGGGATTACAGGCATGAGCCATTGCACCCAGCTTCTTCCTTTCATTTTTGAGATAGGGTCTCACTTTGTCACCCAGGCTGGAGTGCAGTGGCACAATCACAACTCACTGCCACCTCGACCTCCCAGGCTTTTTGTATTTTCTGTAGAGGCAAGGTCTCGCTGTGTTGCTGGGCTCAAGTGATTCGACTGCCTTGGCCTCCCAAAGTGTTGGGGTTACAGGCATGAGCAACCATGCCCGGCCATGACACATCACTTCTAACAACTTTAGCTTGTACCTCCCCCAAATAAAGCCATTCTCCTGTATAACAACCCCAATGCCATCATCATACCTAGGAAAACTGGCAACAATTCCCTAAGATCATCTAATTATCGGGTCCAGATTCAAATGTACCCAACTGTGCCCAACATGGCCTTGACTGCTGTTTTTTGATTTCAGACCAGCGTCCAGTCAGGGTTCCTGCCCCCTCTGCACTCAGTAAATGCCCACCCTGTTCTCAAGGATCCTGTGACCCCAAGGAGTAGCATGGCTATGTGGAGCCGGGGCTCTGCCCATACTCCTGACCGTGAGAGCAGAGCCAGGTCCAGCCCTTACCTTCAGGAGGGACAGGGTCAGGGAGTCCTGGCAGCTGCGCAGCAGAGATTCACATTCATTCAGAGACTTGTTGTCCAGTGCAATGCCATTGATCTAGAGCAGGACAGAGAGCATGTCAGGCCACAGGCAGAGCGGCCTCAGGCCTACCAGTCAGGATCTCTGCCTACCTAACCTCCTGTGCTAGACAGTCACCAAATGCAAGGTGCCAAAGTCAGGAGTTGGCAAAGGATAGAGGTCTTTCTGGTGAGGCCCAAGGAGTCCAACTAAGGGGATTCTGAGGTAGAGGAACACATAAGCCTTCACAGCAGGCTAGGGGAGGAGCATGTCCTTCTGGGATCAGAACACCGAGGACCCGGAGGGAACATCTTGGCACTGCTGTGCCCGGCCATGTGGCGTGGGACCTTGGCTCAGAACTTCCCAGCTCCTTGCCTCCACAGAGGAAATGGAAGATAAATACATGCATGTGGCTCGGGAGAGCGGGGGACTAAAAACAAGACCATGGATAGGAAAGGCCTTGTAGAGAAAGTACCACGCGAAGTGGGGCCCTGTGAGTGTTCACAAAGAACCTCTCAACCCTGCTCCCGGAATCTCTGCTCACAGCTATGTGCAGACCTTCTTAAGAAGTATATGTGCAACCGGTGAATGACCAAACTGTGATACACCCACATTGCAGAACACTGCTCAGCAACGATAAGTAACAAGCAGCCAGCACACGCAGCCTCTTGGGTGGATCTTGCAGGCATGGTGCGGAATCAAAACAGCCCAGCTCCAAAGGTCACATACTATATGATTCCATGTCTGTAACATTCTCAAAAGGACAACATCACAGAGATGGAGAAAAAATCAGCTGCCAGGGGGCAGGGATGGGAGGGAGCAGGGGGTGTTACTACAAATGGGCAGTGGGAGGGAGACCTCAGTGCTGATAGAACAGCTACGTATCTTCATTACGGTGGTGGTTACACAGAACAACATGTGTTTAACCACACACAACCACACACACACACACACACACACACACACACACACACACACAGTACCAATGTCAATATGCTAGCTTTGATATTATACTCATGCAAGGTGCAACCATGAGGGGAAGCAGGGAGAAGAGTACATAGGACCCCCCTGTACTATCTCTGCAGCTTCCTATGAATCTATAATCATTTCAAAGTCAAGTTTTCTTTTTTTTTTTTGAGATGGAGTCTCGCTCTGTCCCTCAGGCTGAAGTGCAGAGGCATGATCTCGGCTCGCTGCAACCTCCGCCTCCCAGGTTCAAGCAATTCTCCTATCTCAGTCTCCCGAGTAGCTGGGATTACAGATGTATGCCTCCATGCCCGGCTAATATTTTTGTATTTTAGTAGAGATGGGGTTTCATTGTGTTGCCCAGGCTGGTCTCGAACCCCTGAACTAAGGCAATCCACCCGCCTCGGCCTCCCAAAGTGCTAGGATTACAGGCGTGAGCCACCATGCCCGGCCAGTCAAGTTTTCTTTTTAAAATATCTGCAGAGTGATTATCTGGAAGTAGTAAATTAATTTGTGGTTTTTTCCTTATAACATATCCACATTTAAAAAATTTTCATAGTGGCCATATAGCTTTTACACTCTGGCTCCCCAAAAAATCTGAAAAACATTGGCAAAGATGTGAGGCAATGAGTTCCCCCACACACTGCAGGGAGGACTGCAAAAGCCATGACCTTTTTGGAGCAAAGGGGGAAGATCTCGCTGGATGTTAAACATTCATGTCCTCTGACCCAGCAAACCCCACCCCCAGGAATGTACCCCAGGGCACACTCCTGGGTCCCTATGAAGTAGCATGTCAGTGGCCATGCAGCACGACACAGATGTAAGTAAGGGCAGAGATGCCCAGACTATCCCTCGGGAGGGACTGGTCAACAACTTAGGCTGCTGCCACTAAGGAATGACACGCAGTTATATGCCTTGGGGCAGATCTAAAGACGTGAATGTGGGCTGGGCATGGTGGCTCACACCTGTAATCCTAGCACTTCGGGAGGCTGAGGGCAGATCGTTTGAGGTCAGGAGTTCAAGACCAGCCTGGGCAACATGGTGAAACCCCCATCTCTACTAAAAATACAAAAAAACTAGCAGGGCGTGATGGCACATGTCTGTAATCCCAGCTGCTCAGGTGGCTGAGGCAGGAGAATCACTTAGACCTGGGAGGCAGAGGCTGCAGTGAGCCAAGATCACGCCACTGCACTCCAGCCTGGGCAACAGAGTGAGGCTATCTCAAACAAAAATAAAAACAAAAAGACATGCTGCTAAAATCTGGCTGGGCGTGGTGGCTCACATCTGTAATCCCAGCACTTTGAGAGGCCAAGGCAGGTGGATCACCTGACGTCAGGAGCTCGAGACCAGGCTGGCCAAAATGGCGAAACCCCGTCTCTACTAAAAGTACAAAAATTAGCTGGGTGTGGTGGCGCATGCCTGTAATCTCAGCTACTTGGGAGGCTGAAGCAGGATAGTTACTTGAACCTGGGAGGCGGAGGCTACAGTGAGCCCAGATCACACCATTGTACTCCAGCCTGGGCAACAGAGTGATACTCCATCTTAAAAAATAATAATAAAAACAAAAACAAAAAGCAAGATGAGCAACTGAGTATATTATAATCCCATCCAGGTTACCTCAACCCCCCAAAAATGTGTGAGATGTACATGTTTTGAAAGTGTCTGGGACATAATATAATAAATTGTTAACAGTGATTGCCATCGGGGTGGGAAGCAGTACACAAGAGGTCTAGCCAGAGGAAGATTTGTTGTCACGATTTGCCTTTTGTACTACTGGAATTTTGTATGTATGCCATGAAAAAGTGTATGGCATTTTCAGTTTTTGTTTTTTATTTATTAGAGACAGGAGTCTTGCTCTGTCACCCAGGCTAGAGTGCAGTGGCGCGATCTCGGCTCACTGCAACCTCTGCCTCCCAGGTTCAAGTGATTCTCCTGCCTCAGCCTCCCGAGTAGCTGGGATTACAGGCACCCACCACCAAGCCCGGCTAATTTTTGTATTTTTAGTAAAGACAGGGTTTCACCACGTTCCCCAGGCTGGTCTCGAACTCCCTACCTCAGGTGATCCACCCACCTCGGCCTCCCAAAGTGCCATGATTACGGGCGTGAGCCACCGTGCCCCGCTGGCATTTTCAATTTTAAAAGGTCAGAAGTATTAAATTTGCATGTCCTATGACTCAGCAATCTCACGGCATTTGTAGCTTAGTCTCAGAGATACCATTACATGTCTCCAGAGGCTCTGTGCACACAGGTAAAGTTCAATGCAGGACTGTTTGCAATTGCAGACCCTGAAAACAACTTCTATGTCCATCAATAGGTGGATAATTTAAACTACATATAATCAAACAACAGAATACCATAAGGTGGGTAACATTAGCCAGGCTACACTTGGAAAGATATCCAAGGTAGGATGCGAATTGCAGATCCCATTACTGTACATAAATAAGCAAAACAACACCAAGAAATCTATCTAGGTATATATAGATTTGTAGGGGCACATATGGTTTGGGCTGAGTGCTTATCTTCTAAATGGGGGCAGGGACAATCTCTAGGAGCAGGATTAAAGGGGGAAGAAAGGGACTGCCACTTTTCACTTTACATATTTTTATATTGCTTGGCTGTTTTACAACAAACAGGACTTACTTTGGTAACAAAAAAATTTAAAAATAAGTATTACATTTAGTTAAAAAAAAAGGGGTGGCATTTAAAAGTCACAACACAATGATGTCAATTTTTTTAATTGTCCTTGATAAACATTCATGAGAATGTTAAATGTAGAGAACTACATTTAAAATGTTAATAAAGCTGGGTGCTGTGGATCATGCCTGTAATCCCAGAACTTTGGGAAGCCAAGGCGGGCAGATCACCTGAGGTCAGGAGTTCAAGACCAGCCTGGCCAACATGGTGAAACCCCATCTCTACTAAAAGTACAAAAATTAGCCAGGCATGGTGGTGCACACCCTGTAATCCCAACTACTCAGGAGGCTGAGGCAGCAGAATCACTTGAACACGAAAGTCAGAGGTTGCAGTGAGCCGGGATTGCGCCACTGCGTTCTAACCTGGGTGACAGAGCAAGACTCCATATCAAAAAAAAAAAAAAAAAAAAAAAAGTTAATAGAGGTTATCTACAGGTGGTACCAAAGCAAGTGGTTCTTATTTCCCGCTTAGGCCTTTGGAGGTTGCAGTGAGCTGGGATTGCGTCACTGCACTCCAGCCTGAGGGACAGAGAGAGATAGAGAAAGGTTATCTACAGGTGGTAGCAATGCAATTGATTCTTATTTCCCTCCCAGACCTTTTATTTCCTAATTTTCTACAGTAAATAGAAACATACCATCAAGAAACCTATTTTTAAATGTTCACATAGTACAATGCCCACAACAAGGAAAATATAAAAACTTTGCTCATTACTTCTTGCTCAAACCTCCCAAATGTAATCTGCCTATGCACGGCAGATGACCCTGGCTCCAGCCTTGAGACTTACCGCAACGATCCTGTCTCCCACAGCAAGGGACCCTTCTTTAGCGGCAGGGCTTCCAGGCAGCACAGCGGCAGCATACACTCCATTCTCCAGACTGATGCCACTGTCTGCAAGCCACAGGAGGTCACTGGGTAGCCCCTGGCCTCGCTGCCCAGCCCTGGGTCACCCTACCTCATCTTTGTTACCATCTTCTTACAAAAGAGGATGTCAGCAGGCTGCGCCCTGTCTACGCCTGCACCCTGCCCCAGTCCCACCAATCGGGGGCTCAGTTACATCTACCCTGGTGAATCAAACACTCAGAAAGCAAGACTCAGGGCCCAGACCACCTCTTGCCAGAAAAGCACATGGGCTACATTTAAATGGCATTGGCCCCTCATCCCTGTGAATGAGGTGCTCTAAGGGGCACCCCCGGCCCCTGTCCACAAAAAAGGGCCCCAGCCACCTGAGGCACTCTGCCATGTTCACAGGCCCGCTACCTTTCTGTCCACTGAGGTTGATGTGCAGCGGCGTGACCACCTTCCCACCCAGGGACTTCCTCCGCCGCACGACCATGTTGATGGCCCCCTCCCCATTGAGGAGCGCCTTGATGGCCTGCTTCTTGTCCTTGTTGATGAGGTCCACATCGTTGATTCTCAGCAGCCAGTCATTGACCCTGAGAAAGGGCACAGCCAGTTCAGCACCCACACAGGCTGTGGGACCAGCGGCTACCGCCCACAACTCTCACTCAGGGGGCTGACTGCCAAGGAGTGGGTGCCTCACATACACGCTCAGAAAATCTCCTCTTGCAGGAGTGCACAGTGGTGAAATTTGCAAATGCTGAGGTTAGACAGCCTGGGTTCAAATCCTGGCCCTACCACTTACTAGTTGTATGACCTAGCCCCTCCAGGCCTCAGCGTCTTCATATGTAAAATGGGGGCAATAATCACGCCTACCTTGTAGGATTGTAAAGATTAATCAATTAATTTCTATAAAGTGCTTAAACCAGTACTCAGCAAATAGCACTGTAATAGTGTTAGCTATTTTATCATCATGACTATTTCCCTGAATGAGCATGCCATGTACATCCTGGGCTCTCACGCATACCCCTTGAGCACTTTCCCACCCAAAGGAGCAAAAGACAGTACCTGGTAACTAAAGAATAATCAGATTCAGAGGCAACTGAGAAGCACTGTTTCTTTCGGAGCATTATTAGCTGCTGAGACTGCAGGCCTTGGACAGACTGTGTGTGAGTCTAAGGCTGGGAAACGTTCACCTAAGTGCTACCTGGCTCTCTTCGGGTCCTCTGCACTGGGAAGAAGGGCCCCACCTTGCCTCCAGAGCCTGGGCCTCAACTCTTACCTTAAGCGGCCATCAGCAATGCTTCCTTTGTCCACTTTAGTGACAAATATGCCACAGTCCCCCGGGAAACAAGGCTCATTCACACCTTCTGCCATATCAAACCCCAGTGCCTTCAAGTCAATATCCTCCTGCAAAAACAGCAGCAACAGCAACGCATTTCACAAAGCAGTGACAGAGACATTTGGCTCTTAAGCCCCGAAGCTGCCCACTCCAATGTGGGGGACTGTCCCTTCACCTCATCTGATAAGACACTCCATCCCCAGGATGGAAACCTATGAGTATCTGCAACCTGCCCCTTCTGGCCACTGCAGACAGACATCCCTGTCAGCGTCCTCCGAGGACCCTGCCCTTCCCCAGCTGCAACCCAGCCTGGACAGCTGCTGGGAAAGGATGCCTCACACTCCTGGGAGGAAAAGGAGAACCTCCAAACTTGGAGTGGTGAAACTGGGAGATACTGCAAGCGGGTCACCGTCTCCTCCTTCATCCATCAGAGAAGGAGAGAAGAACCATCAGAGGCAGCTTACCGTCTCCCTCTCGAACTCTACAACTTCCGTTTCCCACTCCATGGAATCCGTGTCAATGGCCGAGTCGTGGGAGCTGTGGGCCATCAGCTGTCGGAACCGGGCCTCCTTTTCCAACTGGGATTCCATCTGTTCCCTGTGAACAGAGAGAGCCACGGTGACAGCCCCTTGGGAGGTGAAACATCCCACCGCGTAACGGCTCTGAACCTCACGAGGCAGGCCATTTGAAACAGCTAAAATGGGTTCCTTTCCCCCTTGTTTCCCAATAACTCAGAGTCAGGTCAAGGCTGCTGGGATATCTGTGAGTTTTCACAGTGGTTTTTTAAAAAAGACAAATTCTCCCCAAATTTATCTAGAGGTTTAACACAATTAAAATCAAAATGCCAGCTGGGCACAGTGGTTCATGCCTGTAATCCCAGCACTTTGGGAGGCCGAGACAGGCAGATCACCAGAAGTCAGGAGTTTGAGACCAGCCTGACCGACATGGTGAAACCTCGTCTCTACTAAAAATACAAAAATTAGCCGGGCGTGGTGGCATGTGCCTGTAACCTCGGCTACTCAGGAGGCAGGAGAATTACTTGAATCAGGGAGGCAGAGGTTGCAGGGAGTGGAGGTCACACCGCTGCACTCCAGCCTGGCGACAGAGTGAAACTCCATCTCAAAAAAAAAATAAAATTTAATTTAAAAAATAAAATCAAAATGCCAACAAGATTTTTGTAGATATAGACGGCTATTCTAAAATGTATACAAAAAGGCATCAGAATCACTAAAACTATTTTGAAAATGACTAAAGTGGGAGGAAACTCTCTACCCAATTTAAGACTTAGTATACAGCTACAGCAATCAAGACTGTGTGCTGCTGTCAGGGAGACAGACACACAGGTCTGTAGAACAGAATAAGGAACCTAGGAATGCCCCAAGTCACCAAAGGTGCATAAGTTAACAGAGGAAGGACAGCCTCCAACTAATGATGCTGGAGCGACTGCACATCCATGGCCAAAGAAATGTATCTCAACCTAAACCACTTAACCTCGGATAAAAGTTAACGCCAACTATATCACAAATTGAAATGCAAACTGACAGAAGCAGCAACAGAAATACCACTTAAATAGTTATATTAGGATGAAGATGTAGTTCTTAACATTTCCTTTAATGCCATTGTTACAATTTTAAAAAATGTTCACTGATGGCCGGATGCGGAGGCTCACGCCTGTAATCCCAGCACTTCAGGAGGCAGAGGTAAGTGGATCACTTGAGGTCAGGGGTTCAAGACCAGCCTGGCCAACATGGTAAAACCCCGTCTCTACCAAAAATACAAAAATTAGCCAGGTGTGGTAACATGCACCTGTAATCCCAGCTACTCAGGAGGCTGAGGTACAAGAATCACCTGAACCCAGGAAGCAGAGGTTGCAGTAAGCAAAGACTATACCACTGCACTCTAGCCTGGGCATCTCAAAAAAAAAAATTTGATAGATTTGACTTCATCAAAATTATAAATATTAGCTCAGAGAAAGACCTAGTAATGAAGATGTGAAAGAGAGACTCAGAAGCCTCGTTATATCCTCAGGTGACTTGCCTGTGACACCCTTCCTGAAATCTGGGCCCAGGCTGCCTTGCCAGCTCATGAACACTGCCCACTGGGCTCCTGACCTACTTGTGTTTCCTGCTCCAGCAGACAGGCCCCAGGGCCGCACCTTTGCCTAGGCTGTGCTCTCACCAGCCAGCTCTAGAATGCCACTCAGCCTCCAGGGCAGAGCTCCAATGCCTTCCAACACTGCCCCAGCCCCTCCCCAGGCCAGTGCAGCTGAGCTCAGCATTCATTGCTCACTATACCTGTCTCATCTGGCATTACCAGGGAGTGCCTGAGGCTTCCCAGGCAGCAACACAGACCCCCTCACCAGCATCCTGCCAGTTAGAGAACTTAGCAGACAGGAGGCACAAATGCAAACATGCTGAATGAACACACAAGCTGAATGCACAAGCTTCAGGCAACTCTGGCCCAAACAAGAGGCAAAATGTCCCATGTTCACGGCCAGAGATTCTAGGCTTTCCCTTCGAAGAGAACCCCTTGATTCCATCACATTGCTAGACCCAAGATGGTTCCTGTGAAGAGTCTTGCCTTGCCTCTTAACCCCTATAATATTCCTGAGAGCACCCAAGCTCCAGAGAGTCTGGGTTTTTATAGAATAAATGGAGCTCTTTGTCTCATTAGGAATTTTACTGAATGGGAAAGAAGAGAAGCTGTCACTCCCTTCTGACGGGCAGCACTTGAGTGTGCAAGGCTTGCACACTTGCACTCACACACGAGCTTCTCACTGCCCCCTCACCACACTAACAGCTAGGGAAATGTCGCACAATGGATGGAGAGCCACTGCTTTCCTACTAGATTTGGGTTTTAGACCACGGCCTATTGGGCTCTGCCAATTTCTATGCTTAAACCCTGATCTTTGTATTTCAATGCACTACTAAAGGCCACTGAGTGTTTAAATGACACCCTGGGAGGCTGCTGTAATCGAGGGGAGGATGTCTGACACCCCAAATGGTCTTCCAAATGGACGTCCAAATAACACAAGCAGAACAGACTGCTGGATGGGGGTTGCAATTGCCTTTAAAACTCTAATCACAATCTGTCGTCATCTTACTCATTTACGTACTTGTCTCTTAGATGGACCTGACCTTGGTCTGTGTCTCTTCCTGCGCACTGTGAGCCCATGAGGAAAGGGACTTGGTATGCTTGTCAGTGCCATTTCTCCAGTGCCTCTAATGGAGGCTGGCCCATACAGAGCAGGTACTTAAAAAATCTCTGCGAGTGAGTGAGTGAGTGAGTGAGTGAGTGAGTAGGGGAATGAATGAATGGATAACACATGCATGCCTGCCCCAGATGGACTGCTTGGGAACAGGGTCCTCCCTTCCTAGTGCCTTGGCACATGGTGCCTGCCCTGTGTCTAAGAATTTTTGGCCTAAGAATTTCTAATTAACCCTACATGGAGATGACATTCGAACCCATTCTACACACTGACAGAGTAAGGCAGAGTGAAGTGAAGGGACAAACAGCCAGCTCGACGCAGAAGGATGAGGCCCTGGCCAATGCACTCAGCATTGCCTTGCCCAGAAGGGAGAGGGGCCCCAGGCTCCCAGATGCATGCCCACTCCAGCGGGTGCCCACCCGAGCCTACTTGAGCTCCTTCAGCTCGCGGCTGACATCATTCTTCTGCTTGCGGGTGTCATCCAGGCTGCGCAGGGCCTCAGCCAGCTCGCTCACCGCACGGTCCCGCTCCCGCCTCAGGTTGTCACACAGTGTCCTGGTGGAAGGAGCAGAGGACAAGGTCATCTCAAGAGGCATGGGGAAGGGGGTTCCTGGTCTGCAGCGGATGGTCTGGCCACCTCACTCCAAATACCTGCCGGCACCTATCCCATCCCCAGATGCACAGGAACACTTGGGAATCTAGGGGTAAGACCACCTAGGCCAGCCCCAGTGCATGACAGAGGGAATGTGGAGGACCTGGGCAGGGAAGAGACACCCCCACAGTCACCCGGCAACAAGTGTCAGGTTCCCAATGCCCTGTTTCACCCTCAATGTGCCTGGGGTTAAGGACCACCCTCTGCACACACTCACTGTTCTAATGCCAACTTGGGGAGCCAGGGGGTGGCTCTCCTCTGCATGAAGCACCCCCCACCTGCCTGGCAGGCCTGTGCTCCAGCACTACCACATGTCTCATATCTACCCACAGGCAGAGCTTTCTAGAGCTGTCCCTGTACCCTGCAACTAGGAAGGGAGCCCCTTCGGATACCAGCCAGTCCTCATGCATCTCTGTCTCTATTAGCTCTGTGCAGGTGCAAAGTACAAGCTTGGCAAGACTCTATGAAAGAGGACCCCAAGGAGGTGGAAACAGATTACCTGGCTGTGGAGGGGCCTGGGCTCTGTGCCACCTCCAGAAATGGACATACCCAGAGGACTGGTTCCTACCTCTCCACAGCCTCGAATCTCCCCCAGCCTCAGTCAGAGCCTGGCTGAGGACTGCCCCCTGGAGACACCCGTGGAAGGGGTCTGAGCAGAAGCAGACAGGAAGCAGCCCCTGGGCCTCCCTCCCCTTGCACTGGGCACCTAACTGTGCTCTCCATTAGCAGGGCCTCACCACCTAGCCATCCTCATCTCCTGACCAGCCCCTAGAGACATTGGTCTCTCCCCTGACAAACCACAAGAAATCTTTTGGACACCTCCCAAATAGCAAGACATTATCTCTCCCCACCCCAAACATCACCACCACCATAGCCTCTCCTGGTTCCTCCCCAGCCAAGGATCAAGCCCACACTGCTTGGCTTCCCTTTCAAGGCCTCTACACCTGCCCCTGGGAATCTCGCCAGCCTGCCCTCCCCACGACTTGCCCACGTCCCTGCCCTGAGCACACTCCACAGGTGCCCTCCATCTGCAATGCCCTTCCCCCTTTTCCACCTGGAAAAACCCCACTCATGCTTCCAGTTCTAGTGCGAATGCCACACTCTCTGGGGAGACCTCCCCACACCCCAGGGAGCCCTGCATGCCCCCCACAGCCCTAGAGCTCAGTTACACATCTTCCTCCCTCACTGCCGTGCCTGACCAAGCCTCTCCCAAGGTCTCCTTGCTCCAGAGATCTAAGACCCTGGCACACAGTAGGCGCCCGGTGAATACTGCTGAAAGGACACACTTCGGATGTGCTCTTCTCATCAGAAACCCTCAAATAAAAGAGGTCGGCCTCGTGCCCCTTCACAGCGGTCTCACGTGGACATAGTACACACTTGGGACACCTAGGGCTGAGTGAGATGGGAGGGAGAAACAATGGAAAATTCTAAAACTAAGAGGCAAGGCTAGGGCATCAACTAGGGGTGAGAAAGGAGGAGCCCAGGTCCCTCCCACTTTACCTGGACATACAGTAAATGATTCCGACCCTCCCAACAGACCCTAGCAGGTCCCCTCATCCTGGGGAGACGCAAGCCCACGCCAGCTTGAGGTCACCCCATACCGGATGCTGTCACGCTCTGCTACAATCTTGTCTCGCTCCTGGAAGGCCCAGTCCCGCCGGCACTTGGCCACATCCGCCTCCTGGAGGGCTTCCTTCAGCTCCTGGCACAGAGCCTTGCACTGCTTTCGAAGGATTTCAACCTCCTTGTTGGCTCTCCCAGCATCCATTGTCACCGTGTCTTTGATCTGGTGGGAGCAAGGGGCAGGAAGAGGGAGAGGTTGCTGAGCCTCATGGACCAGGAGCGCCTCCCACCAGTGCGGGGGCCAAGGCTGAGGCTCTAGGGAGCTGGATGGAGGGAAACACGGAGCCCATCGCAGCACACCCCATACCCCCAGTGACTGCACCCCACAGCCACGGTCCTATTAACCAGCACCCCCTAGCCCCCGCCATGTCTGTGATCCTATAATCTGGCATACTGAGTTATTTTTAAAGACAAAAATACACCAGTATTCCTGCTGGTGAAGTGCTGTGTATCTCAGTTCATTTAAAAAGCTGAAATCCAAAGCATTTGCATCTTGACACATCCCTAGAGAGTTATATGCTCCACTAAAATTTCAAGTCAAACTCTTAGTAGCACTCATATGAAAACCCCCTCCACACCTCTATAATCCTTAGACAACACAGGGAAATGACGGATGACAAAGCAAGTGTTTACTGCAAGAATAACTCCTCCTCCCGCTTGAGGCTTTCCAAACATGCAAAAGAGAAGCACGACAGCAGAGGCGCTGATGACACTGGTGTCCCCGCCCCGAGACTCTCCACCCCCAAGTGCTAGGACACAGGAAGACACACACGCACAGGAAGAAAGCTTCCGTTCCCTCTAAAGATCATTCTCCAGACAGCAGGAGACAGCAGCCTCTACAAAAATGTGTTCAGAAAGATCTCAGACGTAGAAAACAAGAGAAGAGAATGAAGTTGACAAGAAAACACCTGGAGTCAGTTGATAATTCCCCTCATCTCTGAAAACAGAGGCAGAGGAGCTGAAAAATAATTTGCACAAAAAGGACCATCAAAACTCGAGGGTGACAGTGCAGTGGCAGGCTTTCCTCAGACCTCACGGTTTCTGGGGGTCATTCAAATCATTTCAGTTTTGATTTTTTTTTCAGCTTTACATGGTATGCTGTGTTTGTTTAGTTTGCTATTTTCAAAAAAAAAAATCCTTCTTAAATTTTCATTTTAAAAAGAATTATTTGGGGGCAGGGTACAGTGGCTCACACCTGTAATCCCAGCACTTTGGGAGGCCAAGGCAGGCAGATCACATGAGATCAGGAGTTTGAGACCAGCCTGACCAACATGGTAAAACCCCATCTCTACTAAAACTACAAAAATTAGCCAGACATGGTGGCATGTGCCTGTGGTCCCAGCTACATGGGAGACTGAGGCAGGAGAATTGCTTGAACTTGGGAGACTGAGGTCTCAGTGAGCCCAGATGGCGCCACTGCACTCCAGCCTGGACAACAGAGGGAGACTCGGTCTCAAAAAAAAAAAAAAAAAAAAAAAAAAAGTGTATTAATTTAGTCAAGAATTTATGATAAACAATACTTTGAAAAATTTACATTATATTTGCTGTTTTACAATATATTTATGGATAGTTTTAGAGCTGACACGTTACCACGTGGATTCCCTGAAAGGTTTCTCCATGGTGCTCTAGATGAGCATCTAGGAGGGAGGCCCCAGGTGCAGACAGGACGACAGGCAGCGCAGGAGGTGGGCAGCTCCCCCAGCCCACAGCTCCCTTCCTTTCCCTGGGCCCCACACCATTGCTGGTATCCAAAATGAATTCATCCCCAAAATACTGCTTCCTTATAAGGAATACAAGAAGTACTATACTTAGTTTTAGTGAGAGGGGAGAGGGAAATGAGGTACCTTAAACAAATGGTAAAATTTGGAAGCCCAGAGGACCCAAGTGACGGACTGACTGATTCTGATTACACTGGTGAGGAACCGCAGGATCTAGAAGTGACTCGCCAGGGCTCCCCCATCCTGCAGAGCTGATCAGTACTGGCTCCTCTACCCCAGGCTGCCTCGGCATCAGATGTCAGTCTGAGTCTGCTCTAAAAGCGCCACCTGCAGTCTCTTTCTTCCTGTGCTGGGTGAA
This sequence comes from Homo sapiens, assembly GCF_000001405.40. Taxonomy (NCBI): domain Eukaryota; kingdom Metazoa; phylum Chordata; class Mammalia; order Primates; family Hominidae; genus Homo; species Homo sapiens. The sequence continues at coordinate 77,837,836 of NC_000010.11, forward strand.
CAAAGGCGTGGGAAGAGATGGGCTAGTCTTCACAAGACACTTGCCAGACCCAGGCATGAGGCCAGTGAGAAAGGCCTATGGGCTGCAACCCAGCCCCAGAGGGCCAGAGCCCACTCGAGAGTCCCAGGGGAGGATGGGGCCCGAGTGTGGAGTGGTGCCCCTGAGCAGATGGCTCTCGGGTGAGGGCACCTCCCTCTGCTTCCTGGGAAGCTTCTCTTGCTACAACAGCCCTCTGCCTCTAAGTTCTGGAAAGGCCACTGCTGCCTTGCCTTGTCCCCTGGCACTGTCCAGTCTATCCACCACAGCTGAGCTCAGCTCCTCAAGCAGGACCTGTAGCTGCATGTGTAACTGCATTCAGGGCAGCAGACGGCAGGAGCATGGGGGGCTGCCCTTCTACAGACGGAACTCGGTGAGCAGGGCCCGTCTAGGAAAGTGCGTTGGAACCTGGGAGATTTCTGCAACAGACAGCAGTGGCCTACAGCTTCCAGTGGTGCCGACCTCAACTCCCCAGGCAGTTCCTCCCTCCTCCTGGGAGCAATGAGACTTCCCCGGACAAGGTCAGCTACTGGCCTGAGGCAGGAGGGCGGCCTTAGGGGAGCTCCCGAGGATATCTCTCCCCTGGGAGCTGGGAAGAAGAAGGCGAGGGAGGCAAGGGCACAGCCAACCTGGCAAAGATCCTGACAGGCCCCCGGCCTCCCCATGCTACCTCTTTGCTCCCTCTTTGCCTCAGCCCACTCAGAACACAGAAGGGAGAGAGGGCATAGAGAAGGAAAGGGGAAAATGGAGCAAGACGTGCAGATAGAAGACAGAAGCGTGCAAGCACGATGCCAGAAACTGAAGCCCAGCCCTCGGGCTGAGCAAGATGAAGATGGCTCTGCGGTGAGGGAGCTAGACCTGCCAGAAGGCCCCCCACAGCTGACCCCTGACAGGCAGCAGCCAGTGGGGTGGCGGGGCCAATCCCCAGGGTGCCTCACTGCCCACCCCTCCTGGTCTGCTCTTGCCGGTGGAGAGTGCTCTCTTATCCATGAAGCCAGACCAACTTGAGAAGGAGCTGAGGATTTCAGCTCTCAGAGCTGATGGGGCAGCCGCGGGGGCTCTCTCCTGCCTGCTGACTCGGAACAGGGCCTGGAAAAGATCCCTGCCTCAGCTGACAGGTGCACTTGATGCCCAGTCAACACCCCCTGTGGAGGATGGAGGCGGGCTCCAGGCTGAATGGCTCGCCTGAGTGCTGGGAATGCGGTGGTTGCCGCAAGGACGTCAGGCCTGGAGGTCTCATTGCTGGACGCCAGCACCACAGGGAACTCAGGTGTTCTTTGTGCATCTCTGTGCTTTCTATATTTCTACAAACAGTCTTCACGATTAACTTCAAAGATCTCAAAACTTGGCCAGGCGCAGTGGTTCAGGCCTGTAATCCTAGCACTTTGGGAGGCCAAGGTGGGTGGATCACCTGAGGTCAGGAATTCGAGACTAGCCTGGCCAACAGAGCGAAACCCCGTCTCTACTAAAAATACAAAAATTAGCTGGGCGTACTGGCAAGTGTCTATAATCCCAGCTACTCAGGAGGCTGAGGCAAGAGGATCGCTGGAACCCGGCAGGTGGAGGTTGTAGTGAGCCGAGATCGTGCCACTTCACTCCAGCCTGGGCAAAAGAGGGAAACCACATCTCAAAAAAAGAAAGAAAGAAAAAAGAAAATCTCAAAACTCCATCCACACGGGCTCGCTGTTATTCCCCAGGCGTGTGTCTGACATTCTGTGACATTTCAGAGCAGTTACTGACTCGGTCATTTTCCAAGTTTCCTTCTTCATCATTTTGTTTTCCTTATTTGATATTGACATTTTCCCCAAAAAATTATGTGCTCAGATACCAGGATGTGAACATGAGTTCACGGTTTTTCTAGGATGATTACCAAATTCTAATGCATTATCTTTACTTATTAAAAATTTATTCTAATAAGCTTTTCAAAAATTTCATTGCAGTAAATATTTCTCTTCACACTGGCTTTTGCCTCAAGGGTCTGGAGAAGTCTTGGTGGTTCCTTGTATGAAATTCCCATTACTTGGCTGGCCCATTTTTACCCACAGAAACAGTTTAATGAGGTTCACCCTAATCCTAACAGAGGAGTAAGATTCAGACGGGCATAATAATGAATGCCCATCTCAACTCACTGTTGCTTTGTGCAGGCACAATGATGTATTTTCTATATTGAATCATTTGTTCATCATGACCACCATTCCATTGTGCAAATGAAGAAACTAAGGCTGGCTGGGTGCAGGGGCTCACGCCTGTAATCCTAGCACTTTGGGAGGCTGAGGCAGGAGGATCGCTTGAGCCCAGGAGTTTAAGACCAGCCTGGGCAACATAGTGAGACCGCATCACTACAAAAAAATTAAGAATTAGCTGGGTGAGCTGGTGCTCGCCTATAGTCCCAGCTACTTGGGGGGTCTGAGGTGGGAGCATCACTTGAGCCCAAGAGGTCGAGATTACAGTGAGCTATGATTGTGCCACTGCACTCCAGCCTGGGGAACAGAGAGGCTGTCTCAATAAAAAAATAAAAAATAAATTAAAAATAGAAACTGAGGCCCAGAGGCCAGGCACAGTGGCTCACCAGGCGGTGAATTATACTTGTAATCCCAGTACTTTGGGAGGCCGAGGCGGAAGGATCGCTTGAGTCCAGGAGTTCGAGACCAGCCTGGCCAACATGGCAAAGCCACGTCTCTAGTAAAAATACAAAAAATTAGCCGGGCGTGGTGGCACATGCCTGTAATCCCAGCTACTTGGGAGGCTGAGGCACGAGAATTGCTTGAACCCAGGAGGTAGAGGTTGCAGTGAGCCGAGATTGCGCCACTGCACTTCAGGCTGGGCAACACGAGACTCAGTCTCATAAAAAAAAAGAAAGAAAGAAACGGAGGCCTAGAGAGGTTCGAGACCACATGACTGAGGAGGGCCATCTCCCAGCAAGGGGCCTGTGTCTCATGCATTCCCCACATCCCCTACCACTGCCCAGGCCTGACGAGGAGTTGCTGTCGGTTGAAAGACATGCTGGTCACCCCCTGGGCATCACCTGCCTCACACTTGGTACAGCAGGACCTGGTAGTAATGATCCAATGCATACCAGCCCTGCCAATCTGCCTGACCTTTAAACGCCTTGCTTTTTGCTTCTCATAAACCACCTTTGAAAGCTGCATTCTAACTGACCTGCACAGAAAGGCAGAATAGAGGGATGTGAATATCTGAGAACTATTCTGATAGGAAAAAAATCTGCTGTGATCAAGTCTAGAAGCTCTAATCAGAGCCACACACAACACAGACTGAAGGGAATCTCCATGGGCCCATCCAAGCCCCCGCAGGGCTCAGCTAGACCTAGGGCAAGGAGCTCCGCGATGAGGAGAGGTTGACAGGTAGGAAGGAGACAGAAAATCCACATTGGCCACCCAGGAGTTGAGCTAGGTGGCCCAATCTAGTGCTACCAAACATCCCAGCCCCCCAACCCTGGAGGTGTGGCCCCCAGAGAGCAAGGCTTTAGGAGAAGAATGTTGGGCTCAGCCTACTAGCACATCTTCCCAGCAGGAGCCTGAAATACTTTTTCAAGAGCAGACTCGTGAGATGCACACTGCTGGTGAAAAAGGGCCCCTGAGGGTGCTCTTCCAGACACAAGAGGCCTAACGTATCTATGGCTTTGGGAACTTGGCCTTGGTATCTTGCTTCATAATAAGCAAGTCCTTGAGATATCACTGACTTCAGCATGGGACTGATCTGCAATTACGTAGCAATGGGTTTGGGTGTGAGTGTTGGTGTGTAAGCTCCGGGCAGCCATGACTGTGTCTGGGTCTCCCTCCCGCCTTGTCCCCTGTAATCCAGACTAGAGCTGGGCATTAAGCATGAGCTCAGGCAGTGTCTGATAACCCAGCTTGCACTTAGGCCTCCAGTGAGAAGCCATTTACTCCAACTCAGGAGGCTTCTAATCCGGACACCACGCACTCTGCAGCCCCTCTTCCCGGGATGCTGTAGGAGAGGCTGAAAGCCAGCCACCGGCCCACCCACCTACCTGCCGCAGCGCCTCCATCTCCTCATTGGCCGCCTTCTTCTCAGATGTGCTGCTCTTGAGCTTGGACTCGGCCAGCTCCACTTCGGTCTGCAGCTTGTCCAGCTCAGAGATGACCTGGTCACGCTCACTCATGATGAGCTTGTACTCGCTGTACACAGCGTCCCGCTCCTCCCTGTATTTCTCCGACTCCTTTGCTGTCTTCACCTGCGTGGTTCTCAGCTCGGTCAGCTCTGACTGCAGCAGCTCCATCTCCCACTGCAGGTCCTTGTTCTGCGCCGTGGCCTTGTTCAGCTCATGGTGGATCGCCTCAAACCTGGCAAGAGAGGTGGCGAGATGTGGGAAGGGCGGGGGCCCTGCCCGGTCAGTGGCCGGCTGCGCTGCTGCCTCCCGCCAGCTCTACTGTGCTGGACAGTCAAGCGTGAAGTTTCAAGTGAAGTCACTCTCTCCACCCCCAGGAGAGAAAAGTCATGGAGTACCAGTGCCCCCGGACCTGGAATTTTTCTCAGCCCTTTACAAATGCCAGGAGTTGAACTGAGGACTTCATGCCCTCCACTCCACTAGAAACAACAGCATATTTCTCCCACAGTCAAGCCACATTAATTTTTTAAAATAATAAAAACAAAACAATGCCAGGATAACAGCATAAAGAGGCCTTAACGATCATTTAGTCAAACCGCCTCATTTCACAGATACGAACAGTACAGCCCTGTGACAAGGTCATCAAGTTCGCTCGAAGAGCACAGCTCTGTCCTTCCAGGCCGGGGGACATCTTCCACACAGGCAGCCTGCAAATCAGAGCCCATGGCTCCAGACCAGCAATTCTCAGTGTGCTCCATAGACACCGGTTCTGCATGGAGCTCCATTACCCCCAAAAAAGTATATTATCTGATGACTTATGTTTGGGAAACTCTGCATCTTGGCCCCCTCTTGGAGAGTCTGTCTACTGCACAACACCACGCTGAAGGCTCTGAGAAGTCCTGCAGCAGAGACATCTGTCTGGGTTCAACCTGGCAATGCTCAAACCTATTTATCCCCAAAGAGCACTTTTCATGTGAAACTGCTACATGCCCCAGAGAACTGGTGATTCACAGGCACATCCTCTACAAAACACTGTTTGAGGGCATATATCACATCTCTAAAGATGACAGAAGACACATGCCCCAGATAATTAACTTTCCTATTTGCTAGGTGGGTGACTGCCACAGAGGGGAGAGGCACATGACAGTGACCAAAGAAACAGGATGCTCAGAACACACCAGTATTTATTAAGTATTGTGCAGAGCAGTTAACACAGCAGACCCGAGATTTCTACACGCTCAGAAAGGCCCGCTTGCAAGGCTAACCACTGAATGGTGTCCGTGAACCCGAAGGTAAACAGGGATGTTCAGATGGGAAGAGGGAGCCACGATTCCCAAGACACATTCAGTGTCAAAAAAAAATGTTTCCTGGTCAGAAGCATTTTTTGATTGAAAAAGCACAATAACTCATGCTGTTCTCATCCCCTGGTGGTGGCTGGGAACCTTATAGGACCCATTTGCCCCCGGCCCCCGATGGCCCTAGCCCTACCTCCTCAGGGAGAGGGCGCACTGGTGCTGCAGCTGGATGGCCGTGTCCCTCTGCTGGGTCAGCATCTCTGTCTGCTTCAGCAACCGCTGGTTCTCCTCCCCCAGCTGCTCCAGGCGGCTCAGGTCTGCATTGTGGATGGCGACTTTCTCACTGTACCTCTTCCGAAGGGCGTCATAGTCCTTCTTGACCACCTCCAACTTGTCCATGGCCGTGTCATACAGTTTGTTGAGAATCTCGGATGACCCGTTGTGCTTCAACACCTGGAGACCAGACAGTTTCACTTACCAAGGGTCTGTGGGAGGTGGCGGAGGAGACCTCCCACTCTCACTTTTGTCTATCTGAGGGTGAGACTGATGACAAGGCGGTTGGGGGGAGGGGGTTACCCTAAAGCTTTTGAGAGTCTTGAGGTCCAATTCTCCAGGCCCTGCAGTCACACTGGGCTGATTCATTTAGATTCACTCAGTCACAACTATTTACTAAGTATTGTGCAGAACAGTTAACACAGCTGACCTGAGACTTCTATATCCTTAGAAAGGCCTGCTTGCAAGGTTGACCCTACCGAATGGCGTCTAGGAACCCGAACAGTAAACAGTTCTCTAGGCTGATGTAAAACTTTTCTTCTGGTGATATAAGCAGCTCTGGTACTGAGCCTGTACAAATAAAGTGGCTTATGCTGAACACCTGCTTTCTACTGGGAGTCCAGAATCTGGGTACATGGCAGGCAGAAGTTCCTACATGACCAGCCCCCAATAAGACACTTGAGCACTGAGTCTCTAATGGGCCTCCGTGGAGGCCAGCACTTCTTGTGTGTTGTTGTGATTCCATGCTGGAGGAATTAAGTGCCTCCGGTGAAACTCCACCAGGAGAGGATTCTTGGAAACTCAGGCCCAGTTTCCCCTGGACTTTGCCTCACGCGCCTTTCCCCCTTTGCCGACTTTGCTCTGTGTACTTTTGTTGTAATAAATGTCAGCCATTGAGTATAATTACATACTGAATCTTTTGAGTCCTCCCAGAAAGTGACATAGCCCAGAATCAGGTTATGTAAATCGGACCTAAAGACTCTCAAAAGCCCTAGGGTGACCCTCCATGGTGTAGGGTCCCCCCGCATCCCATGCAAGTACCTAATATGTCTAGCACTGGTCTAGGGGCTGGTGATGCCAGACAGGACAGAAAGACGCTGTGCCCTGTGGGCCTTTTATCCTAATTTGGAGGGTGTGGACACACAGATAGGCCAAATAAAGTAACTTCAGAGCAAGGTAAGAACTATCAAGAAAATAAAAAATAAAACAGAATAATGGGCTGGAGAGAGCCATCTGAGCAGCAGAGTGGAGGTCTGTGAGGGAGGCTAAGGCTGAAGAGGCTTCTTGAAGAAGGCGACTTCAGAGGCAAATGAAGAAGAGCAGCGAGAGCACACTGGGCAGAGAGGGGGGCAGGGTCAAAGGCCCAGAGGCAGGGCCTGCAGGCGTGTTCTAGAGACAGAGAGGGGCAAGGCGGAGTAGCAAGAGCCCAATGCACAGGGGGAGGTGGGTTCAAAGGGGACCTGGAGAAGTGGGTGTGGGCATGGGGGTGGCCATGGCCGCAGGCCTCACAGTGAAGACTGTCTCCTGAGTGAGACAGGAAGCTGTGGAGGGTTTTAAGCTAGACAGCATTCTACTCTAAATGACAGGCACTAAAGTTCATTTGGGGTGCTGTTATAGAGAAAAAAACAAACCAAGAAGATGAGTTAAGAGGTTGCCAGGGGGGCTGCTGGCTTTGGCTAAGCACCTCATGGGATCTGAGCCCTGGGGTGAGTCACTCCACCTCTCTGGGTTTCAGCTTCCGGATTCCTCAAATGCCCAGGCTAGACCAGGAAAGCTTGTCTGGCCCTTCCAGCTCCAACAGCCGAGGAATCACCTGGCTCATTCAGTGGCAGCCTGGTTTATCAAGCGTTTGCAGCCTAGAGAACCAGAAGCTGGGACGATGGAACACTCCCTTTGGAATTAGGGTCAGCTCTCAATAAACACGAAAAACACAAAAAGCAAAAGAGGGCTTAATTTAAAAGTCAGAATCATAGCAACAAGAAAGTAAGGTCTTCCTCTAAGACCTAAGCATTAGATTCTAGGACTGTAGACTCTTAAAGAGGAAGTCAAGGAAGAGGGAGAAATGGAGGGAAGGAGGGAAGAAGGGAAGGAAGGAAGGAAGGGGAGGAGAAAGAGAAAGAGAGAGAAAGAAAGGGAAAGGAGGGAGGGAGAGAGGGAGGGAGGATTGGTTCATTTCAGGCTCATTCTTTTTCCTTTATTTATTTTTAAAGCAGAACATTTTCTTTCAAGGGAAATCTTACTAGTACACCAAAAATACAGAACTTATTTTAAAAAGCAGTACACAGGTATCTCAGGCAGTCAAAATCTTCACTGTTTTGTAAAATGGCATCACTGTTGCAAAACAGGAATGCACACTGAGAAACAGAACCTCACTGACAGTGCCCACTCTACATCTAAAATCTTTCTTTAAAAAAAAAAAAAAAAAAAAAAAGCCCTGGCCAGGCACAGTGGCACATGCCTGTAATCCCAGCACTTTGGGAAGCCGAGGTAGGCGGATCACCTGAGGTCAGGAGTTTGAGACCAGCCTGACCAACATGGTGAAACCTTGTCTCTACTAAACATACAAAAATTAGCTGGGCGTGGTGGCGGGCACCTGTAATCCCAGCTACTCGGGAGGCTGAGGCAGGAGAATTGCTTGAACCCAGGATGCGGAGGTGGCAGTGAGCCGAGATCACGCCATGGCACTCCAGCCTGGGTGACAAGCGCGAGACTTCGTCTCAAAAAAAAGACGAAGAATGGGCTCACCATGACTATACTGGGTCAGTGAAGGACAGTCCTGACATCTGGTCAACCAACGCCTTCTACCCACATCTGGAAAGGTCCAGCATCTAAACTGGATTGCCCTGATTGGTGAGCAATACCTCAAAAATGCCAATTAAAAATTACTTCAGGCCGGGCGCAGTGGCTCACGCCTGTAATCCCAGCACTTTGGGAGGCCGAGGTGAGCAGATCACAAGATTGGAAGTTCCAGACCAGCCTGGCTAACATGGTGAAACCCTGTCTCTACTAAAAATACAAAAATTAGCCGGGTGTGGTGGCAGGCACCTGGAATCCCTGCTACTCCGGAGGCTGAGGCAGGAGAATTACTTGAACCCAGGAGGCGTAGGTTGCAGTGAGCCAAGACTGTGCCACTGCACCCCAGCCTTGGCGACAGAGAAATATTCTGTCTCAAAAAAAAAAATTACCTCAAATGTTTTACTGTCTAAACATCCCCTAAGCCAAGTGAGAACCCCATTGGCTCCAAATGAGTCTGCTTTGCTGGGGAACAAAGGAGGCTGTCATTGCCTGAGTTCCCCACAAGGTGGCAGCCGCGGGGAGACGAGCCAACGCTCTCCTGCAGCGGCTTCCCGCCTTCCCAGCTCAGAAACAAACTCATTCCAAAGGCAGCCTTGAAATGACACAAAGCCCGGTTCTGGGTGGTAGCCCGCAGAGCCCACCTCCACAAGTGCTCGGCAGAATCAGGAGTCTATACCATGGTTTGGCCTCTTTGCAGTCCCCTGAATGGCTAACCTTGAGGGGCCTGGATCCGGGCCTGTGTGACAATCCAGGGATGATTCAGGGCCGTGTGAATCAGGCTGCCAGCAAGGGCCGTGAGAGTGGGCCACGAATTCCCAGTGCGACAGGGTGGGTCACAGACCTCGAGGTCCTTTCAGCTGCTCCCCCCAGCCTTCATAACATGGTAGGATCCTCGGGTCAGAAGACCGAGAGAGAGAGATCAGGCCCCGTACTGCTTGCTTCCACCACGATGACGGCCACCCTCGGCCTGCTCCACAAGTGAAAGCTCCTTGGGATAGGGTCGTGCTCACCGGGAGCTACTCCGCCTCCCTGCAACTCCTAACCTCTGGTTCTCACTCTAGCCTTGGAGTCAAACAGAATAACCTGTTCCCACAGGGCAGCATCCAGATACTCAAAGAGGCTCGCAGGCCCCAAACACTTCTCACCCTTTCTCTACAAACAGGACTCAGTGCCAGGCCTGTACTATGTAACCAACAGCCTCTGAACAAAGCTGGGGAACCAGGTCATGGTTAACTCCGGAGAATCCAAAAAACTAAATCTATTGGTCTAGAATTTTTCCCTCTCGCCATCAGAGGATTATGTTCTTGGTAGGTATTTCCACATGCACATGCACACACGAGTGCGCACACACACACACACACCTAACTACAGTCAAATGTTTAGCTTCCCAGCAAAAGCTAATGAAGAGAGAATATTTAAATTTGGCCCAGAATTCTAAAATTAAAGTGATCACAGTTCACTGCAACCTCAACCTCCCAGGCTCAAGTGATCCTCCTGCCTCCGCCTCCCAAGTAGCTGGGACCACAGACACGCCCCACCACACCTGGCTGATTTTTTATTTTTTGTAGAGATGGGGGTCTCACTATGTTGCCCAGGCTGGTCTTGAACTCCTAGACTCAAGTGATACACCCACTTTGGCTTCCCAAAGTGCTAAGATTACAGGCGTGAGCCCTGAGCCTGGCCTGAGAGTCAACTTTTCCACTCAGGCAGGCAGCAGTCTTTAGAGATGATGTCCCTCCAGCCTGAGCACGGGACAGTTGGCCTGTGAGTTCAAGGGGCTTAGGAGAAATGGGTGGAAGTTGCACAGGGGAGGCACAAAGACAGCCACAGTCTAAGCTGTTCCCTGCAGGGAGGCCAGGAAGAGACCAACCCTCCTACCTGTACCCTACATTGGTCAGAACACTCCTCTGTGGGCTTCTCTGTAAGGGATGCCCTTCAGCAACCAGGAAACCCCTCTCCTCTCTTCCTTCCTCCAGGCCCATCAAAGGGCATTCATTCAGGATACCTGGGACAAGAAAATCAACTTTCATGAATTACAAGAGAAAGTATATTTTAAAGACAGGGGAAAGGGCAAGGAGGAGGAGAGAGAAGACTCTCGGGGCCTGAGAGGTTTCCCAAATAGATTAGCAGGACCTAGGAGAACATGTGCACTGCCCTGGTCCCAGGAATTCTACCTGTAAGGCTCAAACTTCAAAACATGTGTGCAAAAGAACACAAAGACATGTGTGTCCACTGAAACATGGTTTGTAACATGGGAAGATGTTGACCACCAAGACGCTCCACACAGAATTCGATTAACACCTGACAGACAACAAAACAAGCAAGGACCTTTTTGTATGTGCAAATTCACAGAAAATGTAAGGAAACCCATGATATATTGTAGGATTTTTTTTTAAAGCAGGTTTCAGGGAATAAAAATTAAACTATATGGGTATTAAATGTGACATTAAAAAAAAAATCTACAAGGATACACATCCATCCCAATGGTTTACACAGAGGATGGTCATTTCCACAAAGCTAGGCTGGATCTGAGTAGGTGGGTGGCTGCCCACATTGGTTGAAGATTTTTTTTCTATTTTAACTAAAGAATACACACTATTTTAGTAAAGAAAAAAGATGCAAAAACACCCTCTACTTAGATTCCCCAACCAAGCCTTGTCAGGGTCTTCTGGGCATTCTTGACACAGCCTAGAAGAATCCAAGAAGGTGCACTCGGACTGCCCAAACCCAGAGATGGGGATGCCAGGCAGAGGCCCTCCCCAGCAAAACACACATATGGACAAAACACCTGTGTGCTGCTCTCAACCATGGCGCCCCCTCCCCTAGGGCTGCCTCATTTCCTCTGAGATAAATCATGCAGAGGGCCGGGAAGCCCCACAAATCCCTCAAGCAAACACTCAAGTCAAACAGCACCATTTACCCTGCAAGGGCCTCTTCAAGTTTACAAGGCGTGGGAGGAACCCGGCAACAAAACTGCCCTTGTCCAGAGAGGTTGACCTTTGCCCTTGGGCCCAGCGGGGAGCAAGCCTGTGGCCATCCCCTTATCCCCGCTTCCTCTGCTGCTGGCCTACTGCCACCTGAGCATCCCACAGCCAGGCATCCACTCCACGCCTGATGAAGGCAAGGGGGCCCAGGATGCCAGGACGCGGGGCTGGTCGCCCAGCAGCTCTGAGATGCTCCCAGCCCTGCTCCCTGTGGCAGCCAGGCCTCTTCTCCTGGTGGGGTCTGGAGGTGGTGTTTGCTGAGAGGCACTGGTCCAGCTGAACTGACCTGGGGGACCCCAATGACCAGGATGCATCCCCACCCCCGCCCCTGCTGCCAAGGACCACAACGGTAGGAAAAGGAGAGCAGGGAATGGGCTGCAAGGTGGGGGAAGAAGACCCTCCCCTGTGAGGCAGACAGGAAAGGGAGAGGGGGACAGGGGTGGGAGGGAGACCTCAGTCTGAATGTCTGTAAAGCTGAGCAGGTGCTCAAGAAAGTCAGAGAACGGGAGACAAGGAAACTTTACGCTTCTTGAGGGCAGAGTGCTCCTTCTAAAAAAATAATATTTTCAATTAAACAATTTCTTGTAGAGATAGTCTATGTTGCCCAGGCTGATCTTGGACTCCTGGAATCAAGGGATCCTCCTGCTCCTTCCAAAGTGCTGGGATTACAGGTGTGAGCCACTGTACCCAGACTGGATTTCTCTATTTATGACAAGGTGAAATTCTGAGTCTTTTTTTTTCCTCTCTGAGTTATAATTTACATACCACACAAAGTATGCAATTCAGTGTTTAATATATTCACAAGGTTATGAATCCACAAAGTTGTGCAGCCACTACCACTATCTAATTCCAGAACATTTTTATCACCCCAAAAAGAAACCAATACCCATCAGCAGTCACTTCCCAAACCCCAAGCCCAAGACAGCCACAAATCTGCTTTGTGTCTACATAGATTTCCCTGTTGTGGACATTTCATGTACCTGGAATCATAGTTTGTGGTCTTTTTGCTGGTTTCTTTCATTGGCTGTCATGTTTTTGAAGTTCATCCACACTATAGCATGGATCAGTACTGCATTCCTTGTTATGCTGAATAATATTCCATTGTATGGATAGATCACATTTTATTTATCCATTCATCGGTCAGTAGACCTTTGGGTTGTTACCGGTTTTGGGCTGCTATGAATATTCACACCTCAAGTTTCTGTGTGGACGTATATTTTCAGTTCTCCTGGACACCTAGGAGTGTCGCTGGGAGGTCACCTGTTAGCTCTGTTTAGTTTTTTGAGGAATCACTAGGCTGCCTTTCACAGTGGCTGTATCATTTATTCCCACCAACAACATATGCAGGTCCCAATTTCTACACATCCTGGATGAGGCAGATTTAAACCCAGACTTGACAGGATTAGAATAATATCATTAACGACCACAACACTGACTGAGCGCCTCATACACACGGGCACGCGGCGCCAGTGCCTTCTACGCAGTGTCTTCATGACAGCCATACAGACCAATTCTCCTACACTGAGATGTGCCAACCTCGTGCTTTCTAGCAAGGCTGTGGGGCTTCCCTTGGACCGAGGTGGAGCCACATACACCTCTGAAATGATGATTCTCTCAAGGAAGTATAGAATCCAAACTAAACCCCAAGGCAAAAGGTTACCTGAGCCAAGCGTAGACCAAGAAGAACAAACTGCCGGCAGGCAAAACAGCAAGAAAACAAAGCACACAGCAGGGTGTAGGTAAAGGCCGGGAGAGGCCGCCTGCCCTCAGGTGGGGGAAGTTACCACGCACCCCAGGGCAGAGAAGGGGCTCAAACCCTTAGAGGGCCATCCCCTCGGGCAGCTTCCTGGGAGCTTTGTTTTGACACAGCACCGCCATCCTTACCTGCTTCACACGCAAGATTCCTCCACAGGATTTCTTTTGAGGTTAAAAATATTTTTGCCTCTTTAGAAACTGAAAACCTACAGTCTTTAAATCTGTTTGCTCCAGGAAGCTCCACTGACATGCACAAGGAAGGGTCCCTGCAGGGGGAATGGGTTGTGGGCAGTACTGACCAGAGCTAGCACGGCACTTTCTACTCTCTCATTTCATCCTTAGAGAAATGCTCCAAGAGCACCACCCCCACCTCCTGAATCTATAAAGGGTGGGAAGCATGTTGTCACAGCTTCTCTGTGCCATGCAGCAGGTGCGAGAAGGGACAGTCTTCCTGCTGCCGGCTTTCCATTACCAAGGCTCAGTCAAGACCTATGGGCTAAATACCAACTTTTGCCCCAGCCACTGGGCCTGACCTCACACGACCAATTCCCCTAATCAGAGGGCACATAAAAAATACTTCTAATAGCTCCAAGTATATCCATCTTAGGGTCTCTTGCTGAGCCTGCCCTGGTTACTCCACATAAAACCTCAATCAATATCGGAGAAAGGAAAATAAACAGCAACTTTTTCAACAGAAGCAAGTTTTTCAATGGAATACAGTTTCATTGGAATATGGAATACTCCTTTTATCTAAACAATTAAACCTTAAAGCCATTAGGCAAAGCAGAGCAAGACAAGGACCTACACTAGGGCAGGTCGCCCCAGAGGGGATATCACAGCTGGCATGGAAAGAGGAGTGGGTCCTGGCATGGCATGAGGAGACCAGGCCTGACAGAGAGAAGGCATGGGGTGGAAGAGCCCACAAAGGGTCAGGAGGAGATGGGAACAGGATGGGGGACTGCAGAGGGCATGGGAGGCAGCTACACATGGGGGATTGACCAAGTAAACAAATTAAGAATAACAGGAATTGGCTGGGTGTGATGACTCACACCTGTAATCCCAGCACTTTGGGAGGCCAAGGTGGGTGGATCATGAGGTCAGGAGATCGAGACCATCCTGGACAACATGGTGAAACCCTCTCTCTACTAAAAATACAAAAATCAGCCGGGTATGGTGGCATGTGCCTGTAGTCCCAGCTACTAAGGAGGCTGAGGCAGGAGAATCACTTGAACCCAGGACGCAGAGGTTGCAGTGAGCCAAAATCACACTACTGCACTCCAGCCTGGGCGACAGAGCGAACTCTGTCTCAAAAAAAATAAATAAATAAAATAACAGGAATCACATTTGTCACTGTTTGTTTGTTTGTTTGTTTGAGGCAGAATCTTGCTCTGTCACCCAGGCTGGAGTGCAGTGGCGCAATCTTGGCTCACCGCATGCTCTGCCTGCCGGGTTCACGCCATTCTCCTGCCTCAGCCTCCCAAGTAGCTGGGACTACAGGTGCCCACCACCACGCCCGGCTAATTTTTTGTATTTTTAGTAGAGATGGGGTTTCGCCATGTTAGGATGGTCTCGATCTCCTGACCTCGTGATCTGCCTGCCTCGGCCTCCCAAAGTGCTGGGATTACAGGCGTGAGCCACCGCACCCAGCCTTGTCACTGATGTTTTTAAAGGAAGTTACAAAAATAAAAGAGGTGGAAACCAAAATGAACCTGTGGTCTTGGATTAGAATTGAAAATGTCAATGCGAACTCATGGCTTTCAATCTACCTGTCTGATATAGAAATACAGATATACATATGTGTATGTATGTATGTATATGTGCCTGTGTGTATGTGTACACTTAGCTACTCCCTACTTCTTTCCACTAAGAGGGCCGGGAAACAGTGCCAACCCAAGCTACAAGCACATCCAGCAATTGGTTGGCTGTGTTTTTTTTATCAGAGACAGCGTCTCACTCCTTCGCCCAAGCTGGGGTGCAGTGGCATGATCATAGCTCACTATAACCTCAGATTCCTGGGCTCCAATGATCCTCCTGCCTCAACCTCCTGAGTAGCTAGGACTACAGGTGTGCCACCATGTCCAGCTAATTTTTTTTTTTTTTTTGTAGAGATGGGATCTTGCCATGTTGCCCAGGCTCATCTCAAGCAATCTCTCACCTTGGTCTTCCAAAGCGCTGGGATCACAGATGTGAGCCAACGTGCCCGGCCCAGCATTTACTTCTCAATACTATTCTCCATTAAAAGGAATGAGGACTACTTGGGAGAAATGGCCAGTCTCCAGGGGCTGGGCCTACCTGCTGCTGCTGGGCACGGAGGTCACCGATCTCCTTCTGGTCCTCCTCGTGGAGCCGCTTCATGTCCTCCCATGACTGCTGCAGCAGGTTTCGCTCCCGCAGCAGCTGCCCATTCTCCCGCCTCAGCATGTCCACGTCATCCTTCAGCCGAGTCTGGTCACTCAGGAGCCGGCTGTGGAGTGTGCTGAAACACCCGGTACATGCTCAGTGAGCCCCAGCCAGCCCCTCACACCCCGCCCCACCCCAGGGCATCACCAGCCTCAGGTCCCAACACTTCCCGTAGATACAGCGGACAGGAGCCAATGGCAGGTAGGTCTGTAGCACTCAGAGGCAAGCCAAAACCTGCTAACAGCCCAATTCCAGAAACATCCAAATCACCACTTACAAACCTGACACCAAAAAGGGCACATGTATCTCCAGGGAAGGGAGACAGGCCCCTCTGGTACAGACCTAGTGCCTCCAAATACTGGGGCCTGGACAGATATCAGCAGGTGGGCAGGCAAAGACCCTCAGAGGGATGCTGGGAGACCAAAGGGAAACACCCCTTGGGCCTACCCTACAGGAAGAAGCTGCAGTAGGGCCCCTGGACAGAGACCCAGAGGCCTGCCTGAGCCCTGCTGCATGTTCTGAATCACTTTCATGCCTGCCAGGTCTCTGAAGCTGGCAATAAGATGTGAAGGATTAATAGCCTTGTTTTACACTTAGGAAAACTGAGGCCCAAAGGCACAAATCCACCTGCTGTAGGCAGACTGCTTGCTCTTGCACAGGGACAGGACTAGAACCAGAACCCCTGGCTACTAAGTCCAGAGAAAAGAAGGGCAAAGGCAGCTGTCTGTGGGTGTTGGAGGCCCTGGCCAAGCAGGCCTCACTCACTGGTAGAAGTCAGTCTCCTTGGCCACCTCCTCACACCTCTTCAAGGCGTTGGTGTGCTGGTTCTGCAGGCTCTGCAGGTCCGACATGGCTCGCACGCACTGGATCTTCAGCCTCTCATAGTCAGGATTCAGCCTGTGGTAGGGCCTGGCCCAGAGAGCGAATGGCCCCATGAACACAGGCCCCAGGATTCACACGGATAGAGGAACCAGGTCCTGGATTAGGCCAGCCCAGTGGTTCCCCAGTACTGGTCTTCTATGCACCACACACACCTGGGTGTTTGTTAAACTCAGATATCCTGGCCTCACTCAGACCCACAGAATCAGAATCCCTAGGATGGAGGGAGCCGTGGTTGCCTGAGCTCCCTGCATGGGCCTGGAGAGCTAAGAAGGTGCCAACTTGTTCTGCAGGAGCTTCCAGGAGTCTGTACAACAGGTCTGAGTCCACCAGAAACCTGTGATGAAATGTCTCTTCTCTGTAGGCTCGGCGTGACAGCTCGTGCCTGTAATCCCAGCACTTTGGGAGGCTGAGGCAGGTGGATCACTTGAAGCCAGGGGTTTGAGACCAGCCTGAGCAACATGGTGAAACCCCGCCTCCACAAAAAAAAATACAAAAATTAGCCTGGTGTGGTGGCATGTGCCTGTAGTCCCAGCTACTCAGGAGGCTAACGTGGGAGGATCACTTGAGCCCAGGAGGTCGAGGATGCAGTGAGCCGAGATCACACCACTGCACTCCAGCCTGGGCAACAGAGAGGATCCTGTCTCAAAAATAATTACTAAATAAATAAATAAATAAATAAAAGTAAAATATTAAAGAAAAGAAATTTCTCCTCTCTTTAGAACAATGACTCTCAATCTTGGGTACACATTAAAATACCAATGCCCAGGTCAATTACATTAGCATATCTGAGGATAAAACCCAAACGTGAGGATTTTTTAAAAACTCCCCAGGGTATTCCAATGTGCAACCAAGGTTAAGAACACTGGCCATGAGCAGTGATCTCAGAGTGGGGTTCCCAGACCTGCAGCACAGTATCACCTGGGAACTTGTCACAAATAGACATTCTCAGGCCTAGCCCCAGCCCCAGCCCTCCTGAGTCAGGTGTTCTGAAGGGAGGGAAAGAGAGGCAATGATCTGTGCATTAACAAGCTCTGTGGATGATTCTGGTGCATGCTCAAGTTTGAGGACCCTTTTTCTAGAGCAGAGGTCAGCAAACTTTTTTTGCAAAAGGCCACACAGTAAATACTTTAGGCTTTGCACACTACATAGTTTCTGTTGCAACCACTCGACTCCACCTTTGTAGCAGGAAAGCAGTCATAGACACTTTGTAACCAATGAGCATGGCTGTGTTCCAATAAAACTTCATTTATAAAACAGGCAGTGGGCCCGTGGGCCATAGTGTGCCAACTCTCATGTGCTAGCACATCCACGTCTTCACTCATCCTGCCTTCGGGCCAACTGACTGAGGGGCATATCCTCATGAATACAAGCTCAGGGATCAGGCTCTGCAGCTCTGGCATAATCCCAGAGGCACAAAGTGCAGAGGCATAGACCCTTACTCCTGAAGGAAAGAGGTGAAACTGAAGTGTTTACACCAAGCCCCCCTCCCCTCCAGACCTCTACCAGCATGGGAGCTAAAGGATAAACCACTCTCTGGCCCTCCTCCTTCCCAGAAAGTCCTCTTAGATCATGCAGGTAGATAAAGACTCTCTCTGCCCCACCCTATGGGCCACCCTTCCCTGGTATCTACCTCTAAATCACAACAAAAGCAGCAAACATTTTCTTCAAAGCAACAAAGACACCAGGTACAATGTGCTCTGTTTAAAACACATCATGTGGGGCCAGACACTGTGGCTCACGCCTGTAATTCCAGCACTCTGGGAGGCCAAGGCAGGAGGATCACTGGAGCCTAGAAGCCCAAGACCAGCCTGGGCAAAAAAGAAAGACCCTGCTGCTACAAAAAAATTAAAAAAAAAAAATTAGTTGGGCATGGTGGCACACACCTATAGTCCCAGCTACTTGGAAGGCTGAGGTGGGAGGTTCACTTGAGCCGGGGAGGTCAAAACTGCATTGAACCATGATTGTGCCACTGCATTCTAGCCCAGGCAACAGAGCAAGACCCCGTCTCAAAAAACAAATAAAACACATGTGTGACAGGGAACAATTAATATGTTTACCAACCACATAAAGCTTCACTCAACTTAGGCAGGTCTAGGAGACAGTGGTAGGGACACACACACACACACACACACACACGAGCTGACTTTGCACACAAGCACACCACTATCAGGGGCCTTGCCACATGTGGGATGGGGACCTGCCCCACAAGAAGCCTGTGGGTCCTGCCCCTGGGAAGCATTTCTGGACATGAGGTGGGGGAAAGGGGACACTCAGGCAGCGCAGCCTGGACCCCCAGGAGCCAGGGGTGTTTGGGGGTGACAGCACCAGCATCGGGGTAGTAATCCCAACCATGGGGCCTGGGCAGGGGAGACGGCGCAATTACTACCTCTTGTCAAAGGCCGTGCCATGCGTAGCAAAGGCCAGGCGCTTGCGGAGCTCGTTTCTCTCCCGGGTCATCAGCCGCAGCTGAATGGAGAGGTTCTCCACCTTCTCATTCACTTGCTGGTCAGTGAGGAGGGGTGGTGGGGACGGCGCCTTCCCGGTAGTGCCTGTGGAAGGGGAATAATAAAGTGAACTTGTGTTCATCTGGCATTCACGAGGCGCCCGGTGCTGTCCTGAGCTGTTGGCTTGTGTTAGCTATTCGTGACCCAACAAGTGGGTCCTCTTAGCATTCCCCTTTCACAGATGAGAACACTGAGCCACAGACGGTAGCAGGTAGAACTGAAAGTGAGTGCAGGGCATCTGGCTCCAGCATCCAAGCACTCAACAACCCCCAGTAACCACCCCAGCAAGGACCCTGAAGACGCGCACTCTCTCCCCAACCTGGCTTTCACACCTCCAGGATGCGACTGTTTTGGCCGTGATCCTTGCATCCTCCCCTGGTTTGGAAATATCAGCTGTTACCCACCACTAAGCCTGGCACATGGAGCAGGACAGACCAACCTGTGCCCTGAGGAGAGTGGAAGGCATGGCTCGAGGAGAAAGGCACACCTGAAATCCAATGACGCTACTAAGGACCAGGGCAGCTGGGGCCCAAGGGCCGTGTCCCCGCCCTCCTCGACCAGGGCTGGACAGTGCACGGCTCCCTTTTTGCAAGCCGTCCACCCGCCTGAAAGACCTGCCCAACCAGCCCAGGCGTGCAGGCTAAGAGGAGGGCTGCTGGCTCCCAGCTGAGGTCAGTGTGACGCAATTCAAGTTGGTCCTGATGCCTCCAGGCTACTTAACCCTCACCAGCCCTCATCAACCACCCTAGGACTGAGTGTCCTACAGGGAGCCCCACACCTTATGCTCCTAGCAGGCAACAGCCACCGCTGCCACCACCACCTCTGATAAGATCCAAATCCATCTCTAGGAAGAAAGCACCTCATCCCAGGAGAAGAGACTAATCCATGGTGCTTTTATATTGAACCCTGTCAATATGTCTACCTGATATCTCAATCAACCCTTAGAGACCCTTGTTGGGGTCAGAGGAGCTCACAGCAACCATCCAATTTGTGGATGGGATCTGGCAGGCTGACTCGTGTCAGGGGACACAGTGTCTGTTCCGCACTGGACCCACAACGCACAAAGGGCATAGGACATGATAGGTCTTCTGATTCTCTGTGCTGTCCTGACCACCCCTGTCCCACTGATCCTTGTTGGTCAAATGTTCATGCAAACCAAGAGTCCCCCAACCCAAGACAAAAGCAGTGGCTTGGGGCCTTCCAGAAGGGCCAGGGAGGATAGGGAGCTCAGGGCCAGGCATGACAAGCCAGACCACAGTGGGAGGAGGATCCTCAACTCCCAGTGCTGTGCTTTTCAGTCTTTTCAGGTTGTGGAACCCCAACCACTTGACTCCAGCACCCCCTGAAATGCACGACAGTCATGTGCCACATAACAACGTTTCAGTCAATGATGGTGGACCACATGTAGGATGTGGTCCCATAAGATTATAATAGAGTTAGAAACAAAAGAAATATGTATTAAAAAAAAAAGATTAAATCACATCTCTACAAAAAATACAAAAATTAGCCAAGAGTGGTGGCTCATGCCTGTAATCCAAGCACTCTGGGAGGCCAAGGCAGACGGATCCCTTGAGCTCAGGAGTTTGAGACCAGCCTGGGCAACATGGCGAAACCCCGTCTCTAGCAAAAAATACCAAAAAATTAGCTGGGTGTGGTGGCACGTGCCTAGAGTCACAGCTACTTGGGAGGCTGAGGTGGGAGGATCGCCTGAGCCCAGGACGTCAAGGCTGCAGTGAGCCGAGATCACACCACTGTATTCCAGCCTGGGTGACAAAGCAAGAACTTCTCTCTAAAAAAAATAAATTAAAAGATTACCATGGAGATGAAAAATTCCTGTCACCTAATGACGTCTTGTTGATCCTGACCCTCTGTAGCCCTAGGCTAATATATGAATATATTTGTGTCTTAGTTTTTAACAAAAAAAGTACAAAAAAATTAAACATTTTTAAAATAGAAAAAGCCTATAGAATAAGGATATAAAGAAAGAAAATATTCAGCTGTACAATGTGTTTGTGTGTATTCTTTTTGTGTGTGTGTGTTTTTTTGAGACAGGGTCTTGTTGTCACCCAGGCTGGAGTACAGTGGCGCAGTCTCAGCTCACTATAACCTCTGCCTCCTGGGCTCAAGCGATCCTCTCACCTCGGCCTCCTAAGTAGCTGGGACTACAGGCATGTGCCACCACACCCAGCTAATTTTTTTGTATTTTTTGTTAGAGACGGGGTATCGCTATGTTGCCCAGGCTGGTCTCAAACTTCTGAGCTCAAGGGATCTGCCTGCCTTGGCCTCCCAAAGTGGTCGGATTACAGGCGTGAGCCACCACACCCGGCCCAATGTGTTTGTGTTTTAAGCTAAGTGTTATTACAAAACAGTCAAAAAGTTAAAAAAATATAAAGTTTATAAAGTAAAAAAGTTACAGTAAGCAACAGTTTACTATTGAAGAAGGAAAAATATTTTCTGTAAGTCGAATATAGCCTAAGTGTACAGTGTTTACAAAGCCTACAGCGGTGTACAGTCATGTTTTAGGCCCTCACATTCTCTCTCCACTCACTCACTGACTTACCCAGAGTAACTTCAGGTCCTGCAAGCTCCATTCATGTAAGTGCCCTGTACAGGTGGACCATTTTTTATCTTTTATTCTGTACTGTTGCTGCAGCTTTTCTTTTCTATGTATAGACACACAAATACTTACCATTGTGTTACAACTGGCTACCGTAGCCAGTACAGTACCATGCTGTACAGGTTTGCAGCTCAGGAGCAACAGGCCATATCGTGTAGCCTAGGTATGGGGTAGATACCATCTAAGTTTGTGTAAGCACACTCATGTTTACACAACAACTAAATTACCAAATGACAACGCATTTCTCAGAATGTGTCCCTGTCATTAAGCAACACAGACTGTGTTTAAAAGCCACCAGCATCATGACAGCCAGGATTTCTCTGCTCCAGGCCGCACCTTTGGGGTCAAAATATTCTTTGGCGGTGAGGCCAGGGGTCAGCATTTCCTCTCCCCAAAGGGGTCTCCTCTGCAGCTTCGAAGTCTTCCCACACCTTTCCACCAAAAGACCCTGAGCTTCACTGCTGCCCCCAGCAGTTTTGTGGGTCAGGTGGGTGATGGTGCTGAGTCATCTGACTGACCATAACCTACCTGACTCTCCAACAAGTGGAGCTTCCTTTGAACGTGCCTGCTACTCAACCTCTAACCAAGCCCAGGGGGAGGTTATGTTCCAGGCATTGATTTCACCTTCACAACAACCTCACAAGTGTGTACTGATAACATCGTCCCCATTTCACAGGTGATAAACTGAGGCCCAGCAAGGTTAGGTAATTGACTCAAGTGCCCAGGCAGTCTGGATTCTAAACACATGCACTTCACCCTCATGCCTCGGTGCCTCCCAAATAACAACCACCAGTAGCACACAATGCAAGCCTGGCAGGTTTTGGGTTTTTTTGGTTGGTTTTGTTTTTTTGAGACAGAGTTTCACTCTTGTTGCCCAGGCTGGAGTGCAGTGGCGCGATCTCGGCTCACCGCAACCTCCACCTCCTGGGTTCAAGCGATTCTCCTGCCTCTGCCTACCAAGTAGCTGGGATTACAGGCATGCGCCACCATGCCCGGCTAATTTTTTGTATTTAGTAGAGATGGAGTTTCACCATGTTGGCCAGGCTGGTCTCAAACTCCTGACTTCAGGTGATCCACCCACTCACCTTGGCCTCCCAAAGTGCTGGGATTACAGGCGTGAGGCACTGCACCCGGCCATGCCTGGCAGTTTTTGAAATGCTTTTCATACATTATCCCATTTCGATCCTCATAAGGTAAATATCACTGTTATCCTCATTTTGCACATCAGGAAACACAATCTTACCAAGGTTAAATAGTGTGTCCAGGTCACAGAGCTATGGAATATGGAATATGGACCTCTAAATGATCCTAGAACCCAAGGTATTAACCTCAAAACTTGCACATTTTTGGATCTTAGGACCTCTGTACTTATCTGGCACTCCAAAGAGCTCTTGTTCACAGATGTTATGTCTAATAAAATTTACAAGATTAGAAATTAAAACCAAGAAGAATTTTTAAATATTTACTTATTTTTTAAAAAATCAAAACTCCATTATATATTGACATAAGATTTTTTATGAGACATTAACCACCCTTTCCATTACAAAACAAAGCAATGCGGCAGGAACAGCATCATTGCTTTGCATTTTGTTACACAGGCTGTTTAACATCCAGCTTCACAGAGACAGCTGGAGTCTCATCTCTGTAATGTCACACACCCAGGATGGAATCTTTAGAAAACTAGACTCTACACCCATGTGAGGATGGAAGCAGAAAAGACCAGTGACATCCTAGTATCATTATGAAAACAGTCTCACCTCACGAGCCCTCTGAAAGGACCTCAGGGACATCAGGCCACACTTTCAGAATGGCTATTCTATGCTATAGTCAAGTTCAAGAAATAGCAGAGAAACATCAAATGTCCAGTTTCACAACAGAAAAGCACCACCAGGCCCAGTAACCTGCCTTTGGGGAGACAAGAAATTTTGAATTTTCATCCCCATTGTATAAACGAGGCAACATAAAGATGCAGCCCTGGCTTTCAAAGAAGCTGGAGAGAGGAGAGGAGGCGGCAGGACAGAAGGAGGGGCTCAGAGCCATCCCAACACACCCCATCTCTGTCTCCAGACGTCTCAGTCTACAGCCATGAGGACCTGGGCGTGGCTGGCCACACAGATAAAGTAGCAACGACATGTGCCAAGCACTGCCCAAGCACTGGGTTCTGTGCTAAAGACACTCTACCTTCAACTCATTAATCTCCACAGCTCCCTACTGGGGTTGTGCTAGGATTGCTCCTTGAGAAACACGTCAGAAAGACTACATGGCTAGGAAAATGGGATTCCCATGCACACTCAGCTCTGACGCCAAAGCCAACACCTCAACCACTCCACAACAATGCCTCCTAATAGGGAAGGATTCTCGTTCCACTTCTCTTGGCCCAAAGGCTTGAGCATACAGGACACATACAGAAAGTAAGGTCAACCAGACCCAAGATCCATCACACATCAGGCTCTCAGACCCAGCAGAAAGTGCAGCCGATGCCTCCGGCCTTTTGTAATTGGGGGATGGGGAGGGCCAAGGAGGGCCACAGGGGACCTCATGACCAATCTCAAGATGTGCTACGCCCAGAAGTTCCAAAAGAACAGCAAGGGTTGCAGAAAATCCTCTCAATCCCCATTCAACTGAAGTTTTTGTCTTTTTACTTGCATCTAGAGGTTGACAGATATTCTGAAAATGATGCAGTCCTACCATCCAAATGGTTGTCAGGATCCCTCAAATGGCCACCAAGACCAAATTCTACAGCAAAGGAGCTCACTACTTCCCAGCAGAGCCCATCTTATCTCTCTCCCTAAAATTATGCCCTCTACTGAGTTAATCTGTCCCTGGACATTCCCTCCACTGACCCTTGATCTAACCCCTAAGGGCCACAGGGAACAACTGGATTTCTTGTATGCAATAGACCTGCAAGCATTTGAAGACAACCATGAAGTTCCTTTACCACCATATGCCCATCAGAATGGCTAAAATAAAAAGCAATGCCACCAAATGCTGGCAAGGATACAGCTGGATTCTCAAAACTGGAATTCTCAAACACTGCTGATGAGAATACAAAGTCATGCAGCCACTTCAGAAAACAGTTTGACAGTTTCTTATAAAGCTAAACATGCAATTGCCATACCACCCAGCAATCCCATTCTTAGGTATTTTACCCAGGAGAAATGAGAATTTATGTTCAAACAAAAACCAGCACACAGCTGTTTAGAGCAGCTAGGGAATGAATAAACAACTGTGTTATGTCCTTATGATGGAGTATTACTCAGCAATGAAAAGGGATGAATGACTAATACAACTGCGGACACACACAGGGTGTGGGGGAAGCTGGAATGCCCTGCGTTAATCAAAAGAAGCCTGACTCTAAAAGCTACATACTACACAACCATTCATATGACATTCTGGGAAGGGCAACACTACAGGGACAGAAAAGAGATGAGTGGCTGCCAAGGACTGAAGGTGGGGAAAGGGCAGATTGCAAAAGTGCAGAGGGAATTTTTAAGATACAGAGGGCAGTGTTTTGCATCTTAAAAGTAGCAATGGTTGCATGACTATTTGTCAAAACTTGAACTGTATACTTACAAAAAATACATTTTACTGTATGTAAATTATATCTCAATGAACATAACCTTAACAAAAAAAAATTTCTTTTTTGAGACAGGGTCTTGCTCTGTCACCCAGGCTAGAGTGCAGTGACACAATCAAGGCTCACTACAACCTCCACCTCCTGGGCTCAAGCAATCCTCCCACCTCAGCCTCCCAAGCAGCTGGGACTACAGGGGTGTGCTACCATGCCTGGCTAATTATTATTATTTTTATTTATTGTAGCGACAGGGCCCCACTATGTTGCCCAGGCTAGTCTCAAACTCCTGGGCTCAAGCAATCCTTCTGCCTTGGCCTCCCAAAGTGCTGGGATTATAGGTTTGAGCAACCACACCTAGCCTATTTTTTTAAGAAAACCAAACTGTGATGCCCTGAATGAAGCCATCATCCTAAGAGTGATGTTGACAGGTAAAGAGATGAGGACCAACCTCCTCTGCTGTCACTGTGGTTATTTACAGTAAACTTTTTAAAAACAGGCAAAACAGAAACTAACATAAAGCTGGGTTGTCAACAAAAGCCTCCAAAGTAGCTGCCAACAAAAGCTTCCAATGCAGTTCTAACCTTGTGCAGTTGTTCTTCTGGACTCAAATGCAAAGCTGTCAACTCTCCCGTGACCTCAGGCTTTCCTTACCCAAGTCTGGCAACCACTGGAGAAGGAGGCAGATTGTCCTTTTCCTTTTGGTGTTCAGGATCAGATTTCAGAGGTAAGGGATTTGGTTTGGACTAAAATGGCCCAAAACAGGAAGACACCAGATCAGGAGCAGGCTCTGGATGGAGACAAAGAGCAGCCAGCCCTGCGCTGCTCTTTTCACCCCCATTTTGTAAAGGAGGCAACAGGAAGACACAGCCCTGCCTTACGAGGAAGCTGGAAGAGGAGAGAAGGAAGCAGGACAGAAGGAAGGGGCTCAGAGCCGTCCCAACACAACCCATCTCAGTCTCCAGCCATGAGGACCTTGGGGCGGCCAGCCTCCCTCTGACCTGGGTGTAAGAAGGAGGGCAGAAGGGAGTGTCCCCATCACAGGAATCCTCAGCTCCTTCAGTTGCCCTGGCTGCTATGGTCACCACCACCGAGGCTCAGCAAATGAACTGGCAGCTGGGTGGATTTCTCAGCCACCGCCCTTTGTCCTGGGCTCCCTCACTGTCATGCTCCCACTGACCCTGGAGGCGCATCCTTGGTCTTACAGCTGGGCAGGTCTCACCTTTGCTTCCAGGCCCTGTATGCCTGTGCTTCCAGGAGCCAGAGAGATGTCCAGGTAAACTTCCTGGCCACCTCCAGGCCCTGGCTGCCCGGGAGAGGCAAAGCAGTGGCAGAGCACAGTCATCAGAGCACCACGTCATCCTCACCTACAACTCAGGACACCCAGAGCCACAGTCATCAGAGCACCACGTCATCCTCACCTACAACTCAGGACACCCAGAGCCGTCCAGGAAAGACCCAGGCCCTGCCTGGGGTGAACGAGTGCTTCTTAAAGCACCTAAGCTTCACTAGAGAACCTGCTAGGCAAAATTTCAGGTCCCACCCAGACCCACTGAATCAGAAACCCTGGGAGTAAGTCCCTGCAGCACTCCGTGTGGTAAAAGCCCTCCGGGTGATTCCGATGCCTGCTAGAGTTTGAGAACCTCTGTTCCAGACCAAAGTTGCATTTGCATATTTCTCCTTTGTTTTACTGGCTATCCAGCAGCCACTGCCTTTAAAGAAATCCCCCACTGATGTCCTTGACAATGAAGGCCTAAGGGGGACACCCCTCTTAGTCAATGAGTACATGACTCCAGTTCAGCGTTTCCCCAGCTTGGAGTGAAAGGAGGTTAGATTCCAATGCTGGAAGCCCAGGCCCCAGATCTCCAGCCAGATCAAAGACTTGCTTTCGAACCCTTGACTCAGGGTCTGGTTTTCAGAACCCAAACCACCATAAGCAGCCATGGCCAACTACTTCCCAGCTGCATCTAGTCCAGAGCACTTTTCCTGGAAGGCCCAGTCCAAGGGCCACTTCCTCCAGGAAGCTTTCTGTGATTCCCCTCATCAGAACTAACTGCTTCTTCCCTTGAGTTACTTCTTTCTTTCTGCTCTACACAGAACAGAATAGCCAGTCGTGCCAGACAGTGCCTGTCTCCCTGGCAGTGTGATAACATTTGGGGCCGTGTTCACCGTGATCCCTATGAGTACCAAACACCTGCCCCACAAGGAGGAGGCATTCCCATCTCTGATAAATTGGCTTTGCAAAGGATTACCCCTGACCCAAAAGTCTGGGCCAGGAATGAAGGATCAGAGGTCACAGGGCGTCAGTGGCAGCCCCCACTTCCCTGATGGCTCACCCCACCTTCCCCTGTCAACCAGAAGAAGCACTTTCAAGGAATCTTCCCTGGGATATGAGAGAAGCCCTCCAGCAATTTCTCCTGCCGATAAGCCTGGAGACCTCTCCATTTAATAAGAAATCTTCTGCTATTTCAATCTTCATGGAATTTAAGGCTGGCTTTATAAGTGCTGCCCAAGAATGTCTCTTCTCCTCCTTAAAACCTCCCCAGTTTTCCAAGATGAGAAATAAAAGGCTACTGAGAAATTAGGTCAGGATGAATGGGGAGGAAAAAAGTACTGATTGCCTGAAACGAGTGTGCAGTCCCCAGGCAGATCCACCAGGTAGGGTCGGGGGCAGGTCACAACAACAGGCGCAGGAAGCGGGGGAGGGCCTCGGGGAAGCTGTGTGTGCTTAGCTGATGAAAACTGCCCGAGGAGGCCTTGGCACAAAGACCTGCTGCCTTTAAGGCTGTTGGCAAAGGTGTGGCGAGTTGTGAGTAGGGCCAGGCTGGAGATCCGAGACCCGACAGACCGCCTGAGAGAACGCTGTCTACACGCCCCAGGCTTCAGCCTCCAATTTCTTCTCATGCTGAATACAACCTGCCATTGTTTTCCCAGCCGTTTCCATTTAGGGAGATGTAAATGGAAAAGTGGAAGTGATGTTTTTATTATAAGGATCTTGCTCTTGCCTTTTCTCAGGTTCCTAAGATCACCATGTGACCTTACCAGCGGCCCCTCCTGCCAGGGCGGTGTGTGCTTGCAAAGACTTCTGCCTCTCATCAGGTGTGGCTGAGCCAGCAGGAACTCCCTGGCAGGTGCTAGAGTGCTCCCAGCCAGGGCCAGCCCCACCAGGCACTCCACCCCGAGGGACTGGTACAAGCCTGGTACAGACATTCTGGTTCCCTTCTCAGGGATGAGGTTGGGCCAGCCCATCTCAAACTGGAGGGCTATTAAGCTGTAGAAACCCTCAGCGTTTCTGATGCAGCAGGGGTGGGAGGAGGCTCAAACCTGCATCTCTAATAAGTGCCCCAGTGGTCCAGCGACCAGGCTTTGTGAGCCACTGGTTTCGGCACAAACAAGCAGCCAACTGTGGTCAATGAAAGGAGGCCATACTGATGGACTCTGGAACAGGTTCCTTTGCTCATAAGAACCCCGCCTTCTTCTTCTGCCACTCACCGCAGATGGCTACAGAGCACTTGAAATGTGGTGGATTTGCCTGAGAAACTAGAAATTTAAATTTCATTTTAATTCATTTAAATTTAAGTAGCCACCTGTGTTTAGTGGCGCCCATACTGGACACTGCAGACCTGGACACTGTCAGGTCTGGATGTGATGGCTGGAGCTGCTGCTACAGACACCCCGCCATGAGACTGTGTGAAGACACCACACAGAGGAGGGCAGAGCTGCATCCCCATGTACTGGCTGACCTCAGCACAGCCTCATATGGGAGCTCATACATTTCCTGATTGGTTAAGGTGGTATGAGTGGGTGTTCCCTGCTGCCTGCACCCAAAGGACAATGGCAATCTCAAGCAGAAGAGCAAGAGAAGCAAAACTCGGTTCCCTGTGAACTCAAGAGGCTTTGCCCAGAAGGGATGCAACCAGTTATTTCAGCATTAAATATCCAGACACAGACAGTACAGACCCATCCTGCTCCAAGAAACACATCAGAGCACTGCACTCTGCCTGCCTGTGATGCCCAGGAAGAGCACAGAGATACTGTTGACGGCTCCATCGCAAGGACTGAGTCAGCTTCAGGTGAGTGCAGAACCAACTGGTGGGTCACGGCCATGACGCTTCTTCCAGAATATGCTGGGGTCCAGCTGCCCAAGAAATATCTTCCTACTCAGGCTGGGAATTCCACCATCAGCAGTAATTGCTATGGGTTAGGCAAATACCCCTCTCTGGAATCCCCTTTTAGAATGCACATGTGCCTAGGAAAGGTAACGATTTAACCCTTGAAATGCCGATGGGAATGAGTTTACTGATTGCTATCTGTTAGACAGATATTGGTGAAGGGTGAAAAACTAGACAGGTCAGAGGAGTATGCTCAGGGCTTACCCAGTCCACCTTAAAAAGCCTCACCTTCCCCATCTACTGATCCTGACTGCCCCACTCCATGCACTTCCTGAAGGGTGAGTCCCACATTCCAAATTCCAACAATCCCATCATTCCATTGATATGTCTCCGGGCACCAAAAGCAGGCAGAACAAAGTAATAGGATACCGTTGGGAGCTTTGAATTGCAGTCCCAGAAGGGCCTGCCCTGAGCCCTAAACAGGATGAGGGTTATGGGAGGAACTGTGTTTTTATGGGTGGAGTTGTGGCCCCCCAAAAGATGCTAAAGTCCCAATCCAGTAAATGTGAATGTGAACCTTATTTGGAAAGGTCAAAGCGTTATCTTTCCGAGGCGCATTTGCATTCTAAAAGGGGAGTCCCGAGAGGGACACTGCTCAGCCCACAGCAGTTATTGCTGATGGTGAAATAGTCTTTACAGATGATCAATTTAAGATGAGGTCTTGCTGCCGTAAGGCAGGCTCCTAGGCCAATCTGACCAGTGTCCTTATTAAAAGGGGAAATTTGGAGACAGACACACATGGACGGAGAACATCATGTGAACACAAAGGCAGAGATCAGTGTGATGTCGGCAAACCAAGGAGCACCAAGGATTACCAGCAAGCCACCAGAAGCGAGGAGAGAGGCCCGGGACAGATCTCTCCCTAGCGCCTTCAGCCTGCGTGGCCTCACTGACACTTTGATCTTGGGCTTCTGTCCTCCAGAACTGTGAGACAATCAATTTCTGCTGTGTAAGCCACCTGGTCTGCGGCACTTTGTTATAGCAGCCCTAGAAAACTAAGATGGAACTCGCCGGCTGGTCACTGTCTTCCCTCTTATCACACTACCTTCCCTTACTGCAGCTACTTATTTAACTGTTTCCCACCAAAAGACCCTAACATCCAGGAGTGTGGGGCCCACATCTGCCTAATTCGCCACTACGGCCCAAGCCCACCTCTGGCACACTGGAGGTGTTCAAGATGTGAGCTGACATATGAAAGAGCTGTCCTGACTAGTTCTAGAATCTCAGGCATGTGACTCCCCCTCCCAGAATGTCAATTTCCCCATCTCTCTGCAGAGGGAAAAGAAAATAATTGGAGTAGATGACCTCTGTGAGTCCTTCGGGCTCAAAAGATGGCCGGGACTCACCACTGAAGGTGTCTGCATCCATCATGGTCAGATCAGGCCATGAGAAACCCCACTAGAGGTGCTAAACAGAGGGAATGGGTCACAGAGGTGTGGGAAGCCTGAGAAACCACTGCGGCCTTCCTGCTGGACTTCAGAGAAGGGCTGGCCTCATTTTATGGGCTTTCTGAAACCCATATTCAGAGAAACACACCCAATTCAGCATGGACTGGCAATGCCTATCCCCAAGGAAACTCCAAAAGGGGTGAGTCTCCTGGGCAGTGGTCACTGAGTTACTACAAGGCCTTTGGGGTTGGGGTGGGGATGGTGGGTCAACAGGCTCCCCTAGAAGCCCTGTGCCCTGACAAAGTAAACAATGGCAAAACATGTGCTTCCCAGCACTCACCTCCCCACCTCCTTCTAACATCAGAACTGGGTTTCTGATGATGGGAGAAAATGTAAATGAAATCAACGGAAGGATGATCCTGTGAGTAATCTGACAAGGGAGAACCAGCTTCCTCTCCCATGAACCCCAGCTGCCTTGGCTTTCACCCAGACCCCTGGCCCACCCGGTGTCCTCCCCAGACAGTGGTACTCACCCACACTGCTGAGGGAGCTGCTGCTTTCTGAGTCTGAGGGCATGGTGGACAGGACGCTGTAGGTAGAACCTGGGGAAAGAGGGGAGACCATGTTACTAACCCCAAGGGGTCACTCGTCTTCACCCCAAGCCAGCTGATCATCAGTCAATGCCAGGCCATGAGAGCTACATGCACCAGGCACTAGAAATCCACATCCACGGGCCAAGCAGAGGAGGCGCGCTCAGCAGATCTGGACTTCGGTGTTTCTGCCAGGCCTCCCACCTCACTTTATCGGCCCCTCCTGCTCTGGGCAGGCGGGCAGAGGGGAACTTGGAGTCAGTCAGCTGGCTTCTTGTTGGGACATCTGGGGAAAGGCTTAGCAAGGGAGTGACATGCCCCAGGTAAACATGGGGTGTGGGGGTTTCCTCCACATCTCTAGCAATATGATTCTGGCTTCCATGCAGAGGGTAACAGAGCAGAAATTAAAGAACAACTGAACTATCTGTTCTTTCTCTGACTGTTCTGCTCTTTAGGTTCTAACTGTATTCAAGCTCAGTTCTTAATAATTTACTTAGTATCTGCCCCCTTATTAAAAGTTACTCCTAAAATGATGAGCAATTGTACCATCACCAAAGCCAGAGGGTAGCACTTTTTTTTGTCCACACTTAATGTTAATTCCTGGTTGTGGACACACAACCACTGTGGTTTGGTTTGAATTCAAATATCTTCAAAACCAGATGTTACCCTCCCAGCACCGGGAAGCCCAGTTTCTGAACCTAGCTCTATGTAGGTGCCCATAGCTGGGTCGTGCTGAGCAAGTAGCTTTTGTTTTCTGGAACTCTGTTTCCTGGTCTGCAAAATGAAGGAGTTCAACCAGATGGCTTATAAGGTCCCTACCCCATCCCCCATCCCCCATCCCCCATCCCATTTCAGCAATTTCCATGATTAATGGAAACAGAAGGTACACTTTGCTCATCAAGACTATGGATGACATAAAATTAAAAGGGAGGGCAAACTGACTCAGAGACTAAATTGGGAGTGGACAAAGCATAACACACAGAGATGGCAGGTCAGATAAAACAAGGACAAATCCAGTGTTTTGTTCTTGGAGCCAAAAGAACTATACAATGAAGAGCGGTATGTACCAGGCCAAGTGGGTGAGCTGGAGATGGAATTTTTGCAATAAGGGCTTTGAACAAGCCTTAGGGCTCTGGCATCAGAAAGCTGCCAAGAACTAATGAGATCCTGGGCTCCACAACAA